>NC_000014.9:95861713-97111713 GCF_000001405.40 Homo sapiens | reverse complement strand
GGCATTTCACAATTTGATTACAGATAAATGTTATTTTAACAATATGATGTAAAAATCACAGTAAACAGTAATTTTTCTACAAATGGATCATTCCTACAGAAATCAATTTTCTTGTCTCAGCCTATATTTTTGTTTCTTAAACAATATAATTTTCTCCATGATGAGGACTAAAGTTGAATTATTTATAATAGTTTAAAGACAGGCATATATGTTACTTCTGTGCTTGTTAGATAAATGTAATTACAAAGTTTTAGAATAATAAAAATGAAAATTATAAGATGAAAATAATTGCAGAATTTTAGATTTATAACATAAAAAGAAAGGCGTTGACTTATGAAAATGCAAGTTTGACTTGAAAGGGCATTTTGCAAATTAAGAATTAAGAAAATTCTCCCTGTTAAGTAAATAAGAGACGGCATTCTTGTACATATGTGATAATATAAAAATAATGCAACTATATTATTAAATTCATATGTAATATCATTAGACAAACCACTACTAGATACTAATAAAACAAGCTCTTCTCATCAATGTATGTATGTCATAATACGAGGAGGAATTTTGCCCTTACTGTTTTGAAAGCTCCATATGACTTAGACATTCAGTGTCAGAACAATACAGGATTTTCCCACAGGCTTTACACAATGGCCTAGCTAGGAAAACTTTTATTTATATTTTAAAGGTATATAGAAAGTTCTTGGGCTATTTTGAATACAGCACTTAGATAACACTAGAAAACATCATCGAAAGAAAATAAATTAAAATTGTACTATGTGGTGTTATGAGTTGGTCGAATTGCAGCCTCCAAAAAGATACGTTGAAGTTCTAACCCCTGCTACTTGTGACTCCAGCTTTATTCAGAAATAGGGTCTTTGCATATGTAACCAAGTTATGATGACTTCCTGAGGGTGGTCCCTAATCCAATATGACTGGCGTCCTTAAGAGAAGAGGGGAATTTGGACACAAACTCACACTCAGAGGAGACACAGTGGGAAGATGAAGGAAGAGATCAGAGTGATGCTGCCAGGGGCCACCAGAACGGGGAAGAGCCAAGAAAAGATCCTCCCGAAGGGCCTTTGGAGAGAGAAAGACCCTTCCAACACCTTGGTTTCGGACTTCTAGCCTCCAGATCAGTGGAAGATCATGTTTCTGTTGTTTTAAGCCACCCGGTTTGTGGTGCTGTGTAGGGCAGCACTGGGAAACTCATGTATGTGGATTTTGTCACAAGTCCGCTGAAAAGGCTTCATTTTCTTTTTTCAAAACAATAAAGCGAAATGTTAAAAAAATTAAGTCCTCCAGGGACAGTGGCTCATGTGTATAATCCCAGAACTTTGGAAACCCGAGGTGGAAGAATTGCTCAAGGCCAGGAGTTCGAGACCAGCCTGAGAAACATAGCAAGACCCTTGTCTCAACAAAAAATTTAAAAATTAGCCCAGCGTGGTATTGCATCCCCGCAGTCCCAGCTACTCAGGAGGCTGAGGCAGGAAAATCCCTTGAGCCCAGGAGTTTGAGGCTGCAGTAAGCTGTGATCACGCCACTGCACTCCAGCCTGGGTGACAGAGTGAGATTTTGTTTGTAAAAAATGAAAGAAAGAAAATGAAGAAAAGGGAAGGAGGGAAGGAAGGAAGGAAGGAAGGAAGAGAGGGAGGGAGGGAGGGAGGGATGGAGAGAGGGGGAGACAGAGAGAGAAAGAGAGAGAGAGAGAAAGAGAGAGAGAAAGAGAGAAAGAAAAAGTTGGAGTGAAATCCATCAAGAACCTGTTAGAAAATGACAGCTTCTTGGGTCAGCCCCAGTTCACTCTTACAAATGGACCTCCAGCTGCCCAGTGGATTAGTTCTTCCACATCTGTCTGAATGCTGCTTTTTATGTTCCTTGGCATGTCTCTTTGTCTCTAAGTACCCCTCAATCTGCCTCCCTTTGCCAAGGAACTACACTTCTAATGTCCCCCTCAATCCTGGAGGGGCTGACAAGGGTGCATTTGGCTGTCCTCTGGAGCACTGTACCCAAACACACTCCCTGCTGTGAAGCAGCGTCACCCAGCACTGATAACCAGCTTGTTTGCATCCAATGAGACAGAACACCCCTGCACAACGACCTACAGGAAGAGTGTTTATTCCTGGCAGATAGGCAGCAAGGGACAACAGATGTCTAGGATTCATCGGAAGCTGGTCCCACACAAGGCTCAGGTAAGCTGCCAGGGCAGATGGAGTCTTATCTGCATGTGCCCTACTTGCAGCACAACTGAGGGGCCCAGGAAAGCCATCTGCCCTGGTTTTACACCGTGGAGAATGTGACTCACTGAGCTCAACTATTGAAGGACATCCCATTCTTGCGGGGACTGGAACAGGGCCTGGCCAGCTCCCCCTTACCTCAAGATGGTGCATGCCTAGCTCGTTCCACAGTTATTCTTTTTTTTTTTTTTTATTTGAGACAGAGTCTCACTGTGTCACCCAGGCTGGAGTGCAGTGGCACGATTTCGTCTCTCAGCAACCTCTGTCTCTCAGGTTCAAGCAATTCTCCTGCCTCAACCTCCCGAGTAGCTGGGACTACAGGCGCCCGCCACCACACCAGCTGATTTTTGTATTTTTAGTAGAGATGGGTTTTCACCATGTTGGCCAGGCTGGTCTCAAACTTCCAAAGTTTGAGATTACAGGTGTTAGCCACTGTGCCTGGCCTCCACAGTTATTCTTGACAACTACAAGCAAGAAATGGAGAAGTGGCTCAGTCCAAGGCCACCCAGAGAACAGCCCCGCACCTGCCTCTCTCCAAAGACCCTTGATCATGCTTTTCTCACTCAAAGCTTTCAACTGCTCTCTCTAACCCAGCTCCAGGCTAATTCCCTTCTTGCCCAGTATTTCTCAAAACAGCGAGACCTTTATTTTATGAACGTCTCGGCCTGCCTGTATAATGCCACACTAACTACTGCTTATAGGACAGTTGTACAGAAAAGATGAGGCAGGCAAAGCAGCTGGCCCCGAGCCTGTGCATAGCAGGTACTCAACAAAGGCAGTCATAGGTGTCTTCACATCACACAGGTGGAAGGCCTGCTCAGCCTGAGCCTTAGAAACTGAAAGCCAGACAGAAGGGAATGGGATTCTCTTTATCTGGCAACACTAGGACAGATATCAAAAAGGCAACATGCTTCTTAACTGCCTTTTATTTTTGAAGTCCCCATTTCAGATACTTTCAAAGTCACTCAGTCAGAAATTATTGCAAGCCTGACTTGTGTGGGCCAGTGCTCCAGCTCCTGAGGGAGAGACATGGAAACCAGGCCCCTGACAAAACCTGCAGGAAACATGGGCCTTCAAGAATAGACTTATGAGAGGATTCGTTTGAACACTGTCAGGTAGGGTCAATCTTTTTAGGCTTCCTGGAGGAGGTGCCTGAGGTAAGTCTCAGGGCCTGAGAGTTCATTGTCAGTGTGAAGACTGAGCTCTCCTGGATCCTCCCAAGCATTTATGGAATGAAGTTCACTTGCATTCCGTACAGAAAGCAAATTATTTGTGAGGTCCCAGGATGGGAGAGGGGGATTTTGATAACCAAGATTTAGCCTTAAATATCTCTTCACTTCCTACAGGGAAGCCTTGCCTAACTCCAACCTCCTGACCCCAACTAGTCAGAAGCCCTGAATTTACGCCCCCATGGCACCCTTCCTTCTCCTCATGGAGCTCATCAGAAATGTGATTGATCATCTGTGTGGTCCTTGCCTCAATGTCTGTTCTCCCCGACGGAGTGAGATGACTACAAGGTACAGATATTCCTGACTCCCATCTCCCTGTTCTAGCTGATCCTGGTACAGTGACTCACACAGGATAGATTCTTAAAAAAATGTTTGCTAAGTCGATAAAATCCTCCAAGGTCTTTCTTCTTTTTTAACTTTCATTTTAGGTTTGGAGGTACATGTGAAGGTTTGTTATATAGGTAAACTCATGTCACAGGGCTTGTTGTACAGATTATTTCATCATCCAAGTATTAAGCCTGGTACCCAATAGTTATTTTTTTCTGCTCCTCTCCCTCCTCCCTCACTCCACCCTCAAGTATACCCGAGTGTCTGTTGTTCCCTTCTTTCTGTTCATGAGTTCTCATCATTTAGCTCCCACGTGTAAGTGAGAACATGCTGTATTCGGTTTTCTGTTCCTGTGTTAGTTTGCTAAGAATAATGACCTCCAACTTCATCCATGTTCCCACAAAAGACATGAACTTGTTCTTTTTATGGCTGCATAGTATTCCGTGGTGTATATGTACCACATTTTCTTTATCCAGTCTGCCACTGATGAGCATTTAGGTTGATTCCATGTCTTTGCCATTGAGAACGGTGCTGCAGTGAACGTTTGCGTGCGAAGTGCGGTCACTTAACCAGCAGCATGGATGCCATCTGGAGCTCGTAAGACATGTGTCATCTCAGGTCCCACCCAGAGCTGCTGAATCAGAGCTGGGATTTTAACAAGCTTCCGGGTGATTCACGCACATTGACATTTGAAGAAGTCCCAAGGCCCAAAGACACATCTGAAACTTAGAGAGGGGTGGGGAAATAGCAGTGGAAAGGTAAGAGTTGGATGGAACTACAGACCTTTAGCAGTCTGCCCAAATGCCCTCCACTGACTCTCCTTCCATCCCTCATCCTTCGTTTCTTTGGATCTTAAGCACCTCCTCCAGGAAGCCCTCCCCAAGTCCCACTGGATTGAGTTAGAGGTCTCACCGGCATGCACCCTCCACACTACAGTTTTATTTTAAATTCCACCCTCCCCCCACCCACCCCCAACCTCCGCCTTGGTGATCTATCTCCCCCAGAGGCTTTGGAGCAAAGGACAGAAATTTGTTTTGAAAACTTCGTGTCCCTAGTGGCTAAAAGAGTCACTGGAAGCAGGTAGGTGCTCAGTAAATAATTACTGAGTGACCAATTGACCCTTAAACTTCAGTCTTCTGACTACAGCCACGCCCTTTCCACCTCCCCTGCGGGCGTCTCAAGCCGAGGACAGGCTGGGGTCCTACCCACCGGCACTTCATCTGTGCAGGGATACTCAGAGGAGGCACGTGGGTTTATTTAAAAGCGGATGTTCCCGAAGGGAGAGGTGGTATTTCTTGGTGTTGAGTGAAGTATGAAGAAAAGGAAAGGGTGCATGGCTACGTGGCGAGAAGCTATGAAGTTCAACTGTAAGACATCTGTTTACCCAGGAAGGGTAAACAGAGCTCTGAAAGAAAACACTGAAAATCACTCCGCCGTGGAATGGGCTTTCCTGCCAGGTGCAGGCCACTCAAGCAGCTGCAGAAGAATCAACAGGCAGGGACTCCAGCATCCACCCACAGAGTCAGGGAGGGCCCCTCCAAGGTTCTTTCCAATTCAGTTTCAAGATCTAGGCCAAGAGTCTGCAACTTGTCTTCGAAATGGGCAAGGAGGTAAAAATGTGGGGCTTGCGGTTGACGCTGTCTTTGTTGCAACTACTCCACTCTGCCACTGTGGCTGGGAGGCAGCCTTAGATAAGATGCAAACCCATGGGCATGGCTGAGTCCCAGGGAAATGCTAATGACAAAAGCAGGTGGGTGCCCCCACAGACCCTAGTTTGCTGACCCTCGATCTAAAATAAAACTGAGACAAAACTAAAGTAAGAGTAGACTGCCCACTTTGGATTCTCAAAGGCTCAGGGCAGACGCTGTGGTTGTCTCTCTCTGGAATTTACCCCATCTTTAGCTGATCTTTGACCAGGGTCACATTGAGCCCTCTGGGAACTCTTCCAAGCTGTAGAAACAGATGATGAAGACAAAAGTATTTCAACTAAAGAATATAAACCGAATATGCCCCCACTCCCAGTTGAGGATAAAAAGAGGTTGTGACACGCATCTTTTTGTATTGCAATCAATTATTTCCATCAGTGAGGACCAACATTTCTTGATCGTGCACGCACAGAAGGGGGCACACACCAGACAGAGAGAGAGAGAGAGAGAGAGAGGGGAAGATGGAGATTAGACATGATGCCTATCTAGTGGATATTTAAAATGTTACAATTAGTATTTCCCTCCAGTTAAAGAGGCTCTCCCATAAAATGTACAAATGGCGTTTGGACAATAAAACTGATGGGTTTATAGAGTCAAGTCATCGCCCTGTCCAGGATCCCATTAAGAAGCTCTGCTACTTTGATGCAGAGCTGTGGCCTCCTGCCTCTATTATATTATCCTCTCTCGCCTCCATCCAAAATCAGGCTTCACATCCATATTAGAAGGCTGAAAACGCTTGGCTCGTAGGCATCCTGTGTGACGAGAGCATTCATTTTATTTATTTAAAGCTTGGCTTGCCTGGATGGTCCCCAGAGATAAAGCATCTTATATTCATGGGGGTCCAGGTACCGTTGGAAGAGCATTTATTCCAGTACCGCTGCCTTTGAGCCAAGGCTAAAAGCACTTTCTCAGACATAAGGAATCAGGAAATCTACAATGGGAGCATAATGTTAATATCTCTGTTAAAATAATATCCAATAGCTCTTTCAAACGAGTATATCAAATGGGTGCTTCTCGAGCCATGAGTCAACTGGCTTCATTCATCAAGGCCAGAGAGGGGATGGGTAGCAGGAGAAGGCTGCATGCTTCCTTCCTGCAAAGCTCTCTTTGCAACGATGAAACCGGACAACACCAGGCGGCCCAGTTTTTCCCTCAGGTTCTGTCGCTTAAATAATTCACACAGTCATGCACAGAAAGCTCAAAACACAAATGAGAGCAATAAGAACTTACTTTGGGTGACTTGATCTGTAAGTTTCTTCAGCAAATACTCATTTCACATGAACTATGTGCTGAGAACTGTTTAGGCTGTAGAGGCAGAGAAAAAGAATAAAAAAAAAGCTTTTGTCTCCCAGTCCTCCTAGTGAAATGGGGAAATAAACAAGTAATTCGAATATAGACCAAGCTAAAATAAAAATAGTACGATGGTAGAGGTGCGTAGAAAAAATGTTAAAGTTAGGAAGGGGTGTGAGTGTGGAATTGGCAGTTGCATAGAAGTGATATTTAATCTGGTTTTTGAAGTTTAAATCAGAGTTTACAAGGTCGAGAATAGCTCTTGTCCTGGGCAGTAATTCTCTTAATTTATTTCGTGGATATATCTCCATTGACATTGTGATAGCTGATAACCGACTTCCGCAGAGGAATGAAGCCGCCTTGCAGGGCCACGCAGACCCACTGGGAAAAGAGCAAGGATTAAATAGCCAATTACAAATGAATATTTACCTGATAGATTGGGATAGATTAGGAGGGGAAGTAAGAAGGATGCGTGAAAATTGCACACACTAAAAATGAGGAATGGTCTGTAATGGGAATGGGACAAAGGACCAGCCGAAATGAATTTGGAAAGGTAGCCTAGAGGTCATAAAGGGCTCCACTGGCCAAGATAGGGAATTCGAGGCTTATCTTGTGAGCCAGGATTTACCAAAGTATGCTCCATGAAGCAATTCCATAAGGTACTAATAGGTTTTACCGAAATAAACTTGGGAGACGCTAGGATAAACCCTGCAGGACTTCTCAGAGCCTTTAATATTTTAGTGCACACAGGCATTCCCAAGAGGGAATACAAAAGATATAATAGTTCCCCAATATTTCATCATAGCATCTTTTTAATCATTTTAAGAGAGAGATCTCATGGGATTTGTGTTCTAAAGAATAGAAATTGGGAAATGCTACTAAAGCCTCACAGAGCTGTAGAGTGTTTCTGGGAAGAGGAGTAACGTGTAGATTTTTCAGATGGAAGTGTAACCCTGGCAGCAATAAAATACTGAAACAGGATGGGAGAAGGATAAAGCTTTGTGACCGATTTCACGTGCAAAATCAGGAGCCAATCATGGTTTGTGGTTCTGACTTTGTCGCTGAGAAGATGCTGCAGAAAAGTGAGATAAAGGGGAGCCTAGGAGGAGGAACCCGTGAGACTGAGCCATTTGGACAAGTTAATCCAACAGTGCCCCTTTCACCATATTACTCAGAAGACAAGCGACTGATGGCTGCAGCATTATTTTAAGCTCATTTTCTTCTGAAAAATCAAGAGGAGGACGAAGTTTTTAATGGAATGCTACGAAATGCATATTAATTATTACCAGGACTTGAGTCTTTTAGTGCAATACATATTTATAAACCTTTGTGGAGCATAGATCATTTGCCTAATAGAGCAAGACTACTCTAAAGTCAACCATCCTAATCTATCAGGTAAATATCCATTTATAATTGGTTATTTAATCCTTGCTCTTTCCCCAATAGGTCCGAATGGCCCTGCAAGGCTGTTTCGTTCCTCCGCGGAAGTCTGTTATCATCCATCACAATGTCAATAGAGATATATACATTAAAGAAATTAGGAAAGTCACTGCCCAGGACAAGAGCTAACATTTAGACTGAGAAAAATGCAAAACATAATGAAACAGCTGCTGTGGGTGAGGAGGAGAGAATTTTTCATTTTAATAACCAGTCATACTCCAGTGCAGAGAGGCAAAAATAGAAAGATGGCAGCGGTAAGCAGTATTTTGGCTGAAATTTTCTGATCCTTCCGAACAAGTCCCTGGACAGAACCCCTACTCCCAGAAAAGGAGAAAGGCATAGATTCTGCACCCCTAAATCCTTCACTTTGTACCACCACCTCCTTATACACACACACACACACACACACACACACACACACACACACACTTCATTTTATTCTATGTATTTTAGGAATCTCAAAATCAGGCTGTTCATTGAGCATCTATTTATCATGTGCCTGGTGCTTCTGCTTATTAGATCTCATTTACCAAAGAAAAATCATGGTATTCTTTCACTATTGGGGAAATTGAAGTTTGGAGAACTGGAGGGACTGCCCCCAAGTCCCACAGCCAGTAGTGGCAGAGCTGGGATTTGAACCTGGGTACTGCTCCTTTCCCTACAGTCGCTTCTCCCACTAGGACAGGTTCGTCCGGGAAGCACTCCAGGTACATTGGTCAGGAGGAGACCCTGGGGTCAGGAGCATTTTCTGAGCCAAAGGAGATTTGGGAGCAGAATGCTTGGCAAAGAGGGGGTCAGAGGTCTTTTGTGCCCCAAGACAGGAAGGCACCCCACCTGTCTAGGTGGCCTAGAGAGAGACCCCAGAGGAATTCAAAGATCCTGTGGAAGTTGATAATTATTCAGTTTCCTCCTGCTAATCTAACCGGTCCTGAATTTGAGACAAGAAAACTTTGGTGTTTTGTCGTTGCTGTTGTTTTGCAGGACTCATTTTGTCAGTTACGCTAACATGACACCCACCCCAACTGAGAAGCACATCAGACAACAGCTACTGCTAAAGTGTGGTAAGGGCCTGGAACCTGGGATTTATGCTCCCCAGCCCCCACACCATGGTGCCCCCCCACCCTCTTCCATGCCCCTGGTGGCTCCTAGGACACTTCCATGGAATCCTGGTCTTGGAGACCATTTATAGCCGTGGCTCAAAACCACCAAGTAGGACTGGCCTGCAAGTGGCCCACATGGCTCTCCGCTGGGGCATAAAGGCCACCTGAGAATGGTGAGGAGAAGGGTTCCCAAATCTATATAAGCCCAGCTGACATTCACTCCCTTCTGGTGTGAATGTTTTCAACATCAGAGTCCCCAGTTGTATGCTGTGTGCCAGGACTTATGGATAGTTGTAGAAAAGGATGCTTGGGATCAAAGACCAGCCATACAGAGCCAGAGGTTTCAAAGCAGGCTGAGAGCTCAGCTTCAAATGCTGTCAGTCAGACCCCTGGTAGAACGAACACTGTTTGCAACTCTGTGGGAAATTGACACAAGTGGTCAAAGGAAATGAAAGGGCGTTGACTGAACCTCCGTGGATCTCATTTCATCACCAGTGTAGAAATTGCTGTTCCCTTATTATAGATAGAGAAACTGAGGCACGGGGAGCCCAAGCCTGTATCTGAGGTCACGGAACTACTGGGCGGGGAAATCTCTGGAGGACTGGGCCCTGTCTGTTTGCTAAATGGTATTTTTGCCATCAAGTCCCACTGTATAGAGAAAATACGGTAATATCTTATTTCTCTGGGATCGTCAGAAAATGAACTGTTTCACCAAGTAGATTTTCCAGGTAACTGAAACATATACCTTTGAGCCCCAAAACGTTTTAAGATTTTAATTATTTTAATGGAAACATTTAGTCTGTTCTTAAAACAGCCTATTCAGTGTGATTAACCTTGTCTCGTTGGCTCAGGGCCATCAGTACGAACTGCGGCTGTGTGCTGAGATGTAACCCAGTGACAGAGCAGCACCAGGAGGTTCTAGCAGCAGGTCGCCAGTCACCTGGACCACTGCAGCAGTTTCCAGCCTTTTCCCCCCAGCCCTTCCTCACTAACCCCTTCCCCCCAGCAGTCAGGGGGCGCCTTACAAATGCCAGCTGCCCACGCATTCCCTGCTTAAAACCTTCAGTGGCTTTCCATCACCTGCTGGCTGTAGCATGGACCACCAGGCATCTGGGTTCTCCCCACCCATCACTTCAGGGACCCCTTCCCATTGGGGCCTTTCCCAGTATGCTCTGGTAATGCTGAGCTGTGCGTGATCAATTCCCCAAACAATGCAAGCTGCGGCCTGCCTCCTGGCCTTAGGAGAGGCTGTCCTCTCTGCCTAGGATAGCCATTCTTAAAGTGTGCCCTGAGGACCCCTGAGATCACAGAACCTCTCAGGGGGCACCCAGGTCCTCCATTTTCCTGTTTCTTTTATGTATAAGAACAGATCTTTTTCCTATGTACATCAACTGTACTGCAACCAAAGCAACATCTTACAACAAATGTGGGGCCAGATACGAAGATCCAACTGTCTTCTGATAAGTCAGGCATTGAAGAAATGTGCAGAAATGTTAAATGAGGTCATTTTTTCACTAAGGTTTTTTTGTCTTGTTTTGGAAAGAAAATTTTGTTAAAAAAAAAAAAGAAAGAAATACATATATCTTTCAATTTACATTTGCAGTTAATGGATTTATTATTATTTTTAATGAATTTGTAAATATTTTTGTGATTTCTCAGTTTTTATTTCTGACATAGTAAATATTGATAACTATCACCCACATAAAAGCTCTTTAGGGTTCTCATTAATTTATAAGCATGTAAAGGGGTCCTAGTGAGGTAGGAGGTGGGATTCTAAATGTGGGGCTTGGACACTGGACCAAATTGAGGACTAGCTAAAACAGGGCCAGGACAGAAGCAGCTTTTGATAAGGCACGCCTACCAGTGTGCCATGTCAGTTACCATTGCCATGGCAACACTGGGGAGTTCCTGTCCCTTTCCATGACAATGACCTGAAGACTCAAAAGTTATTATCCCTTTCCTAGAAATTTCTGCATAATCCACCACTTAATCTACATGTAATTAAAAGTAGGTATAAATATGACTGCAAAACTACCCTCAGCAGCTACTCGCTGCCTTTACTGCCCCAGAGTAGGGCTTTAGAGAGCATCTTTATGATCACTTTTTCAGCTCTGGAAAGGCCTTTGTTTATGCTTGGGTTCATGGGAGTAATGTGGAGAACTGAGATTGTCAGGAGCCTGTCCTGTAGATACCAAGGGTACAGTTGTGATGTAAGAAAACAAGGGAAACCCTGGGTGCAAAGGGAAATTCCACTAGTTACAAGCTGTGTGATTTGGGGCAAATTGAATCTCAGTTTCCTTACAGAAAAATAGAGATCATCATATTCTCCTCTTAGCATTTTCTAACAATTAACTAAATCCTATAAGGTGTTTTTTGTAACCCTGGTTACATAGCAAGCACTCTATAAATGGAAGTTGCTATTATTGTTATTATTACTATTATTTTGTGGATTTTCCAGTCCTATCATTGACATTTATTCAGTATGATGAGATATGAAAGCTACTTTGGAAGTGTCACATGGAGAAATGATGGCATATGTTTGAGGGATTTTATGGGCAATTCAAAGAATACAAAGCCCAGCATCTAGTGAATACTGCCAAGCTGTCTGTCTCTCCTTCTCCCTAGGCACTGATTTTGAAAACCAATCAACCTTATGGAATCAGGGTACGTTGTGCAACACTCCCTGTGTCCCCCTTTCCCTGCAAAACTCCAAGAGCCCCACCCAGCTACCAGGAACTAATTCCGGAGGAAGCAGGGAAGTACATGTCCAGTGTATGCCAGGTTCCATTTTCATTGTGCATCATTCATTCATTCATTTAGCAAATATTGACCGAATGCCAACTCTCTGTGCCAGGAATTGTGCTAAGATCTGGGGATTCCACAGCTAACAAAATGACAGACTCTGGGCTTGTGGAGTTCACATATTAGTGGGAAAAACAGACAAAACCAAGTAAAAACACAAGTGGAAAAATACAAATTATAATAAATGTTAGGAAGAAACAATAATTTATCCACCGCTACAATCCTATGAGATCATGCAAATTATTATTCCTAGATCATGCAAATTATTATTTTCTAGATGACAAAACTGAGGCTCAGTGAGGTGTCACTGTGAACACGTGGTGATGACTATAACCATCCACCTGCTCCAACTCTGATGAGCTCCTCTGATGGGGACATGGTTAAGAAGCTGTAGATACTGTCACCAAATGGCTGTGTGACCTGAACAAACTTCCTAACCTCTATGATTCTTCATTTGCTCTGTTTTTAAGAAGGACAAGAGAAATGCACGAAAAACTCTTATCACAGTACTTGTCATTCAGGAAACACCCCAAAATAATAACAATTATAATTTCCATTAGAGTAGCTTCTATATGACTACTAAAGTGTTGATGGGTAGATATCTCAGAGGATTCTGTATCCAAGGATAAATAATCCACGTGCCAATGAAACACCCCACTTAGTAAAATGTGCCCATCTCAATCACTGTCTTGGGTGAGCTACCCATGCCGCCTGCAGTTTCATTTATTCTGCAGGAAAAAAGGAAGGTGAAATCCAACCCAACCTCTTTCCAAGTGATCCCCAACTCAGAACAAATGAATTTTGAATGAAGGAAGACTTGGGTCCACATTTATTTGGAAGATCAATAACAACATACAGAATTGAAGATGTGAGTTCCTAAACTTCCCACAGAGGGCCCTAGATGGGCCACTTCTCAGGAACAGCTGTCTCAGTTTAGGAGGAGGGCTCCAGATGAGCCTGGCCTCCACCTGAGCAATTCTGCAAAATGGCAGCTTCCCAGAGGGCTCTACTTCCATTTCAGATTAGGGGTGTGCCATCATCTTGAAAGACCCTGGGCCTTTATCCCAGGTCGATCTACTGATGCCCAGATCCCAGCCCCCTGGAACAGGAAGCCGTGCAGAGCCAGTCCTGGTCCCCATTAAAGCCCTGTCCCCCTCCCTGCTTCTTTCTCAAGCTCCCCTTCCAGCTCCCAGCCTTATGACTGTGTCTTCCATTCTCCACCCTGCTCTTGACCTTGGGTATGATAGCTTAACCCCGTGCAACCTCAGCTGAACAGTGTCTGGGTCCCCATTCTAGCTTTCATTGCTCTTTGACTGGCATTGCTGAGACAACCCCATTTAAGGAAGGACCTGATTATGTGGACACTTTAGGCTGAGCTGAAAGCAGCTCCCTAGCTGGCTGTCCCTCACCTGACATAACCCTGAGTCAATCATTTATTTCAGCAAACATTTCTTGGGCATCTACAACGTGGTAAGCATTAGACTCAATTCTGGGTGCACAGACATGAAAATAATAGTGCAGCACAGTGCTCAGAAGCCCAGGTTCTAAGACCAGATGCCTTTGAGGTTAAATCCCAGCCTCTCTGCTTCTCAGCTGCAACCAGTCCTGAGTGGGCTTCGTAATTTCTTCCAGTCTCAGCTTCCTTATCTGTCAGGGGGCTATTAAGAGTACCCATTGCATAGGGCTATTCCCTATGCATAGGGCCATCAAAAAGGACGGTGCACAATAAACACTCAGCTAGTACAAATTCTTATCAATATTAGGGCATGGTCCTGGTCCTCCAGGAGGTTATTGGGGCAGATCAATAAGCACATGGCTTTAGTTTGTCTTCATAATGCAATTGAGAAGATAAGAAGTAAAGAAAGATGAGAGGTGAGAAGAGACAAGGGGCTTTCTGCTTTCGTGGAAAACCTCCTGAGATTCAAAGAATGCTGTGCTCCAGTCCAGCTGGCTCATGAGAGAGTGTTCCTATAACTACAGACCAAACACAGGCAAGGTGAAGACGATGTGTCTGTCTCATGCTAGGGCCAACTGGGGTCCTTAGGGCTTGGTCTGATGAGAGCTGCCAAGAAGGAACAAGCCTGACAAAATCTGGGGGTGGAGAAGATGCTGGGCAGCAGAGTCAAGCTCCCCAGAGGCCTCTGTGGACTAAAGGACATTCCAACAAAACGAATTGTTGCTGGCCTAAATGAAAAGCTTGTACATGGGCCTTCAGTATAGTCTAGAATGTGAGGCCAAGAACATTGTTTTTTCCATTGCAGGATTCCTAGAATCAAGAGCACAGCACAGCCCAAAGAAAGAGTGCAATGAGTATCGGTTGATGAATGAATGACATGGGGGTTGGTTGTGTAACACGGGTCTCAGAACCTGCCAGTGATGGAGAGAATTGGTGGTTTTAGTCAACAGTAAACCCAATATAACTCAAGACTGGTTTGCAGCCTCTAGAAAAACATCTGCCTGAGGCTGATCTGTAAAAATACCATACCTAGGGTGGGAGCAGGGATAGTTCTAGCTCCTCCAGAAAGCACAGGTCATCTGGAAGAACGGAGAAGTCTTGGGCACAAGCCTTGGGAAGGGACACAAAACAGCTGGAGTGAAAAGATGGCGTGGGGCTTGAAACTATGTCAGGTTAGAAATGGTGGAGGACTAAGGACATTCAGGGTGGAGAGGAGAAGACCAAGGGGACATGTGAGCTGTGTCCACATGCTTCTCAATGCTTGTTGTAGGGGATGGGGAACAAACACATTCTGAGGGTCTTCCCAAGAATAGTGGTCTCATGGTGGCAGATTACAATGAACACGCTGAATCAGAAAAATCTCTCCAGCCAGGCACAGTGGTGTGTGCCTGTAATTCCAGCTACTTGGGAGGCTAACATGAGAGGATTGCTTGAAGCCAGGAGTTTGAAACCAGCCTGGGCAACATAGCAAGACTCTGTCTCTAAAAAGAAACAAACAAAAATATCTTTTCAATAGGCAGAGCTGTCCAAGACCTGGGTGCATTCTGTGGTTAAGACTGAATTCCCCATCACTGAAGGCACTCAAGCAGAGACTGGATATCCACTGCCCTGAACCAACAATGCTGTAAGCATCTTTCTGTCTGTTCTTCCATCATCATATTTTCCCCAACCCTCTTCTTCTGCCTGTCCCCCTTCCACATTTAAGGATGCTTGTGATGACTTTGAGCCACCAGATAATCAAAGACAATCTCCCTAGTTTAAGGTCAACTGATTAACAACCTTAATTCCACCTGTACCTTAATTACCTCTTTGTCATGTGAGAGAACACATTCCCAGGTTCCAGGGATTAGAGTGTGGACATTACTCTGCCAGCCACAGCAAGTGCTCCATGCGCAGTGCTCACATTGTTGTGATTCACAGCATGTGAACCAAAGGCCTCTAGTCCTTGTGTAGCTGTCAAGTCCCCTCCACTATCTGCTCAGGGCAGGGCATGCAGTAACAGGTGACCGGGGCACAGTGCCTACGGGCCCAGCTTCATCTGTCACCCCTAGGGTGTTTATTATGGCTAAGGTAGGGCTGAGGAGCATTTGCCTCCTGTCACTCTAGGACCCCCATATAAGGCATGTGGAAGGACAGAGCACATACGTGCCCTGGAGAGCAGCATCAGGAACTTGCATCTACTGAAGACGCTGCATGTGGGAGCAGAGCCTAGGAGAATCTGTGCAGATGCATGAGGGACTCGCTTTCAGGACAGATGTTCTCTGAGTGCATGAAACTGCAGCCATAACCTCTTGCCCTTAGACAAAAGGGCATGATTAGAAAAATCCAACATGTTCAAGAGGTTTCAAGTAGAACAACTTTGAAAGATCAGGGTAAGGTTCTGGCACATGCGCCTGACCCAGGGACTGCACCTGTTGCCTTTCCATAAGCTCCCTCATCAATCCTCAAGGAAACCTCATCAGGAAGACTTCTTTTGGTCCCTGCCTTTCAGAGGATCAAAATGACCCTCAAAATGGCTACAATTACTGAGCAAATAAGTGATCAAAGCTGGAGTCATATTCAGGTCCCACGGTTTGGAAGTCTTTGTTTTTCACAACACACTTCATTGCCTAGGGCAGAGAACGTCACGTCTTTTGTGCAGCATCTTCAAGCCCATCCAGCAGGTGGAGACGAGGAGGGGTCCTGGGATATTCAAGTTTCTCACTCCACAGCTAAGACCGTCTCCCATACTGCACTGATCTTAGGGAATTACCTCTCAATAGCACTACCACTTTAACTCCTGTTCAGTGCAGAAAATTTGAAAAATATAGAAAAACAGGAAAAAATTAAAATTACCTAGAATTAGACATTATCATCATTTGAGGTATCATATAGATATGTATTGCTTTTTGATAAAGTAAAATTTTTCTGCTCATAGGTTTTTTATGGCTTATTTTTCACTTTATAGACCATAGACACTTTCCTGTATCATTATCTCTTCTTCCATCGTATCCATTTTATAGCTGTATGTGGATATAGCGCAATTTATTAAAACACCCTCTATTGTTGGACAATTAGATTTTTGTGGGTTTTTTTTCATATTATGATTTTGCAATAAAATCCTGGTAGATAAAACTGCACATATAATTGAGAGTTTCCACAAGACTCATTTCTAGAAATAGAATGGGCCGGCCAAAGCATATGAACATTGTTAAGGTCCTTGTTGCAGACTAACAAAAGGCCTACCGATGCTCCCCTTGGCTGTGTATGAAAGTGTCCCTTCCCCCACAACCACAGTAATGCTGAATTTTATCTTTTTTAAAAAAATCTTTGCTTCTGTAGGCTTCTTGGTTTTAAGGGGTCCCATCTGGCATTGCATGGATTAAACAGAAGTATATGTGCAATGGTCCTCTTCTCCTAGGATTTAACTCAAAAATCAGCAAATTTTCTGTAAGGACCAGACAGTATATATTTTAGGCTTTGCAGGCCATACAATCTCTGTTGCAACTGCTCTACCAATGAAGCACAAAACATATAAACGTTGACTGTTGAACATATGAGCAGCTATAGACAATAACTTGTAAATGAGCATAGCTGTGTGTCAATAAAACTTTATTCACAGATACCAAATTGTGAATCTCATATAACTCCCACGTATCATCAAATATTATTCTTTTAAATATTTTTCAACCGCTCAAAAATGCAAAAACAATCTTGTATGGGTCATACAAAAACACATGGTGCGCATAGGCGATACTAAGCCCAAGGGCCTTCGTTTGCTGTTCCTCTGGTTTAACCGAAGGCTGCATGTGCACAGGACCCTTATGCCTTTAAATGTCTCTACAAGGAAGACTTTTTTCCAAATGTGTAATAGTTTTCAACATTGGCTACACATTAGAGTTATATAGAAAGTTAAAAAAAAAAAAAAAAGCCAGCACTGGACCCCACCCCAGCTGAATTAAATCAGGCTCTGTTAAAGGTGCATATGGACATGGCTGGTGTAACTCTCTCCATGTGACTCTAAGGCTCAGCTACAACCTTGCTTCAATTAGTCAGACAAACCCAGCTCAGTTCCACTAGGCCCCATGCCTGGGCCACCTTAACTTGCGATCCGAGGAGCTGCCAAGAAGATAAACGATCTGATAATTAGTCAGGCATGGTGGTGTGCACCTGTGGTCCCAGCTACTTAGGAGGCTTAGGCAGGAGGATTGCTTGACCCCAGAAGGTTGAGGCTACAGTGAGCCAAGATTGCACCACTGCACTCCAGCCTGGGCAACAGAGTGAGACAATGTCAAAAAACAAAAACAAAAAACAAAAAACCCTGGTTAGAGGAGGTGAAATGCATTGCATGACAATCTCAAGTCCCCAAGCACCTGGAGGATGAGCTAACAAAGGGCTCCTGCTCCTGCTTCTGGCTTTCTTCAGGACTCACTGCCAACCTCCCTGAAGGACAGAAAGTGCGGAAGTTTAAAAAAAAATGCCTGTAATTCCAACACTTTGGGAGGCTGAGGTGGGCAGATCACAAAGTCAGGAGTTCGAGACCAGCCTGGCCAATATGGTGAAACCCTGCCTCTACTAAAAAAAAAATAAATAATACAAAAATTAGCCAGGCGTGGTGGTGAGTGCCTGTAGTCCCAGCTACTCGGGAGGCTGAGGCAGAAGAATCGCTTGAACCCAAGAGGCGGAGCTTGCAGTGAGCTGAGATTGTGCCACTGCACTCCCGCCTGGGTGATAGAATGAAACTCTGTCTCAAAAAAAAAAAAAAGTCTTCAGGCCAGCAATATTGGCTCAAGCTCTGTGGTTAGGAGATCTGACCCAATCAGCTGCTCAAGCCTGCCAGGCTTTGGGACATTCCCTGGCCTTCAGCGTTTTCCCTGCAGATTCAGGCTTTGGCTTCTCTTGAGGCCAGATGTGGAGATGGTGAGCAGCAGTTCCCACCTTTTCTCCTGCCCAGCCTTAATCTGCGGCCAGCCATGGGCATTGAGCGGATGTTCCATCCCCACCCAGCCTCTCTCCTTGGGTCCTTCCCACTCTTTGCTTTTCTTTGCAGATTTCAAGGTGATGACAAAAGAGACAACAGTCTTAGCATTTGTTAATACCCACTTGACCCACAAAAGAAAATTCGCCAGCATTCCGCAGCTTCTAATTTAAAAACCATTAGACCGTTCCGCTTGGCAGACCAGATCTAAATATTCTTAAAGGGGTGGTTTAATTTAATGATTACCTTAACAAGCCCCCTTTTAAAATGATGATCCGCCAAATTCGAGGGATTTGTTTTGGAATCTGATCCAATAAGTGGCTTTGTACAAAGAGGAGCAGAACGGAATCTGATTTGGTTCAGAACGCAGTGAAAATCATGGAAATTACTTTGCATATTTAATCACTGTAGAAACATGAGTACAAACTACTTTCTAGAGATTACCTTAGGAAAAAAAGGAAAAAAAAAGCTCCAGGCTTTGCAGCCAGCATGCCAAGTACTTTGATTTACAATGAATTATTTGGATTTTATAGAACACTTAGTGTTTCAAAGACTTCAACCTACTCAGCCCCTGGCAGGAAGACATATTTTCAAAAGTGGAGCAAAAACTGGACTTTGGGAACAGAAGCCACAGTGAGGGGATTTGTTGTACAGGCCTGCAAGGTGGCCTCAACTTTTCTACCTTTTGCAACCAGAGTTTGGGAAGAAAATATGAGGACAAGTGCCAAGAAAAGCCCTCCGCTCAGGTGTTTGGACTGAAGGCACCTGGTTCATCTCAGGGAAGATGGCCACCCTTCCATCCACCCAGTAGCACAGAGCAAGAATGGAGCTCCACCAGCTCTGCCCATGGAAGCTTGGAGGCAGAAGCTTCACTGAGAGCTAGGGCTGTGGTCTGAGCTCAGCCCTACTGCTACGGGGCCTTGTGACCACATCTGAGTTAATTCACCTCCCCAGATAGTTCGCTTCTTATTTATGCTTCACCTCCTCTAGGTTCTACTTAACGATCACTTCATCAGTGAGGCCTCCTCTGAGCACCCCATCTTTTTTTTAGGAAGGTAATATCTTTACTCAGCTATAAAACCTTGGCAAATCTATACAGTCTTCTTTAATACAATAAAATCATATATTTGTTGGAGTCATGGATTACTTTAGTGATAATTTTCACTCCAAAAATATTTAAGCACCAAATGAAAACACTGTGTTTTTTTTGTTGTTGTTGTTGTTGTTTTTGCTTTTTTGTTTGTTTGTTTTGTTTTTTTGAGAATGAGTCTTGCTCTGTCACCCAGGCTGGAGTACAGTGGCATGAACTCGGCTCACTGCAACCTCTGCCTCCTGGGTTAAAGCGATTCTCCTGCCTCAGCCTCCAGAGTAGCTGGAACTACAGGCATGTGCCTGGCTAATTTTTTTTGTATTTTTAGTAGAGACGGGGTTTCACTGTGTTAGCCAGGATGGTCTGGATCTCCTGACCTCATGATCCACTCACCTTGGCCTCCCAAAGTGCTGGGATTACAGGTGTGAGCCACCGCGCCTGGCCCACTGTGTTTTTTTTAATGGTGGTTTATAGCAGATCAAGTTATTTTATACAAATGAGCAGCTTTTAAAACTCTACAATTTCTCATTTTGGAGTGAGTTCCTTCATGCAAGCTGTTGAAGCTTCCAGCACTGGGGCAGCTGTGTGTCCATAGAGGTGGCTCTGCTTTTTTCCAGGGATAGCCCAAGGCCAGGTAGAGTTCCAATACGTGAAAAGCTTTAACATTTTACCTTAAAGAGATTCAACATCAATACCAATTTCTAAGTACTTTTTTAAAAATGTTGAATTTCTCCATAAATACTGAAATCCTCAAAATTAGCCAGTCATTTCAAACAACACTACTACCAGATGAGCCCTTTTATTTACAAGTCCTGCATCTTCTTGTTTTGGTCAAAAGTCACATAGCCTTGGCAAGTACTCCATCTTAGGAGAAACACCCCAGACACTTTTCCCCTTTCCTGCTCTTTTTCTCCTGCATTGCACACACAGAAGTATTACTTAGGAACTTGTTGACACTCTGCCTTCTCCTATTAGAAAGAAGCTGGTATTTAGAACTTAGTCTGCTCTGTTCATGGGCTGTTTCCCCAAACTGAGAACAGTGCCTGGCTCAATAAATATTTGGATGAAAGTATTAATAATGTCCACCTTCTTGTTACTTGTGTAAAGGTGAACTGCAACAGTAGAAGTGCCTAACAAAGCAAAAAAAAAAAAAAGTGTGCACAGAAAAAAAAAAAAGGTGTCATTGAATATGAATTTTAGAGTAGAAGGGACCTGTGTTAGACCCCAGCACTGTTATCCTCTCACTCTGACCCTGGCAGACACAGATCCGCCTTTCTGGGCCTCAGTTTCACATCTATAAAATGGGACCACACTTACTTCTTGGAGTCATTGTGAAGGTTTGAGATCATGCATGAAAAAGGCCAAGCCCGGTGCTTGGCATGTGCTAATATGTGGTCAAGAACTAAGTGTCAGTATTGTGACTTACCAGATATGAAGGTTGATTGTGTATGTCAACTTGGCTGGGCCACAGGGTGGCCAGATAGCTGGTTAGACATTATTTCTGGGTGTGTCTGCTGGGGTGTTTCTGGAAAAGATTAGCATTTTACCGGGTGAACTCAGCAACACAGGAGACCCTCTCCAATATGAGTGGGCATCCTGCAACCTCTTGAGGACCTGAATAAAACAAAAAGGCAGAGGAAAGTTCAATTCACTCTCTGCCCGACTGCTTGAGCTGGGACATCAGTCTTACCCTGCCCTCGATGCTCCTGGCTCTCAGGTCTTCAGACTCGACTGGAATCTACACCATCAGCTCTCTGGCTCTTAGGCTTTTGAACCACACACTGAATTTTCTGGGTCTTCAGTTTGCAGGTGGCAGATCATGGGACTTCTTGGCTTCCATAATCACATAAACCTGGTTCTGTTTCTCCTGAGAATTCTGACTAGCACAAAGTGTAAGGAAACAACCACAATGACGGTGATTCAGGAGCACCTCTGCCTAGCCATCTGGGGACATTCACTGTCACATATTCTTGGGGCTTTCTTCCCAACCAACACCCTCCTTTTAGAGAAGTCTGAGCTGTATGCTGGAGGAATCAGAAAATAGACAGATACTTTAAAAAGCTCTCCAGCCGGTCGCAGTGGCTCAGGCCTGTAATCCCAGAACTTTGGGAGGCCAAGGTGGGCAGATCACTGGAGGCCAGGAGTTCAAGACCAGCCTGGCCAACATGGTGAAACCCCGTCTCTACTGAAAATACAAAAATTAGCCAGGCATGGTGGCCAGCGCCTGTAATCCCAGCTACTTGGGAGGCTGAGGCACTAGAGTCGCTTGAACCTGGGAGGCGGAGGCTGCAGTGAGCTGGGATCGCACTGCACTCCAGCCTGGGTGACAGAATGAGACTCTGTCTCAAAAAGAAAAAGAAAAAAAAAAGCTCTCCAAGAAGTGCAACATTTTTAGATCGGTCCCAAGTTCCGACAGCTGGCAGGCAGTTCCCATTGTAAAACACTGGTTTGCAAGCATCTGTCTGTCTATGTGTGTGCGCTTCTCCAAGGCGTAAACGTATGCAGTAACTACACACTTTGCAAGATGTATGTGAGCTGTTAGTGTGGGTGTGTGTATGTGTATGTTTGAGTTTGTGTATTTCTGAAAGGGATTGTAGAGATCAGATGTGCACACTGCATGCACGTGTAAATAAAGAGAGCAATGCGTACACACAGCATTCCCATACCTGCTTTCAGGTCCTCCCTGTGTATTCCTTGAAGCGTCACAAGCTTCAGAGCTCAGCAGTCGAGAGGTTAATGAACAAGCTTTCTTTCCCATATGCATTGAACAGATAATTTTCTTTTACTCCTTATGATAAGTTGAAGAAGCGTTTGAGTGACAGGACAATTTGTCAATCAACTAAAAAATAGAAGGGGAACCTCCTCTGCATAATTTTACACACAGAATCCAACGTGATCTGGGACCGTACACCAAGCTGGGACAGCAAAGAGGATGAGTCCAGCAGGGCCTGTCAAATCCTTGCCTATTTCCTCCTTCCAATCTGCTCTCTGAAGCTGCTGGGGATTTGTCAAAAGGCAGGAAAGTTCATTTGGCCTCGCTCAGTGAAATCCTTCAGTGGCTCCACCTCACCCTTGGCCAGATGGCTAAGGTCCTTTCTCACCTGACACCCACCTCCATCACTCCTTCCACCTTGTGCCTCTGCCTAGCCCGAGTTAGCTAGTGACTGTCCTCGGACACACCAGTCATCAAGCCAGTCCTTCCTCCTCCAGGTCATCCTCTGTGCCTGCCACCTGGAATTCATTCACTCATTCATAAATTCACTAAATTGTGGATGGGAAGCCCACTGTGAGTCAGGCATTGAGACAAGCATGGGACGGAGAGTGGGGGAAAATAAGACAGATGTTCCTGAGCTCAGAGGACACCCTCCTACAGAATAGTGGTGGCACCCCTTCCCCCGCACTCACCTGGAAAACCCTCGCCTCTCAAGGTTTGGCTCAAGCGCCCACCCTCTACCTATGAAACACCCCTGACCCTGCTTTCCACCCCCTGGTGAAACTGACCACTGCTTGCTTTTCACCTCCACTGTCATCAATGTAGAATTGTCATTGTCACACCTGTATCACTGTCTCACACATATTCATTATCTCTCTGCCTTTCCCCATGAGACTAAGCCCCTCATGCTTTCATTCACCTTCAGACCCCCAGCGCTTAGCACAGAGCACATGGTACACGATATGGCCTGAAAATATTTGCAGATGAAATGAACCAGACAACCCATGGATGGGAGAATGGAAGGATGGATGGATGGAAGAATGAAGGTGTTCAAATGACCAGTAAGAGAGAGCAGAGACAAGGTATTCAGATAGCTTTCTGGCACATGTATTCAAGGCCAACCCAAATCTATAAATGGTAACATCATGATTATTAATAATTAAGGATCACGGTCATTGTGATCTCTTTTATCCTGGGAATTTATAAATATTATTTCAAACTTTCCTAACAACTTTACGAAGTATTATTATTATTATTATCCCTGAAGATGCTGAAAATCAGAGAGGTTAAACAACTCTTCCAAAGTCGCACAGCTGGTAGGAGGTAGTGCTGGTGTTGGAATTCTGGTTTGTCTGAATTCAAAGCCACTGTTCTTTCCCCACCACCCTCCCCCACCACTCCCACCACCCCACATCAATATCTGTGTTTGTATTTGGGCCTTAAGGGTCATCCCAGACCCTCACCCAGGGACCTTTGGCTGGCTTCCTTCTCAGCCAATGTGAGAGCTGTCTTTCCCGAAGAGCCCCCCTTCTCTAGCACTAGCTATTTCAGAGTATGGCTTTGCTAAAACCTGCATTATGGAAATAGATTGTCAATTACCCCGGGTGGCTGTGTAAAAGAATTACTGCAAGAATCATGGTGAAAAGAAAACTTTATTTTCACCACTTTCCAGTAAAAGCTAATTCAGAATAACTCCATTTAACAGTTATTTTATGCTGAAATACTGAATACCTCGGGGAGTCTTTTAGGGATTTTAAAGTCTCTTTATTTATAAATGATTCATGCTGCATTTTCAGAAAAACCTACAATTAGTGTGGGTAGCACAGAAGCTCCTTAGGGAAAGGTAAAAAAAAAGAAGAAGAAGAAAAAGAAAGAAAGAAAGAAAAAGAAAATATACACGCATTCTCTGCAAGCTTGTATCCGTTATTGTTTTGCAGTGGACTATAAAAAGACAACCAAAGGAAAAAGCCAAGGGGGTATTTTGTCTAACCTTTTAAATACATGCCCCATTTGACAGTATTTGTATAGCAGTTGTTCCCATGATCTGCTCAGCCCACAACATTCTTTTAATGCTCATTTCAACTTGGCACATGCTCTCCAGGCCAGCAGAAGCTTAAAGGAATCAAAGCTACTTTGGGAAGATCGCATCTTAGCAGCATCTAACACAGGGCATCTGAGAGAGAGCCGTGCTCTTGGGCGTCAGCTCAGTGCCCCTGAGTGTCGCTTTCTTCACGTGTCCAAGGAGGTACACCATATCCACCTTATGGGGTTCTGCCATTCCACATTCTTGTAATGTCTTATTTGAAGACACCTGCTCTGTGCCATATGTAAGACAGATCCTGGCTTCAGAAGCACACAGTCTGGTGGAAAAGATGGAGGTAGAATAGTCGATGGTGGGGAAGAGGCTCTGAGAGGCTTAGTGAGCACAGAGGGACAGGGGACCCAGACGTGGAGTCAGGGAAGGCTTCTTGGAGGAAGCAATGATGAAGCCAAGATCTGAGGGGTGAGCAGGCACAAAGGGAAACAAGGGCACAGGGCTGGAGGTACCAGCATGTATAGCAATCTGGAGACCAGAGAGAGTGAGGAACATGTAGGATCATATAAGCAATTTAGCCCAGCTGGAGAAATTCAGCCTCTGAGGTGGGAAGGTGATGCCACTGAGCTTTAAAGGATCTGCAAGATGATGATTTCAATAAGAGGGTTTTGTAAACTCTGAAGCCATAGGGCCCTGCACAATGTAAGTTATTATCCAACGTTATTACCCTTTTGGACAGACTGGGGGTGGGGGGCAGATCTGACTCGGAGATAGAACTAGAATTTGCCGGTGTCATTGGCAAAGGATCTCAATATTTTTCCAGCTGTTCTTATCTAATTCATTTATTATGATGTGCCAGATGGATGGGGGTATCCCATTCATTCATGCATCTGTTTGGATATCTGAGTGTGTGCATAACTCATATTTTAGTTTTATTTGAAGCAAATATAACAGAACTTAGAGTTGTTGAAAACCACACACAAAAAAAGAAAAAGAAACAACTTCCCATCTGAGCAACCTACAGAATCTATGCCCAGCGTCCCTCTTCCCCTATCTGGAAGTATCCCCTTCCCATCATTGTTTACACCTATCTCTGCTGAGAGAGCAAGTACATGGCTGATGCTGTCTTATGCATTTTCTTGAATTATATTCAATGAAATGAGCATTTTTCTAGCCTCTATTATGTGCCACGTAGTGTGAAAGACATAACAGGAAGACAGGCATGAAAGAGACAAGTTCCCACCTTTAAGAGCTGTGTTAGTGTAGTGTAGGGAGATGTCACACGAGGCTGAAACACCTGCATGGGAAGCTGTCCACAGCGGCAGGTACACAACATTTCAAGGTTCTGGGGTCAGACCAAGCTGAGGGGTATTATCTGAGAGGTTGGTGGGCTCTGGTACTGGGACACAGTCAGACATAGTCTGACACTTACCACCACTATGACCTCAGGCTGGTCACTCAACATCTCTGTGCCTCAGTTTCTTCATCTGTAAAGTAAGCATGACAATCCTATGCTTCCCACCGAGTTGTCCTGATGAGTTTATTAATAGATATAAGGTGCTTTGAAGAGTGCCTGGCTACATAGTAAGTGTCCTGAAAATGTACATTAATCTTACCATCATCATCATCATCACTAAGCAGACACAAAAGGCCCTTACTGTTAATTCCACAATCTACACTCCCCCATCCTGAATGAAAGGAGCAGATCTTAACCAGTCACTGGAGTGAACAGATAATGGGTAGGTTCAAGATAAATTCAAAAGAGATGGAGAGAGCTGAGGAGTTGTTTAAGGAGGTCACCGAGATTCCAAGGGGAAACGTGGCACGTGAAACAATTTCTTTACTATGTGATAAATTTGCAGACTTCTTTTGTGTATGTTGTGACATTGGAGCCTTAAACCACTCAAGAAGATATGCATAAAAGGGTCATTATCTCTGCTTTGTAGATAAGCTAACCCAGAGCTAATCCAGAGAAGCAAATTATTGGCCTGGGGTCCTACAGTTTGTAAGTGGCAGGGAAGAGACTCAAATCCAGTGTCCTGAATCCAAGCAAGATGGTTTTGCTCTTCCATTCGGCTGCTTTCTCCCTGCTATCAACTGAATATGTACCCCCCCCCCAGAATTTATCTATTGAAACCTAATGCCCAATGTGATAATATTGGGAGGTGGGGCCTTTAGGAGGTGATAAGGTCATGAGGATGGATCCCTCATGAATGGGATTAGTGCCCTTATCACATGGAGAAACCTTGTCTCTACTAAAAATACAAAATTAGCTGGATGTGTTGGCGCATGCCTGTAATCCCAGCTCCTCAGGAGGCTGAGGCAGGAGAATCACTTGAACCTGGGAGGGTGAGGTTGTGGTGAGCCAAGATCATGCCATTGCACTCCAGCCTGGGCAACAATAGCAAAATTCCATCTCAAAAAAAAAAAAAAAAAAAAAAGGCCCCACTAAGTGGCCTCACCCATCTACCATGTGAGGACACGGGGAGAGGATGGCCATCTATGGACCTGAATTTAGGCCCTCACCAGGAACTGGATCTGCTGGCACCTTGATTTTTGGACTTCCAGACTGCAGAACTGTGAAAAATAAATTTCTGATGTTTATAAGCTTCCCAGTCTATGGTATTTTGTGAGAGCAGCCCGAATGGACTAAGACACTCCCTGTTGAGGTTTAGAATCCTGACAATGCTGCTTCTTTGGAGAAACTGAAACTACAGTTGTGAGACCTGGAAGTGAACTTGGTTGACAGCAAGGGACGTGTGCAGCCTGGTGGGGAAGGGGGTAGCCAACAAATGTGCTCTGGCCTCTCCACGGTGACCTGGCAATTGGTGTAAGAGGGTATCAATAATTCATGATGCTTGTCCCCTATACAAAACTAACTCAAAATGGTTCATAGGTCTAAATGTAAAACTTAAAACTATAATGCTTCTAGAAGAAAAACAGGGGAAAATTGTTGTGGACTTGAGTTAGGCAAAGATTTCTTAGTTACAAGACCAAAAGCATCATCCATAAAAGAAAAAATGATACAGTGGATTTCATCAAAATCAAGAACTTCTCTTCTTCAAAACACACAGTTAAGAGAATGAAAAGACAAACCACAGACTGGGGGGAAAATGTGCAAAGCACATATCTGATAAAGGACTTGTATTCAAAATATATGAGGAACTCTCAAAACTCAACAGTAAGAAAAGCAACAACTCATCCTCAAAAAAAAAAAAAAAAAAATGAGCTGATGGACCAAAGACCTTAGCAGACGTCTCACCAAAGAAGATATACAGGTGTCAAATAAGCACATGAAAAGAGTCTACATATCTTATGTCAGCAAGGAAATGCAACTTAAAACAACGAGATACTACTGTACACCAATTAGAGTGGCCAAAATTCAAAACTCTAACAACATCACATGCTGGCAAGGATGTGGAGCAACACAAACTCTCATTCATGTTCTTGAGAATAGAAAATAGTACAGCCCCTTTGGATGACAGTTTGGAAGTTTCTCACGAAACTAAACATACTCTAACCATACGATCCAGAAATCACGCTCTTTGATATTTACCCAAAGGCATTGAAAATTTATGTCCACAGAAAAACCTGTACACAGATGTTAGCACCTTTACTCTTAATTTCCAAAACATGGAAGCAACCAAGATGTCCTTCAGTAAATGACTGGGTCAATAAAATGTGTTACACCAGGCGCGGTGACTCATGCCTGTAATCCCAGCACTTTGGAAGGCTGAGGCGGGCGGATCATGAGGTCAGGAGATGGAGACCATCCTGGCTAACATGATGAAACCCAGTCTCTACTATAAAAAAATACAAAAAATTAGCTGGGCGTGGTGGCGGGTGCCTGTAATCCCAGCTACTGGGGAGGCTGAGGCAAGAGAATGGCATGAACCCGAGAGGTGGAGCTTGCAGTGAGCCAAGATCATGCCACTGCACTCCAGCCTGGGCAACAGAGCGAGACTCTGTCTCAAAAAAAAATAAAATGAAATAAAATAAAATAAAATGTGATACATTCAGAAAATGTAATATTATTCAGTGTTAAAAAGAAATAAGCTATCAAGTCATGAAAAGACATGGAGGAATCTTAGATGCATATTGCTAAGTGAAAGAAGCCAATATGAAAAGGCTATATACTGTATGATTGCAACTATATGACACTCTGGAAAAGACAAAAATAAGGAGTCAGGAAAAAGATCAGTGGCTTCTAGGGGTACGCAGGGAGGGAAAGATGAACCAGCAGAGCACGGGGGTTTTCAAGCAGTGAAACTACACTGTAAGATGTTATATGTGTGGATGCATGTCATCATGCATTTGTCCAAACCCTTAGAATGCACAACTCCAAACGTGGCCCAATGTAAACTATGGACTTTGGGTGATTATGACAGCCAGTGCCCATTCATCAATTGCAACAGGTATACCACCGGTGGAGGATGTCGATACTAGGGGAGGCTATGCACATGTGGAAGCAGGGATGATATGGGAAAGCCAGCTCTGCACCTTCCACTCAATATTGCTGTGAACATAAAACTGTTCTAAAAAGTATAGTACAGTAAAAAAATGGATATAGAATGTGATCAGATATTTCACCAAAAAAAATAAATAAATAAAAACAGACACAAGAAAAGATACTCCATATCATTGGTCACTAGGGAAATGCAAATCAAAACCGTAAGGAAATACCACTATGTGCCTGTCTTAATGGCTAAAAATAAGCAGGGAAATGATAATAGCAAGTGTTGGCAAGGATGTGGAGCAAGTGGAATTCTCCTGTGTTTCTCGGGGGCCTGCAAAATGGTAGTCTGGAAAACAGTCACTCTGGAAAACAATTTGACAGCTTCCTGTAAAAGGAAATAAAGTTAAATGTACATTTACCATACCACTGACTGAGCCAATTCCTAAGTATTTATCCAAATAAAATGCAAATCTATGTTCTCATAAAAACCTGTAGGAGAATGTTTGCGGCAGCTTTACTCATAACCCCAAAAACTGGAAACAACCCAGGAGTCTCTCAACCAGGGATTAAAGAAACTGTGGTACATCCATGCATTGGAATACTATTTATTTGATATGGTTTTGCTGTGTCCCCACCCAAATCTCATTTTGAATTGTAATCCCCATGATCCCCATAGTCCCCATGTGTCAAGGGAGATACCAGGTGGAGGTGATTGGATCATGGAGGCAGTTTCCCCCATGCTGTTCTCATGATATTGAGTGAGTTCTCACGAGATCTGACTGTTTTATAAGTGTTTGGTAGCTCGTCCTGCGACCCTTCTCCCTCCTGCTGCCTTGTGAAAAAGGTGCCTTGCTTCTCCTTCACCTTCCACTATGATTATAAGTTTCCTGAGGACCCCCCAGCCATGCTGAACTGTGAGTCAATTAAACCTCTTTCCTTTCTAAATTACTCAGTCTTGGGTAATTCTTTTATAGCAGTGTGACACTATTAATCAATAAACAGAAAAAAAACTACTTATACATAACAACATAGATAAAATCTCAAAGTCATCATGCCAAGTGCAACAGGCCTGACTCAAAAGGCAAAATTCTGTATGAGTTCATGTGTACTGAATTCTTGAAAAGGCAAAATTATAAGGGCAGTAAAAGTAGCAGAGGGTTTGGGGGTTGGCCAGGGAAGGGAGGTTTGGCAATGAATGGGCACAGGAATATTCCTTTACATGATGGAATTGTTCCATATCTTGAGTGTGGGGGTGTTACACACTGTAATCATTTGTCAAAACTCCCAGAACTATACATTAGAAAGAATAAATTCTACTTATGTAATTATACCTTACTGTTGAAAGGGGGAAAAGATGAAATCATTATTCAGTTTTTAAAAAATCCATAGGAAGACACAAAATCACTCCTTTAATAAAAGAGCTCTTCCTTCATAGAAAGGAACTGAGCAATTCCTTAAACATCACAATCTTTTGTTTTTAATATTACAATTAATATTGTAGGAAAACAATAATTTGTAAAGGGACTCAAAAATGCATTAATGTGATATTGAATTTAAATTTTTATAAGGAAGAGAGAGGTCCAAATACTTCCCTGGCACCTACGATGTGCCTGCAGAGTGATGGGTGTTTTCTGTGCTAGGCCTTGGTTAATTGCAGGAACAGAAGGGAGGCAGTCACTTGAGCAAACTTTCTGTTCCTTGTTTTCTAAGTTCTGTTCTCCAAAACTTCCAGACAGCAGCATAATGCTGATGCTTCTCCTCCTTCCCCTCTTCCCCAAAAAAGTTCATAATTCAGTCCATCAAGGGGTCTGCGTGACAGCAAACTTCAGGTTGACTGATTTTTTTTCCTCCTAAACTGACAGAATCAAATGATGATTTATTTATTTACTTACTAATAATTTATATCTTGTCTCCCTCCAAAGAGGATTTGAGTACCTCGCTGGATGTGTTGGCATTACCTCCAAAAAGTGTAAGCATATCGGGGAAGAAAATAACCACTGGAGAAGTGGTCTTTGGTTTCGTTGCAGATTCTATGGAGTCACACAGTAATGCTTAATGAGCCCATTACTGCAGAATATGAATAATAGAGAGTCTGACCTGGTTGCTATGTTAAAATGGGATATCAGATCTAAAACCACCTCCATGAGGTTGTCTGCACAGGTGAGGGGAGGTGATCTACGAGGTAATTGGGCCCAAAGACTTGACACATTGGAGAAATAGAAGCTTTCTTCCCTGAGCAAGTCCATTAAGCTAAGAACAAGTTACCTACCAGCCACTAAAGGTGGTCTGTGGACCAGCACTTACGTGAAGAGTTTCAGCAACTGGGCAAAGTAGGCATTAGGACTCCATGAAAAACCAGAGAGGGCTCAGAGAGGGTATGTAACTTGCCAAGGGTCACAGAGCTGGCAAGAGGTAAAGCTAGGACCTTGAATCTAGGTCTTCTGGAATCCACAGCCTGTGCTTCCCCCCTTTTCCAACTTGCCTCTTGGCTTTTGAGCCCAATCAACTTGTCTGGCACTGGCTACCTGTAATGATCTCATTTATTAATATAGTTTGACATCCTTTGCTCAGTTTTGGACACTGCTTCAAAAAATGTTTGCCATCCCTGCCATGGGTTAGGATAATCTCAGCTACAAGTAACAGCAAGTTCAAATTCAAACTGGCTTCAACAATGAGATGATTGATTAGCCCCTAACCGTGGAGGACCAGAGGCAGGGCAGGTTCCAGGCAACATATGTTAGAAGATCTGCTTTGCTGCTTCAAGGGTCCCCCTGCTTGGCCCTTTTCCATGTGTGTGCTTCTTCCTCGGGAAGGAAGGAATCAGAATGCAGCAGTTGTAGGGATTTCTCCAAAGAAGCAATGGGCCCATCTCCTGAAGTGTGAGACAGCCTCTCTTATAAGCTCCAGCTGTCATCACCTCCAGACACATTGGCCAGGGATGGGCTACATACACATTGCTGGGTTACATCCCCACTCTTAAACCATCACTGGCAGGGTGGGGGGATGACCATGGACGCTGTAGGAGAAACTTGGTAGATGTTTTCTAATCCATTACCCCCTCCAGGAGAAAAGAGTCGTTTTCAGAACCCAGGAAGACTGCCTTTCCCAGCCTCTGTTACAATTCAGTTGGGGCCATGTAACCAGCTTCGATAAATAGAATGTGAGAAAGTGATGCCCCTTCCAGGCCTGTCCATAAAATGTCTTGTGTGGTCCTCCACACTCACTTTCATCAGCAGCCAAAGGCAGAGGACTCACAGCACAGCAGAGAAGTAGAGATTAAAAGATGCCTTAAAAGATGACAGCACAGTAGAGAAGTAGAGATCTGAATTCCTAAATCGCTTCATAAGAGGCCAAATGCTGGTCTAGGCACATAAAGGTATTGTGTCAAGCCACTCAAATTTTAGGGTTATTTGTTCCTGCAGCTAGCACTAATTGCCCTAACTAATCCAGGTGGCTTCAACTAATCAGCGGGGGTGGAAAAGAAGTCTGGGAGTCAGCCATAAAAACCGCTCTGTAACAAATCATGTGCTTCATGCATGGTAGAGAGGCCCCATGTTCAGGGTCTCCCATGGCCAGGGAGATGGAAGAAAGATATTAGCGAGCTGCTTTGAAAGTTCAACAAGTTTAATAATTATAGGACAGCTTTAGAGACTACCTTTAGTCTCTGTGTGATCTTGGGCAAGTCACTCCCAAACTGGGGGCCTCAGTTTCTCCAGGAGAACATGGTATCTTTACTCTCTCCAGGCTCTGAGACCCAGTGGGTCAGGGCAGCTCAAGGGGTTGAACTGCACTTACCTTGGGTTTGGTGCTGTTGAAGCAACACATAGTGTGGCCTGGAAAAGGGTCATTTTCAGAACTAAGGCCAGGGCACCCACTCTGGAGAATCTGCACCAAGAAGCTCCAGGCCACCCAGCAACCTTGGGACAGTTACATCTGTGCATGTTGATCCCCAGGGCGGGCTCTTTTCTCACTGAAACCATTACTCCAGTGTATTTGACGTAATTCCTACAAAACATGATTTTTATAACTCTGATCAGGGAGCCAATTAATATAACTATTATTTATTGTGACTGCCTAGGCATAAAAACCACACAAATCAAACTGATTCCCCAAATCCACTTGGATCTCCACATTGTTAAGTCACATCCATTACACTGCTTTATAGTCGCATTTGTATTTTTTATTATTAATGCTATCAATACAATATTTATTCACCATGAAATAGCCTTCCACTTGGGAGGGAAATATGTGTACTTGTAAGTGCTCCTAATCATATCAAGCTCTGCACACGCTGGCTGGCGGATTGATGATGACTGGAACACATATTTTTTGAATAACAATAATGATCGCCAGTTATTGAAGTCCTACTAAGCACCAGGCTATGCCTTACATTCATTATCTCTTTAACCTTATCAATAATTATATCTTTCTCAACTTCATTTTACAGAAGGACACACTGAGGCTCAAGAAGGTGATGTAACTTCCCAAACATCCCACAAATAGTCAGTAAGGAACTGAGTCTTTGATCCAAGGACTCCCTGTTTTCACACAATTGCCCAAGTGCCTTCTAGGATCTATGGGGGGAAAGGCCAAAGCCAAGCATTCAAGATTGAAACCAAAACAACACACAAACATATCGCTCACTCTAATTGCGTCTCTTTCCTCATGTATTCTTCACCCAGAAATTGCCATCGTATCCATTTCAGTTTCATGCGAACTAACGCAGGCATCTGGATCACAAAGGCAGTGCGGCAAACTCACCTATGCTCTGCACATTTTGGAGAACATCCCCCTCAGTGATCTCAGGCCACATTTGATGACACCAGCACAGGTTACTAAAAAAGTGTCTTTCTCCCTTCCAGGCAGCAATAAAGGCAGCGTGCGCCATGTTGCTCTGCAAGTTCCCAAGAATTAGTAACATTTGAACAGACAATTTCTTGGTATCACTCCACTTCACCTCTCCCCACACCTCAGCCCTGCCCACCGCCAACCTCTCCGGCCAAACCCACCTCCAGGCAGCACAAATATTATTGACAATGCTAGGTGACAGCAGGAAACAAAACATACACCAATGATGAGGGTTGCCAGATAATGTACAAGATGCCCAGTTAGATTTGAATTTCAGATAAACAAGCATGTTTTTAGCATAACCATGTCCCCAAGAAGTATGATGGGAATTCACATTTAACCAAGCACCCTGTATTTTTATTTGCTCAATCTGGCAATCGTATCAACTACGTTAGAGAGAAAACTTCTACTTTCTCGGCTAAAGCTCCTTTTTTCTCTTGGCCCCTTTCCAGACCACTGCCAGGCCTCAAAGGAAGGGAAGTGGCTAATGTGCTGAGTCAGACCTCAGGACGCCCCTGGTCTGAGCTTCATCAGCCGGTAGAGTTTCTCTGTCGTCATGGCCAGTGTGCAAGCACACGCTTCCCTCCGGCGCTTCCACTTGTCAGGCACTAAGCAGACCAAAGCTGGACCTGCTGGTTTTTTTTAACCTGTTCCAACTCTGCTCTCCTGCACCTGGGTGGGGGACACAGGCAGGCCATCCCCTGCTCACACAGCCATCTTAGACTTAGGAGGGGTCATGGGAAACAAAGGTTTGGAGCCTCCCCTGCAGAGTCCAGCTGCTCTATCAGAGGGCCCGGCACCGGCGATGTCGCAGGACCTGTCATTTGGGTTAGGCACCTGTGGAGAAGGATCAATCCCTCCTCCAAAAACCTCCTCGAGGAGAAGAAATGAGGAATGAACCAGGCCTGAGCTCCGCTGAGCCCTGCTGTCCAGTGACCTGCAAAGGGGCAGCTCTCTGCCCAGAAACCGCAACACACAGGGCCAACCGCTACAGAACCTCAAACAGCCTGATACAGAGCAACATGCACAGGGCTCTGGGTTTCTCTGGAGAGTGGATCATGTGGACAAGATCAATAATCAATGCTTACTGGGGCCAATAGTTAGTGGGGCTGATATAACAAACCCATAAATAACTCTCCTCTGTTCTCTTCCTGAAACCCAACCCGGACCAGCACCAACCAGCTCTTTTCACGCTAGTGAACTGGTTATTCCTACAGATGAGTCCATTGGCATAAGGTCACTGATTTCCTTAAAGAGCATGTGCCCTTGCCATTATTTTCAGTGAGGGACCAATGAGCGGGCTACTTGAAATCTGACCCCAGACTTCAGATGGCCAGGGGCTTACAGGCACAGATCAACGTACAGCAACATTCTTTTTTTTTTTTTTTTTTTTTTGAAACAGAGCCTCGCTCTGTTGCCCAGGCTGGAGTGCAGTGGCTCTATCTCCGCTCACTGCAAGCTCCGCCTCTTGGGTTCACGCCATTCTCCTGCCTCAGCCTCCCGAGTAGCTGGGACTACAGGCACCCACCACCACGCCTGGCTAATTTTAATGTACAGCAACATTCTACCTGTGCTCCCTGATAGCATCTGACCAAAACCTCCTGCTAGCCCTGCACAGGGACAAATCTCTGTGCTGTTCATTTTCTCTTCTCTAAAAAATGGCTTATCCACTATGGAAAATAGTACACAGGTTCCTCAAAAATTAAAAATAGAACTACTACCTGATCCAGCAATCCCACTTCTGGGTATGTATCAAAAAGATTTGAAATTAGGATCTCAAAGGGATCTCTGCACTCCCATGTTCACTGCGGCACTATTTACAGCAGCCAAAATATGGAAACCACCTAAATGTCCATTGATGGATGACTGGATAAAGAAAATGTGGGGCCAGTATAGCAGTTCATGCCTATCATCCCAGCCCTTTGGGAGGTCAAGTTGGGAGGATCACTTGAGCCCAGGAATTGGAGACCAGTCTGGGCAATGTAGGGAGACCCTGTCTTTACAAAAAATAAAAATATTAGCCAGGTGTGGTGGCACATGCCTGTGGTCTCAGCTACTTGGGAGGCTGAGATGGGAGGATCGCTTGGGCCCAGGAGGTCGAGGCTGCAGTAAGGCATGGTTGTGCCACTGCACCCCAGCCTGGGCCACAGAGCAAGACCTTTCCTCATTAAAAAAAAAAATGTGATGTATACACACAATGAAATATTATTCAGCCTCTAAAAAGAAGGAAATCCTGCCATATGTTACAACATAAATGATGCTAACAAAGGACAAAGACTGCATGATTCCATTTATATGAGATATTAAAATAATCAAATTCCTAGAAACAAAGAACAGAAGGTGATTTTCAGGGGCTGAGGGAGGGGAAAAGTGGCATTGCTATCAATGAGTACAAAGTTTCAGTTATGAAAAATGAGTAAGTTCTAGAGATCTGTTGTTCAGCCTTACACTTGTAGATAATAATACTGCACTGGACACTTAAAATGTTTTAAGAGGGTACATCTAAAGAATGGACACATAGAAGAGAACAACACACACAGGGGCCTTTTGGAGGGTAGAGGGTTGAGGAGGGAGAGGATCAGGAAAAATAATTAATGGGTACAAGCTTAACACCTGGGTGATGAGATAATCCTTACAACAAACCCCCATGACACAAGTTTACCTATGTAACAAACCTGCACATGTACCCTGAATTTAAAATAGAAGCTAAAAAGAAAAAGATGGTGGATCTCATATTAACCGTTCTTATCACAATAAAATAAATTTTTTAAAAAAGAAAAAGAAAAACTTCTCTGTGGTTGAGGCAGGAAAGAAGAAAAGTCAGCGTCATGCCTATGTCTAGAGGACCCCAAAGTGCAGAAAAGCCAGAGTCAAAATGTGTAACTACTGTCCAGGAAGCGGGAGAAAAAGAATCAGACCAGTGAGCTATTTTTAGGTGCATTTGTCCTCACCACATAATGCAACTTTCAAATATGCTTCTATTTCTTCAAGTACAGTGAGTCCCCAGACACCCCCGTTCACACACTGTGTGCTGCCTGTATCGGAGAAATATCTGCTTCTCACAGATAATCAACCCTCCTAATTAATAACACAAAGTCACAGGAGGAGCTCTCTAACTGAAACCGCAGCGGGGAACAGATAAGAAAAATATACTGGAGGTGTGGAGTTGTGGGTTGTTTTTTTTCCCCCTAATTCCCTAAGTCCTGCCAGTATTCTATGATGTCTTATAAATTCCAGAATAATGAAACATGACACAATGTAACCCAATGTGAGGCGTCAACATGACATAAGCAAATGCAAAAGGATTCAAGATCACCAAGCATGTCAGAAATACACGCGGAATTTTCTTCCTCCGCCCCTACTCCTGGGTGACAGGGTTTGGAGATTGGGATCTGTGTGATAATGACGGCTGCAAATGAGAAGAACCGCCCCACCTTTGTGTGGGCACCTTCCTTGTTAATGGCACTCAAGATGCTTTGTAGACTTCATAAAGCTAAGAACCAGGTAGTCACATTTGGAAAACAAGGGTCATTTCACCTGCCAGGGACCACACACAGACACAGTCCTGCCTCTGTTTGCCAGCTGTTACCACCAAAGCCCCATCAACAGGCTAGCCTCCTGACCTAAAATTACAGCATGTGGAACTTTTCCAAGGAAATTATTAATTTAAGATTGTAGGAACTTCCCTGAAAACACTGCTATTTTTATTAGTGAATGGATATGTGTCTGGACTATTTGGTAAATGGTAGAAAATCACATTGGCATTTGCCATCCCTCTACAGTTGTCTAAGTATTTTGCTTAGAAATAGTCCCTTTGGGCCGGGCGTGGTGGCTCATGCCTGTAATCCCAACACTTTGGGAGGCCAAGGCAGGCAGATTGCCTGACCCCAGGAGTTCAAGACCAGCCTGGCCAACATGGTGAAATCCCGTCTGTACTAAAAATACAAAAATTAGCTGGGTGTGGTGCCGTGTGCGTGTAATCCCAGCTACTTGGGAGACTGAGGCATGAGAATCACTTAAACCTGGGAGGCAGAGGTTGCAGTGAGTCAAGATCACGCCACTGCACTCCAGCCTGGATGACAGAGCAAGACTCTATCTAAAAAAAAGAAAAGAAAAGAAAAGAAGAAAAAGGAAATAGTCCCTTTGGATTCTCACAAATTCCCTACCATGTGGGTTCAGGCCCATCTTGTGGATGGGAAAACTGAGGCCCAGAGGAGGATGTGGCTTGGCAAGATGGAACAGCCTGTGACCAGCAGGGCCTGGACAGGCAGACGTCCTCTCGCTCGCTCAGGGCTCTCTTCATGGCACCAAGCTCTCTCTCCAATTCAGCTCTCACCCATGCTGGTGGTTCAGACACCATCCCTCCCCCATCAGGCTATCACAGCCCGCAGGAGCTGCAATTGAGCTTTTGAAATATCACAATATTTATCTTGCTTGGATTCAGGATGTTGTTGAAGCTCATCAGAAACAGCAATCTGGGGACCAAATAGAGAATTCCTTAAAAATTTAGTCCCTGTCAGAGAGAAACATTCCCTCATTCCAACATGTCCCAAATTGCAGTTTGCAACTCTCCATGTTTGAAGGCAACCCAAAGGCTTTATTCTCGGGGTCCTGGATGGAAACACCACTGGTCTGTCAGTCATCCTGATGTCATCAGAAGCCACTGGGTCACCCCAAAGGATCCAAGATTGCTAAATTTTAGTTTTGTAGAGAAGCAATTTGGAAATGTTGGCAACAGAGAAAGTGCTTCCAAATGAATACATCCCTATTCGTTATCAAAGAAAGTTTTCCAAGACTCATAGCCTCAAACAATGCCTTTCTCCAGCGTGATAATAGTGTATGTCTTTGTCCACAAAAGTTGCACCCTACTCAACCCTCATAACAGCACATAGCTTGTGTCAGAAAAAGAAAGAAGAAGAAGAAAGGGAGGGAGAGAGGCAGAAAAGGAGGGAAGGGGGAAGGAGATGAAGCGTAGAGGAAAAGAGGAAGAGACACAGAGAAAGGCAGAAAAGAGAGGGGAGAAATAATGAGAGAGAGAAGAAAGAGAACTTGCCCTTAAAGGATGGCAATATTAGTATTCTATAAAGCTTCATAGTTTATAGACTGTTCACATGATCCTCTCACTTCATTCGGCCTCCCCAGCAGCCCTGAGTGTTGCTTATATAATAATTTTGCCCACATTGTTCAAATTACAAAAGCGAGGCTCTGAGAGATGGAGGCCCAGCTAAGGGTTATCCAGCCATGAACACCCCCAACTCTTGCTGCGGATATGACCCCATGGTCATCCTAAAGGGTCCTTCTGTTTCTGTGACTTTTGAGATTCAACACCTTTTTGTTTGAGGATGATGTGTTCATTCTGTCAATGTATCATTATATACAATATTTGTGTTTTAATGCTGCTGATCTGGAAAGAAAATGGCATGTATGAAATGATCAGTCTCAGAGGTTTCTGCAGAGCCACACCAGCCAGACAGGGAGCTGTGACCAGCCACAGGCAGGGACCCTTGGCCCTGTGTCCTCTTCCTTCAAAATCCTTCCGCTCTGAGCTCCTGCTACTCCGGCTCTCTGAAAGCCCACGCAGGGGTAAGTCATGTACCCTGGGGGTGGCTCCTCGTTCCAGTCTCCAGGCTCTGACTTCGGGTGTCTCCTCTTCAGGCGTAACAGCCCTGGGTGGGGTTGGAGCTCCACTTTTGCCTTCGCCACCACCACCCTGAGTGGCCTTTGTTTGTCTAAGGCCTGTGTCTTCTCCCTCCTGTGAGCTCACCTCATGAGCCCTAAAATAAAAGTGGTTATATTGAACAACTTTATGCCATAGGTACTCTTAACCTGATTTGCAGATGGCATAAACAAAATTCAAACCACGCAGCAGAGTAGGGATTGACATGGAAGAATGGTTGAGGGGCCTTCAGTAACCCTTTTCTTTATGCGACCTGCATTCAATTCCTGTGGCTGCCATAACAAAGTATCACAAACCAGGTGACTGAAGACAACAGAAATTATTCTTTTATACTTCTAAATGCTAAAAGACAAAATCAAGCTATCAGCAGGGCCACACTTCCTCCAAGGGCACTAGGGCAGGATCCTTCCTTGCTTCTTCCAGTTCCTGGTGACTCCAGACATTCCTGGGCAGCCTCACTCCAGTCGCTGACCCCATCTTCCCAAGGCTGTCTTCTCCCTGTGTGTCTCTGTGTCCTCTCTTCTTATAAGGACATCCAGTCATTGGATTTAGGGCTCACCCTAAATCCAGGATTATTTTATCTGCAGGTTCTTAGCTAATTACATCTGCTGTAACCCTATTTCCAAGTAAGGTCACATTCTGAGACTCTGGGTGGACATGAATTAGGGTGGGGGGAATCCTATTCAACCCATCACACAATTCCCAGTTTTATTCTTTGTAAAAGAGATTTTAAGCAGCTGAAAGCAGTAGTTTTAAAAACCGGGAAGCTCTGACTACCACCCAGAAAAATCCCACAATGTAGGCAATTGTCCTTACAGCCCAAATGCATGGCAGGTACAAGCACTAGCCATTTGCCACCAATGCCCCTGGGACGCCAAGAGACACCCAGCCCTGTGGGGAGTCAAAACACCAGCCCATTTCTATGCAAATAGCATTATGGAGCCATTCAGCGTCTGATTCCTTGTAGATGAATCTGAGCTTGCCAAACGCCACCCGGAATTTTTCCACGGGAGAGACTCTGCAAGATATCAAACAAGATCTGACAATACATTCATCTTTAATCTGCGCAGTGCACCTTTACTTTGAAAGTTGTTTGCTTTGCATGGCATGATATGATTTCCGATAAATTCTCAAAATTTGCAGCCTCCGTCTAGATGAAGGAAAAAACCCAGCAGGCAGAGAGGAGAGGAAGAGACTTAAGGCAGCAGATTTGCTGAAGTCCGTGGAAGTCCAAAGCATGCAAAAATGAGCCCCAAAGTTGCTTCTCAGGAAAGGAGCCACGTGCATTTGCACCAGGGCCTACCCCTGTTTCTAAGAGGCATGCAATGTGGCTGAAATCAGGAAAGGCACACAGCTCTCTCATTCACTGCGTCTAGAATTAATGCCTTGAAATAGAAACACACACACACACACACACACACACACACACAAAATCCCCACCAGTGCCCTCTCTCACAAATGAGCGTTTTGTAAGGAAAGATATGACCCTTGCTGGAAACTGGATAGGGCATTCCTGGGTAGAGTTTAAATAAAACCCCTGCCTACTATAGCTATTAGTTTCTTGCAGGGAAGATACAGGTGATAAATCCAATATTCAGCTCCCAAGTAAGCTTCAGGAGGAAAAAACTCATATTGCAACATTAATGTCCAATTGACACAAACTTTGAAAAAGTGTGTATATATATAGAGATAGATAGATTCACATATATATGTGCACATGCATGTGTGTGTGTGTGTATACAGATGTATACATACATATTTGGGGGGTAATTCTAAATCCTCCACAACATACACCAATGTCACATTTTAATGTAATATCATGTCCAATGCATATTCATGAAATACAATCTTGGCAGTGGCACAAGAAAAGTGGGATGAAGTGTGTTTGGCGGAGTGCGTCACGTTTCCAGGCCAGCGGATTTTTTGATTAAAGTCCCTTATCCGTTTTATCATGCATATCCACTCTCTGATTAAAGTGATCTGGGGCTGACACTCACAATGTCAGTATGCACTGAGACCCTTCACACAAAACATGGTTGGAATTTATATCCTTAAAAAAAAGACCCTGTACACCCAATAACAAAACGAAAACAGGGCAACGTTCATTTAAATATAAGTCTACGTCGGATGGCTCTGTGAGTTGTCTGTTCCCTAGTTCAAAGAGATTTAACCCAGAATATCAATCAGTGTCCAACTTCAGATGCTAAATTTTATTTCTTTTTTTTTTCTAAGTTAAGTTTTTTTTCTGACTTGTTGGGCTTTTTATCAAATGTTTCCACTTGAGAAAAACATGACCAGGAACTCCCACGCAGCGTATAAATAATGAATTTCCCCCAGATGCCGGCCTCTCCAGCACTGTGAACATCAACTTGTCCCAATTTTCCTAAGGCCCCATACAACAGCACTTTCCATCAGGTGCTCCCTGCCAAGCAGCCAGGAGGAGAGAGGAAGGGGGCCACCCAGACCACTGCCCATCTCATGGTGGCAGAGACTAAGCAAGCCTGAGGCCACAGACAGGATGGAGCTGGGCGCGAAATCTCCCGCCTCCCACTGGAGCTCCATGTCCCCTTGAGTCACTTGGGCCAATGGCTGAAGGAAATGACGCAGCTTTTGAAAGCCAACTGATGTCAGAGAAAACAAAGAGAGGGCAGCTATGCATGTGCTCCTTTGACACCCTGCCACCCTCTTCCAGAAGCCCCCTGCATGTGGCAAACGATGCATCTGGAGAGTCTGGAGTGAGATGCTTTTGGAGAGCTGGTGAAGTGTGATCCGAAGTCCTGGGTCACATTGCAGTTGACCAGACAGGTGGCCATGGGCCAGTCATTTCATCCGTCCTCATCTCCAAATCTTCTTTCATGGAGATAATCACATCAACCCATGGGCCTCTTGTGCAGCTCCAACAAAATTGCATCTGAGAAGAGACTTCATACCCAGGACAGACGTTCTCAATGTAGGTCATACCTGTGGGTATGGCCCTCAGAGACAGTGAGATCTCCAGACGAGCACTGACATTCTGCTCCAGAAAAGACCCCAGTCCATCTGTTGTCACACATTTCTGTTTTCAATTCCCAGGCTCCCAGGAATCTATTCCTCTGGCCCTCTGAGCAGGTCCCATGAAGAGCCAGAAGGTTTTCCCCAGCAGCCAGTTCCCACCCCACCTCCACCCACACCCAAGACAGGTGAGAAGCTAATCCTCCACCAGGTGCTCCAGTGACACCCTGCCACCCCCCTCCTGAAGCCCCCTCCTCACCCTTAACAGGGAGGAGGTCAGCTGTGTGTTTATCAGGACCCCTGCTGGATTGAAAACCTGGGACTGTGGATGTTCACTGCTTTTTCCCAGTACTCTACGCAGGGGTGGTACACAGTAGGTGGTCCATGGGCTTGGTTAAGTGAACGTACAAATGAAGCCAAGCCCCATTGGTTGGTGCCCTTAGTATGCCAGACCCCATGCTGGCCGTTCCCTCTCTCTATCTTACCCCAGCCTGACACTGACACGTTGGAGTTGGCCTCATTAAGTCTAGTTCACAGAGGAGTAAAAGGAAGCTCAGAGGAGGGCAGCACCTACAAACCCGGCAGAAAGGGGCAGAGCCAGAACCACGAGCGCACCTGGTGCCTGAGCTGTGGCTATCAGTAGCCCCTGAAAGGCATTTGAAGCCTCTAATTCATGGAACTTCCCTGAGATAGCTAGAGCAGTGGTATCCAGACCTGTGGGTGTCACCAAGCAGCAAATTTTAAAATTAAAGATAGAGCGATAGATAGATAGATAGATAGATAGATAGATAGATAGATAGATAGATAGAAAATAGAGATAGGTAAATAGATAAGTTAGAGATAAATAGGTAGATAGATAAGAGAGAGAGATACATGGATAGATAGATGATAGATAAACAGATAGATAGATAGATAGATAGATAGATAGATAGATAGATAGATAACAGATGATAGATGATAGATGATAGATAGATAGATAGATAGATAGATAGATAGATAGATAGATAGATAGATAGATGATAGATAGACAGAGATAGAATTGACATAGAGTTGTCAGCTTTTATTTGGCCAAAACTTAAAAACAAAACCCAAGTACTACATAAAATAGAGTAAAATAGAGAACTTTTCTTCCTTTCATAAAATAGAGAACTTTTCACACCAAAATTCTAGAACAGGCACAAATATGTCTCAGACTAAATGGTAGCTCTTTAAAAGGAAGACCTTGGGCCTGTCGATGTTCCTCATGTTGCAGTTGACCTGCAGCTCCTCATATCGCAGCTGACCTGAGGATACACCCCAAAGCCAGCCCTGGCCCTGGATGGTCACTGGAGACAATGCTCCCCACATTGTTGGTTGTTTTCTTGTTTAGGAGGTGTGTGTTGCACAGGCCCAGGCTGAAGGCAGAGTTTCTTCCTCTAAGATCAAAGCTGAGGTGAGGCAGCTGCATGGCCAGGGCCACTTGTCTGCTGCCATGTATCTCTGCCCGCTGGCTGTGTGGCCCTGGATAAGCTCTTTGCTTGCCTATGTGCCACTGAGGTTCCCTATCTGGAAAAACAGGGTAAAGGATCCCCTGATCAGGCTGCTGTGAGATCATGTGTGTGGAGCCCAGGCTCTGCCTCTGAGCACACACTTTGCTTTCAAGAATAACCCACATGCGGTAGCTCATGCCTTGTAACTCCAGCACTTTGGGAGGCAGAGGCAGGCAGATCACTTGAGGTCAAGAGTTCAAGACCAGCCTGGTCAACATGGTGAAACCCCATCTCTACCAAAAATATAAAAAATTAGCTGGGTGTGGTGGCTCATCCCTGTAATCTCAGCTATTTGGGAGACTGAGGCAGGAGAATCACTTGAACCTGAGAGGCAGAGGTTGCAGTGAGCCGAGATCGTGTCACTGAACTCCAGCCTGGGCCACAGAGTGAGACTATGTCTCAGAAAACACACACACACACACACACACACACACACACACACACACACCTTGCAGAACTCACTGCTCTCCTGTCCCACCGGGGGAAGACGTCCCTGGGCAGGGGGCAGCAGTCATACATTGAGTTTCAAAGCCAAGTCTGGCCTCTAGCAAATCTATCTAATCTATCTATCTATCTATCTATCTATCTATCTATCTATCTATCTATCTATCTATCTATCTATTTATTCCATTCATCTATCTATCTGTCTGTCTATTTATCTGTCTATGTATCTATTAACCTTGTATCCGTGTATCTATTTGTCTTATCTATCTACCTATCTATTTCTATCTTATCTGGGAAGCAAAATGAGGCTCCCCAGAAACGCTTCAAGAGAAAGAGAATCTTCTCTCAGGGATCTCACTTCTGACTTCCCAATGAGCAGATCCAGTGCAGTCCTGCCCTATTCTCATTCTGGAAAAGTATACAAATAACCCCTTTGCTGTGCATGGGTTGTTGGGAGGAGATTCCTGCCCACATCTCCAGCGAAAGCATTTGGTGATGGTTCCTGTGAGTCCCTGCATAAGAACCTGGCAAGGTCGGCTCTATCAACCCTGGTTTACAGATGACAAAGCTGGGTTTCTGAATGACACAGGGACTTGACAGAGAAAACAGTAGCTAGAAGAAGACAGGATTCATCCCCTAGCCTCCATGACATCGATAACTCTAAATTCAATAAATAATTGTCCCTTTCTCCCCTGCATGCCCATTTTCTACTACCATATATTAGTGCCTAATGGATGGATGGGAAGGAGGAAGGGGGAAAGGAAGGAAGGAAGGAAGGAAGGAAGGAAGGAAGGAAGGAAGGAAGGAAGGAAGGACGAAATTAGGGAGGGAGAGAGGGAGGGCATTCTTGTTTTCTTAAAATTAAAACTGGGAGAAATCAAATGCATGTCATCTGAGAGTTTGGATACACAGAGAAAGTCAGGAAAGGTGTCGTCTGAGAGGCCCTGCCCCTCAGCAGAGGGGCATCCAAAGGCAGAGACAGAAAAGAAACAGGGGACAGGCGATGTTTAAGAGGATACTGGGATTCTGTCTTTTGTCCTTTGCAGACTAACACTTAGTTTCAAGATTCAGAAACTGCCCTGATATTTTAATCCTTTTCTAATTTGATCTCTTCTCCTTCCCCCACCCACTCAGAACCCCGCTGAGATCTGTCTTTTGTGTCCTCCAACTTTAACCTTGGATTAAACTCCACCCTTCTGGAATTAGCTCCATCCTTCTGAAATGGGGAGAGAGAGAAAAAAAGAGGAAGAAGAAAGAGGAGGAGGAGGGAGGAATGATGAAGGGAAGGAAGGAAGGAAGGAAGGAAGGAAGGAAGGAAGGAAGGAAGGAAGGAAGGAAGGAAGGAAGGAAGGAAAGAAGGAAGGAGGCAGGGAGGGAGGAAGGAGGGAGGGAGGAAGGAAAACGGGGAAGACGAATTTTCAGCCCCTTTGTAGGCCCCATGGTATTGAACAGGATGCCCCCCACTCTGGTCTGACTCCCACCATCCTAATTTGGCCCCTCCATCCTCTTCTGCACACACAGTCCCCAGGTACAAACACACTGTCTACCAACAATCCCTGGGTGTGCTTGCATTTTTCTCCTCTGGACCCTCAGAAATGCCATCTGTTTCCCAATTCCTGTGCCTGACCCTTTTCCTTCTCTGCCTACTGAAGTCCTCACTGTTCACAGCTGAGTCGAGCCTTCAGCTGGAAGTGATGGCACCGTCCTGGGACCTCCATGAACCTCTGTCATCTGTACCCACCCTTTAGATGTTCAGTGAATGCTCCTGGATGCTGCCCCAGATGGCAACAAAGAGCAGACAAAGACATTAAGTTGAAAGATGGACTAACAGGTACCTTACCTGCCAGAGCCAGGAAATTACAAGGGAAGGAAGAGGAAAGCGACTCATCTTGAGTCATCCATGTATCAGGCATAGCCTCTGCCATAGCCCCATTCTGCCTTGCCCTCATTTTACAGATGAAAAAACTGAAGCCAAGACTTGGGGAAGGTTAGAGGTCAATAAGCAGCTGAGCAAAGACCCAGCACAGGTGTGCCCGGCCCTGACACTGTTTCTATTGGGACATCTCACCCCAGTTCAAGACGTTCCTCAGGTTGATCCCCTCTGAGATTCTCCTAGGATTCTCCAGATACATAGGATATTTGACAAACCTCTGTGCATGTTTAAGTTCATGTCTCCATAAGAAGCTATGGAAATTGCAAATTATATTAACAATCATGCAGCACCACTCACTGCTATATTTTCCTAACATGATTTTGATGGGAAGAAATTTCCATAAATTATGTGACTTAGACTTTTGAGAGCTATGGAGGAGCTTAGAGATTCCTTCACATCTAACTCTCTTATTTCATGTATATGGAATTTATTTCTTCCTTCACTCACTCAGCAGGTATTTATTGAGTATCTGCCTATGTCAAAGATTATGCTAGATGCTGGGGATGCAGACATGAATAAGTCTTATCCCCCCTGTCAAAGAATTCACAAAGTGACTGGGTCAATGAACAGTGCACAAATAAGGTGAAATGTGTGGGGAGAGACAGTGATAAATCAGCATAGCCTGAGGACCACAGAGCCCTGTGCTTGAAATCTTGTGACCTGGAAAGCTTTGTGTCCTTGGACAAATCAATTTTTATAAGCCCAAGTTTCCGTATTTGTAAAATGGGGAGAAGAGAACTCGCAAGGTTTTAGGAGGACTGCATGAGACAAACTACAAACACTAGGACCCAAGAGGTTTCTCAGAGGAGGAGTCGCTGGAGCTCAGAGGGTGTGAAGTGACTGGGCTACTGGCAGAGACAAGAGGCGATGCATTGCAGGAAGAGCTGGGTGTAAACACGAAGAGATGAGTGGGCTGGCCCAAGTATAGAGGGTAGCAGAAATGGGAGAGGATGGGAATTTTTTTAAATGATGACAACAATAAGAACGAGCAGATGATAGCTATCATTTCTTGAGCAAACTCTCTGCTAAATGATCTGTGTGCATGATATCTCTTGATCTCCCCAACCACTTTTAAGATAGGTACTGTGATGATTCCCATGTTACAGACATGGAAGCCAAGGCACGGAGAGATGAAGTAACTTCCCTAAACCTGCACAGCTAGGAAGTGGCACATCCAGAGTTTAAGCTCAGGCCTGTAGGCCAGGGTTGGGGAGTGATGAATTCAAAAACCCTTTGGGCGGCCAAGCGCAGTGGCTCACACTGTAATCCCAGCACTTTGGGACGTCAAGGCGGGTGGATCACCTGAGGTCAGGAGTTCGAGACCAGCCTGGCCAATATGGTGAAACCCCATGTCTACTAAAAATACAAAGACTTAGCCGGGCATGGTGGTGGAGGCAAGTAATCCCAGCTACTCGGGAGGCAGAGACAGGAGAGTCATTTGAGCCCGGGAGGCGGAGGTTGCAGTGAGCCAAGATCGCACCATTGCACTCCAGCCTGGGCAACAAGAGCATTACTCCGTATCCAAAAAAAAAAAAACTTTAGGGACCATTATGCCTTTTGCAGATATGATGAGGAGTTGTCACTATTTTCTGCTTTAACTTCTTCCTATTCCCAGTGACCTCAATGGTGTCATCCATCCAAAAGGGAGGTGGGAGAAAGGATTCACATTGCAATCTAAGAGTGAGATTATCCACATGCAGTCTTGCTTTCACACCTTTTTCGACATTTGCACGGCTTAATTAAGGAGGTGACCAGCTGCCACAGCAGATTTTTTGTTTGTTCTACAGCAGCAGGAGGTACAAGAGAGGTCCTTAAAAGGCCCAAAAGTGGTCACAAGGGCTCAGAGAGGGGCTCAAACCAGCAGATTTGCTGCTGGAAGCCAGCTTTCCTTCAGTGGGCCATGCATCAGGCAGCACCGAGCCCCCATCCCCAGGCCCAGGGCCAGGCTGGGGCAGCAGGAGAGGGGAGGATCTCAAGTTCAGCCCTGCTGGGCAAAAAGCTGTGAACTGCATCCATGAGTTTGAGGGCTTGTCCTGCATCACGCGTCATCCGCTATACCATGTATTATCTCACTGAAGCCACCTGACAGCACTGAGGGACAGATGCTGCTGTTATTAGCCCCATTTAAAGATGGAGACACTGAGAGTCCAGGGTTAAGTCATGGTGCCAAGACCCCAAGCCTAGCAGGTGAGGAGCCAAAACTCAGGCGGAATCTTGTTCCAAGTCTCTGTGCTTGACTCCTCACTGCTCGGGCCTTGCCTCCCTTGCGGGTGTGCTCCTGGGAAGACCGTTTCACCCTCACCCTGTGTCTGTCACACCTGGGGGGATGAGGCCTGCCTTGCCGGGTTGCTGAGGGGCATCTGGAAATCTTCTCTATGAAGCACTTCTCATGCTGCCTTGACTGAACTCAGGCCTCTGCAAACAGGAGCTGTTAACTGCTATGAAGGGGCTGTCCAGGTGTGTTAGTTTGCTAGGGCTACCATAACAAAGTACCCCAGGCTGGAGAACTTAAATAACAGAAATGTATTTTTATACAGTTCTGGAGGCTGGAAGTCCATGATCAAGGTGTTGCCAGGGGTGGTTTCTTCTAAGGCCTCTCTTCTTGGCTCATGGACAGCTGCCTTCTCCCTATATCTTCACACGGCCCTCCTCTGTGTGTGTCTGGGTCCACATTCCTTCTCTGAATAAGGACAACAGTCTTATTGGATTAGGGTCCACCCCAGTGACCTCATTTAACCTCAATTACCTCTTTAAAAGATTTTATCTCCAAATACAGTCACATTCGGAGGTACTGGGGGTTAGGACTCCAACACAGGGATTTTGGAGAGGGGCACATTTCAACCCATTATACCAGGGAAGCCAGACAGGCTCTGTTTCAGCAGATGAGTCCTTCCTTTGCAGTTCCTTAGTGTTGGCTCGGACTGCCCCACACCATGCTTTTACCCAAAAATCACCTTGGAGAGGGAGCAGGGCTTTTGCCAGATGCCACAGTGACAAAGCTGAGCCACTCGCTGTCCCTACCCTCTGGAAGCTGACAGTGTCCCCAGTGACTCAGATGTGAGGTGTGACTTACAATTCACACATCACTTTTCATATTCTTTATAGCATTTAATTCTCCCAACTCTTCTAGGGGAAAGTTTCTAGCACTGTCCTTGTTTTGAGCTGTAGAGACTGATGCTCAAAGACCAGGGGATTGGCCCCAGACCACAATGACCATGCATTAAACCTGAATCCCAGGGTTCTCAGCCCTAGTCCAGAGCAGTCTGGAATATTCTTTCTTCAGCCTATCTGGAATATTATTTCTTCAGCCACAAATTTCAATATCTGGTCAACAATAATTTATTGAGTTTCTACTTTGTGCTGGGAGCTTACATAAAAACAGAGGGTGTTGGGATAAAGGAAGGACAAACAAATTACAAATTGCAGAAATGAACAGATCAGTGTGATAGATTGTAAGGGAGAGAATGACTTTAGATGGCATGAACTTGGAAGGTCCCTCTGGGAAGGTGACATGTAAGCAAAGACCAAAAGAGGCAAAAGAGGCCGTGCAAAGGCCCTGGGGTACCCTGGTTTGAGATGATACTGGAGAGTTAGACAGGAGCCAACTCACACACTACCTTGGAAAATATCATTCTAAATATAGTAGAAAAAAACCTTGGACTTGAACCAAGAGAATGTGAACTGTTCATCTGATGATGTTTGCTAGTCTCTCTGGTGTTCTCTCTCATTATTGTAGGAAATGGGAGTGGAGTTAAAGATTTCTTTGGGATTGAAATTGTCGTCAAGACTTAGGCTTTCTGAATCCACAGGGCAATGACAGCCAACTTCTTTGCAACTAAAGGGATTTGCAAGGGGTGGACGCATGGAACACAATGGGTTTCAGTGGAAGCTTTATTCAGGTCAAACCAAGGACACTATACTATTCAAGTCGAGTTTACGGAGGGACCCATTGTGGCCTGGGTCTCCCATCAGCCTCTGGGGTACAGATCAGCTTGAGTACTAAAACAGGACAGCCAGTTCCCTGTGGCTGTGGTTGAGGCTGGATGGAGTAGGCCTGTGGATGAGAAGCAGGAACAGAAACCTGGCTGCCCTCCCGACAAGCATCTACGGGCGATGAATGAAGGAAAATGGGCGACCCGGTCCCATCTCATTGTGCCTGCTCCGGCAATACGAGGCGCATCACGCCACTCTAAAACAGCAGGACTATTTTCTCCGTCCTAATTGATGAACAGCTGTGCTTTAATAGACTACAACGCGTAGCTTCACTGATCTCTCCTTAGGCCACCCTGTGAACTGAAGGCTCCCCAGGGAACCGGGAAAAACAAAGTTTTGCCTTTATGAGCAGGCAAAGGGGTAGTGTTAGTGGGGGCAAAATTTGTTGTTAATAAATTAATAAACAGATAAATGAAAAACTCAGCAAAAAGGATTTCAGAAAGTTGATTTTTTTCCCCTTTTATTGGCCATTTAATGATAGTCATCACCATGAATTCTGGTCTCCCCTTAAGGAACAAGTGAGGACTAACACAAAATAGATAATGTTAAGAGCTTACAGTGGCACAGAGCTTTGTGGTGTCAATCTCCTTCCAGATCAAGGAGTTTAACCTTCATTATACAGACTTTGGTTATTCCACAGTGTCTTAGTTTGTTTTCTCTTGCTGCAGCTGAATCTCTGAGACTGGGTAATTTATAAAGAAAACAAATTTATTTCTTACTGTTCTGGAGGCTGGGAAGTTCAAGGCTGATGGGGTTGCATCTAGTGAGGACCTTCTTGTTGGTGCGGTCTCTCTGCAGAGTCCCAAGATGAGGCAGGGCATCACATGGCCAGGGGCCTCACAAGAGACAGCCAAACTGGCTTTTTTTTTTGAGATGGAGTCTCTCTCTGTCGCCCAGGCTGGAGTGTAGTGGCGCGATCTCGGCTTACTGCAAGCTCCACATCCCGGGTCCACGCCATTCTCCTGCCTCAGCCTCCCAAGTAGCTGGGACTACAGGTGCCCGCCACCATGCCCGGCTAATTTTTTGTATTTTTAGTAGAGATGGGGTTTCACTATGTTAGCCAGGATGGTCTCGATCTCCTGACCTCATGATCCACCCGCCTCGGCCTCCCAAAGTGCTGGGATTACAGGCGTGAGCCACTGCGCCCGGCCCCTAAACTGGCTTTTTTAGCAGCCCCACTCTGGTGATAACTAACCCACCCCCAGGATAACAAATTAACCCATGAATTTATTTATTTGTGAGGGCAGAGTCCTCATGATCCAACCACCTCTCAACATGGCTGTGCTAGAGACCATGTTTCCAACACATGAACTTTTGAGGGGCACAGTCAAGCCATTGCACACTGATGTTTGTGCCTATCTGCTCTGCACAGGAAATATGCTGGAGATTTTGGGAAGAGCAAAGTACACATGGTTTCTGCCCTCCAGAGGCTTACAGTCTAGTGCAGGGCTTGGCAAACTCTGGCCTGAGGCCTCATCCAGCCTGCCACCTGCTTTTGTATAGCCCTCAATCTGAGAATGGTTTTACATTTTTAAATGCTTGAAAAAAATCCAAAGTACAATAGCATTTCATGACTCATTAAAATTATATGAAATTCAAATTTCAGGCCAGGTGTGGTGGCTCAAGCCTGTAATCCCAGCACTTTGGGAGGCTGAGGTGGGCAGATCACCTGAGGTCAGGAGTTCAAGACCAGCCTGGCCAACATGGTGAAACTCCATCTCTACTAAAAATACAAAAATTAGCCAGACATGGTGGCATGCACCTGTAATCCCAGCTACTCGGGAGGCTGAGGCAGGAGAATCACTTGAACTCAGAAGGTGGAGGTTGCAGTGAGCCAAGATAGCACCGCTGTACTCCAGCCTGGGTGGCAGAGCGAGACTCCATCTCCAAAAAAAAAAGAATTTCGAATTTTAGTGGCCAGAAATATAAAGTCTTATTGGAAGACAGCTGCACCCACTTGTGTATATACTGTCAATGACTGCTTTCATGCTACAAGAATACAGTGGAACAATGGGGACAGATACCATAATAAATGTACTCTCTAGTCCTGTAAAGAAAAGGCTTGCCAACACCTGGTTAGTGGAACCAATGATTCAGAAAGGAAGCAGAAGGCAGCCTGCCTTCACTGAGTGTGGGGCATCTTAGAAGCATCAGGTCATTCAATAGTCACTGGGACAATTGAATGGCTGGGACTACTTTCCCCACCTTACAAAGGAGGAGACCAAAGTTGAGGAAAATTAGCAACTTGCCCAAACTTCTAGCAGAGTATTGTTCACTTTACACCATAGTATTTAAGTTACAAGATAGCAAGAAGAGTGACATCACCAAAGGACTTTGCATCATCTTCTGAAGAAAGAGTTAGTGTATTTTTCTATGGTACATAGTATATTTGTATTATGTTAGGAGTATGTTTGACATCATTAATGTTTTTATTCAGAGATTAAGAACGGCTGAAGAACATACGTATGGGCACCAAGTTCACAAGAGGTTAACTTGTGATGGTTAATTTTATAGGCCAACGTGGCCGGGCCATGGTACTCACATAATATATTGTCAAATACTAGTCTAGATATTGCTATGAAGGTATTTTTTAGATGCAATTGACATTTAAATCAGTAGACTTTGAATAAAGCAGATTCTCCTCCATAATATGGTGGGCCTCATCAAATTAGTTGAAGGCCTTAGAGAAAAAAATTTTCTGAGGAAGTGGAAATTCAGCCAACAGATGTTCTTTGAACTTGAATGGCAACATCAATTTTTCCATGAGACTCCAGCCCTGCAGATTTTGGACTCACCAGCTCCCATTATCACATGAGCCAATTCCTTACATCTCAGTCTCTCAACTTTCTCCATATAGGTATAGAGATACAGACAGAGAGAGAGAGAGAGAAAGAGAAAGAGAGAAAGCGAGAGAGAGAGAGAGAGATGCATTGTATTGGTTCTGTTTCCCTGGAGATCCCTAACTGACACAGACTTTGGTAAGCAGCAGCTGGGAATTGGAGACAGGTCTATTAGCAGAACCAAAGCCAGAACCACAGTTTCCTGACTCCAGTCCAGTGCTCTTCAGACCGAAGGCTGGTTTTTAACCAGGTCTGGCAACTGCTAAGTCCTGCCATCTGTAAAGCATAGGGTCATAAAAGCAGCAACATGATGGTGATGTCATGAGGATTTAATGAGATGATGCATATATAGCACTTAGAGCACAGCCTGGTGCACAGAGAGTCCTCAGTAAGTGTCAGCCAGCGTGCTCATTCATATCACTAACCCTGAGCCTTGATCTCTCCCAGCAGACAAGGGCCAAGTCCTTGCTCACCCAGCAGCCACTGAGAGCGCTCTTCTGGACAATATCTCATTTCCATCAAGTCTGGGATCTGAGTGGGTGATCAGTTGTCTGCGTCTGTCTGAACCTTGATCACACATCGCCTACTGACTGCTTAAAAACCTACTATTTATGTTTAAAGGTGCAAGAAACAGTTAAATGTTTCCTATTGTTGTATCAGTGAACCGGTTCAGAGATTGCCGACTCAATTCAATCAAAATTAGTGACAAGAGAGCAATTTTCCCATTCCGTTCAGCATGGCGAGCTTTTTGTTTTGCTTTGTTTTATTGGCGGTGATTCGCTGTATCTTTCCTAGAGGTAAAGCTGAGTAGCTCCGGCAGCTTCGTGCCTCCTTTTGTCTAGATAAGTGTTATCCAGTAAAACGAACACAATAAGACTATGTTTACTTTAATGCTGTTTAAAAATCACATCGCAATAAGAGATCAATAGCTCTCCACAACAATTTATCAAAGACTCGTCTGGGGAAGAGAAATTCAAATTGCATTGATTTTTTTTTCCATGAGTGTATGTGTGCGTGTGACAGTAATAGTCCATGAGCAGGCGTGTTGACAATATGGCACATGAGCATTGAATCTAAAACACAAGGCAGAAGGAGCCAAGAGGAGGATTGCTAAAGTGTTGTGGCTGTTACCCATTGCCCTGGGAATTGGTAGAGATTCAGTAAAGACAAGAGAGAGAGGGGATTTTTCCACACACTTCCCACTTTTCCAGAGCTCATGGCCTTGGAGAATGCATTTCTAGAAAAAACTGTGGGGATGACTCAAGGCCTCCTTCCTCTTTTGTACAGATAGAAGGTGAAGATCAATGGCCATAGGGCTCCTGGGGTTGTGTTTCCATGGGGGTCCATGAAAAAAGAGTTGAGTCTCTAAAGGCGGAGGCCACTTTTCACTCACCTTGGACCCTGGAGCAGAGCAGGTGCTCAGAAAATCTTTTGAATGACTAGACAGAGCCAAAACAGGAAGGGAGGCAGGGAGGGAAGGGAAGCAATGGACACATCTGGTTGACCTGAGTTAGGTTCTGACCAACCCACACTAGCTCTTGACCTTGAACATGCTGCCTTTTCTCTCCAACTACATCAACACCAGGGTTGTGAGAAGTAAATTGAATTGTCACATATAGACTTCCTGGTATGCAGTAGGTGCCTAAGTAATGGCAAAACAGAGTTGAGACTAGATCTCGCTCTTTATGCCACAAACGTCACATCGAGTCTAAATTCCTCTGAAGGAAAGTTTCCTTGATCCGTGAACAGTGCCTACGACATGCAGTGGGACCACCCTGCTCCGTGGCTACAGCTGGTGGACAAAAGGCAGGCTGTGCATTTGCCTTCCTGGTAGCCCTGCAAGCCTGCTCTGACCACTTTGAAATATGCTTTGGAAGAAGTAGAATTAAAAAAAAAAAAAAAAAAAAAAAAGAGGAGGGGGAAAGGGTGAAGAAATGTAAGTGGAGAAATTATTGGAACTGGAGAGGGGTTTTAATGGTAACGTTGGCATCCTGCAATTTCACACATTAAAACATATTTTTAAAGAAACGACTACAGTGCTGATTGTATAAGGGCAAAGCTTTCCACTCTTCAGACTATTAATAAGAGCTTCCCATAGAGAAGACAAATACATGCTTGATGCATTTTTAATCCTTTGCCAATACATTTGACTAAAGCTGTTTGCTGTTTCAATGACAGGATTTAACTTGCCCTTCTGTATTCAACGTTGCTGATTATTAATGACATTTAGGAAACACAAGCTATAGAGTTACATTCTGGTCGAACTGCAGCCTCTCCTCCACATTCCTTGGAAGGGAACACACATCTGAAGTGGGGGGAAGCCCTCTTCCACAGGCATCTGGCACTAAGGACCAGGGCAAAGGGGGCATCCCCAATCCTGTACTGCCCCCTGCCACCTGCATGGGAGCTGGTTCAAGGTCAGGGCTGAGCACCGGCACCCGTGGTTCCAGCTCCTTAACCTTGACAGTCATTTCCAGGATTCCAGGAGAATCTCCACGCTATCCCGTGATAGTACCTTGGCAATATTAAACTAAATTCAAGGAGGATATTTAGATTTCTCAGGATCCCCCTCATTCAAATGCCAATAATGAAATCTTCCAGGAAGAAGAGGCGGCGAGGAACCTGAATAACTTTGAAACAAGGGATCAAGGGATCAAGAGAAAGCCCTTGGATCTTAATAGAATACAAGCACAGAGAAAAATCCTTACCTGGGCACAGCTGATTATCTTGTGCTTTTTTATTATTTTAAGAAATAAATTAATGCTCGGGTTAAAATGAAATTACATGTGCTGATACCCTGCAGGCCACTTCCTTTATTCAGCCAGGTTATGGTATGTTAATAAGAGCATTAACCAAGTGAACACAACGGAATGCCATCAAGAACGGCTGCAGAGGAAAAAGCTAGGGGCTGGGGGTGCAGGGGGGCACTTAGCTTTGGTTTTAAACTATTCCTGCTCTGGGGGGAAACGGGGATCAACAGGCAAGTGACAAGGCAAGAGAAATCGAAAGAGAGAGTTGGATTTACAGACAGTGTCTGAAGAGGACCCCTCCCTTTCCATCTACGAAGAGTCATTTGCACAAAAGCTTTTCAGCCTCCCAGTATTATATGCTCAGCCTCGGCCCCCTTTTGTAATGAAAAGCAGATCCCCCTATGAATCACAGAAAATCAATACTGCATTTTACTAAGTTTGCGTTAATTTTGCACCTTTCAGCTTCCGGACGGGAATTATTGCCGCAAAGATGAGAAATTCTCTTCTCCCCCACTCTGCAGTTGTCTTGAGTTTCAGGTTTGGAAAACCCTATCACTATTTAAAAAGAAAGAAAAAAAACGATGATGAAGAAGGAGAAGAAAGAAGGGGTGTTGAGGGGCTTGCAGTTTGAGAGATTTTAATAGCTAATAATAGGAGAGACCATAAAAGCACAGATCCAATTTAAGTGAAAGAGTCCCTGTGTAAGCATTGCTTGTCAGTCTTGGGGTGTACTGTATAGGGGCCAGCTCCTGAGCATGGCAGCCCAGAAATATAAAGTCCAGATTTAATTCTGATACAGAGAAATACAATTTCAAAACCGGACGTCTTATCATCGGCATGTCCCACTGGAGAACTCATTTCCCTAGCAAAAGGCTGTCAATGCCATTATGTTGTACAAGGAAGCAATTTACCACTACAGCTAAACAGGGCTACCAGGGCTGTGGGAACTTAAGCATTTGAAGTTATCGCTAGGAAAAAAAAATAGCATTTCAAATGTCAGTGAAATGGGAAGGAATAATTGAAAAGTATCAATCAGAGAAGCAAAGGGGTTTCGAAGGCTGATGGCAGCCTGACTCTTGGGCTCTGTTCCTTTCTCTTTCTTTCCTGCTCTTTCTCCCCCTCTGCTCACCTTACAGCCACCTCCTCCCCATTTTCTCTCCTTAACCCTACACCCTCCCGTTGCAAGTTCAAATTCAACTCAAGAGAAGAAAAGATAGCTGCTTGGTCCTTGTTCCACGTCAGACGTGAAGGGCAATCTCGTGGTCTCCTAGTCTCCAGTGGCCAGCATTACATGGTGCAAATTTGCTCCCGGCCAGGGTCCCAAACCACAAGTAAGCTCAAGATCGATGGGAGGTCCAACTCTCTAAGTCCTGAGGATCGACACATTCTCACCAAGCACTAAAATGGTGGCCCTGGGCCCAGTTCCTCTTTATAGCTATTCAGAACATTTTGATAAAACTTGGGGTACAGAGAGTGCTGAATGACATTTTTACCCTGGTCCCACCACTGATTAGTTCTGATTCACCCTGACAAGGTAATTTCCCTCCCTGCACTTTAGTATCCTTGTCAACAAAACGAGGATAATGGCATCTACTTGCAGGGTTGGTGTCGGGATAAGACAGAGCCTTTATAAAGTAGCTGGAATTCTGCCTGGCATGGGCGCAGCTGTCAACATGACTATCATCATTCCCCTGCAAGTCGAAGAACATTCTAATCTCTTGCCAGCTAAAAGGTCGTGTGTGATCGGATCACCTCTGAGAGCTCCGTGTTTACCACTGTCTCCTGGCTCTCTTCTGTCCTTCTGGCACTGCAAGCTCATGCCAACCTGCAAGCCTTTGCATTTGCTCTTCTCTTTTTCTGGAATGCTCTCCCTGTAGGTCTCTGCATAGCTGGCCGCTTCTCATTCAGTTCTCAGCTCAGCTCGCATCTCACAGTGGCCTTCCCTGACCAACCTACTGGAGGTTGTACCAGCAACCAGCAATTGCTCTCCTATCCCTGGGCTTTATTTTCTTTATGATACTTACTTTGGAAATCACTGTCTGTCTTCTTCACTGGAATATAAGCCCCATGGAACAAGGCCCTTGTCTGTCTCATTTTCTATTGACTACTTTCCTCTTGGATCGGGCACCTGGTACAAAGCAAGCATTACATAAATACCACCATTTGTTGATGAATGAAGGAACAAGTGAAGGGAAGACCATCCCACTTGAGTAGAAACTGAACTCATTCAACACAGAGCCTGGAAAATGACAGGCATTCCACACGTTAGCTGGCCTTCCCTTGCTGTGTGGCTGGTCCTGGACACACCCATCTTTGTGGGCAAAGCCATGGGGATAGGCAGCAGGTGGCCCTGCCTCTTCACAGCCCTCAGAGCTGAGTTACAGACTCGTGGTGGAAACTTCAGGTTGGCTTGGGTGAGGGTGGTGTGCCCTGTGCTGGAGAGGCCCTTGCCTCCCGGCCCCACACTAGGCCCACACTAGGTTTGTTCAGCCTGCAGTAAGCTCTGGGCCCTGAACCGGGCACTGGTTTCTGTTCCACGTGCTCAGTCCCAGTTCAGGGCCCCATGGAAGCACTCTTGCTCTCTAGTCTAGCACCCAGACCATCTGCCATGGGGCTCTGCCTTCCCCTGTGTCCCCCACTCTCCACCCACACAGCTCCTCTCGTTTGCCCAAGTCCCACATTTGATTGTACCAGAAAAGCTCTTCCCCCACCTTGTCACCTGCCCAATTCCTTCTTGTCCCTTTCTGACTAAGTCCTGGGTTCTCCTCAGAAAAGCCTCTCCTGGGCCTCCGGGATGACTGTCACCTGCCTCACCTGTGCGCTCACTGGATTCTAACTTTTGCTCAGCACTTAGAATTAATTGGGTTTCCAAGTTTGTCCCTACCGACCTGTCCTTGGGCTCAGGGATTTTGCCTCTCCGCGATGCATCTACCTGGCTTGGTGGCAGTCTCGTGCTAAGAACCATAATAAAGAAGCCCATGTCGAATGGTTCCTGCAGGCCAGGCCCCACACTAAACACTGAGCATTTACCCCTCATTCCACTGTTGTCCCCAGTTCACAGGGGAGGAGGCTAAGGCTTAGAACAGTTACACTTAGCCCTGCTCCACATGGAGCCTGACACTCAATAAAATACATTAAGATTGAACTATTGCTAACTACTATAATTTTCCATTTCAAAAATACACATTGCTTCCTATTTTAAGATTTTTGAAATTCAGATGCATCTTACAATTGATGTAAATATTTAACGTAGGAATGTTTCTCTGTTCTAGAAAAGCTGTTGTTCTGTCTGATGGTGGCTGGCACTTTAGAAATGAGAAGACATAATGGAGTCACCCTAAGGATGTCTGAGCTCAAGGACCCCAACTCCCACCCCCAGTGCTGAGCTGTTTTTGTTCCAGGGAAACCCCATTACCAGGCAAACTTTTGGGGATCCCCTTCAGGGAAATGAGTTTCACGGACTTTGCAGGGTGGCAAGTTTTCTCTCCCTTTCCCACTGTGTGTGTGTGTGTGTGTGTGTGTGTGTATGTGTGCTTGTGTGTGTGTGTGTGTGTGTGTATGTGTGCTTGTGTGTATATGTGTCTGTGTGTATTTATGTTTGTGTGTGTATCTATGTGTGTGTATGTGTATCTATGTGTGTGTATGTGTATGTCTGTGTATAGGGATGTTGTCTGTGTGTGTATGTGTGTGCTTGTGTGTCTTTGTGTGTATGTCTGTGTGCATATGTGTGTATATGTGTGTGCATGGATGTTGTCTGTGTGTGTGTGTGTGCTTGTGTGTCTGTATGTGTATGTGTGTGTATGGATGTTGTCTGTGTATGTGTGTTTGCTTGTGTGTCTGTGTGTCTGTGTGTGTATATAGCTATGGACTGAATTGTGTGACCCCCAAAATTTATATATTGAAGCTCTAGGGTGGGCCTTTGCAAGGTTGTTAGAGTTAGCTGATGTCATAAGGGTGGGGCCCCACAATAGCATTAATGCCTTTATAAGAAGAGACAACAAAGAGCTTGGTCTCTATCTCTCCACCATGCAAGGACACAGCAAGAAGGCGGCTGTCTGTAAACCAGGAAGAGAGGCCTCATCAGAACCCAATTGTGCTGGCAACCTGATCTCAGATTTTCAGCCTCCAGAAATATGAGAAGATAAATTTCTGTTGTTTAAGCCACCCAATCTATGGTGTTTTGTTATGACAGTCCAAGCAGACTAAGACAGATATAGATATAGATATAAATAGAGATATAGATAGAGAGATAGCGATAGATGCAGACACAGATATAGATATACAGACATATCAATAGAGAGAGAAGGAGATTTATTTTAAGGAATTAGCTCACACGATTATGGAGGCTGGCAGGGCTAAAATCTACAGGGTGGGTATTCAGGTAAGAGTTCGTGTTGCTGCCTTAAGTCTGAAATCTGCAGAGCAGGACAGAGGATAGGAAACTTGGGTGAAATTTCTAGGGTACAGTCTTGAGACAGAATTGCTTATTTTTTGGAAGACCTCAGGTTTTGCTCTTAAGGCCTTTGTCTGAATAGACAAGGTCCACCCACATTATAGAGGGTAATCGGCTTTGTAGAGTCTACTGATTGAAATGTTAATCTCATCTTTAAAAAACGCCATCACAATAACATCTAAAGTGTTGTTTGACCAAACAACTGGATACCATGGCCCAGCCATGTTGGTAACATAAAATTAACCAGCACACATGGTTAGGCTAAAGGATCCAACAGTAAGTAGTCTGGAAATCTCCATCAAATACTAAATTCTGGACACTGTAGGTCTGAAAACCCACTCGCCTGTGGCATTTCTTAATGCTGTGAGAGATATTGAAGCACCTGATTTGTTTTCTGCCCCCTGGGATTTTCAGAATTTCACTGCACCTTCTAAGTCTTAGAAGGCATTGCCTCTTGGCTCAGGAATGAGTGAGTCGTCATTGACTTCCTCTTCATCCAAGTCAGCTCTGTTCCCTCAGCTCTTCCCTCCCCAGTATCCTGAGACTCCTTGGTCAGCTCCAGATGTCCCTCTTCTAACCTGCTTTCCAACCATGGCCTCCAAGACACAGGAGGAAGGGAGCTGCAGGAGCCCTCTCCCGTCTTTGAGGTGTAAGGTTATCCAGACCCCCTTTCATTTGTGAATCCCATCTTGTTTTACGTTCCCTTTTTTGCTTTACTTTTCTTTGACTGGAGACTCCTCAGCTATTCTTACTGACTTCCAGTGGACCTCTTGAATCTTCTCACGTCTCTCTAGCAGAACCCTGGGTTGTAGGCTTGTTACATCCAAAATAATTTTCACAGGAGAGATGTTGCTGAGTGCGCTACATAGAGGTACAAAGTGATGAGCATGGCAACAACGATTCTGCTGTTTCTGTTGGTTTCTCTTGCTTTGCTCAAAGATCCCCAGTTAAACAGAAGAATTATTCTAGAAATGGTTCTGCCAAGCAGACACCCTAGCTCCCAGTTTGTTGACTGACAAAGTGGAAAACCTCATATTTCAGAGCAAACTGCTTCATAAAGCTGAAGGGAATGTGTTGGTCCACAACTCCATTCTGCAATGACAAGTGTGAATCCAGTTCCCTTGACTCACAGCCAATACCTGCCCAGGCTGAACTGGCTTGTCATATGGTCACATGGCCTCTGTTCCAAAAGGTGTAGGCTGGGTGGGAAGGGGGTTGTAGTGGGGATCAAGGTCTTGGGTTCTGTGCGGCCTTGGGCAAGCCATTTACCCAATATTTATTTCACCACTTCAACTCTAAAATGAGGATAATAACACTTACCTACTTGCTACAGATCACACAGTTTTTATGAGGATCGAAGGACACTTGTGAAGGTCATGTAGTGTGCCATACAAATATAAAATAAAAGGGGTAGCACAGTATCTTCAATTGCTTCAGCAAAATAACAACAACAGACACTTAAATTACACTCTCATGTGCTCTCTCTCTGAGCTTCACACACATTGACTCATTTAATTCTTAGTCTTCTGTTGGGGTCCCATTATCCCCATTTTAGAGGTGAATAAACTGAGTCCCAGGGAGTTTATGGAACATTCCCAAGGTCCCAGAAAGATTTAGTGAAGGTGCAGCTGAGACCCACACAGTCGGCTCTGGAGTCTGTGTTCTTAGCCATTATCCTACATTGCTTCTCCCACTATCCCCACCTTCCATAGCACCTCACACAGGGTTGATGCTCCACATAAAAGTCAGCCAACATAAAAGATACCTAAGTCCTGAAAAGATGTAAAGAAGTGTAGTTTTCACCCATGCCTAGCTTTCACCCTAGCTAGCAGGCTTTTAGCAAATATTTGTTATGTGAATGAGTGATCTACTCAGAGAACATTTCTTCAATCTCTTTATTAGTGAAAATTGTGACGTCTGAAATGTATCAAATTGGAGTTGGAGTTTCTAATGAAGAATTTCAGCAAGCCAGAGGCTTCCTGATAACATGCAAATCACAGAGAACATGTCTGCCTGGCCAGCTCCTAGCTCTGTTTCACCCCACAGCAAAACCAAGGAGTCTCCTTTTTTCTTTACATTATCCCCATGTAAGACATTACAGAGTGGAGAAAAAAAAACCTCTACTTTGAAGAGCTAAGGGCTTATGTTTTGGAAAATTGTTCTTGGACATTGCTTTAAATATTGTGTATCTTAATTGGTATTTGTGGTATATCTTGCTAAACCATCCAAAACCTCTCCATACTAAATTAATACATTTATTTAACTGAATTTTTTAAAAAAGAAAATTTTCATATGCTACTTCCTTCAAACAGAAACTCTGATGTCAGAATTAAACGTTTACCCTAGGACCCAGGCTGGTGACCCTCATTTTAACTTGACCTAACTGGATGGCAACCCTCGTTCTAACTTGACCTAACTGGATGGGGAATGAACTCAACTTTGGATGAAATGTGCCAGCCTTTTCTTGGATCTGACAAGAGATGCTTGTACCTCTTCTGAAACAAACTACATTAGTTGTATTTCAAGGAAAAAGTTTTGAGTTCTCTTTATCACTTGCTCACACTAGCCTACACATGTTTTGTCAATATCCCTTTTAATAAGTGTAGTGACCACCATGAATCCCAGGTGTGAACCAAGCTACAGAGTGGAGAATTAGACAGATCCCTCCTCTAGTTCTGGCTGATATACAACTATTAATACCATTTTAAATATCATTAGTAGAACTAGATATTGGGATCACAAAAGTCAAATCAAAGACCTCCCTCCCGTGCACCAATTTGTACTGAACTCCCCAATAAAACATTTAGCCTGAACTTGGTTCTAAAGAAATCCTGAATATAAATGGCAAAAACCAGACCTAGCAATGAATGGGTAGATTTGACTGAATAAGAAGAAAGTGATAACCGTGTCAGCCCATCTGGAGGATGAAGAGTTGGAGTGTGGTAGAGCAGGGGTCAGCACATTTTTCTATAGTGTTTTCAACTTCACAGGCCATACATTCATGCTCACAACTGATCAAATCTGCCGTTGTGGCACAAAATAATAACATAACAATGATAACAATAACAGATGATAACAATAAACAAATGGCCGTGGCTGTGCACCCATACAACATTTTTTATGGACACTGAAATTTGAATCCCATATAATTTTCATAGGCCTTTTGATTTTTTTTTCAACCATCTAAAAATGTAAAAGAGTCATTCTTAGCTTGAGGCCATGCAAAAGCAGGTAGCAGGTCAGATTTGGCCCACAGACCCCCAGTGCGGCCTGCAAAAGGAATCTTAGAGAAGAATTTCGATGACTTGAGTTCTAGTCCCAGTTCAGCCTCCAGCAAGCCAGTTTCCATTCAGAGCCCTCCCTCCTCCACCAGTGAAGTGAAGGGTTCTAACACACGCTCCCAAGGTCCTTTTAGCTCTTGGACGCCATGACCCTGTGAGGGCTGCAGGCTCTCCTACTGAGGACTATCCGGGTTACTTCCAAATCACCTGCCACAGCTCCCGGATGCTTCCAAACAGTTTGTTCTCATGTCACATCTTTCCCTCATAGGAAGGCTCTGTAATTTTTAAGAAGAAAATAACAATCGATTATAGGACCACATCTTGAAGGACATTTACCCAAAGCTTCACTGCTCTGAAGCATGCTCAAAGGGAGGTCATGGGAGCAGGGTGCTCCTTGGAAATGTTTAGACAAAATGAGAGATGGGATGCTTTTCTGCATAAAAGATGCAAGGTTCTCCAAAAGATGATAATAATAACAATAATAATACAGGACATTGATACAGCACTAAAAACTACAGTGTCCCTCTTGCGGTTTCAAATAAAGAAAAGAAAACCCACGCTTTTCTTCAAAGCGAACTAAAAACAGCAGGATTAATATTGATGCTGCAATGGGAAAAGCAAACAGACAGGCAGGGACAGGACTGCATCCAGCCTCCAAAACACATGTAAAGTTGGAGCTAAAATGTCATATGCATATGTAATTTATATGCAAAAACTCTCCTATAACAGGGCCACTGGTTGCCAAGTCTCCTTTTGCTACTTCCCGATCCTCGCTGAAACTCTATAATTTCATATTATCAGTCACCTACCAAGGGCAAGTCTGTCTGAGGAGAACACAGAAACTTTCTTAAGGCCAGGATATTAAATTCTTCTCGCACATCGCTTTCCTGGTAGCTCAGCAGGTTTCAGCAGGAAGACCTATTTTTGCTCCTGTGCGGGCTCTGTCCCTGGCAATGAGTGACTGGAACAGACTGCAGACAACTCTGCCAAGAATCTGAAGCTCTGATGATGTGAGCCAACCTCAGACTAATAATTTTATATCTCAATATAAGCAAAAGAGTTCCATAAAAATAGACCGTTTTTAACAGGATGGTATTCTGTGCTGAGAGAGGGCTGAAGAACGCGGTGCCATGTGAACATCTTTCCCCTATCTGCGGTACCTAACTTTAGCAACTTCCATATGTCTATTTGTCTGATCACTGAACTTGGGGAAAGAATGTTGAATGAGATGTGACTCTTCAAACTCCACGCCTGGGATTCTTCGGAGGTGAAATACCTATCCGTGTGTATATAACACTTCCTTCTTTCAAGTTTCCAGGAGATGGAAAACAAACAAACCCAAGGCTCAGGCTGTCGTATTCTTCATCAAATGTATCCAAGCTCAAGGCCATGTGCACATTCCCGCTTGTAAATTAACGAGAAATATATTGACGCCACCGAGGGCAGGTGTGAGAATGGCCTGGTTACTCTAAGACATCTTTTTTTCAATGTTCAAAGCAGTGACCAGATTCTCAGAAGACCAAATCTCATGGCACATGCTGATTCAGGGGGTTTCTCCCTAGAGAATTTCCCCAGGATGAAAGTGGAAGAGTTTAGTCTCAACATGGAGCTCTCCATGACTGGCTGTCACAGAGAGAGGGGCAGAAACAAAAAAAAAAAAAAGTGTTTTTTATTTGCTTGGTGGGACAGGAAGCCCAAGCACAACATCCAGAAAGCAAACCAGCTGGGTTGAAGGGAGAAGAGAAGGCTTAAAGGAACGGTGTAACGGCTGTTGTGCCCTAGTGTATCAATCTGAGTTCTGAAGAGAGACAGAACTAATAGAATATGTATGTTAAGAGACTATTTTAAGGAGTTGACTTACAGGATTGTGGGGGCTAGCATGTCCAGAATCCACAGGGCAGGCCAGCAGGCTGGAGATTCAGAAGTGGATGCTGCAGTTGAAGCAGAATTTCTGCCTCTTCTGGCAACTTCAGTTCTGCCTTGGAAGGCCGTCCAACTGAATGGATAAAGACCACCCACATTATTCCAGAATAATCCCTTTTCATTAAAGTCACTGAATCTACATGTTAACCACATCTACGAAATACCTCCCCAGCAACACCTAGATTCATGTTTGGTTAAGTAGCTGGCTTAGCCGTGTTGACACTTGAAACTCACCATCACACCTTGCATGCAGAAATTAAATTAGGCATGGCTGGGGAAAAGGATCTGCTCAGTGAGAAGGAAACGGGTGGTCCTGACCACACATCAGAGATGTGTGAGGCCGGCTGTTCCAAGGATCGGTCCGGCAGATGTAGGCTGAGATCCTACCGTGTGCCAAGCACTGTGCTCGACGTGGGGGAGTTAAACATGGAGCTTCCAGTGCAGATGAAACAGACAAGGGGACCAACACTGAGGATCACTGGATAAGACAGTGATGATTCCTCACCTGAATATCTTCCTCAGTTTTTATGTATGTGTGTGTGCAGAGAGAAAAGAGGTGTTCTTTCTGGTCTAGGTAAGGAATGGGAAGAAAAGAGCTGACATAGTAGAGGTGGGGAGTGATGATCATTTTAGGGTTCTGCAACAGTCTTGGGCATCCTGATCTTTCCAGGCTCCTAAGTCCACACGTCAAGAGCACCACTAGTAACACAGGCAAGTCAAAATCCACAAATATTTACATGAAACACAAATGCACTGTACTTGCATGAGAAGTTAAATATGATGTTTTAAATATATCATACAAATCTAGGATACTCACTGGGATGAACAGAGAGAAAAACATCAATAGTCCTTTATACTCATCTTTTCTTTTTTTCTTCCTGGACTGAAGATTGTAACCCTCCCTAAGATTTCATTATTGCCTCGGAACTTGTGAAATGCGATATTGGCATTATTTCTGACATTTCTTCAAAATAGGACCCTTCTCCCCAAAAGACACATTACATAATACAACCAGGTTGATTGTGGGAAGTCCATGAAGTAGGGAGAAGAAGATAGGATTTGGAAGCAGGAGATCTGGATGGGAGTTCCAGCACTTCCAGTGATGAATGATGTCCCCCTAGGTGAGACATTCAGCCCAGAAGGTGGTGGGGGACAGTGGTTCATAGAGGAATCTCTGGAGCCAAGCTGCCTGGGCACCTCACAGGTCTGCTGCTTGCTAGCTGTGTGACCTCAGGCAACTTGCTCAGACTCTGATCCTCATTTTATCGATCAAATAAGGAAGAAAACAGTCCCCCTGTGTTGAGCCATTGTGAGGACTGAAATGGCACAGATAAAGCAGTGCATACAGCACCCAGCTTTGAGTTTGTGGCTGTTATTTTCTATATCTTTAAGGGGAAACAATTATAGCAGCATCTGCTGTGCCTATTTCCCAGACTTATAGAAGAATCAAAATCAGACGATGTGAGTGAGGGCTCCATAGAAGCAAGCCAGGCACTGTACTAACAGGTGCTGGCTCTCATTCCACGAACAGTGCTCTCTGAGTTGAGCTCCGGGACCAATGCAGACCACTTCCTCTCATGTCCCGGTGGCTGGGCTCTCCTGGTGGCCCTTCCACAAGCTATCTTCTCCCTTTTCCTGCTCCTTTTTCCTAGCGCCCAGCAGTGACCCAGGCAGCTGTCCTGTCACCTCTAGTAACCCTGGTCACCATCACTGAGTCATGGTGGCATCAGTGACATCCACAAGCCTCCACCTCCTCCTTGTCATCTTCTGTCTCATCTGCTGCTGCCTGCCCAGAAGCTGCCATAAAACTTTTCCCCCATGGAAGTCCAAAGGAATAGTGGGCTAGAATGCTGGAGACCTGGTCCCAAGACTGTCATGTGTGAGCTTAAAGAAAACACTTCCCCAACCAGGGCCACTGAAGAAAGCTTAGTCTTGGACAGTGGGGGGCAGGAAGGTCCAGAGAGCAGGGCAAGGGCCTCAGAGAGTATGATGGGGGGGTGGGGTGTATATCGAACCCAGTCTCACACACAGGTGGAGCACACCTCCGAACTTCAGGCCCCTGGGCATGATTGAGAAAGTTATGAATGAGAAAACAACAGTGTACCTTGTTCACCACGTGCTCCTCTCTAGAGGCAGATAGGCCTGGAGTTCCAGCTCCAGCACTAACTAGAAAACTCTTGTTTCCTTATCTGTAGAATGGGGATAATAATAGCGACCTATCTCATAGGATTCTATGTGTGAAGGTTAATGAATTATTACATGCTAAGTATTTAGGATAGGGTCTGGTCTATAAGAACACTTATAAATGTTAGCTAACCTAACTCACAATATTAAAATTATGGCATATTATCTCATTTCATCTTATATCATTGAGTTTATTTTAATTTTATTTTTCCAACAACCTTATGGGTAGGTTGCTACTGTTTCACAGATGAATAAACTGAGGCACAGAGAGGTTAAAGGATTTCCCCAAGGCCATGTAGGCAATAAGGGATGAAACTAGGGACCTAACCCAGATAATCTAGCACCACCAGAGTTGATGCTTATAACCTCCACACTGTATCCCCTTTGGTTCTTTGCCAGAATTCTATGAATGTGTGGGAGACAAACAAAAGGATAAGAATTATCTATCTAGAGCAATGAATTCTGAGACTGTACCAATCCTGGCACTCTATAATTAATCTACAGGGTTGATTTTCCCAACTTAGCCTGACTTCCTTCACTTCCCAGCATACTTCAAACACTCTTTGCTTCCTAGATTGCATGCGTGCACTCAGAAAATATCACAGTTACATTAATAACTCCAGTAACACAAGATTAGGAACGTATATGTTCCTGGGGAAAAGTTCCATAAGGCATCCATGCTATCAGTGGATAGTAGCAGTGGTACCTGCCATCTTGGAGTCTCTGCACCCTACTAATGAACAATCCCAATGACTCTGAATGTCTCCAGAGAGAAGCCATTGCAAAATGGACCAGGTTTACCTTCAGGGTTTTCTGGGTGAGCCAAGGGATTTCATGAGTGCCGCTCTTTTCCCATTTGAATTCTCTTACATGGAAATCACTTCCCCATTACATACACAAACAAGGTAGGGCAGACCTAAGATGATCGCTCAAGTTTTGTTTTCTAGAGGCCCCTTAAAATGAAAAAGGAAATGGAAATGAGAAAAAAAGTAATAATAATAATAATAGTAATAATAATAACTTCTGATTCTACCGTTTATTGAGCTCCTGCTGTCTTCTCAGATATTATTGTACAAATTAAGCCACGGAAGAGTAAACCATGTAGCTGGATCTCCAAGGGCAGAGCAGGAGAAAGGGCTGCAGCTGAACATGTTCATTTCTACTCTCAAATTTACCAATCAAGTAACTCTATCTACCCACTTGAGAAGAGTTAGGGTAAGGCAGGTGACCAAGAGTATTCCTCTAACAAGTGTCTCTCCACTTTGAAGGAAATATCAACAGTGGAGAACAGGCGCTAACACTAATAACCCATATAAACACTCATAACCCACTCCTGCTAACAATTTCCATCATGGAATCTTTCATAGTACCTGTCATACGCCTACCTAAGAGTTTATCTTATCCCATTTCATTCCTCCATCCTCTGCCTAAGCAGTGACCAAGAAAAGGGTATTGACCAATTTATTTGCTGCTTGTAAATAATCACCAGTTACTTAGGAAAAAAGAAAACTGGGTTTTAAGGTGGTTTACAACATTCAGGCACAGTTAACAGAGGATATGACAAAACTTCTGGTTCTACTCATGATGGAATAACTAGTACTAGATTATTTCTCCTGTTGAAAACAACTGTAAAACTGGGCAATATCTGCAGCAAATGTTTTCAGATATCGCACAAGAGTCATCATAGGATTATGATCCCTGAGAGAAAGTAAATGCGTGAAGTAAGTGCTACAATTGCTCTGGCTTTCTGCTTGAAGGTGTTTTATGTTCTGCAGTATAAAGAGGTGGAGCCCAAGAAAACATGGTGGTGTTACTGGACTGAGAAGGCAGAGATTAGAATTTGGGACTATTGAGGGGCACTGGAATTTACACAGTGGGGTGCCAGAGAAGAAGGAGATGCACAGAAAGGGAAATTCAAAATCTCCATAGGGATTCTTTTAAGTCTCTGGCCATATACTAAGCTGTGCAAGTGCGTGAAAAGACTTCATTTTGGCCTAGCAGGTAACAACTACTGGGAAGCTATAAGGCGAATAGAGATTTTGAAAATTATACAGTGCTAGTACCTGGTGCCATTCTGAACAGACAAGGGACAAAGACCTCAATAGACTCTCCAGGTGTTCAGCTGAATCTCCAGAAAGGCCGAAACTTAGAATTAGGGTCATACTAGCCCTTAAGTAAAGTCTCCACTAGACCCACAAATAACAAAGCTTTAAAACAAGTCTTAAAAGGATCAAGCTGATCCACCAATAAATTAACTACCAGTCAAAACAAAACCCAACAATTTTTAAAGGAAGACAACAAAACCAAGACCCTCATCAATATAACATCCACAATATCCAACATATAATCAAAAGTTACTGAACATGAGAAGAAGCAGAAAAATATAACCAACAATCAAGAAGAAAAATGTCAATAAACATGGACACGTATATAATGAAGATATTAGAACCAGGAGAAAATAATAAGAAACATAAAAATGTTTAAGTATCTAAATGAGACACTAGATATAATGAGGAAAGAAATAGAAAATCTCTGTGGAAAAATATAGACTATTTTTAAAATGACTAAATGGAAAATTCTTGAACTGAAATATTAAATAAACCTGAATAGAAAAATTCACTGGATGTGTTGGAATATCAGCAAATTAAACACTGCAAAGAATCAGTATAATTAAAGACAGAGCAATAGACACTATTCAAAATAATGCATAGAGAAAGGGGGTGGACAAAAATATAAAGAGCCTAAGTGACCTGTGAAACAATATCAACTGATCTAATATATGTATAATCCCAAATATATGCAGTCCCTAAAAGAGAAGAGAGATTAAGATAGAAAAAATATTTGATAATATAATGGTCCAAATTTTCTAAATTTGATGAGATTAACTTATATTCCAAGAAATTTGGCAAAGCCCAAGCAAGATAAACCAAAATAAATAATTAAATAAATAAAATAAACACACTTCCAGAGACATCATGGTCAAATTGCTAAAAATGGAAGATAAAAATAAAATATTAAAAGCAGCTAGAGGCAATGAAAAAAAACTATTACTCACAGAAGAACAATGGTAAGAATGACTACTCTTCTCATTAGAAATAATGCAGACCAGAACACAATAAAACAACATCTTCAAAATGCTGGGGAAGGGGGAGCTGTCTATTTATAATTCTATATCCAGCAAAAATATTTTTCAAAATAAAGACATTTTTAGATAAACACAAGCTGAGATAATCCATCACTAGCAGACCTACCCTCTAAGAAATGTTAAAGGAAATTCTTTATGTTAAAGAAAAATTATACCAAATGGAGGCTTTAATATATACAAAGTAATGAAGAACCTCAAAAATGGCAAATACATAGATACATTTAAAAGACAAGTTTTTTGTTTCTTAATTTCCTTAAAAGATAATTGATTATTTAAAACAAAATTAATAACAATGTTATAAATGCTATAATTTATAACATATGGAAGTACAATGTATGATAACAGTAATACAAACTACAGAAAGGATAAATTGAGATTTAGTGTTATAAAGTTCTTATTGTATATGTAAAGTGGTATAATATTAATTCGTGATAGATTGTGATAAGTTAAACATGCATATTATAATCCCCAGAGCACCTCTTTAAGAAAAATAACACAGAGGATCCTTTTGTCACCTTTTGGCTAAGATAAGTGTGAAAAATAACACAGAGATATAGCTAAAGAACCAATGTAGCAGATAAAATCAAATACTAAAAAATATTTATTTTTTAGAAAAAGTAAAAAGGAGAAGGAAAGAACAAAAATTAAATAAGACAAGTGAAAAATGAATAGCAAAATGGTAAAGCAGACTTAAACTCAACCACAACAATAATTGCATTAAATATAAATGGACTAAATATTTTAATTAAAAGGCAGAGATTTTTCAGACTGGACTAAAACATTAAGACCCAACTATATGCTTTTTAAAGGGGATGTACTTTAAACAGAAAGAAGAACATGCCCTGAGCTGAGGAGCTTCTGAGAGACTGTGGGAATGCAGGAAAACACCTCAACACAGCCACCCCAAGATAACCCAGACATTCATGGGTCCCAGAAGATCTAATTCAGGAAGTGAAACCAGAACATGAAGCCCTAATGAAGAGACATGGGAAACAAAAGCACAGCTTTCAAGGCTAGCCAATTTTCTGAAAGATCTCAGCAAGTGTTGAGTATGTACGGGAAAGACAGGTCACAGTGAGCTGAGCCCAGGCTCTGGGTAAAATCTTTTGGCAAAACTTTGACATGGTAATGTGACCTGGCTGGATTCATGATAGTTCCCAAATCCAGAAAGATACCTTCCAGAAAGATGAGGCAAAGTAACTGGGCAGATAGAGTGGGGATCTGAAGAGAGTCCCTGGCTCAGGATCATGAGCCATGGTGTAGTAAGCGGGGCTTTGGCTTGGATCCTTCCTGGCACCCAACATACACCCTAGTCTATCCAATTCTGGGTATGGCTGGAAACTCAAGTTTTTATTTATTCCGTTTCTACACTAATTCACAATGAATTTGGGGCAATGTATAAAAATATAGTCAACACTAAAGAAGAAAATATGTTCTTGAGGAAATCAGGCAGAGGGAGGAAAGGGAAGCAAAATCAAAAAGCCTGGAGTCTGCATACTGAACAGACTCACAGAATGTTTAGAAGTGAGCCAAAAAATTGCTTTTGAGACTCCACAGAAGCAAGACAAACAAAGAAACACAGCAAGCCACTCTGGGTGGCAGGTTGGGGACACAGCTGGATGAGCTCATAGGTAAAACAAGATGAAGATTGTAGATGGGATTCATCTATTAATGCATCTGTAAGGAGCTTCCCCCAGACAGGATCAGAGAAAAACACTGGAGGCTCATATTTTGCAAACTGCAGTCATTCCTTCAAGAAGTCATTATGGAGTACATTCTGGGTGCCAGGCACTGAGCTAAACACAAGAGGAATTATGGGAGTAAAACAAGTGATCCCTGCCCTCATGGACATTAGGGTCTGGCAGGGAGGCATGTGTTTATTTGTACTTGTTGGGCATTTAGATACTGTTGTAGATGCTGGGTTACAGCAGTAAACAAATGATCAGAAATGTAAGTGTAACAAGTATCATGACAGAACAGTGCAGAAAATGCTGGGGACCATGACATCAAATCAGGGATCTAGCCAGGACTTGAGAGAGTCAGAGGCTGGAGCACAGGGAAGGCAAGGAGTAGCATTTGAACTGAGCTTTGATGAATATAGAGACAGGATTAACAGGCAGAAGATAAGGGACCATACCAGATGGAAACAAGTGCACACCCATGAAGGACATGAGACAGGAAGCCGCATGGTGTGTCTGAGAAGCAGGTAGGGCTGGGGCACAGGCTGTAGAAAAAGAGTTAGGAGGCTAGAAACAAGGACAGGAGCAGACCTGACAGGATGGCGTTGCTCCCATGATGGATTCAGGACTCAATTGTAAGAGCCATAGGAAGCTGTTGAAGGATTTTAAGTTGGGGCATGATGATATAATCAGATTTGTATTTCTGTAAGATCATTCTGGCCTATGTGGGGAATGGCTTGGAGCAAAGTGGAGTGGACACAAGGAGAACAAACAACAGCTCTTTCAGGGATCCATGAGAGAGACAGGGCAGCTTGAACCAGGGCAGATGGTCTGAAGATACAGACAAATGAATAGATGAGAGATTTTCAGGAAGCAAAATAACAGTCTTCAACTCTTCATTTTCAAACCTTTCTGAAGGAAGGCTCCAATATCTTCACATTGAGCCAGGTGGTTTTCACATCACCAAAAAGATCCCTGGGATGGTGGAAACAGATGTGCACAGTGGTTAATGGCACAGACTCTTGGTCAAGTTGTGCAACTTTGCCCTGAGTCTGAGCCCTCTCTTCTGTGACATGATCTCCCAGTGGGCTTCTGAAGACTGCACAAGCATATGTGATCGCCCTCCTGTTCTCTGGACACAATAAGCAAGTGTCCACCTCTGGCTGTTTGCACTTTCTGTTCCCTCTGCTCTTCCTCAGCCATTCACGTCTCACTCCCTCATCTCCTCCATTGCTCATCTCCTACCTGCCTGATGATGCTGTGTAAAAATGCAAACTATGTTTGACCACTCCCCAGCACACCCTCTCTCCCTTCCCTGATTTATTTTTTCTGCAGCACTCATCATTCTTATTTTGCATGTCTTCCAGTAAAATAAAAGCTCCATGAAAGCAGAAATTTTTATCTTTGTTCACTACTGTATCCGCAGCACGTGGTGCATACTAGACACTCAGAACGTAGCTCTTGAATGAATGAATAGATCATGTTTGAAAATCATGCAGGCCATATTAATTGCCCAAGGAATAAAAGCGATCAGTCTGTTGACAACACCAATAATACTAATTTTAAAAATTATAATATAAATTCCTTCTTCCGATGCCTTCCACAATGCCAGTTTTCTGTTTGGAATGATTTCTTTCATCACAATGACTACTTGTTTTAGCAATTGTGAAAACAAATCTTTCTCATTGGCCTCAGTGTTGTTCATTGAAATCATGCCCTGACTTTTTCAATTAAAAAAAAGCACAAACCCACAGCATTCTAAGTTGACAGAAGGACCACAGGGCAGGGCTTACACTTTATCCCTTAGGATGAAGCCCACAGAGGTTCCCTCTTTCTGTCCAACTTCCCCAGAGCTCATTTTACTGCCACCGGGTTGATCTGAAGGTCAGAGATGCTGAGGCTTGTGTCTGCTGCTCACCAATGCATTATCTATTTATATATGTTGCCATTATGTGTAAGGAGCTGGAATTGGAAAGAAGGTAAATAGGACATCTTGATTCTGAGTTACATTTTCCTGTAGTGCAATTGAAACACGATTCATTCTATTCTTACTGCATTGATCGGTAATTTTCATTTTCTAATTTCAAATAAAACCTCTTGCTGCAGTCAAAAGTGGTCGGCTCCTGGATATAACTTCACAGCTCATTTTAGCTTCATCGCTTAAAGACGTTCTGTTACCATCAGTCTTAAGTGGTAATTCCACTTTTCCAATTAGACTGTGGGAATGAACCAGATAAATGGACTCTCATCCCCCAAGCCATAATCTCAGCCCAGCCATCAAGACTGGGACAATGAACACCCCAGGAGCTCTTTCCTGTCATTCCGTTCCAGAGCCAAAGCCCTCCCCGTGCACCCTTTCTAAATAAGCCACGCTTTGAGGGGCAGTTGTATTTTGAGATGTTGACTCCCAAGTGATTTGAACTTCTTTTGAATAGTTCTAATGTCCAACACAGTAAAGGCACAGATACCAGTTAGACAGGGCTCGTTTTTAGCATCATCCAAAAGGTAGCCCCTTCTGTCGTTCTTCCTTCCCTCATCAACATGAACACGTGTGTGTGCACGCACACATACACACACGCACATGCCATCAAAACCAACTGCAGATACAGAGGCACCTGTGTCGTAGCAAAAAGACCTAAGACTTCATATCAGTTGGCATGAGTTCAAGCCCTGGTTCCACTGTGGGGCCTCGAGCAAGTCATTGCCTCCTTTGGGATGTTAGTCTTCTGTATTCATGAAATTGACAGGCAATTTTGAAAAACTATGTATCACACAGGGATACTGGGAAAGCGAAATGTCATTACGCACAGGAAAGCATTCTAGGGACTGCCAGTGTGAGGTCAGGAGACGGCCTGATGGGGGTTGGAGTGGGTCCTGGAGAATCTGATAGGCTTGCTGGCATGGGGCGTTGCTTCATTCCATGTCAAAGGCAGCATTTCATTTCCCCAGCCCCACTGAGGCTTAGTTGCTTTGGCAACAAGAGGAAGAAAATAAGCCTTATCCTCAGGATCTTAGTAGTCTGCTGTGGAGACTCAGTGACGTCTTGCACGTGAAAGAATGTTAAAAGTAAATGCCATGTGAATATATATGATTACGCTTGTGATCAATATTGTTATTTAACTACGTAATTCAAATATGTACTTGGTGCATCCTATGATGGCCACATGACTAGCATTTCTGGATGGAGATACAGAGTGGAGACCAAGATAGACGTTTGTCTGAGAAGGGCAAGACAAAAACACAGTCGAACCTGGAGGCCAGACTGCAGGAGAGAAAAACTGGTTATCCCTTGCTCCTGGGCTTCAGGCTGATTTCTTTCCTCTGAAGCCCTTTGGCCATTTTATTCGTGGGCTAGAATATACCATTACATGTGTCTCCACTGTACATAATCATCAGTGACTTTCTTTGAGTTACATTTCCTTCCTTCTGTGCTTCATGGATCCAGCATGCTAATCCTGTTTCTTGAATTGATGACTGCCCAAAGCCCCCTTCCCATTGCCTCTTAATGGCAAGTATGAATTTTTCATACAACAGGGAGGGAAAAAAAGGGAAGTCAGCTAAAGAAATGCTTTGGATAAGTTGTTTCTCCAGGTTTCTGCCCCCAGGGAGTCCCTGGCAGATCCTTACATCTTCCAACATGATGCTATGGAAAAGAAGGGCCTTTGGGGTCAGATTACCCTCTCGAGATGTGAATCCTGGCTCTGCCATTTACCGGCTATGTGAACTTGGGCTGGTTATCTCACCTCTTGAGTACTGCCTTTCTCAACTCTAAAATGGGAACAACACCAGCTTCAAAATGCTCTAGCGAGGAGCCAACAAAATAGTGGATGTAAGGTACCTTGCAGAGTAACATCAATGTTAATCTCCTTCTTACTCCTCTTCCTTGAAGTGCGGGAGAATAATTTGAGCAAGGGAGAGATTGGAAGTGAAACTATTACAAAAGGGACAAATGGCCTGTAACGGAGAGATGTAAGTTGCTGAAAATAAACTTCAAGCCCTGCAGAAGACAGCATTTGGTAGCTCGGATTCAGCGGTAGAGGCCTGCACGCCTCCGGGTGGGTGAACACGTATCAGACACCCCTGCAGTTCAATCTGCATCACTTCCTTCTGCCAAATCTCATGCCCTCTCCTAGCCTCAGTTTACCTCACCCTGAAAATTGGGTAATTCCTTCCATTTCACATCTGTGCTGTGATGATCACATGAAGAAAGACAATGCTGTCAACAGTTGGATTTGTGGAGCCCTCAGGGTGCACAAAGTCCTGAAGAGTTAAAAAGTCTACAAGACACTTTTTTTGATTTTTGTCTTTTCCTTTGAATCATACAAAACATGACCATTTAAAGAGCAAAAGTCTCTTTTGCTGTAATAATGCTTGATTTTAAAACATTTTCAGAGGGTAAGACCATCATTTTTTACAGTTTCTCATTTATCTGAGGGGGTCTTTAAAATCTGTTTTAGAAGAAAGCACAAAAGGTCTCTGTCACATTCAAGTTTAAGAGACATAGAGGAGGCCGGGCGCAGTGGCTCACGCCTGTATTCCCAGTACTTTGGGAGTCCAAGGCAGGCGGATCACGAGGTCAGGAGATTGAGACCATCCTGGCTAACACGGTGAAACCCCGTCTCTACTAAAAATACAAAAAATTAGCCGGGCGTGGTGGCGGGCGCCTGTAGTCCCAGCTACTCCGGAGCTGAGGCAGGAGAATCGCTTGAACCCAGGAGGCAGAGGTTGCAGTGAGTTGAGATCGCACCACTGCAGTCCAGCCTGGGCGACAGAGAGAGACTCCTTCTCAAAAAAAAAAAAAAAAAGACACAGAGGAAAGATGCAGAGACTGGAGCCACCCAGACGATCAACGCCAAAGTGTTCCCTTCCCCAGGGCCCTTTGACCCCAAGCCACGGCTCCCATGGGTGTGTCCTGGAGGTCACCAGGGCCCCTGCCGCAGGGCCAGTCTGCAGGGCACAGTTGGTCTCACTATTAAGCATCTCAGCTGGCCTCCCGTAACCAGGCACCGCAGAAAGAAAGTCCTTTTCAAGGGAACTGTCTGCAGAGAGGACTCTTAAAAAAGGTAGGGGTCCCCGGCCCCTGGGGGAAGAGAGAACTGGGTGAGGAGCCCAGCACAAGAAAGAACAGCCCACCGCTCCTTGGGAGATGAATCACGTTCCATCACAGCTGAGATAGAAACGGCTTCTGTGTCCTTTTGATTCCGGTAACAACCCAGCTGGGGCTGGGCCTAGGGGCGACCACAGCAGCAGTCACATATCCAGCCATTAACATGCCCGCTGAGCCCTTTCCCATTAGGCCTGAAGCAGGCACCCGTGTTGCAGATAATAACTGGCCACTTTGGGACATCTCGGACAGAGACAGGAGTCTGGGTCGAGAGAGGCGATGCAGAGACCACCAGCGGCCCTTCTCCCCGCCGGGGTGGGTGCCCTCGGCCCGTTCCGGGGCTGCAGCAGAGTTTCTGAGTCCTCTGCGCTGCCTGAGAAGCTGGGGTCACGAAGAACTTCGCGTCCCTTCCAGCCTCTGGAATTTGGCAAGAGCTGTGGACCCTAAACCCAGGCCCGGGAGGAGCTGGACGCGCGGCTCTCGGCGCAGCTCTGGGCCTGCACCGTGGGATTCCGCTGTCGCAGCGATCAGGTCACGCGTGGGGACAGAGGAGGCCGAACAGATGCCCACCGCGGCACCAGCTGCTGCGCCGCGCCCCGGGGACATGCAGCGCCGAGAGCACGGCGAGAGCGGGAGCAGGACGCGCTGGGCCGGCCAGGAGCTGGGGCGGGAGCCGGGGCGAGGGAAGGCACCTGCCCTGGGCCCTCACCTGCTGGGGTCCCGCGCCCGCTCCGCATAGCGAAACTGAAGGAGCGGTTCGCGGCGGCCGCGAGGACCCCGGCGCAGACGCCAAGGAGCTGAAGCTGCTGCGGCCCCGGGGCGGCGGATCCCGCAGCTCGGGCTCCCTGGCCCTGAGGTGGCTGCTGCTCGGTGCTGCTGTGCAGGAAGCAGCCTGGAGGGGAGGAGAACCTGGATTCGCACATGAGGGGCTGCAGGGGTCACCCCCAACCCTAACAGGGCGCCCAAAGGCGGGGAGCGCCACGCAGTTGGGTGGGTTGGGGCTTGTTGAAGCGTCCCTGAAGCAGCGTCTTTAAGGTGGGCTCCAGGTCTATGCACGCAGGACCCCGGTCCTCAGAGCCCCACCTTCCAAGAGCCACAGCGCGCGCGCTCTGGGAGCAGACCCCACATCACACTCTCCTCCGCGAGCCTTCGGACTCCCAGACCCATCAGACTGCTGGCCACAGCTCCCCCAACTCGCTGCACTTCTCTCTCTTTCTCTCTCTCTCTCTCTCTCTCTCTCTCTCTCTCTCTCTCTCTCTGTGTGTGTGTGTGTGTGAGAGAGAGAGAGAGAAAGAGAGAGAGAGAGAGACAAAATCCACAGAATGTGAAATTCCCCACTTTAACCGTTTTGAAATGTACAATTCAGTGGCTTTCTAGCACATCGACAATGTTGTGTTATTATCACCACTATCCAGTTCCAGAACATTTCATCACCCCAAAAAGAAGCTGGATACCCATTAGCAGCCACTCCTCACTCCCCCTATCCCAGCCCCTGGCAACTACCAATCTGCTTTCTGTCTCCACATATTTGCCTCTTCTGAGCATTTCCTATAAATGGGTTCACACAATATGTGGCCTTTGTAACTGACTTCTCTCATGTCACATAAAGTTCTCACGAGGCTCGGCCATGTTGTAGCATGCGTCAGTTCCTCATTCCTTTTTATGGTTAAATACTATTTTATTGTTTGCATATACCACATTTTATTTCATCAGTGGATGGATATTTGGGTTTTTCTCCACCTCTTGGCTGTCATGAATGGGGCTGCAATAAACATTTGTTTCAGGGACACGTTTTTGAGTACGTGATTCCAATTCTTTGGGTTATGTAGCTAGAAATGAAATTGCTGTGTCATATGGTAACTCCATATATAACTTATTGAAGAATCAACAAACTGTTTTCCACAATGGTTGTGAACTTCTTTTTGTTATTGGTACATAATAGTTGTATATATTTTGGGATACATGTGATATTTTGACACATGCATACAATGTGTAATGATCAAATCAGGCCAACTGCAGCATCATCACCACAAATATTCACCTTTTACTTACGCTGGAAGCATTCCAGGTTGTCTCCCACAGCTATTTTGAACTATGGAACAAATAATTGTTAAAGAATGTTGCCTTACTGTGCTATCGAACACTAGAACTAATTCCTTCTAGCTAACTTCGTGTTTGTACCCAATAACCAATCTCTCTTTATCCCCCTTCTCCCGCTTTCCTTCCCAGCCTCTGGTTACCACCAATCAACTCTCTACCTACATGAGATCCACTTTTTTAGTTCCTACATATGAGTGAGAACATGTATCATTTGTCTTTCTGTGCCTGGCTTATTTCATTTAATATAATGACTTCCAATTCTAACCATGTTGATGTTGATGACAAGACTTCATTCTTTTTCATGGCTGAATAGTATTCCATTGTGCATACGTGCGTGTGTGTATAATGTATACATGCAATGAAAGTGACCCTAAGTTATTCATGGTCCCATATACATATATCATATCACTTTTTTAAATCCATATATCCACTGACGGACAGTTAGGTTGATTCTATAGCTTGCCTATTGTGAATAGTGCTGGATTTAACTTATTTTTTAAATAGCATTTACTATAGGATACAACCAAGCATGTAGCGATTATTTGATCATACTTGTCTTGCCTCATCAGAATGTAAGCTCCATGAGGCAGGGACTGCTGAAGTTCCATTTACTTCCATCTCTCTAGTTCCTAACACAGGGATGAGCCCCAAATGGTGCCCATTAAATATTCATGGAAGGAAGAGAGGAAATATTCATGGATGGCAGAAAGGAAGAGATGGATAAAGGGAGAAAGAGAGGGAGGAAAAGAGGAGAGATGGAGGAAGAAAGAGAGAAAAAATTATTTGCACAAATAGCCTTAATTATTCCCCCTCTCTCTACCCACTCCACTCTGCAAGAGACTTCACAGCTTCTCTTACCAAGAGGTTGAGGCCATCACACCACCACTTGAACCTGGGCAGGCCTTGACCATTAGAATGAGCTGGAGAGGATAGGGTGCCCTTTCTAGGCTTCAGGAAGCCCTTGTGCTTCTGTTCTCTCTCAGAATGCTGGTCAGCTGCTGAATGAATGAGCCAGGGCTAGCCTAGTGGATGATAGAGACATAGCCCCAACCAGACACCAGACACGAGTGAGGATCTCCTAGACAGCCAGCCCCCCAGAGAAACACAGAGGAGCCCAGCCCATGAGATCAATTAAGACTGATCCAGGACAGCCTAACTGCCCAGCTGATCCATGGGCTCATGAGCCCGAATAAATGCATGTCGTTTTAAGTCACTGCATTTTGGGTTGGTCTGTTATACAATACATAATGTATACAAAACTGTCTTTTAAAAATCTGTCCCTCTAACGAAATAATGGCATTTGCAACAACCTGGATGGAGTCGAAGACCATTATTCTAAGTGAAGTAACTCGGGAATGGAAAACCAAATATCTTATGTTCTCACTTGTAAGTGGGAGCTAAGCTATGAGGATGCAAAGGCATAAGAATGATATAATGGGCTTTGGGGGTTTGGTGAGGGGAGGATAAAAGACTACACGTTGGGTACAGTATACACTGCTCAGGTGATGGGTGCACCAAAATCTTAGAAATTACCACTAAAGAACTTATGCAGAACTGAAAAACCACCTGCTCCCCCAAAAAAACTATTGAAATAAAAAATAAATTATATAAATAAATAAATAAATCTGTCCCTTTGTTCATACATCCCCTCACTGTTAAGGCCTCCTCCCAATCCTGTCTACACTGAATTCTTTTCATTGTTCAACTTCCAATTCAGTCATCCTCCTTCAGGCAGCCTTCCTTGATTTCACCAGCCCATACTACACTTTTCTAAACTTCTATAGCCTCAGTGGCATGGTGTCCTGCTCAAAGTTCATTCCCAAACTGTCTTGGTTTGTATGTTAAGGTGATGGGTGATCAACTAGTTTTAAACTCCAGGAGGATCAGGAATTAACTTCTCCCTCCTTTGAATAGATTTGGAGTCTTATGAATTGGGGTTAAATCTGGCCTCCTTCCTCTTTGTGTTAAAGAAGTTGCACATCTGTAGTCAGGTGCTTGAAAGCAGAAGTTCTTGGTCTGAACCCTGGTTGTGCTCCTTTGTATCTGAGTGACATCAGAGCGGTCGTGCAATAACTTGCACCTCAGCTTCCCATCTGCAAAATGGGCACAGTAATTCTTCCAAGGAGATCTCACAGTTAAAGTAGGTTTGTGTATTAATATTCAGTAAGAGTGAAGCTCTAAGCAGATGTAAGAATTTCTTCTCAGCCCCCATTACCTTCTTTGCCATCTCAACCTGACTTCTTGGTAAAATTGCCTTGTAAAAGAAGTGATGGGCTCCAGCATCTCACCCTGAACTCTCCAGTTATCCTCAATGTCAAAACAATTACCATGGCCTTGGGAAAGTGGAAAGTGAACCAAGGACTACAGGGCTGGAGCCCCCTGAGCTTCTGCCCTATCAGCTGGCCAACTGACCATTCAACATGCCCTTTGCCATTTGCTGCTTCTATTATAGCAGAGGTACTTCCCTTACCCTGAGATGTGGATTCACTTAGTCTGGGGTGGGTCCCAGGCATGGATACTGTTAAAGCTCCCTTGGTGATTCTGATATGCAGCCAGCATAGAGAAGCACTGCTTCAAAGTAAGCATTGTTTTATTGGTGCATTCACTGGTTTGCTTATCAAATATTTATTGAGCACATACTATAGGCCAAGCCAGATATAGGTACAGGAATCCCCAGCACCCAAAAAAGTGATGAGTCCATGATGGAAACTATTCATGGAAGGAAGGAGGGAAAGAAGGAAGGAGGGAGGGAGGGAGAGAGGGAAGAGGGAGGGACAAAGGAAGGAAAAAAGAAAAAGAAAAGAAGGAAAGAGAAGAAAGAGGGAAGAAGGGAGGGAGGACTCATCCTGCACTTCTTCTATCGCCCTGCCCCTGTCACACCTGTCCTCCTGTCCTCTCACCTCCCATTTCCCCTCAGGAGTCTCAGGAAGCAGGAGTTTGTGCCACTTCCACAGCACAAACACAACAGAGAGAACGGGGCTATTTCAAGCACAATGCTTAAGCACCCTGGGCAAAGGAAACCAGAATCTTGGTGCTGAAAATGGGTCACCCCCAAAAAGATACAATTACCTTTCTTGCCCCAAATTGAACCCAAATACATTGCAAATGGAAGCCACTGGGATCTGAGAAGCTAAGTGCCTTGATGGTAAACGGTCATGTGACAATCTCCTGATGCCAAGTTGGTGTCCTTTCCATGGTGCCCTGTGCCCTCGACCTTTTCTGTTATGAGAACCATGATTGCCACCAGTTCTGAGCACTTCCTCCCTGCTGGGCACTGTGCTAAGAGTGCCCTATGCTGTTTCATCCTTACCTAGAGGCAGGCCATATTACTCCCCTCTAGGGTTGAGGGGAGTTTTCTCTAGCTTAGAGAAAACTCATCTAGGAAGTGCAGAACCCACATGAGAAGCTGGGTCATCCTGGGAGGAGCCAGGGGGAACGTGCTTTCTTTTACACCAAGTCAGTCAGAATGTTTATTGCATAATCATTTCTCCCTTTAGAGAGGGTCTGTGTCTTCTTTATCTTTGGATTCCCAGCTCTTTGCACCCTGTCTGGCCACACACAGGCACTGACTAAGTTCTTAAAATGGCAGAACATAACTAGCACTTACCACTATTGATAAGTATATATTCATAAGGTGTTTGCTTAATGCCTATCTCTATCACCAGCCTTAAGCCCACAAGGGCAGCGACTGGCTCTGTTTTCTGCATCTTGTACCTCCAGCATCCACCCTCTAGGCCCTCAGCAAGCAGCTTTTGAGTAGATGGATGCTTGGCTCCGTGGAGATTTGGGGCACAAAGTCAGAACACTGTGAGTACCTGGTGGTAATAGCTGCCTTCAGATCACCAGAGAAAAGGAAGCTACCCCAGAAGACAAGCCGAGACCCCGAGAGGAACAAGACCCTGCAGTAGTTAGGTAAGAAATAAGGACCAGAGGCAGAAGGGGCTTCCCTGCCTCCATTTTCAGATGGGGCTTCTTGGAAGCTCTGCCACAGCTTGTCAGCAACACTCACCCAGACCAGGCAGTTAACCAGGAACCAGATTAGCTGGGAACCAGCTGTGAGGTCCAATGTGCTCAACTACAACTCAAGATGCCGGCAGCCCACGTATGGAGCTCGTGGCCTGGGCTGCTCATCCTGTTCCCCAGTAAACAAAGGCCAAGTCCAGCACTCCCCGGCCCCGTGATCAGACGCCCCATGGTTGTGTTTCATGTTCTTTGCCCTGTATTCACCCAGTTTCAAGGTTGGACTCAAATCCATCAGGAGAGGCAAAAACACTGAAAGACGGGCATGCTGTCATTGTCCTTTCCACCGAGGTCACAGTGCATGACCCTTCCCCCCTACACAAAAAGCTGTTGCCATGGGAACCACACAGAATGCTGCCAACTTGACAAGAGACATTCAAACCAAGAGGGACAGTGACCTGATCCCCCCCATCCCACACACTCCCCTGAAGTGCCAGGGGAGAAGGCGCAGAGAGAGTGTCCTTTCCTTTACCTGAAGCGCTTGCCTATTCATATGCATTGAAATGAGGATGACAAAGACAGAACTTCCCTTACAATTTTCTACCAGAGGTGGAGAAAAACGCTGGAGAGGATGGGGGTGCTGTTCGTTGCTTTCAGCCTCCTCAGCCCCAGGCCTGGGAGACAGCACAATTCTCTGTGTCATTAGCACTTGGTGGGCAAAGGGACAGCTCCCTCAAAATGGGGCCATCCCTAATGGATAAAGGAAAAATAAAATATTATTTCTCAGCAGATATGCCTAGAACTTGTTTCTCATGTTACCAAGTCCAACGTCAGGGGAGGCTTTGCCCAGGAAACCTACATGGCATAGTTCCAAGGTCCTTGAGCAAAGAATGATTTGTACATGGGTGGAAAAGAACTCAGAAGAAGCCTTTGTGACCCCTGAAAATTATAGGAAATTCCTATTGCTGTGTCCATCAATAAGGTCTGACGGGAACACAGTCCACATGTTCATTCCTATACCATCCAGGACAGCTGTTGCCATATAGCGGCAGAGATGGGTAGGAAAAGGGGAGAGCAGGTTGCCAGACAAGCAGGGCCTAGCACTCCACTGGGCCCACCAGACACAGTGCCTCAGGCCTCAGTTACTTTTAGGGGCTCACAAAAATGTTTTAATTCTAATTTACTTTAAAATAGGAAGAAAAACATGAATATAATAATAAGAAATCCAACCTAGGCTATCTTTGTCTTTATTGTAAATAGACAAAATATTGTAAAAATTGTATAATATGTTGTAATATTTTTTATATTTTCTTACCAAGAAAGGGACTCAAGAAGGTAAAAGTGCCAAGGACCCACAAAAGTCAAGACGTGGCCCTGCCGCAAAGCCTGGTGTTTACTCTCTGGCCCTTACAGAAGGAAGGACTAGTAGATCAAGTCCTGGCTGGGAACCAGGAAATCAAAGTGCTTGCCCATTACTGATGTGCTGGCTGACGTTGAATAATCCGCTGGTCTTCCCTGCACTTCTGGGATTCCCTCCCTGCTCCACCAACTTTCTGGCAGTGTGACCCTGGACCAGAGACTTGCTCTCTCTGAGCATTCCAGAAAACATGGATGATGACAGCCCCACTTTGTAGGGTTAGTATAAGGTGGGGTAACCTTATGACCCACAGCACTCAGCCCAGGGGACTTGGCACTTAAAAAGCAGTTCATTCTACAAGGCCAAGAAGCAGGATGAGCCCCTGCTATTTGGAGGACACGGTGCCAGACCCCACTTCCCTTTGGTAAGCCTGTCTTGCAAAGGGATCAGGCCTGGGAAGTCTTTACACGTAAGGAGAGGCCCTGGAAGTCCCAAAATCGCTCTACAGGTTCAAGGGGACTCCGGCAGGTGAGAGGAGCCCTCCCAGGGGCCTCGCCTTGCACTGTCGCCCACCCTGTGGCACCTCTGCCTTGGACACCAGTGGGTCTTTCTGCATCTGGAAACTGCCGCCTGGTAATCTCTACATAACCTTTGCAACGTGCCTGCATATTTCACCCTTCCTAGGCGAGCACTCCCATTTTTTTTGTCATTGCAATTTCATTTCCTGGGCTGTGTGGACTGCGGGCTCAGCAGTCGCTCCGGTCTGAAGTGACTCCTGGGACCTCCTCACTGTTCTATATGCAAATGGCCTTGCACCTGGGCAGCCGAGCGGGCTCGCAGACAGTTTAGTTATGCAAATCTGATTGATCGAGAGCATATTGCAGGAGCGCGCGCGCAGACCTGGGACACTGGCAGCTATATTTCACCGGCTAAATTCCCGAAGAAGGGGGAAAATATTAAATGCCAGGCATTTTGATGCATATTCCCTTTCAACCCCTGTAGTGCAATAGTGTTTATTTCTGAATGTGTTCAACACTCGGGTTAGACGTTGCTAATGCAATTTTTGCGTGCAGGGTGTGTTATTGCTGAATTAACAGAAGGCTTGTTTTCAGTGTAAAAAGCCAGTTGTTGTGATGTCACAAGCACAATAGGTCTGTCAGTTGATTTGAAATAATTCCCCAGGCAAATGCACTAACGGCAGTGTTAAAAAATAATTAGGTCCTTCGGCCTCTAAATGTTCACCCAAGTGGAGGGAGTAACGTTAAGTTCCTCTGACTTTATTCTCTTCTACAACAAAAGGTAAAATAAACCGCAGGGACACTGATTACATATTGTCATCTTATGTTGAAGGCATTTGTCTATTTCCCAAACACAGGGTTTGAAGAGGGAAGATGGAGTAGCAGTAGCAGCTACCGCCTTGGAGGAAATAAGTTTTTTAAAAAAGAACCTCAAATCTACTTGAATCTGCTTAAAATAATAAATTCCACATCAGACACGTTGCATTCATGCATGTTGAAGTCTGTAATTCCAGAGGCTTGGGAAGCCTGGCTCATCCCGCTATTCTGCATTGTCCTTATTGATTTATAATCATTGATAAATAAGATCCACCTACATGGCAGACTATAGCTGCAGAAGGGAAACAGAAAGATATTTTTGCCAGCATCTTTCTCTACAACCCCACTACCCATGGATCAAAATTAAAAATAAATCAATGTCATGCGGGAGAAGGGATGGTGACGAGAGAGTGGTAGAAAGAGAGAAAGAGTAAACATTGTCTGGTATCTCAACCGTTAAAAATGGGGTTACAAAAAGCAGGTCTTGAAAAGTACAGAGCCTTAAGAGAAGAGATGGCAGGGCATGCAACTTGGTTCAGGAGTTACACTGATTGCAAAACGACATTATAGTCAAAGTTAGCAAATACATGCAGTCATTCACTCATTCATTGATGTCAATTACATTACCCTTTGCATATGGCCTTGGACGGTATTAGTGTAGCTATCTGCATGGAGCTATCTCAGGTGGACACATCCTATGCACGTGAATATTTGCCCCCAAAACACCTGTCTTTAGCTACAAAGGAAAGGGAAGGAGTGAGATTTAAAAGAGTACTTATGGACAGAATTTGCCACAAGTGACACAGCACGAATCCTTTGTTTGCCCCGAATTCCTTCTTTCTCACTGCCTTGCACACACACACACATATGCATATGTGTGCACACGTGCACAATAGCACAATACACAGCTGCCTTGTACACACACACGGACACATGCATGGCCTCATACGTTCACATGCACATCTGCATACACCATGCAAACATACATACATGCACATATGCACACACATGCAAGCGCACACATACACTCTTGCAACTACATGTATACACATGTATACACATGCCTGAGTGCACGCACACATGCACAGGTATACACATTCATGCACACACACATACTTTTTTTAAAAAAAAACAGCCATCTGACAGGCAAAGCCCAGCCTCAGGGTCAAAAATGAAGACCCTAGGAAAGGTCAAGTTTAATCTCTCCCCACCACGGCCCAGCGCACCCCTCCCACCGCTGACTAACAAAAGGGCCTCAGCACTTTGACTGACAGAATTCTTAATTGTATCCACTCATTCATGACAATTTGATTAAAATATTACGCCAAAGTCTCACCCCCTGTTTGCTTCGATCCTCCAAATCTAATTTTGAATTTTCAGAAAGGAGATTACCTCCACAAGCATGACTGGGATGCTATTAACTTCTACTTAATCTTTATTACTGATGTGAATTTAACATATGTACAGCTTCGCTCTGCTCCTGTTGTTTTCCTCTCAAAAGTAACGTCTAGGCAATATACAAGCAGCGGGCATTAATTTTCACTTTGATATTCTGTCAGAGTCCAGCTCCCACTTGTCTGTGAAGAAGAAGAGGCGTCCCTCAGTCTGGGGCCCTGATTAGGACATGGAACCTCCACCTTCCGCTCCTCCCTAAGGCATACCTGCAGGGAGAAGCTTTGGGACTCCAGGTTGTGCAAATGCGGAGGTGCGAGGCTGGCTGTCCTCCTCTCTCTGCCGCAGCAGCAATCAGCAGATTCTAATCAGCCTCACCCTCAGAGAGGCTCACACAGAAGAGACCAGCAGGTCTAGAACCCTCCAGGCTGCCCACTGTCCTACCCCGTGCCTCAGAATCACATCTGAGACAGAGCCCATCACAAAATAAAGGCAAATCAACAAATCGGCAAACTAAGAATAAGAACCTGGACATTAAGGCTTTGTGTTTTCAGGGATTTCTCTATTTTCCATGTTTGTAGGTTTATCCTTTTTCTTGATTTTTCTCTCTTCACACATGGCATGTGAGGGTATGTAATCAAGGGATGTGTAAGCATAGGAAAGTCGGAATCGTGGCCTCCAAAGTATTGACAGCAGTTGCTTCACCCTGGGTGGGGAGCTGGAAGCAAAGGTCACAGCAGGTGCAGGGAGCTCCTTCTGTTGTGTTTCTCACTATCTGTTATGGCTTGAATTGTGTACCCTCCCCCCACCCCCGCAAAATTCATATGTTGAACCCCCAGTACCTCAGAATGTGACCCTTTTTACAGATAGGGTCTTTCTGGAAGTAATTAAGTTAAAATGGGTCACTAGGATGGGCCCTAATCCAATACGAGTGGTGTCCTTATAACAAGGGAACATTGGACCAGACACACACACTCAGGGAGCACTGCATGTGAAGATCCGAGTCTGTGGCCACAAGCCAAGGAGGGAGGTACAGGGGAGGGAGGTCTGGAACAGAGCCTTCCCTAGTGCCTTCAGAGGGAGCATGGCCCACAGATCCCTTGATCTTGGACTTCTAGCCTCCAGCACCGTGAGAATAAGTTTCTATGTTTAAGCCACTTCACTTAAGCTTTGTAATGGCAGCCCTAGTACACTAATACACTCTCCATTCCTATATTTCTTGAATCAGGTATCATAGTATTGCTTTGGAAAATTTTTAAAAATAAGTGTACATTTTTTGAGTCCCATAAATTACAACACTGTCTTACTGTGTAGAAACAAAGCCTCACCTCCCTTTCCTCCTTCCCTCTTATCTCCTCTAGGGCTCCCACTGACCAAACCCAACCAAAACCAGACAGCAAGGGAAGCCCCTTGATGAAGTTCATGAGAAATTTCACACAGGTTGGTTCCTGGGGCACTGAGCAGGGGGAGAAGGGTAGACAGGGGGTCTGCAGGAGCAACAGGAAGACGTAGGAGAATTTAATCTTGAGAGTGACCTGGACCATCTGTCCATTTAAAAAAAATCACTTTGACACTTAGTCAAGAGCAGATCATTCTGTTATGGGACACCGAGGAGATGGGCTGCAGCTCTGGGTCTATGATCCGATCAGAAAGAAGGTGAGAAGGAGAGAGAGTCTACCCCCACTTTAAAAGGAGCAATTTGCATTTGGCTAATGTGGGTTCTGTGTTCCTGTTACATACAGAATTACCCATTACATATTTGTGGATTCAAAAATATTTATCCATTCCAATGAGCACAGTGGGACAGCATCTGTAGTACTCCCTGCTCACACCACAGATCCTATCATTTAAAAGGGCACTGACTATTCCCCAGTCCTCAAAATACTGGGGCAGTTTGTCCTACAGTCTCAGTCTCTCTGCCTTCATAGGTGGACACATGTCTCTCACAATAAAAACTACATTTCCCAGCCTTCCTTGCTGCTCAGGATGGCCATGTGACTAAGGAATGGAGGTGAGGCTTGCAATCTATATGTCCCACCTCTAGGAATAAGGGAGTTTATCTCTTCCCCTTTCCTGTGGACTAGCACGTAGACATGGGAGTGGACTAAGAGAGGGCCAGCAACAAAACAGGGGGAGCTTAGGACCTGACATCATGCAGCCATCATGCCAGCCCTGAACTGATTTTGCCGAGCCTGAGAGAAATAAACCTCTCTTCTGTCTGAGCTATCAGTATATTAGCTCTCTGCAAACAGAAAGTCAGCTTATATCCTAATTAACTCATGCTCCCATTGCCTTGCCTCTGTTTCTTTGCAAATACATTCCAGCAGCCTGGTAAAACCATGGTTCATCCTTCAGCGACTGGGTCAGATGTGCCTCCTCTGTGAAGTCTTCTATATTGGACAGCTTAAGCTAAGCAACATGCAGTAACAAGCAGTCCCAAATCTCAGTGGCTTATAACCATAAAAATTCATTCTGAGCTGAAGCAGCAGCCACCAGCTGGGATAGGTGGGGTCTTAGCAGAGGGAAAGGAGCCCAGGGAGGTCTTCTTTTCTTTTTTTTTTTTTAATTCCTTTTTTGAGATGAAGTGTTACTCTGTTGCCCAGGCTGGAGTGCAGTGGGTCAATCTCGGCTCACTGCAACCTCCAACTTCCAGAGCCCAGGGAAGTCTTAAAGTTCCTTTCTAGCTGGGCACACGGCAATCCATCTCCCACATCAGCGGTCAAAGCAGGCCACATGACCACATTTGATGTCAATGGGAAGTGTAATCTTATCACCAGAACAAGAGCACAGTCTGCCACAACTTCCTCTACTGCCTGTGTGCTTTCCCTGTCACTGCATCTACCACGGGCCAACCATTGTGCAAGGCACTACTTACCTTTGTTGGAACTTCCCAGCCCCCCAAAAAACATTGGTGTTTGAATATTTGGGGAAAATGGAGTACAATTAGAATACTTAATTCAAGATGTTATTCCCCAAATCATACATAGCCCAGACGCCTTCCAAGAGCTCCTTCCCTACAAGGTGAGGGTGTTAGACATCTCTGAATTCCCAGAAACTGCACAGAGCCTAGAACAAAGGAGTCACTCTGGAAACGCTTGTTAGATAAATGGCTGAATGAATTGTTGTGAGAGTTCATTCATTCATTCTTTCATCAAACACAGGCGGGCCGGATGTGGTGGCTCACACCTGTAATCCCAGCACTTTGGGAGGCCAAGGCAGGTGGGTCACATGAGGCCAGGAGTTCAAGACCAGCCTGGCTGACATGGAAAAACCCCATCTCTCCTATAAAAGTAATAAATAAATAAAACACACTTGAGCCCCCACCATGTGCCAGGCTCTGGGTGCTTATCCCTGATAGTTCTCTCACATAATCAGGGCCCAGGAGGGACCAGGAAACTTCTGGAAAGAAAAATCGAAGATGTTGTTCCCAAGATCAGTCATAGCCCAGCTCCACATGTGAGGAGTGAATTCACCAAAACACCTTCAACACTGCTAGAAGCAACAACAACCAAAAACAACAGAAAAGTCAAGTTTTGTTTGTTTTTAATAGTACTTCTTGTTTTCTATGCCTGTGCTCTGCAAGAGACACTGCTGGCAAGGGCCTTTTAATAGACTTTGAAGAAAATCTGTTTACAACATTCATCTCAAAATTAAAAGAATATAAAATGTTTCCTTATTTCCTGCTTCATGGTCTTTTTCCACTTAGCAAACATTTTATTTATTCTGGTCCTGTTTTCAATGGGGCTGAAACTAGGAGCATTTGATTAGCTCATGGGGCCATCTCATGGATAAAGAAAATGTGGTATATTTACACAAGGAAATACTATTCATCCATTAAAAAGAAGAAAATCTTGGCATTTGCTACAACATGGATGAAGTGGGAGGACATTATGTTAAGTGAAATAAGCCAGGCACAGAAAGATAAATTCTGCATGATCCCACTCATATGTGTGAGCCAAACAAGTTGATCTCACAGAAGTAGAGAACAGAACAGTGGTTACCAGAGACTTTGGAGGGGAGAAGATGGGGAGATGGGGAGAAATTGGTCGAGAGGTACAAAGTTGCAAATTAAGAGGATAAGTCCTGGTGTTCTGTTGCTCATTAGGGTGACTACAGTACCCCTGTAGAATAATGTATTGCATATTTCAAAATAGCTAGAAGACATTTTGTGTTCACAGCACAAGGAAATGATAAATGTTTGAGGTGTTGGATATGCTACTTACCCTGATTTGATTATTGCATATGGTATGCATGTATTGAAACATCGCATTGTGCTCCATAAATATGTACAATTATTAGGTATGAATTTAAACCTTTTGTTAAAAAATGAGCCAGCTGCTGGGAGTCAGCAGGACAGGGTTTGTCCTTTGGCTCTGGGCATGGAATGGAGCAGCTCAGGACTTCTGGGCAGCCCAGCCTGAGAGATCTGGTGGGACCATCTGCAGAACACGCCTTAACCCCAGGGAGACATCCAAAAATCCAAAATATTTAGCAACTGGCAGACAGGATGAAGATCAAGCAGAATGAGCCCTGGCGTTGTGCCAGAGCTGACCCCCAGTGCCCCTTCCCCTCGTCAGGCATTAACCCTTTAGTTGCTAAGTCAAGGGGATTCCCCAGGCGGGTTCCAGGGCAGCCAAGGGAGCTATCACAGCATAGCTATCTTCCAAACAGTAAAGAAGTACTTCAACACCTAACAACACATAAGCTGTGCCAGGGCCTTCCAGGGGATAGAAGCCTGCCTTCCCCCAAGACGTCACCAACGCTGAGATAGATAGGTGAGAACTCAGAGTTGTCTATTACACACCCGGAGGTCCTTGTGGTCTTGGGCACGTGTATCAGTTTTCTAGGGCCACTGTTACAGATTCCCATAAACCTGATGGCTTCAAGCAACACAAGTTTATCCTCTTGTATACAGTTCTGGAGGTCAGAATTTCAAAATCGGTTTCCCTGGCCTAAAGTCCAGGTGTCTTCAGGGCTGGTTCCTTCTGGAAGTTCTAGGGGGAATGTGTTTCCTTGCCTTTTCAAGCTTCTAGAGACTGCCCGCATTCCTGCACTTGCATTGCTTCAACTTCTGTCATCACATCACCTCTCCCCTGTGTGCCCAATGTCCCTCAGTTTCCCTCTATAAAACCTCTTATGATGACCTTGGACCCCTCTGGATATTTCAGGATCATCTCCCCATCTCAAGATCCTTAACCAAATCACCCCTATGCCATATTAGGTAACAATCCCAAGTTCCAAAAATTAGGACCTGGATATCCAGAGGGGGAAGCGGGGCTGTTTTTCAGCCTCCCACAGCAAGACAGTAAGAGTCTCTGGGTTCATGTTCCTGCCTCAGGGCCTTTGCACTCTCTCTGTCAGTAAAGCTCTTCCACCAAATATCAGCCTGCTTTACTCTCTCAGTTCATTAAGGTCTCACTCAAATGCATCTCTTTGGAGAGGCATTCCTTGAGCACCTCGTCTAGAACTGCCACCTTTCCCAGTGAGGCATCTCTTTATCTCCTTACTCTTGTTGTGGTCTTCACAGCACTGATTGGTACCTCACAAATCAGGCGACACTGTTTCCTACCCATTTTCTTCACTAGAACATGAGCCCACGGGGCAGAGATTTGGCTGCCTTGTTGATGGCTGTAGCCACGGTGATTAGAACAGTAATAGGCTTATAGTAGAAATTCAATAGATATTTGTTGAGTTAATCTAACATGAGGATAATTATAAAAAACAACCTTGTAGACTTTCTGTAAGGATCAAAAGAGATGGTAAATATAAAAAAGCTTTATAAACAATAGAGTTCTGAATGACATAGCTCAGCAAACTTTTTTTGAGTGTCTGTTATGTGCTCGATGCTGGGACATAGAATTAAAAAGAGAAAAGTCTCTAGCGCTAGTGGAGCCTAAAGTCAAGGGCAGAAAGAGAACAGAGACAGACACTCAATAGCCATGTGTCTCAGTATGTAATTATAAAGTATAATGTCAGCAATGGGTGGATTACCTATTGATGCACATAAAAACACCCCAAAACTGAGCGATTTACAATAACAACAACCATTTTGTTATATCTCATGGTTTTGTGGGTGAGCAATTTGGGCAGGGCTCAGCTGGGCAACTCTTCTGTTCTGTGTGGCATCAACTGGGATTACTGGATGGTATTCAGCAAGCAGCTGGATGGAGTGGAACAACCAAAACAACTTTACTCACAGGCCTGGTACCTTGGCAGGGATGGCTGGAAGGTTGAACCCAACTGGGTCCCTCTTCTTTTCATCTCATGGTCTCTCTACATGGTCTACTCAGGGCTCCAGAAGACCACAGTGGAAGCTTCTAGTCCTCTGGAATTCCAGGCTTAGAACTGGCACAGTGCCATTTCTACCATACTCTACTGGTTAAAGCAATCACAGACTGGCCCAGATTCAGCAGAAGAGAAGTTGACTCCTCTTCACAGCAGGAGCAGTGTCAGAGAACAGCAACCACACTTAGCCCACCACAAACATCATAAAGGAAAAGTACTGGGTATACATGTAACCAAGGAGCTGGGTTTCCATCAGGGAGATGAGGTAGGTGTTTCTGGGGTATATGTGTAGAAGCTGAGCAGGAGAATGAGGTGGGAGGGAGGGTGTTCCTGACAGAAGGAAACTGTAACTGCAAAGAAGAAACTGTAGCAGAAAACAGCTTGGCCAGTGTGAGGAACTAGAAAATGCCTGGGGGCAGGGGTGGGAAGGGGCAGGAGATCCGGGCAAGAGCTAGACCACAGAATCCTGCTTGTAAGTTTCCGAACCCACTCTGTGTCTCAGTCGCTCCATCATTAAAAGGGTGGTAATAATTTTAACCAACTTCATAATGTTAGCCCATGTCAAGAACTTAGAATAGAGCCTGCCTTATTGTAGGCATACTCAATAAGTGATTAACTGTAAATTATTACCTGCATTCTTCTCAAAGATTACACTGGCTGCAGCAATGTGGGAAAGGTAGCAGAGAAGGTCGCGGTCTGCTGCTGCCATCCCTGACCTGTTGCTGTCTCATTCTTGCTTCCTGCTCTTTGAGCCTCTGGCCAGCTCCCTCAAACTGATGTTTTGGGGATCCCTGTCTGTTTGGCTTATCACCTGGAGTTCAGACATAGAAGATCCTTACTTCTTTCCTCCACATGCGTTATCTTGAATCTCCCCAGGAGCAATTTACGCTGAGGTTTAGGAAAGGTCAGTACTTGTTCAAGTTCACGAAGCTATAAACCTGAAATGGGCCTGTCTGACCTCAGAGTCCTACTTCTCCGCCCAGACACAGTACCAGAGCCCTGTCTGGGTGCATTACCAGTAGCTGGTGGCTGAGCAAGTCCTACCGCACGTGAACTCAGCCCCAGCTTCCAAGACCTTTGCCCAAATTTAAGGCCTGCCCAGGCAGGGGGGAAAATCAGGGATTCAGGACACCCACAGTATAGAAATTATGATCATCAGCTCTGGAGAAAGAAGAGGAGAATGAGGAGGAACTTCTATGGCTGAAACTCAGGCCATGGCCCCAGGCCTGGAAGAATCTGCAGGCTCATTAAAGGTGCATAAAACAGTATCCAGCTTTTTAGCTGGGCACAGGCCTACAAGCACCAACGCCTGCCAGCTTCAGGCAGCCCTCGCCTGTAAACCCAGCATCAAGCTCACTGTGGTCTTTTGTGAAGCAGAGTGCATTATCAGATGTTCTCTTCCAACATGAGACATAAATGCTGGGTAGTGTCTCATTGGGCTGCTTTGAGAACTCCCCTATTTCTCCCTGTTTCTCAGTTAGGGTATAAACAGGCAATGGAGACACAGTAGAGGTTTTTGAGCTAATGGCAGCTGATAGGGCAAAACACTCAGGGTTTGGGGAGTATACCAGCTCGATAACCATCAGCAAGCGATTTACCCTTTGAGAGCCTCAGTGCCTTCATCAGGAAAGTGGAGATAGAAAACCTCCTTCCCTATATTGCTGCCATGAGGATTAGCAATAACTGATAGTGCTGACCCTACGAAATCCATTTTTTTTTGAGACAAAGTCTCACTCTGTTGCCCAGGCTGAGTATAGTGGTGCTGTCATGCTCACTGAAACCTCCACCTCCTGGGTTCAAGTGATTCTCCTGCCTCAGCCTCCCGAGTAGCTGGGATTACAGGTGGCCACCACCATGCCTGGCTAATTTTTGTATTTTAGTAGAGACAGGGTTTCACCATGTTGACCAGGCTGTTCTTGAACTCCTGACCTCAAGGGATCCACCTGCCTCAACCTCCCAAAGTGCTGGGATTACAGGGGTGAGCCACCACACCCAGCCAAGAAATCAATAATCTGTAGCTGTGGCAAGTGTATTGTTATCACTGCCTTGTGGGTGCCTAAAGAAATAGGTGGCACTTCATGTGTTTTCCTTCTATTACATTAAGTATTTTTGTACCCACTCACCCGTATGACTTTTCTGAACGTGTCACTTGTTCTGACTCCTTTGTATCAGAAGTTTCTTTTGTGTGTCCTTCCTAGGATTCTTCCATCACCACCTGGAGTGGTGCCTTGGTTCCAAAGACCCGGCAGGCACTCATGTACCACATCACAGACCGCCTGCATCTGCAGTTGACTTAATTAATTCTCCCTCAAAACCACCAGAAGTAGGCAGGAAAAGAGTTATTAGCCCCATTTTGCAGATGAGAAAACTGAGAAGCAAAAGGAAAAAAAAAAAAACAAGCATGGTTCAGGTCTCATAGCTAGTAAATGACCAGGATTTGAACATAGATTTTATCACTCTCAACTGAAGCAGTGGATATGTTTGCATAAGATGTGCTTTCTACATTTAATGAAAAGCATACATTTTGGGTTGAGTAATCACATTTCAGCATAACATAAAATGTCAAATGAAATGGTAGAGAATTAAACCATCCTAAAATTATTCCAAAGGTGTAGCTACTTAAGAAAGACATTCTTTTTATCCTATAACAATTCTGTAAGTTTTATTGAGATATAACTTATATACCATAAAATGTGCCTGTTTTAAGCATAAAATTGAACATTTTTAGTATATTTACAGAGTTGTGCAACCATCACCTCCATCTAATTATAGAACATTGACAGACAGTGCTGGTAGGATGTGTCAAGATCGGTTGAAAATGCTCTTTTAGAAGGGAGCTTAGCAATATGTATCGAAGCTTAATGCTACTCATGACAAAATGTAAACTTCTCAACATAAAAAGTTCTGCTGAAGTTAAAACGTTATATGCACTAGGTTGTGCGTTTTAGAATTTATCATCACTGAAAATTGAAAAGATTCTAAATTCTGCCAAATCTAGAAATATTTGCCTAGATGATGTCACTTCCTCCTCACAGAATATTCTATCACTAACAGTCATGGTTATCATATAACCCAGGTCTATGTTAAGATTTCTAGGATGCAAGGTGGCAAATAAAGCTTTTGATAAATGGAAAACAATAAAAATTCAATATAACCCACTAGAACATAACATTCAAAAATGAAAATATTTAGTAGAGGGTGTAGAATCTTGATTACGAATTTTGTCCTCAATTTTCATGCATTCATTCAGTAGGTTGTTGTTTAAAGTCTACCGAGGATGGCTGTGGTCACCCAGGGTGCTGGCCCCCATGGGCCTTGCTCTAGACGCGGCTCCCTCCCTACCCTTCCTTGTCCTTGTACCTTCCCTTCCTAGGTAACTTGGGGTTTCACTTGGGGTTTCGACTAGGTAACTTAGGGTTTCAATGACTATATCTGCATTCTATAGGACAGAAAGAGCCATGAACAACAGCTGGCCAGAAAACCGAAGGAATAAAATAAGTGTCCAGTGAAAATGAAAAAAAAAAAAGTTATTGGGTCCGATGCTACACAAAGAATGAGAACCAGATCCACGCACGCAAGCTCCCCACACACACATCTGGCACCCTCTTACGGATGCTGTCATTGTGTGAGCGGTAATGCTCAGCTTTCAATGTGAGGTATGTCGAATGGTTTGTGGTTATTTTAAGCAGTAGCATTTTTTTTTTTTGCCAGTTCATAAATTTCTTCTATTGTCAATTAAGTGACAAGCCAACATAGATTTCAGGCCACTAGGGTCCTCCTGCATTGTCCCAGGCCTGGGCATAGTGAGAGGAGGTATGACCACCTTCTGTGTACAAAAGAGAAAACATGCAGTGTCCCTCAGCACTAGCTCATCACTGGTCCCAGACAGGCCTGCCTGGGTGACAGCCATTGTGGATTCCGCCAAATGCAAGACTCGACTATCATAGTCCACAGCAGAGACAAAGACCAGGGGAAGACCCAGCCATGTTCCTTCTGTAAGCAGCTGAAAAAGGATGGCAGTCGACCTGCCCAGCAATGTTCTCAGGAACACACAACCTCATCCAACACAATTCCCAAGGAGCTGCCTTCTACCTAGTTTTGGAGAAGGAAGATGACAACTTGGAAAAGAAATCCCCTATGCATAGAAGGAGGGAGCTGCCATGATGAAAATGAAATGCCGGCTGCACTTGAGTGTCCTGTGATTCATTTGATTTTTCGGAAAGTATATATTGAGACCTAAAATGTTCTCTCCAGCCTCCTAATAGGTGTAAAGAAACATAAGAAAGTCTTTCGGTTTCATTCTTCTCTTTAGTGGTGCCCCAAGTTGACACACTCTCTCATTTATCTTTCTGCATATGTGCCCCGAGGATCTGGGAGGTGTGCCACCTGTGCCAAGTGTTAGGGACACAGGGTTGAGTAAGACACCATCCATGGTGTAAACAGAGGGCAAGCGGGCTTTCATAGAAAAGACAGAAGTCTTCGGCATGCCAAGATTATCCACTGATTACAGAGGAGATTGAAGAAGACTAGGGCTTGTCCTGGGGTCACTCAACTTCTCCCTCCACCAACCTGAGCATTTTAGCCAGATACCAATTATTTCAAACTCAACCTTGTCTGCCAAGATGAGTTGTAGACTCCCTTCAGGGAGGAACAAGGGTTTCTTTTCTATCTCTACTAATCTGAAGCACCCACTGGGGAGAAAATAGGTGCTCAATAGAAACTGCAGTGGGCCTGGCATGGCAGCTTACACCTGTAATCCCAGCACTTTAGGATTCTGAGTTAAGAGGATAGTTTGAGTCCAGGAGTTCCAGACTAGCCTGGGCAACGCAACATGACCCTGTCTTTGCAAATAAAATAAAGTATAAAATAACATAAAATAAAATAAAATAAAAAGTTTAGCCTGGCTTTGTGACACATGCCTGTAATCCCAGCTACTTGGGAGGCTGAGATGGGAGGATTCCTTGAGCCCAGGAGATGGAGGCTGCAATGATCTATGATTGCACCACTGCACTCCAGCCTGGGCAACAGAGAGAGACTCTGTCTCAAATAATTACCTAAATATTTGTAACGCTGCAGCGATTTGCTGAGTAGTGGCATTTATGCCAGCATCAGATGGTTTTCTCGGAGACCCACTCTTATTTGCTGAGAGGAGAGAGTGTATGCAGCGGCCTTGCTTTGAGACTTTGTTGCAAGCTCTGTCCACATTCAAAAGAAAAGTTGCCCAATGAGGAGAGCGTGGTTCTTTCATTTGGGGAAGTATTCAGTTCTGTGTTCTCCCCCTGGTTGATCTTCATTCCCTTAGCTCATCCCTCACATTCCTTTAAATGGAATGTCACCTCATGCTTTTCTGCCCACTAATTTGTCATCAGGGATAGTCCAGGCTGGGCAGTTCTTGGTGAGCCCATGGTGGAAGATAAATACCCCTTTCAGCAATATTCCTGGGAATTTCATCGTGGGGGGCTTTGTCCTGATTCTGATGAAGGAACCTGCTGAGGAATAGTTGAGGGCTGAACCCAGGAGCTGAAGAAACTCCAGAAGTAAGATAAGCATTTTCCTTTATTGCTCCAGTGGACAAAACCAGACAAGAATTATAATAGGTCCAATTAAGGTTCCAACAAATGGAACTCTCTAATGTTTAGAAAAAAGGAATGAGCTACTTTGTGTAGAATAGAACTCCCCAAGAAGGAAAAAAGTCTGCAAGCAGAACCTAGATAGCTCTCTGTCTGAGGCATTCACTCATTCCATAAGGAATTACTGTGCACTCCACATGCCTGGCACTGTAGCAGGTGCTCCCAATGCAGTAGAGACTTCTATTTCAATGAAGCTTGTATGACAGTGAGTGAGGTGGCCAACCTATCAATAAACGAGGAAGTGGCCCAAGAGTACTCACACTCAGATGTATAAACACAGCCACGTTGCTCAGAAGCACTGGCTGGGCACTGCACAGCTATGAACCATACTCAGTGGTCCCATTCTCAGCTTGCCGGGTAGCAAAGGCACTGTGAATGCATTGAAAGCAAACTGCTTTAAAACTAAATGTAATCCAAATTCAACAAGTTCATCAGTTCTTTGAGGTGTAATTTGGCTAATTGTTCAGTGTTTCAGATTCCTCTCATCCTCCCCTTCACAATCCAGGGACAGGAAGAGAGATGCGGGCATTTTGGCAGGTGCATCTCCTGAAGCCATCACATCTAGTTCCATCTTTGAGCATTTTGTTGGATTTTGCTGCTGACATCTAAGGCTGGTGGACTGTGGTCTTTCTCAGCTGGGTCAGAACCTGATGTCTCCACCAGCCGTCCTCTGCTGTCTCAGCCTCCCATTGGGCTCTTTCTGGAACTGCACATACCCAGGAGAGCCTGCCACTGCCACTCTGCCCTGGGCCTTTGCACAATCACTTTGCTCCTGCCACTGCAGGCCTAGTGGCCGACCCACTTACTCCTTACATCTTCCTGCCATTACACATTGGTGTGCTCAGAGTCTAGCCTCACCTACGTTGTTGTCGTTCTATTCAATGCACACTTCCTGGTGGCCTCACCTGACTCCACCTGCCGTCTATCAGATAACGCCTTCCAGATCAAAATCTGAACAAGAATCCTCTTCTGACCTCCAACTCGGGCACTAAATGCCTCTGGTACTCATAGTCCTAGCAGACATCTCCGACACCTGTCCCTGAAGTTGAAAGCTCCCCCTTCCCTCCAAGCCTGCTCACCAGTGCCCCCTGCCTTCGTGAATAGTGCCATTCACTCAGTTGCCCAAGTTCTCCTTTTAGGGTGCCCCCTCTCCCACATCCCACACATCCCAGTCATGAAGTCCTGTAAATTCTGCCATGTTTATTTATCTTGGATCTATCTCACCTTAGACATTGCTTTGTCCAAGAAGTGTTCTTTCCCTGGTGCACCAAGCAGGGCTGAATGTTCTGTGTCTACAGCATTTCTGTGCTCCTATGTAGGTGTACCCTTGACTCAACCGTGAGCTGGATGGGGGCAGGAACAAATCTCACCAGCTCATCTCAGTGCTTGCTACCCACATTTGGGCAGGGAGGGTGCTCAAGTCAACGCATATTTGTCAAATGACTGAAGACAATGAACGAGCAAATCTGTGTCAGTAATTCACAGGTCAGTGGGCTTTCTACTCAACCTTGATAAAAAAAAATCAGAATGTGTGAGTGCCATTAATGGCCTGTTTGCATCAAAAATCCTCACCAACGATCTTTCTTCTACGGGAACATTTGGTATTGTCTCCATGTAAAAAGTTCCCCTGAGACAGGAGAGTTTGCGGAGGGACAGAGGAGCTACATGGGAACTCTTTGTACTTTCTGCTCAATTCACAAACCAAAAACTGCTCTACCAAATAAATTAAGTCTATACAATTTTTTAACAGTTACTTCAAGGACAAGAACAATTAACTGAATACTTCAACATTCATCCCCTTCTGTGTACACTGTCCTTTCAAGACATTTCTGTAACGAAGGAAAATCAGCCTGGTGGATTTGAATTCCTTCTCTCTTGGCCTCAGTTCTTCATGCAGAGATCAAACCAGGACTAGCCCAAGGGTCAGTAATGCAAACCATTCAAGCCTTTCCATCTTGAAGACCTCAAACACATTGGTGCCACCCTAGAAAATAGCAGAAGTGTTTCCCACCCCTACCAAAATGGCTTTCATACCATGAAGGTCTCTCCTCTCAGGAAGCTGTTGCAGAATTTTGGACTGAGTCCCTGACCTTGGCTGTTCTTAAACATGGAACCTGGAATTCTTGGGTACTGGTTCAGAAGCGACTCTATGCTGTGGTTGGTCAGCAGCCCTCCAAGAACCTCCATGTGACCATCGTGGTGAGAGATGCTGGAGGCAGAAGTGAATCGTGCTGTATCCCTGCCCTCGCTTGAGTCAAACTAATAATTACATTGCTCTCTGTACAGGACCTCACAAAGCTCAAACCAGGAGAGAGAGATTAGCTCTGCTGGGTGGAGGAGGGGAAGAAACAGTGGCCCCCTCATCCATGCAAGCACTGCAGCTTTGCAAAGTGCCTTGGCACATTGGAACCACCTTCCAGCCTTATAACAAAGTTTGTTCATTTTCCTTGGGGAATCCCTGGTGCCACACATATCTTCTCTGTAAGACTCAAGGGAAGCTCTGAGAGTCCTCGCACCTCACTCAGATGGGTGGTTTGGAGGAAAGGAATCTTGGCTGTTGTTTCCCATCTGTAAAATGATGAGACTGATCTGGAGTTAACAGAAAGTTTAGACATCCCTTCACAACTTCACTTCCAAGCATCTCGCATTCAATGGCTATAAACCCCTAAACCCCTGGGTGAGTGCAAGAGAATGCTGGATGTGGTGGATTGGTCCCAAACATTTTCCAGAGATTCTGAATATAGAAAAACCCTTTTCTTCTATTTCTGGTTATTTCCCCCCAAAATTCTGACCCATCTGGCATTGACCCATGTAGGGAACTCTTTCTCTCAGCTGAAGCAGGCTTCACGCCATGGAAATGGGAATATTTCCCATGACTACATCATACTGTGATTTTTCAGGGAAAAAAATGCTCCTGCATGCCTCTTCCCAGAACTGGATTACCCGATAGATAAACTGAGCAGGCAACTGAGCATCCACTGAACAGGAGCACCCTCCCTACCCAAAAAAAATGAGAAAAAATTGTTTAGGAAGAACTTCATACTTGATATTTGCCTCCAAAATTATCAAAGTAAATCTCTGAGGATAAATCAGGACTTACTGACATTTTTTACCCTTATTTTATGTATTTATTTTTTGCATTTAATTATATATGAAAGGGTGGAGAGGAGCCATCATCATCTTTTTGATGTATAAGGCCTCGAACGTTTTTTTCTCAGATCCTACAATGATCATGCTTTAAATAGGAGGCAAAGAAGCATTTGAAAGATTCAGGGCATCTTGGGGGTGCAGAGGGAGGTGTGCGCTGAGCCCAGAGAAGGCAAGGGTGGCTGGAGGCAGTGGCTGGTGGGAGAGCAGGCCTGGGGACAGCTCCATAGCTAATCTGTGAGGCAGTGCAGCCCAGTAGTTAAGCAGGTGGATGGGCACTGGGTTCAAATCCTGGCTCCATCACTGGCCGGATGGGTGACATCGGGCAAGGGACTTGGCCTCATCATACCTTACTCTCCCCATCTCATAGAATTGTTGGGAGGAGTAAATGCAGGCAAGGTGAAGGGAAAGTGACACACAGGCAGGAGGATGAGGGAGGGAGGAAGGAAGGGCCCCAAACAACTTCCAGGTTCCTGCCTGGGGTGGGTGAATCCACTTTGGGGCCACTCAAGCCCTGAGTGGGATTCTTCTACAGGGACACACTCCAGTCTTTGGAGAGCTACTTGGGATCCATGGTTGCCTTCAGCCCTGTGGGGTTAACCGTGGGCACCCCAGTGAGTTGTCTTCCCCTCTGTACTAGCTAATATTCCCTACCCTGCCCTGCACCCTGGAGGCTCCCTCATGGGACTACCCCCTGCCCACTGGCTTCTGGTGGGGCTTCGCCAATGGGAGGCACCAGCAGGCTGCAGGTGGCAGTAACTCTATTCTCCTACCAGTCACTGCACTTGCCCCTTGAGGCTGGTGATGGAGGGTTAGTGCCAGCCCCTGATTAGGGATAAGAGCTCCCAGCTGCCCCTGCTGCCAGTGTGCAGCTCCATCCCATGCTGGTTCCCTCCGCCTTTGTAAGTAGTCCCTCCATCGAGCTCTCCTTTCTGACCCTCTGTGATGGCCACATCTTGTTCTGCATAACTTTCCCTTTCTGCCCCCGATACCTCTTCCCCCTCCTCTCCTGGAGCTCCTTGCTATTCAACAGTAAGACCAGACCCCTGAGATCCCACCAGGGGCACTAAATCCGAAAGGAAAGCATGCGCGAAGGAGCCGTGATTAAACACCAAGGAGAAAGAAAAAACGGTCACATCCCAGATCCAGGAGACCCCGGGCCACAGCGCTGCGGGAGTTAGCACTCAGTGGCTATGGGAAGAGAAAGAACAGCTTTCCTGGGGGCTGCTCTGGGCCTGGGGTGCTCCTGTGGCCTCTGATCTCTCAGGGAGCCATGAAGGAGATTGGGCTGGAAAAGTCTCTCGGAGGCTCGCTGGGACCCTGAGGGGAAAAGGGCCTTAGGGTGGGTGAGTGGGCAGGATTTGGAGAAAGTTGCCCCTTGACTTACAGCAAGAAGTGGAAGGTAATTTCTTGGGTCCAGATGTAGTGTGGAGCCCCTAAGTATAGGGACTCTCCATCAGAAGGGGACAAATACTTCCCTTGGGGCAGGGCGCCATGAGATATGTATTAGTCCATTTTCACGCTGCTGATAAAGACATACCCAAGACTGGAAGAAAAAGAGGTTTAATTGGACTTACAGTTCCACATGGCTGGGGAAGCCTCAGAATCATGGCAGGAGGTGAAAGGCACTTCTTACATGGTGGCGGCAAGAGAAAATGGGGAAGATCCAGAAGTGGAAACCCCTGATAAAACCATCAGATCTCATGAGACTTATTCACTATCACAAGAACAGTATGGGGGAAACCGCCCCATGATTCAAATTATCTCCCACTGGATCCCTCCCACAACATGTGGGAATTATGGGAGTACAATTCAAGATGAGATTTGTGTGGGAACTCAGAGCCAAACGTTTATCAGATAAATTCCAGGGCAGTGCCTGTGAGTCCTCAGAGTGGTATTATGGCGGAGAATTATATATGCTTCGGAAGGGCATCTTGGAGTAAGGAAGGGTGGCCATGCCCCAAAGCCAAGCTGCTTTCCCATACCCCTGGCCTGGTAGGTCATTAAGTAGTCTTGCTCTCCCCCACCACCCTGGCGCTAACTGCTCCCCTTCTTTACTCCCCACAACCTTGCCCAGCCTTCCGGTCACCTCCCAGTAGCTGCTCTCTCTCCTTGGCAAATCTCACCATCTACCCCAGCCCTCACAGTCTGAGCCAGGTCTTTTCTGCCCCTGGAGCACCTTCCTACCAGGGTGATCCCAGAACGTGAACAAAAAGCCAGGCAGACTAGAACCAACCTGTTTGTAAATTCCACCACCAAAGGGCTAAAGTAAAGCCTTAAAAGCCCAAAATTGCTAAACTACCTCCAAAGAAGGACTCATTTGCTTCTGTATCCCTGGAAGGATCAGCCCATTATATTTAATAGACTTTGATACTTCGTATTGTAGTACATAAAGGCTATTATTAAAATGAAAGATTGTTACAGTGAAGGATCTGATCCTTGCTACTTTGCTTTTTAAAGCTATCTAAAGCAATTGGTATCAGGACTCCTTGCAAGCTTTTCTGATTATCTGTTGACACTGTCTCATAAGGAGTTTCTTTAAAGATTTAATTGACTTCATTTATTCCCTGGTCTGGGAAGGTGCCTGAGGCCTTGGGCCTTAGCTGCAGGAGGGGGAGATCGAGGAGGCCCTGCGATTAGAGCATGTCCTTATAAGCATATTTATGAAATAAGAGCAATGGCTTGCGCCTGGCAGCTTGGAATCTAACACTGTGCTGTATCTACCTTATTTGCAGGATTAGAAGCCATTAATTCCTGGAATTGTTCTCTGGAGTGTAAGTGACAACAGCTGTAGCTATCTGCTCAGTGTCTTTCCACATGGACTCCCCTGTACAAGGGACGCATGAATACACACAGCCAAATGGGGTGCTGCCGATTCCACGTGGGAGCAAAGACAGGCCTGCCACCAACTGACAGACAGACAGTCCCAAAGCAATCATCTGGACACTCGAGAAAATGGCCTTAGTCCTGATTCCCCTCTCTCTTACCCATTCTCAGGCAGGCACAGGCGGAGAGAGGGAGACTTTCCCATTTGCTCTGATTATGGAGAGGCCCTTTGAAAGTATCACTCTGTCCTCACAAAGGGCTAAGTTTCACGTTAATCCAAATCTAACCTCTCTCAGCCTCAATTTCCCCATCTGAAATGAGGAACTGGATTAGTCATCTCAAGGGGTCTTTCTGGCCTTTCAAATACAAAGCAAACTAACAGATAAAATCTCCTTTCCTCTATCATCAGGGCTGGGCTCAGTTAAAACTCAGAATGAAAAGTTGTCAGAGAAGAATTATAAATTTCTATTAAAATAGCAATTGTAAATGATTATTATGTTTAAGTAACATTGACTAGGTTTTTGATTAGATAAATTTAAAGAATAGAACAAAAATGTTATCCCCAACAACCAGATAACCCATGTTGGATATAAATACAGCAATGGGTGCATGGATGGATGGATGAATGGGAACTACAGTGCACATATCTTAAATTATTCAAATAGTCCAGAAAGGAATGAAATGAAATGCAAAAATCTCTCTCTCCATCCCTCCTGCAAACCTGACTCCTCATCTCCCCCTAAAGCTACACTTTGCTAACAGTTCCATGTGTATCTCACCAAGAAAACAACATTTTTTACACTGATACCAGCGTCTATACTAACATATGCTTACTCAAAAGGGAAACATAATATATTTGGCTTTCTGCAAAATTTTTCAAACATACAGAAAATAATATAACAGACATCCATGTATGTATCTTCCAGATTTAAGATATGTTTGCCTTATTTTATTTGCCTCAGATCCAAGAAGAAAGAAAGAAAGAAACTGAAGAAAGGGAGGGATGGATGGGGGAGGGAGAGAGGGAGAGAAGGAAGGAAGGAGGAAGGGAGGAAGGAAGGAAGAAAGGAAGGAAGGAAGGAACGGAAGGAAGGAAAGGAAGGAGGGAGGGAGGGAGGGGTGAACAACAGAGATACAGGTAAAACCCCCAAGTTCCATATCCTGTCCCCTCCCCAGAAGTAGCCACCATCTTGAAGTTTGGTATGTATGATTCTAATGAACATTTTTGTAATTGTGCTACATGGATTTATAGTCAAGAACAATATATTGTGATTTTGTGTATGTGGATTTCATGTTGCGTAAATAGAATGATATCAACTATATCTTCCTAGAATTTGCTTTTCTCAGTAAACATACTTATAATAATTCATTCATATTGATGTAAATAGATCTAAGACACTGTCTTAATCTACTATAACAAAAGTACCATACACTGGGTGGCTTAAACAACAAACATTTATTTCTCACAGTTCTGGAGGCCAGTAAGTTTAAGATCAAATTGTCTGGTGATTAAGGTGTTTGGTGATTCAGTGTCTGGTGAAGGCCTACTTCCTGGTTCATAAACAGCATCTTTGGGCTGTGTCCTCACATGGTGAAAGGGACAACAGGGCTCTCTGGGGTCTCCTCTATAAGAGCACTAATCCCATTCATTGAAGGCTCTACCCTCATGATCTTATCACTTCTCAAAGGCCTCACCTCCTAGTATCACCACCTTAGGGGTTAGGATTTCAACATATGAGTTGGGTGGGATACAAGCATTCATCCATAACAGATACTCATTTCAATTGCTTCATAATGTTCTGTTGTGTGACTAAACCATGGTTAGTTCATCCATTCACCACTGATGGATAGTTAGGATGTTTCCTGTTTTGATTTTTGTTTTTGTTTTTGCAATTAAAAACATAATGGGCCAGGCGTGGTGGCTCACAGCTGTAATCCCAGCACTTTGGGAGGCCGAGGTGGGTGGATCACTGACGTCAGGAGTTTCAGACCAGACTGGCCAACAGGGTGAAACCCCGTTTCTACTAAAAATACAAAAATTAGCTGGGCATGGTGGCAGGTGCCTGTAATCCCAGCTTCTCAGGAGGCTGAGGTAGGAGAATCGCTTGAACCTGAGAGGTGGAGGTTGCAGTGAGCTGAGATCACACCATTGCACTCCAGGCTAGGCAACAAGAGTGAAACTCCATCTCGAAAATAAATAAATAAATAAATGAATAATAAAAACATAATGATAAGTGTTAGAGCTCTTCTCTTATCATCTGCATCTATCTCATTTTTTAATCACTTAGAGAGAATTGTACTGAATGCATATGCCATAACTTATTTAACTTGTCTACTATTAATGATCAGCATATTAGTCCATTTTCATGCTGCTGATAAAGACATACCCAAGACTGGGCAATTTACAAAAGAATGAGGTTTATTGGACTTACAGTTCCACATGGCTGGGGAGGCCTCACAATCATGGCGGAAGGTGAAAGACACGTCTCATATGGTGGCAGACAAGAGAAGAGAGCTTGTGCAGGCAAACTCGTTTTTAAAGCCATCAGATCTCGTGAGACTCATTCACTATTACAGGACAGCACAGAAAAGACCCGCCCCCATAATTCAATCACCTCCCACTGGGTTACTCCCATGACATGTGGGAATTGTGGGAGTTACAATTCAAGATGAGAATTGGGTGGGGACACAGCCAAACCATATCAATCAGTTAGGTTGTTTTAAGGATTGTGTTCTTATAAACAATGCCCAAAGAAATATTCTTTTATCAGTTTTTGGGCATTCTTTTAAGGAAAATTTCTAACAATAGAATAACTGTGTCAATGAGCCCATACAATTAAAACCTTGATAGATCTAACAAAAGTATCCCCTGAAAAGTCCACAGCAAATCACATTCCCCACCAACAATGTTTGTTATTCTACAATACAGCCTGATGAACACTCTTTAATTTTGTCAACTTGATAGGTAAAAATAATATCCCAAATGACTTCCACATCATATCCAATTTCTTTTTTTCATTCCTCATTCATAAACTGGAGAAGAGTAGTGGTAGTATACTGTTTCTTCAGACAACTGTGGGCAAATTGTTTTGCAGATCTCATATTTAGGACTGCTCCAAGTCAAGCAAGAATCCAGACTGGGAGTAGGATTTCTCAGCCCACCCAAAGTACATCTCTCAGAAAGCTAGGCCCCTCAAATAGTTGACCCCAATTGTCACCATGATTTGTGGATGTATGGATGAGAGATTGATGAACAAATAGATGTGTAGATGAATGGATGGAAAGATGGATGGATAGGCGGATGAATAGATGGGTGGGTGTATGGATGGATGGAGGGATGGATGGACGGATGGACAGACGGATGGACGGACGGAGGGACAGACGGACGGATGGATGGATGGATGAATGGATGGATGGATGGATGGATGGATGGATGGATGGGAGAGAGATAGATGTGGTAGATTATTAAATAGGTTGATGAATGGATGGATGGATTAATGGATGGATAGGCAGGTAGATTAATTAATAGGTTGATGGATGGATGGATGGATGGATGAATGGATGGATGGATGGATGGGGGATGAATGGATAGGCTGGTGGGTGTATGGATGGATGGATGGGGGATGGATAAATGGGCGTAGATGAATGGATAGGTGGATGGATGGATGGATGGATGGATGGATGGATGGATGATAAATGAATGAATAAGGATTGAGGAAATATGGTTTCCATGGGCTAATTAGGCAAGAAGTGTAGCCTTAAGTGGTTATTTCCTTATATCTTGTTCAAGCCTATCCAACAGAGAGTCTAACACCTCCACTAAGGAGTTAGCTCCTCAATATTCTTGACTTTAAAAACTTTGCAGATTTGTTTTTGATCTCTATAAAGTAGCTTCCAGGCTGGGCATGGTGGCTCATGCCTGTAATCCCAGCACTTTGGGAGGCTGAGGTGGATGGATCACCTGAGGTCAGGAGTTTGAGACCAGCCTGGCCAACATAGTGAAACCCCATTTCTACTAAAAATACAAAAATTGGCCAGGTGCAGTGGTGTGCGCCTGTATTCCCAGATAGGAGGCTGAGGCAGGAGAATCGCTTGAACCCGGGAAGCAGAGGTTGCAGTGAGCTGAGATAGTGCCACTGCACTCCGGTCTGGGTGACAGAGTGAGACTCTGTCTCAAAAAAGAAAAAAAAAGTGCCATCCGGTCTCCAAAAGTCTTGAAGCAGCAAGAATTATGCAGGGAGTAATGAGCTGCATAAGGGTTCCCTGGGATCTGGGAAGGTGAGACCTAACCATGACCTTCTGGGGCAAGTTGTGGCTGCAAGTTAGACATAGGGTGGAGCCCTACAACAGTAGCAATATGGCAGGGGTAAAAAAGAGAACTTTGCCAACTGCATCTTTAAATTCTGAACCAACAATGTGAAATGTTACTTTGTCAGCTAAAGGTATTTGTAGAGAAAAGTTCAATTTCCCTATACTTTCCTATTGCTTTTTCAAAGACAGCTCATTCTCATGATTCCTTCTCAACTGGACTTTTGATGGGCCAACTTTCTCAGGTAGACACCATTCTAGAAGGGGCTTCGTGGGGCAACCACATAAAACACCAGCATTCTCACCTTTTCACAAGAGAACACGCATGAGCAAAATTAAGCCAGAAAAGCTTTGCCATGGAAGTGTCAGGGTTCCGCCACTACATCTGCCTGAGAGATCTGGCCACAAGTAAATTTCCAGATGATAGATCACTGGAAGATGTCTAAAAGCATTAAAATATTTTCTACACTTTTGTTATTCAGACCTAGACCTGTTACTGTTGAGAATGTAAGAATCTCAACTTGAATTAGCTTAAAGGAAAAGGAATCAGTTGATTCCAGAATGGAAGTCCCCAGGCCTGATTGGATCCAAATGATGGCAACAGCCTTTCCAGACAGCCTGCCACTGCCGCCATCACACCAGCTTCAGCAGGGAGGTACAGTGGGGGCTGCACGTTCCATGGAGCAGGTGGGAGCCAGGGACAAGTGAGAGCCACACCTCTTTCATGTTGGGGTGGGAGCTCACTGGGTGGCATTGCAGCTTCCCAAACAGTGGCTGCAGACCCAGGCCTCTTGCTCCAAGGAGCAGGGAGGAGCCCCCCGCAAGGAACAGCAGTACACACTCAGGCATCCCTGCACTCCTGGGGGCCAAGGAAGGCCCCACTACCCTCGCAGGATTGGAAGTGCCTGCTCCCACTGCCTGGCCTCTCCCTACTCTGGTACCCTTTCTAATCTTCGGGCAAAGTTGGAGACCAGGCCCAGAACGGCAGCAGGATGCAGACAGATTCCTGGGTGGAAGGGGGCAGGTCCCCAATGAGGCCCCTCTTTCAGGCCAGGGAGGGTCTGAAGGCTGGTGGCTGGGCTGCCAGTCCCACAGACAAGAGTGGGAACATTTAGTGCCTTTTCCAGGCCCACCCATGGCCACTCATGGACCTCCCCTCTGAGGTTCATAAAAGCCCCAGGCTCAGCCAGAGCTGAGCAGATGATAGGACAACTCGCTACAGAGAGGAGCTATTGCTCTAGGGCCTCCTCTCTGCTGAGAGCTTCAGAGACCTGCAGAGATGTCAGGACTACCAGCTGCAGAGAAGAGCAACCCACTTCAGGGCCTCCTCTCTGCTGAGAGCTGGGAAGATGATGGGATGACTTGCCTGCAAAGAGAAGCAACCCATTCCAGGGCCTCCTGTCTGCTGAGAGCTGCAAAGATGACAGGATGTCCTGCCTGTGGAGAGGAGCTTCCCACTATAGGGTCTCATCTCTGCTAGGAGCTTAACACTAGTTGAGACACCCTGGCTGTGGAAAGAAGCTACCCACTGTGGATCTCCTGTGAGTTGTTCTATTGCTCAGTAAAGCTCCCCTTCATCTTGCTCACCCTCCACTTGTCTGCATACATCATTCTTCCTAGTCACAATAATACAAGAACTCAGGACCCACCAAATGGCAGAGCTTAAAGGGCTGTAACAAAAACAGGGCTGAAACATGCCCCTTGCTTGCCATGTTGTGAGTGAAGAGAAGGAGAGAAGAGCTGTGGCCCTTTGGGGAGCCCACACGTGGGAGCTCCCCAAGCCAGGACTGTGACTTCCTCTTTGGGGCCCTGTAGTTCTTGAAGTCTCCAAGCTTCCTGGTGCCACTGCATTCCCCAGTGCCAGCTGGGGAAGCTACTTGTGGTGTGCCTAATCCAGCTGCAGTCTTGCAGAGAGCTGGCACCCATGACAGCACCTGGAGCTGCTTGCCCCATAACAGCCAGCCAGCATGTCTGACTGCACAGTGTTCAGATCCCATGCTTGCTCACACACACTCCTCACCACTCTGTGCCTGACTCCAGTCTTCCTTGGAGGCATGGGATCCAGGCTGGTAGCATGAGCTGAGTGAAGCCTACCAGGCTGAGTGGGCAGAATGAACACAGCGGGCCCAAGCAAAACTCAGGGAAAGACATCACTGGCCACAGGTTTCCAGTCAGAAAAGTGACACCCCAAAGATCCCATAACACAAAGGCTCAAAAAATGTCCTAGAGTCTTTCGTGCTTGTACTTGATTCTTCTTGGCTTTTCTTCCCATGCCAGTCTTATTCCTTCTTTCTGGACAGATAGCCCATGTCAGTCCCCAGCCAACAGCATTAAAGATTATGCCCCACAGGAAAAAAAGTAATATTATCTCTTTATATCCAGCGGTGGGGTGGGTGGGGAAGGCCTGTGAAGGGCTCTAGTTTTCCATGTATATTTTTAAGCCAGTCACTCCAGGTAGGTTGAGCAAGACACCTTGCTTAGGTCTGAAAGGATCAGGTTCTATACTTGTAGATGGGAGTGGAAGCCTGGGATAGTCAGGCCCAGAAAGTCCACACTGAGTTGGGATGTAATTCCTCAAAAAGCCAAAAGAAAGAAAATGGAAAATGTGGTGGGCCGTGCAAATAAACAAAACAACTCACAGCTACCAGTAGCCATTATACCAGCAATGACCAAGTGGAATTGGGAAAACAAGATGACCATCGGAGAGCAGGGGAGCACCTGGTCACCAACAGCATTCAGAATTGCAGGGCCATGGTGATGACTCTGTGTTAGTTTTTTCTGTTCTTTAATTCCCTCCAGCGAATGCATCCCTGATTACTGCACCGGGTAAATCACCCCCACCCACCCACCCACACACCATGATGGCCCATGCGGTCCACTGTTGTCTAATGGCCCATCTACTCTACCACCGGTCATTCCCTGAAGGTACAGAGACCAAGAAGACACGACTTCTGCCCTCAGGGAGCTCACATTTCTTTTAAGAGAGATGCAGGTAAGACCAGCAAACAGCAGCACATGCTGTAACAGAGCATTGCAATTTTAGTGAAGAGAGAATTCGTTTTGCTAGAGAGGAAGGGACATGGTCCACTGAAGGAAAGAAGGCATTTGAGCTGGACCCAGGGTTGAAATTGACATTTTCCAGGCAGAGACAGAAGAGCTGGAAAGTTCAGACAGACAAAAAAAGGGGGGCTTAAGCAAATGTTCAAAGACATAGACAACATAGATGTTTATGGAGTTTGGGAAAGAGCAAGATGCCTCTTACTCTCAAGTATAGGAAGCCACTGGGGAGAGGCTCAGAGAGATGTTAGAAATGAACACCCACAAGACCTTTCCAAGGAAGGACCACTGTGACACCACAAGGACAACCAGAAACCATGAGTCCCTGGCAGAGGGGGCTCAGAGGTCCTGGAGGCAACACAGAAGTCAGGCTTTGATGGGCCTGCAAGTCCTGGGGGACTGGGAGGAGTTGAGCTGGAAACTGACCACCCCAGATCTCCTTCTGCTGGCAGATCAGAGACCTCGTCCTCTTGCTGACTGAGGCAGAGCAGTCCAGGGCCAAGCGGGGCCAGGTGCACAGGTTACAGGATTGAAGCCCTACAAGGCCCGTGACTCGGCCTCTGGCTCCCACACTCACCTCCTCTCTTGCCACCTTCCCCTTGATGCACTGGTCTTATTTCTGTTCCTTGAAATCTCCAAGCCTGTTCCTGCTACAAGGCCTCTGCCTTTGTAATTCCATGGCCTGGACGTCCTTTCCCCAGGTCTGTGAATGGCTGGATTCCTTGCGTCATTCAGATCTCAGCCCAGCTGTCATTTTTTCAGAGACTTTCTCTGACAATTTTACATAAAGGGTTTCCTCCATCAACAGTCACTTTCACATGATCCCGATTTATTTTATTACCTGAAATGATGAGTAAATCATTGATTCACTTTACAACATTTACAAAGCACCTAAGTGCCAGGCACTATTCTGGTGCTGCAGATATGACAATAATCCTGACAGAGTCACTGCCTTCACAGAACTTTTGTTCCACTGGTGAACAGAAATAAATATAAACAACATAATATCTTGTAGTGTTAAGTGCTATGAAGAAATAACTCAGTGTGAGGAGATTAGTACAGATGAAGGCTGCTATTTTATTTAGGTAAATCAGGAAAACATCTCCAAGAAGGCGACTTCTCAGCAGACACATGGATGAGCCAAGGAAGTGAGCCAGGTAAGTTCCCGGGGTAGAGCATTCCAGGCAGAGGGCGCATCAGTGCAAAGGCCCTGAGGCAGGGGCATGCCTGGTGAGTTCAAAGAACAGCATGGAGGACAGACAGACCTGATGGATTCCACCCGGTCACGACCTTGACCCCACTGGACTGCAAGTTCCATGAGCGTGCAGCCTCATCAGTCTCATCTGTCCCTAGATTTCAGGCCCAATACAGTGCCTGGTCCATTGTAAATGTCACATAAATATCTGTGAAATGAATCAACTCATTACTACAGCATCCCTTCCCTGGCCCTGCAGACTCGTACTAGCTGAACGTTGACATTACAATCTGAACATTCAAATTATGTTTTAACCTGTCAGACCAAACCCTTCTTTTCTTGTGGCAGAGTCAACTGACATTCAAGATGCCAATATCTTCACAGGGGTCAAGCAGCCAAGAGAGGGCCTCGGTTGCTCATTGACCAGATTAGATTCTTTGTGTGAAGAGGGTGTGTGGGTGCACACACCATTCCCCAAAGAGATAAATGCAAAATCAAGTTTAAAAGGCAGCTTTGATGCCATCGACCTCCTATTTGATAGTCCTCAGAAACTCACATCCGTTTGTTCAGCACAGGAAGAATCATCACTGGTTATTGCTTCTTGGATCCCCTATTTCCTTAAAGATGATCACTCCCACCAGAAGCTTCCCACCAGGGATGGGAAGGGTGAATTATCTGGAGGTTTCTGACTATTAGATTGCATAAATGTCATCCCCACTGTTGGCACCTAAATATCAATGGGTTCTTAGTAAACATGGTAAGACATGTCCTGCGCTAAAGAAGCCTTGCAACATGAGCAGCACTGTAAATGTAGCACTTAACTGGATATTTTAAAAGGGGGAGTAGGAAAAAAAAGGCAACACAACAGCATTTTTCTAACCAATCAAAATCAAATTATACCTGAGCAACATAATTGGAGTTTAATGAGTAGTTTTATGTTGTGATAATCAAATCACCATATTGATGGGGTTTATCAGCAGAAATACAATGTTAATTACTAAGGAATGATAAAAAATTAATGCAACTCCAAATGCAACATCCCACGTTACATATGGAAAGGCCGTGTGGACAGTCAGGAAGCTGGTCATTTTTCCTTTTAATTTAGCTTCCAGGCACGGGAGCTCCGGCTGGGCAATGTTTATTTGCCATTTTCAATTAAACATGGTTCAAGGGCTGGATGTCATCCGTGTGTGCTAATGGGAAGCATTCAAAAGTAAACCAACTCCATCCCTGGGCTTTCATGGGAGGAAAGACAGCTGTACATTTTGAAGGCACCGTGGAATCCCTTCTTTTTGGTATTCACGGTGTTAGAGAACCTGTCAGGTGAAAGCAAGAATAAGCCCACACTCGAAAAATAAATAAAATAACCTCAGATTCTAAAAGTCAACTACATTCACACTCTCCCATCCAAAAGAGATCTTAGAGCATATCAGAACAACAGAGAATGATTCAATTTGGAGGTCTGGCATTAACTGAGAGCTTTGTGAATTAATATGTTAATGTTAGTGTTTCACAGGACTCACTAAGAGAGTGACCCTGTGTCCCTCACCTGACCCCCTCGGGAGCATCCTAACACACCCTGCTGGTAACCCGACATGAAAACTAGCTGCAACAGGAAGGAACCTCACAAACTGAACCTTCTATCCTAGTGCCTGCCGAGCCGTAGCAAAGCAATGTCTGTTTCTCTTCCAAGGTTTAGAAAAGACCAAGGGAATGTTATCATCAGCAATGAGAAAAAAAGTTGATTGGCTTACTTAATTAATTAAGGGAAGCTAGTTAAAACTTCTCAGATTTTTTTTTCCTCTAAACACATAGAAATAGTCTCTGATTTTCTGCAAGACACTTTATGGTGTCGAGAACAATATGTGGTTTTGATGTCCGGGTCAACTCATAGAGTCAGGCTCTCCCATCCTTATTGGGCACTATTCATAACTTGGGCATGACCTGCCCTCTCTTTCTGAATTGGGATTTTGGAACCAGAAGGAACATCAGAGGACACCGGGTGTGACCTTCCATTCCACTGGCCAGGAGCAGTCGGAATAAGTAACTATGCATGTGCTCAGGGCTTTGCATTTGCAAAGGAGGTTCACAAATGCCGTCTCATTTAAACTTCATAACTTTAAGTGGGTGGTGTTGTCCCCATTTTACTGTTGAGGAAACTGAGGCTCAAAATGTCAGATGTCTCACCTGAGGTTATGCAGCCGATGAGCAGCTGAGTCAGAACTTCAAACAAGCTGCCATCTCCAGTGAAGAGCAAGTTCCCGTTGATGTTGCTCTGGGACTTAGGGTGGTGTCTCTTGGCTTACAGAATAAAGCCCCACACTCATCCCCACAGTTGAGACCCTTCGTCACGTGGCTGGCCAGCCCTCCATCCCACTGCCCAGCCTGATGGACTCCTGTATCAATCCACAAGTTTCCTGGCAGACATTCAATATCCCCTCGGCTCTCCCGCTCCCATGGCTCTGCTTCCACTGACCTCTCCTTGGGAAGCCTTTTCCTAGTGTCTCACTACCAGGCTCACCTGTTCTTCCTGGACCAGGTCATGCCACCTCCTCCAGAATGACTGCCCAGATTCCCCTGGCCAGGAATCAGATCTCATCCCTCAGTATTCTTAAAGCTGCCCAATTGCAATTCATTTATTAGTTGTATAATTAGTTGTTGGATGACCATTCCTCTCCTTGACTGCACATGCCAGGGAGCCAAGGACTTCGCACAATGCGTGACACACAGTAGGCATTCAAAAATGATGTGTAGAATGAGTAAATAGATGAATGAATGAGTGAATGGATGACTGAATCACATATCCAACATCTTTTATGTGCAGGAACCTGTGCCAAGCATGTTACACGCACGGTACATACTTTAGAGGACTGCAGTCAAGATGAAATGAGATAAAACAAACAAAATGCAGGACCCAAAGTCTGACACATTATAGATGCCTAAGAAATCTTAGCTGTCATGGTTATCATCATCATTTTTTATTATCAGGATCATCATATTGTCTCAATTAAATACTTAACAACACTTTTTTACCTCCGATTTTATCTATATTTTACAGATGAGGAAATTGAAGCTCAGAGAAGTTAGGCAGCTTGTCTAATGTCACACACCTGGTAAGTGGTAGAGCTGAGATTTAGGTGGAAATTCAAACCCAGGTTTGTCTGACAATAGCAAAGCTGTCTCCTTGGCCATCACACTATTCCACTGCCAAATTTGCAGGGAGCCTGGAATTGCATCGTTAAGGTGGCTCTGAAGTGCAGAACCATGGCTACCCCATCTCCCCACCAGCTCCAGACCAAAGTACTGTACTACACAAGTCAAGTTTTGTTGCTACAATATTCTTTGGGACAGAAAGAAAATGTCTACAGAGCAAGTTTAGGACACAGGTGGCTTCTGCAGCCACAAAGTGTTTTGTTCTTTGTCCTTGCCCATTTGTCCTCAATCAGCTGAGCACACAGGTGCCATAATCACTCTGGATACCAACCCAGACAAAGCTGCTTTGTAGATGATGGCATCAGAAAAATTTGAAGAACCAAAAGTGATAGTTGGAATGTATCCAGTGATTCTCTGATTTTATACAGGAGGAAATTGGGAGCTGGGCATGGTGGCTCACATCTGTAATCCCAGCACTTTGGGAGGCAAAGGAGGGAGAATCACTTGAGTCCAGGAGATAAAGGAAATTGGAGACCCAAGAATAGTCAGCAAATTAGTTAGAGGGCCAGACCAGAGTTCAATCCTCCGCCTTCTAATCGTTCTGCTTTTTTCTACTACACAAATATTTTTCTCAAATACGTGGCTCCATGTTTTCTGTCCACTAAAATGTAAAGTCTTTAGAAGTAGGGAGTAGAACATAGTCTGGTCCAAAGTCAGTATTTGCTCACCATCTGTCCTTCCCAGAACCTGCCCAGTGGAGCCCATCCAAACACATGAGGGTCTCCGACATGGTAGAGGGAACCTCAGCAGAGATGAGGCTATGGCCCAGATTTCAGTATCACTCAACCACTGAGAGGGGCAAGAGTCATTGCAATTATCTTGTCCAGTGTTTCTCAGTCTCACTTTAACTAGGGACCCTCTTCTGTCAGCAAAATCTCAACAATAAGTCTAATTTGAAAGCAGGAGTCAGAGCATTCAGATCCTGTCCACCTCTATCCCCAGTAAGGTCCTCCATAGGCACAGTTGGAAATCTTATCATCTGGTCTACCCGACCTGTATATGCCAATCACCATGACAATAACACCTGTGTCCAAAGTTTATTTCTCACTTATCTCATGTTCCAATGCAGTGGGGTCTCTGTTCCATACAGTCACTCGGGGACCAGGACTCTTCCATCGCATGGCTCTAACATCTCCTAGGACTTCAGCATCCTCCATCAAATCTCCTACATCTCTCCAGCACAGAGAGAGTGAGTTGGGGCTGCACAAGAGGTTTATCCCACTTCCACCGACACTGCACAAGCCACAGAACAATTCCACAGCCCCATCTAAGTACAAAGGAGACTGGGAATTATAATCTGAGTATTCAGGAAGGCAAGATGGGATTTGGTGAACGCACAGCATTCTCTGCCATTTCATCACTTTATACGTGAGCACTCTGAGGTCCAGAGAGGGAAGGTGGCTGTTCCCTGGTCACACAGCTTGCTAACACCAAAATCTATTGACTTCCCAGCCAGGTCTCATCCATGCAGTGCAATCTGCACCCACAGGAGGCAACATAGTAAAACAAGAAAAAAACAAACAACAACGATAAAATGTAAACCTTTGCAGACAGGCAAACCTAGATTTGAATCTTGACTCTACAACCTATCAGCTGAGCCAGGTTGGATAAGTCTCTGGCTCTCTCTGAATCTTAGTTTCCTAATCTACAAAGTGGAGATAGAAATACTGACTTCAATAGATCATTAGCAGAATTCCATGCACATGGAACCCCCCAGTCCAGGGAAAGAGGTAGTGGAGAAAGAGACTTAACCCCCAAAAGCTTTTATTTTGCCCCACTCTTGCACCCCCTGGGCCCTTCTGATCCCCCTTTCCCTGCTCTAATATTTCTTCATAGCAGTTATTACCTTCTAACAAAGTATATAATTTACAAATGTATCTTTATTGTTCATGTCTGTATTGCTCTCTAGAATGTAAGAGATTTGAAGGTATTTTGTTTGGTGATCGTATCCCAAGATCCTAGAACAGAGCCTGGTACAAAGGAACCACGCAGCAAGCACTTGATGAATGAGCGAATTATTCAATCAATTACTCCATCACAGGATGGCAGCTAATTGTCATCATGCTCATTCATTAGTCTTGGTATTGTCCTCCTGGGGCATCTATCCTCTGAAGTTCTCTCTCCTTTACCCAGTTTTCACAAGGAATATGCTACTGAACAGACCCTGGGTTGTTCATTCCTCACTTAGTCACACCTGTTGGGAGGCGCTTTGGAATCGTAGCCCATGGCATCAGAGTGCTTGGCAGAAAAGCCACCAGAAATAGAAAAATGTAAAATTACTCTGGTTCTCCATTCCTTTTACACAATACCTTCAAATCTCTTACCTCATGGAGTTTGCATTCTAGGGAGAGAGACAGATGTAAACAATAAAGATAAGTTTGTAAATTATACACTTTGTTAGAAGGTAATAAATGCTGTGAAGCAATATTATATCCTTGCCTCCCATTGGCCAAATCTATCTGGAATCCAGAGAAAAAGAGATTTCAGAAAATATTTTCTGAAATGCAGAAGGCAGAGAATAGCAGGGAATGGATCCAAGAGCAAACTGGCACATAATGTTGTTATTTTTTTCATCCCCAGCATCGGAACATACCTGGCACATAGTAGGTGGCCATTAAGCGGTTCATTAGATGGTAGAAATAATGAATTCTATATATTTTGTGTCCTGCACACTTTCTGAGGTTGAAATCTTACATGATCTATTTATAACTGACTCCAGTGATCCCCACCTTCTGGTCTTAACACACTTGTGTCATCCCGGCAGTTGAGTGTGAATAGAACCTGTGACTTTCTTCAAACCAATAAAATATGGCAAAAGTGATGGGAAGTCACTCCTATAATTATGTTAAACTAGTTAAGACTCATATTACAGATGGCCTTTGCTGGCTTGAGGAAGTGAGCAAACATGTTGAGGAAGTTTACATGACAAGGGGCTGTAGGAAGTTTTGGCAGTTGTAGGCAGCCTCTTGGAGCTGAGAGAGACCTCCAGGTGTCAGCCAGAAAAAGCCACTGCCCCAAGACTCCTACAGATGCAGGGAGATAAATTCTGCTGAGAACATGAATGAGCTCAGAAGCCGGTTCTTCCCCAGTTGAGCCTTCATATGAGAATGCAGTCAAGTCAATGCCTTGACTATAGCCTTGTAAGACCTGAGCAGAGGATTCAGCTCAGTTGATCCATTCCTGGACTGCTGACTCATAGAAACTATGGAATAATAAGTGTGTGTCGGTTTAAGGTGCCCAGTTTGTGACAACTTGCTACATAGCAACAGAAAATTAATATGAACACTAACTTCTTGGGGTGGGGAAGGGAAGGGCAATAAATGTAGAAGCTCATGCTATGCAATTATCAAATTCCATTTTCTTTCTCCCCAGCAGATAACTAAGCTACAGTCTTCAGCTTCCTTGCCAGAGATGTGGCCAGGTACCTGAGATCAAGCCAAAGAAATGTATGCAAAAAGCTACAGCTGCCACTCCAAGGCCTGTAGTGCCAAGTAACCCTCTACTTGCTCTTTCCCTATCCTCTGGCTGAATGGCGAGGCTTCTGGCACCTCAAGGGTGCAGAGCTGAAGTGGAAGCCAGATTCCTGACTCCATGCATGAGAGGCTGCCTAACACTCATTTTTAAGGAATTAACCCAAGTCAGAAATAAATACTCGTTTTGTTAGGCCACTAAGATTTTGAAGTTATCATTTGCAGCTAGTAACTATTATAAATAGGAAGGTAAATAATCTGTTTTGAGCCCTCACTATGTACTAGGCACTTGGCTAAACACTTTACATAGGTTACCTTATGCAACTATCTGGTCAAGCCTGTAATGTAGGTATTGTTCCTCCATCTTCCAGTTTAGAAAACTCAAGCTCTGGGAGGTTAAATAACCAACCCCTCACATGGCTAATAAGTAACGGAGGCCAAGTTAAAAACAGACTCTCTGACTCCAAAGTCAATGGAATCTCTAAAAAAGATATGACCTGCAGAAGACAGGAACGAGGTACTTTGGGACATGAAAGTAACAACAATTCACTCTGATCAAGAATATGGGCACATGCTCCAGGAGGAGGAGGCCTGTGAGATGGTCTTTGTGGATGGACAGTACTGAAACAGATCAAAGTGAGCAATGCATCTCCAGCACAGGAAACAACCTGGCAACCTGGGCACATGGACAGAGTTGGAAAAGTGCAGGACCCAGATGGAAGGGTGGGGGGGGAGCCATGTGACCAGGGTGCAGGTGCAATTGGAGATAAGGGGGTGGCAAGGCTACAGAAGGAGTTTGGGTTTAAATTATGGAGGACCTTGGATTGCCAAAAATAACCATAAAAAATAAATAAAGGCCATTTGTACTTACAATATTAAAGGCTTTTGAATAGAAGAGTTATATAATCATAGCTGTACATCAGAAGCCTAATTTAGCATAATCTTATGTAAGCATAAATACTCTCCTCTAATTCTTGTATTGGTGAAAATAACACATAGTTTTCTTCCTCACAGTTAGAGAGATTTACCAGAAGTGATTTCAGTAAGCACTAATAAAACCCCTTCCTAAGCACACAGAAGTAGTTTCATTAGATGACAGTCACACTTGCCATGTTTTGTTGGCAGCAGCACCATATCTACAAGTGTATATGTGTGTACACACGTCTATGTGTGTAACACAGAAATATGCACACAGCCTGTGCAGAAGGGATGCTTAGTCCAGGCCAACGCTGCCACTGGCACACACACAGGACAGACAGTGATGCCAATGCCTCCTAAAATGCTGTGTGTCTCTTTCACATTTTACACAAGGGGCAGTCATCTGCTTTGCAATTCAAGTCCCTGTCATGTCTTCAGACACGTGACAGGTTTCCTTTTCATAAACAAAAGAGCTGTTATCCCATCCATGACCACAAACAGCATCCCATAATTTCAGGGCCTGAGAAGGAGCATCTGAAGGGCTGCTGCTTGCTGACTTCCATTCAGTTCCACAGATACATGCAGGCCGTGGGCAGGCTCTTTGGGCATAAAGAAATGACTCCTGAACCATCTCCCACCTAAGGGAGCTTCTAGTCAGGAGGATAAACTAGACATACCTGCAGATGGTTAGTAGAGGGTAGTTGTGACTGTGGTGGTCCCTACTGTGGGTTGCTGCAGAGATACATTGGAAATTGATTGGCCCAACATTTGGATGGACATTTTCAAGGCCACTGCAAATTCCCATGACCCAGTCTTGAGGCGCTCCTCCTTCCCAGCTCCTCTACTTGAGCTCAGCCCCTGAGCAGAAAGAAGGGATTTGAGCTGAGCTCATGAAGGCTGCCCAGCACAGCAAATGGAATACAAACTTTGGAATGCAAGCTCAGCCCCTGAGCAGAAAGAAGGCATTTGAGCTGAGCTCATGAAGGCTGCCCAGCACAGCAAATGGAATGCAAACTTTGGGCCCCAATATCTGGGTTCAAATTCTGGTTTGACTGTTCCAAAGATCCCTAGACTTTGAGTAAGTGACCTACCTTTTTTAAATACTAGAGAATATTGGGGGAATTAAAAAAGAGACTGATAATTGATTAGGTGCCTGGCACAAAAAAGGTGCTCAGTAAATAACTGTTATTATTACCCATAGTTCCTTCCCTTAGTGAATATTGTGTGTGTAAGTGGCACTGTGGAGATATTTGGAATTTGAGGCAGATGTTTCAGTGAGTTAGGAACTTCTGGGCAGTATGTGATCTGTCTTGATCACTTAGACCCAAAATGCCAAGCATCAAGGTCATTTCAAGTCTAGAATCATCAACCAATACATCCTCACTTTGGACCAGCTGCAAATCTGATAAGAAACCTTCTCTTTCTTCATCTGGATTGGGAGAAATGATCAACTGGACTGAGCCTGAGGCAGAGGCCTGGGCGCAACCAGAATTCCTTCCTGAGCAACGACATTGACCCAATGATTGATTTCCTCTAGTATAATTGTTAACAATAACTCCCTAACACCTCCTGGTATTTTACCCCCATATACTCATCCTTTCTGCCAAGATATCCTGAGAGATTTGATCAAGTTCCTCAGGGACTCCAACATTAGACACAAGTATGATGTTCTCTGAGATGAAGATGGGAGTTTGCTCAACAGCGTTACAGAACAAAATTTGGGTCTGCTTGCTCAGTGCACAGAAAAAGCCAAACACTGACACCAGGATTTGCAGCGAGAGAAAGTGAGACATTTATTGCAGGGTCTCCAAGGGTCCCTCCAAGCAAAGAGGGATGGGCGGCTAATACTTAAAACCCAACCTCCCCAATGGCTTACAAGCATGGGTGTTTTTAAGACAGGGTACATTTCAGGAAAGCAGAAGTTACCAGCAAAAATGTAAATCAATACATGGAGGTTATGCATTGCTTCAGCCCGAAACTGTAGGACACCTTGAAGTGGGGCTTAGAGGTCATAGATGGATTCAGAGATTCTTTCACTTGCAACTGGTTAAGGAAGCAAGGCTTTGTCTAAAAGCTTGGGGTCAGCAGAAAGGAATGTTAAGGTCTGGCCTGTGGACATCACTCTCTCCAGGCCCCACAGGAAAAAATTTAGAACAAAGAGTTCAGTCCTCAGTTCCCCCTTACTGAGGTCTACATGAGAGCAGTGGGCATTTTCCATCCAGTGGGGATGTGGGTTTCTGAAAACAACTCAAGAACATGGGTTAAGATGTTATCTTTTTGTTTCTACAGGGAACAAAAACACCTTGTGAGCCTTCCTCGCTTGGAATATGATTGCTTAAGTTACTACTACCTTCCTGTTTGTCAGGTTGCTCATTTACTTCTCAAGACTAACAAGGTGCCTGGAATTTTCCTTGAAGGAACTCAAGATTTTTCCTGTATTTGCATGCTTAGGGGGGTCCCAGCAGGCTCCTAAAAGGTGTCCGTGCTCTATCTCAACAGGGGCTCATGAAGAGTGATAATCACAGGCCACACTCGAAACCCTCTCGATAGAGATTCAAATCTGGACTCTACCATCACCATGAAGCTTTCTGAGTCCCCAATTTCCTCTTTAGAAACATTAAAACCACAAGCCAGATTCGTGGGCTTGCAGAGGAAGTTCACTGTGATACAGCCTGATTCCCCTCTAGCCCCAGGCCTGGCCCTTGTTAAACAGTGGCCCCTTTGCTCTATGCAAAGGGTTTCTAGCTAGAAACTTGGAGGGGAAACAACGCCTTTGCCCTTCTAAGCCAGGTGCATAGGTTTGCTTGCTTGAGTTCATCTCGGAAGATGAGAAAAGGGGCACCAGTCCTGGATACTCTCCAACAAATCACTTACCAAATCTCTATACTTTTTGGCAGAACATTCCAGTTTCTTGCCTACTCCAAGAACAACATTTGCAAAAGCACATCATGGTAGACACATTAGTATATCCGAGACTGGGATGATTCTGGCCAGAACCAGAGAGTGCCACTTTCTCCCTGGGGGTTCCTTTCTGAATTAACAAAGGAGTGTCAGAGCTTGATTTGAATATTCCAGCCATTAATCCTGGGCACTAGCTCCTTGGGTGCTTTGAATACATTTTAAGGATCATTGCAAATTTGATTGCCATCAATAAAATTGCAAACAATATAATTATATTTGTTTGCTTATGTCTAAATAGGTGCACACATGTGAAATGTGAGTATGGTAATACAAGCAAACATGCATGCATATACATATTCGTGCTTTCAGATGTATAAAGATTCATACCTACACAGCACAGAAATGCACTTATATAACTTGCAAAAATAATCTACTTCTTCTATGCTATACCGGAAAAAAAAAATCAAATCTAAGCACGGAGGAACTGAAAAAACTACATGTATCATTCACCTGATTTCAATTGTGCTTCCCTTTGAACCTCAGCCAAATCATTTTGTACATTAAAAATTGGTCAGGGATGATAAGATTCCATTTTCATGGTTGGTAATGCAGAACCAGGGAAAGAATACAATTACAGACCCCTGAGTAAACTCTGCGAATGTCAACTTGATGTAAATGATCAAGTGTCGACAAAGGGGCCAGGCAGGAAGGGAGGGCTTGGAGAGGAAAAGAGAGCTGAACTCCAAAAAACAGAAAGAGACAGACAGACAGAAAGAATGAGAGATAAGACTCCAGCATCCCTGTCAGACCATCATGTGACTGAAACATGGAGCTCTTGGGGCCCAGGAATTTTTTTAAGCACTTGCTCTCAGACCGGTCTTGAGTGTGCCAAGGTTGTGCACCTAAATGCATTTATTCATTCCCCTAACATTTACTAGGCACCCACTTAGGCCAGTCAATGCCAAACAAGGAGAATAAAATAGGTTGACTACAAAAGGCTCAGGTCAATCCTGTGGTATTTCCCAGAGGAATAAGAATAGCAGATGTCCAAGCAGAGAAACTACACTGGTACCCAAGGCTTTCGTGCAGGTGGACACATGTACAAAGATCCCTTCTGAGAGAGAAAAGTCAATTGGCTCAGCCAACTCCTCTCACCATCATCTGGGTCAAGGGGATAACACAAGATAGCCCCATTTTACTTTAAGGTTGCCCCTAGTGGGACATTGTGCTTCAAGACATAGCCAGAAGATGAAGGGTCTCAAGGATCATATCATGCAAGAAACTGTTGTAAGAACTGGGACTGTTTCTCTTGAGAAGCAAAGACTCAGGGGCATGATGTCTGTCATCAAACACTTAAAGGAATGTTGAGAGTTGGGACAGGGTAAATCAGGCTCCTAGAGACTTTTGGAGGTCAGACTCAGAACCAGAAGGTAGAAATGGCCAGAGCAGATTTCTGTGCATTGTAATAGAGGCATGCCCAACAACAGACTGAGCTACTTTGGAAGGTAAGGAGCTCTCTGTCACTGCAAATATGACAGAAGGCTGGTTGATCACTCGTGTGGACTATTGCAGGAAGCATATCTGCATTGGAAGGAGAGAGGTATTGACTGGATGATAGTTAAACATGATTAAAAGGGGAGATCATAAACTAGAATTTGAGTAAGAACCAAACTTGGGGAAGAAGCAGAGGGAGGAGAGTCTGAATTCATAACCTGCCCTCTATATCTCTTACATGAGTTCCCCAGGTCCTGGCTTCTCACATCCTGGGCCATCTTATATCTAGCAAACAGTGTCACACAGGGAAACCTGCATAGCCTCTTGTCCTAGATGGTTTCCACATCCCTTTTCCCTGGTTGGAATGTGCATTCATTCTCCGACTCAACAAACTTGGGCACTCTTCTAGGGTCTGAAGCTACAAAGGTATGCAAGACACTCAAGACCTCTGGTATGTACCTGATCTGTTAGTGCTGGACATGAAGGTAGTCAGGCATGGTCTCAAGTGTTAGTCATGAAGTCAAGCTGGCAGGAGCCCTTCCAACCACCTAGAAACTCATCAGTACTTTTGGGGATATTATATGGCACTCGGTCTCTGGAGCACAGCCAAAGATAAGCTTCACTCAACTGAAGGCAAGGGTTGTACCTTCAGGCCTTCCCTCACCTCTCTGGTCATGGGATGCTGGTTGTTGTGGTGATGGAGGGTGGCAGAATGAAGTAGCCACGAACTGAAATACAGCAGCAGGCCAATGAGTTTTCACCTTATGAAAGGCATTGTCCACATGCGTTCCTTTAAGCCAAGCTTGGGAAGTCATATTGCCACTCCTGTGATGCTAGACTGTCAAAACAGGGCTCTGAGCTTCTGGGCACCATACTGTTTTCCGTCTTCTCTCCATTACCATGGGAGTTCAGGGAGTCAAGGGTGGGTTCCCATTCTGGGAGTCTATGACTCTGGCTGTGTCTTGGATTTCCCTCTTCCCTGCCCTGGCATCCTCATAAGGGAGTCAACTGGCTCTCCTTTAATTCCAGAAATGGAGAGGATACCCAACAGGTTGCTTCCCAGTTGCCTGTGAGGATGGATCATCAAGTGAAATTGAATTACCTTGTGATTACATGTGTCGACACCAAGGCCATCTCCCCACCAGCAGTAGATTCAGAAGAGTTGTCCTTGTGCTCATGCCTTGCCATGGACTCTAATGTGGCTGGAAGGATGTTTGCTCAGCCAGTATCCCTACCCAGGAAGAGCTGGCGATGAACAGGAGGCCAGCAAAGGAGTTCCGCAGGTTAAGACAACAGAGGACCACCAGTATCTGGTTTAGAGAATGAGGTGTGTTGAACACAGCCACTTTTGAGGTCCAATCTTACTAAGCGAACCTCAAATTATACACACCACCATCCTTAAGGGCGAGACCCAGGTCTTATTTTTCTGTTTTCCTAGAGTCTCCTATTATACCTGGATATTTGACTTGCTAGGCAAGAACAGAATAGAACAGAACAGGACAGGACAGGACAGGACAGGACGGAACGGAACGGAACGGAACGGAACGGAACGGAACGGAACAGAACAGAACAGAACAGTGAGAAGGGATTCTCTGTCTTTCCCACAGGTGCTTCAGGACCAGCTCAGTGCTGACTTGGGAGGTGGAAGGCTCTGAAAAATAAGAGACTTCCAAACCCGCTCTTCCAATGGCCCACCAGCCTCATCCATGAGGAAGTCCTGAGTTGTTCTATGAAAAGCACGCTCAGGGAGGCAGGTCTGGGGGCTAAACATGCACACCATGCATGGAATGGTGAAGACAGGAGAAAAGCTGACCCGGGATGGGATCCACTGGGGACTGAGGATTGTGTCCTTGGCAAGACCCAATAAGAATAAGCATTTTGCAGGACAAAAGAACACACATTCCCCCTACCATCCCATCATCATTCAAAAGCTGAGAGCAAGACTGATTTTTCCAATTTATTTTAGAATTATCAACCGAACTGATTAAAGCAGCTATCAACTTCGGTTGTTCTTTATGTGTCGTCCTCATTTCACATTTCCAATGTTTTTTCGCGTGCAGGCTGCATAAATTATTGAAACATTATTTTATTTATCCATCCCCCTGTGACAGAAATAGGTTTTCTGAAAGCAGATCTTTCCCTAATCAGTTTTGTTTTTCTTGGTTTTGCTTCCAAATAGCTCTGTGAATTTTAGCTGACAGATGTGTAGCACTGGTTTGCTTCTTTAGGGTGAACCAAGCCACGGTGGGAAGATAAAGAGAGCAGTTCTGGATTCCAGAGTCCCTGGAAATATATTATTGGTGGAAATAAGTCCCTAGGAGACAAGAAACTCCCCAAATGTGTCCACATAGTGTGCAAGAGGGAGATGGTATAACAACACTGTGAGTCATCAGGGCTTGGGGCAACAGGGCCTAACTTCATGGATTCATCCCCTGGGCTAAAGACCTCCACTTCCAGGCAACGGGTCATCCCCAATGGGAGGCCAGGAAGCAACCAAGTCCCAAGATGACCACAGACAGTTGTGGGTTTTTATCTTGTATAAAACCAGCTCAGTGTTTCCCATCACCACAAAAGATAGATATTCTCGGGAAATCATTTGAAAAGGGCCACTTTGACAGCTACAAATATTTAAAGTGTGTGATCTGTTGCATCTTCATGCCTTTGAGTGGTAGTATTGGGGGATGAGGAGCAATATATTTAGCCAAGGAAGGAAACATGCAGTTGTCAAACCAAGATGTGCCAAAGACAATGCTAAGGCTCCATGTGCTGGCATGAAGGGACTTTCAGGGTCTGGAGCCATGGGACCCACAGAGAGCCATGTATTGTGCTGGTCTCACCCTGAACTACAGTGCATGGGAAAGAATGGGAGCCAGAGGGAAAGATGAGCAAGTCACTCCTCCAGTGTCACTGAAATCTACATCCTCTCAGGCCAAAGGGGAAGGTGACAGCTTGACTTCCTCATGCCAACTGCCTTGAGGTCACAGGTTTGCTTCTGCCCTCCCACCCCCTACCCCCCGCATTGACTGAGGTCTTGGATCCTTAAGGAAGTCACAACCAAATGCTGGCCCTGCCATTTCTATTTAAGAGCCAGAGAGAGATACAGCTAAGATCTAGAAACATCTCAGTTCACAGAGCTGCATCTACACAGCCTTAGGAGTTTGGGGTTGTGGGCTTAGCTCTTCAAGAATGTCAGAGAATCATGTAGAAATGAATCTGGTATACCACTCAACTCTTCAGTGCACTAAAACCTTCCTTGTGTCCATGCCATTCCTAACGTAGTTCCTTGATTGTAATTGCCATTGAAGGTAAGCTATCATCCTCAGGAACAGCTTTTCCATTGTAAGACACATTCCAACCCCAGAAGCCAGAAAGAGGAGAACATGCCCATTTCACAGTGAAGGAGGTGCGGTAAGTATCTTTGCATATGCTGTTCCCTCTTCTTAGAATGCTTTTTCCTTGCCTGGACCCTCCACCAAACTCCTACTCATCATGGCAGTCTTGGGTGAACCACTGACTTCTCCATAAAGATTTGCAGGCCTTGTTCACGCAGCCTATGGCAACCTTTCTTGCAGTGATTCTATCTGAGGTCAGGTTTCCTGCAAAGCAGAGGCTAGACATGGATCTCCACCCAGGCCACATGACTCACTGTGACAGAAAGTTCTTCAGGATAGGTCGATAAAGGAGAGAGGGCTGCAGGACAGGCGAGGAGTTAACAAGGAGACTGTCTCAGGTCAAGCTAGGCCATGACCTGCTCCAAGGGTAGGGTAGGGCCTCTGGAGCATAAACACATCCACAGAGTTGCTCCTTGAAGACTTCGTTCCTCCTGAACTAGTCATTTATCGGCAATCTGCTGCCCCCCAAGCCAAGTGGACGTTCATCTGCCAAGGGCAGTTCTCCACAGAAAGGGGACAGCTGGAGTGTTCACAGCCAGCACTCTCAGCAGCTGGTGCTCTGCAGTGGCTGCATAAAGGGCATCTGCATGGGGCACCAACAGTACCCATACAGACCCGCTCCCCCGGTGCCATTGCGATAGTAATGATCATTTGCTGAGCTCCTACTTAAGTCACACTCTTTAGTTGTGGCTGTGTTTGCCATCCCATTTACCACAGATGGCCTCAACAGAAAGCAAAATCCCTATTGAACAGAAGCATCAGTTGAGTGCACCCTGAGCCAGGCCCTTTCTGGGCTCTTATGGTAGGTTATTACTTGTCCTCTTTTGCCTGTAAGAGGATGAGGTACAGCCACTTATGGCCATGAGACTTCCTCGCCCCACTGGCATCAGGCTTGGTCATATGACTTGCATTAGTCATACTACGGGCAGAAAGATACACAATACCACAACGTGGTAAAATAGAAAAATTCAGGGTTCAGGAGAGGTACCAATGGGGACAAGATCTGATGGCCCCAGATTTAACTAAATGAAAGAAAAGAAACACGCCACCACTTGTGCAAAGTCCCTGTGGTGGAAGGGAGCATCCTGCAGTCAAAGATTTTAATCAAGGCCAATGGCTGGAACGCAAAGAAGGAAAGCACAGTATAAGTGAGGGCTGGAGATTTGGCTGGGGACCAGAACTGCAAAGCCTTGTAGGTCATATAAAGGATTTGGATCTTGTTTTTTAAAGCAATGGAGAGACAGAGAAGAGTTTACCACTGGGCTGTTCTACTAACAGTTGGGTGGCTTAGGCAGGTCATGTGATTTCTCCAAGCTTCTTTCCTTGTTTGTAAAATAAAAATACAGGACAAAGTGACTTACCCTGTTTTCTTCTTCCCCCTTTTCTGCCTTTATTTTATGGTTTGAGGCAGAGAACATTCCCATAGTAAGACACAAGTATCCCAGACCATGGAATCTCATCTTTGGCAGGATTTTCCTGAAATATGAGTGATAATCACATCCACCAACTGTCACATCACACTGTATTTCTACCATTAGTCAATAACAAAATAAAAAATCAATTTGGTTAATCTTCTTCAAACAAAAGAAGAACACAGAAATCTCTTAATAAGAAAAAAAAGCCTATTTATAATCAGATCAAGAAAACTGCACGTAATGTGCTTTGTGCCTCAAAACTAATTTCTTTAAAATTTTTAATTTAGAGTGCACAAAATAACTATTTTAAAAAATATGCAACTGCATGACTAATTCCATATTAATGAAACTCAACATCTGTGGCTTTTCACATCTGATAGAGTTTAAAAATTACCAAATTAAAGCAAAGGATTAATTTGTTTTGACTTATTAACATTGGTTAGCCATTAAAATTTATTTTCCCCCATTCTATGAATTTTTTTTCTTTTTTGATCATTACCTAGCTCTGTCCTGTCCTTCAATGATTTTAGAATTACAGTAATCACCTCAAGCATCTTGCCATTCATGCAAGGTATCATTATTCATAAATATGCACTCTGCTTCTTTTTAGCTGAACAAAGTCAATAGTCGTAAAACATCATCATCATTTTTTCATTCAACTCAATTCGCAGCAACTTCATTTCTGAATTTCTCTTTACTTAGAATATCTGATGTCCAAATGAAATTGGAGCAATTGCCAACAAAAACATATGTCCTTCTCCAGTTCGCACGCGGCTTTTCTTCCTCGGAGTTTGCTGCACAGCACTCAAGTCTTTATCTGAGTCTTTCTCCCCAGCTATCCTTGCTTCTGGCCACCGTCACCTCTACGGTTGATTTATGCTTGGGACACACCAATTAATTTTACAACCAACTACTAAATCAAAGTTCTTTCGGCATCTCCTACAGATAAAACCCAGCGCCCAGTCCTATGGGGGCATGTAAAGGAACACGCCTCCTCCTGCCCTTCCAGAGCTCACAGCCCAGTGCCAGACACAGCGACAGCCCACGTGAAACTGACATGAAACTGACATGAAACAGAAGTACAGTCTCACAAAACAAAACTTTGCTTTTATTGACTTAAGCACTTTACAATTAGGGGACCGGCAGGGAGTAAGGGTTAGGTGCTTGTAGTCTTGCTACCCTTCGTCTCTCTGGTTCTCAGTTTCCCCAGCTATAAACTGTGGATCACAATAGTCTCTTCTTTGTAGGGTTGTTTGGCCAAATGAGATGAGGCATTGGGTTGTTGAATGGCCAAATGTAACTAAGCATTTAAACACAATGTTTAGCACCAAATAACACTCAGTGTTTACTGAATAGATAAATAAAATAAATGTTTTCAAATAACTCCTTGCTGAGAAGAGCTTGTAAAGGAAATCTCCATATAAAGGAAGCTCATAGTATCTACCTGATGCTGAAATAATCAGTAATTTTGTCAAATTATTAGGGCTGGGGTGGGGGTCGGCAAGTCATCAGGAAAGACAGAAATAAATGTCAGAGGGCACTGGCACGTGGCCAAACAGCCTCTCAAGCCCCACATAGTGGCCCTCTCTGTAATGACTTCTGAAATAGCATCCAAGCATGAGATAATGCATATGAATGTGCTCCGTAAACTGTAAAGTGCTTTACAAAGCTTAGTTGAAAGTAATTATGTCACTTACCACATAGAAAAACTTCTATTGCCTCTTGTGCAGTATAACATTAGATTCAAAAATATGATTTCTTTTGGAGAAAAAAAATGTCCTCCTGATTTCCATAACGCATCATGGCAAAAGGTATTATTGAGTTCTTTGTCTAAAGTTTGCTTAAAATTTAGTTAGCTTGCCTTGCTGAGAGAAAAAAAAAATCAAACAGTTTTGTGGAAAATTCAGTGCTCAGATCTGTGGGGAATTCATAATTGGCATTTCCATAACCCAGCTGTCTGGCTGTTGAATGGAACCCTAGAATAAATAAATAAACTAACAAATGAAAAAGCAAACACTCAAGTTCTGTGGTATTTACAAAAAGAAAAGGACAATACAGAATGGAAATAAACTCTGTCATGAATGGGTCTTACTTAAAATGGCTTGATTGAAACTCTTCTAGTACTCTAAAAATTGAAAGTGACTTTTAACAACTCAAAACTATAGCAAATTGGGAAAAACACAAAGTCTTCCCAGTACCATTATTTTAGAAGAGTCCAATTTTTTTCTGCTGTGATATAGGAAATATTCTGTGACTCAGAATTTTCCATGTTTCCTTTTTTTTCTTTTTCTGGACATTCTAAAATGAGCTGCCTTGGGCTTGGAGTGAAAAGGGCGTTTTATGAGAACAATTAGCAAGAAACAAAAGTGGGGTTCAATTTGCCACTTTATTCTGCATCACTGGAAAAAAAGAGAAAAGAAGGATCGTGGAGGTCTGTGGCAGAGACTGCTAATAAATATTCAAAATCTGTTTTTCCTTTCCTCTTCACTAACAAAACCCCTATATTTTGGCAGGTGGTAATTTGCCAACTTAAAAAAAAAAGAAAAAGAAAGTACATTTCCCATTTTTCCTTGCAGTTGGGGCAGCCTGTGACATGTAGGTAGCAAAAGTTGGATGGAGTTTTCTGGAAAGTTCTTTAAAGGGAGTTGACTCAGCGGGGAGCTACATCCTTTAAGCCTTGCTGCTCATAACGGACCCAATAGCTGGAGATGCAGCAGCCATCTTGGCACTATGAGGAAAAAACCCCAAAAAGTATAAGCATCCTGAGCCTGACATTTTGAAGCTGCTGAGCCCATGCTAGCTAGCAGCTGCCTCCTTCTAAAATGTCTTGTTAAGTGAAAAGATAATACCTTATTTGTCTAAACCGCAATGGTCCAACCTCTATTGCTTAAAATTCCTAACTGACACCAGGTCCTTTGTTTTCGGATTGCTTTTTCAGTGGGAGACTGTGGATTTCCAAATAAGATTAATCCAGAAAATCACAAAGCAAAGATCGACAAATATTTACTGTGGATTTTTAATAAGTGTGCTTCTTCTAAGTCTGAGAGTCGCTTAATTTCAGCCACACACTCTGAAAGAGGTTTAGCATGTCTAAAGATTTTGATCTAACAACATCTCTCACATGTGTGGAACATGAATATTTGCTCTGAAATATTTAACATGTACACAGAGTTAGAGATGGCAGAACAATCATCACCATGTACCACCTAAGAGTTTAAGAAAGCATTACCAACACAGCTGAAGCCGCAGGTGTGTCTTCTCATCAAATCCTCTTTTTCCCCTACCCTAAAGTAACCACTTTTCTAAATTGAGGGCTCATCATTTCTTTATATTTATACTCTCTAAGCAAGATATAATATCTTGGTGGTTTTTTAAAAAGAAGGCTCTGGACCCAACTTCCTAGGTTCTAATCTTGGCTCTGACATTCACTAGCTGGATGAGCTCCGTCTCAAAAAAAAAAAAAAAAAAAAAAGCAAATTACTTAACCTCCCAATGCTTCAGTTTTCTCATTGTCAAATGGGGATAATAACATAGTATTTACCTCACAGATTTATGATGAGGATTAAATGACCTAATAAATGTACAATCTGCCATCTAGTAAAGACTAAATGAGTATTTATGATTATTATTATTCTCATGAGAATGCATATAGTTTTCTATGGTTTCTTTACTCATATTTTATTTAAATGTTCACACAATTTTAAATATAAACCATAATCTAATACAAAGGTTACTGCATTTATAATAAACTATATTAAATATATAATTGTTTATACTTGATGTCACATATGATGAAATTTTTTTTCACAAATAGAACTTTATTCACCTGCTCCTCCTCTTCCCTACTCAGATGCAGGTCACATCCAGGTTCATACGATTCTCCCTTCAAAGTCTCTGTCAGATGCACCCCTTCTCTGCATCTCCACTGCCACCCATGGTCTTGGTTACTCACCGCCTCTTGCATGGACCACAGCAATAGCCTCAACTCCAGACTGCCTCCCTAACAGTGTCTGATTCACTCTCCACAAAGCAGCCAGAGTGCTCCTTCCTGGAGAAAAAAATAAACCTATCTGATGATGTTCCGGGTTACACACTTGTAGCGTGTGTAATTTTAAATTGCAAAATTAAAAATAGTTTGACCCCCAAATTCACCTTCTTGAACAATATCCTGTAAAAATACTAGGATATATGTCCCTAGGAGCATTTATAAAAATGTTTATTACCTATAATATTAATAGAAAATCTAGGATCTACCTAAATATCCTTTAATATAGAAATGGGCCAGACGCTGTGGCTCCCACCTGTAATCCCAGAACTTTGGGAGGCCAAGACAGGTGGATTGTTTGAGTTCAGGTGCACGAGATCAGCCTGGGCAACATGGCAAAATGCCATCTCTACTTAAAATTTTTAAAAAATTAAAATATGGAAATGGTAAAATGAGTTTAGTAATATCTGTTACTCAAAGACTCCTTGAACGTATTATTAAGTGAAAAAAAACCCTTGGAATATATTATATATAATAAGTTATAATTTACATAAAGAACAATGTAAATATGAGTGTGTAAATGAATACAGACAAGTCTGAAAAAGACATTATTAGCAGTGATTGCCTCTGAGCCAATGTGTGCATGCAAGGGAAGTGGAAGAGGTAAAGAGGGATTTTGATTTTTCAACATGTTTTCTGCATTATTTACATCTCATGCCAAGTGTCTACTTAGATATTACCTGATATTTTACCCAAGAACAATACATTTATAATAATAAAAAATAAATAATAAATGCCATGATAAAAATAAATAAATAAATAAATAATATAATGAAAGATGCAGAAGTCACAAAGCTATAAAGTTAACAATCACAGTTTCACAGAATGTAAAGAGGTAAAAATGACCAATGTTCTTTTTTTTCACTTTCTTACTTCTAAAGACATCATACATAAGCAGCATTATAAGTAAGAAAGAGAAGTTAAAAATGCAAATTTTATCATTGTCATTTAAAACCTGCGGGAGAAAAATAAAACCAGCTCAGAGAAGATAAATGGCTGCACATCACCCCTTCATTCAGCAGAGATTTATTAAGCCCTTGGCACATCACTTAAATCTTTGGAACCTCAGTTGCCTCATTTTTAAAACAGAAAAGCTAATACATGTGGTTCAGAAGATTAAATCTAAACAAATATGAAAATATCTCAGCACAGCACTTGGCACATAAAAATACTTATAATTGTCCAAAATTCACAGAACACATTTTTTCTTTTTGCCTTTGCTTATCACTATCACTACCACTCTGTAATTCATTATGCTATGTATAGATGTGGATTTTTATTTTTTAACACTGCTTGGAACTTTTCAAATTGCTCTTTATGGCTCTACATCTCTTTGTTGGTATTTATTTTTATTGCTGTATGCTTCATTCAGGAGGTGAAAGAATGTTACTCATTTGCAGCTTCCAATTCACTAATTCTCTCTTCGGCTATCTCTAATCTCTCATTTACTCCATTCAACTTTTGCTTTATAACTATATTTTTTATTTCCTATAGCTTCTTTCTTTCTCTCAACTTCTTTCTCTTTAAGGTTGCTATTCTGACCTTAATCTAGTTGAAAATTATAAACATACTCACTTTAAATCTTTTCAGATTTATCTACAGCACAAGTGACATAGCATAGCAGTTAAGTATTAAGAATTCAGAACCAGACTGGATAGATAAATTCTGGCTTTGCCACTGAAATAGCTGTAATTGGGATTAACCTTACTGTACCTCTATTCCCCTTCTACTTAATAATTATGATCATTATAATCCATAGTCCATATTTTATGAAAACCAAATGAATTAATGCACATAAGTCATTTTGAACAATACCTGGCACATGTTCAACCTTTAATACATGTTAGGTATCATTATTATTATTATATTATTATTATTATTCTATTTTCCTAGATTTGAATTCTCTCATGCATTGGGTATACTGGCTGTCTCTTGTTGCATTGAGTTTCATGTGATTTTTAATTTTTGTTTAAGAGCTCATTTTGCATGGAAGTTTTTTCATGAGGATCTCCCTTTCAATAGCTTTTACAGATGTTTCAGTTCAGACCTTCAATTTTCCAACCCTGAAACAGGTCTTCTACTAGGGGTCTGAGCAACCTTGAGATTATAATTACCATCATTGTACCTCTGCATCATTCAGTCCTGTGGAAATGACTTTTAGACCCTGTTTTTCTGATTCCAAATGCCATGGTCTTATCACTCCTCCACAGCTACCTCCTTTACAAGTGTTGCAAGGACGCAAACCAGCACCAGCTTGCAGGGGATTGAGAAAGGTAATGAACTGGAAGTAACAGCAAAATGGTCACTGAATTAATCAGCTCTGGCTGCCATAACAGAATACCACAGACTGTATGGTTTAAACAACAGAAGTTTATTTTCTCAACAATCTGAAGGCCTGAAAGTCCAAGACCAACGTCCAGTAGAGTTGAGTCTAGGTAAGGGCTCTCTTCCAGGCTTGTAGATGGCCACTTTCTTGCTGTGTGTTCACATGGCCCTTCTTCAGTGCATTTGTGCAGAGAGAGAGAGAGAGACACAGTCTCTGGTGTCTCTTCTTCTAAGAACACTAATCCTATCAGATCAGGGCCCCATCCTTATGACATCATACTTCCTTACTCCAAATATGGCCACACTGGGGATTAGAGCTTCAATATATGAATTCAAGAGAGGGAGGGACTCAAACTTTCAGTTCATAACAGTCAGTCATTGCAGGAACTCAGCCACAAAAAGGAAAATTATATGGGCTAAAAAACAAAACTGGGCAGTGAGGTCAACAGAAAATTTTTCTAAGATTAGGGAGTTCTTGACATGATTAGAGATTTAAATAAAAGAAGGCATGATTCTGCTCTTGTCTCCATATGTTCAACACCCAACACAGTGCATTCAATAACTTATGGTTGAATAATTACTGAATGAGTAAATAAATAAATGAAAAAGAATGAGGTTGGCAAAAGAGAGGTCAAGGCCACCAGTAAGCCTAGAAAAGAAGGATTTTCATCAAAGGTAGGACAAAATCATCATTAAGATTTGGTGGTTTGGTGGTATAGTCCTGGTTCTACTACTACTGACTAATTGTTGGAACTCAGAAAAGTTTATTAGCCTGGGCCTCTGTTTCTTCATCTGTAAAATGGAAATAATGATAATGCTTCCTTCATAGGATTGTACAGAAGAAGAATTAGGCAATTCATAAATTCATGCATTTATTCTTTCAGTAAAGATCTGTCAAATGGATGTATGGATGGCTATGAGGACAAGTAAGAGAAAAGCATGTTTTCTTCTTTAGAATGTTTCACTAATACAGAACTTGAGGTAATCTTAATACATGGGAAACTGAGCAATTAAACAGACCTATCCATATCAGCATATAAACAAAATGTAAAATCTGGGCAACTATAAGCAAGACTATACTATTTTGAGGTTGCTTTTGTCATTGTTGTTTTAAGTTTCATAATTTGTTACTATTTTTAAGGTCAAATTGGCTCTATATGCAAATACTGAGTTCCCAGTCATGATTAAAATTGAAGGGAACAAAATGAAAGTCAGACATTTTCTTCTGAAAAAGGAGAAAATTTGAAGTTGGTCTAGAAGACAAGATAAACCGAAGCCAATGGTGATAATCCCCCAATTCATCTCTAGTCAGATGGCTTATATCTTCCAAGATGAAGGTGAAACTACTCTTATTTGGAGCCAAGAAGTGAAACCACTGGCTCTATGATCTGATTTGGTGCTAAAAGAATTATAAGGATGTAAGGATAGGTTTATAGTGATCACACAGTCATTCAACTGAAGATAAAATAAGTAAATTTCAATAACCCTAGGGTTGAAACTGAGGATCTGATCATGTGGTCTTAATCTTATTAATGATACACAAAAGCTCAACATGTCCAAAAGAACAGTACATTGGAGCCCAAAAAACCTAGGTTGAAGATCAAATTTGCTGTTAATTTGCTGCATTGCCTTGGATAAACCGTGTACCTTCTCTGGTCCTCATTTTCCCCATGTGAAACACACATGCTCTGATTCCTGCCATGACTTACTCATAAGAAATAGGCCGGGCGCGGTGGCTCACACCTGTAATCCCAGCACTTTGAGAGGCCGAGGCGGGCGGCTCACGAGTTCAGGAGATCGAGACCACGGTGAAACCCCGTCTCTACTAAAATACAAACAATTAGCTGGGCGCAGTGGTGGATGCCTGTAGTCCCAGCTACTCAGGAGGCTGAGGCAGGAGAATGGCGTGAACCCGGGAGGTGGAGCTTGCAGTGAGCCGAGATCGCGCCACTGCACTCCAGCCTGGGCGACAGAGTGAGACTCCGTCTCAAAAAAAAAAAAAAAAAAAAAAAAAAAAAAAGAAAGAAAGAAAGAAGTAGATTAATAGCAAGAATATTGTCCTGTGAGGTTTTCTGCAACCTATCTGGACAAAAATCTAGCGGTTGTTAAGGCTGGGGTTGTCCTTAGTGTTTTATGAGAGGAGTTAATTTTCACATCCCTAAACCTTAGAAGTTAGGGCATAGGGCAGAAGGAAGGGCTTTGTGCTGATTGATGTTTTCCCAAGCAGAATATTGTAAGAAAAGGCCCTGATGGAAATCCATGCAGGTCATGGAGAGGGTGCAGGTGGCGATAAGAAAAGTTAAGGGCTTAGAGATTGCTATGGATGAATGTTTGTGTCCCCCAAATTCATACCTTGAAATCCTAACCCCCATTGTGATGGTATTGGGGGATAGAGCTCTTAGGCGATGATTAGGTCATGAGGGTGGATCCCTTATGTGTGGGATTAGTGCCATTATAAGAAGACACTTAACGCTTAATAGCTTGGGGTAAAAATAAATAAATAAATGGAATTTTTTTAAAAAAAGAAAAGACACAGAGTTCCCCCAGCTCCTTCTCTCCCTCCCTTCTTCTCCTCCTTCTCTCCCCATATGAAACTACAAAGAGAAGGTGCTGTATATAAGCCAGGAAGCAAGCTGTCACCAGACATCAGACCTGCCAGCACCTCGGTCTTGGACTCCCCAGACTTCAGACTATGAGAAATAAATACTTATTGTTTAAGCCACCCAATCTATGGTACTTTTGTTTAGCAGCCTGAATGAACTGAGATAGAGACATATCAGGACCTACTGTTTAAGGGCCAGGGAATTAAGACCAAGAGGGGAAGTTGATGTAAAATTACCATTCTTGGCCTTAAATCTCTCTCTCAAGTACTAAAATTGGCATTTGAGGACAGCTCTGGGTCTATCCATCAAGCTGGGTATATGGACAGGAATATCACCCGTTCATAGAGTCTCAGAGTTGGAAAGAACCACAGTTGTCAAAAAGAGAGCCATGGTCACTCGTTTGATGCCTCATCCAGGTCCTGGTGGAGTTTGCCGACTATATAATAGCAGATCTAAAAAGTGATGGTCATGCTAGAGTACAGTTACTCTTATCGGGTCCTTGGCTCTCTGAACCAGAAAGCTTCATGTGCATTGCTTTTGTGCTTGCTAGTCAAATGTCCTAGACCTAGTCATTAATTCAGTCGTTTCCCAAAAGTGGGGGCATTTCCCTCTGAGGGAGAACACACAATGATTTTAGGTGGCTTACAGACATAGCATTTAAAAAATTGATTCACGTGTTATCTTTTTCTGATTACATCCAATAGGAAGCCTCTGGTGCATGCTAGGATGACTATAGCATTTTTCTAATGTTTGCAGGTCTCCCTTTGAGTCTAACTCCCACAGTAGGCAAAACTCTGTAAGTGTATTTCCATCGTACATTTCACAGTTACCTTCGATCTATGGCATGGGATCTCGATTTTCCATTTGTAATAGTGATATAAAATTCCTTTTTAAGTAAATATATTTAAGTTTAAAATTAGTTAAAGAAGAATATTGAATAAACAAAAGTGCAGTGACTGTGGCAAAGAATGGTGACTTAATTCAAGGGATGATGGAAGGCTGAAAAACAGTAACTTCATTAAGCAGAGCCCAAAGGGTTCAACAGGTGGGAAAGAGGGAAGGAAACTGGCATTTATGGAGTGCCTGCTATATGCCAAGGCAAATGTTAGGCATTGTTTATACTTTGTTTGCTCAATTGATATTCATAGTGAATTTGTAAAAGTGAGAAAGGACAATGGCTCAAAAGTGCAGACTCTGAAACCACTTACTAGTTGTAGGATCTTGACTAAGTAACCAAACTTCTCTATGTCTCAGCTTAGGGTTGCCAGGTTTAAAAATACAGAATGTCCAATTAAATTTGAGTTTTAGGTAAACAATGAAAAACAATAGTAGAAGTATGTTTCATGAAATATTTGAGACGTACTTTAAAAATATTTTATTGTATATTTTTAAGGTGTATAACATGATGTTTTGATATACATATACCTAGTGAAATGGTTATTATAGTTAAACAAATTATCACATATCTATCATTTCACATAGCCGCTGTGTGTGTGTCTGTGTGTGTGTGTGTGTGTGTGTGTGTGTGTGTGAAGCAAGAATACCTAAAATCTACTGTTAGCAAAAATCCTGAATACAATACAATGTTATTAACTATCATCCGCGTCTGGTACATTAGACAGCTCTACTTTTTCATCCTACATATTTGCAATTTGTATCTTTTGATCTCCAACTTCCCATTCTCCCCTACCACCATCATCTCAGATTTCACATGTAAGTGAGACCATGCAGTATTTTTCTGTCTGTGTCTGCCTTATTTCACTTAGCATAATCCCCTCCAGCTTCATCCATGGTGTGGTAAATGGCAGAATCTTTTTTTTTTTTTTTTTTGAGACAGAGTTTCATTCTGTCACCCAGGCTGGAGTGCAATAGTGCGATCTCAGCTCACTGCAGCCTCCGCCTCCTGGGTTCAAGTGCTTCTCCTGTCTCAGCCTCCTGAGTAGCTGGGATTATAGGCACCTACCACCACACCCAGCTAATTTTTGTATTTTTAGTAGACAACGGGTTTCACCATGTTGGTCAGGCTGGTCTCAAACTCCTAACTTCAGGTAATCCACCTCAGCCTCCCAAAGTGCTGAGATTACCTGAAGAAACCACTGCACCTGGCCAGCAGGATCTTTTTTAAGGCTAATTAATATTCTATTGTATTATATATATACGGTTTCTTTTTCCACTTGTAGATGGAAACTTCAGTTGTTTCCATAACTTACCTATTGTAAATAATGCTGTGACGAACATGGGAGAACAGATGAGGTGGTGATTTCATTTTCTTTGGTATATACCAAGAAGAAGGATGACTGGGTCACATGACAGTTCTTTTTTTAATTTCTTTAGGAACCTCCATACTGTTGTCCACAATGACTGCACCAATCTATGCTCCCACCAACAGGGTACAGGGCTCCCTTTTCTCTACATCCTAACAGTTTGTTATCTCTTGTCTTTTTGACAATAGCCATCCTAACATTTGTGAGTTGATATCTCATTGTAGTTTTGATTTGCACTCCCATGATGATTAGTGAGGTTGAGCACCTTTTCATACACCTATTAGCCATTTTTGTCTCCATTGAACACATGTCTATTCGAGTCCTTTGCCCGTTTTTTAATCTAGCTGTTTGTCTTTCTGTTATTGAGTTGTATGAGTGCTTTGTACACTTTGGATATTAATCCCTTATCTGATAAATGGTTTGCCATTTTTGCCAATCCACAGGCCTCCTTTTTTATTGTTTCATTTGTTGTGCAAAAGCTTTTTAGTTTGATGTAGTTCCATTTAATTTTACTTTTGTGGCCTGAATTTTTGGTGTGATAGCCAAAAAATCATTGCCAAGGCCAATGTCCAGGAGTTTTTCCTTTATGTTTTCTTCTAAAACTTTTATGGTTTCAGGTCTCAGTTAGGTTTGTATATATTTTGAGTTGATTTTTGAGGTATGGTGTAAGATAAAGCATACAAATCAGAAAGGAAGAAATAAAATTATATTTGCAGATGACATGATTCCATATGTATAAACCCCACAAAGAGTCCATAAAAATATTGTTAGAACTAATTTAGTAAATGTAGTAAATTTACTAATAAATTTATTAAATTTTTTCATTAATTAATTTCTTTATAATTTTTCATTTATTTATTTATAAATTAATAAATACAATTTATTATATTTTATATTACACTATTCAATTTTATATTATATTATATTATTAATAAAGATAATTTCATAAATTAATTATTTATGTATTTTTAAATTATTTGTCAATTTATTAAATGATTTATTAATAAATTTATTAGTGAATTTACTAAATTCACTAATAAATTTAGTAAAGTTGCAGGATACAAAATCAATATACAAAAATAAGTTGCATTTCTGCACATGAATAATGACCTATCTGAAAAAGAAATAAAAAAATTTTTCATTTATAATAGCATCAAAAATAAAATAAAATAAAAGATTTAAGAATGAATTGAACCAAGGAGGTAAAAGATCTGTATGCTGAAATTCTAATGAAAGAATTGAAGAAAACACACACACACAAAAAGATATCCTATGTTGATGGATTGGAAGAATTAATCATGTTAACATGTCTATGCTACCCAAAGCAATATGCAAATTCAGTGCAGTCCCTAAATTGCAATGATATTCTGCACAGAAATACAAAAAACAATTCTCGAATTTGTATGGAGTCGCAAAAGGCCCCTAATAGTCAAAGCAATTCTGAGAAAGAAAAACAAAGTTGGAGGCATCACACTTCCTGATTTAAAATTATATTACAAAGTTATAGCAATCAAAACAGTATGGTACTGGCATAAGAACAGACACACAGGCCAATGGAATAGAATAGAGAGCCTAACATATATAGTCAAATAATTTTTGAAACAGTGTGAAGAAGACACATGGGGAAAAAACAATCTTTTCAATGAAAGGTACTAGGAAAACTGGATTTCCACATGCAAAAGAATGTGATTGGACCCTTATCTTTAGGACATACTTATATTAAAAAACAATGTGTTATTTATCTGACATTCAGATTTAACAGGGCATACTGTATTTAATCTGACAGTCTTTTCTAAGCTTCTTCCTCTGCAATATGGTGATAATAAGTCTCTACCTCGTAAGTAAATTAACACATGTCAAGTATTTAGAACAGAGCCTGACACATGGTAAATGCTACTTAACTGTTTTATTATTATCTTTCTAATCTTTTCATGAAGTGGCCATCAAAATTCTGCCTCCAAGACACCTCCACGGAACCCTAGGGCTCTGTGGCACATAGTTCAGGAAACCACTTATCCCAACCTAGCATCTATTTTAAGCAAACCAAGAAAGCTCCCTGAGGGCAGGAATCATGCCTGTTTTCCTAAACAGTATATTTCCATCACAAGCACATGGCCTACAGTGAGTTGAAGCTCAATTAATAGTATTGAGTAAACCATTAAAAGATCATCTTGCAGATTAAAAAGGCCAAAATAGATAACTCTGTGGTCAGTGGTTGGACTGGTGCTAGAATCCACCAGTAAATATGCATTGAGAAACCAGGTTACATCTTAATGAGCATATAGTCTAGCTAAAAAGATGAGCACTAAAGACCTCCAGGAAACAAGAGATGACAGCATGCAAGAGACACCCGATTTATGGTGTCTTTTGGAGCCTCTAAGAATGGGGTTGTTTTGTTCGGGACTAATCCAGGCCTCATCCTGTGAAGCTGTGTCCTGACACTGCCAGTTCACACTGCCCAATTGGAGTCTCTGGATTGACTTTTGCAATGAATTTACGTAAGTGGTTAAACAACCACCAGCAAGTGCTACTTTAGCAGCTACTGGAAATTAGCCCTATGAAAGGCACAGGTGTAATTCAGAAAAGCGTAAGCCAGTAATGTGACCTCAGGTCCGCACAGTCAGAGAGAAGAGATAGGTACTTTAAACCTCCAGAAAACAAGAGATGAAGCATAATATTGAATGAGGAGGAAAAAGTTGGTGTGCCCTATGTGGCCTCTGGGGAGAAAATTAGGACCAGTGAGGAGAAATTGTAAGAAGGCATATTTGAAGGTAGTTTCTAACAAGTAGAACTATCTAAAGACAGAGGGAATGACACAGGGAAGCAGTGAGTCCCATGTCACTGGAGGCATACAAGGGAAGTCTGGACATTCTTTTGTGGGAATATTGTACGAAAGAGTCCACAGGAAGCTGGCCACACTGGTCTTCGTGGTTCAGTCTGCACCTAGTGTGAAATGTAACCAGTACCTGAATTGCATCCTCCACTTCGGGGTTGTCCACATTACTCAAGGATCAAGCCTGTAGCTGAGATGATACTGTGCTTGACAGCCGAGCTGGGAGCTGGGCTCAGGCTCCATGAGCCACACTTCCTCTAGCTGCTAAGTGTTGGGGGAGGTGTGGGGAGTGCAGAGGAGATTAGCATGCCAGTAGGCAGGGGATAGTTTTCCTCTCCCCTATTCAGAATTATTTGCACTCCCAGCAAAGCTAAACTGCCCAAACCACACCACTTGCAAGGATTGTTTTACATCAGAATTACAACAAGATTGTACAAAGCTTTTTTATATAATTTATTTTTTGTACCATTAGAAGATATTATCTGGGTTATGCCAAAACCATCTGGAAAGGCAGGAAGGCACTCGGCCTGCTGCCTGGATCCTCTGCTCAGCTCAGCAGGCCTGGCATAGAAAATGAAATGCCACGGCTCGCACCAGCCGCAACAGCCCCTTCACCCGCTGTCCATACGTATCTTTAACTCAACCACAGATACCCGCCAAGCACACTTCTTCTGCACACTTCCACCTCTTCTTGGGTCTTCTCACAACTATGTCTGGTAGAGAGATACTGCCTAGGGATCTTTCAGCAGGGCATTTTTTATTTATTATTATTATTGTTTGCTTTTCAGTAAGAAGCTTGAAGAGCCTTGGTACTTAATTTGTGGGTAGGACAAACTTAAATGGATAGAATGCAACCCCAACCATTTTTTCCCTTGAACCTGTGTGTCTGCTGTCACACCACCCCCACCACCTCCATATACCATGCACAAGGCTGCCACTCAAACTCAAAGAGACTTGCCCAGCAGACCGGACCCTGTTAGATAGGCAGGCTGAGGAGTGACCAACCAAAGGTCTGAATCATTTAGAGCAGCCCAAGTTCTGAGTCTCCTTTGGTGTATAGTGAGACATTATCACCCCAATGTCTGAAAATACAAGCACTGATTTTTTTCAAAGAGAAAATATATATATGCCTTGTTTATAAACAGCAAAGAAAAGAAGATGAGATACCTGGAAAATATATATTTACCAAAAAAAAAAAAAAAAAAAACAGATCCTGATTCTTTTTAATTGGGTTGGAAGGGGTTACTTCATTATGCAGCAAATTAGAAAATTCATAATTTATCATTGCACCCAGTCGAAATGCCACCCAACTGAGTCGCACCCCTGTGAAAACCATCACATAGTAGCAAACTGTCAAGCCTGCTGCAGCCGACGGGCAAAATTAATATGCAAATGTATGCAAGAAATTAAAAAGCAGAATTACCCAGGCAAATGAGGTAGCTATACTTGAATTGTTAGAATTATGAATAATTACTGCGAATTTTCTGCTCCTAATATAACTTGTTTTTTGATAAACAAAGACTTAATTATCGAGATGCGCTGGAGAATTTCCGTGGCGCTCATTAATCTTGCAAAAAAAACAAGTCCCTGGTGCCCAAGCCGTAATGAAGAGCGCGTGCCCTGAATCTTCAGAAAGATCACAGGCACCAGGGTGCCAGGGCTGGAGAAAAAAAATGACAGTGCCAATGTCCCCTCCTGTACCCTGGAGTGTCATAACGTCTTCCACTAACTATCAAAGGGACTTATTTATGCCAGCAGCTGAGCTATAAGTCCAATTTACGATGCCTTGAGCAGTGGTGAAATGATCTGTTGATGCGCGGTGGAAATGCCATCTTGCAGTGGCGTGCGCTGGTCCCAATGATACCAACATGATGAGGACCCCGCGCTCCGGCGCTAATGGATGTCGCGTGACAGACCGTAATCCACAAGAGGGACCATCTTTTAGGACCGGTCTCGATGGTTCTCCATTAATCTTGGTTGTGCAGCTCACTGGTGTCCATGGGAACAAGGGGTTTTAAATTTCCCCATTAAGAGTGGCAACTTGAAGGAGCAAGACCAGGCACCACCCAAAAGGGCAGTGGCCTGTGCAGCCTTCACTGTCTCTAATGACCAATGCCCAAGCCCGATGGGTGGACCAGGAAAGCTGTCCTTTCTTCAGGTCAGGACCAGCAGGCAGAGGGGAGCCAGGAAGGGTCCCAGGCAGCCTGAGGGGGCTGTTTCCACAGCCCACAGCCCGAGAAGCCACATGGCCCTGTGGGAGCTGGGCTCATTTACCAGAAGCTTGCAAAGGGGCCATCCCCCACCAGGTCCTCCCAGCACACAGCCGAGGGGGCCTGCTGAGCATGTATTATTACTTAAAACCTGGCATCTAAGTGGGAATAACTGAGTTCCCGTCATCATTAGGCCGATTAGCGCCATGATAAACCCTCACAGATCATAAGGCAAAATTACAAAACATCACTTCTGGAGCTCTGAGTCGGCTGAAGGAGCTCCCGGCTGCCTGCATTTTCAAACACCTCCTTTCTGAATTCAGGCCCCCAAATACCCTGATGTCTTGACAGAACCATTTCACTGTGTAGGCAAATTGTCACCTTTTACACCAGGGCATCTGTCATTTTTATACTCAATGCTGCCTCTCCTTCCTCCTTGCTTGCCTGCTCTCTCTCTCTCTCTCTGTCTGTCTGTCTATCTCCCTCTCTCTTTCTCTGCCCCCAGTCTTGGTACAAACCCCTTGGGAAGCCAGCACCCTATCCAGGAATGGACTCATATATCTCCTGCATTATACTTACACAAAAAGAAAAAACCCTCGACAAGTCAGAAATGATGTATCTCCAACATCATTCATCTCCAGATTTTATTTTTATGCAGAACTCAGAGCAGCTTGTCTTGCATTCTCTCACATTCCCTGAGATTAATTCTCACTATGGGACTGTGATAGGATTGTGAGGGTGAGAAGACATCCAAGCTCAACAGGAAATAAAATGCAACTCAGTAACTCCATCTTCAGCCACTCAGACCAATTCCTGAGGGGATGTTCCTGGAGTAGCCATCCTTCTCTTCAGGTGGAATACTCCCCCAGAAAGAGAGAGGCAGGGGAGTCCATCATCTACATATTCATCAATCCTCCATTGGACATTTGACCAATGAGTAAAATTGAACAGCTACTAAGTGCCTAGCACTGGAGGGTCACAGTAGGATATAAGTGACCAGAGAGAAAGACTTAATATTCATAGCAAACTCTACCACTTAAAAGCTGTATGACTGTCTTACTCTATTTTCTGCTGCTATAACAGAATACCACAGACTGGGTAATTTATAAAGAAACAAATTTTATTTGGCTTGTGGTTCTGGAGACTGAGAAGTCCAAGAGCATGTCACTGGCATCTGGTGAGGGTCATCCCATTGCAGAAGGGCAGAAGACAAGCTCAAGGGCAAGACAGAGACAGAAAGGGAGCCAAACTTATCAGGACTTCTGCAATAACTTCTGCAATAACTAACCTACTCCCTAGATAATCCATTCATGAGGGCACAGCCCCCTTGGCCCGATCACCTCTTAAAGGCCTCACCTCCTAATACCATTATAATGGCAATTCATATTAACATGAGTTTTGGCGGAGACATTCAAATCACAGCAGTGACCTTGAGCTATTACTTAATGTCTCTGAGCTGCAATGTCCTCAACTGCGAAAAGGGGACAGAGTGTGGCAAGAATTACATGGCATAAGTATTAAAACCTCATCACAGTACCAAGCACATGATAGGTAATTTGCATTTTTATTATTGGGCTAAAAAATAAATTAGGCTAGTCTCTGCCTATCCTCAGGAAGGGTGGAGTCCAGGTGGGTGTCACAGGGAAACCAGTACCAAAAAACATGATACAAGAAATTAGCAAATAATTGTAAGCAAAGATGAATCACCCTGACTTTAGAAAGTATCAGTGGGGATTGAAGTAATCAGTGAAGTGACAGACACACCAAGATATCATCTCTTATTCAAACCCTACCCTTCAGAGCTCTCTGCTCTGAGACACTGGGTTAGGCTCTGGAAGCTGCATTTTTGTTTTCTCTGCTGCTCCCTGGTAGGCTTGCAGAAAAAATGAACTTGCACTTCCTGTTCTTCTGTCCTTCCTGTTTTGCTTCTTCACTCCAGCAGCAGCAGTTCCTTCCTGCAGCCGGAACTGAATCTAGTTTGAATGTTTTCAGTACCTATCAGACCAGCTTTCCTGTGCACCACGCTAGGGAGACCAAGTTTTAGTGCTGAAAGTTCCATACCCTAGGAATTCCCTCCATCCCAAGGCAAACCAGAATGGTTGGTCACCCTTCTCATCTCAGAGACACCAGAACCAGCCAAGCAGTGCCCGCTCCTCAGAGGTCTGGGTTCAAGCTCCACAGGCTCTGCTGTGCTTTCTAAGTTCTAGCAATTCTACCTGCTTCCTTTGTCCCCAGCCCTGGGAGGGTGTTAGGCCATTTTCTGCAAAAACAGAATACCACACACCGAGGAATTTATAAAGAAAAGAGGTTTATTTGGCTTATGATTCTGGAGCCTGGGAAGTCCAAGAGCATGTCACTGGCATCCAGCAAGGGTCATCCTATGGCAGAAGGGCAGAAGACAAGCTCAAACCCTGGGGCTGCTTCCTGCTCCCATGATACCTTAATGTGCTCTTTCTAAGGACCTGATTAACAATCTCATAAATAGTTAACACTTCTTTCTTACTAATTGTAGTAAAATATACATAACACAAAATGTACCACTTTAACCATTTTTAAGTGTATAGTTCAGTGGCATTAAGTACATTCACAGTACTGTACAACCATCAATACTCTCCATATCCAGAGCTTTTTGTTTGTTTGGTTTTTGAGTTTTTTGTTTTTTGTTTTTTTTGAGATGGAGTCTCACTCTGTTGCCCAGGCTGGAGTACAGTAGCACAATCTCAGCTCACTGCAACTTCTACCTCCCTGGTTCAAAAGATTCTCCTGCCTCAGCCTCCCAAGTAGCTCGGACTACAGATGTGTACTACCATGCCCGGCTAATTTTTTGTATTTTTAGTAGAGTTGGGGTTTCACCATCATGGCTAGGCTGGTCTCAAACTCCTGACCTACAGTGATCCACCTGCCTCGGCCTCCCAACGTGCTGGGATTACAGGCATGAGCCACCATGCCCGGCCAATCTTCAGAACTTTTTCATCTTGCAAAACTGAAACTCTGTACCCATTAAACAACAACTCTGTATTCCCTCTCCCCTACCCTGGCAATCACTGTTCTACTTTCTGTCTCTACAAGTTTGGCTGCTCTAGGAACCTCATATAAGGAATCATACAGTATCTGTCCTTTTGTGTCTAGATTATTTTTCTCGTATGTCTCCAAGCTTCATTCATGTCACAGCATGTGTCAGAATTTCCTTCCTTTTCAAGGAAAGAAATAATATTTCTGAATAATATCCCACTCTATGTATATAACACATTTTCTTTGTCCATTCATCCATTGATGGACCCTTGGGTTGATTCCACCTTTTGCCTGTTTTGAATAATGCTGCTATGAACATGGGTGTGCAAATATTGCTTTAACACCCTGCCTTCAATTATTTCGGATGTATACCAAGAAATGGAATTGCTGGTTCATCAGCTAATTCTATATTTAATTTTTTGAGGAACCACCATAATATCTTCCACAGAGGCTGCACCATTTTACATTCCTACCAGCAAGGTACAACGGCTCCAATTTCCCCACTTCCTTGCCAACATTTGTAACTTCCTGTTTTGCTGGTAATAGTTATTCTAATGGGTATGCAATAGACCACTACTTTATGTTAGATTTGCTCTGTTGGACTAACAGGCATGGCTCCATCTCCTGGTTGGGCCCTAGCTGATACAGAAGGCTTCTAGGAGGAGCTGCAATTGGAGCAAATCATTGGAGGATGAGGCACCTGATGGGTGCTGAGAGGGAGGGCATCAGGGCAGGACTAGACTGTTGAGGGGAAGGGCCAGAGAAGAGCAGGACTGGACCCTTGCCAGGTTGGGGTGAGGCCATGCAACTCACATAGCCAAGCTGGATTCTATTCTCTCAGCAACCTGTCCCTGAAGCTGAAGTAAGTGTCCTCTGACTGCAAATCCAGCAGTGTGCTCCCAGATCAACACTTCTCTAAGCATCTAAGGAGCAGACCTAGGAAGCCTCTAATGAAGTATGTGGCCCGCTAAACAAATGCAAAAACTGAGGCCTACAGGGAGGCAGTAACTCAGCCAAAACACCCTGTGAGAACTCAGCCTTCTTGATTCACTCCATCTCATAGCACTGGTCTCAGTCTTTCTCCTACATACCACCCTCTGTGTAGAGGAAAACACCTCCTTTGCCTTCCCAGGCCCAATGGTGGTGGTAATAGTAACAACCAGGTTGATTGAGTGCTGACAATGGACCAGGCACTTTACATGCATCATGCCACTGTCCAGCCTCAGCATTGTCCAAGGTCAGTTCTATCACTGTTCCCATTTTACAGATGAGGAAACTGAGGCTTAGCAAGTTTAAATGACCTGGCTGAGCTACAGAAGTAGAACCAGGATTGGAACCCTGCAGTCTGACCCCAAAGCCCACATGCTTTGGCCATTCCACCCCTCCCCTCTGCGCTGTGGGAAGATGTGAAATTTTCCAGAGGAAGGACCTGAGTCCTCATAGCTGCATGCCCCCAGAGCACTGAGAGGGGCTGAAACATGGATGCTAGGAACTTTCCAGCAACAGCTGCTGATGGTGAGTTGACTTAGCGCTCCCATGGCAACATGTGGAAGGCAGAGGCAGTAATTGGGAGAGACAGAGAGAGCCCAGAGCCAGGCAGACCAGTCCTGTCAAAAGTCCTGGACAAGGCAAGAACTTTCTGTATTATTTTTTCTGCCCATATTTATTTAGGAATGTGTTTTTCCCCCAAGCTCTTTCTGAGGCTGTGGTGAGGAGGGCAGGCTGTGTGGGCTGAATCCAGGGAAATGTGGACTCACCTGCACAGAGGCCCATGCCCGCTTCTACCCTGCACTCAGGACTGGATCCCCAAGGGCCCTGATGGGGAACCATGGCACTGGGCAAGGCTGGTCCAGCAGCCTGATACCAGCCCTGGGTTGGAGAAGGTGAGCAGCCCGGCCTTCCAGCACAGGCAGGTGTAAAGGCTAGGCTCCCCCAAGCACCAAGATCCAGAATTTGACACAGCTCTCCTCTCTGCCCAGGGCCTCTCAAAGATCCAGTGAAAGCCCCAGACCTATTTCTTACATGCCTGGGGGGTTTGTAGAGCCCCCTGAAGCCTACTGTGGACAGCCTTGGGACCCACAGACCCCAGATTAAGTACCTCTGAGCTTGCCTCCAAGCTTCTTAGGAACAGGGATGGGTTTGTTGTGGAATCCCTGACACCCAACATGGGCTAGCCCATCACAAGCCCCCACACATGTGCTGAATGACGAAGTAACTCCAGGTAGAGATTCTCACACCTGTTTTGCAGGTGAGGAAACTGAGATCCAGAGAGGATGTGCAATTTGTGCAATGCCAGGACCCGTCTCCAAAGTCCAGGCTCCATCCTCTCTAGCTGCCGCCTTCAGCGGTGCTGGGTATCATAGTGAGAGGTTAACGTTTCCTGTATGTTTAAGCGTATAAGCGCATCAACATGTTGTCTCATTCAGTGTCCATAGCAACCACAGCAACAGGCCTAGCATTGCATCTATTTTAAAGCTGAGGAAACTGAGGCACAGAGATGTTGAGCAACTCACCAAGGCTCTCGACAGGTGAGTGGCAGAGCTGGGATTTGGACCAAGCAGGCTGCCCCCAGGGCTCATGTGCCCACCAAGTGGGCTCTGCTACCTCCCCCAGGGGATAAACTTAGGTTTTGGAAGGCAGGAACACCCTAGACTCCCTGCCCTGTGGGAGGGGACTTTGAGGGGCAGCAGCACGTGGAGCCCGAGGCCAGGCATGAAAGCCAGGCAGGCCCCCAAGGCAAATCCAGGAGCCAGCACTTGCTAGCTGCGAGAACCTCGGGCCTCAGTTTACTCAGCAGGAACAAAAGGTGGGGAGAGGCTATGCCCACTTTGAGATGCGTGTCCAGCATTTGGCACAGACATGCAGGCACAATCAAGGTGATCTGCAGAAAGCACTCAGAACAGTGTCTGGTACAGGTGGAGTGTCCCTAAGAACGAGTTACCGCTGCTGTTGTTATTACTGTTAATGCTCTTTAACCACCCTCCCACATCCATGATGGAAAAGCTGAACCATCAGTACAGTGGGAGGTGATGGGGGTGCCTAGAGAAAATGATAAGCAGGAGCCTGGAGTCAGCACACCTGTCCCTAACCCAGTCCCATACCCCGGGGCAGGTTCTCAATCTGTCTGTGACTCATTCCCTCTGCCACTCCCATCCATGAACCAGGGACAGCAGTGATAACCCCCACCTCATGGCCTTGTTGCAAGCACTAACTGAGATCGCCCATGCTGTCTTTAGAGCTGTGCGGGCACGGGGGAAGCATTCCGTAAGTGCTGCCTGTTCATGTCGCTAGTGGTCGCAGCCTGGTCTGTCTTAGAACTTCATTAGGACCAGGCGCGGCGGCTCATGCCTGTAATCCCAGCGCTTTGGGAGGCCGAGGCAGGCGGAACACGAGATCAAGAGATCGAGACCATCCTGGCCAAGATGGTGAGACCCTGTCTCTACAAAAAATACAAAAATTAGCTGGGTGTGGTGGCGGGTGCCTGTAGTCCCAGCTACTCAGGAGGCTGAGGCAGGAGAATTGCTTGAACTCAGGAGGCAGAGGTTGCAGTGAGCTGAGGTCGTGCCACTGCACTCCAGCCTGGCAACAGAGTGAGACTCCATCTCAAAACAACAACAACAACAACAAAAAACTTCATTAGAAATGTCTGGTTTGGTCAAGTCCGTGCACTTCTGTTTCAGGTGGCTATGCCAGGCTGCCCCAGGCTGGAAAATCACACACAGCCTCCAGACTCAAGAGGCTCACAATTCCATGTGGATAAAAATGACCCCACTTAGTTCTTACATAAGGTTGGCTGTGAGCTGAGCCATGGCTGAGAGACGCAAGGGAAATTGCAGTGTTTGCCACTAGACCTGGACAGGGTTTGAGGGATTGAAGCAGGTCTCAAAGAATGAGGACAAAATGGTAGGGAAAGGGCATTCCAGGCAGAAGGATTTGCATACACAAAGGGCCGGAGACTGTTCGCAGATCACTACTAGAATATATAATGCCTTTGTGTAAACTGAACAAAAGCTACCTTGAACCCAGTGCAGGCATCCTCAGTCTAAAGTGTACAGCTTGATGAACGGGCATTGGGCCATATGCCATGCCCTACCCACCCCTTGGCTGGGAGCCCTCGTATACAGTGAACAACCTGACCAGCCATACACAGGGCTTTAGGTGTTCAAGAAAATAAAGACTCATTTGATGCTGCTGGAATGTGATGTCCATGGAGAGAAGGGTGCAATGAGAAGTAATGTTGGAAAGATGAGATGGGCCATCTCATAGAGCAGGATAGCAAACTGGAGAGGGAGAGCCAACTGGTTGTCTGTAGTCTATCAATCAGGATTGTCTGCCTGGAGCAGGAGGTGGAGTACAGAGAGGATGCAGGCGCAGATAGTTCAGAAAGAGCTGAGATTGATTAGTGATGTCTGTCATGGACACAGAAAGGGAAACAGCTGAAGAATCCGCACATAGCCTGTGCTCTCCTTGTCTCAGCAGGGATGGCAAGCTAAGGAATACCATTTTATTCTGGCGATGTTGCTAAGAGGATTTTCCCCATAAGAGGCTCTTCTGGGGCAAAGTTAGCCTGCAGCTCTGTGGGACCCCATTCTCCCTCACATTTAGCTCTGTCTTAAATAATCAAAGTGCAGGTAGGGGAAGGAGAAAAATCCACCCGCTGTGGTGGAATGAAGCTGCAGCAGCTTCACTAAGATGGGTCTGCCTCTGCCTCGAGTGCACAGAGCCTTGGGCACAGACACTTGGCCCCAAGGAGTCTGCGAGACGAGTGCACCTCTAAAAATTAATTTTTAATTGGCACACCCTCGACACGGGAAGGAACAAAGGAGGGAAGGAGATGGTGGGGAGGAGCCTCCCTGAACAACCTCCTGGTTCCCCACATGGCCCAGTGACCATCTGAACCTGTGCTGTCCACTGAAGTGACCACAGACTCCAGGAGGCTACGGAGCACTGGAAACACAGCCTGAATTGAGTCTGAATTGAGATGAGTCTTAAGCACTCGCCAGCTTTCAAAGACTTAGTGTGGAAAAAAAAGAATGCAAAATACCTCACTAGTAATTTTTATATGAATTACATGTTGAAATGATAATATTTTGGATAATTGGGTTAAATTATAGTATTAAAGTTTATTTCTCCTGTTCCTTTTTACCTGGCTACTAAAAAACCTCCTACACATGTGGCTCGCTGTATGTTTCTGTGGGCCAGCACTGCTCTCAACTTTCCACAGGTGATTACGGCCTGTGCTGGGACCAGTCCCAGAGGTTTGGGCTCTGGCCACAAACGTATGTGAGGAGGGTGTAGCCCAGCCCACAGCTGGACTCCTTCCTCTACAGCACAAAACCTGCAGCCTGAAATCCCAGAGGAGAACCCCTGGTGCCTGGGGTACATGAGATTTGTGCTCTTCAAAGGAATCAACTTTATTTATTTTATTTTATTTTATTTAGACTATTTTCTAGAGCAGTTTTATGTTTGCAGAAAATGTGAGTGTAAAATACAGAGGCTTCTTGTGTATTCCCCTTGCCCTCACATTCACAGCTTCCCCCACTGTCAACATTTTGCATGAGTGTTGCCATTGCACTTGTTGCAACTGATCAACCAGTACTGACACCTTATTAATAATGAAAGTCCTTACTTTAGATTGGGGTTAACCATCTGTGTCATACATTCCATGGATTTTGGCAAATGGCATGTATCCAGCATTACAGTGGTGTACAGAATAGCTTCACTGCCCTCAAAAGCCCCTGAACTCCACCTTTTCATCCCTCTGCACTTCCTCCCAATTCTTAGCCACCACCCATCTTTCTACCATCTCCATAATTTTGCCTTTTTCAGAATGTTATATGGTTGGAATCATACACTAGCTAGCCTTTTCAAACTGGCTTCTTTCATTCAGCAATGTGGACTGGAAGTTTCTCCATGTCCTTTTGTAAGCTGACAGTCCATTTCTTATCTCTAAATAATATTCCATTGTATAGCTGTACCACGTTTGTTTATTCACTCACTTATCGAAAGACATCTTGGTTGCTCCTAGGTTTTTAGTTTTTAACAGATTTTAAACATCTAGATTCTTCAATTCTCATGTTATTAGTAATTTAGGAGAAGAATAAAACACAGTTTTGGAAGCGGTGAGTGGAACTAGGCCATCAAATACATTGACGGCAGATGTGCAAATCACTGCCCCTGTCCTCAAAGGTGTGTCTCAGATCCCCCAAGGAAGGAGAGGTCCAAAAGAGGCAAGTCCAGGGGGCTGGGATTCAGGAATGCCCCAGGAGCACCTGCTACCTCCAAACCAAACTGGAGATGCAGGACTCGCTGAACAATTGTGGTGGGGTAAAGGGAGGATAGTGAAGGGTCTTTCATCAGCTGAATACCAGCCAAATGCCAGGTGATCACCCACATTTTTAATCCCAACCAAAACCCTGTGGGGTCTGAATCAGTGAACTTGTTTTTCAGCTCAGAGAAGCAATGTAACCTGCCTGAGGGCACACAGCAAGTTAAGCACCAGAGTTGAGCTTGGAGGCCAGGCCATCTGACTCCAAAGCCATGCATGTACATTTCAAAGTAGAGTATCCCCTCCCCCACCGAGAACAAGGCCCTCATGTCCGCATCTTTGGGATGTAGTACCCAACTTCATCCTGGATCTTGCCCAAAATTTCCATTCCAACATCTTGTTACAAATGTAATTTCCATGAGAATACGAATCTTGTCTGTTCTTGTCACTACAGCATCTGCAGTACCTAGCACAATGCTTATCACATAGTAGGCACTCAGTAAATATTTCTTAAATGAATACATGAACAAATGAATGAATAGACTCACAGTCTGGAGGAGGTGAAAAAGGAGAAACATACCTGGCTAGAGCGTGATCAAGGGCAGAGGTACCTGATGCAGCAGGAACATTCAGGCGGGGCCCCTGATCCAGCCTGGGGCATTAATGGCTTCCTGGAGGAGGTGATGCTTATGTTGAGTCTCAAGAATGAGCTAGAATCCGAAGAGGCAGGGGAAGCAAACCCAAAGCAGAGAGGCGGGACCAGGATAAGTAGAGTGGATGCATAGAAGGGGAGACAGAGAGAGGCCAGCAGAAGCCTTGTAGGTCACCAGAAGAGTCCTGGAGTCTATCCCACAGACACTGGGTGATGGTTCCAAAAGGGAGTGCAATCTATGTGTGGGCAGAGGGGTGAGGCCCCATCACCTGGAGGGAGACTCTGGGCCCTGGAGAAATAGCAAACTATAAAAGGGGTGTGTGGAAGCATGCAATAGAGAGGCCACCTCACATCACGTTTGGCAGCCTCCCCTTAGGTGCCAATCAGACCTGGGTTTTGGCCAGCTGTGTGACCTCACCTCCAGCAAGACACGTCTCCCTCTAAAGCTGTGTCCTCACCTTTAAAACAGGAGACATGTGCCTGTTCCAGTCAGGGTTACACGAATTATCACAAGCACAGGGCCTGGCACACAGGAAGTGCTTGATAAATAGTAACAGTGGCTATTGATAAATAGGAGCTATTATCATTATTTATCAAACCAGCACATGGGATTTTTTTTTAAAGGTTGAAAAACACCACCCTAGGGAGCCATTAAAAGACTTTTAAGGAGGACACTGATGGGATCTGATTTGCAATTCAGAAAGATCACTCAGGCTGCTGAGTGGAAGATGGATGAGAGGAGGAGAGAAAGTCAGAGACCAGCAAGGAGGCGATTTCCATCATGCAGGTGAGAAATGACCAGGACAGGCATCGCCAGGGAGCTGAAGAGGAGCCAGAATGGAGGCATCTCGTGGTGGGGAGCTCAGCGCTGGGTGATTGATTGGCCCCTGAATGAAGACTGGAGGTGGGCAAGAGCAGGACTCATTTGGAACATCAGCCGAGAAAGCTGGACCAGCACCCATTTTCAATGGCATGAGGAAGCAAGGAGAAGGAACACAGCCACCCTAAGCTATCCCTCTAGAGAAAAGAGTCTGGTGAGAGCTCATGACCTCCAATGGGCCATTACCTAACACGTTTTCTTTGGAGATGAAAAGTGGATGCCATTCACCTTTGTTTTTCATTCTTGACCAATGAACTCTGCAAAGACACAGTCATGATGTCTCCTTGGGTTGGCAACACCACGGGCTTAGTTTAAATTTACACAAAGCTTCGGGATCCTTTTTGTTTGGGGTCAGGGGAAGCTCATTCAATGACACAGTTGGAACTGTCATGTCCCAGCATTAATTACAGAACGCCATTGTTCCATGTATAGAAAGGGAACACAATATGTTCCATGTATAGAAAGGGAACACAATATGTTCCATGTATAGAAAGGGAACACAATATGTTAATATGTTTTTAGGAAAACCCTTGTGTTCCATTCGCTGGTTGTCTTTTTTTTTTTTTTTTTTTTTTTTTTTTTGAGACGGAGTCTCGTTTTTTCACCCAGGCTGGAGTGCAGTGATGCGATCTCAACTCACTGCAACCTCCGCCTCCCAGGTTCAAGCGATTCTCCTGCCTCAGCTTCCCCAGTAGCTGGAACTACAGGCACGTGCCACCACACCCGGCTAACTTTTTGTATTTTTAGTTTCACCGTGTTAGCCAGGATGGTCTCAATCTCCCGACCTCGTGATCTGCCCACCTCGGCCTCCCAAAGTGCTGGGATTACAGGTGTGAGCCACCACGCCTGGCCTGCTTGTCTTTTATAAAGTTTTTTTTATAAAGTTTATAAAGCAGCATTACCTGCTCAGGTGGACACGTTGCTCCAGATCGGTGGTCCCCCTGCTCAGGTGGACACGTTGCTCCAGATCGGTGGTCCCCCTCCTCCACACCGACACTCTTAGTCATGTTGTGTTTTTCATTCACATTGGTAATCACTCTTTCCTTTTGCATTTCTTGTTCTCTCCTGCTCTCTGCATTTAGCCATTCTTCTCTTTACTTACAGGAGCCTGCCTTAACACTCCCCATAATCATACTTAATACTCTGCAAATTAATAGCTGTTTTTTCCACAATCCACCTCTTTCTAGATACGTATATAGTTTTTGGCACCACTCATTGCCTCTCCCAGTTCTGCACATCCAATGTACAAGGTAGGCTCACTGAATTTAAGATCCCAGTTCATAAAAGTACGATGCATGGAGAAACCATCAGTGACAGCAAAACAATGTCCCTCAAGCCCCGTAGCTCGAGGCTCAGTAACAGATGAGAGCACAACATATCTTCGGGATAGAGTATTTACAAAACTACTTTAAAAGAATTGCATGTCATTAATCACAAGTTCTTAAAAATCGGTCTTTTCTTATTTGTTCTAATCTAGCTAAATGGCCCTGGAAATACAGTCTGTGGTTTGCTCGATAAATGCAAGTTGAAAATCATAATGTTCTCATCCAATTTCCAACTCATACATCGTGTTATGGATTTTTTTTTCTGCTAGCATTTCTCCAGTCCACTAAATATTCCAGACATACAAGAGTCTTCATTTGATTCATTCTAATAACTTTTTTCATCAATATGACTTTTGAGAATGCATTGGTATAGCAAATTAAATATTATTTATGACTTTAATTTGTGTCCTATTTGGATTTTACATTCACAGGGCCAAGTTGGCTATCATCATTATCATATTGTTTTAGACTACTCCTAAAATTAAAATCCACTCTCGTCTTTAAATGTTTTATTGTGCTTGTCATTCTTGTTTTGTGCCGTACCGAACATGATTAATTCTGTTAGCCAAGTGCATATGGCCTGCCTGGCCACCATCCATTTCCTTCATCACGGCTGCCTGTGAGTGAGCACTTTATTATTACTTTTTTCATCTTTTCAATTACCAGATGTGCTTCCCAGTTCTCGGAGCTTCAGCACTGTCCAAATCCAAGTCTTTGCTGTGGCTTTTAAGTCCAGTGCAATCGGCCCTGGCCCCAGCCTCCTCCCGTGCCTCCCTTCCCCTTACCCACCATGCCGGCCTCCTAGCTTCCTGTCAGTTGCTGGAACACACCAAGCTCTTCCCTGCCTCTGGGCATTCCCACATCCCCTTCCCTCTGCTGGTAACACTCTTCCTTCGCTTTTCCCGTGACCAGCTCCTTCTCCTCTTGCAGGTCTCCTCTTTGAGAGGTTTTCCTGGACCCTTCTCCAAATGAAGCACCATCACCATCACCACCTCCCCGATTCTTCTGCATCAGGGGCCCCACCCTTTCTCCTCCTAGCATGTATCTCTATTTGTAATATTTGTTCATTCATTACTTGTGTATTGTCTTTCTCACTGCCGTACCAGGGCAAAGATTTTGACTGTCTTGTTCACTGCTGTGGGCCAGGGACTAGGATATCCAGAAAGCTTAGGTCCTCTAAGAAGAGGGGAAGGGGTGGGGAGGAAAGGAGTTGGCAGCAAAACATTCCAAACCAGAGGATGTCAGAACCCAGATATTCTTCAGGAATCTCTGCCTCCCCATTCCCTTCCAGAATGTCTAGGGTAAGTAGAGAATGATAAACATTTGCCCACTCTGGTGACTCCTGAGCAGGAAAAAGTGAGTATCAAGGGAATAAGGGGGTCTTGGGGCCCCATGGCTCCGTTGGGGGATTTTTCTGGTGATAGAGTTAAAATGACACTACACTGAGGGCTGACAACACCACAAAGGGTTGTGGTCTCTCAATTTCCCATGAAGTACTTAGAAATAATCACGTGTAGATCTTGGCTTCTAAATACCATTCTGCACTAAAACGAACCAAGGTTCCATAGAAAAACGGCTGACCTCAGGGCTTGGGCAAGAAAAAATATAAGATGAGCCAGGAATATTTTTTGTGCCAAAAAAATAAGAAAGCACTCAAAGGATGATGGAAAGACGTTCAAAGATATAGATGCCAGTGTGAAAGAGTTCCCACTGGCCAAATCTGGGACTGTTGAGCAATGAAGTATATAATAATCATAACAGATTACAACCCACTGAATAAAATAAATTATAATCCTTGAGTGCATTCTGATATAAAATAAATAAATACATAAAATAGACTAGAAGTAAAAGACAGAATCACCTGGTGATCAGAAATTCAGGCACACTTGCCTTTAAATGCCAGTTCTGCTGAGCAGGAGCTGGACATCCTGATGAGGAGTTGCAGCAGCTCTCTACCCATCTGTGCATGAGACAACACTGGCACCTTGCTCGCAGGCTGCTTTGAGAAGTAAATGAGCGGATCACTGTAATGGAAGCACTAAGCACAGTGCTTAGCACCCAGGAAACACACATGACCATCGCCAGTCTTGTCGTTATCATGATTATTCTTCTTACTGCCCTGGACACTGACAGCTGAGGCATTCACAACAGGACTTCTGAGGTATTCTAAGGAGCTCTGTTCTAGGTTCTAGGAGAATCTTCAGCTCTCGCCTGGATTCTTCTGTGTCTCCCTACAGTAAAATGCAATGTCAGCCCAGTGCCTAGGGGACTGACTTATTGCTCCTATAAATCCTTTCCTTCCAAATTGGGCCCTCTCAGGGTCAGCAGCCAGGAGCCTCATAACCAACTAAATGAGGCAGGAACAGAGCTAAGCCTGAAGTCCCCACGCCCCCCAAAAGCAATGGTTCCTGGTAGTTGCCTGGCACTTCCACCCAACAAGGAACCATCTCCCCTTTGTTTTGTTTACTTCATTAAAGAGTGTGCAGGGAACTTCAGAGAAGGAAGCTGTGGCTTCTGAGAGTTTCACGACTTGCCCAAAATCACACAGTGGACCAGAAACAAGTTCAGTTCCCCTCTTAGAAAATCCTGCCTTTGATATGATTAAGTCCTTACAGACACTGTACACACCAAGGACTATGGTTGGGTCCTTTGAAGAGAGCAGCGGGGTTTGCCCTGAGCCATACAAAGAATAGGTGGCAAAACCAGCTGTGTTGAGCCTGGGGTCCTCCAAACACAGGCAGAGCCCAGAGGGGCCTTGACAGAGAAGCAGGATGGAAGCAGACCCAGGGTATTGGCTTATGGAGACAAGAAAAGGCGAAGTGACTGAGCAGGTTGCATGGAGCCAGGATGTTTGGCCAAATGAAAAGGACTTTCCTTTTTGAAGAATGACTTGAATTCTGATGCGCCTGGGTTAAACTAATAGCTCCAACACTTAGGATTATATTACCTTGGACAAGCTACTTAACCTCAGTTAGCCTGTGTTTCTCCATACATCAAATGGGCTTGTATTAATCCCACCAGTTTGGTAAGTGTTGCCCTGTCCCTTCTTGTCCTTTGCACTAAAGACCACAGTTAGACATGGAGAAAATAACTAAATCACCCGCACGAACCATCTCACTCCATTCCAAACAATTTGCATTATTACTATTATGCAAATAATTCAGTAGAGGCCACAGAGGTTGTATGCTGCAGCCAATAAGAACAGTAACGAGATTATTATATTCTAAATTACTTATTTAGTTTAGCATCTTTGGAAATCAGAATGCATCTGAGAGCTGACATATTCTTACAATTAAGTGGCAGAAATGTTTTCTTTCTTGGTGCGTAAAATAAGCAACACAGCTAACAATAGATGATACTTTAGATATAAGAAAATATGGTAATGACTATTAAAATTTTCTTACTTAATACTTTCTATGTGCCAGGTACTATGCTGAGTGTTTAATGGGCGTCATCTAATTTGATGGTCCCTGAGATAAATTCAATTAGAGCCACTTCAGCAATTGATATGGTTTGGCTCTGTGTGCCCACCCAAATCTCATCTCGAATCATAATCCCCATGTGTCAAGGGAGGGACCTGGTGGGAGATGACTGGATCATGGGGGCCGTTTCCTCCATGTTGTTCTTGTGATAGGAAGTGAGTTCTCACAAGAGCTGATGGTTTTAAAGTGTGGCACTTCCTTGCTCTCTCTCTCTCTCTCGTCTGCCACCGTGTGAGACATGCCTTGCTTCCCCTTTGTCTTCCGCCATGATTGTAAGTCTCCTGAGGTCTCCCTAGCCATGCAGAACTGTGAGTCAATTAAACCTCTTTTCTTTATAAATTGCCCAGTCTCAAGGAGTTCTTTACAACTGTGTGAAAATGGACTACACCGATGAAGAAACTAAAGGACAAAATTATTAAGTAGCTGACACAGTCACGTACCTAGTGTATCAGTCAGGATTGTTCAGAGAATCAGAACCAATCAGATAGTTAGATAGATAATAGATAGTGATTTTTACATATCTATCTATTTATAAATATATATATTAGGTATATATACCTGTATTAGCCCATTCTCATGCTGCTAAAAAGAACTGCCCATGTCTGGATAAGTTATTTTTAAGAAGAGGTTTAATTGACTCACAGTTCTACAGGGCTGGGGAAGCTTCTGGAAACTTACAATCATGGTGGAAGGGGGAGCAAACATATCCTTCTTCACATGGCGACAAGAAGGAGAAGAATGAGAGACGAGCAAATGCGGAAGTCCCTTATAAACCAACAGATCTCATGAGAATGTACTCACTATCACAAGAATAATAGCATAGGGGAAGCTGCCCCTATGATTCAATTACCTTCCACCAGGTCCCACCCACTACACGTGGAGCTTATAGGAACTACAATTCAAGATGAGATTTGGGTGAGGACACAGCCAAACCACATCAATACCCCAAAATATGTACATAGATTTATTATCTATCAAGAGATTTGTTATATATGAAGAGATTTATTTTACATATAAAAAATATATACAGCATAAATTATATATATATACCTCTCCAGTTCCAAAAGCATGCTATATATTCTCTCTCACTCTCCCTCTAGATTTTTCTAGATCTCTCTCTATAGATACATCCATAGATCTAGAGAGAGTGTGTGTGTGTGAGAGAGAGAGTATATAGCATGTTTTTGGAACTGGAGAGATAAATATCAGAAGAAACTATCAGAATAGTTGAAGGTGTTTGCTTTGTGGATCAGGAATCAAGAGAAGGAAGTTCAGACACAGGGCTTGTGTTTTTCACTATAAGCCATATAGAACAATTTGATTTTAAACTCCATGTATGTATCACAACAATAAAAATTAGAGTTATAAAAAAAAAACGAAAACAAGTTTCCAGCACGATGAGAATCTGGGGAACTGACCACCAGTTTACCTTCTCTAACTCTTCCCTCAAAATCTCTCTGCTCCAGCTTAACAAGCCTCTTCCACCCTGATGCCTCTCTCTTCTCACCTAGAGAATGGGACTGCAGAGCCGCCTGGAATGCCAGCAAGTTGACCCACGTGGCAAAGTACTTTCTGATCTTTCTCTCCCTTACAGATCATCATAGTAAATGTGCTGTGCCCTAATCAGACACGGATACACAAAACCGGATATGATGTGGCCCCTGCTGGCCTCTCCAAGGACATATCAAGCCACTCTCCCCAACCCTGACACTGGCCTGCCAAGCTCTTTCCCACCTCAGGGCCTTGGCAGGCTCTTCCCACTGCTTTGGACGTTGTCCCCATTCCTGCATCCCCTGTAGCTGGTTCTGCTTCCTGCTGCAAATTTAATTTGCAGGTATGGCCTTCCTGCAGAGGTGTGGCCATCCCTAACCAAACTAATTAGGCCCTCATTCCATTTTCTCCTCTCCCTTCTCGAAACATAACAGTTACCACATTTTAAATGTGATACCAGTTTGTTTGCCATCTATTGCTACTCAATAGATTGTAAGTGCCATGTGGGAAAGGAGCAAGTTCATTTTATTTTTAAATTTTGCATAGCACCTGGCAAACAGCAGGCCCTCAACTGAATGAATGAGAGAAGAACGGTGGCAGCTAAATGTCACAAGAGGCCACTGTGTTCGCACCAAGCCCCTATATGCCTCAGTTAGTTTTGACCAGGTCTTCACTTGACTGAGTCCCCAGGCATAAAAGTCTCTAGTTTAGGCATTAACATAGGAGCATGACATCAATTATTTGCAGTGTCCTGGAGTTCATACCAGTTAACACTTTATATACAGCATGGCTATGGTCTGATGCCTGTATCCTCCCAAAATCCATATGTTGAAATCCTAACTCACAAGGTGGCATTAGCAGGTGGAATCTTTGTGAAGTGATTAGGTCTTGAAGGTAGAGCCCTCAAGACTGGAATTAGTGCCCTTATAAAAGACCCCAGAGAACTAGCTTGCCTCTTCCACCATGGGACACAGCAAGAAGGTGCTGTCTATGTATGAACTGGGAAGCAGGACCTCACCAGACACCAAGTTTGCCAGTGCCTTGACCTTGGACTTTCCAGCCTCCTGAACTGTGAGAAGTAAACGCCTGTTGTTTATAAGTCACCCAGCCTATGATATTTTGTCATAGCAGGGCCCACATGGACCAAAACAAGTACTCACTCTGGGCCAGATCCCATTCCAAGAAATTTACACACAGAAACTCACTGGATTCTCATCACAGCTCTACTAAGTGGGTGGAGTTTTTAATCCCCATTTTACAGATGAGAAAACTGAGACAAGAGAGCCTAAGCAAGTTTCCCAATCCACGCAGTTGGTATGTCAGGATGCAGACCCAGGGACTAGCTCCAGAGTCTACAGTCAACCACTGCACGATGTCCATGAGAACAACAAAGTCAGGTATGAAACAGGATGTGGCTTGCCTTGTGAAAAGCACTCGCTGCCATTACAAGCCCTCACTATGTGCTAGACACACTCCTGGGCACTTTTCATATTTGTCTCCTTAGTGATTTAACACTGCCATCAGATCACACGATCATCCCCGCTTACAGCTGCCAAAATCCCCAGGGTCTCTCGGCAGGTGAGTTGAGAGCTGCCGTTTGAACCCAGGATTCCCTGCCTCGAAAGCCCATATGCATTTTCTGCTGCTTCTTGTGCTTTTGTGCTGGAAGAAGAGGAGTTGGAGGGTTGAGCGAAGCAAAAGAAAAAGAAAAATCAGCCAGTGTCTCCACTAAACGTTTCTAATGGCAGGGAGTTAAGCAATGGAGTACATCCCACACATAATGACAGTCACTCCAGCTTGGAAGGGGAAAGCCATTATACCTCCTTCTAAGAATAGACGTCAGCATAATTGAAATGACAATTCTTGCAATCCTCAGGTAATGAAGATTATTTTGAAATGAAAATCTTTTTTTTGTTTTTCTTTTTTTTTTCATTTACCTACTTGCAAGGACATTTTTCTTTTCAGAGGAAGGTCGTTGAGGTCTCCCTTGACAGAAGCGCCACTGTCTTTCTGAGCGGGTAGGTCCACCTTGATCGTCCAAGCTCTGACGCTGGGTGGCTTCGATCCAGAGTGTCCCGGGGTGTGGCTGGAGGGTGGATATAGGATTCGGAGCCATGCTGATAACATGCTGGTAACATGGAGTTTCCCAGGGACAAGGGACGAGGTGACCTACCAGGTCTCTCTCCGTCAGCCTCAGAGCCCACAGGGCTGGGCAGTGGTGGGCTGGGCAAGGGGAAGGAAATTCATCTCTGGAAACTGCCCTCCTGGAGGCCACCTGAAGTCGAAGACAAGAAGTGAAATTCAGAAGCTGCTCCGGGGTCACACTGTCTGTCTCTGGATCTGGATCTTAGGGAAAGAGCTGCCCCCCACAGTCCCACCTGTGAATCTACTCTATCTTCTATCAGTTGTGTGGTTGTATTCACCTTCCTGAAATTTCTTTCCCCTTCCCCTGACAAGAATTTTCTGCTTCTATCAATATCTGGGAACTCCTTGAGGGAAGGGGTCATACATTTTTACCTTCTGTTACCGGTATAATTGTGCCCCCACCAAAAAGACGTCAAAATCCTAACTCCCAGCGCCAGCGAATGTGACTGCATTTGTAAATAAGGTCCTTGCAGATGTAAATAGTTATGATGCGGTCCTACTGGACTAGGCTAGGAGCTAATCCAATAGGACCGCTGTCAGAATAAAAGGGGATATCTGGACACATTCAGGCACACAGGGAACACACCCTGTGAAGATTAGAGATCTGCAGCCACAAGCCAAGGAGCTACGAGAAGCTCAGAGGGAGACCTGGAACGGAGCCTCCCCAATGCCTTCAGAGGGAGCACAGCCCTGCCCACACCCTGACGCAGGCTTCCAGCCTGCAGCCCTGGGAAGCAGGACGTTTCTGCTGTTTAAGCTGCTCTTTTGCAGCCTTGTGTTATGGCAGGCCTGGGAAACTAATACAGTGGGTCATGTTATTTGTCTCAATTTCACAGATGGAGAAGTTGAGGCTCAAAGAAAGGGAGCCACCCAAGATCTCATGGCAGGAAGAGAGTGGGACTGAACCCAGCTCAGGCTGACCCGGAGCCCCAGGGACCCGAGGCTGTGGGAACCTGGTTTCCGGCTAGGACTTCGCGAAGGGCTCAGGGGCACAGCTCAGAGACTCCCTGCAACTGAGCCCCTCCGGGGGAGAAGGGGCCATGGAGCTGCTGGCCTCTCTGATGGGTGGGAAATAAGCCTCAGGCCAGCCTCACCCTTCCCACGATCTTGTGCTCTTCACCTGCCTTGCTCAGGAAAGCTAGGGCCCATCTTTTAACTCCTCCTGTTAGACCAGTACCTGTTAGAAACATGAACCCAAATGTGGGACTTTCCAATCTTTGCGGGACACTTCAAGGTCTGCTAAGAACCAGGCCCTCTCTGCAGTCGCACACGGCAGCAACGCCAGCAAGATCTGGGGGCAGGTTTTCTTCCACGTGGTTGAAAAGAGTTCCATCCCAGTGGCTGGGGCAGCCAGGGCTAGGCGGAACTAGAGGACCTCTCTCCAAGACACAGACGAAGATCTGGGGGAACCCGTTCCAAGGACCAAAAAGTCCTATCCAGGCACTGGTGCCTGCCTTGGCTTTAAAACAGCCTCCTCCTTGTCACCTGTGCATCTTACCTGCACAAACAGCACCATGGATGCAACGTGTCCCCACCCCTTGCACGCCAGCCCTGCACACTCCGCCCACGTCTCTACACCATCCTGAAGAGATGTCATCTCGTCCTCTCGTGGTTCCCAGCTGAGTCAAGTCATAATGGCATTCAGAAGGCAGTTCTGGTCTCCTAAGGAGAAAGGGGACACTTGGTGAGGCAGAATGAGCACAGGGCAGGCAGCCCGGCAAGTCACGTTCCCATCTTGTCCCCACCTGCCACGATTTAGCTCTGTGAGCCTTGCCTCCACCCCGCCTCTTCTTCTGACCAACATCTAAACCTCCTTCAAGATTTAGCTCAAGCCTTGCCCTTGCAAAACCTTCCAGGCCTCGCCACCATGCACAGCCTGGGCAAGCTGCCCACAGGCCCCCCGTGCCCTTGACACACATACCCCCTGTATTATCAATGTCTCGGTGCTGTTTGCCAGCCTGACTGTGGGCTGCTGAGTTGGGGGTGGGGGCACTGCAAAGTGCAAGTCTATGCCGATGTATTCGAAGTGACCCAAGGGGCAGTCCACGAGCTGGCAGAGGACTTTGCCTGCAAGGTGGCCTGAACTCCATCCCTCGTTATTCGGTACTTGGGTAGGGTTGGGCAGTACCTGGGAGGGTCACATTATAATTGGGGGCACTGGCCATGGGGCCAGGCTGCCTGGGTTCAAACTGTGGCTCTGCTACTTAGTCGTTCTGTAGAATCTTGAGTATGCTGCTGAAATGCCCTGTGCCTCAGCTTCCTCGTCCATAAAATGGGGAGAATACAAGTAACCCTTACGGCCATTATGTGGGTCAAATCCACATAAGGCACTTGGAAAAAGGTCAGGCACACAGTGAGTGCTCAGTAAATGGCAACTTTTCTTCTCATTATTGACCCATCTCTCTTTCCAACATCTGGTACATGAGTCAAAGGCAAATGATCTTACCCCAGCAGAAGAGTCCCCTTATTTATAAAACAAGGGGATTAAATGAACTGATCATCAACCTCTGTCCCACTCTATGTTTTCTGATTTGGAGGTGCATTTCAGACGGTCATGCAAAGTCCTCCCCCAGTCCCCAGGATTGTCCCCTTCCAGCACCAAACCAACACACCAGCATGCAGAGGCAGGGAGGCCACAGTGCAGGAAGGGACAACTCCTGCCAGCGGACAAGCAGAAGCATTCGTGCTGAGGTTTACAACTGTTCTTAGGAACCTTGTAGGCTGGTCTGTTTCACTATATCCAGGTAGGCATTTTATTTATGCCTAGAAAGCTGAATGATGACAATTAGTTTCCAGTTCTGTAACACTGTCCCCTTCAACCAGTCAGGTCCCATCCTCCCTGCTCATTAGGGTGAAACTCTTGTTAGTGGCTTTGCAAGTTGGGGGACGGGAAATCATCAGAAGCGGGTGGGTGGACTCCTGCAAGTGTAGACATCTCACTTCCTCACAAGGCAGCCCACGGCCCCCTCCTCTCCACCTCCCTCATGCCAAGCTTACCTCCTATCCCTGGGCAGGTGAGGCAAATGCTTATCATCTGCCTAATTGTGGAACACGATAATATGCTAGATTTCAAAATAATTAGGCTGATGGTAATGAGGGTTTGATGGTTTCTGTGCAATTAGACGGATGGACACAAACACTTTGTTTTTAACCTATGCTGGGGCTAATGACCTCAAGTGGGAATATGGCAGTGCTGCATTTTAAAAGGAGGAAAAAAATACCCTGGGAACCTCAGAGAAAATAAATCACAGTGGGCTCCTTCCCACAGATTCGTTGCTCTGGATACCTGACCAGATGTTCCCTAGACATCAATAATGAGGGATTTCAGGGCAAGGGGGACATGGCGTCAGAGGAGCTAGCTCGCTCTGGGTTTGAATCCTTTCTGCTGCACCTATTGACTCTGCAACACGGCGCAAGCCACTTATCCTTGCAGAGTTTCAAGTTTTCATCCATAAAATGGGGATGATAATATCTACTGTGCAGGGCTCTTGTGAGTTCCTGGCACCCAGTAAATGTGTGATAAAGATATGGTGGAGGCCAGGCGCGGTGGCTCACGCCTGTAATCCCAGCACTCTGGCGGGACGAGGTGGGCAGATCATGAGGTTGAGAGTTTGAGACGAGCCTGGCCAACATGCTGAAACTCCGTCTCTACTAAAGATACAAAAAATTAGCTGGGCGTGGTGCCACACACCTATAATCCCAGCTACTTGGGAGGCTGAGGCAGGAGAATCACTTGAACCAGGGAGGCAGAGGTTGCAGTGAGCTGAGATTGTGCCATTGCATTCCAGGCTGGGTGACAGGACAAGACTCTCAGAAAAAAAAAAAAAAAAAAAAAAAAAGTGGAATGGGGGAACAGGGCAAGCTCAGAGCAGAAGAATCAAGAGGCCAGAGCATGGCAGAGGCCTGATATGGGCAGTGAGACCTTTTCAACGGCCGAGTAGAATTGGCATTGTCAAAGGTTCAGGTAACATTGACTGTTTAGAAATTCCCTCAAAAAAAAGAAAAAAGAAGAAACGAAAGAAAGAAAAAACCTGAAGAAAAGAAAAAAAACAGAAACAACCAGCTTAATTGAGGCTTAGATTAGAGTCACAGTTCCACCATTACAGAGCCATGGGGCTTGAGAAAACTCCCTTCCTCTCTGTGAGCCTCAGTTGCCCTGTACAGTCAGGTGAAGACTATCTCCATCTCACCTGTCAATGCATGGGGATCAAGGTCTGCAAGGTCAGACTAGAGGGTAGGGCCCTGGAAACCCCATGAATGCACCAGAGCCATCAGACAATATGGCGGTTATGAGTGGATACCCACGGACTGTTCCCTTCAAGGCAGGTGTCGGAGCACGTTGGGAGAAAATGACCCCAGGGCATGGGCAGGTGGACAGTATTGGGTAGGGGGGCGGGTTATTCACCCAACACACATCTTCTGGGCTGTTGGTCTATTCAGACCCAGGGTTCGTGCTTGAAAGACAGAAATAAATAACGTTCAGTTCCTGTCAGGTGAGGTCTCACAGCACAAAGTGACAGACCATTTAAGTGAAATTTGGAGGGGGCATGAGGGACAGAATGACTAACTCTGCCTGGACAAGCCAGGGAAGGCTTCCTAGAAAGACTCAGGCTGGGCCTTGAAGGATGAATTGATGTGGCCTGGCACCAGGCTCGGGGAGTCAAGATTAAAATTCCAATGTACTGTGCATCTGAGTGACCCAGGGAAATACATTTCTCCTTAATTCCTGGAGAGTAAACTAAAAACTTTCTTGACAACTGCAATGACATGAAAAGTCAGTTTTCTCTGCCTCACAGTTTTGTATGGCTAGGCTGCTCCAGCAACCTCTACCAAGTTATCTGCCTGTCCTCACTCTCCTTCACTGCCACTCTATCACCAGGCTGGAAATTCCTGGGAACGTCTGGTCGGGAGTCACCAACACCAAAGGGGAAGGCACAGCACCCAAGGGGGGTGGTTGGTCAGCACCAGGGACAGAGACACGGCCATCCCATGTGTCAGTCACCCAGCATGCAGCTCTTACCTAGATCCCCACTAGGGCTTTTATGACCTGTCCTCCTAATCCATATTCAGGGCCACTTTCTCCTCTTATGACATTTTGTGGCACTATTAGCAAACCAGGTGCCAAGTTTTGCTGGATTCAATTCAATGTTTCAGCACTGCACTTGGAGACTTTTTCCAGGTGCCATTTTCCTCCAAACTGACAGGAGCCCCACAGATGCCAGGTATTCTGACACCCTCTGTGAGTGGGGGAGTGGGAGGCTGGAGCCCACTGGGCTCTGATCCTCGGGCCAGAGAGAGAAGAAGGGCAGATGTTTAATTGAAGGCAAGGTTCTCAGGCCTCCCATGGGCCTCACCTGAGTCCCAAGCTGATGCTTCCTGTAATTCCCCCTTATAGGAGAGAAGCCCACGGGGCTTTGCTCAGGTTGGCTCTGACTCCTCTCTGGCCCTGGGGAGCTACCCCACTCCCCGCAGGAAGCTAGTCCAAATAGCAGAAAGAAGGAAGATCCACTCACATTTCAGTTAATGGGAGCGAGGGGAATCCTGGTGATGATGAAAAGTGTCCATCAGTCCAGTCCAGTCCATCAGCCCAAAAGTCAGAGCCTGTGGTGCTCAGCCTGTTGGTGCCACTTTCCTGGTTACCCACTGTCACTCCATGAGCCACACCGAATGAAGGCTTATGCACTGGGCTCGTGACACCTGCCTGTCTCTCAGGGTGGTTGGGCAGATCACGGAACCTTACTGGCCCTCCACCCACACTTCTCCACCCCTGTATGCCCTGCTGGACAGAGCAGCCTCTTGATATTCCTGAAGTGTCCACTCATTTTTAATTTGGGGCACTTTGCTTTGCTGTAAGTAATTACTCAGTGCATGTTAGCCACTCATATTGTCATTAGAGCACCTGCTATGCACCAGGCGCTGTGCTAGACATTGGAACTTTAATGGTGGACACGGGAATCACACTGTCAGCCATCAAATGCCTATATTTTATGATAAGTATCTGCTGACCCATGGTTTCACCCAATAGACAGTGGCTTCTCAGTGTGCGAGCACCACGGTGCATCACCACAGCTCACCCACAGGAGGCGCTCCATCTTAGCCAAGTGAATAAAGACAACGGAAAATATTGTGAAAATACTGTAAAGTGCCAAAAGAACGTGAATTGTTATTAACAGCAGAAACACTAAATGTCCTAGCCATTCTGCCACAGATATGAAAATCAGAAGAAACAGAAAGATAGAAGATCCACTTATGTTTCAGTGAATGCAGTGGTGCTCAACCTTTTTGGCACCAGGGAACAGTTTCGTGGAAGACAATTCTTCCATGGACCAGCAGGATGGGGGTGGCGGGGAAGGTTTCAGGATGAAACTGTTCCACCTCAAATTATCAGGCATTAGTTAGATTCTTAAAAGGAGCACGCGGCTAGATCCCTCACATGCACAGTTCACAATAGGGTTTGTGCTTCTATGAGAATCTTTTTTTTTTTTTTTTTAGATGGAGTCTCGAACTGTCATTCAGGCTGGAGTGCAATGGCGCGATCTCGGCTCACTGCAACCTCTGCCTCCCAGGTTCAAGTAATTCTCCTGCCTCAGCCTCCCCAATAGCTGGGATTACAGGCGCCTGCCACCACGCTCGGCTAATTTTTTGTATTTTTAGTAGAGACAGGGTTTCACTATGTTGGCCAGGCTGGTCTCGAACTCCTGACCTTGTGATCCACCCACCTTAGCCTCCCAAAGTGCTGGGACTACAGGCGTGAGCCACTGCGCCTGGCCAGCTCCTATGAGAATCTTCTGCCGCCGCTGATCTGACAGGAGGCGAAGCTCAGGCGTTAATTGCCTGCTGCTCACCTCCTGCTTTGCAGCCCGGTTCCTAACAGGGCATCCACCAGTACCAGTCCATGGCCCAGGGGTTGGGGACCCCCCGAGTTAACGGAAGCCAGGGAATCCCGGTAATGATGAAAAGTGTAATCCAATAAGATTGTAAGGGTTGTGGGAGCTCAGGGAAGAAAGAGGTCCTTTTTTAGCTGGGGTGGTCACAGCCTCTTACGGTAGAGGAGGTATTTCAGCTTGGACATGGAGAGATGGGCCAGAGGGGTCGTGGCATGGGCAGGGGCTGAAGGAACAGATGAGAGGCAAGGACTGGTTGGGTTTCACCAGATCAGCAGGCCTTGGGTCCACTACATCAGATCTTCAACAGTTTCCCAGGCCCTTCCGGAATCAGGAGCTACAGAGGAACCCAGGAATCTCTCTTTAACCAGTTCCTGAACAAGATTCAGGTGCAGAAGCAGAGCTCTGGGTGGACCCACAAGTTCCAAATGAGGAGGGAGGATGAGGTTATAGGCAAAGGGCAGACCACAATGGCCCTTGGATGATGAACTTTAATCTGAAGGGAGCCAGAGAAGGCTTTAGAGTGGAAAAGTGGCACCATCATTGCTGTGAATGTAAGATGAAAGATAGATTTGGGAAGGAGAGAAACTGGAGGCAAGAAGCCCTCCTGGGAAACTGTTGGAATCATCCGGGCATCAAGTAATGACAGCCTAAACCAGAGTAGAGGTAGCAGTGATAGAAAGAGGGGGATGGAACTGAAGAATATGATGGAATAGAATTGACAGGACTCGACAACTGATTGGATGTGGGGGAATGAAGCCAGTCAAAGATGACTTATTCAAGATGCCTTTGGTGTTTTTAATATAAAATATAAATATGAACACACACGATCATATATTCTTTAATACTTATCTGATTTGAAGAAATAGCCCCCTATCTCTCCACTCCCAAAGACTTAGGATGGCTCAAGACAATCTTAATAATGATGTATTTTACAGTATATGAACTTTGCTATCTGTGGTAGAGGCATCAAAAAGTCAATATGAGTAAATTGACAAGCCTGTCAATGAATGAAATTAATTTTCTTTTTCTGCTGCATGGCTAAACATAATTTCAGAATGTCATGGTAATATTCACTGTCCATTATCATGGCTGTGCGACAGAGACAGTCAAGTTAAAATATGCCAAGAAATGGCTATATCATAGCATCTAAGGCACAGGAAGCACACGTACCCACTGAAACAGGCATTTGCTCCAGCGAGTACACAGCCCATAATATCTTGTCTCAGAATTTATCCGATTTGCAGCTGAGAGACCTCTGCCCTTTGAACGTGAGAAAATGGATTTTAACCTGTTGCCCAGTTTTAACCTACACCCAAGTGTTCTCTAGTAGAACAGATGGTCAGGCCTAGGATGAGACCTTAGGGATCAGAAAGTCTAGCCTCCTGGTTTAGACTTAGGAGAAAGTCTCTTTCTCTTAGGGAGACCTAAAAAAGGTAAGTTTTATACAAATGTTACAGATTGGACCAATGCGATAATATACTCATAAGTTAGCAACATAAAACCAGTAAGGAAGTATTTTAACTAAGTTCTGTAATTTGGGGTGTGGTTACCTATGCAGCACATAGGTAACCAGTCCTTGTCTCTCATCTGTTCCTTTAGCCCTGCCATGACCCCTCTGGCCCATCTCTCCATGTCCAAGCTGAAATACCTCCTCTACCATAAGAGGCTCTGACCACCCCAGATAAAAAAGTCTCTAAAGAGACTTAGGAGAAAGTCTTTCTCCCTAAGAGAAAGAGGCTTACAGAGGATGCCACACAGCAGAGCCGGGATTTGAACCCACGCTTCCCAATTCTGGAATCTGGTCAGAATCAGCAGGCCCTTCTGCTGAGGAGGAGATGAGAGAAGGGCTGCCTAGAGGGTGCGGCCACTATCTCTGGAAAGAAAGCAGAGATCAGCTTGATGAGCCCGGAAGAACATGTGGGCGAGAATGCCAGCTCATTGGTGCAGTCAACCAGTCAATGAGCAGGTGCTAGGGACAAACAGTGGTTTAAGCTTTGGGGGCTCAGCAGAGAACCAAACACAGAAAGCCTCTGCCCTCACAGAGTTTACAGTCCGGTGGGGGGAGACCAAAGTGTGTAGTGAATAAGTATACAATCAAGGAAAATGCGGATTGTGATGAATGCTCTGAAGGAAATGAACAGGGTGACGAGGGAGAAGGGAGGTGGGAGGTGACCTAGTGTGGATGAAAGGGACCTCCCTGAGGAAGGGACTCCCAGTGTCTGGTCCTCTGAGCTACTCTTTGCAAAGAAACAGAACAGGAACAACAGGGGCCATTTCAGCTGCTTCTTGTGTCCCCTTTGCAGAGTGTGAGCTTGTTTAGACTCTCAACAGCCCAACAGGGTACGTCCTGCTGTCCCCGCGGTACTGACAAGGCCACTGAGGCTCAGAAGACCTGTTAACAGTCCAGGAAGTGGGTACAGGACCCACACCCCGTCCGTCTGAGCCCAAAGCCTCTGCCTTTAACGCTGCCTCACATGCAGTTTTGTTCAGTTCAGCATCTCTCGTTTGGGTCCTGCTTCTCTCTCTACTTGGAACTTTCCAGAAGGCAGGCCTCCTAAAACCTGTCACAGCTATGAGGCAAGGGTTGATGGGTTCCCTCAGGAGCCCACGTTCTATCAGAATCAATGTAGGCTGCAGAGCCTGGCAAAAGCCACCATGGTGGCCTCGCGATGTCATGAAAATAAGGCTGAGGGTCAAGGCTTCAGTAAACCAGCGGCCCCTGCTGGGCCTCACTTCCCTCATCTCTAAAATGGGAATAAAAACACACCCTGCCTAAACCGCAGGCTCTTGGGACAATGGAATGAATGGGAAAGCGAATGAAAAATGTCAGTTTACACATCGCCTTCGCCACAGCACACTCTTGGGGGGCCAGTGTGTATCAAACATCTGCAAATATACCAAGAACTTTACTGCATCAGTGTCATCAGTGTCTTTATTCTGAAGATGGCCACGTGAAGACTCGGAACAGTTAACTGATTCATCAGTGCTACAGGGAAAGCTAGAAATCAGGTCCTTCTGAAGTTAAAGCCCACGATCCACCACCCTAGGGAGAAATATCTTCATCCTTGGCCAAGGCAAACACTCTCCATGCCACGTCTCTGCTGTAGCCGCTCAGTGGGTGGAGTCACAGAGACTTCCCATGGGGCTTCCTCGGGGTGCCCGAGCAGAACAAAGAGGGGCAGTCGCTGAAGAATGGACCCTTTCGATGATGCACTTTATCCCAGAACTGGAATCCCACAGCTTCACACGCCCAGACAGAAAGAGTTCCCCGGTTCTGGGCCACACCTAAATGGCTTTTTCTTTCCTTGCCGACAGAGGAAATTGCCTTGTGAAAGCCAGTGGCCTTTTTTATTTTCTCTCAATGGTTGGAAGGGTTTTTTGCCTTCCAGTTGACAACGTGGATGACAAAGATGGATTTTCTGAGCAAATATTTGTGTTGTTTGTGACCGTGTTTGTGCAGCACAGAGCAGGCAGCTGGGTAATGGAGCCCCTCTGGGAGAGGAGCTGAGGACTGAGTTTTTTTGCACCTTGGTGCTTTTGGGCCATGCCACTAATTGGAACTTACTGTCCCATTAATGAGTTTTCTCTCCAGAGATTCATATGACCACTTCGACTCTAAAGTCCCTGCCTAATGGACTATTGAACAACAGAGAGCGCACACAGCTTCATCTCAGGACTCCCTTTCAACATACAGCAGTCCCCAGTTAATCCCGGGCTTAAAAACCAGAGTGGCAAAGTGACTCCCAGGCCAGCCCCTGGAAAAAGGCCTAAATTGGTATGATGTAATTGCTCTCCCGCCCTGAAAAAGGCCTGTGTGGCCAACATCTGAGCAGTGGACACCAGGCCCCTCGGTGACCAAGAATCAATTTTTATCCTCAACATGCCACACGTCCATTTCTACTCATTAGGAGCCTGATAATGACCCCAGTGAGTGAGGCTCACAGGACCAGAGACTTCAAGCAGCTGCCTGGAAAATGGGTCTATGCTAAAAGTGGGGTCAGCCAGAAAGGTCAGTCCCCAAGATGCCCAAGGGAGAGGCAGGCAAATGTGCTCTTCCCAAATGGAATGGGACAAGGATTTCTTCTTCTCCAGAACCTCCTTGTTTCACCTTGACTATAGCCTGCTAAGATTTGCAACACCTCCTATTCTACGTAAAATGTAAATCTGATTGCCGATGGCCCCTCCCTGCTCACAATCTTTCAATGGCTCCCTGTTGTCCTCTGAGTAAAATCCAAGCTTCTTAGGGTGTAATACAAGGCCTCAGTCTGCATCTCCAGTCTTACCTCCCTCCCCCATGTGCCTCCTCAGACTTGATCCCTAGAAATACCCAGGTGCTATGGGTTAGGGTTAGGGTCCATGTGCTTTTGTTGTTTTGCACCCTGAGCCTTACTGCAGCTGCACCCCCTTCCCAAAAGTCATTCTGCCCCCCTCTTTCTGTCCTCCAGGCCTCACTGCAGATTTATTCCCTTGCAGAAAACTCCGGTTGGGACCTCCACGCATCCCCATGGTTCTTATTGAAGTTCCCTCGCTCTGTTCCCACAATAGCCTATGTTAACCACAAACACGGCATTCATTGCAGAGACCTGAAATTATTTGTTTGGGTGTCCTTCCCGGCTAGACCAGGGTTTTCCACCTTTGGCACTACCGATGTTCGGGGCCCATTAGTTGTTTGTTGTGAAGAGACTTTCTGTGCATTGTAACAACTAAACATTTCTCCAGACATTGCTAGAGGTTCCCGAGAGTGCAGAACGGCCCCTGGTTAAGCACGCCTGGGCCAGACCCTAAGCTCCTGAGGGTGCACAGAGCAAGAGCCCATGGCGGTCAGAGATTCCTGAGAATGATCCCCACTGCCTTCCTCCCCAGCTGAGGTGTCCAGGAGCAAGATGTCTCCCCTCCCTGAACCTCAGTGTCCTCACCTATCGAATGGGGATAATGACATGTGCCTTAGGGCTGCTGAGGGTAGCAGCCATGAGTAATGCTGACAGTCAATAGGCATTGCTCTATCATGCAACTGTACATCTTCCTTTTTTTTTTGTTTTGCTTTTGAGCCAGAGTCTTGCTCTGTCACCCAGGCTGGAGTGTAGTGGCATGATCTTGGCTCACTGCAACCTCCACCTCCTGGGTTCAAGCAATTCTCTTGCCTCAGCCTCCCCAGTAGCTGGGATTACAGACTTGTACCACCACACCCAGCTAATTTTTGTATTTTTAGTAGAGACAGGGTTTTGCCATGTTGGCCAGGCTGGTCTCGAATTCTGACCTCAAGTAATCCACCCCCCTCGGCCACCCAAAGTGCTGGGATTACAGATATCTTACTTTAAAAACACAGGAAACTTAGTGCTAGATTCAGATTCACCTGACCCTTGTTGAGCCCTGCCATGTCCCAGACTCTTTTTCATGAGCGTCATCCATTCAATGCTCACCATGACTACTGTCAACATTTCACAGGTAAGGAAACTGAGGCTCCGGCATCAGCTGACTCACCCGAGACCTAAGTCATCATCTGTTGAAGCTCAGGTTGGAACCCCATCTTCCAGATCCCAGACTGCCGGGGTCTCTTTCCTTTCCAGAACTTGGCAGACGCCCTCCCTCTTATGCCCAGCTCTCATCCCACCTTCTCTGGTGGCTCCTGTCCATCCTCAGACCATGTCTTCATGCCAGTTCCTGCAGGAGTCTGTGCCCATGGCACCTGCATTCCTCATGATCCTGTCTCCCATCCCTACTAAGCCATAACCTCCAGGAGGGCTGAGATAGAGACGAGTTTCGCCAGTTTGTCCAGAGCCTGGCGCAGCACTGACACTAACCATGTATTGAATGCATGAATGGGTGAGTAATGAATAAAGAAAGGTAAGCTAACGGGACTGAACTCTAACCAGGACCATGGTACCCAGCATGCCAGAGAGAGGCTCCTCGGCTCTCAGAAGGTCTTTTCTATGCAGGTTATTCCAACCTCTTCCAGAGACACTGCGTACTTACAGAAGCCCAGCACACAACATTAAACGGGGGTGATTACATAGCAGCGACACTCAAAGCTGCATTTTTGTGGAAGTGAGGCTCAAGCTCAGTGATGCATGGTCAAGCAGAGGCTGAGGCAAAGCCATCATAGCCCAGTGGTCAGTGGATGTGGAGGGACTTCACCTGAACGTTTGGGCCCCTGACTTCGCCCAGTTCCTCTACTTCCCCGTGCACTCTGAATCCCAGCTCTCCTACTGTTCCAGCGTCCCCCAGACACCGCCGGGCCCTGACCGCTGCTTTCAAACCACTTGTATGCTCCTCCCTGTGGTTTCAGCCTCCGCCTAGATGTGGCGTTCCCAGAAGGCCGTCCTTCCCTCCCTCTTGGACAAGCCCCCATCTTGCCTGCATTTCCGCAGCACTCTCCTCCAGCTGCATCCCTATCAAAAACCATCAAACCTGGCTGGGCGCGCCCACCGCCCAGGCGGTGGCTCACGCCTGTAATCCCAACACTTTGGGAGGCTGAGGCGGGTGGATCACCTGAGGTCAGGGGTTGGTGATCAGCCTGACCAACATGGTGAAACCCCGTCTCTACTACATACAAAAACATTAGCGGGGCGTGGTGGCGCATGCCTGTTAATTCGAGCTGCTTAGGAGGCTGAGACAGGAGAATCGCTTGTACCTGGGAGGCAGCGGTTGCAGTGAGCCGAGATCGCGCCATTGCACTCCAGCCTGGGCAACAAGAGCGAAACTCTGTCTCAAAAAACAAAAAACAAACAAACAAACCCTCAATGCTTAGCTCTTCCGCTGCAGCACCCCTAGTGCCTGGCACATCACAGGTGCTCAGTAAACTCGTCCAAGATGGAGGAATGAATGCATTTTGCACAGGTACTCATGTCTGGGATGTGGTGGCCTGGTGCGCCTGGACGCTGAGTGTCTGTAAGTCCGCTGCTTATTCCATAATCACCAGGCAACCCCGTGATGAGGACTCCACATCTCTCATGAGGCCCACCTATAGGAGAGAACATCTCGGTCATAACTCAGGAATTCTGAACGACACACTGTTTATAATTCTCACTGGAATTGAGCATATTGATTCTGGCTTCATTAAAATAAAACCAAGTACCACAGTGACTCCTTGCAGGCAATTGACCACAGGTTTGCCCACTACCACCCTCTCTCCCAGGACAAATATTGAAACGGTCCCCACTTGGTCTCCTCCCACCCCCCAGAAAAGAAGGAGGGGTGGAGAGAAGACAGGAAAAATTGACAGTAATCTTGCATCTGTCTCATCTCTTTGCAAAAGAAAAGCAGTATTTACTGAAATATATTGTACAAAAGAATCACTCCCCACAAGAAAAAAGATGTAATCATCTATTTAGTGAAAAAAAAAATGCAATTTCTTAAAAACACAGCCATACTCTGCATATGGTCTGTTTAAATGCATTTTATTAAGAGTTATACCACTTAATGATGGCTTAAAGAATCGCTACATAAACAATACCATTTTAGCATAAGAGGGTTGGAATATTTCTAATTCAAGCCAGTAAAAACTCACTCTTCAGTGGTTTATGAAACTTGAATACGTTGATGTGGCAGCACTCAATTAATGTCAGGCCGTATGGATTTCAATCTGGCTTGAAATATATTTAAACAAATGAAGTAGATACAAATGTTGGCTCTTTGGCCAGCCAGAGCTAAAAAATCCATTTTCTATCCCATTTATAATAAGATCTAATTTGAATGTAATTTATCTAAAGCACAGTGTTTCCTAATTTTTACAGGCAACCATTACTTATAGTTTAAGTAATAGTTATATCCATGGATCTTAGTGCACTTAATTGAAAATGAATGTTATTAAAATCCAAGACTTAATCCTTCAAAAATAAAAGCATTATCCTAAAGAATAATTGAATACTCAGACTCAGAGCAAGGGGAGGGGGCGGCCAAAGCTTTATTAAAAAAAAAAAAAAAACTCCCCTTTAAATACCGCACTTCTGTCTCTTTACGTGGTATTAGAATTATGTCAGAGTGAAATTAGCCACTCTCGACCCGTTATTTCAATTCAGATTACAACTGCCTCTCATCTAAGTGTCAGACTTGGCACCAGAGTCAAATCCGTCTGCCGAGGAGTGACATGTCAAGGGTGACAGTGACAAATTGTCACTAAGTGAGGAATAACACATGACAGGGCATGTGTCCGTAATGAGGCATATGCATGCCAGTAAGCCTCGGGATGCATGGGGCTGAGGGCGGAATGCTGGAAGCACTCCGGATGCTGCGAGTTCTCATTAGGGCTCTGCACCTCCTTGGATGGGAGTTTCCATCATTAAAATAAATAAATAATAAATAAGCTCCTAAGTGAACAACACATGGACAAAGGCCTACTCTGGTATTTAAAAAAAAAAAAAGGAAAGAAAGAAAAAAAAGAAAAAATAAATCCAAATGTTTGTAAATTTCTTCTTGAGGGCTTAAAATAAAATAAACTTTTCTTCCTGACCTCATCTTCCATCTTCATGATTTGTTTCTTCCTTTCTTCCTTTAACTTCACCAAGATCAAGGAAACACAAATTCCAGAATGAAATAATTCTTTCTCTGTGTGTTTGTACAAATATTTCCATGAGCACTTTGAGAGATGGTCCCATTTGCCAAGCTGAGGCTGTCACAGAGACATTTCACAAAGGCACCCCACAAGTGAATTTCTCACTGGTCTCCAATGAAAATAATGGCATTTTCACCCCAAGCAAAGAGCCAGAAACTGGGAGGAGGGTGTACAGACAGGTGAGATATACCATCACGAAAAATTAACTCAAGGCCACAAAATAGGAAGCATTCAGAAAGGAAGTTAGAATCACCAATTTTTTGTCTTGCTATGCTTTGTTTTGTTTCATTTTGTTGTCTTTAATTTCCTGTATGGGACCTCTGGAATTGTTGCTTGTCCCAGTGAACAAAAATATTTTTATACCCAAGTCACATGGATGCATAATGGAGTGCTGTTGGATTTTATTGGATAGATGGATAGCTGGATGGATGAATGGATGGATAGGTAGATGGATAGGGGAATGGATAGCTGGATAGATGGGTGAATGGATAGGTAGATGGATGGGGAATAGATAGGTAGATGAATGAAGGGATGGTTAGGTAGATGGATGGGGGATGGATAGGTCGATGGATGGGGGAATGATAGAAGAATAGGTGAAGGGATAGTTGGATGGATGGGTGAATGGATAGGTGGATGGAAAGGGGGATGGATAGGGGGATGGATGGATGGATGGATGGATGGATGGATGGATGGATGGATACACGGATGGATGGATGGATACACGGATGGATGGATGGATACATGGATGGATGAATACATGGATGGGAGGATGGGTAGATGGATGGATAGGTGGAGGGATAGTTGGTTGGATAGGTGGATGGATAGTTGGAGGGATAGTTAGATGGTTAGGTGGATGGTTAGGGGAATGGATGGATGGATGGATGGATGGAAGGATGGATGGATGGCTATGTAGATGGATAGGGGATGTTTGGGTAGACAGATTGGGGGATGAATAGATGGATGTATAGGTGGAGAAATGGATGGATGGGTGGATGGATAGGGGGACATATGGGGGAATTGGATGGATGGATACCTAAATGGATGGAAGGATAGATGAGCTCAGAGGTGAGTCAAAAAGTGATGATTCGCAGGTAAGGCTGGAGCCGGCCCTTTGGGGTATCAAATATCTTGCTAAGAGTTTAGATTATGTTCAAGGTGGAGGGTTTGAAGTTGGGAACGACATGGCCAGGTCTGCATGGTAGAAAGATTGCTCTGGCTTCAGTGTGTGCAAGCAAAGTGGGCAGTGATAATGGAAGCAAGGTGATGAGAGAGGAGTCTGCTGCAAACTCCCACCTATGAAATAATACAGCCCAAGAGAAAGTGCTGAAAGAGATCAGGAGAACTGAACAGGTTGGGGATGTTAGAAAGCAATAATCAACAGAAATTGGTTAACTGGCTGGATTTGTATAGTGGAGAGAGAAATCCTAAATGATTCCCAGGTTTCTGGTAGAATATTAGAACTACTGACTATGACAGCAACATAAAGAAAGAGCAGGTTTTAGAAGGCAGTGATAAACTGACCATTTGGAAAATGCTGAAATCTTGGGAAGGAATCTAGATTTGGGAGCCCTCAGCACACTGATGGGAATTCAAGCTGCAAGGGTAGAAGAGAGAACTCTGAAATCAAAGACTTTATTTTAGCAAAATTGGAGCAGACTCAAGGGGCAACATTTACACATTTCTATAGCACGTTTCTTACGTGAAAATCTACATCTTTTAAGTTTTAAACACTAGTTTGTAATCTGCTTCTTTTCTCAATAAAAATATCATGGACATTTTCATTTATCCTTTTTTTCCCACATCATTTAAAGGCTGTTTCAATTTATGAATATGTCATAAATTACTGAAACTATCTCTTATGGTCAGGCATTTACATTATTTCTAGGTTTTCACTATCATATGCATCTTCCTGTGATTTTGGTTCTAAATAACTGATCTTTGCAAGGGCTCCCAAGAGTTTGACTGTGATCAAAGGGAGGGTGAAGAGGACAGGTGACATGCAGAGAGCTAAGGTGCTCTCAGTGAACATGCAGAGAGCTAAGGTGCTCTCAGTGAACATGCTGGGAACAAGAGGTCCAGTGGTGAGAGGTAATTTAGGGATCACACACCATCTGGGCTGAAAGGAAAGATGAAGATATCCAAGGTGGCTCTTCTAAGAATTCCTGTCTGCCTCTGCAGCTCCACAAGCTTCATGGAGACTCTCCAGGACATTTCTTAATAAACTATTCATTTAAAAGTCACTTATTAAATTCAATGTCACAAACATCTATGTATTGCTTCTGACTGGCCTAGATAGACCAGTTGAAGTAAGCAACCTAAATATCTAGTGGCTTAACACAACGGAGTTTACTTTTGCTCCTGCTAAATGTCACAATGTCCATTGTGAATCTACGGGAGACTCTGCTCCATAGCGTCCCTCAGAGATCCAGGCTGACAGATGTTCTACCAGTGAACAGTTTCACCATCTGTGAGATTCTGCCTCTTTAGTTGCAATGGTAGAAGAAGAGAGATTAGAGAATCTCACATGGGCTTTCCACTACCCCTGCCCAGAAGTCTCAGACATCATTCCTTCTCAAGTCCATGGGCTAGAACTGACCACAGGACCCAACCTACCTGCAAGGAAGCTGAGAAATGTGGGAAGGTGAATGGAATATTAAGTGAGTTTTCCTGTCTCTACCTTAGATATAAACAGCATATCCAAGCTGCCCCAGCCTGGGACAACAAAATAAGGTCACTTTTCCATTAAATGCCCACTGTTCAATGACAAAAGATTAGAAACAGCCTAAATGTCTATCAATGGGAAGTTATTAATTATGTCACATCTATCATAGAATACATTTTAATCACAAAGAGAAAGCACTGATATGTTTCAAAAGAGAATGTATCAATATGAAATAATTTCAAAATATATTATGAAATGAAGAAATTATTACACAGAACAGAATGCACAGAATACTGCCATTGGGCAGAAGGGGATATATATACAGTCAATTGAATATTTGTGAAATGTCTCCGATAGGACACAGAGGCAGCTGGTGACATTGGTTGTCTTTAGGTAGAGGAGGAATGGCTGAGGCACGGGAGTAGATAGGACAAGTTTCACTGCTATTCTTTCTATTTATTTATTTATTTATTTTATTTATTTATTTTATTTTTTTTAGATGGAGTCTCGCCCTGTCACCCAGGCTGGAGTGCAATGGCGTGATCTTGGCTCACTGCAACCTCCACCTCCCAGGCTCAATTCTCCTGCCTCAGCCTCCCAAGTAGCTGGGATTACAGGTATGTGCCACCACGCCTGGCTAATTTTTGTATTTTTAATAGCGACAGGGTTTCACTATATTGACCGGGCTGGTCTCGAACTCCTGACCTCAGGTGATCCACCCACCTCGCCCTCCCAAAGTGCTGGGATTAGAGGCATGAGCCACCGTGCCCGACCTATTTATTTACTTATTTTGATACATGGTCTCACTTTGTTACCCAGGCTGAAGTGCAGTGGTGTGGACATGGGTCACTGCAGCCTCGACCTCCTGCGCTCAAGCAATCCTCCCACCTCAGCTTCCTGAGCAGCTGAGACTACGGGGCATGCACCACTACACTTGGGTAATTTTTTTTTTTTAACTGGGGTAATTTTTTTTTAATTTTTTTGTAGAGATGGCATCTCACCATCTTGCCCAGGCCAGTTTCAAACTCCTGGGCTCAAGTGATCCTCCCCCTCTGCCTCCCAAAGTGCTAGGATTACACGTGTGAGACATCACTCCGGCCTTTCCTACCTTTTAAATGTTGAACTTTGACCTATTTTTAAAAATAAATGCATAACCTATTAAAAAAATACATAAAATTATTTTGTAAAAACCATTAATACTGACTTTGAGCCCCCCACACACCCATGGAGAAACTTACACACACACACCCCATGAGTGTGCTGGTATTACTGAGAAGTTCCAGTCTCCTGCCTCTCTGGGCCTCCTATAAAGCCACTCTGTCACAGGGGTGGCTGTGGATGCCCATAGCCCTAAGGAGGCCACTTTCCTCTCGGAAGAGCCTTTCCCCCATGGTGGTGGCTGCTAACACTGCCCTCTGGCCTCAGGGAGGGGCCCCTGCCCTGATTCTCTCAGACACAGCCGAGACCAGGCTTGCATATCTTTCCATTCATCAGGGAAACCTCAAGCCTGACAAAGCAGACAGGACCTCTGCTTCTGGATAGGGGGACCCAGAGGCCACAGACCCTGCTGAACGCTGCTCCCACTTTCCAGCCCGGGGGCCACTCAAGCCATACCATGGGAGCCACCTCCAAGTCCAGGCCCCACATCCCATGAGGCCCAGAGAGAGAAAGCCCCCTCCTAGCCTGAATTTCCTGTCCAAGGGTGGGCCTGTCTGTGGGTCAACTAACAGCGAGAATAGCTGCTCCCAAGGAGGCATAGCCTTGCCCTCTGACCCCCGTAGGACAGGAGCCCCAGAATCCATGGGCCCAGCCTCGGTACTTGGGCAGGTGTGCAAATGCATGAAGACTTGCATGTGAAGCTCTCCCACCCAAGCAGTGGTGCAGTGGGGAGGAAACCAACGCACAGAACATCCAGGGCACTGTGCAGAATGCTGTGCCAAGCTCAGCCCTGGCAGGGGTGAGATCCCAGCTGAGAGAGAGGTTCATGAAGGCTCCAGTCCACTAATTAATTTCAAGTGTTTGGGGAAATCACAGAGAATTTGCTAAAGACAAATCCCAGACCTCCAATTGACCAACTGCTCCCCCTGCTCCTCTCCACTGAAGTCTAGTTCTCATGCAAATGTGTCCCCAGCCAGCCCAGCTCCTTCTGTCAGGCCCCCTCCCTGGCACCAGCCCTCCCCAGGAGGTCATCCAGCAGCTCCAGGGAGGTTTCAGACATTAAAATCATGGTGGCCCCAGGCTGCCATTCCTCACCTCGGCAACAAGTGAGTCTTCAGAGGTTACAGATTTCTTTTATTTATTTTTTTTTTAAGATGGAGTCTTGCTCTTGTTGCTCAGGTTGGAGTGCAGTGGCGTGATTTCAGCTCATTGCAACCTCCGCCTCCTGAGTTCAAGCTATTCTCCTGTCTCAGCCTCCTGAGTAGCTGGGATTACAGGCACCCGCCACCACACCCAGCTAATCTTTGTATTTTTAGTAGAGACGGGGTTTCACCATGTTGGCCAGGCTGGTCTCAAACTCCTGACCTCAGGTGATCCACCCGCCTCGGTCTCCCAAAGTGCTGGGATTACAGGCGTGAGCCACCATGCCCAGCCTGGTTACCAATTTCAGTTGTGTTACGGTATGGACTGTGAGTCCTTGGTCTGGCCGCTGAGACCCCAGAGTGATCACAGAAGTCCCAATCCAGAGATTCCAGGGGCAGGAGGCTAATGCTGACTATGTCCTGGGCACTGGGAAAGAGCAGTGACAGTGACAAAGTCGCTCTGTCCTGTAGCTCCTGTTGAAGACACCCACATAGAGCAAGAAGGATAAAGAAAATGATTACACACCAGGATACATAACACCCTAGAGTACAGATGACCAGAGCTGGCTGGGGACAGCGTGGACACAGCCTGAGCCCCTGGGTGGAGGGGACCAGTGTGGACACAGCCCAAGCCCCTGGGTGGAGGGGACCAGTGTGGACACAGCCTGAGTCCCTGAGGGGAAGGGGACTAGTGTAGACAGAGCCTGAGTCCCTGAGGGGAGGGGTCCAGTGTGGACACAGCCTGAGCCCCTGAGGGGAGGAGACAAGTGTGGACACAGCCTTAGCCCCTGAGGGAAGGGGACTAGTGTAGACAGAGCCTGAGCCTCTGAGGGGAGGGGACCAGTGTGGACAGAGCCTGAGCCTCTGAGGGGAGGGGACCAGTGTGGACAGAGTCTGAGCCCCTGAGGGAAAGGGACCAGTGTGGACGCAGCCTGAGCCCCTGGGGGAGGAGACCAGTGTGGACACAGCCTGAGGCCCTGGGGGGAGGGGACCAGTGTAGACACAGCCTGAGCCTCTGGGGGGAGGGGACCAGTGTAGACACAGCCTGAGCCTCTGGGGGGAGGGGACCAGTGTGGACACAGCCTGAGCCCCTGGGGGGAGGGGACCAGTGTGGACACAGCCTGAGCCTCTTGGGGGAAGTGACTGAGGGCAGAAGGTAAGGAGGAGAAAGGCTTGGGTGCAGGGAGGGTAGGTAGTTACTCAGGCAAAGGGAGGAGTGTGTTTTACATGGGCCACAGAGGAAAATGAGCTGGCCATGTTACCACTAAGGAACGTATCCAAGTCACACAGCACCAAATTACGTTAGTGGCAGCAAATCCATACGGGTTTGCAGCCACCTCAGTTCTTAACTCCTCAAAAGAAAGAATTCCGCTGAGGCAAGTTTTAGAGCAGGAGTGAAAGTTTATCAGAAAGTTTTAGGGCAGGAATGAAAGGAAGCAAAGCACACTTGGAAGAGGTTCCAGCGGGCGACTGGAGAGAGTCAAGTGCATAATCTGATCTTTGGCTTGGGTTTTATATGTTGGCATGCTTCTGGGAGGTTGCGCTCCTTCTCCCCTGATTCTCCCCTTGGGGTGAGCTGTCTGCACTCACAGCGGCCTGCCAGCACTCAGGCGGGGCTGCATGCGCAGTGTGTTTACTCAAGTTGTGCGCATGCTCACTTGAGGCATTTTTCTTTCACCAGCTGAGTGTTTAATCCGCCATTTTGCCTGTTAGTGCACATGCTTGAGCCCACTCACCCAACTCCTGAGATCTTACTGGGAAGCTGCTGATCACCAGTTTCAGGTGTTCCTGTCTATTGGGAGACCTTTCCCTGGCACTGGCTGCAACCAATTATTATTTTATAGAGACAGTTCTAACAACCTCCTGACCATCACCTGATGGTTGCCTGACATTCCTGGTGAGGGGCGCCTCTCCTGCTCTGCTCATCACGTCTGCCTGACTGCCACCTGTAACGAGCATGTTTCAGAAACTGAAAAAAACAGCGCACAATGCAGTAGGGGGAGGGAGGGTGCAGAGTGAGCCAGAAGGAGAGAGGAACCCAAGGAGGGAGAAGCAGATCATGCTGCCCCCTGGGTGTGCTTTTACCCTACGGGCTCAGGATGGGAAGCCATCAGAGGGGTTTAGCAGAGGGACCGCCTGATCATTGGGACAAGTGTGGGAAGAATGAAGTCAAAAACTTCCAATCATCATAACATGAAAAGACAAACCACAGATTGGGAGAAGGTGTTTCCCATTTGTATCACCAGCAAAGGGAGAGGATCCAAACATATATAAAGAACATCTACAAATCAGTAAGAAGGAGACAAAAACAACCCAAGAGGAAAGACTTTGAACAGGGTTTTCACAGAAGAAGAAACACCCACAAACACGTAAACAAAATAGCCCACAAACACGTAAAAAGATGTTCTGCTCCAAAATAATTCAAAGATGCAAATTTGGTGTCTGTGAGCTTGAGAAGTTCTGGAGGATCCAATGAGGTACACTTTCCATTAGGAAGCAATTGTGGCTATTCAAGAATAAAGTAAGAATATATATTTTTAGATGTATATGTACTATGTCTTTCAAATGGCTACTAAATCATTAGGACATACATATGTTATTTTTTTTTTACCTAATATAATAAACAGAACTCCTGGGTGTTTCTTTTGGTTGAGGGATGGGTGGAAAAATTCCTGAGACCTTAACAGTGCCTGAACTGATTATGTTTGGGGCCTGTGGGTTGGAACAGATGAACTGTCCTGGAACAAGTCTGTGAGGTCGCCCCTGAAGCAGGAGTGCAGAGAAGGCAGAACCCAAGAAATCAGGGGCTGCATTCTGCAGGAGACAGGGGTGATGGAAGAACAGACATAGTCTTTTTCTTTGGAGGCTGTAAGAATTCCTCTATAGGATACTATTAAATTCACACTGGTCCCTGTTTCAGAAGGATACAGAAGCAATATGGCTGGAGGTCTGATGGAGTTCAGAGGAAATGGTCCAGACCCTGAGTAGGGAGTTGGACTGTGTCCCCCAAAAGAGATTTGTCTAACTCCTAACCCTTAGAACCTGTGAATAGAACCTTCTTTAGAATTAGAGGTATTCACAGACATAATTATGTTGAGAATCTCTATGTGCAGTCACCCTGGGTTTAGGGTGGGCCCCAGCTCCATGACTGGTTTTCCCTTATGAGAAAGGCAGCAGGGGATTTGAGACACAGACAGGCTTAGTGGGGAGGCCATCATGCGAAGACAGAGGCAGAGACTGGAGTGATGCTGCCACAAGCCAAGGGCACTAGGAGACTGGAAGATCCTACTCCAAAGCCTTCAGAGGGAGCACGGTCCTGCCCACATGTTGATTTCACCTCAGACTTCTGGCCTCCAGAACTGAGGGGGAACAAATTTCCATTGTTTTAAGCCACCAGTCTGTGGTGATTGGTTATGGTGGCCCCAGAAAGCTAATGCATCCCATTTGGTTACTGCAGAGTGTGAAAGGAAATTAAATCTTAGAACCCCAAACTCATTAAGCCAAAGGAAAAGTTAAGCTGGGAACTGGGTCACACAAACCTGCTTCCCCTTTTTGGTTCCTAAATAAGATGACTACAAGATAAAAAGCTACATGTCTCCCCCATATTTTGCCCACAAGGAAATTCCTAGTGAGCTCCAAGATCTTAACCCTAAGGTGTTTCTGTTAAAATTTCACCATGGCCATGTAAATCGATAGCTTATCTTTACAGGTGCAGTCACCCCGGCCCACCAGACACAAATACATATCTGATTGTTCCCCTGCCCCATTTTGTCTACGTTTCCTTGTGTAAAAATGCAGACTCACTGAGCCAGACAAAGGCATGAATGACTCTTTTCCCCTACCCCCACTTACATAAAAATTGTGTACTTCTCAATATCCTGCCCTTTTCCCTTTAAATTTGGAGCACTCACAATCATCTTTAGAGAAAGGCATAAACCTGTCTCCTGGGAGCATGTCCTTAACTTTGGCAAATCGACTTCCTAAAATGAATGAGATTTGTCTTGTTATTTTTCTTGATTGACAAGAGGAAGGAGCAACAGGTCTGGCTGACACACAGATCCACCGCCTCCAGGGAGGGTGGCCTGGGAGCTGCTGGGGGCAAGCCGACCGACCAACTGAATCCGGCCGTCTCTCTGCACCATTAGCAGCTCTGGGCCTTGTCACAGAGGCCTCTTGGTGTGGGCTTGCTTATTTTCTCCAATGTCAATGCTGTGCTTGGGGGAAGTAACAGACACACACACACACAGTCTTGTTAGACAAGAGCAGCCAAGGAGAGGTGGTAGGGGAGCCCTGGGCTGGATTCCAGCCCCAGCTCCACCTTCCTATTGGTGTGTGGCTGTGGGTCTGTCATTTCTCTCTCTGGGAAATCTGGAGCCCTCTTGCTGGTGGCCTCACTGACAACTGAGTTAGTAGTTGGACCCTGCACAGCCATCTGCAGAGGGCCATGGTGGGTGTCTGGTGACCTTAGTCTGCTCAGAGCAAAGTCACCACGGGGAAGACACGTCTACCCTGGATGAGATTGAGAAAGGGCACTTTCCTGGATGTATTAGTCTGCCAGGGCTGCTGGCACACAGTACCACATGCTGAGCAGCTTAAGCAACCAAAATGTATTGCCTCACAGTTCTGGAGCCCAGATGTCTAAAATCAAGGTGTCGGCAGTGTTGGTTCCTTTTGAGCAATTTGAGGAAGAATCTTCCACTCTGCTCTCTTAGCTTCTGGTAGCCTCAGGTGTTCCTTGGCTTATAAATGACTGAATTCTCTTGGTGTCTTCACATCCTCCTCCCTCTGTGTGTCCATGCCCTAATTTCCCCTTTTTACCAGGACACCAGCCATATTGGATTAGAGGCCCCTCTAATAACCTCATTTTAACATGATTTCCTCTGTAAAAACCCAATCTCCAAATAAAGGCACATTCTGAGGTATTTGGGGACATAATTCAACCCATAAAACTGGAACAACAACCAAAAAATGTTGATCCTGCTCTTTCTCACATCTAAGTGACTAGAGGGCACAGATCCTTCCAGAAGTCAGTCAACCATTTGTGGCTCGGGGAGCTGGAGACGGGGAATAAAGAGAAATTGGGGGTGATATTTGTTGGGTTGTCTTGGCAAGGGGGCCAGCCCTTGGCCATGCTGCCTGGGTTTGAATCTCCAGCTTTGTTCTTTGCTAGCTCTGTGGCCTTATGCAATTTTTTAAAACCCAACAAGCCTCAGTTCCTTCTTCTGTAAAATGAGAATAAAATAATAGTATCTATCCCCTAGGGTGACTGTGAGAATTAAAATGGAGGATGCAGGTGAAATGCCCAGGACAGTGCCATCACACAGTGAGCCATCAGCAGAGGGTAACTGTAATAACAGTCTCTGTATCTCCAGTCTCTGGCACCTCAAGAGTGTTTAATTCATGAGAGGCGAGTAAGAAAGAGAATGAGGGAATAAAATATAAACCAATAAGTTGGCATAATTTGCACAGGCTAAGAAATGACCACTAGTTGTACTTGTCTATGGAAACAGACAAAGGTACCTGGCAAGTTAAAAAGATTGCTGATGTCACGGCCTATTCCCACCAGCGAATCCTCCGTGGGAGAATGTAAGTTCACGGTTGCTCCCACTGTCGACTGGTAAATGTTTTATACTATTTACGAGGCAGAGCAATTATGTATAATTATTCCATAATGCAAACACATTATGAATACTTAAAGCACCATTTTTTTTCCTCCTCCTAAGGAATCTGGTTGAACTCTGTGCTAAAGATATCTTGTGTAATTGAAATTTGGAACAGGTGTAGAAAGGAATAAAGAGCCTTTCTGACTGAGGTTAAGGAAACTGCAATAACCCTTCTTGTGAAAATAGGAAAGCTGTTCTAGGAAGGCCTGGGAAGGGCTCTGTTGTGGAAGTATCCCGCACAGCAGAGGATCAAACACGGCTGTGCATAGAGATCAAGAGCTTCAGTGAAGCGGTCCCCCATACCCAGTCACTCTCTAACATCCCCCTTTTACATTTCTGTACCACACTTAACATTTATGGAATTATCTTTACTTGTTCACCTGTCCATGGCCTGCCTCCCCCAACTAGAAAGGGAGAATTGGTGGTCTCATTCACCAGTGTGTCTCCACAGCTATGGCATCCAGATGAGGGCCCAGCACACAGCAAGCATTCAATAAATAACCGTCAAAGAAGCAAGCAAATACAGGAATAACAGGTCACTCCCTGTATTAGTCTGTTCTCAGGCTGCTAATAAAGACATACCTAAGACTGCGTAATTTATAAAGAATAGAGGTTTAATGGACTCACAGTTCCACATGGTTGGGGAGGCCTCACAATCATGGCAGAAGGTGAATGAGAAGCAAAGTCACGTCTTACATGGTGGCAGGCAAGAGAGCATGTGCAGGGGAACTCCGCTTTATAAAACCATAAGACCTTGTGAGACTTATTCACTATCCCAAGAATAGCAGGGTAAAGACCTGCCCCCATGATTCAGTTACCTCCCACCAGGTCCCTTCCACGACACATGGGAATTATGGGAGCTACAATTCAAGATTAGATTTGGGTGAGGACAGAGATAAACCATATCACTCCCTGAAGGGAAGGAGTAAGTGGAAAAGGAATTATTAAATGGGCACTTGCCATATGGGTGCAGTCGCATGATCCATTTAATCATCACAAGCCCTCTTGGGGTTCAGTATTTGACCCCTAATGCACAGATGAGGACATTGAGGCTTGAAAACATTAAATGATTTATTTGCCCAAGATCACACAGGTACAAAGTTGTAGAGACAAGATTCGCGCCCAGGCCTTAGTCACTTCCACTCTCTGGACTGTCTTCTACATCAAACATCAGGCACTCAGATCAAAGGAGCATTTTGAACAGGCAGCCAGATCACCATAAATCACCCAACTGGACTGTCTCATTGTAACCAGAAAGGAGCAACAGACACAAAAGCTGTTTTCGAAAAGGAAAAGAGGATCTCAGTGGCCGGGGGAGGCCATTCATTAAGGGGGCTTATTTGCCTGACAGCTGAATGGAAACTTGAACTGCAGCCTCTCAACCTGAACTTCGACTTGGCCTAATTCCATATCGAGTGACAACAGTTTGCCATCTGTCCTGGGTCTGATCCTCCGAGGACCTCAAAGGGCAGATCCAATCTCCCTTCACTTGGCCTTGACATGCATACCCTATCCGTTCTTACATAAGAACCAATTTATTCTCCGGCTCCTCTCACAGATGGCTGGACAGTTGCCTGTTGCCTTATCTACCACACCACCTGAGAGAGTTAGGGGTGGGGGTGGGTACTTTACAGTGAGGATGGAGCTGATACAAGCACTCATAGGCAGAGTATTTCAATTGGGGTGGGACAGGTGTAACCCACCCACCTCTGCTCTAAGTGTTGGCTTACAGGGCCACATGGAAAGGATGTGGACTTGGGAGTCAATTGTATTGTGTTTCAGATCCTGGCTTCCTCATCACTAGCTCTGTGACCTTGAACCAGTCGTTGTACTTTCTCTGCTCAGCGTCTTAGCTATAAAAATAACTCCTTCCCTGTGGAGTTCTTGTGAAGATTTAATTTAATGGGGGTAATCTATGTAAATCACTTTGGATCTGACACTGAGAACGAGCTTCTTAAACAGCAGGTATTATTATTATTAATAATAATACCTCAGCAAATGTCTCTCAAACCCAAGAAGTCTCCAGGAACATGGCTGAAATTATTGTTGTTGAACTAACCTCTTCCCAAAACTCACAGAGAAAATTAGCACAACATGGAGCTATGAGGGTTGTTGGAAATCATTTGATCTGTCCATTTTACAGATGGGGACAACAAGGCCCAGAGAAAGGGAGACAGGTAGGCCAAGGCCACCCAGCAAGTCAGTGGCAGAGCAAGGAGGTGAAGCCCAGCCCCTAAGCTTCCCCTCATAACCCCCCTCTCTGTTCATATGCATCCATTATTCTTGCTGCATAGCAAATATCCCCAAAACATAATGGCTTAAAACAGTAACAGTCATTCTATTATCGTATTAGTTTGTTAAGGCAGCCGTAACAAAAAAACACAAACTGGGTGGCTTAAACAACAGACATTTATCTTCTCATGGTTCTGGAGGCTAAAAGTCCACAGTCAAGGTGCCGGCAGGTTGGCTTTTCCCGAGGCCTCTTTCCTCGGCTGCAGGCGGCTGCCTTCTTGCTGTGTCCTTGGTGGTTTCTTCCCTGTTCATGCACACTCCTGGTGTCTCTTCCTCTTCTTGTAAGGAAATCAATCCTGTTGGATTAGGGCCCACACTTATGACCTCATTTGATCTTAATTACCTCCTTAAAGGCCCTGTTTCCAAATACACCCATATTCTAAGGCACTGGGGTTAGAACTTCAATATGTGAATTTGGACAGCGGGTTGGTTGTGGAGGGAGACACAATTCAGTCCACAGCATGACCTCTCACTGTTTCTGTGGGTCAGGAATTCCAGAAAGTTCAGCTGGGCAGTTTAGGCTCAGCATCTCTTTCATGCCATTGTTTTTTCAGATGGGGGAATGGAGATGGAACATTGGGGGCTGGAGCACCCGGAGACTGGCCCAGCATTTCTCTCTTCACATAGTCTCAAGGCTTCTCCAGGTGGTCTCTCCATGTGGTTTAGTGTGGGCTTCCTCATGGTATGGTGACCCTCAGGCAGTCAGTCTGCTTGTACAGCAGTACAGGGTGTGAGACCCAGGGGGTCCAGCGAGCAAGATGGCAGGTGTACAGAGCCATGCTGCAGCACCACCTCCGCCTCCTCTATTGGTTACAGTCACACCGTGCTTGGCTGAGTACTGCCCCCAAAATTCATGTCCACCCAGAACCTCAGAATGCCACCTTATTTGGAAACAGCACCATTATAGACGTACTTAGTTAAGGTGAGGTCTTACTGGAGAAGGGCTGTATTAGTCCATTTTTGCACTGCTATAAAGATGCTACCTGAGACTGGGTAATTTATAAACAGAAGAGGTTTAATTGACTCACAGTTCCACACAGCTGGGGAAGCCTCAGGAAACTTACAATCATGGCAGAAGGCAAAGGGGAAGCAAAAGGGGAAGCAAGGCACATCTTACATGGCAGCAGGAGAGTGCGAGCAATGGGGGAACTGCCAAACACTTTAAAACCATCAGCTCCCATGAGAACTCACTCACTATCACGAGAACAGCATGAGGGAAACCGTCCCCATGATCCAGTCACCTCCCACCAGGCCCCTTCCCTGACATGCAGGGATTACCATTCGAGATGAGATTTGGGTGAGGACACAGAGACAAACCATATCAAGGGTGGACCCTAAATCCAATATGGCTGGTGTCCTAATAAGGAGTGGGAGGTTCCGACACAAAGGCATCACAGAGGAGGCAGGAACAAAGGCTGCCTTCCTATGTTCTTGCATTGCTATAAAAAAAAAACCTGAGACTGGGTAATTTATAAAGAAAAGAGGTTTAACTGGCTCGTGGTTCTGCAGGCTGTACAGGAAGCATGGCAGCATCTGCTTCTGGGGAGGCCTCAGGGAGCTTTTGTTCCTGGCAGAAGGCAAAGCAGAAGCAGGAGTCCTCATGGCTGGAGCAGGACTGAGAGAGATGGGAGAGGTGCTGCACACTTTTTTTTTTTTTTTTTTTTTTTTTTGAGACGGAGTCTCGCTCTGTGGCCCAGGCTGCACACTTTTAAAACAACCAGATCTCATAAGACCTCACTCACTGTCACGAGAATGGCACCAAGTGGGAAATGCACTTCCATGATCCAGTCGCCTCCCACTGGTCCCTCTTCCAACACTGGGGATTTGGGCAGGGACACAGAGCCAAACCATATCAAAGGCCATGTGAAGAGGAAGACAGATTGAAGCGATGCAGCTACAAAGAACGCCAGGGATGGCTGCCAGCCACCAGGAACTAGGAAGAGGCTAGAAAGGACTCTCCCCTAGAGCCTTCAAAGGGAGTTTGGCCCAACCAACACCTTGATTTTGGATGTCTGCCTCCAGAACTGTGAGAGAATACATTTCTGTTGTTTTGTCACCCAGTTTGTGCTAATTTGTTACAGAGCCCTAGGAAACTAATGTACAAGCCCACCCACATTCAAGGGGAAGGGAATTTCCACCTCTTGATGGAAAGTGGCAGGGTTCCAGCAGAGCACATGGGACAGGAGTTACTGTACCACCCATCTTGGCAAAGCACAATCTGCCACAAACTCTGGAGTGTATACGAAGAGTAGGGCAGAAGTGTTGAGTGTATGTTTAGGGCTCCAAGCATAACAGAGGTTTATTTCTCACTCATGGAAACCACAGGCCTCCAGTTCCTTCCAAGACAATCTAAGCTTTCTGAGGTTGACCATCCCCAACCTAGAAAGCTCCTAAAGGATTTCTGATGTGGCTGGACCTAGGAAAGGAATAGAAGCTGGATCGTGTGGCCAGAGAAGCTGGAGGGATGGGTATGGCTCCTGGCTCACCCCAGCCATGGGGCAGGACTCCTAAACCAGCACGAAGCAAACCCACAACCACTGCCCTTGAAGCCTTAACAGGGACATTTACCAGGTAATTCTAGGAATCTGTCTGCACATTAAGGAAGACTCATCTCTCCAGGGTGGCTGGGGCTTGAAGGGAGGGGACCTGCTGCTTGTTCCCTGATTCTAGAGGTGCTCTGCCCACCAGGGACAGCTGTTCCAGGCTGCCTAGCCAAAGCCCACACTTGCTGTCTTAGGTTTTCAGCTTGCTATAACAAAATACCATAAACTTGGTGGCTTAAAAACAAAAGAAATTTATCTCTCACACTTCTGGAGGCTGGGAAGTCCAGGATAAGGGTGCCAGCAGATTCAGTGCCTGGTGAGGGCCTGCTTCCTGGTTCGTCGACAGCCATCTTTCTACTGTAACCTCACACGACAGAAGAGACAAACAAGCTCCCTTGGAAATCTTTTATAAGGGCATTAATCCCATTCATGAGGCCTCATGGCCTAGTCACCATCATGACCCAATCACCTCCCAAAGGCCCCACCTCCAGTTGTCATTACGTGGGGCATTAGGTTTCACATTAATTTGGGGGGGGCACAAACATTGAGACCATAGCAGGGCTGCCATAAACCAAAGCTCTGCCTTGAGCTGCCTTTCTCTTAAAGGAAATGTTTTCCTTGCTAAAACTACAAGACTAGAATTGGGGTAAACTCCAGGCACATTGTATTCGTTCAAGGATCCCTAGCAGCAAGCAAAAACAAACTCACAGATGATTAAATACTGAGCTCCAAACACAATCGAGCTTTATTTCTCACTCATGTGAAGCCCAGTGCAGGGTTCTGATTAGCAGGTGTCCCTTCTCCAAGGCGTGATTGAGAGACCCAGGCTCCTTCCATCTTGTGAGTCCCCTATCTTCAATATGTGGCTCCCAATGTCGCCATGGAAACTACATCAAACATGCAGAAAGGCAAAAAGCACAGAGGATGGGCTGGGGGCTGTGGATGGGGAAGAAGTGCCCATCACCTCCACCTACAATTTATGGTCTAGAACCCATTCACAGGTCTGCACCTAACCACAAAAAGAGACTGGGAAACAGTCTGGCGGCACACCCAGGAGAAAGGGAAAGGGGCTTGGTGAGGAGCTAGCCAGCGTCTGCCCATAGGAAAGAAGGTCAGAGGCTCAGCGGCTCATTACGTCCTCAAGTGCCTGGGCTCTCTCCCTTTCCCCCCATCTGCCCACAGAGACCACTCTGCCAGTGGTCCAGTCCACCCCTGGACTCACCCTGAACTCTTCAAGCTTTCTACCTTACAGCAAATCCATTAGCAAATCCCTCTGGCTCTGCCCTGGCATCTCTAGACCCTGGCCTCTTCTCCATCACCCTGGTCCACGTCACCATCATCTCTCACCTGGGTAATCACGGTTACCTCCTCACTGGGCTTAGAGCTACTACCTGCTCCTCCTCCAGCCCTTTCTCGTCACAGCAGCTTGAATAATCCTTTCAAAACGGAATTGGAGATCTGTTCTATGCCAAAACTGCCCATTAGCGACACATCTCACCCAAGCCAGCGTCCTCGAAGTGACCCAGGGGTCACAACTCATGTTCTCTTAGACCTCATCTCCTCTCCTCTCCATCCCCCTTCCCTGTTCACTCTGCCCCAGCCCCACCATGAAATGTAGACCGGCCTTTTCCAGCTCTTGAATCTGGGCCCATTTAGGAAGCATGTCTACCACAAAACTAAAAGCCACCATCCTCAGTGAGGTTGCTCCTGTTTTCATGATTCTCCCCATGGTTGCAAGATGGCTGCCATGACTCCAAGAATAACATTACACTGCAGCCCCCAATGTAAGAGGCAAGAAGGGGCGCTCCCCATATCCACCTCTCTCTCCTCATCAGAGAAGGAAATCCTTCCCAGAAGCTTTCCTATGACTTTCATCATCCAAACCCAGCACACATGACCACCTTTAGTTTCAAGGGAGCCTGGGAAAGGGCATGTTAGGGTCTTTGGGCCTCTAGAGTAGAAGGTAGGTGAGGTTGAGGTGAGTTTGGAAGGGATGCTATCTAGGCAACTAGTAAGGTTTGCCAACAGCCTTGCTTAAGCAGTCTCAGAAGTGGAGCACTGCAGAGCCTGCACAGTGGAGGAGTCCAGGCCAGCCTGTGAGAGGGACCAGGCAAGGCCAGAGTTGGCATGGTCTGCCCAAGTTTCCCTAATTCACTAGAGGAGAGGCAGCCTGTGCCGAAGTCTCTCATGGCCCAGTCTAGCATCCTCAATCCAGTTCCCATAAGTCCTACTCCATGAGAAGTAAGGGGGGAAGTTCTGGAAACAGCCCATGAGGCAAACGTCATAGGTCACAGCTGCTTCCCCTTCAACAGAAGTGCAACAGAAGTGCAAGGACAGAGATAGAACACTTGGCTGTGAATAACAATCACTCCTTTGATCAAGCCCTGCATTTTTTGCAATGCTTGTGGTCCTCTCTGAAGTCAGCAGCACATTGACTGAGGCAGGAAGGCTGCGGTGCCAATCACCCACCCACAATATCCACCCGGAGCGATTTTCTTCCTAGTTCATTTCCCCTCCGTTTGCCACTTGATAAAATATAGTACAATATTTTTTCCTGGAAAGGACAGCTGTTTTATCAGTATTACAAAGCACCTTCAATTTGAACTCAACTTGTAACCACAGCCAAAGACTATTTTGCTTTTAGTCACTATTATGTGGAATGTTATTCATTACTTTTTTTTTCCAGCAATATGTTTTCTATCAATGTGTATCTTTGATAACTCTTTTTTCTTAACATGAATGAGTTTCTCTCTACCACAAATATTATGTGAGTAGACAACAGGCATGCTAAACTCGAGTGTCTTTGACTTCTTGGGAAAGAAAAAGCAAAAGAGAATTGAATTAACTCTCTTTTCCCTGGGTCCATCCCTAAGACTTGCAGAAGCCCGACCTTCTCCACTCTTTCCCACCCTCACCTGCCTAATGAGAATGAAATTCCACAGGCTCAAGAGGGCACGGTAGATCTGTGTGGGCATCCCAAGCTTTGGGTGCTGGGGTCTGGGATGGAGAAGAGTCTGTAACTCTGGACAGCAGCACCAAGTATCACCCCTGCTCCTGCCACGTGACTGGTTACAAGCATGAGGAACACATGGGGTCAGGCTCTAGATGCAGGCTGTCATTTTTAGAGTGGGTAACCTTGGAAAAGTCACAGAGCCTCAGAGATCCTAGGTGAGCCCTAGTGCCTATCTCTGCAGAGTGAAATCACCCTGCAGGCTTGGGTGAGAGCTGCAGTCTCTCCTTGTCAGTGTGCTTGCCCAACTCTGAAGTACTCTCTACATGGGAGCTGTGGTTGTTGTTCAAGAGAAGCAGAGTCCCCCAACTTGATCACTGCTCTCAGGACCTTACAGTCTGGGAAGGAAGGCCAGAAATCCTTCTCATCCACAAGGCCCTGGTCTCATGGTGCCTCCTCCAGGAAGCCTTCCTTGTCCCTCCATACCTGCTCTGTGCCCAGGCAGCACCTGAGTCTCATGCTGCCTCCTCCAGGAAGCCTTCCTTGTCCCTCCATACCTGCTCTGTGCCTGAGCAGCACCTGGCAAGCTGCTCCCTGTTGCCCCTTTCACATTACACTTTGTGCTAGTCTGAGTGCCTCTGCCATATCTGAGCTTCCCCCAGTCATCTGTGGAAGCCTGGAGCCTAAAAGCAACTTTGTGCTCAGAAAATACTAGCTGGCTTCATGGAGACACCCGGGGCACAGACACAGGGAGCTGTTTCTAAACAACAATGCAAAGTTTAACTTGCCAGTCTGGTGCATGGCAACTGCAGAGCTGAAAGTGGGTCTCCTGAGTGGCATGAGCACTCTTTCAAAATGCAGCTCCTTCAGGAACTGCTTTAGGGGAAGGCGCAGCACACTGAGGGGCCAGGTCATGGCAGGGTGCTCTTTTGGCAAAGCTAAATCTTCCCATATCCACATCACACTGAGAACCTGTAATTAACCAGTGCCCAGAAGGCACATGGCAGTTTCCAAAGAGCTCTGGGGGATAGAAAAGAAAAACATATTTGAAACATCTAAGCCAGCAATGGATTACATCTAGAATGTGCAAGAAACTCCTGCAAATAGATAAGAAAAAGCAGGCCTAATGGGAAAATGGGCAAAAGAAAAGAACAGGCAACTTACAGAGGAAGAAAACAAAAGAACCAGCAAGTACCTGAAGAGACACTCAAAAGTATTAGCAATTAGAGAAATGCTATTTAAAACAAAGATCACTGTACACATATTAGACTCACAAAAATTAGAAAGATGAGTTGTGCCAAGTGCTGGTGAAGATATGACATGGCACGACTTAGCCAAACTAGACATCCTGTGCCACAAACAATTCCACTTCCAGGTTTACAGTCCACAGGAATTCCCACAGTGGCCTACATGGTGACTTAGAAGGTCATTCTGCAGGATCACTGTATTCCCTTCAAACCAAGGCTCATTCCACTGTGAGACACACCAGTATTTTATGTAACACTAAGAAAGGAAAAACAATGAAAAAATCCTCTCCCGTCAGAGACTTTTATACAATTGGAATTCAAAAATGCCTATTTTGAATCTTTTAACCTCATTGATATGGGTTTTTTTTCAAATCATTTTTCACCCTTAGGCATATATAGAAAGAAAAATAGAAGTAAAGCAAATTGAGTGAGTCTTTTAGCTCTCCCTCACATCCCAAGCCCAGCTCTCTGAATCACCTTCTGACCCAGAAGTTATCAGTGTCCATCTTTACCCACACAGCACTGCCTTCAAGAGTGTGATCATGAAGCATTTCTTCAGCATGCTCCACTATCACCTCCTGATATGCTTCCAGGGTACAGTCGCCCCTTGAGCCAGTTCCAACATTAATACTGATAATGTTTGTGCAGGGCAGGCAGTAGCAACTGTCACTACTGAAGACAGCAAGCACAAGAAGCCACCCAGTGTGAGATGTTAAAATAATCAACAATGTGCATCTTCGAATCTCTAAGACATGGTGTTTGTGGATTTGGTAGCCATCTGGGAATGACAGTGATATAGTTTTGATTTGTGTCCCCACCCAAATCTCATGTTGAATTGTAATGCAATGTTGAAAGTGGGGCCTTGTGGGAGATGACTGGATCATGAGGGCTGATATGGTTTGGCTGTGTCCCTACCCAAATCTCATCTTAAATTGTAGCTGCCATAATCTCCACATGTCATTGGAGGGATTTGGTAGGAAGTAATTGAATCATGGGGGCGAGTTTTCCCATGCTGTTCTCATGAGAGTGAATAAGTCTCACGAGAGCTGATGGTTTTATAAAGGGCAGTTCCCCAGCACAGGTTCTCTTGCCTGCCACCATGTGAAGAAGGACATCTTTACTTCCCCTTCCACCATAATTGTAAGTTTCCTGAGGCCTCCCCAGCCCTGTGGAACTGTGAGTCAATTGAACCTCTTTCCTTTACAAATTACACAGTCTCGGGTATGACCTTATAACAGTGTGAGAACGGACTAAAACAGGGGCGGTTTTCTCCCTTTTGTGCTGTTCTGGTGATAGAGTTCTCTTGAGATTTGGTTGTTTAAAAGTGTGTGGCACCTCCCCTTGCTCTTCCTCTTCCTCCCGCTCCAGCCATGTGAAGACATGCCTCCTTCCCCTTTACCTCCCACCATGATTGTAAATTTCTCGAGGCTTCCCCAGCCCCCATGCTTCCTGTACAGCCTGTAGAACCATGAACCAATTAAACCCCTTTTATTTATGAATTACCCAGTCTCAGGTATTTCTTTATAGCAGTCTGAGAACAGACTAACATAAATGGGGAAAATGAAGCAGAGACACGCCATGGAGCTCTGTGTAGCAGCTAGAAGCACTGGACAGAGGGCACACACACACAACTGTTCATGTAAATCAAAACGGTAATTTCCACAAAACTTACTGGAACAGTTGCTTATATGGAGGGAGGAGAAAAGGAGAAGAGAGTGGAGAGAAAGTGGAGTAACTACATAAGTAATTAACAAGAACGACAATGATAAAAACAAGAAAGGGGTCTTGCAAAAGTTGAGAGGTCACATGTTACACTCATTTAATACTCACAACTCCTACCATCTGTAGTGCAGAGATGGGGAAACCAAGGATCTGAGAGAGTGGAATGGGGAATCGAGTCCAGGAGAGAGAGACCTCCCATTTATGAGCACCTACTGTGTACCGGATTAGCCTCATGATAGGCTTAGCCTCACGACACTGCCAAGGCAGAGAGATTGCCCTCACTTTACAAGGGCAGACACTAAGGTTCAGAAAGGGGAACTCTCTTGCCTGGGGACCCACAGCTTATAAGAACCAGCTGAGATTTGAGCCCAGGTGTGAGGCTCCAAAACTTGTGGTCTCTCCATGATGTGCCTTTTTCTCCATGTACCTATCAAAGGTTCAGGCCAGAAAAGGGAGGCAGAAGAAATCCCAAGGAACTGGAACCCAGGGCCATACCTGCAAGAAGTAGAGAGGCTCTGCCATGCCTGCAAGAAGTAGAGAGGCTCTGTATATTGGGAGAACATGGGAGGCGGTGCACCAACCAGTGGGGAGGGGGAAATCCCATCTCATGCCATGAAGCTACATGGCAGTCAGGTGGCCTTACTGGCTGCAGGTAAATGTGTGGACGAGCAGGCATGGTTGAGCTCAGCACAGGGGCAGGCTTGCTGGACAGACAATCACAGGCATCTCTGCCACACCCCCATTCTGTCTGACCTATAGGCAAGGCACAGAGCTTCTGTCCCCGAGCCACTGTCCATCTGCCCTTCCTTCCAGCCACCCTCCTAACAAACTGATTATTTTGCTTATTTACTTGTTGTCTCTTTCTGCCCCCAAAGACTGTAAAATCCATGAGGGCAGGGATTTTTGTGTGCTTTCTCCTTTGCCACATCCCCAGTGCCTGCATGTAGTAGACCTCAGTAAAAGCTTTGTTGAATAAATGAAATCATGAAAGGCCTTATATCCCATGCCAAGGAGTGTAGCGTGCTTCCTGAGGCACTGGGGTGGCTACTGTAGGGTCTGGGTAGAGCTGAGACATTCTCAGACCTGCCTGACAGCAGCAGTGGGTGCAATGGTTAGGAGTGTAGACTTCATAGCCCGGCTGCCAGGTGTGGCCCCTGTTCCCCACACAAGCCTTGTAACCTTGTGCAAGTCACTCAATCTCAGCTTCCTCATCTGCAAAATGGGGATGAAAATAGTACCTCCTTCATAAGGTTTTGAGAGGATGAAATGAGTTCATACGTGTGGTGTTTAGGACAGTACCTGGCATGATGGTAACATAATAGTCATGTATCAGTTTTTGCTACATAACAAGCCCACCAAAATTAGTGACTTAAAACAGCAATCTTTTATTTAACTCATGACTCTGTAGTTTGGCAATTTGGGATCATCTTGATCAACTATGAGGTTCTTCTGCTGGTCTTGGCTGGGCTCACTCCTGCTCAAGTTGGCAATCAATGACCTCACTCGCATGTTGTATGGTTATCTGGCTGTAGCTGGGGTTACAGGGTACCTGGGCTATGTGTCTCTCTCAACGTCCAGCAGATCAATTCAAGCTTGTTCATGTGGTGGCAGCTGCAGTGTTTCCAAGTGCAAAAAGATAAAGCAAACCCCAGTGTACAAGCACTATTCAAGCTTCTGCTTGTATCATTTTGCAAATATGTCCCATTGGCCAAAACACATCACATGGCCAACCCAGCTTCAAGAAGTAGAGAAACAGGCTCCACCCCTTAATAGGAGGGGAAGAATGTGTGGCCATTTTTGCAATCTATGACTGCCCTTGCTATTTCAGAAATGGCAAAGGCATCTAAAGAGAACTCAGGAGGCCTCTGCTAATGACCAGATTTGATGAAAGACTGGAAGCCCTACTGGGTGTGAGAAATGGGAAACCAGCCTGTCCCATTCCATATCCTTACTTCCCAGCCCTCTGTGATAAGAACTAGTTATTTTGAGTGGCAAGTGGGCTATGCCAGAAGTAGGTTTCTGCTCTGTCTCAAATGGCCCTCGAACTTTTGGGGATGGAGGACAGAGTGCAGGCTTTGAGCAGATCTTTCAGAGAGTGGTCAGGGCTGTCCGCCTGTAGCACCCTCTGAAGGTGGCATCCCCAAGCCTCAGCCTCCGCAATCCAGTCTGTAAAAGCCTGATCTCACTTAGCTCCTTCTCAAACAATAATTTGAAATCAACGAATCCTGTGCTGACATACTCCTCCCCTATGATTACTGAGCTCTAGACATGAGGAAACAGGCATTTCTCAACCAAGCCCTCCATCAGTGATTACCATTATTGCATAATTGGGGACCTCAGAAGCAACAGAGTGCCGTGAGCTGCCAGGCCCAAGCTCCTACTCAAATGACACTCTGAGTTCAGCTGCTAGAAGACAGGAAAATGTGGCTAATTGAGACTAAAGACTGCTCTGAGTAGCTTTCTAATTTTCCACAGTTAGTTCCTTTTTATTCTGCAGTGGTGTCCTTTTGGTAATTGACTTTCAAATAATACTTGTTACATATCATACTTAAACAGGAGTATTTCTGGCAGGGTTGAGCTATACAATGGATCTAGAAGTGGATTTCATTAAGGGAACCAGCTCTACAGATCTGAGGCACTCCCTCAGTGCCAGCCACACACTAATGTTCAAGAAACATGGCCCATGAGATATGTCCACACAGTTATCAGTGTACAGAAATCGCAGCATTATTTGTGTGTGCATGCAGCAACCACACAGACGATCACAGAATTCTCACATCTTTTCTCTCATTTTTCCTGACCCTGTGAGTTTAAAAGGACAAGAAACAAATGAGGACACTAGATTCATCAAAATTGGATCATGAAGCATGTTACTGCACATCTACTATATGCCAAGCATTGGAAATACAGACATGAATACAGCAACACCTGCCTTCAAGATGTTCACAACATGGGGGCATGGATGGGGAAAACCAAAAAGCAAAAAATTATAATAATGCAGTGGGAAAGTCAACATTATAGAGATTTATACACATGCAAGATGGAGCACAGAAGACAGTAACTCTCTGGGGATTGAGGAAGTGAAAGGAAATGAAAGTCAAGTTGAGTCCTGAAGGATGCCTAGAAGTCAACCTGTTGAAGAGGGAGGCTAAGACATTCCAGTTAGAGCAGTAAACAAATGCTGCCTACTGCAGGAAAGGAAGAGGTTTTCCAGGACCCATGTGCCAAGGGTATATAGCAGAGTGTGGACTAACCTCAAGTCCCCAGCCTTGACTCGGTATCCATAGTTTTCATGCTTGTGTGCTGTCCAATTGTTTGGCAAATACGTTCACTTCTGTGCTTCCGTGGAAGCTTTCATGATATCCTCTGGGGAAATTGGCTGTCATTGCTCCAACCTCATTTGGATTCTTATTTTAGAATTGCCACTGGAGTCCATTTGTAAGCCATATAATGCTTTTGTTTTTACAGGAATACATTGTTTTTATCCCAGGTGCTATATTCCTTAGCACGACTATCCATTTTGTTGCTAAATTTGGCTCTAAAGAATTTGGAAGCATTTGCAACATTAAATGTACCCTCAAAGTTGATGATGGCCACTGCACTGAGCGTGTTCAAAGAAATGTGCTCTTGTAGGAAGAGGGTACATCTCAGTCTGCCCCCTTCCTCACCTCTGCCCAGGGGAAGGGAACCTCCATCTTCAGCTACTCTGAGCAGGGTGCCTGGTGCTGGAAGACCAAGGACTATGTCTGTGGGTGGCACTTGCCCTCCATTCATTGAGATTATTAAGCTGATTCTGTCACCACCTCTGCCTTGAGGACTCAGCCAACTTATTCACTCTCATCTCAACATGCTCATTTTCACTTCAGATTCTTGTAGCACAAGGCCTGCCAGAGGAGCCTAAAACATCCCACGGTTTGAATTGAGAGTGAGGGAGCAATAGGAGACTCTGTTTACTTTGACAGACCACATACTGATTAAGATGCAAGCAATGTGGAATGTTTGTTTTTAAAAGTCTGATCATTCATTAAAAGCCACACCTTGTATACGGTCAGTGCCAGGGAAAGGAACAAAGCACTTTCCATTAAAAACGTTTGCAAAATCCTTTTTAAGAAAGGAGCAAGATTCTGAACCTAGATAGACAATGGGGACCAAGAGCCCATTTCTAAACCAGCATACTAGTCACAAGCTTCTCCTCCTTCAGTGCATTGAGCACCTGCCTTCATGTACAGAGGAGCCTCCCCCACCCGCATGCCACCTCTCTAATACTGGTATGTAAGCCCCCAGTCCAGAACCCTCACCTCAAGGAGGAAACGATAGTTCTACAATGTCCACTTCGGCTCTCAAAATTACATGCTGTGAACTATTGAAAACAAAACCCCAGAACCACACAGGGCATCACAGAGAAAGACTGGCATTTCCAAGCTGGGGACTGCAGATTGAGGCGCCTTTGTGAGGTCTACAGTTCCTGCTCCTGAGGGCAACCAGGGTGGCTGGCTGCCCTGCTTTCCACGGAAGCCGGCAAGCAGTGTGACACTGTCACTCACCAAGAAAAGTCACTTCCTAAAATACCACACGCTGCAGGTAAACAGAAGAAAGGTCAGAATGATGTAGGTGTGTGTGCTATAAACCATCTCGTACATAAAAATTGCCTAATTACTGGGGAGATATGAAAAAGCATACATTACTCCTCAGAGCGGCTAACCCTCGGGGCTGGATAGGAAGCGAGGCACCTCTCAGAGCAGCTCAAATACATCAGACCTCAGGCCTCCTCTAGTTGCAGAGAAAATACCAAAATTCTTTATGCCCCCACCCCTATCACATGACTACATATGAAGCAATCTGTGAAAACAGCATGAAAACATCATATAAACTTGAGTCTTTGTGTTCATTTCATACTTAAATAATGTGACTAATCATTGTTTTTTACTTTGTCCTTGAATTTTCATTATGAAGATAGAAAAGATATAAATTTCATCCATTAGGTTTGGAAGCATACATAGTATGCTATTTGAATGAATTACATTTTGTTGACTTCCGTCTGTTCAGTCAGATTTTGAAATAAGGTGAGTGAAAATCACTTCCTCCATTGTCTCTTGTTCTTTTGCTTGGTATCTAATCTATGCCACCCCAACTCTGCAAATATGGGTGCTTTATCATTCAAAGATCAAGCCCATTTTAAAGTGATACAGTTCTTTTAAAATCATTTTGTAATTCATTTGTACCCCCCCAAAAAAAAAATCATTTGTTGAGTGTCCACTATGTTCTAGCCATTGAGCATCAAAGAGTAAGTCAGCAGACAATTATTGTTCCAGTATTTCCATGAGTTTGTCGGGGCACTATAACATATATCATTATAAAAACAGTTGTAAAAGAGGGAGCAGATAGGAGAGACTCCTCACCCAGAGTGACAGGATTGGGTAAGGCTTCCCAGAGGAAGTGATACCAGACTCTTAAGGAATTAGTAGGAATTAGTTAAATGGAAAAAAGGAGAAAGGGATTTGGGGGCAGAGATTGTGCCACCTGCAAGGCTTGATAGAGAGAGCAGCTCATTTGAAAACCACAAGTCGTGTCTTTAAGATGCATCACATCGATATGAACTGTGAGTGGCAAGTCCCTTATTTCTAGTTGGTTTTCTGTGCAATAAATAGAGGACCTTCTTGAATTTTCCTCCTTTTTCCCCTTAAGGTATGTGTGTGAATCAATGTCGCTAAGTTTATTGTATCTTTGTTTTGGAAGACAGGCAATATTAGAAAGAACATATATGCCAGGGTATCAGAGGCTTCTAGAGAGATGAATGGGAGTTAAAGGACTTCTGGGAGCAGAGAAGCTCCTGGAAAAACCTGGCAAAAGAAGGATCAAAGGCCATAGGAAGTGACTCTGACTATCACAGAAAAAAATGGTAGATGCAAAATCCATCAGAGGGCTTGAATTCCACCGTCCCGTCTCCCTGAATGCGTGTTTGTGTGGCTGCAAACACACACAACTAGGGAACACTGGGGGAGGCTCTTGGGTCATTTACGCAGGCAGAGGGCTGACTAGACCAGTGACAGTTGTTGCATGGCCTGGGAAGAAAGCCCAGGAATAAGGGCCACTTCATCAAAAAGGAGTAATTGCAGACTGGAGGCTGAGTTGTCTACATCACAGGCATTGCCAGGATGCTGGTCACAGAAACAAGGGCATCCCCACGATTCCACCTGCCCTCTCAGGAGAGGAAGTGTCTGTAACTATGGGGGAGGGGAGTGACTTTGCCCTCTTGAGGTCTTCCAGAAGTGCTGCTTATTTGTGGTGCCCACTCACATAATGTGTAATGCAACTATCATCTAGCACTTTCCATTCGCTGGAATGTCTTTTTTTTTTTTTTTTTTTTTTTGAGACAGAGTCTCGCTCTGTCGCCCAGGCTGGAGTGCAGTGGCACAATCTCGGCTCACTGCAACCTCTGCCTCCCGGATTCAAGCAATTCTCCTGCCTCAGCCTCCTGAGTAGCTGGGACTATAGGCGCATGCTGCCATGCCCAGCTAATTTTTTGTATTTTAGTAGAGACTGGGTTTCACCGTGTTGCCCAGGCCGGTCTCCAACTCCTGAGCTCAGGCAATCCGCCTGTCTCGGCCTCCCAAAGTGCTCGGATTACAGGCGTGAGCCACCGTGCCTGGCCCTGGAATTTCTAAATCTGTAGTAACTGCATTGTTTTCTTGATTTCTAGATTTCCTGTATTTCCATTTCCCCAAAGAAAAGGGAAATATAACAACTGGAACTCTTCCAAACTCTTCCAAAAAGTCAATTACCAAAGGGAAATTCCTTATCAAATTCATTGATTATGCCAACGCACTAGTTCCACACTCAACCAGTCTCTCTTAAAAATGAGTGAGATAGGCTAGCTGCTTTGTGATCACAGAAGAAATGGAAGGCCTAGGCCCCATGCAAATGAACTCTCGGTCCCAGGTGGGAAAACGAGATTTCACAAAGGAAATAACAGCACACAACAGAAAGCATCCAAAAGCCTGAACTGTATGAACTGAACTGGAGATCTAGTCACCAGATCTTTATTGAGCATTTATTTAATCACTGGTTCATCCATCTCTCTCTCTCCCAATGTTTACCAAGTGCCTTCTAGGTGCCAAAAAATCATGGGGAATACAAAGGGGAAACAGAAGCAAAGTGTTTCTTGCTTAGGGAGAGTAAGAAGTGGAGACATGACTGCGATGTTAGATTGGCATTTCAGAGGGCTGCATGTATGGTGCTATGGGGATTTAGAGGAAGGAGAGCACCACCCACCCTCACTTTAAACAGGGTAGATGTTATGTGGGTTAAGTATTCCTTCCAGACCTTGAAAGATAGGGAGGACCTGCAGAGACCCCTGATTCTCAGGACAAATCCTGGAATCTTACCAGTCCCCGATCTAGGCATACACGGTCCTATGGTGGCTTCACACTGGAGACGTCCGTGACATGCCTGGCAATGACTCGAACATCTACGGGAGCTGCATGTGTAGTGAGAAGAGCAGTCTTGGACTCGCTCAGAAGGACCTGGTTGGATTCCAGACCTACTGCTGGCTTGCCAGGAGACCAAGATGCAGTGATGTATCACCCCGATGCCCCTGCAGGACTGAAGTGTCTTCCTCCAGCTGTTGGGAACATGGGCACTGACTGATGAGAGTTGCTCAAGAACTGCCCTTGGTGGAAGGGAGCTGCTTTAACTTGGGGCAACCCATATCTAGTAACAGTCCATATGGGGAAAGGGGGCACAAAGGTTCTACCCTGTGCCTCAATTTGGGACTTTGCTGAAGGACCATCCCAGTTCAAGCTTTCTGGGATTGGCCGAGGCCTTTCTTGTGACTACCCTATGATTTAATTTCTCCCTCTGCACAGCCCAGCTTCCCTCACCCCCCCATAGGCAGGGGTGCGCTGGTACTGATGGCACCAGCTGGTGAGAGCCGATTCCGTGCACCTCTTCCCAGTGCCACATTCAGTGACATCAAGTTGGTAGCTTAGAAATAGGCCATGGTGGGAGAATTTACACTAAAACTGTCGAACTCCACAAATCAAGATCCCCCAACCCCCATGCCAGAGGATTGTTAACTCATTCAGCAGCACACGGCTGTCTACAGCTGTGAATCTCAAGGCACTCCTCAGCAAACTTCAACACGAGAGTCCTTTCCATTTCAGGGTCTATTTCCTGGGGACCCAATTTAAGACACCAGATGACCTTAGGTGAGATGTATCTGCAAATCAATGTCGTCACAACAACTGTGACTTTGGATATTTCACTTAATCTCAATGAGCCTCAGTTTTCTCATCTCAAAGTGAGAGATGGGGCCTGGATCTATGTGTTTGGGGGCTGTGCTAAGTGGATGCTGAGTGCTCAGGGCATCTCTAAGTTCGTGGAAAGGATAACGAGTATCCATGTTGCCTGAGAAGTAAGCATTAGAGGCCACATCTATCAAACAGGATAAACCTCTCAGGTGGCTGTGAGGAGTCAATGAGACCCGGGAACAAAAAAGCTCCTACTTCAGTGCCTAGCCCAGTAAACCCTCTCTACAAATGAATACAAAATACTGTGATACATCAAATGCTCCCAGACTGTGGTCCCAAGAGGGGAGGATTCATTACTCACCGAGAACCTAGTGGCTCAAAAATGTGTCAAATGATTCGATGAAACAGTCCAGGTCTGTCTCTTTGCATAGCCGAACACAGTGCGGAGAGAAATGATGGACCAACCAATTCAAACGTACGATTTTCACTCCCATTTCTTCTCTGTTGCCCCCATAAACACAAGGACAAGCTTTTAATGGCCAAAGAGTTGAATGAAACCACCTCTTTGGAAGCATTCTGTTTTGCCTCCCATGGTTAGGCTACTGGCTCGTGCACAGAAAAGGCTCTGCCTTGGGTTTTGGCATTACTCTCTTGCTTCATGGAGCAGATTAGTCTTACCCCTATCTACCTCCATCCAGCTACAGTTGAGGGCTAATTGTTACCTTGGAGTGTGTTCGCTGCTGCGGTTCTTTCCTTGTGGAGGGTAATGAAGAGGATTTCTAGTAACCCAAGACGCACAATCATGCCTTTCTTGGAAGCAGATGAAAGGCATTTGTCTTTAGCATTCTGTTGTGCACCTTACTGATTCCCAAATTACGTGTTCGGGAATGCAATCTGAGACATTGCAACCGTGTAGCTGTTTGGCGTGCACTTTCCTGAGCTCTGTCTCCTATCATTTGATAGTTAGAAGCAGTTGCATTTTAGGTGGGGCTTGGCAAGCAGAAATATAAGACGCCCAGTTAAATCTGAATTTCGGATGAATAATGAACACTGGTTTTAGTATAAGGATGTCCTAGGCAATATTGGGGACATATTTACACTAAAAAATTCTTCGTTGTTTATCTGAAATTCAGATTTAGCCAGGCATCTGCTATGGTTTGAATGTTTGCGTCCCCTCCAAAATTCATGTTGAAACTTAATCCCCATTGTGGCGTTATCAAGAGGAGGGGCCTTTTGGGAAGTGATTGAGACAAGAGGGCACAGCTCTTGTGAATGGAATTACATGCCCTTATAAAGAGGCTTTCGAGAGCTGCCTGGCCCTTTTGCCCTTCTGCCACGTGAGGACAACATATTTGCCGCGTGCCATGTGAGCACACCAGGGAGGAGGATGTCTCAGAAGCAGAGGATGAGTCCTCACCAGACACCAAATCTGCTGGCACCTTGGTCTTGAACTTCCCAGTCTCCATCATTGTGAGAAATACATTTCTATTATTTATAAACTACCCAGTGTAAGGTATTTTGCAGCAGAAATCAACTAAGACAATGTTCTGTATTTTATTTGGCAACCCTAACTTTAGCAAAATTCAAGAAATCAAAGAGTAAGAGAAATTCGTGAGGTTCCACTTGAAGCAGCTCTGGCCATGTTCCTTATTTTGTGTTCGGAGGGATGGGCATCACTGTCAATCATGCACCCTTGCCAACTCTAATCCTTCCGGCTGGTGGGGAGGGGCATATACAAGAGATGAACGATGGCAACATTTTACTGACTTGAAATTACAACTTCCTACCTTTGAAACATCATTAATTTTAGAGTTATTCCTGTATCCTGCAGTAAGAAAAAAAGTGAAGAAAAAAGTCCCCCTAAGCTTCACATACATAGAACACAACTTCTGCCATCTGGAATGTCTCCTAACTGACCTCAATTACTGCCCCATCAGTAGTTCCTGCCACTTTATCCACCATATCTATGTTCTGAAAATGGCAGGGATCTATCAGTCAAGGTAAGAACCTCTGCCCTTTTGCACATTGGTTTATTTCTGAATTTGGTGCCTAATTTTGCAAACAAGGATGGAGAATTATGTTATGAGTAAGAGCGGAGAAAGGGAAAGAGAGAGAATCTGAAACTGTGTAGACACAGGACTTATCCCCTCTGCTATAGACAGAAAATGCTTGATGGATGCCCGCCTATGTTCCTATACCAAATGCCAGACGCCAGAAGAGAGGCATGGAGTGCACCCCAAAGTTCCTATATCTCAGTTGACTGTGGCAGCAGTGATAGCATAGCTCACCCTTCTACCACCAAGGCTTATTATACCCAAGAGAGCTACAAAATGAGAAAGTCCATGGGTAATTATAAAACAAGAAGATATCTTTCCATGAGCCACAAGGGAATTCAAATCTTATTACTTAACATGCATGCCATTTAGGCCATGATCTGACACCAATAACTTATTACTTTAACGTCTTATTGCATAGGTGTGGAAGCCACTCACGTTGGTCACCACATATACCTCCTCTGGGAACAGAGCAGCCTAGGTCATGGGACATGGAAAAGAGACAAATCCTTGTGATTTTTTTCCCCGAAGATGTTATTTTTTCTTTTAGGGCAGTTTTAGGTTCACAGCAAAATTAAGAGAGAGGTGCCTGCCCCTTGCCTCCTGCCCCCACATGTGCGTAGCCTCCCTGTCCCCCGCCATTATCCACTTCCCCTATCAGAGTGGTGCATTTGTTACAACTGACAAACTTCACTGACACATCATTATCACTCGAGGTCCACAGTGTACGTTAGGGTTCACTGTCAGCACTGTACATTTTGATGGGTTTGGACAAGTGTATAATGATATGTATTCTTCATGATAGTATCAGCCTTGTGATTTTTAAGCCACAGATTTTGGAATTGTTTGTTATTGCAGTAGGACTTAGCTCACACTAATACAATCAGGGTAGAAAATATTTTGGAGTTACAAGGGCCACGCTGCAATGGCTGTACATGGTATCAAGTCAGATATTATGGCCACAGGTATAGCTGTGAAGAGGGTGGCTCTGGAGCCATGCGAGTGTGGGCTCAGATACTACTGTACAACTTACTAGCTATGACTTCAGGCAAGTCACTTGACCTCTTTAAGCATCAGATTCCTAGAAAATCCTAGCACTCCTGTCACAGGGTTGCTAATGGAGATTAAATGACACAATGTGCATAAAATAGCACAGTGCCTGGAACATAGCAAGCTCCCCATAAAAGACAGTTAATATTAGTGCTTCATAATTTGACTATTAAAAGATGTAGGTTCTAATATAAGAGTCCCCACAGTAATACATTCAGCAATCTCTGCTTCAAGTTTCCAAAGGTGAGTTCACAGCATCTTAGGTCTTCTGGTTCCACTTGAACTTAAATACCTATCAGTGACACCTCTGTACTGTGACATCTCCCATTAACTTGCACCTCACTGGGCCTAGTTCTACCTTCTCCAGTGACTCTGAAGAGTCGTGCTCTTCTCCCCCATGACAAACTTTTGAATATCTGTAGACACTGGCCTTCTCCACCACATTCCCCATGACCACCTCTGTGTGCCTCTCTAGATGTCCCAGTTTTCCCATCTCCTTGTGTAACGGGTTGCTTAACCATTCTCCATGCTGCCTGCCCTCATATGGAGCCACCTCAATTCTTCCAGGTCCATACAAATGAGGGCACCAAGATGAGGTCCACTGGGTGCAGAGAGAGCGCATGGGCTAAGCAGCTTCCACTCAGCCTAGGAAGCGGCGATCAACACAAGCCTGCTGCTCTTTCCCACGCGATCTGCTGCTAGGCCACGTCTCCTTCAGCCTATTCTTGGGTAATTGCTATTCTTTTTTCTTAATATAAATGTTTGGCAGATTGATTTCATTTTCTAGTTTTCCTCATTTCCCAACCATTCATTCATTTATTCAACAAATATTTCTCCTGCACAACCACATGTAGGAGCCAGACACTGTGCTTGGTACAGAGGCTAAAAAGATCAAGAGACAAGAGGTTCACAGGCTGCTGAGGGAGACCGATTTGGAAACAGAAACATCCTCCAGAATCTTCTGACTCTTGATATCATGCAAAGTACCAACCATTTCATCTGCAAGCATGATGAGCCTGACTTCAATGTTGATATGGTTTGGCTGTGTCTCCACCCAAATCTCATCTGGAATTGTAGCTCCCATAATTCCTACATGTTGTAGGAGGGACCCAGTGGGAGATAATTGAATCATGGGGGCAGTTTCTCCCGTACTGCTCTTGTGGTAGTGAATAAGTCCCATGAGATCTGATGGTTTTACAAGGGAAAATCCCTTTCACTTTCTCATTCTCTGTTGTCCGAGCCATGTAAGATGTGTCTTTTGCCTTGTTCCGTGATTGTGAGGCCTCCCCAGCCACATGGAACTGCGAGTCCATTAAACCTTATTACCCAGTCCAGTCTTGGGTATGTCTTTATCAGCAGCGTGAGAACAGACTAATGCAGGTGTCTTCACATAGAAATGTGATGAAAGTGTGGAAATAAGGACTGAGCGCCCACAGCAGAGTGGTGACTCCTCTGGATGACTGCGTCCTAGCTACAACTCCGCCTGAGGCTACCATGCCAAGATTCTGCACTTTTTCCAGGCCCTTTGGTCTTGTTAAAAATAAACTTTCACTCCTTTTATTCCTCCTAAGTACTAGCAAAGTAAATAAACTTTCACTCTTTTTATTCTCTCCTAAGGGAGAGAAGGAAGGAGGAAGAAAGACAGAAAACTTAAAAAAAACAAAGAAGAAGAAGGAAACATTTAGGTTAGCATCATATATTTAAATTCGTAAACGCAGATTATAGGGCATTGATGCTTGAAAACAAGTAGAATATTTTCCCATTTCAGGTCTCTGACATTCTTTACATTTTCCGTGATGACTCAGAAATCCCTACCAGTGTTTTGGCCATCACACACCAGCACACTCCAGCTATCCCTAGTGCGCAACAGGCCAATGCTTGGACACTTGGGTTCTTCTGAACTGCGTTAACTATCCTCCTGACATGCTCAAAGCTCAAGAGAGCTGTGAGCATCCCTTAAGGAAGTATTTTCCTTTGAAGAAAACGGAAACAAATTAGCAGGCAAATAGTTCTGCCGGTCTTTTCATCTAGCAACGTTAACTCAGTGCCTGGCAGAGTGTGAAAACCCAATAAATATGTTAGGTAAGTGCATTGTGATCGATAAGTAAACACATTAAATAAATATATTTTTGAGAAGAGGAGAGGATGGAAGAGGAATAACTGACCTAACAGAGCACAAGCAGCCCTTGGAGGGCTCTCCTGAGTGACATGGCCCTCCAGGTTCCTCTGGGAGCTGGGGACAGAGCACAGGGTTGAAAATAAGGGGGCTCACTTGGACCCTAGCCTTCCTTCTCCACTCAGCAAGGCCTAACCCTCCAAAATCTTATTAAAACATCTCTAAAAATGCTGAAGGATAAAACGAAAACAGCTCAAAAAAAATAGAATGAAAAAACAAAGAGAAAAAAAACAGGAGAGAAGTGCAACAAATAATTGCTGAGAGTTCTGGGAACACAGAACAGAGAAGCTGGAGGGGAGAAAATCATCAAAGAAGTAATACAAGAATACTTCCCAGAACTGAAAAGCACAGTGTGCTGGTCTGAAAGGGCCACTGAGTCAAAACCCATCACAGGAAAGTCTGAAACAGCCTCCTCTGTGGTCACCCTGCTACAACTTGTATTCCTCTCCAGTCTGTCCTCCCGGAGCCGTGTCAAGCAGAGCCTCTCACCCCTGCGCGTGTCACTTTCCAAGGGCTTTTCATTTCAAATAGGATAAAATCCAAACTCCTTTCGGTAGCCCCGCGTGATATGGCTTCTGCTGGACTCTCAGACTTCCTGCCTGGCACTCCTTCCTCACCCACTCCAGGCACACGGTGCTCTCTGTTCCTCCCACACGCCAACCACAGGTCCTTTCCACCCGCTTCTGCCTCCATCCTCTGTCTTCCCCAGGAGCTTCTTCTTTCTCACCTCTAGGCCTCAGCACTCACATCGCCTCCTCAGAGAGATCTTCCCTGGTCACTCTAACATAGCACCTACAGTCCAAAAAACATTCCTCAATTTCCCTTTTCTGTTTTATATTCATCGTATTTGTCACTGACTGAAATTATTGTATTTATATATTTCTTATCTTTTTTCCCCTACCAGGTTATAAGCTCCATAAGGTGAAAACCTTGTCTTATTCACTGCAGTATCTCTGGAGTGCAGAATAGTGCCAAAGTAAGCATTCAATATTTGACAAATAATTGAGTTACCGACACAATAAATGACAGGAAGCCTCATGAAGGTGCATGGCCATGAAATGTTACAACAGAAGGACAAAGAGAAGATCCCAAGAGTTTCAAAGTGGAAAGGGCATCAGAATGCACTAAGCTTCCCCCTAGGCAACATTAAATGCTAAAACACAATGAGCGGTGCAACATCTTTTTAAAATCTGAAGGAAAATAATTTTCAAACCAGGCTGCTACACCTAGCCAAACTATCTAACAGATGTGAAGGTAACTCAGATATTTTCCGACATGCAAGGATTAAAAATAATAGCTTCCCATACATCTTTTTAAAGAAGCTTCTGCAGGATGTACTAGTGCAAAGCAAGAGACAAAATCAGGAAAGAAGCTACAGAAATCAGGAACGGGAGATACAATACAGCAAAGTGGTAAAGAGAAGTCCAAAATTATGGTGAGGAGAAGCTTTAGGTGAAGCTCTGCACAGGATCCCAAAGACAACTTGATATCAGGTGGAACAAAAAGAAACACTCCAGAAGGGAGGCATCCAATTTAAAAACAAATTGATGAATTTTCTGATATGATTGAACATGTGAAATAAAAAACTACTGGTGGGTGTTATAATAGATCTGATGGAATAACTGTAAATAGTCAAAAATATGTAAAAAACTTAGAAAAAGATTAATGAGGCAATTTTTAATTCCAACAGAAGCAAAAAGTTTTACCAAAAAAGGAAACGACATCACAATACACTGAAATAAGTAATATCTACCTAGTTGAAACAATGTAAACCCTGACTACCAATTTATCTAAAAATACCTAATTGTACGAAAGGATAGGGGAAGGGGAAGAGTACAAGAGAGCTAAAATCTCATCTATCATAATAAGAACTCAATACTTAAGTTTTAAAATTGATAAATAGTAAATTCGTCAATGTGACAGCAAAACACAAAACTCAAAAATTGTATTTCTTTACACTAACAATGAATCTGTGGAAACTGAAATTAAAAACAATACCTGCCAGGCACGGTGGCTCACACATGTAATCCCGGCACTTGAGGAGGCCGAGGTGGGCGGATCACCTGAGGTCAGGAGTTGGAGACCAGCCTGGCCAACGTGGTGAAACCCCATCTCTACCAAAAATACAAAAATTAGTCGGGCGTGGTGGCGGGTGCCTGTAATCCCAGCAACTCTGGAGGCTGAGGCAGGACAATTGCTTGAACCTGGGAGGTGGAGGTGGCAGTGAGCTGAGATCACACCACTGCACTCCAGCCTGGACAACAGAGCAAGACTTCAACCCCTCCCCCCCCACCAAAAAAAAAACACAAAACCATTTACAACTGCTTCAGAAAAAAGTTAAATTCTTAGGTATACACTTAACAAACTAAGTACAGGATTGTATATTGAAACTCAAAGACCTAAACAACAACAACAACAACAACAAAGTATTGTGTTCATAGATCGAAAGATTTAACACAATAAAGATGTCAGTTCTCCCAAAATTGTCTGTAGTTTCAATACCATTTTTTGTAGACCTCAATTTCATTCTAAAATTTGTATAGAAAGGCAAAAGTTCTCGAATAGCTAAACCAATCTTTAAAAATGACCAAGCGGGAGGAATCTAATACCAAAGCTCACTATATAGCTACAGTAATCAAAACAGTGTGATACTGGCAGATCAGTGGACATAGAGCTAGCTGAATAGAAAATCCACAAATAGACTCATCTACAAATATGTCTAATTTTTTCTGATGGTGCAAAATCAATTCAGAAGAGGAAGAAAAGTCTCTTCAAAAAATTGTTCTGAGGCCAGGCGCGGTGGCTCACGCCTGTAATCCCAGAACTTTGGGAGGTCAAAGTGGATGGATCACGAGGTCAGGAGTTTGAGACCAGCCTGGCCAACATGGTGAAACCCTGTCTCTACTAAAAATACAAAAATTAGCCGGGCCTAGTGGCGCATGCCTGTAATCCCAGCTACTTGGGAGGCTGAGGCAGGAGAATTGCTTGAACCCGGGAGGCGGAGGTTGCAGTGGGCTGAGATTGCGCCATTGCACTCCAGCCTGGGCAACAGAGCGAGACTCAGTCTTGGAAAAAATAAAATAATAGTAATAATAAAATTGTTCTGAAACAATTGGACATCCATAGGCAAAAAGCAGAATCTTGACTCGAAACTCACAGCTTATATAGATATAAAAAAACCCTCAAAATAGATCAAAGCCTTAGATGTAGAACATAAAACTCTAGAACTTTCAGGGAAAATTGAAAAATCTTCAGAATCTAGGGCTAGGCCAAATTCTTAGACCAGACACCAAAAGCATAATCCCTAAAAGGCAAAGCTGATGAATTGGATGGTGCTCTCTTAACTATGGTCTTCAAAATTCAGCCCTCTGGGCAACAGATAGAACCTTCTCTAAGGAAATAGACCAGTCCAAGAGAAAAGACCTTAAGTGAATCACATGGTAACACGTGAGGTGCCTCCTGTACTGTGTGCAATGTCAAATCCTCTCTCATTCCAGACCAAGTGACGTCAGCCAACTCTGCCCAGGCTTCTACCAGGTTCCTGAAGGCCCCTCTCCTTTCCTTCTCTAGGGGTTGTATGAGATGCCTACCAGGAACATTGCATTCCACATGTGCAATTCAGGAGCATGGGAAAGTTAGCACCCAAAAGATCACACCACTGCACTCCAGCCTGGGCGACAGAGACTCCATCTCAAAAAACAAAACAAAACAAAACAAAAAACACACAGCAGGGCTGTTCTTGCTTTGTCTTCCATAGGAGAAGCCATCAAACTCATCTCTTAGAGAGTTTTGTGACATGATTTTTAAAGCCAGTTTTATTTTTATTAAAGCTCAATTAGTTACATATACAATAACATATTAATTTTACTGCATTATAATCTTAACATGGATAAAATGACCTCTCTTGTCCTTTTCTATCAGCTTCTGGTATAGAACAAAAATCATCAGAGACCATCCAGCTGTTGCTTTGCTAAGACATGTGAAGCTCTTATACTTTCATTGATGTTGCCTCAGCCATCTAGCCAAAGACTGAAAAAGTAAACTTGTATGAAAAATCCCATGTGAATATGGACTCCTAAAATGGAAACGTAATTTTAGCAGAATTACCTCCACCCAGATTTTGTCTGCCAGGTGGCTTTCAGTAGGGAAGATAACATCATCAAAGACAAAGCCTGATCACAGTTCTGGGGGTGATAGAGAAAGCTAGCTATGGAAGAATGGTCAAATAGAGGGAGATGGAAAGTATTTGAACCTCTTGTGACTTTGAAAAATTTAAGATTAAATACAATTTCTAATAGCTTCTGAATGGGGCAATAGAAAAAGCCATCATTTGGAGTCTTAAAAAATCTGTAGATTTTTGAAACAGAAAAACTATTCTTTTCAAAATAGGACACTGGCAAAATGGGGCAGGGTGGGGGTGGAGGGCTGTTTCAGTTGCACTGGACTGAGTCAAGGTGACAGGATGTATTTGCCCACTAGTTTCTCTCCACGTCTTCATTCCCAGGATACTAACGATTCAGAGATAAATGTACACTGAATGCACCCTGTACCAGTCTAATTTCTTTTGACAGCCTGCATTACAAATTGTAAAAATTTTTGAAATTAAGTACCTTTGAAAATGGAAAACTGAACTAACGTTCCAATTTGGAGGAAGGGGGACTCAATGTAGAAATTAAAATCATGGTAAACTAATTTGCCAAGGGTGGGGGAGTGTTAGAAATGGTCTTCTGACTTTAACCATAATAATAACGAGGACTATCAATTAGGCAAAGAGTGCTCTGAGCCTATGTGTTGGCTCCACTACAATTTTTTTTTTTTTAAATGTCTGGCAGAATGTTTTACAAACTAAACCCAGCGAGACTATAATTCTACCAGAAGGTGCCTCAGATGGTTTTGCTAATAATTTTGATAAGCTAAAATGGAGAAAAACATCATTTCAATTATTCACTTTTCAAAAACCATCAATTTTAAGTTACAATATTAAATGTCTTTCTTCCTTCCTTCATCGCCATCAACCAAATGAAACCAAACCCTGGAAGAACCCTCACCAAAAGGCAAAGGGGGTAGGCAGTGACATTTTTGAAATATGTTAGCATGCTAAAAATCTTGTCATTAATTTCTTGCCGCTCAGAAGTTGTGTCCAGTTTATGTGTAACTTTGAGGAGAGTAAGTTCCTTTAGAGAACTCGGAGGAAGCCAGCATTGCTACTGCCGCAAAGATGAAAGTGCGAACCACCATATATTGGCTTTTAATAGCCTTTTAACCAACTTTGTTAATGGACTGAATGCAATTTAGATATGGAACTTGGCGAAAACGTAGCTTCAATTGGCTATTAAAATTTAAGAGCCAACTAAGATAGCTAATTACAAAAAAAGCTCCAGTGATAATGCTAAGCAGAATTAGTAATAGCAAATGGCAGTCTGTCTAGTCTTATTCCCACAGGGAAAGAAACTCTTAACTGAGAAGTCAACCAGACAATGTGCAGCAAACCTAATTGCATTACTGGTATTATGGCATACGAATCTGGCAGCTCCCTGGGACAAAACAGGGAATAAAATCTGCCGAACTCGAGGCAGAAAGCGACTGACCCTCGTTTACATGCCAGTTAGAAAAGATTCCAGGAAATGTTATTTCTATTCAGAGTTGATGAGTAAATGCTCTTTTACTAAGGAACATTCCTGTAAAACCCTAGTAAGGACTGAGCAGTAAGGAAACAGACCTTCCAAAAAAGTTTCAAAGAAATAGATCCGACACCCACGCAGAATTAGATTTTTCCTTTAGATATTTAGGTCTTAAAAAAGGCAACAATAAACATCTGACTGCTAAAAAGTTGAGTTTAGAGGAGAATAATGTTCTGCTTTTTGCTTCATTACAGATACCCTCATTATGGCATCAGCTGAAGTGCAGACTGGCTCTCCTGTGAAGATTTATCATGTGTGGTGGCCACTTTGAATTGGAGGTGCTGTAGTCTTCAACATTCCCTAGTCAAGTGTCTCCCTGCTGTGCCTGTAAATGTCAGTCCAGTTTTTTCACGGCTGTGCGCACAGATTAGAAACAGCAGGAGAGCTTGGGAGTATGACTACAATACCAGTAAGGACACTTGTCTTCGTGGCACTGCTCAAGTGATTCTTGGAATGCAGGACCCTGCTGTTTTCTAATATTTACACACAACTGGAGTCATCAAGAGCAGTAAATGCAGTCTAAAGGAAGCTTGCTTCTTTGTGTTAGGGACTTTACATTCAAATAGGGGTATCAACAATAACATTAAAAAAAATCCATTTTAAAAACTTTCATATTTCCCCTCAATTTTGCTGCTACAAGACCAACCAGGTATTATCATGACTGTTCACTTAGCTTGACCCTCCCTTCCAAACACTTTCTATGTGCATCACACAGTTCATTGGGAACAGCAGGTGTTTCAGATTTTTGGCCTCAATTGTGTTTTTGCAGGCTGTGGTTTCTCTGACCTCTACAAGAACAGACAGGGCCTTGGAAACCATTTTGATGTAATTTCAACCACCTTTGCTTTCTGAACACTTTGCATGACATATCAGAGACTTATTTTGGGACTGTAGCACCTGGAATACAGACGGCTTCTCTTTTGAAAGTCTAGTTAGAAACTTAAAAAAAGGAAAAAAAAACCCATTGCAACTGTGTGCATATCTTAAGAAATGTCTAAATGACCCTACTTAAAATTATGAATGCTAAGGCACAATATTTAAAAAATGGCAAAAACTACAATTACTTTTGCATCAATCTAATACTTTGCCATAACTGTTTAATTATCTGTCAAGGGTTTCTGGACTAGAAACTTGGGGTGGGGAGGTACACAGGGATTAGATCATATACTTCTGCAATTACAATGTCAAGCAGACTGGGATGTACGTTATTACTTCTCCAGTTAAACTGATTCACATGTTTGCACCAAAATGTTCCATAATAGTTAACGAAGTAAATGAAGACGTGAGGCTGTTTGTGTTGGGGCAGGGGAAGGAGTAGGGAAGAACTAAAATATCCACGTCAAAGGTCTTCCTAAGAACCTTGGAGGCACATTTCTCGACCTACAAAAGTTCAAGAAGTAAATGTACTTTTTTCTCTCTTCACCGGACAATCTAATAGAATCACTTCCCAGTTGTAACTTTCCCTGGAATACACTGTCCTAGAACTTTCGAGTCCTCAGGCTTAGCTGACCAGACCCTTCAGTGGCTCTACTTTCACTTTTAAGTACTAACACATATTGGTCCCTTATGGGAAAAGACTACGAAAGTGTGTAGGGACCTTTCTCACATCTGAGAATTATACCAAGGACCACCATCATGAACTTTTGAACTATGATTTTTGTGTCAAGGCCAGAGAGAATATTGAGTACAGCAATTTTTCCACTTTTAAAGAAACTGTTGCCCAGGTATTGTACGGTGTTCATTTTAAGTAACTGTGATGGCTTTTCACTGGCTTCTATAGGATCAGAAGCAGAAAGCCAACACACAGGAAAGTGGAAAGAGCATTCAGACGACTGTCCCACCCTCTCCCCAAACTCTGGATTCACTCCTCCCTGTTGCATCCCAGGCACAAAGATTATATTATCATCTCCACTCACATGGCTGACATCTCAGAACAACGTTCTAACATTGGACTTAACTAAAAAGACGGTTTTTTGAAGATCATCTGCAGTGGTTTACAAATGAAGCTGAATTTTCTCAATGCAGAAGTTTTACAGGGAACTGAATTCATGACAAGCCAAACTACAAAAATTCAAGAATGCTATTCATAAGTTATAAAATGCTATGCCATCATAAACTCACCATTGTACGTACAAATGCATCCTGAGTACAGTGGAAATGGTAAGCATTTTATTTGTGTAACACACATGTGATAGAGAATTGTCTAAACCATCTGGTCAGCAGTAGACTGCATACAATTACTAATGTAGTGTATAAGGCTATCTACATATCAAGACCCTTTTATAATATTAATTCTTTAATGTGACTTGTACTTTATCAGTAGAACTTAGTAAGTTAGAAGACTACAGAATAACCTGTGGAACTTTAAAAAAAACTATAAAATTTTTTCCATGCAACTGCTATAACTAAAAAATTAAACAGACATGAAATAGGACTAAGAATAACACAGCCAAAGGACAAGAGTTAGATTTCTGTAGTGGTGGTAGGATCATAAGCGAATTTTGATTTCTGTTAATGTGGTTTGGGCAATAAATTAGAATTAATAAGTAAAATGGCATTAATTAAGTCAGTGTGGTGCGGGCATAAGAACAGACAGATCAATGAAATCAAACAGATAGTCTAGAAACAAGAGTATGTAATAAAGCAGGCATCACAAACCAGGGTGGAGGAAGGGTGGAGGAGATCATTTATTTAACAAATGGTACTGAAGCTACTGGCTAGCTGCTTAGAAAAAAATCTTTGTGATCCTCACCTCATGGCATACATTTACCAAAATAAGTCCCATATGGATTGAAAATTTAGAAGCATTAAAACAAAAAAGCCTAGAAAAAGTCATGGTAAATATTTCTAATTTCTGGATGAAAAAATATTTTTAAAGTAACAGAAATTACAATGAAAGATCAATAGATTAAAGTGATAGAAGCTAAACTTCATAAAAATTAAAAATATATCATACACAAAAAATAAACAGGAAAAAGTCAGCAACAAAAATGGCAAAGAGTTAAGGTCATTACTGTATAAACAGTACTTATCAACACACCAAAAAGAGTGATTAGTTTACAAATAAAGGTTTGGGTGCACTAGCAATAAAAAAAAAAATTACCTTATCAAATTATAAAAATAAAATTTAATGTGTTAGTCTGGATGGCTTAAATAGCAAACATTTATTTCCCACAGTTCTGGAGGCTGAGAAATAGAAGTTCTGGCAGATTCTATTCCTGGCCAGGCCCATCTTCCCAGTTTGCAGACGGTCACATGACAGAGACAGACATCATCTCTCTCCTGTCTCTTATGAAGGCATTAATCCCATTAATCATGAAGGCTTCACCCTCATGACCTAATCACCTCTCAAAGGTCCACCTCCAAAGACCATCATCTTAGGGGTTAGGCTTAAACACAGGAACAATGCAGGGGACACAAACTTTCAGTCTATAACCCTCGAGGATGACAAAAATGTAGGTTGGGCACTCGGATCTACTGGGCAAAGTGTTAACTGATAGATTTTTGCAAAGCAATTTGATAAGGATCCACAACTTTTCATTTCATAGTCTTTGACCCAGTGGCTCCCTTTTGAAAATCTAAGAATATTCATATGTCAATGAAGATTTCTGCCCAATTTTGTTCAAAAATATTGTTTATAATATCCCAATATTGAAAGCAACTTAAATGCCCAATAATACGAAAATGGTCATGAAAGTATCACAAATTCATTTAAAAAAGTTAAGAAAACATAGAAGTTATATTCATGAAGTATTCATAATAACATAAAAAGTATTTAATGTTAACTTTAAAAAGAAGAATATAAAGCTGTATACGAAGCATAACTATTTAAAAATAAAAATGCATAGAAATGACTGAAGAAAATGTGTCAAAACATTAATAGTGGTTGCCTGTGGGTGGTAGGGTAGTATTATCGCTGGTTTGTCCGTTGACACTTTTCTGTATGTTCTAAATTATATAAAATGGCCATGTATTATTAATACACTCTTATAATCCAAAGAATATAGAGCATTAAAACAGAATTTTAAAGAATTAACAAACATATAATGTTCAACTGTGAACATATGTATCTCCCCACACAAATACAAATAAATTGTTTATATTTCCACCACTACTTTATTGCTACACAACTTGGGTCTTTATATGCACACTTAATTTATTAATTCAAAGCAATAATCAGGGTTTTATAACTGGCTTATTAGTGTTTCATCTGTCTTAGATCACTATTGAAGAACACCTAGAAGCCATTTTACTTCGGGGCTTAGTTACCAAAGACTTATCAGTTGCTTTCTAGAAAATGTAGAGCACATACACATCCTGTTGTGTGAAGGACAAGAGCCTGGCAGTGCTGTTGATCCTCAACAGACTAGAAAACCTCAGCTAAATAAGGACCTAAGGAAAATGGCAGAGAAGGCAAGAGAAAATGGAACGAAGAACATGTTAAAATATGGAAGCTGGATTGTGAAAGAACAAAAAATGGCAAATCCACTCCATTCAGGGATTGGAAAGAAAATAAAAACAATGCAAGATAAAAATACTAAACATAGAACTGAAAAGGACAAGAAAAAAAAATAACTCTGAATGACGAGGTTGCTTAACCATTTTTTTTTAATGTTAAAAAGTTACCTGTATTTTAGACTACTTACTTGTATCTTTTTTTTTTTTTAAATTATACTTTAAGTTTTAGGGTACATGTGCACATTGTGCAGGTTAGTTACATATGTATACATGTGCCATGCTGGTGCACTGCACCCACTAACTCGTCATCTAGCATTAGGTATATCTCCCAATGCTATCCCTCCCCGCTCCCCCCATCCCACAACAGTCCCCAGAGTGTGATATTCCCCTTCCTGTGTCCATGTGAACTCATTGTTCAATTCCCACCTATGAGTGAGAATATGCGGTGTTTGGTTTTTTGTTCTTGCGATAGAGTTTACTGAGAATGATGTTTTCCAATTTCATCCATGTCCCTACAAAGGACATGAACTCATCATTTTTATGGCTGCATAGTATTCCATGGTGTATATGTGCCACATTTTCTTAATCCAGTCTATCATTGTTGGACATCTGGGTTGGTTCCAAGTCTTTGCTATTGTGAATAATGCCGCAATAAACATACGTGTGCATGTGTCTTTACAGCAGCATGATTTATAGTCCTTTGGGTATATACCCAGTAATGGGACGGCTGAAAGCTGGAGGCATCACACTACCTGACTTCAAACTATACTACAAGGCTACAGTAACCAAAACAGCATGGTACTGGTACCAAAACAGAGATATAGATCAATGGAACAGAACAGAGCCCTCAGAAATAACGCCGCATATCTACAACTATCTGATCTTTGACAAACCTGAGAAAAACAAGCAATGGGGAAAGGATTCCCTATTTAATAAATGGTGCTGGGAAAACTGGCTAGCCATATGTAGGAAGCTGAAACTGGATCCCTTCCTTACACCTTATACAAAAATCAATTCAAGATGGATTAAAGACTTAAACATTAGACCTAAAACCATAAAAACCCTAGAAGAAAACCTAGGCATTACCATTCAGGACATAGGCATGGGCAAGGACTTCATGTCTAAAACACCAAAAGCAATGGCAACAAAAGACAAAATTGACAAATGGGATCTAATTAAACTAAAGAGCTTCTGCACAGCAAAAGAGACTACCATCAGAGTGAACAGGCAACCTACAAAATGGGAGAAAATTTTCGCAACCTACTCATCTGACAAAGGGCTAATATCCAGAATCTACAATGAACTCAAACAAATTTACAAGAAAAAAACAAACAACCCCATCAAAAAGTGGGCGAAGGACATGAACAGACACTTCTCAAAAGAAGACATTTATGCAGCCAAAAAACACATGAAAAAATGCTCATCACTGGCCATCAGAGAAATGCAAACCAAAACCACAATGAGATACCATCTCACACCAGTTAGAATGGCAATCATTAAAAAGTCAGGAAACAACAGGTGCTGGAGAGGATGTGGAGAAATAGGAACACTTTTACACTGTTGGTGGGACTGTAAACTAGTTCAACCATTGTGGAAGTCAGTGTGGCGATTCCTCAGGGATCTAGAACTGGAAATACCATTTGACCCAGCTTAACCATTTCTTAAAAGGGGAGTAGAATAAAACAATACAAGGTAGGGAATAAAATAGCCGAACAAGGGATGTAGCTGATGAATCAAACTGGCTACAATGGCTAGTAGTTTTTCATTAATTTCTCTAGCCCTGCCAATATAGGAACATTCAAGAAAATGCCAGCACTTATTTAAGACAATAATGTGAGGAAATATTTGTTTTCTTAATATTTAACCAAGTTTTCCATGTTTTATGTTTTGAAAAATAAGGAGGCTACAGCATATACAGAAAAACATACCACACACAGTTTACTCTATTTTAAGCATTAATGTGTTTAAAATGGAACTTGAGAGTTGATTTAGGTGTTACAAATAAACTTGGGGGATTAACACTGATGAGTACTAAAACGTAACATTCTACAGAAAGCAGGAGGAGCCTCTGCCCAAAGTCAAATTTTCTAATCTGTAAAGATACATTGCTCTAGAACTTCAGGAGGCATTAAAAGGTTAATCTTCAAAGGAAAGTCTGTAGATGTTTTGCATTTTTCAGTATCTAACCATTTCAGTGATAAATGCTTCACATGACAACTAAATATCCACATAAGAGAGCCAAAAGTTATAGTCTTTGTATTGGTTCATAGTTTCTCAAATTTGGTCCAACCTTCACAATTTCTGGTATGTCCATATCCCACCTGTACATTTACTTATTTTTTCCCTCAAATCGACTTGCTTTTAAAAATTGAAATACCTACTTTAGGCTTGTCCTAAGTAGTAGACAAATCACCAGTTTAATGTGCTAGCTGTATTCTGAATACACATTAATATACTTAAATATTTAAGTGAAACTATGTCCATATACCTTCTAAACACACTGTGCATGTTATTAAGTGGTAAGGCATGCCATCCATCAGAAAATATAGTCCAATACCAATTTCTCTGACCAAGAAAACTCTGAGGAATGAATCATGAAATTGTTCATAAATGTGTTAAAATTACAAGCTTCTGTTCCCAAGGCAACTAAAAACATTTCAGATCTTAAACTTTCTGATCACTGAAACTCTGAAGTGCTTGGTTTACTGTATAAATATTACATGCTATGAAAGTGAAACTTTTAAGAAAAATAAACTTCTGTGAATGAACAATAGGCTCTATCTATTAATATCTAGTTCATAGGACTTCCGTAGATGAAGCCAGTCTTTACACAATCTTTAATCACACCACCATTTGATCATCTGTCACTTGTTTTCTTGTCATACGGCTTGCATACTGACATAATTCTTATGTAATCTTTCATATATGTAGATTTTCTCTCTCATGGATACGCTTCCTCCACTTTTTATTTCATATTCCTTTCCTGTCTTTGTACCTCCTGTCTCATACAGCAGGTGTTTAATAAAAGATTTTGGGAACAGAACAAAATCAATACAAACCAAACCTTACAGCCACAACATACTGTGTGTTTGCATCAAACAAAAGAGAGTTTTATTTTAAGCTTTGCATTTCCTTAAAAGTGAGGACTTTGTCAAACATTTTTATCCACTCTGAGAAATGTACAATGATTAGAAAAGTGCGTGTCATAATAATTTTCATATATATGTACTCCAAAACATCACAAACACACGGCTTTGGGATAACTTAAGGAGTATAACCTGAAGATTTTCAAATTTCATAAATTAGCCTTTAATGAATTGTACAAAATATTTTTATAAAAAAAGTTTATGTTTTCTGAACACATGAGTATTTAATCATTACTTCCACCTCGCAAGACTCACAGGAAAATAAAACAGTTCAAATAGAAAAGGAGAAAAAAGTCAAAAGAAAACAAAGAAAAGGAAATCTGGTTCACAGCATCTGAATTACTTCTGGACTCTCTTTCTGGTTCTTGAACCTTGAAGAAAAATCAAAGAAACTGAAATCACTAGTCAATAATTTACAAAAGCAAAAGAACAGAAATATAAATATCCCTAAATATAGTTATTAACATTTTAAAATCAAATCGACTCTCGTGATTTGCAAAGATAAAACTGACATACAAAGGTATGATTGCTAATACTCTGAAAATCTTAGAAAATTGGGTCATTTTTTAATATGTCAAAAAATATGCTGACAAAACCTACCTTCTCTTAAGCCATATAAAAATACTGACTGATAAAACGTATCTAATTTTTACTAATACTGAAATATTTCTCTCCAAAATTTAAATTTGTTGTAAAATTTAAAACATTATCTCCAAATATAAACCTTAGCAATATAGATAAGCATTCACTCCTAAGGTGGAAGCGATGAGGTCACACATGTTATGAAAAGCAAAGCAATAAGTTGCTTTTTAAAGACTATTAGCTACACCCTTGAGGCAGGAGAGCACTGGGATATACTGAAATGGAAAGTCTTTTCCGCTAGGAATTATACAGGTCCCAAATGAGTAGCCTCCTGGAAAAGGATCATATGTGATACTGGTCTAAGTCCTTTATGACAGTACCTATCTAACTATTCTGGTTTGGAATAAATCAATGACTCTCTGCTGGGGGCATGGGAATTCTGCCTCACCAAGACATTTCACCCCACCTACTACTCCTACTCCACCTCTGGGTACAGCAGTTAGCCTGATCACGGCTGCCTAGTGCTGGTGAAAGAAGCAGGGCCATTTCTTTCCCACTGCCGCATGCTACGCTCTGCCAGGAAAGAGCAGGGGCACCAGAGTCAGGGACAGCATGGTGCTCATAATTAATCAATGACTGCACGAAAAAAAACAAAAGATCAATACTTCTTTTCTGAAAAGTACGAAACATTCTTTGAATGTGGAACAAAATTCTACCATGTGTATCTAAAGGTTTTCTGATCATGGGTTTTAGTTACTTAACATGAAGGTCAGTTTCAAAACTAGCATTTTTAATTTTTCCAAGTTATAGTTTCTATTCAATCATACAGTTCAATGAAAGCAAATTTCAAGCTTATATGAATATCCTTTTTTCTGCCACTCATAATACATACCCTATATACTGTACTATGATTGATTCTAAAATTTGAGTTTTTTTCTTAAATTTCTGTAACACGGCCATCTATTAAAAATATCCCACAGTAGATTTTTAGGTTTTTATTTCAAGAAATTTTATTTTTATTATTATTATTTTTTTTTTTGAGAGGGAGTCTCGCTTTGTTGCCAGGCTAGAGTGCAGTGACACGATCTTGGCTCAGGCAACCTCCGCCTCCTGGGTTCAAGTGATTCTCCTGCCTCAGCCTCCAGAGTAGCTGAGATTACAGGTGCCTGTCACCACGCCCAGGTAATTTTTGTATTTTAGTAGGACTTAGACTTTCACCATGTTGGTCAGGCTGGTGTCGAACTCCTGACCTCAAATGATCCACCCGCCTCAGCCTCCCAAACTGCTGGCATTACAAGCATGAGCCACTGCGCCCGGCCTATTTCAAGAAATTTGAAATTAATTCTGCACAGAAAACTGAAAATGCTGCGATAGTGAGACTGGCATAAAGGGTATTACAAAATCAAGGTCAATAATCAATACTATATCTCCCTTTCAACACATTTTAAATCTTTAACCACACTACAAAGAACACTAAATTAACAACTATAAAGTTACATTCAAATAGCATTATTCTCATTAATGTCTTAATTTGCCATTTTACTCTGAAATTAAATATCACTGCTGCTCATCTCCTTCAATCCAAAGTTTCTCACTGCAACTAAAAGGGCTACTACTGCCTGGAATTTATTATATAATCAGTCCTACGCACCTTGTTGACTTTGCTGCATAAATCAATTCAATATTTTCCCTAATAATCAATTCTGATTGTTACAAAAAAAACTACCTTATCTCTTTAATTAAATATATAACCATTTTCATAATATACACTACTGGCAAAGGGTCCAATCAGAAGACTAATGTATATAATTTGATATTTGGAAAATAACATACAAGTTTGGGATGCTTTTCTATGATTTTATAATGCAGTAGGAAAAAAAAAGTAGGAAATTTCTTTGTAGGGTTCCCTTAAAAATATCTACTTTTTGACTAGTCATGCTTTCTCCAAAGATTCCTCAGGAATGGTCCAAAATCCAAGGTTCTTAAAAATAATACCAACAAAAGTAGCCTCCATTTTATGAACAGGAGGGGGGAAAGTACACCAGCCATAAATATCATGGCTATATTAGCTAATTTTTAGCACAATTCTGAAATACTGGCATGATTTTGAAATGCCAAAATATGCATGATTTTTAAAGGCTCCTCATTTTGTGAGGGGAAAAATTACTTGCAGCCAGTAACCAAATTTTCTCAACTGGTAAAAATTATGCCTTGCATAAAAATAAAAGGATTAGAGGCCTCTGTTCTTCTTGAAAACCATCCCATCACCTCCTCTATTTATTTGAGAAAACCTACACAATACACATTTTGAAAGCTTTCAGAATGTGTTCTTACACAATAGACCCCCAACTATTCAAAATGAGTTTAGGTGTATCTAGAAAATTATACACATTTTTAAAATGGTCTAAATAGATATTAAAGGAAAGTTGCTCCCATTTTGCTAGGCACAGCATTCTGAAAGATCACACAGTGCGAAAAATCTCTTACCATACTGTAAATCATAAATTGTGTTTGAAAATAAAATTGTTAATGAAGAAACTGACATTTCTAAAGCTGCTGTTAGAGGTAACCATTCTTGAAACACGTTTATGACACAAAATCTTAAAGCCCTAAAACACAGTGTTCACTGAATTGTACTATATATCTTAAAAATTAAAAAAACAAATGTAATAATGTGTCTTTTCCTTCAAGTAACTTTTAAACTGATAAATTTAAAAATATACATTTACATGAACTCTTGGCTTTTTCTTTTTGCTGGAAGCAATAATATTTTACCATCAGATAATATTTCTCTCACTTATGATTATTTTGATAGTAAAATACCTTAACTCGCATTGTACTTTAGGGGAAAAAAGTGAACTGTAATGGGGGAAATAAACAGCATTTTAAGAACGGCAATTTTGAGTTTATATGAATAAGGGTGAATCTGACTATTCTTTATCTTCTGAAAAAGTTAGGTCAAAAAAACTGAATTGTTCTCCTTAAATTATTTATGACTTTACTATACTCTTTTGTCATTAATAAAATAACAAAAATACTGATATATTTTCTCATGGGAAAAAGCATCAGTAGAAGACCTTAAACTAAAAACTTAGGTTAAAAAAAAATTCATAATTATACTAGAATTTAAAGGCATTTATCTATCAAAACAAAAACGCTTGATGCTCATTAAGCAAAGTTCAGGTAACAAATGATGTCCAGGCAGTCAAGAAAGGGATGAGTCTTCCTGATGCGCAGCTGAGACTCTGCCTTAGACTTAATGAGTGTCAATCTCACTAGAACAATGCAGGATCTTTCTGAAACTAAAATTGCCAGTTTTAAAATTTAAGGGATTGTTTTTTAAGAATATTGCTGTATATTTATAAATACTCCTTAATTTTGTTCCCACTCACTGTCATAGCTGCTGCTGCTAGCCTCTGGCTGAGACATGCTTCGATGTATTGCTCCTTGGGACTCCTCACTTCCTAATAACAAAATGAACAAGACAGGGGAAAGGAGGAAAAAAGACAGTAGCGAAAGGAAGACAGCAGCGGGAAAAAGAGAGGGACTACTTCAAAACCTCTCGCCTTCAGTGTGAAGTTATATATTCCCTCTTCAGGTATCTCAAGTATTCTTTGGGTTAAAACAGATTAAACCAAAGGATGTTCTAACCATAATATGTAATGAAGAACATAGTAATAAAATCAGGGCAAAAATGATTCTCTTTGAAAGTTGAATACTGTGCTTTCCACAAACATGCACTAATGTCACTAGCAAAAGGAAGGTAAAATAAATTGGTGGCATTACTCAATATGGCACCTATGCTGTAAAATTTTTTTTTAACCAAAAATAAGCCTTTTCTGTTAGCAACCAAGAAATATTTCAGGACAAACAAAATAATAATTCAAAAAAAAAAAAAGGCAGACAGGAAAAATCTTTTTAAAAAAATGTATTGTGGGCCACACTGAATAGCTCTCTTTATTGAGTCAAGTACATCATCATATCACATGAATCCTGGAACACATTGGCTGGCAGTTTATTAAACATATCAGACCAAAGTCCAACCTAGCTCTGCCCTTTGCAGATGCTGCCTTTGCTAATGTCATTTCTGGAACTATTGGAAGTGCCTTCAGTGCCAGTTTATAAGCCATCTCAGAAAAATGACTTCATACCTTGTTTTTTTTGTTTTTTTGTGTTTTTTTTTTTTTTTGCTTCAAGAACTTTGAAAAGTGATCATCCATAAAGCTTTAATTCCTTTCCTCTTAACTTGTTCAAAAAAAAGAAGAGGTTGACAAACTTTATAAGGAACAATCAGGCAGCTCAGCTGCAACAGACCCATGTCTGACCCCTGACACTCACTATCATACCCAGAGTTATGTGGGATCAGTGTGAGGAAGTGGAAAGACATTGGCCTGACAGTTAAGAGTTCTGGTCTCTATCACTAACCCTTTCACAACAGCTCAGTCATTTATTTTATTTATTTTAGAGATGGGGTTTCTATGTTGCCCAGACTGGACTCAAACTCCTGGGCTCAAGTGATCCTCCTGCCTCAGCCTCCTGAGTAGCTGAGACTACAGGCACACATCAGTCACCACGCCTGGCAGCTCTGCCATTTAATCATTCAGTGTCTCGGGTTCCAAATCTGCAAAATGAAGGAAGCTTCCCAGTCTCAACTTTATAATTATTGTGGAGAGAAAATAATCTAACCTGTGTACAAAAGACACAATACATACTATATAAAAATCTTGTGGTATTTTATTATAAAATCAAAAGGTCATGACCCAAATAGTTGACCCCTCATCTAATGGGAGGAAATGAAATTTGTGTTTACCTATGAAAGCAGCTAGGCAAAACTGTTCAACTTACGGGTCTGTATGGCCTCCTCTGTCTGTGTGTTTGACCATTCCGTATCTTCAACACCAGGTTCCTTGCTTTCTTCAATTTCTTTCTTTCGCTTCTTACATATAAAATTAAAGAGAGAGAGAGAGATATCTGACAGTCAAGTAAACTACAAACTCATCACATATTTGTCTGTGTGTGTGTATAAATGTATATAGGTGTGGGTGTGTCAAAACACACAGGAAGAATATTCTCAACTTCAGGATAGTAGTTACCTAAAGGAATGGATGAGGGATGGAAGAAAGGGGGAGTACAAGAACTTTCAACTAGACAGTTAACCCAGATGGTAGATATATTTGTTATATCCACCTCTAACTTTTCATGCTTTATATACTTCATTATTCAAAGCTATGGTTTAACCATCAGGACTAATCATACAGAAACTCTTTTAAAACAAAATGTTTTACAAACTCACGATCACCACTCAGGCCAATGATACTCTCCACATTGTACAACATGGGTGGGGTGGAGAGGATAATCTATTTGATAAATGGAAAAAATGTATGTCTTGCCCCATTTATTAAATCAGTGTTTGTACCACATAACATTGGTGGTAGAATTCTATTTATGAATCAATAATGAAAAACTTGTAATAATTGTTTCTCTTTTAGCATACTTTTTATTAAAAGTTTAAGAGGGCCATAAACCTTACTGTACATGAATAGTCTTAAAAGTACAAAGCTCTCCGAAAATCTCAAAAATCGTCTGGATTTCCTACATTCTCTTGGGCCTGTCCTATTTTTCTAGTGAAGTGTTATTTAGGAGTCAGTGCTTATATTCTGTCACCATCCATTCTTCCCAAATGTTCCTTCAATTTCATTTTATGTGTTTCTACCACTACAACATTTTCTAACAGGTCCAATCCTGCGTTAAGTTTCTAAATTCTCTAACATCTCTATACATAGGTAAAATTATAGACGGGCATTAGGAATAAATATAAAACTTTGAATTTTTTTATATAACTTTATCTTCTGTAGTTTCAAATTTAAGCAGGTTAAAATACAAATTTTAATCCAAAGCTTCTCTTGGTTGCCTAAAATAAGTCTGTATCATTTAGAAAACCATCCGACATGCCCCAAATCTCACAGGTTCACAATGCAACAGAATGTCCTCATTTATATTTTCTAACAATTAACAATAAGTTAAACTTCATCTGAGAATGTTCCTTGCTGCAGGCCATTTTGTGTACAGCTAGAAAAGAGGATAATGCCTGCTGACAGCACATTGTTCCTTTTCCTAATGGCAACCATGGGTTCTGTTCCAAAGAGAACTACATGGGAAAGCTGAACTCTATTCAAGGCACATTACCTTAAAACCTCCAAACGGTCAGAACTGTTATTATCTATGTATTACAATTAATCCCACTGTTTCAAAACATTCTTAAGGTGGCTGTGGAAAATTAGAACTCAGAGATACCCACCATGTTCCTAAAGAAAATGCTTCACACATACAAAAATAACAACTTGACTGAACCTTGAGAAACTTTCAAAGGCATTCATTTAGCAGATTTGTATATGGGGGTATTGCCTCTCAAAAATAGCTGTAAGAGTGGCTATAACTTCATATAACTGATGAGAAAAGGGGAGAATGCCTTACATCTTTCTTTTCCAGTGTTGCTTCATGATTACCGTCTAAACCCTGCTGGGCTGAACAGATTGGTTCGATAATTACATACAATAACTGCAGTGGGCAGGTAACCCTCAGCTGGCACAGGGCAGCTCCCCTGTGAGAACTTCCATATGCAAACTGCACTGATGGAGTGCATTAGGTACATCTTTCCTGCCGGTGCACAGGCCTGATTAACGCCAGCCAAGACTCCAAGGTTAGCATGTCAGCAGATTTGTGATGCATTAGGCAAGAATAAACACAGACACTTTTGTTTGTTCAGACCAAAATTAAGGAGGAATATTTCAGTACTATATTGCTTTCCATACAGCAGAGAATGCATTTCCCAGTTTTTGGAGAGCAGATTTTTAAATGCTCATCATAAAGGGAGCTAGCTATCCAATACATTCTACCCAAGAACCTAAGTGCATTCATCTAGTTTTCAAGCTTATTTAATAAAAGGGGGCTTTCTTAATCTCCATGCAGGTAAATTACATAGGAAGGAAAATCAGACAGTATTCAACCAACAAAAGAAACACCTGTGCTTTAAGCAGTATGCATTACGTAAAGCACTCTACTGCATTAATCCACACTTCAGCCAGGTAACTCCTGCCCAACTTTTCTAATAATGTACGTAGTCTGCATAGAAAGGGCCAGTGGTCTACAGACCAATTAAAAAACCAAAATAAAACCCTTCAAGTTTAGTAGTACCTAAGTATGTTATCAATTTTATAAGGCAATGAGTAAAATTCTAAGCAATCTGCTCCCAGCTTCTTCCTTCTGAATCTTTCCAAATGCTTCATTTTGTTATTTGTCAACATCCTTAGGCTTCAGATAGTGCATATTTTGGTTCCTTTTGAACAGAAAAATGTCTTCACAAAGTGACTATGCTAATCTCTGATTTTTGTCACATTCTGTATCAGGTCTCACAGGTGCCTTTGCGTTTAATATGAAACCAAAATATTGTATGATATACTAAAATAACTTATAAAATAAACTTGAGTATTCTTTTAATTCAGCACAGCTAAAATATCTTCAAAACTTAGATTTCAAAGGGCACCAGCATATATATTACACATTATATTTTTGAAGTGTTCAGATATGCTAAAGTTTAGTTAATTAGCAGCTTCTCACTTCCAATTTAGAAACAGGAAGACAAACAGGCTAGATGCATTTGAACTGATAATTTACTAATAGTCTAAACACCGATTGGAGACCTGCTGTAGACTTAAAGCTGTTTTAATAGAAAAGAGAAAAAAAATCTTCAGAAGCAAAAACCAAAGACCAATTCTTTGCTTCCCAAGTCAAGCATCAAAAGATCACCTCTAGATGCTTTCAACAGCTTCTAAGAAAAGCCAATCAGATTCATGGCTGTCTCTAAGAGATGCGTACTCGGGCAGTGTTATTTGGGTTTTGTCCATCCCATAAGACAAAAGTCTACATGTCTACTTTAGAAACTTAAAATATACAGCCTAGAAGTTTTAAAATGCTTCATATAGCACATATGTCATATGTGCTATAGAACACAGTTTAGAACAAAGTTCTTTGTTCTAAACACTGCACTAATCAGTCCATGTGACTAATCAGTTAATCTTATTTTATTTATTTGATTAAATTATTACATTCCCTAAAAGTGGCTGAAAATAGAATATTAGTAGTAACTAAAAGAAAAAGGACACATCTTCTATGAAGGTTACAGCAAACATGTTATTATGCCACAATATTTATGAAACTAATAGATTTAGTTAAAATCTACTATATACACAGAAAAAACTGAAGCTAGGGACGGAAAAAAGCCAGAGAATGTGCTCAGTATTTCTCAGCTGATGGTGATGAAAAGACTAGAACTCAGAGCTCTTTATTCTTATTGCAATTTCCTTTCCACAGCACTATGCGGTCTCCTATGTGAGCTTTCAGTAGGAAGCAGCAGTTTCTAGTTGCTGTGTTCTTAATGTATTTTTTTCCAGAGTTATATTATAGTACACACATTTGTGTATTTCATGTAAACTATTTTCATAACCTCCTCTATTTCTCTTCTACTACGTATGTTCCCTGAGGGCAAGGACTATGGTTTTCCTCATTTATCTAACCCTTAATGAGTTTGGCACAGTGTTTTGCACATATACAGATGTGCACCTGTAGAGTAACTATTGAACTATTCTTGTAATAAAGAGGTAATTTCATATCTTCCTCTAAGTCTCTCAAAAACTGTAATATTTGAATGGACATTAATTACATATATGTTTTAAGAAAATGCAGAGAAAGGTCAAACATAACTACAGGGAGAAGAAATAAAAAGATGGAGAGTTAGGAAATGAATGAATGACTTGAAAAGAGACAGACAAATTTGAGGAATAATCTAAAAATATCCTGCTAGAGGCCCGGCGCAGTAGCTCACGCCTACAATCCCAGCACTTTGGGAGGCCTAGGTGGGTGGATCACTTGAGGTCAGGAGTTTGAGACCAGGCTGGCCACATGGCGAAACCCCGTCTCTACTAAAAATACAAAAATTAGCCAGGTGTGGTGGCACACACCAGTCCCAGCTGAGGCAGAAGAACTGCTTGAATCCAGGAGGCAGAGGTTGCAGTGAGCCAAGATCACACCAATGAACTCCAGCCTGGGTGACAGAGCAAGACTCCGTCTCAAAAAAAAATAAAAATAAAAATAAAAATTTGCTAGAATTTATTAAAGTGATTTATTGTTTTCAATGAGTTTCAGTGATGAAGACTGTAATAAAAATAATGACTATTGCAATTTCCTTCCACAACAGCACTGACCTCCATCTGAACAGAGGTGAAGATCACCACCATGTACTTATTAAGCATCTACTGTGTGCCTGGCACTGTCATTTTCAAGCTGAAAAATAGACACTATAAAATAGTTAAAGCAAAAGAGAAACTTCATCTTTTATAAAAACATTAAATACACACACGTTTAATTTCTGCAACTATTTGTTTTGCTATAAGCACTATAAGAAATCCTTTTAGGGTTCCATAAATGAGTGTTCTTACATAAGTGTCCAGTGTAATCCCACTAACATGGAAATTCATTCATTGAAGTATCAATCCATATGTAAATGTAACACACACATTACATCACAGTCCACCCTTGATTTTGTTGTTGTTGTCTACTTGTTTAAATTTAGATCTCTCTCCTGTCAACATTTTTAGTTACCTACTCTGGAGATAGAAAGGAAGTACAACTCAAGCAATTTTGCTAATTAACAGGTCTGAAGGAACAAGGTTAGCAAAATAAAATGATTAAATATATGGCACACAAAGTTTGGAATATCTATGTTCTTCACTAGTTCAAGGTATCCCACCCTTACAATACCATGAAAAATTAAGAATTTACTGTAACTATCAAAAAATAGCACACCAAAAATTACAGGTAATTTATATGAATGTGCCAAAAAATACTGATACAATGGTAGACTTTGTCAGAATAAATGGAGGAAAAAAACCATCTGGTTGGCTATCAGGGTTGATTGCTCCATGCGCAACACATTTTTTTCAGCAAAAGCACTGCTTTCATAAAGTCAGCATAATTTGTCTATTCACTTATTTTAGAGCACATGTATGTCCCTTCAGCTTGGCTTACTAAGGAACTAGGGAAAGCTGCCTTCAAGCTCTACTGTCATCCATTCTCCTAGAAAAAACATTCAGCTAACAAGCAGATTAGCTGTGAAACAAGCTAACCCTTGATTACATGATCTACAAGAGTACTACATGCTTAAGAACTTTCATCAAAATGTCATACAATAATAGCAAGCACAACCTAGAAAAATCTCCTAATGACACTTTTGAAAACCGTAAATTCAACTTCCAACTTGTTGGCAGCAATGGCTTTTCATGATTCTAACATCATTCATGTTACAAGGAGATCATGAAACTTTAATATGATCAAACGTATAGTCAGTTAACAAGACGAAAGCTGTTTCCAGAGATTCAATGAACTACGGTCTAGAAGACTAATATGTCAGTGTATTCTATTCTAGATTAAAGTCAATGTCACATCTCTTCACTCATGTTTTCCTCTGAGGGTTCCATGACATGCACCATTAAGGTCGAAAACTTTTGGCAAAGTTAAGATGGTTCAAGTACAATTTATGGGAAAAGGCAAATGAGTGGCCGGGTCATGCTTTAATTATCTTTAATATTTTATGCCTAAAATCACTAGGATGCCTTGAACTTTCTATATAAATGCATAATAATAATGATTTCACAGCCCTGAACAAGTCACCTGGCCTCTTCTGAGTTTTAGTCCCATCATTTATGAACAAATATATTTCACAGGCATGCTGCAAAAGTTATAAAAAATAATTTAAAGGTCCTGAAAGAATATAGAAACTACATAAATGCTCAGTGATAACCTAAAGTTTAAAGGGTCAATATCCTATTACCTGTACTGAGCACAATCAAGTCTTCTGAGGAATGCTCAAGAATTAAAAATGTAAGATTTTGAAAACTATTTAATATAATACTATAAACTAAGGAGGCTAATCTTTATAAATACATCAATGAAAACCAAAACCTATATATATACTGGTGGGGAGTTAACTAATCTCAAGGCAACACATGAACAAGCGTATTACAGAACAAATTGGGCTACATTAGAGTTACTATTAAAAACATACTACCTGATCTTCCCTCAATAAACTTATGTCCACAAAACACCTAATTCCTAAACACGCAGGCAGAAAATGGCAGACACAGAATTCTCTGGTGGTCAGGACTCCTCTGCTTTATGTCAAGTACTATTATCTTCTCGTATCAATTATTTAGCTTAAGAGAAAAAAGGGATAACTACAAACTCATTAATTTGACTTATATGTTCTTAAAAGGTATGGAGCTATATTTTACTTATTTAAAAAATCTGTTTATATTCTGCCTTAACAAGATGGAGCTACATTTTAGTCTTTATTTCATAGTAATTAACATCTTGTCTTTCACTGCAAAAATCAACTTTTACCAATTCATAATCGTTTACTATTCAAAACAACCTATTTTAACACACATACTCACTAAGTAAAATATAACCCAGTCTTCATTCACATGTGCCTAATACCCTGTTTCATAAACTGAACTTTTAAAGATCTAAGATCTTAGTTTATTAGAAGGTTCAAATGAAAACAGATTCAAATGAAAACGTTCCATGTTATTTTCTTATCATCAAGAAACTAGAAAGATGGGAAAAGTTAAATAGTGGATTAAATAACAGCATTAACAATAATATTGCAGTTAACATTTACTGGTCACTTGCTATGTGCCTGCCACTGCTCTAAGCACTTTATATCTTTTATTCCTCATAACAATCTTATAAGCAAGACAGATAACACTCTTATTTCAACTGAAAGAACTTTTTGAAAAAATTCATCCATTTTTACACGAGGCCGGGCGTGGTGGCTCACACCTGTAATCCCAGCACTTAGGTAGGCTGAGGCGGGCAGATAATCTGAGGTCAGGAGTTTGACCAGCCTGACCAACACGGAGAAACCCCGTCTCTACTAAAAATGCAAAATTAGCCAGGCGTGGTGGCGCATGCCTGTAATCCCAGCTACTTGGGAGGCTGAGGCTGGAGAATCGCTTGAACCCGGTGGCTGCGGTGAGTCGAGATCGTCCCATTGCACTCCAGCCTGGGCAACAAGAGCAAAACTCTGTCTCAAAAAAAAAAAAAAAAAAGCACAGAAATGCTTAACATTTCCGAAGAACTGGCCATTATATCAGAAAAATAAATCTAATAATATCCTTTGAGATCTCAATTTTGAGTACTTCTTATAAGCATGTCCTTTCATTACTTCAAGAAATTCTGCTGGGCACCATTCAAGACATTTATATGACACCAAATTTCCTTCTGTATCACTTATAGTAAAGTACTTATATATACAGAGATCAAAAAATAGTATGTGTGCATCACTGCCCACATGCAAAAGCTGGTCATGGGGCTGATAAATGCTACAATGTAAAGTCTAAAATGCCCTGTATTTGCTATGCCTATTTACAAAAGGGCTGTTTTCTGCACAGAAGCTATTCAGACACTCAAATTTTAATATGCAGTGGTTCTTAACTATGTCTGCATAATGAAATCACCTAGGAAGTTTTTTAAAAATCCCGACGGTCCCACCCTTATAGCTTTTGATTTACTTGGTCTAGGGTGCAGCACAGATACTTAAAAGCTCCCAGGTGAATTTATTATAATATGCAACTAAGGATGCCACCCACAGCCTCACAAGCACCTCCATTAAAATGATCTGAGGTATTTGTGTGTTAATGGACCAGAAAAAGAAACTGGAGAAGCAGTGAGTCCTGGCACCTAAAAAACAAGCTATCTGGCCACAAATTTCACTCATTTCTGAAATCACTGGAAGTAGATGTCTGTAATGAAAATTCTATTAAACTAACAGGAAAATAGGTATTCCAACTTTGACTGAGGTATACACTATTAAAATAAGTCAAACAACAAAAAACATGACTAGATAATAAACATTGAAAAAAATCTAAGCAATATCACAGAACCAAAACAGAAAGGCATTAAACTCAAAAAGAACAATCCCTCTGCCAAAACAGTTAATATAAAAAAGTCTCATAATTACTATTCTCAAAGGATTTAAGAGGCTATCTTACCAATAAAACAAGAATATGCTGACATATTAAAAAAAGAACTAGTACCCTTAAAATATGACTAAAAAACAAAACAGATGTAACAAATGGGCAAGAAGAAGCCCACAGATCTATACAAAACAGCGTTAAGGAAATGAACATGTGGTCGAAGAGTTAGGAGACATGGAGAAAAGAAGCTAGCTTCCAGAGTTCCCATATTCATGTGGTAGGAGTTCCGGAGGGACAGAATAGAGAAGGAAAGGAAAGGAAAGCCTCACATACACAGAAAATAAATTGTTCAAGCGTCTAAGACAGGCATTAAGCCTTTAGATGAAAAAGGTCTGCCAAGTACCAAGAAAGATAACTAATTAAAGTGTAAAAACAAACTAGAACACACACACACACACACACACACACACACACACACTTGTGCACAGATATCTGCAGAATGCCAGGACAAAGAGAAAGGCAAGAAGCTTCAAAGCAAGAGTGGAAAAAATAGAAATCTAGTAAAAAACAAAAATTAGGAAAATTAGATGTTAGAAGGCAACAAAGCAATGTCTTCAATTAAAAACTATATAGCCACATTAGTTTTCAACTGGGGAAAAAACAGACATTTTTGGACTTCCCAAGATTTACAAGTTTACCATCCAGAAGCTTTCTTTAAAAAAAGATTGAGCATATACTCTGAAACATAAAGTCAAGAGAAAGGACATGGATAACAAACAAACAAAAAACACAAAATACGTTAGACTCATGATTAACTCTAAAAAATAATACATAGTATACAAATGACACAAAAAACTAGAACTAAAAATTCCAGATGACTGCAGTATGAGAGATGGTTTGTGGAGGGCTCAGAGTGTAAAAGTAAAAACAAGCTCTGTTTACTCGTGAGAAAAGAACATAAATTCTAATTAAATGTTCACACACATAAACAAATTAAAATGTGTTAAAAAATGAGTGGAGACATTTTGGAGGTTAAGACTTCACAACTTCCCTCCACCTAAAATCTGAAGTAATGAACCCAAAATAACAATTAAGAAATATTTCAGCAGCAAACAGAAGTATCATAGCTTTGCAGCATAACCTTTGAAAAGTGATGACCATGAAGTTTGTCAGACACTTCAAGAATGTGAGCAAACACCATTCTGAAATTTTTCACCAGTGGCCCCCAGTCTAGAAGATGTAAGTCAGGCAGCTTGGGGGAGAAAAGACTTAAGCCCGTTGAAAAGAGGAAACCCTCCCTACTCCCCAGTGACTCCCCAAAAGCAGGACCTGTAATTTTGTTTCTTCCCTGGCTGGGAAGAAACCTGGAGAAAGACGGCAGAATAATCAAAATCACTAATTATCCTCAACAGTAAACAGGGAACTGCCACAACTGTTGAGAAAAGAGAACATAAATAAGAAACACATAAAGAACTAAAGTCATGGAGAAGAGATCGCCAATATAGTCTTTCTTTCACTGTGGATTCACTAAGAACATCCCAAATTAATAAACTCACATTTTTGCTTCTTCTGGGTAGGCAGAGAACCGAAGCAAATACTGGAAAATGACTGATAATTTGGCCTATGGCTCATCAGATCCACCCCCAAATATGTATTCATAGGTAAAGAAAATGAATTGGCAATATATCAAGCCCTAAAATCCAAACTATAAAGAATAACATTCTCAAAGATGGGAAAGTCAAAGATTCACAAATACAATAATCTAGTAAATTCACATAAAGCTCTCCTTATCCAATATGAATAAGATAGAATAAGCACACGAACAAAGAATACCAGGAGACAAGAAAAGAAACTGAAAAAGAAGCTCATAGCATCCAAAAGATAGCTGAAGACTCCACCTCTGAAAGAAAACAGTCCTCCCCCAAGGAAGAAAATTTTATAAAATGCATCAGAGGCTTAAAAAACTACATTTAAAAATACTTACTTTTTTTAAAAAATAGAGGAAATGATTTAAAAGACAAAAGGATAACAATGAAACCACACAGCTAAACAAAACAATCATTACAGAACTTATATATATTAGGAATAGTAAAAAACAGAGCAAACATATCTGACAATCAGATGACATAAAGGAAAGACTTTGTATAATCACAGATAATCCAAAAAAAAAAAACAGAAGAATTAAGCAGTTATAAGAAAATAGACATGGATGTTGTGTATTCCCTCTACAGACACAGAAGACTACAAACACGACTGAGATAAATGGAAGAACATCTAAGTAACTATAGGGGCCTACTATGGCTATGGAAGAGAAGATGTCAGTTCTTTCCGAATTGCTCTATAGAGTAAAGTCAACTTTAGTCAAAATCCTAGAAGTATTTTTGAGGAAACTAATAAGCCAATTCTAAAATTTGTATGTAAATTCAAAGAGCGAAGAATAGCAAAGACAATGCTAAAGAAATAAAAGTTGGAGAATATATGCTATCAGGTATCATTATGAAGACAATAGTTCAAACAGTGTGGCACTGGCACAGAGATGGACAAGCGGGCCAATGGTACAGAATAGGGTATCTAGAAAGAGACTAAAATACCTATGGTTACCACTGCAATGCTGTAAGGACACGATCGTCTTTTCCACAAATGGTTGAGATCAACTAGATATCCAAAAGAAGGAAAACAAATACTGACTCACACCATGCACAAAATCAATTTCTGTTAAACTGTAGACTTAAATGTGATGGATAAGATAAACTTTCTTGAAAATAACATATCTTCATGATCCTAAGTAGACAAAATATTCCCAAATAGAATATAAAAAGCACTAACCATAAAGACTGATAAACTGAGCTTCATGAAAATGAAGAGATTCTATTCATTAAAAGATACCATATTAAGAGTGAAAAGATTAAACACCAACTGGAAGATGATATGTGCAACACATACATTGTTTACATACAAAGTATTCAACTCTGGCAAATCAAAAGAAAGCTAACGACCCCAATTTTTTTTTTTTAAATAGGCAAACGATTTGAAATGTACTTCACCAAAAAAAAAGGATTATCAAGGCTGGCAGGCATACAAAAATGTTTCAAATCAATATTTTTCAAGGAGATTAAATTAAAACCATAAACAAATCAGTGCACGTCCACCAAAATAGGAGAAATTAAATATAATGCAAGAGCTAGTGTCAGTGAGCAACTGGAACTCCTCCATGCTACTGATAAGAATGTAAGCTGAGAGAGCAGCTTTGGAAAATTGGCAATATCTACAAACCCTCAACATAAGTAAGCCCTAGGCTGCAGCAACCCCAGTACGTACAGACCCAATCTGAAATAAATGTACATGTTTCCCCCCAAAAATTAAAATAATGTTCTTAACAGCATTATCACAACTGCCGGAAACTGGAACAATTTGAATGTCCATCAATAAATTACGGTATAGTCATATGGGATACTACACAGCAATGAAAAACAACAAATTTTTGTTACATGCAACAGCATGGAAATTCAGAGATACAATTAAATGAAAGAAACAAAAGAGTATGTAATATATGATACCATTACTATAAATTTCCCCAAAAATTGCAAAACTAATTCTGGCAATGATCCACATCTTGATCTGGGTGATGTTTAAATGAGTATTGTGTAAAAGTGTACTTATTCATGTACTTTTCTATACATACGTAACAACTTCACTTAATTAGGGCAAAAAAGTCCACTTGACAAAATTCAGCCAAATAAGAAGTTCAAAATAAAGAATTCAATAACAGACCTAAAGAAAAAAATTGTTAGCAAATGCTGACTCGACTTAACTACAGTACTATGATCAAACCATTAGAAAACAGGAATGTACTTCAACAATCTAAAATTTATATAATTAAAATACAGTTTATCTTTATTACCGTATCAGGCTAAAACAGCTAGATAGATTTTCACCAAATTTAGAGCACATTCAGGGCAACCCGACTGAAACTATAGGCTACAATGGTATAAAGGCTGTACGAGGTGCAATCCCTTCAGAAAGAAAGGAAGAAAGCTGTCCACCGGAGCAGCTGCAGGCTACTGATTTGCAATGGAAGGGCTTTGCACTTATTCAACTCTTTGTACCCTGTTCCAGGCTAAATGCCAGCAAGGGTTTATTTAACAATGGTTAAATAAGAGAAACTCTAGAAAGACCAATTAGCATAATGCAGCCAGAAAAATAAAATTTTAAAATTTTAAAATTAGGAGGTAAAATAGAGAAGGAAAGAAAGGTATGTGAATAATCATTCATAGGGAGCAACAATATAGGCTGTCTGAAAATGAAAAACTAAAATACAAATTGCAAGGCCATGATCTAGACCTTACTCAACGACTTTCCAGGGATGAGATTCCAGTCAACAACCCTTTTTGTTGACTTAGGCAGGCAACTTAAAACCCTAAAATAGTTCATGGAAGTGTTAATGTCCTTTTAACTTGCTGAGCTCTTTCCAGTAAATTAAGCTGTTCTTAACCCAGATGGAACAGGAAGGAATTCTTTAAGAATGGGACCACATGTCATTGATCTCCGTAGCCCTAGAGACCTAGCCTAGATCAGGTACATAAACTAGACTTTTTATGTAATTGTTGAATGTTAATTTATGAGTATACACTGAATCCAATAACTGTTGCACTGTACTGCCAGATTCTAAAAACTGAAAATGTTTAGTTCTAATCAACAATAAAAATATTTGACTTTGTACTTTTTAAGGGCAGATGTATACTTGATCTCTCTGTTCTCCTTCAGCCTTATGTCATCCCAAAATTCTATGCTTTAAATAAAGCTCCTTGATTATTAAGCAGAAAACATTTCCAAGTGGGTAAATTCATGTTTCACTCTAGTTTCCAAATATACTGCACCATAATCAAGCATGGCTGCAAAAACATAGACAAGAAACCTTGCTTCATTCCACTGTTCATCAATTCCTGTAGGTTTTTACCAAAAAGAATATTTCTTAGGAACCTAAATACAAACATATATTAAACTGATTAAACCTACCCCTTTCCAAAAGAGATCTGAGTCTGATATATACACAGAAAATATACTTCACACTTTCAAAAATTATGACAAACGAAAAGAGAGGAAACAAATGTACTAATTATTAAAATTAACAGTTTCTAGAACTAAGCATCATATTTAGTTTTGAGCCTCCTGACATCCAGAGCAAAAAAAGACATCTGGGTTATAGATCTTGCTGAAAAACAGAGGCAGCAAGCTAGTTTCTCAAAGGAGAAAGCTTTTCATTGCAGGGAGCCCCCAACTTCTCATCCAGCAGAGCTCTGCTTTTATCTGTTTTCAGTGACAGCATTTACAAATTATATGAAGAAAATGTTCTGCAGTTTAAAAGAAAAGCTTGAAAAAAAACTGGTCTGGTCCAGTTCTTTCACTTTACAAAAAAAAAAAAAGCTAACAAAATTAATAACTCACTTCAGTTACATGGCTATCAAGCAGCTCATGATCTTACCTAACCTTAACTTTTATTAATTTCTTTTTAATACAAAGAATAACCCTGTGTCAGCAATGAGTGTACAAAAAGTAGTAAACTAATGAAATAAATCTCCTAATAGTTCAACTTGTTCAACTTAGTATTCATTTTTTTCCCCTAAATGAAGCTTTATACATGTCAGGGATGATCCAACAGGAAATTTCCAGCCTTCTGAACTATCCAAGGACACCACAGAATTATAAGGTCACAGATGTTAGCTCTGCAGCAGACTGACCTACTCAGCTGTAAAGTCAGCCAACCTGCAGAAACTACATTTTCTCCAGCATGTAAGTCCAAACAACAAAGGGATTTGCAAAGGAAGGTAGGGGCGGGGACAGGGGGATGGGGGTTGGGCGGAGGGAGGTGGTTGCTCTGGACAAGTTCTCACATAGCAGCAGAGATCTTTACTTCTCAATCACCAAAATTTTAGAGAAAAACACTATACAAGCTACCTATAAATATTAACGCAGAGAAATCTATCCTGAGCAATAAGAAACATGCTGCTTGTTTATGCATGTATGCAAAGAGTAAGTTTACTATAATACCTTACTAAAAAATTCCACTCAGGCTTCCATTTTACCCTCTTCATTTCAAACAGATACAGTTTTCAGCACACTTGTTGACCACAAAACTGGAGCAGATGCAATTAAGATAAAACTTATCAAAGAAAAAAAAGTATATGTAGATGCATGTATATAATTTCAGATTCTATGATGAAATTACAGAGACCTGCTATTTGGCAAAGTTAAATTTTTGGTCCAATTTCAAAATTCCTATCTCCTTTGTTAATTGAAAAGATAAAAACTTTTCAATGTGCTGCGTCTGATTTTAAAGAGAGAAAAATTTGTTTTAACGCTTTTTCTCAGTTTGGAATACGAGATTTCCAAATAAATCTATTAGAATTTGCAAAGTTAATGACAGTAAAAATGGTTAATAATGTAAAAAAAATTTTTCTTCTAAAAGTTGTTTTCCTTCCTCATATAAAAATAGCTAACACATTGTATTAAATAATTTCAGATTATAAGGGAAATCAGTAAGTTTATCAGTAAGTTAATTATCAAAAATAATCAATAGCAAATCAGTAAGTTAATGCATACCTGTAAAATCTAAAGTGATGCCAGAAGTTCTTTACATGCTTGTATAATACTTCTACCATAAAGTTCATTATTTAACATTTCTCTCCAAACAATTAATCCCCTTATATGCTGATATATAGCTTTATATAATATTTCTTCACAGAGCAAAATAATGTTCAAATGGTAAAATGCACCACACCAACAAACAAGGAAATTTTCAAATGGTAATTTTTCAAATGCCCGTTTTCAACTGGTAAATACTCTGACCATATCCACAAATAAGAAACAACCAAGACAAGATGAACCCTAAGTGGTGACTTGGGAGAAAAGAACATATAAATTATGAATTCAGTGCACCATCAAAATTTCCCTGTCAGATATCAGTATTCCAAGTTAAAATCAGTTCAGGAATTTAGTAACTTGCTACTAAACATAAGAAATATATAAATATTTATTTTTCTACAACCCTCTACACATTTTCTGTATTACAAAAAATGTTTGCCTTAATTGCCATGCAATCTGTTATTGTTCTTCATTGAACTACTGCTATACTTTCTTTTAGTATTTATTGCAATTATAAACACAAGAAGACCAAAGAATAATTTAATAACAAAATTCACCTTTGTTATTGTTTTTGCTTTCAAACCTCCATTCTCCACAACACTGAGGTCCAATTTGCCATCATCCTTACTTCCTATAGCTTTTAGTCCTTGCAAAAGAATGTCACGTAAATTTTCATAAAGAGGTTTTTCAGTGTAGTCTAGTAATTTCACTGTTTCCATGTATTTGGCAATTTCACCTAAAAGAATAACACAATCATTTTATAACTTTCAATATATTTCTCTCTAACCTCTAAAAAAAATAATTCATGGTTATAGTAAAGTTAGAATGCAAATACACATCTTGTTAAGATACCTATTTTTTTCAATCACTTCAATGAAAAGTATGCTTTTGAACTCAGGAATTGTCAGATAACTGAAATTTAAAAAGTATTTTGAGATACAATGTAAAACACACTTTTTGTAATTGTGAGAAACAAGACAACTTAAAATGTAAATACTCATAAAAATAACTATTATAGTATTAAAGTTATAAAAAAATACAAAGGGATCTAGAATAAAGATTAGAAAGTAAAATGTCCTTAAATACAATGAATATCATAGCCAATATGTTTTTGCCATCAAAGCCATTAGCTCTATAGCAGATAGCTATATTCTTCGTGTAAATGAGAAATAAAACACACCAAAAAGAGGCCAAAGAAAGAAGAAAGAAATAAGATCTGGCTTTCCTATAAAAGAGAAAAATCAGCTTCCAAATGATAAAAGTGTACTGTACACTTAGACAGAACCACACCATAAAAAAGAAATCCTACTAGTCAAGATCAACACTTCTCAATATTAAAAATTCATTTTTGAGCTAATGACTCACACACAGACCTTTCCCCCGACCTCCAGACTTGTATATCCATCATTTCATATACTGGTCCTTGGATGTGTAAATATCACCATTAATTCCAACAAACCCACGTCTAAACTCTTGACCTATCCCTAAAACTTGAGGTTTTCTCTGTCTCAGTTACTGAGATTTTCATCCTTCTAGCTCCTCAAGCCAAAATCTGAGTTAGTCACCCTTGAATCATTTCTTCTCACACCAGTCCTTCAAGAGATCTTATCAGTTCTACACACACACACACAAGCGTGTGCATATATACACACATTCATTAACTCAAATATTTATTAAGCACCTCCTATGTGCCAGGCACTATTCCTAAATACTTGGAATATACCAAGAAAAAAACGGACAACAATCCCTAACTTCCAATTTCTTCATCTGATAAAGGAGATGTACAAAAAACCTAAAACAAATATCACCATGTATGATAAAACATTGAAAATGCTCCCCTGGGAGAGAAAAATGTCCACTTTTGCCATATCCCTTCAGTATAACAGAATAGTTATGTGTACTTTTAGCTAGTACGATAGGAAAATAAATAGAAGGCATAAAGAGTGGAACAGAAGATGTAAACCAGTCTTTATTCACAAACAACATAATACTACATGTGGAAAATCCTACAGAATCTACAAAGAACTACTAGAACTAGTAGATACATTTAACAAGGTCGTAAAATGCAAGGTAAATATATAAAAATCTATCTTATTTCTATATACCAGCAAAAAGCAATTGGAAAATAAACTATCAAAAAATACCTAAAATAGCATTAAATACTTTGCAACAAATACAATGAAAGATGAGCAAGAGTTTCCTAGAGAAGACTATAAAACACAGTTGAGAGAAATTAAGACAGACCAAATTTAATAAAATATATACCATATAAGTGGACTGGAAGACTCAACAGTATAAAGATGTCAGTGCTCCCCAAATTGGTCTACAGAGTCAAATTCAATCCCAAGGTTCCAGCAAACTTGGAGGTGGGTGAGTGTGTGTGTAACTGACAAGGTGATTCTAAAATTTAAATAGAAATGCAAAGGGCAAAGAATAGCAAAGTAGCAAAGTCCAGTTAAAGAAAAGCAGTGCCAAAGAATTTCAACTACCAGATATCAAGCTTTAAATAAAGCTACAGTAACTAAGACAGTGTGGTCCAAGAACAGGCAAAAAGGACAATTGAAAAAAGAGAGTCCAGAAACAGGTGCACAGATCCACACATCCACACTTGACTGATGACAAACATGACAACAAAGGGAAAGAATGGTCTTTTCAAGAAAGGCTGCTGGGTCAATTAGATATAAATATGGGGATAGGAAAGATACATGACCCCTCCTCAAATAATACCCAAAAACCAACTGCAGGTAGACTATACATCTGTATGCATAATTGGCAAGCTGCAACTGCCAAAAATTGGAGACGACCTAAGAGCAGAATAAATACATAATGGTATGTAACTACAATAGAATATCATATAGAAATGACAATGAGGAAACTACTGTTAAACATACAATAATAGGGCCAAGGGCAGTGGCTGATGCCTACAATCCCAACACTTTGGGAGGCTGAGGTAGGAGGACTGCTTGAGCCCAGGAGTTCAAGACTAGCCTGGGCAATATAGTGAGACCACATGTCCACAAAAAAAAATTTTTAATTAGCCAGGTGTGGTGGCGTGTGCCTGTAGTCCCAGCTACTTCAGAGACTGAGGTGGGAAGATCTCTTGAGCTCAGGAGGTCAAGGCTTTGAGCTCAGGAGGTCAAGGCTGCAGTGAGCTGTGACTGTGCCACTGCACTCTAGCCTGGGCAACAGAGTGAGACCCTGTCTCAAAAAAACAAAACAACAACAATAACAAAAAAAAACATGCGATAATGGGGATGAATTTCACAAATACATTACTAAGTGAAAGAAAAGGACACTAACAGAAGTAAACAATAATTTCAAGAGGACAGGAATTGTTACATATTTCATTCACTGTATTAACTCCATTTCTATAAATTTTAAACACAAATATTTGGTGTTGGAAATTAAGGTAAGTGACTCATTCGGCCAGGAGGGAGAGGCTACTGATTGCTATGAGGTCCATGGGATAATTCTGAGAAACCCACATTGTATTTATTGATATGGGGAGTAGGTTGCAATTTTAAATAGCATAAGGTCAGGATAGACCTCCCTGAAAAGGAGACAACTGAGCAAAGGCTTAGAAAGACTTCTGAATATATCCAGACTGACCAATTCTCACTCTTTGGCTGCTACTTCTCTTGCATGGGTTACTGCAGTGGCCTCTTAACCTGCTTTCTGCCTAGGCCCATCCTTGCTCCTTCAGCAGTCCATCCCCATGCCAGAAGCAGGAGACCCTTCCCCTCAGGATAAGCAGTTCATGTCACTCTTCTACTACAAACCTCACACTCTTCCTTGAAGTAAAAGCCAAAGCCCTCATGTTTACCTATGAAGACACAGTCCTCGCATCTCCTGGGCACTAGTGTCCCTTCTGCCTAGAACTCTCTTCCCCAGACTTCTACACAGCTCACTCCCTCCCTCACCTCCTTCCTACAACTGCTCAAATGTCACCTTCCAAGTGAGGCTGTCCCTGGACAGCCTACTTAAAATTACAGTCCTCCTCACTACTTTACTACCCACCCCATCCCCATCCCCCTAATTCTATTCCCTGTTTTCTTCTAGTTCCACAGTACTAACCAGGGGGAACATATAAATTTTGCTCATGTGTTTACTGTCTAAAATCCTCCAACTACAATGCTAGCTTCATGAGGGCAGGGATATTTGTTTTGTTCACTGATGTACCCCCAGTCCCTGGCACACAATAAAGCCTCAATATTTACTAACTTAATGTATGAATGAAATTTGCTTCCTTTGCTAAAAGCACTGAATAATAATTGAATGAGGCTCAAGTATTCATTTAACAAACCATCTAACATATTTTTTTTTCTGAGACGGAGTCTCACTCTGTCACCCAGGCTGGTGTGCAGTGGCACAATCTCGGCTCACTGCAACCTCCGCCTCCCGGGTTCAAGCGATTCTCCTGCCTCAGCCTTCCAAGTAGCTGGGACCACAGGCGTGCGTCACCACGCCTGGCTAATTTTTTGTACTTTTAGTAGAGATGAGGCTTCACCATGTTAGCCAGGATGGTCTTGATCTCCTGACCTCGTGATCCACCCACCTCAGCCTCCCAAAGTGCTGGGATTACAGGTGTGAGCCACCATGCCTGGCCACCACCTAACATCTTACATTAAGGGCTATTCCATGGATATCATGCCTTTTTATCCCCAGAAAACAAAATCCCTATTAACACTGAAGAAGTCATTTCCTACCTGGTTTGTTTTTCTCAGGAAAACATTTGTCCATCAAACTTGCAATATTTTCTCTGTATCTGTTAAAAATTAAAGAATGAGTCACTGAAGCTTGATGTCATATGTTAATATGAAATAAAAATATATAGCACATTAAGCTATATTGTGCTACATCCTAAATATGCTTACAGACATTTTTCTAAAATAAACAAAAGACCAAGGAACCTTACTGTTTAACAAGTACTTTCTTATTTCTATATCAGTATCAGTTGAAACTATAGTTCCTATCAAGAAATTGTGACTAAAAACATTTGGCTTATCATGATTTTGCTAGAAATAACTTAAGTTTTCCTTTACCTAATTTTGGAATCTCTAACATATTTAGGATCTTTCAAATTATCCTCCCAAGGAAGATGGCCAGTAAGCCATTGGATCATGCAATAACCAAGTATTTCCAAATCACCACGTCTTGATGGGGCTACAAATGCAAGAGAAGAACATTAGGTAGACTGAAATAATTTTTAATGTATAATTTAAAGTATATATAAAGTAATAACATAAAACAAGTCAACTCCACAGTCTGTTTTTCATCATAAAATTTTGACTGCATTTCACCTAGGTACTGAACATTGGACAGTATAAAAGAAATAGCTTACCTCCCAATTAACTTCTAGCTAATAATCTACTTTAAAACCCAAATTGGTAAATTTCAGGGTTTCAAGCGGAGACTGTTAGTCTAGAAATAAAACTAGTTTTCCTTTGGAAAACTTGAAGATATTCTTAAAATTTTTATATGCTATTAAGAGGCCCAGAGAACTGGGTATTTGAGTTCTTCCACAGCTTTGAGCACAGAAGAAATGACTGCTGAAGAAATAAACTAACTTAACAGGTAACAAAATAAAAGTTAGCTGTTACAAAGTTGTAGATACATAAGAAACTTGAGAAAAAACACAAAAACAAACATTCCAATTAAACTAAATAAAACCAAAAAGAAATCCTCATGGCAGCTGAATGAACCACTACCACCTTCTTGGTTATCTTTGAAGGCTGCGAGGAAAAGGCAGGACAGAAGAACACAGATGGTCCTGGAATACAATTGTAGGAGTCTCACCTCTGCCTTCTTTCCTCATGCCACTGTGCCTTTTCAATTTTTATTTATCTATTCATTTACTTATGCATAATTAAGAACTATGTAGGAATCTGGGTGAAAACATTAGCAGTCTATTTCTCACTCCAGTACTACTGACATACCCACGCCATTGTGTGCATCGATGCTCGTGAATTCAATAGTGCCATCGTGACATCTTTTGGGGTCTTCTTTGTATTCTTTATGAACTCCTTCTGGGCAGTACCGATAAGCAAGGCCATAATCTACCAAGTACACCTATAAATTTCCAAGCACCAAGACAAACTAAAGTCAAAATCACTGCACATATAACCCTTTAAAGCACAGAAACAAAATACTGGCATCTGAAGGTGGGTTCACCTACAAGGTCATTCCATAACACTCCAAACAATTTAGATCCAAAATGCAAACAACAGCAAATACTTAATTCTGAAAGGCTTTTTATTTTTAATAAAAATGTTAAATGACCACATAGCTACAGTGTAATCACTTGACTTTATATACTTTTTTAAGATAAGTATATGTTATACTTGTAATTAATCTTGTCTCAATTTGAACGAAAATTATACATTTTATACTTTATCTTACAGACTCTAAAATTGAGCACAGAGCAAACCGTCAATACTTGTTGCAATACAACTGCTACTTTCCACACAGAAAAGCACACCCAGTAGAAGACTGCTAATGATGCTGACACATGATATGTTAGTTACCTTCTATTCCTCTGTTTCTTCACTTGTAAAATAATCAAATTTCAATTTACTTTATAAAAACATTTCATACATCATAATAATGATCTAAAGAACTGTTAGATCAGGCTTTTATCTATATCTAAATACTATATTCTAAAGCCAAGTCTTCATGATTAAAAGTAAATTTTAATATTATATACATACTTATTCGTGGGCATATACATGTGGGTCTGATTAGCATACAAAGCTAATAAACTTGGCTTTCTTCCATTCCATAGCCACACATTACATCTCTAATTCTGAGTAAATGTCACAAATGCATGCATCTGGGCACAAGAGGAAACTGAAGTAAAAATATGTGGCTAGATCTAGCACATACATCTAACACTGGAAAAATAATCCCATCCAAAGCATATGTCTGAAGGATAACAGAGCTGCAAAAATATTTCCATATAAACAAAGGCAGCATGTTTTAGTCACCTACAAAGTGATATAAGTTGTATTTTATTATACTGTACAAGTCCAGACTATTTCAATTAATGGAACCCTTATTGTTCAGGTTGTTAGCTGCGTTTTCTTTGTTCTTAGCCTAGAAATATCTAAAAAGAAATGGCTAGAAAGAGCAGAGATGAATTTGATGATTGCCTTTTTAAGATTTCTCCATTAGCACACTATCTTAATAGTATAGTAACTTTCTTCTTTTATACTTATATAGATTCCCTTCTATCCACCATAACTGACATTGGAGGAAGGGAAGCAAATACGAGACGACAGAAAAAGAAAAGAGAGCCAAAGGAAAAAGGAAAAACTAAGCAAAGGTAGTTAAAGGTACATTTGAGAGAAAGAATGAAGTACAGAGTACTGACAAATAATTACAATAATCAAAGTACCCAAACACATTTAAAATGTTTAAATCTTCCTTTTTATGTAAGATCAAGTAAGAAGTGAGAACATACATTAAGTATGAATGTCAACTAAACCTTACTTTCACCGAAATCACAGAAACAGTTATACAGGAAAATTGTATAGATCCCTCTACTTCAACTAAACTGACCTAAATAAAGGTATAATAACATTAGCTTTTCTCCTTTCCTTAGAAAGTAAAAATTACAAAGGGAATGTAATAAGCTAAAAAAAAAATGCACATTTGAATTCCAAACACTAAGGGTATACAAATTTAGACAGCTAAGATATTTCTGTAAACCAATTGATTTGAATAATCAACATGTTAAAGACCAAATTTTCCAAGTAATAGAACACTTACATTTGATGGATTTCTTGAACAAAGGAATAAAAAAAGTGACAAAGCAGACAGGCAAACATAATTCATTGGTGTACTATATAATTTTAAGCTTCCACCCCCAAATAGCTATTTGAAATTCATTTTGTATCACAAGCACTTCTTCTGAATATTATTTAGGGCAAAATAGCCAACTTGATAAAGTGCCAACAAATCACATCAAAAATGTAGAATGTTAACTAGATCAAAGTGTCAAGAAGAAATATTATTACCATATCTACTTCAAAAAGTAAAACTTCTACACAGGTTCAAAAGTTCAAAGCAACCATATTTATTTTCAAACAACACGCTTTAAATAGTAGAAATTAAAGTTATAAAACTACCTGGTCAGGATTCTTGTAGTTCAGAAGAAGATTTGAGGCCTTGATATCTCCATGCACATACTCATGCTCGTGAATATATTCCAGAATATCCAGCTATGAAAGTATCATACAGAATAAGTTAATGCAGTACCTAACACCAGCCAGCAGAGGACCAAGCTTCAACATAAACTAGCCTTTACTGTACTCAAAACAATTTTTTAAAAACAAGAAGAACATAGCTCACATACAATTCTTAAGCTTAGCTGCAAGACAGTTTTCCGAGAAAACCTTTTGGCATTTGCTTCATATATTTTCTGAAGGTCACTCCCAAAGCGATCCATTATCATAAACCTGTAACTGAAGACAAATATGAAAAGCCAATGAACAAAATACAATGCAAGAAAACCAACTTTGTAATGAGTACTCTCAAAGTAATTTTTTCAAGACAATGTTTAGTAAAGAAGTATTCTTTAAAAAAGAAATACAAACATTTGAAACAATTTCTCCCAACTAGAAATCTCAAAGAGTTCAGAGTGCTTTCAGGTCCTGCTTTTTACCTGGAGGGCCTCTTCCTGGTCGCAGCTAGTTTCAAGAGACTATTCAATTTAAGATAATGCTCACAGAGAGAACCCAACAAGTTTATTCACGGTAAAAATAAAACAAGCTGAATAAAAATGACAGCATTGATTTTTCTCATAGTTAAAATTAATTCATGTTTCTGGATATCAGCTTCCTTCCTGTGACTGTTTCTCCTTATTTTTAAGGTATATTTCAGCAGTAACAACATTCTGCTAAAATCAAGATTCTCGTGAGATGCTTTAACAAAAGCCAGATTCAATACCATTGTTTAAATGGCGTAAAAGGATTGTACATTAAACACTCAATGGCCAAGATTTGGGGAAAAACAAATATCCTGAAAAAACATGAAGATAACTGGCTTTGCATAAAGCAGCTATGTCACCTTGGCTGAGTCACATTACTTCCTGGGCCTCAATTTCCACAGAAGTAAAATGAGAGAGCAGGGACTCACCCTTTCTAAGGTCACTTTCAACACCCAAAACTCAGATTCAATAATCACGTTATATTTCAGTATGTACAGAAAAGCATCACCTATTTGCAATAACACTGCTTAGCTTCTGCTCTGAGGACCACTTTTATCTTCAATAGTTTTCCAGATTCTAACTTGTCTGGTGAAATCATTCAGTAAATCAATAAAAATCAAAACCACACTCAGAATGTATCAGGACATCTCCAATGAGGAAGATTATGAATCATCAACACCATAACATCTAGCATTTACTGAACACCTGGTATGCACACAGCACTACTGTAAGTACTTAAAACGTTATTAATGCATTTAAACCTCACATCACTCTATAAAGTAGGTAACTCCTATCATACCCATTTTACAGCAGAAGAAAACTGATAATTTGTCCTCTAGTATGTGGCAAAATCATGCTTTTAACCCCTGTACTACATATTAACTGAAATAAATGTCAGTAGGATACAAAAATCCCATTTATATGTTATAGGCTTCTATGATAACAATATGACAAGTTCAATAGGGAAGGAAGAGTTGACTAACATTAAAAGACAAGATGTTGAACAAGTAACTCAGAATTCTATTCATTTTTGAACTGGAAGAAAATTAGAAAATCATCTTGTCTAAACATCTTTTAATAAATAAAATAACTAAGGTCTTTGGAGGTAAAGTGATTTGTCCAAGGTTATAAAATTAGTCAGTGGTGGCCGGGCCTGGTAGTTCACGCCAGTAATCTCAGCACTTTGGGAGGCCAAGGCTGGTGGATCACCTGAGGTCAGCAGTTCGAGACCAGCCTGGCCAACATGGTGAAACCCCGTCTCTACTAAAAACACAAAAATTAGCCGGGCACGGTGGCAGGAACCTGTAATTCCAGCAACTCGGGAGGCTAAGGCAGGAGAATTGCTTGAACCTGGGAGGCGGAGATTGCAGTGAGCCAAGATTGAGCCACTGCACTCCAGCTGCACGACAAGAGCAAACTCCACCTCAATTAAAAAAAAAAAAAAATTTGTGACAAAATATATTCATTCATGTAAGATTTCCTAGCACCTTGGCTTGTAAGATAATAAAGTGAAAATGGTAACTTTGACTTCCTGGTTTCCTTTGTGTAACAGATTTTGCAAGGTTGAGAGATGAGACCAGGGCACATATACATGTTGGCTTTTACTAAATAGGTGATGTGTGTAATGATTATAACATAGGATGAGCATCTCAAATCTGAAAATCTGAAATCAGAAGTGCTCCAAAATTAGAAAGTGTTTTTAGTGCCAACAAGATGTTCAAAGGAAATGCTCACTGGAGCATTTTGGATTTCCCATTTTCAGATTTGGGATGCTCAACCAGTAGGTATTAACGCAAATATTCCAAAATCCTTAAGAAATCCCAAATCTAAAATACTTCTGGTGCCAACATTTCAGATAAGGCATACTTAACCTGTAATACACAGGTAACAAAAATACAACCTCTGTAACAGCCTGAAAGGTGGCTAAAACACAACTGCTTAATTCAACATGGGGTCTATTAATAAATTCTGTTACATAGGTCTTTGTTTTTATTCACAAATCACCCTACCACTACTCTTAATAAGACCTTAATCTTGTCACCATACCTAAATCATAAACATCAACTGAAACATGATTCCACAAATTTCACAGAAACCATTACCACATTCTTCTGGAAAGACGGCTCTACCATTGAGTAGTAAAATGAAAGCTATTTCTAAGTAACTCCTCTAAAGTAAAACCTTTGATGTATACTTTTCTGGAGACTTGGATAAAATGTGCAAGTAAAAGAAAAATATAAATCAGTGTAAAATAATTTAATAATGGTAGCAGCTAACATTGCTCTAAGCCCTACATACATATTAATTCAAATGAGTTACAAGGAAAACTAAGCATGTCTGGCATGGAAGGGGGCTGGAAGAATAATCTACTTTCTATTTCTTTACTTTCTAAGACCTATAATGATTCTTTTTAAGAGCTTCAACCTAAAAAGTAAATCAATGCCTGATATATGACTAATGCCATCTTTTTAAAGGAGACATTTCTAGCAACCTCATTTTATAGAAGAAATGGGCTGGGAGGTAAAGTCATCACTAGTAAGTGGTGAGTTAAGACTTAGACTGTGTTCTCATTTGTCACCACACTCTAAGGCACTTCTGATCCACACCAGGGAAGTTCTTTCCAGCAGTGCCCAAGTCAGTCAGCTTACAGAGTCAACCTTGGACCCACTTAGTCCCTGGTCACCTCACAGGAGTCACACAAACAAAAGCCCTGTTTAACTGGTTCTGAACTTTATCATAAAATGGGTGATAAGAATGTATATGGTAAAATGTGATATGACAGTGTGGGCTACTTTTAAAAAGACCATCATTCTCAAGCAACATACCACCACTGACAAACAAAAATCATAGACAAACAAATGAAACCAATTATGATAATCACAGTGATGATGACTGCAAGAAACATTTCCTCAGCACTTACTCTGTGCCCCTTACAATTTACATGTTTTCAATTCATCTTCACAGTAATTCATAAAGTAAGCACTATTATCCTCATCTCACACATAGGGAAACAAGAGAGACAGAAAGTTAACTAGCCCATGACCACACCTGATGGAGTCAAGTACAATCAATCTAGTGCTAGATTTGTTTGGTGTTTAGGTTTTGCTGCAATATACCGTGCTTGGTTTTTTTTTTTTAAGACGTTTATACTCAAATTATGGAAAGAGGAAAAGGCTGTTATTCCAAGTCTAAAAATGCTCTAGCCCCAGGTACACTTTTCTTCCAATCATCTCTATGAAATGTGGTTTTCATAATGTACTGTTCCTTAGGAATATAACTATTGTATACTGGAGCACACAGTCAAACAGATTTGCTTCCTAGCAAGTCATCACTAAGGGTTTTTCTTGTCTTACTCCCCTTTAGACAGTCTTTAATTCACCATGTAAGCCATTTCCCAAATGCCACTTTCACCACCATGTCACCTCATCCCTTGCTCAAGAGCAAGTGATAGCTTCTGACTACCTACTATACATGGGTTCCAAACTGTTCTTTCCTCTATGGGTCTTCATTATCTGCCACCGACTCCTTCTCCAAGTTTATTTCCTTCTCTCTTACACACATGCCCTCTTCCTCTGCTACAGGAAGACGGCCATTGGGTCATACAGTAGAATAAAAGTCTATCCTGCCTGTGCTCACGTTCATCTCCCACTTAAGATGCTGTTCTGCCTCTTCAATGATTTTCTAAACCAGTAGGTTTTAACATTTAAGCGATTAAAGACCCCTTTGAGAGCAAAAGCTAACATCTATGTTTTACATATACTCTTGTAGCTTTATACTAAAACATCATTAAGTGGGTAGCTGTTACTCCATTTCACAGATGAAGAAATTAAAGCAAAAAATTGCCCAAATTCACACACATTTTAAGGGGCAAAACAAGGTTTTAAAACTAGGCAGTCTAGCTCTAGAATCCTTGCTCTTAACTAACTTAACTAATCCTTATTCTATAGTATTTCTCCAGAAAATATTATAAAAACTATAATATATTTTGCTATCCCAGCAAAACCATATAAAATAAAATGTTAAAAGTGACTTCAGGGATCCCCACACTCCCTAAGAGAGGCATGGATCCCAAGTAAACAACACTGGCTGCCTACCCAACTACTTACCCCTCCTCTCAATCTTTTCTAACGGAGCACCAATTTGGTTCCGGCATTCCATCCTTTTCCACATGGATCGCTGTGATCACTTTGTCCTTGCCAGTCAATGGTTTAAGTATTGATAAAATTCTGACCAAGAAAACGTGAGAGAAAGTCTGCCACAGGGCTCCTGGGAAAGCTTTCTTTGCCAGGAAAGTGAAACTCACAACACACGATAGATACCATTTTCTGCCCTTGGGTACTGTGCCTGCATGTGAAGCCTAGAAATGGAGCAGCCACCTGGCGACCACACAATGGAGAACTAACAGAGAACAAAACCAAGAAGAGGAGGGCAAAGGTGCAAGATAAGGAACCTGGGCCCTTGATGACTGCCTGAGTCAAAGTTTTCCTTTACTTGCAGCTGAAATCATCCTAAGCAATATATCCCCAGTTCCAAACTAAATCTACCCGTCAAGTCTCAGCTACCAAAGCCTTACTCCATGAAGTTCCATTCATTCATTCAAATATGTATCAAGTGCTGCTTATGAACCAAAGTATTAGAAGTTTTCTCCAAATAAACTATCCCAAAGAATTCATTCTCTCCATTCTCTGAACTCCTAAGACACGTAAGTCAGTATTATACAACTTAGCACTTAATTGTTCTCTAATTGTTTCAAACATTTTTGTTTTCACTCACCAGCTAGACTAAAACCCTCATAAAGGGTGAGCCTAATCTTGTGTGGGCAGATTATGTATCCAACATTTCTGTGTGGGCAGAAATACCAAATGGAATCCTGAAGGGGTTCCCTTTTGCATGAAGAACAGAGGCGTTTTTGTTTGTTTATTTCTAAAGGCAAGGAGGAAAAAAAGGCAGGGTGTTTGGCTTTGTTCCTCCTTGTCAGTTGGGTTCCAGTCAGTTGATACTGCTCTGCAGAAGCTCCCTGACTAGAGAGGCACTCCTATTCTAATAAGGCATCATAGCCTGCTGCTATGGAAAGCAGAGGACAGAGATAACATCTTATTCCTCTCTGTCACATACACTCCACATACTCCAGAGGGAGGCCTAGTAATATTGTAAGTGATCAGTAAATAATTACTGACTAAACCAACTAAATAGTGAATGTTGCAAAAGGGAAGGAGAAAGACAAATCACACATATTTTTACCTTTTTCCATTTTTGTCATGTAGACCAGACCCCCAATACTTAGGAACACCCAGGTACTTCAGCTTACGGGTACGAATCCATTTCTGAACTACAAATTAAAACAGATCTTTGTGATTTCAATTGTTATACATAAATGATAATTTTTTAAAAAATCATTAAGAGCAAAATGTATTTATACATGCAATAAGAATTCACCTGTATTCATAAAAAAGAAAATGAAGAATACAGTATAACGAATAACGAAAAGCATTTTACGATGAAAACATTTTTATTAACCTACAAAATTGTTATCCTGCCCTTAAAATTGTCTTTAAAATGAAAAATCTACAAAAAGCATTTTTTTTAAATCAAAACTACAGTGCAGTCATTCCTTTGTTCTAGGGGCTTGGTTCCAGGAACCCCCACCCCTCAAGACACCAAAATCCAGATGCTCAAGTCCCTCATATAAAATGGTGTAATATCTGCATATAACCTCCACACATCCTCTTATATACTTTATCTCATCTCTAGATTACTTATAATATGTAATACAATGTAAATGCTATGTCAATAGTTATACTGTACTAGTTTTTTATTTGTATTATTTTTTATTATTGAATTGTTATTTTTTATTGTAGCTTTTTTTTTTTTCTGGAATATTTTTTATCCCTGGTTGGTTGAGTCTGAGGATGTGGAATCTGAGAATACGGGGGTGGACTATCCTGAAGTTGCAGTTTCTCTCTCTAATTATGTAATGTTTACTTGCTTCTACAGGAAGACCTATTTTTCATACCAATCTAAAAGGTTTTTCTTCCTCAATATAAAAGTCCTCAACCAGGAAATCAAGATCTAAGAGACATGGAAGAAGGACAGAAGGGACCAAAGTGACTAGGAGAGGTTCTGGCTCTCTACCTTGATATCCTGTTCTATTTCATCAATAATTCTCAATGTTTAACAATATTTCCTAAATCATAGGTCATTTATTATTAACTTCATTCTATGTATCTATATAGATAAAATCTTGATGCAACAAACCCATTAAAAGACCAGAATTCTTTCACACAAATCCCATGTAAGTGGAATTTATAAAGCAAAAAAATAACAAAGAGTCATAAAATAAGATACAATGCTCTAGGTCTTGGCTTAAAACAAAAAACTGGTCATTTTAAAAGTGTAAACGTATGTGTACTGTATTTCTTACTTTGCTCTGGTTTTGCAGCTCGTTGGTAGAACTTTAATTCAGTAAAAAGAGGTCCATTGTCACTGGGTTCCTTAAAATATAAGAGTTAATTAGTACTAGCAGTAGTTAAAATTACTGAGATATTTTCAATGAACCTTCAAAAAAGACCAACAAATCTATTTTTCTGTCCAATGTAATTTTGATACTTAAGTTTATAACTGTGTTAAGATTAAGTCAAACTCCTTAGAAATGTTCAGAGAAATATTAGTCTATATTTCTTATATTGCTCAAGTTCCATTTCTATAAGTGATAAATTATACAAAATCAGATATATAGCTCAGCCTGCAGAAGTTTAAGAAAAATGTTTAAACTAATTTTCATCTTTATTAAGCTTTCCCTTAAGCAAAGATGAGCAATCATCTTAACTGTATCACCAAGGGGCTATAAGATATTTCTCAGATTTAATAAAATTTCAATACCTAATTTAACCAATTAATGCCAAAATCCCATTCCTTTCCTGTTTTCATTACACTTATATCTACTTTATCAGGACTGGCAAAAACAGACCTTACCACAAAGAAGAGCCCATATTATGCATCTCCTGAACAAGCATGCACTGTCCACTAACCTGCATCCTTCCTTTCTGACACAGATTCCTACATTTGTCAAACCAAACATGGGGCTCATTAACAATTGTTTTCTACCAATGTTATGGACTACATTCATTTTATGTTTTTAGAGATATTAACAATTAAAATTATTACTAAAGAGACATACATTCACAAAAACGTATTTGCACAAACAAGAAATAACAGCCTGTCAGCAGTTTTGCCTTGTTAAATAAATATGTAAGAGTGGAAAAGATCTTATAATTCTGTGGACTTTTTAAATAGTAAATTTCATCTGATTAAAATTAGTATTTATTTAATGTCTGGTATTTTGTGTTGGTCATTATTTATTGGGAATTAAAAAAAGTTTTTAAAGCAGTGAAAACTTCAAATGAGGAAGCTAACATTTCTAAACTAATTTTAGGGTTGCTTTTCTTTTTAGGAGGTATGAGAAAAAAATTATTTTGGGCAGAATATCTTGGTTAACTGGAGTTCAAAGTTAAATAGAGCATTGGGGGAAGTGAGTAATGAGGCCTACTACCTTAAATGAGTGACAACTTATAGTTTTGGGTTGCTAGAGATGACTTTTGCAAGCACTTAAAATATGTTCACCTTTTCTTCACTCAAGATACCCTCAACTGTAGAAAACCACTCCATACTCTCTGCTCTAATTATCTCAGATTTCTTATAATTCAGAAAATAGGAATCCCCAATTAAAGTACTTAGAAGAAGGCCTGGCATAGTGGCTCATGCCTGTCCTGTCATCCCAGCACTTTGGGAGGCCAAGACGGGCGGATCACTTGAGGTCAGGAGTTCAAGACCAGCCTGGCCAACATGGTGAAACCCCATCTCTACTAAAAATACAAAAATTATCTGGGCATGGTGGCGAGTACCTGTAATCCCAGCTACTTAGGAGGCTGAGGGAGGAGAATCACTTGAACCCAGGAGGCGGAGGCTGCAGTAAGCTAAGATCGTGCCACTGCACTCCACCCTGGGCAACAAAGCAAGATTCTGTCTCAAAAATAAAAATAAAGTACTTAGAGGAAAACGGATTAGCCAATCTGCAGACTCAGGCAGTTATTAATGAGCATTTAACAGTAAATGGGCAACACACATTAACACTTGGATCACAACCTGAAAACAAGCGTGCCTTATTTGTTACAGGTAAGTATACTTTTCACCTTAACCTTGGAAGACAGTAGTATCATGGCTTGGCATGCAACAACTCCTTAAGAAGGAGGAACTAACCAACATACTGAAAGTATGAGTGCTGATTCCTTAACTTATGGACTCAGTACCCAAGTTCCTCTATAACCTATGGCTCCTTTCCTAGCAGCAATAATAGCTTGACACTTGCAAGCATTTGCAAGAGACACTTGCAGTGTTTCCAGCCAATGGCTAAGAATAGGTCTTTGGTAGGAATCACAGAATCAGCGTTAAGAAAAAGAAATTCAAAAGGAGAAATTCTGGTAAAGTTCCTCTCCAAAGCTTACCTTTGGAATAGCTCATTTATATAATTCAGGTTTGAAAGAGGTTTTCCTAAGACAAATCAGTATAAAATTCTGATTTATTCAGTTTCAACCTATGTCATATCAACTTTAACTTTCAAGTTTTCCTTCAGGCAATAATTTATTAAACCTATAATAATGAGAATCAACCATATAAATCAGGCTATTATAATGAAAGCCCACTACAAGGAAGGCTCTCTGAGCTCATTTCATACTTCTTCTAATCCAATAAACTTCCATTATCACAAAATAAAGGAGCTACTTCCTTGGCATTGCACTCTAGCCAAAGCTAGCTATTCCTGTTGAAGAAAATACCTTAACTCATAACTAAAATTTTATTAACATATTTCAAATCTAAAATACTTTGCCAACTCTATAATAGCCAAGATTTAGAAAAGAAATTGGGACTGACATTTTAACTAGAATATCACTAAACGTTTCTTTAAGACTTCTAAGTGTCAAAATGAAGATGACAACAGAAAAAAAATTAAAATGTGATATATTTCAATGGCACCAGCTAAAAGCAACTGGCTGCCATTTAAAAATGAAGCTGTACAAAATTTCTCCTTCCTACCAAAAAATTATGATATATGAATTAAAAATTCAGGTCACTTCTCATAACATCAGTGAGGAAAATCAAACATCAGTCTGCAAACTTCTTTCCAAGGAACTGTGAAATACAGATTCTTATCAGTTCACATCTGAAAAGGACCACAGTACAATGACCTGTTAGGATACCATCCAAAAGCCTGACCTCTGCCTCTAGTTCTGCTACTGACATGACTAAGGGTAAGTGCAATTCAAAGAACTACTAATTTCATATTAAGTCTGTCAGCAAGAAAACACAAAAGAAAATTTCTTTCTCCTTGCATTATCCAACATTTCTCCTGCACAGTTACTTTCAGAAATAAAATACAGTGTCTGTTCTGTAGGTCAAGGATTAAAGCCCCAACCAAAACCAGAGACCAACATTTGGTACATGTGAGAACATTTTTATTATGTGCCTAACATCTACCTTGAATGGGTATGTCTTAACTTCACTCCAATGCCAAATAAGAGATTTGTGGGTTAACTATCTGGAGCTGTTTCATAAGGCAGATACATGTATTATCAGCAATAACCAACTTTTTGACAAAGCGTCCACATTAAGTTAGAAACCCTTACCAGCAGCAGAGGGTACCTGCACACCCTTACTGAAATCAAGGATAAAAATGTGCCAGCCACAAGATTCCATTTAAAATAATTAAGGTGCTCTGTGTGCCAGATTCTACCAGTGGCTCTCAATCTTGATGCACAAAAGAATCACCTGGGAAGCTTTACTAAAAATACCAATAACCAGGCCCTACACCCAGATTCTGATCATACTCTACAACCAGGATTGAGAACCACTGTGTGATATGCTATTACATTATTAAGTAAAATTTCACATTAGAAAATCAATTTGCCTTTATTTCGTAACATTTGCAAGTTTTTTCTCTAATGATAAAATAATGCTCATTTTAGAAAATATGGAAACATTTTGATGTATTTTCTTCATAAATAGCCATTTTATAAGACAACCTTCATACTATATATAGAACTTTGTATCCTGCTTTTTTAGAAATAATTATAAAACTTCCCCAAAGAGTAGTACATGTTCTTTGAAAACACGATCTTTAATAGTCCATAATGTTTTAAATGACAAATGTTCATAAACAGTTCTGATTTTAATACCAGAAAGAACTGATGCTCATTTTACATGTTTGTTATTTGGTGAAACATTTCAACTATTAATATTAGAAAGTTGTAAGAAGGCAAATTATGAGTGGGCCTGCTCTCTATGGTACAGACAAGACAGGAAAGTGAATGACATGAGGAAGTTGAGAGTAAATGAAAAGAGTAGTATAAAGGCAATGGACAATTAATGGCTAAAAAGTATTCAAAAGAATAAATGAAATAAGCTTCTAAAGACTGCATAGGGAAAACAAGCTTTATTGACAAGGTCCTTATCAGATAACTTAAAATTCAGTTAGAGAGACAGAATAAACACATTTAAAAAAACTAAAAACAACTAGTGGCATAAGAAGAATGAAACTGTAAAATAAATGTTAATACAATGAGTGCTGTAGGTGTTTATTCAGGAGAGAGTGCTAGGGGAAAAGAAGCAAATAGAAGTTACAAATTTCCCCTTCAAAGGGAAGGAGAAAGTCAGTAATATTACTGTTTTGTTTTATTTTTGGTATTTTTTTTTTTTTTGAGATAGAGTCTCACTCTGTAGCCCAAGCTGCAGTGCAATGGTGCCATCTCAGCTCACTGCAACCTCTGCCTCCCAGTTTCAAGTGATTCTCCTGCCTCAGCCTCCTGAGTAGCTGGGATTACAGGCAGGCACCACCACACCTGGCTAGGGGTTTCACCATGTTGGCCAGGCTGGTCTTGAACTCCTGACCTCATGTGATCCACCCACCTCAGCCTCTCGAAGTGTTGGGATTATGATCGTGAGCCACCGCGCCTGGTCAGTAGTATTGTTTTGTTTATGACATTCTTCTAGGATAACTGTAACATCCAAAAAGTTACTAAAATATTAAATGCAAAAGAGAAATCAACTGAGTATCACTGTCCTAATTACAAAGAGAAGAAGTAATAAAGGATAATGGAAACAGAACTAAATTAGGAGACAGGAGATACACAGTCCTGAACTAGGTACTTGGTCTTAAACTTAAAAATATAATTCATTACCTTAAGCATATAGAAAATACTGTTCCTGGCCATGTTTTTTCTTAACTATATAAGTTAAAAAGGCAGTAAAAGTAAAGTTACATTGACTAACAACAGAAATACTTCTAATTACTCACAATAAAGAAGAACAACAGAAATATTTCTAATTACAATAAGGAAGCACATCATTCTAAGAGAAAATACAACTTAAGTTCAGAGGCCATGTGCCATGGCTCATGCCTGTAACCCCATCACTTTAGGAGGCTGAGAGGGAAGGATCACTTGAGCTTAAGAGTTTGACACCAGCCTGGGCAACAAAGCAAGACCTCATCTCTACCAAAAAATCAAAAAAATTAGCCGGGCATGGTGGTGCGTGCCTTTAGTCCCAGCTGCTAGAGAGGCTGAGGTGAGAGGATCACTTGAACCCAGGAGATCAAGGCTGCAATGAGCTATAATTGCACCAATGCACTCCAGCCCAGGCAACAGGATGAGACACTGTCTCAAAAAAAAAAAAAAAGTTCAAGTTATACAGAACAAAAAAGACATGATTATACACTGTTCCACCTTTAAGATATGACACTGGCACACTTTCCTTCCAAGACACAGAAACAGCTATGCCAACTAACTGCAAGGGGTCAGAGGTAACCATATCATTTGAACCTCAACGTTATGAGACGTCAGAAGGAGACTTGCTTTCTTCTCACAACAGAACTCCTAATGAGCCTAAGAAGAAACTCATCTTACCCATAGATTTTAATATTTTAATTTGTATTATCAAAAACAAATGCACACAATATTCTGCAATTAAATACAAATGACCCAATTTAATACTAAGAACTTTAGTTCCTCTGATTCAGCAACAGGCTGAATATTCCAAAAAGAATGCTATTCCATAAATGAAGAAGAAGAAAAATCCACAATGAAAGGCCATCATGAAAAGAAGCAGGAGAAATAAAGCACTTTGACACAACTTGAAAGGCATCGCTTTGCTTCCGCTTCCCTGCACGAGGGAATAGCTGGGACCCAGTTAGCCCTCCCACTGCAAACAAAGATAAAAACAGACTTAAAAACAGAAAATTTCTATTTTCAGAAATTAGACAATGGACAGGACAGGACTGTGACCCCTAAGAGACAGAAAACAAAGTGAGTCCATGGCAGCCCTGGCTTTTTTCCCCTAGAGATCCTAGGAGTAAAATGGAGGAGACTTAAGCCTGCAGGGCAAAAGGGGGAAGACCAAACAGAGTGCCAGGTACAGAACTCTGCTACCAAAATCAACAATGAGATTGGAAATTTTAAATTGAGAAACAGTGGGGAAAAAAACGAAAGACCAATATCCTTCACGAACAACGACACAAGAATCTTTAACAAAGTATTCACAAATCAATTCTAGCATTATGTAAAAACTATAATACACCATGACTAAGTGGGGTGTATGTTAAGAATACAAAGTTCGGTCAACACTCAAATATCAATCAATGTAATTGCCACATTGACAGAGGAAAGGAGAAAAACCCTGTGATTCATCTCAGATGTAGAAAAAGCATTCAAAAAATGAATAGGCAAACTATAAACTAGTAGAAAATGTTTAAAACACGTATCTGAAAAAGGACTTGCATCCAGAAAAAAACTCTCTTACTATTCAATTATAAAAAGCAAAACAACCCAGTTATTTTTAAAAGATAAAAATAAGAGGAAAGGGGCAAAAAGAATGGAAGAGGCACTCCACAAAGGAAAATACATGAATGGCCAATAAGCACAACAAAAAACTGCCCAAAATCATTAGGCAACAAGCACGTGCAAACTGAAACTATAAGTCACATCTACATACTAACTGTAATGGCTAAAAAACAAATACACACAACTGACAATGCCAAATGTTGAAGAGGACACAAACAGAACTGTCATATATTATTGGCCAATGTGTACAAGGGCACAACCATTTTGGAAATCTGCCTAGTACTTTCTTATAAGTTTAAATAGACATCTTCCCTATAAACCAGCAACTCAAAGTATTTATCCAAGAAAAATAAAAACCTGTCTCCATAAAAACACTTGTACAAGAATGTTTATAGACGCTTTATTCATAATACCAAAAACTGGAAACAACCTCAATGTCTATCAAGAGAGCAATAAAATGAAACAAATGATTGATACACCAACAATATGGATGAACCATTAAAACGTTATGCTGAGCATAAGAAGTTACAAAACAATATATACTGTTTAATACCATTTACATAACCTTCTGGAACAGGAATAACTCATTCACGGCAAAAAAAAAAAAAAAAAAACTCAAGACAAGTGGTTGCCTCCAAGGGTGCAAGGGAGTAGGGTTTTGACTGAATAAGAACATAAGGAATCTTTTTAGTATGATGGAAATGCTCTACATTTTAAGAGGTGAGGATTACACAGGTATATGTGCTTGTCAAAAGTCTTCAAACTGTTCATTTTATATCTATGTATTTCCCCGTAAAAATCATGCCTCAATTTTTTTAAAAAAGTTTAAAAATCACTAAAAAGGTCCAAAAAAGCTGACTCCTAACTCCTAAGAGATAAAATATAAAAGAGAGTAAAACGAAACAAAATGAAAACCTTCAGAGTAATTGTAATTCCTGAGTTCTGGTTGATATGGTTTGGCTGTGTCCCCACCCAAATCTCATCTTGGATAGTAGCTCCCATAATCCCCATGTGTCGTGGGCGGGAGCTGGTGGGAGGTAATTAAGTCATGGGGGCATCCCCTTCATATGTACATCTATCCCATTAGTTCTGTCCCTCTAGAGAACCCTAATACATGTATCCCGTAGAGAAAAAGTAAGGGAGGAGTTATATGTTAATTTGCCCAGATAATACATCCTGTTGGTTCTTCTATTTAACCAAAACATATTCTTCACATGTATCAAGTAATTTTGAAGAAGGGGAGTAACAAATGTTGGTAAGCAAAAAGGCACATAATTGACTTAAAAAACGGTAAAATGTCTTCTAGTTCGCCAACATATAAATGGATCTGGCTATTAGAAGTATGCTTATGTCAGATAGGATGTTGCCAATCTTTACTCATTACAAACTAATTTCAACATTATTATAGCAAAAAAGGCCCAATAATCACAATAAAATAAATAATTTAATTTACTAAAATGGAAGAAAATTGGGAACAGAAAAAATTGACCAAGTAGAAGTCCAGAAGCAAATGCAAAATAAAATACAATAAAATTATATTAAATTAGTATAGTCTTATAGGATATAAATATAAAAAGTATCCATAAAAGTAGCTGAAATTTCTTAAATGAGCTGAATATTTTTATTCCACATCTGCATGCCTTTATGCTTTCCTTCATTTACCCCCGAATACCAGTGCCACTTTATTTCAAGAGAGGAACTTTTCACACTCAAGTGATTTAAAACTATAAAGCTACTTTTGTGTCTTATTAAATATTTTTTAAGTTATTAAAAATGTAGTATCTTATGGTTTAATTAATTCTAGTTAATCAAAAAAGGCATTTTACAAAATACTACACCAAATCAACAGAAAAGAAACAAATTAGCTAAAATATTTCTTACCACTTTTACAACACAAGGTGCATCACTGCCAACTGACTCTGAAGAATTCATATCAGCTGTTTAAAAAAGTAAAATATTTGATATCAGAACAAGTAATATTATAAATATATTAATATTTAGGTTTGTATATCTGTAACCCTTGATAGAATACACTTCAGTTCCCAAGTATGTGTTTCAGGATATCATTACAGTACATTTCATAAATTTTAAGACTTTTATTCATGTTTTAACATATCTGAATTGAGAATGCATCTTACAATTTCTGGTTTCTTCTATATGATTATCAATTACATATGGGAAACTGAGTTAAATAAGTTAAAGATTTCTTTAATTCAAAAGTACTAATAGCCTTTGATATGCTAGTGGATATTGTGAATTCCCCAGAGGATAAGTAATACATTTCTTAAATTTAATAAACTATGAAATTCTTTTAAGAGGAGAGGAGCATCTGAAGAGTAAGAAATGAGGGGGCTAAAGTTCTAAAAAGCACTAGTTTAGGAAAAACTCACCTGAACCAATAGTTCAGGATGTTGGCACTAGAACTTTCAACTGCCATCAGAATAATTTTAATGTGGCTATCATTTTATTTCATGTAAATAAAGAAGTACAGTTGCCCCAGAATACTGAGTTAGAAATATAAGGTTGCCCATATTCATTAAACAGATATTTACCAAGTACATACTAAACGTCAGTTTCTAGGAAATAGAGATTTAGCAATGAACAGGAAAAAATCCTTACTCTTACAAAGCCACCATTTCAGTGGTAAGATGCAGACCAGAAATAAAATATGAAGTACATTTGACAGTGTGAAGTGCTATAGAGGACAAATTAAGCAGGAAAGAAAGGTAAGCAGAGTGGCTACATGGTAAGAGGGATCTAAACCTTACTGACAAGGTGTTACTTGAGCAGTGAGAGCAGGAAGGGAATAAGCCATGTATGTATCTTAGTGAAGAGCACTCCAGGGAGAACAGCACCAAGACCCTGATCTGGACTGAGCACAATGGCTCACACTTGTAATCCCAGCACTTTGGGAGGTCAACGCAGGTGGATCACCTGAGGTCAGGAGTTCCGAGACCAGCCTGGCCAACAAGGTGAAACCCCGTCTTTACTTAAAATACAAAAATTAGCCGGGCATGGTGGTGGCACGCACCTGTTAGTCCCAGCTACTTCGGGAGGCTGAGGTGGGAGAATCACTTGAACCTGAAAGGCAGAAGTAGCAGTGAGCCAAGATCATGCCACTGCACTCCAATCTGGGCAACAGAGCGAGACTCCATCTCAAAAAAAAAAAAAAAAAAAAAAGACCCTGATGTAGGAGTGTGCTTGACATGTTTGGAAAACAAGGAGGCAAAAGTAGCTGGGGGAAACAGTGAGGCAGAAGAGGAGAGACAGATCAGAAAGCAGCAGGGAACAAACACGATGGGCTTAACAGGTAACATAAAGGTTTTGGCTGTCACTATGAATAAGATGGGGAGCCATTGGAAGAGGGTTAGCAAAATCAGACTATGGTAATAAAGACTTCTTTGGGCTGCTTTGTGGAGAATGGAGTATAGGGGCAAGGGGCAGAAGCAGGCAGATCAGTTAAGAGGCTATACCAATAGTCTAAGTATATGGATTATACCTCAGTAAAGCTACTAAAAATTTTTCAAAGGCTTGGTACAAAAACAATGTAAAATAAAATATATTAAAAAAATTTTTAAAGCATCATATACAAAGATCAAGAGCCAAAGGGCAGCAAGACGGCTGAAGCACAGACTTTGAGGAGACAAAAGGGATGAAGATAAACGTTGTATAAGAAGGGACTTGTATGCCACTCTTTAAAAGTCTGGCACCTTATTTGAAGGACACTGGAGAGTCATCAGAGAGGTTTAAACAGGATGATCGTATTATCTGATCAGTATACTTGGTCATAAAAGCCATACTGAAAACAATGGTGTGCAAGGTGGCAAGACTGGGACAGAGAAGATTCAGTGCTACAGTCAGAGTCCAGACAAGACATGATAATGACCTGACCAGGACAGTGGCTGCAAAGATGGAGAGAAATGAATGGATCTGAGAAGTCACCCAGGTAAAGCAATAGGACTAGAAAAGGAACTAGGATATTAGTGAAGGAATGCTCAAGAATGCCTTCCCAGTTTCTGGCTTCAAGGCTGTCATTCATTGAGACAATCCTCATGACAGGATCAGGAGATAAATGATGATGATACAAGTTTTAGAAATGCCTGTGGAACATCTAAGTAGAGATCCCTTATAGGCCAGTGGCTACAGGCCTGGACTCAGGAAATCAAGTCCTAGGCTACAGATAAAAGACAGGGAAATCAACGGTAAAGAGACAGCAGGAGAAGCCTGATATCACTCAGAAAGAATATATAGAATAAAAAGTGAACCTAAGAAGAAAAGCCGGAGCACACAGAAGTGCCTATAAAGATGACCAAGTACAGCCAGAAAAGCAGAAAGAAAACTAGGAAAAAGGTATGCTACCATAAAAGATAATGGAAGCAATTGTTATGAGAAACAAAGATAAACAGTATCAAATGCTACAGAAAAGAAAATGCAAAGAAAATTCAAAAGCAATCTTTTTAATTCATTAACAAACTGCTGATGATCTTGAATCTGGCTGTTTCAGTGTATCATAGAGACAGAGACTGGAGGCGACAATACTCAAGCAAGTCCCTCCTTTTACAGATTAGTCATCCCAACCTTACAAAAGTAAAGTTTTATTACAGAGGTCAAATCATTGCCTATTAAAAATACTATTAGATGGCACCTTTTGATGATAAATACAGATAAAACAGATGAGACACACACAGGGCAAGTTTTAACTTTGCAAAAGGTTACAAAAGCAAATTAATATAAAATGAAGAACCTATTTTTTTAGAGACAGGTTTCTATTAATACAGGATGGCATAAGTCCACATATCCTGTAGTAAAGACAGCTTATCTAATCTACCATCTCTCCTCCATCACAAGATCAAAAATATATACCTGGCTAATACAGCCACTACTCTTTAATGGTTTACAGGGATTTTTGCCATAAATCAGAGATACAGCCTAGTTCACTGGAATGGGTTTGGCTCTAAACAAAACCAGAGAATCAACATATATTTCACAAAAAGGGTGCCACTGGCCAACAGGAATCATATGCATAAAATATGATAAAGCACTAGATTTCAAGCTATGTTTCATAAAGATAGCTCCAGAAACTGCAACTGACCAAGGGCGGCCCACTGCTCCTGGAGCAGGTGAAGTGGGACTCCTCTTGAGTAAGACCAGTGATCTTTTACCAACCAGTGGTTCTCAAACTTCAACATGCATCAGAATCACCTTGAACAAACACTGCTGGGCCCTCTCCCTACAGTTTCTGATTCGTAGTCTGAGGTAAGGCTCAAAAATCTGCAGGTCTAACAAGTTCCCAAGTGACACTAATCTATGTCGTATTATTAGTATTCTGAGTAAGATATTGCTAAAAATAAAATTTTATAAACCTCCATGGTAGAAATTAATTAATTAATCTGAGATTGGAAGTAGAGTGAGAACACAGAATGGAAAAGTTAGAAAAATCAGAAGCAAATATATTTATTGGTGAAGCAGACAGCTTTAGAAGCAATCAGGTAAAATATTTTTTAAGTCCATAATTTAGTTAACCTAACATAATTTCAGGATTCCACAACGGGTCCCCAAAAATTTCAGAATAAGTATGCTAGTTATCTGCACATTTAATCAGGCCTAATATGCAGTTTCTAGGTAATTCTCCTAGTTCCAGTATGATGGCTAAGAGGGTTGCACTGAAAGAAAAAAGAAACTCACACTTGTAAAAGATTTGCAAACCTCTAAATCAGACAAACACGGAGGGAATAAATCCCACATAGGTGGAGGTGGGAGGGGAAAGATACGTAAATGGGTTTCTTTGGGTCTCAAAAGAGATTAAGATTATATAAAGTATCTTAAAAATCTAAAGTCCTAGTGCTCACTAATGATAGTATTACAGCTATTTTATCCTCCTTTTCTGTTGTGACTGCATTAACAATTTCCACTCCTACGTCAGAGATGCATTTTTGCTTAATCAGAAACTATTAAGTTGACTGCAGATTATTAGGAACATCCCATAACAGCTCATAAATGAGAAACCATTTTCATAAGAAAACATATAAATCTTTGGATTGATCATTAGAAGCAGTCACACACTTACCAAGATATATACAGCCAAAGCCTCCTTGGCCAATGGGTAATCCTACTTTCCATTCCTTTTTTGCCATGTCAGTTATTATCTCTCCAACTGCAAATTGTTCTGCAAGATGTCTCTTTGCAGAGCTCTGTCTTCCAGCTTGAGCTGCTTTTACACGAGGCATTTTCACTATAACATAAAACAAAGAAATGGTCAGAATTCTAATCTTAGAAGTGTTTAAAACATTTTTCCCTAAGGAAAACTTCCGTACGGAGATGCTGTTCAAATTCCTACTTACTCCAAAACTTAAAGGATACCTGTTAATTCTGACTTATAATGGCTCAAATCCTATTTGATTATCTCTTAACTTTGGAGAAGAAACAATAAAATCATATATGCAACTATTTTCAAGGAAATAATTAGGTTTAAGTCCAATGGCATAATGATCAACTACAACTAAAAATGCTATTTAATAACAACAAAGAATTGCTCTATGAAGCTGAGAGGGAAAGGTGCATCCAATTAGAATGCACATTTTATAGGAACAAAATGAAGAGTTTATTAAGGTCAATACCGATATGATAGAACACAGTGCAGAGATTGAAAACATAAGGCAACTGAGCACAAGGGGAAGGGGCAAAGGTTCCCGGGACATGCTAGTAAATGCTTTACACAGGTTCCCATCCATCCTCATGACTCTGTGAAGATTACATTATCACCTCCATTTCGAGGAAACTAAGGCTCAGCAAGCTGGTAAGTGGTGGAACAACAGAAAATTGCACCGGTGACCACCTGGCTCCAAGACCTCACCAACATGCTCCACAATTATGGAAGTCACTGTGAGGAAGGAGCACAACTTTCAAGAGTGACAGGAAAAACTGTGGCTTAATCATCTGGGCAAGGCTGGTGACACCCAGAATTCCTAAGCTTTCTTTCCCATTAGCTATCCTTTAGGAGATGAATCTTGATTCATTTTTCTCACTGACACATAAGTTTAACATAACATTCAGAGAAAGCAGTGTTTTATTGTGAAAAGAGTACTGACTGGAATCAAAAGACCTGGATTGCAGGTATGACACCAGCTGGTTGGGTAATCTTGATCAAGTCACTTCACACTGGGCTTCAAGTGCCCTCAGGTGTAACTCACTTCGTTGACTGAAGGAACTCAATTTGTACTAGTATGCATGTGAACATGTGTTTGTTGTGTGATTTCAAACTCTCGGTTCTATAAATGTTAATCAAAAAAGATTTAAAATAAGTATTTGTTAGGTTCCACAGTTCCCTAAAAACATACTGGAGATATAGAAAAGAAAGAAGGTTAATAAGAATGATTAAGACAGTATGCAACACTTGAAATGGCTATTCAGATGAAAGAAGTCTGTAGCTCAGTTTTGAGCTCAGTTTTGAGCCTAGACATGCTACATACATACACACTAGATTCAACTGGAATTTTTCACCAACTCACCCACTATCACTCCAAATACACAAACTCCTTATCTGAAAATGTTCCTTATTAATTTACTGGGGACTTTTTAAATTGAATTTTTTCCTATAGAATACTAATGCATCTTCGCTGTCTAAATCTTCTCTAAGTTAACAAAAACATCTTCAAAATAAATAAAAGTGTCTCTTATTTCTTCATGTCAATTAGTTCTCTTAATTAATGTGTTTTTACTCATGGTAAAATCTTGCAAAATGGAATTTCTGTGCCAACCAAGCTAGCCTAGACTCAAAACACCAAGAAAGGTTACTTTTACACCTATGGTAGTAAACCAAATAAAAGAAACAACTAAAACACATAGTACTTCCAAATATTAAAACAGATGCCCTTCTGAATTTCAACCCACTTTATCAAATCATCAGAGTAATCTCTTATTTGACTGGTTCCTTATAGTAATCAAAATAGTTTAAAATGAGTGGACAACATGTTTTTTATCTTTATATATCTCAAAATAGTGACTGGACAATCTTTTGTGTTTTTCTGAAATTCCTTTCCAGAAGTGACAAAAATATATTTTAAATGAAATATTCTGGCTCAGCATCTATTCAATGTAAATTGTGGTCAATAAAAAGTGATTTTCCTCCAAATAAAGCTGTTTGCTTTTATTTTTAGTTTTATTTCTGTGGCCAACTAATTGAAACTAATTGTAATAATTAATTAAGGCTTGGAATGACTTTCTTTCCTAAAAATAGTCCCACAGAACAGCGTCATCGCTGTCAGTATCTTCAATATGCTTCTAAATCACAGCTCCTGAAGGTTAACGCTGGACATGGTGGAGGCAGCAGCACAGCTGTTTCATCTCCCTGAATTCCCCCATAAAACTGGACAGGACAACTGGATAGCAAAACTCAACACCTATGGACAACCTCTCCAACCAAACGGAGGGACAGTATCCCTTTATCTCTACAAAATTTGAGCAGGTGAAGACAGACCATGACAAACAGCAGTAAGATCTGTGTGGTATCAGCAACTGTAAAGAAGGAAGCAGAAGAAAGTATGGTGCCTCTGATAAATCTTAGGATCCAAAAATTATCAGGAGCTACTTCTTAGAAGCACACAAGACACTGTGAGAAAAGCAACTGAAAGAAGAAGGGCTCTGCCACTCCCACAGCCAGGAAGTGCAAGGGGTCCTTGGTGAGGTCTCAAGAGGCTGAAGCCTGTTGCCTCTACAACTCTCAAAACTAACCAGCCAAAGCCCCTTCTAGGTCAAAGCCTCAGGCTGAGGAGAAACTGCTAGGGATGAAGCCAAAGTGAACATCACAAGGATAATACGAAGAAAGGAAAAAGAAAGTTCAAATGAAAGTGGATCTATAAGTTAGCCTCAGTATTTTGGAATACTACACAAAAACAAGTGAAGAGTGGGATCTAGAGAATGACATACACTCACCCTGAACCAGACTATCTAAAACTAATTGCATATAAGGGAAAACTGGCTGCATACGAAACTCAGCAACAAAAATGGATCAAAGCCTAGTGCCACACTAAGTTGGTATTTTTAAAGAGAAAAAAAATCCCTTTAGAAAAGTACATAAGAAAACATGCCTCCCAAAAGGTTGATAGCTATAAATTAGTATTTCAAAACAAGCTAAAAAACACTTTATGTACAGACTAACATCAATCAGAATTAGAAAAATTCAGAAATCAGATGACAGAATAATTGAAAATGAAAGACAAAAATCAGTTCGGAAATAAAAACTACATGAGAAGGAACATAAGAGTAAATAAAACTTTTTAATGACAAGAGAAATAGAAAGTGAAAAGGAAAAAAACAAAAAAATCAAAAAGGACCAAAAAATGTTTAAGAAAACATACACAAAAAAACCAACATACATATAACAAAGAAAATCAAAGCAAGGGAACAGAATATTAAAAATCATTTAATTCAAGAAAACTTTCCTGAACTTCATTTAAACATAAAACTACATTTTGAAAGGTCATATCACATACATTTGAAAAATCAACCCAGAATGACCATCACCAAGATATAATTTAGTTAACTTAATAGTAAATGAAAATACTTTTTGAGCATCTGCAGATATTTTATAAGGAAAATAAAATCAAATTGTCATCACTTTAACAGCAACATTTTATGCCAGGGGAAAAAAAGTAACATATTTAAGACTCTAAGAAAGGAAACATGAACCAAAGATTTTATACCCAGCTAAATTTCGAGTATAAAGACTGCTAAGTGTTATCAATATAGAAAACAGCAATAAGAATCTACTAGAGAAGAAGCCCAGTAGAAGGGGTCTGCCACTCCCATAGCAATATCCAAAATGACTAAAGAAATGTCAATATCAGTGAGCAGTAAATATATACTTGTAGAACTGAGACTCAACAAGGGTTATAAAAGAGAGAAAAGAGTATATAATGGGCAAATGTACTGACACTGTAGATATAGTACAACTATCAAAAAATGGGATAACATACGCAAAAAAGGCAACTTTCCAGAAATCATATTGTGATACTTGATTTTGTTAACTAAGACTGTTGTGTGCATACATGTGGAATGATGCAAATGAGTAATTATGTGATATTATTATTCTATCATTCTCTTGTGTCCCTGAACATCAGGATTCAGATATGGAAGAAAGAGACAGAGATAAAAGATAGAATAGGTAAAGGTAAAAATGCTGTACTTGGAAATATTTTTAGTTCAGAATGTATCTTTAAAATAAACACATACACAGAAACACATCTTTGTATTTCCTAGCCCCATTCACTAAAAAGCTTAGAAACAATAATCAACCCAGCAGCAAAGAGCATCCCTAGCAAACAAATTGTAGTCTTAAAATACCACTTCCCATGAAAAGAAACCAGGTTCCTTAACAAAATGATTATTGCTCCTATAATTAATATTCACCAAGGGATCAAAACTGGAAATCCTCTCATACTCAATGAGCATGCCCAGTCCATTCCCACTTCCCTCTCAAAAAAAAAAAAAAAAATTAAAAGAAAACACTCCTAAGCAAAATCTGTACTTTATTTCCTGTAAACTATGAGTAACCTCGGCTCATTTTTCTTTTGAATTATTAGTCTTGCTTTTTATTTCCAGGCACATCTTATATGTTGTATATTAAACAGAGTAGCTCTGTGTCTTGCGCATAAACGTTAAGAAGTCACTGAAATATACTCAGCTGCTCTGCAAGAGGCCACTATGACAGAAATATTTCTTTAAAATGTATCTAAATGAAACTCCCTCCTGTGGCTTCTAATGGAAAAAGATGTGGAGGATTCCCTCTTGCTCTTGCTGGCCCCTATAATCTCAGGTGGCCTCAGGCAACCAAAGGCCCTGTCAATCCTTAGGGCCTGCTTCAGCCAGGTATAAGCAGGGCCAATGGCAGTGTACTAATAAATACTTGTTCAATACTTATCTTTTAGCATCTTGAGAAACACAAAAGACTTAAATACAGCTGGTATACCACATACTCATATAGAGCTATTTAACACAACCTTCCTAGAAAAAAAAAAATTATACTTGGTGGCAGTTATAATTTTTTTAGTGTGCTGCTGAATTCTATTTGCTAATATTTTATTTAGGAACAAGACTGATATTTAGACGAGATCGGGCACACTCAGGGTGGTATAGCCATAGACAAGACTGATATTCATAAGAATGGTCTGTAGTTTATTTTTTCTGCTACATTTATCTGTTTAAGTATCAATATTATGCTCACTTCATAATAAGATTTTGGAAGCTTTTCTTCCTTTACCACAATCTAAGGAGTTTAAGCAGCATTTGATCTATTCCTTAAGGTTTTGAAGACTTCAACTGCAAAAGTCTGACACTACAAAGTGTTGGTAAGGAGTTGGAACAAACAGAACTCTCCTACACTGTATACTGTTTCGATCATTTTGAAAATTCATTTGGCAGTACCTGCTAACCGACCCAGCAATTCAACTTCTATGCATGTACATGTCCACCCAAAGACATGTACAAGAATGATAACAGCTTTATTCACAACAGCCACAAACTGGAAACCTGTATGTCCAACAACAGGAAAATGAATATAGTAAGACGGATGGACATACCAAACACTGTGTTAAGAAAAAGCAGCACCAGACAGAAGAGTACATACTATATTCCATTTACATGAATTTCAATAATAAAACAAATCAATGGTGATACAAGTCAAACAGCAGATATCACTTTGGGGACTAAGGGTCAGAAGAAATGGCTGGAGGTGGATGGTTCCTAGGGATCTGGTAGCATTCTATATCCCAATCTTGGTGTTTAAACAATTGGTTCATGTTATAGAAAGTAATCAAGAAGTATACTTATTATTTCATCCTGTTTATTTATGTAAAATTAACACAGTAAGTAAGGTACACAAATCACAAGTGTGTGATAACAGTCAGTGTCCATTCAGGAGCTAGAAAACAAACAATCAATTAAAACAAGAAAATGTAACATAAATAAAAAATTATTAATTTGTAAAAAGTTGTCAAGTGCTAATAGATGTAAAAGACAATTTGAAGGAATATGGAACTAGCAAATATAGGGAGCAGTTACTGTCTCCAAGGCTAAGGGAGAGTGCCCAAGAAAGGAACACTTCACTGGACAGACTGTGGCAGTGACCCACTGAGCGGTAGGGTAGTTCTCTGTAGGGCCAGTGAGCTACAGCTTATCCACAGGAATCTGCTGCCCACGAGATACTGGTGGGAGCAAGAAGCTGCCTACCAGGGTGCTAATGAAGCTTACAGGAGAGTAAGTAGAGCTGACAGCCACACCTTAAGAGATTAAGAAAAACAAACAAACGAACAAAAAAACAAGCACATGGCAACAAGAGAAGCACTTTCTCTGCTAAGTCTTGCAGTATCCCTTCCTCACCTTCTACTGACAAAATCTAACACTGTCCAGGAAAAGAAAAAATATTTAAAAGGTCTGGCTCGAGTATATAAATAGAGCAAAAAGGGGTGAATTTGGAGTTGAGAGGCAATAAATTACTAACTTGCACAAAGTAAACTGACAAAATTTTACAAACGTACATACACTTGTGCGACCACCAGACAGAACATTTTCATCACACCATAAAGTTCCCTAGTGCCCCTGCCTGCCAACACCTATTCCTGTTCTCCCAGACAAAGGCTTATTAATGTGCCTCTCAGGGTGTGCCCCTTTCTTTAGAGAACACAGTTCTGCCAGCTTTCCTGACATCTGTGTCTCAGGTTCCCTTTCAGCATCCTCCCATACCCTGTTTGACCTTCACTGAATTTGGCAGCTCCTTATTTTCTAGTTCAGGGCTACAGAAGCTTCTCAGTTTCTCAGAATATGAAATCACTGTTTCTCAATCTCCTTGTTGCTTTTCAGGCAATTTCTTAAAAGAGGAATTATTTAAAACCAGAAGTCCCTGCTCAAAGAAATAAAATAATCACAAGTATTTGCTTCAGTAAGTTAGTGAGTTTTCTGAAGAACTTAAAATACTAATTAGAATTAAACAATCACTTTAGTACATTATAGGTTTCTTCTAATAATGAAACCGATGCTTGCATTAAGGTTTCTATTAATGAATATACCGAAAGGCACAAACTTTAACAAAATTAAATCTTTCCACATAATTTCAGCCCCTCTGACTCTATGCAAGTCTACTTTTATAGTAGCCAATGCAACAGAGAGGTTTCAAAGAAAAAAAAGTTTAGCATTACATAATCTGACCACTTCTTTTCCTCTGATATTAAATGAAATGCAGATGCAACTGAAAAGCACATCAAGATGCAAATCAATACTGCCCTTTGCTGAAATCACTCATTGGTATATTCCATATTAGCATATTCACCAAAATTTAATTGTAAACAGAGTAATTATGGTACTAAAGTTATTAAATACACAAAGCAAGCTTGGAACTATACATATTCAAATAGAATTTCAGTGGCAGATCAACTTTTATATCTGCAACAATACCCTAATTAATAGTCAGCTCTGATGATAAAATGGTCCTCTGTTTTTCAGATAACATTCCAAAAAAAGTTCTGCTATGAATATTAAAATAAAGTTTTGTGAATAGATTTTTAAAAATTTCAATAGCTATATTTATCACAATATGGTACTGTATTTAGACAACTGGCATTCTTCAAGTCCTGGATTCAAATTTGGAATTTTTTTTTAACCTTCTGCTGAAGAGAGGAAAAAGGCTTGAATGAATCACAACAATGACACTTACACTTAATGAGCTCTATGAATTCATCATACACAAACTGGAAAATTACAATGCTGAATAAAGCTCGTTATATACTGAATGACTACTCATAAATTTTCCCCAAAATAGTTCTGCATGTAAACTCCTTTAGGGGGTCATGTATTTTTATGAAATTTTCTTTAAAGTCATAAACTTCTCTGATATGTTTTACACTGTATAGAGACACTCTGATTCAAGGATAATTCTGGACAAACTGGACTCCACCATTCTATTAACATGGAACCAACATATTTTTATCTCCATTCTTCCCAGCACAAAGCCTTTTCTCTCATTTAACCTCTCCTTATACATTGATTGACATTTTCCCCATACCTAAAGACCTATCTCTTCTGAAGTCAGATATGACCTGAAGTTTCAGTACTGTTTGTACCTCTTATTGCATGTGACAAATAACTTTCCCTATAAGCTTATAAGCTCCTCGTATATGAGAAATGTCTTAGTCACAATACATTGTAGTTAGCAGGAATTCACTAAATCCATAAAATTAAACAGCAAAAAAGTTTAGTATTTTTCCCCAACTACCAGATATCTAACTTTATGTTTAATATACATCACCCAACTGCAAAGGACAATGTCATTCCTCAAAAGTCCAGCAACCACCCTCTACAATGACTATGTCAAACTCTATTTATTCTTCCTCAAAACTCTAATTCCCCTTCCTAAGCCATAATTATCAACAGATGACCTACTCTAGTTTAGAGAGAAAACAGAAACTTCAGATGGGAATTCCCTATCTTTCTAAGAGCCACACCTACAAACCACCTGCACCCACTTCAAGCCAATCCTAGCTTCCTTCTCTCCTATCACATTGAAAGAAACTATCCTCCTCCTATCAAACATCAAGTCCTTCACCTTTGCTTTGGATCCCATCCCCTCCAACCTTCTCAAGACTTACACTATTAATTAATCCTTCTCTAATATATTCAATGTCTCCCTCAACTAGATCCTTCCCATCAGCTATTAAAAATGCTTATGGCTCTGCCATTTTAAAAAATTAATGTTTTTGGCCGGGTGCGGTGGCTCACACCTGTAATCTCAGCACTTTGGGAGGCCGAGGCGGGTGGATCACGAGGTCAGGAGATCGAGACCATCCTGGCTAACATGGTGAAATCCCGTCTCTACTAAAAATACAAAAAATAAGCCAGGCGTGGTGGTGGATGCCTGTAGTCCCAGCTACTCGGGAGACTGAGGCAGGAGAATGGTGTGAACCCAGGAGGCAGAGCTTGCAGTGAGCCGAGACGGCGCCACTGCACTCCAGGCTGGGCGACAGAGGGAAAAAAAAAAAAAAAAAATTAATGTTTTTAATCCCCCTCTGCTATCTCTGCTATCATCCTTTCTTTTCCCTTTCAATGCCAAATGTCTGTACTTGCCATTTCAATAATCGTCTGTACTTGCCAATATTTCCTTTCACCTACTTATCCAACTCACTCCGAGATCCGCCTTCATGATTCCTCTCTAATAACCCTTGCTGAGGTCACCAGTGACTTCCATGCTATGAAATCTAGCTGACACTGAATCATCTCATTTGCCTGCCCAGAAGCACTCAACACTGCTCATTCTTTCTTTCTTGAAACATTCTCTTCCTTTTGCTTTCAAAATACAGTAGTATCCTGGATTCCAGTCTACCATTTAGGCTACTCACAGTCCTAGGCAATTTGAGGAATACAGTAAATTCTTTTTTCAAGATGAAATGAGCTTTCATTCAGGGAGCTTGTTCCACTTTATCATATACAGTTTTCCAGGGTTTTATCATGTTAAAAAAGCAGACCACCTACATTTCCACAGCTTACACCAAAATACAAATTTTATTATGTGAAAATAAATTATATATTTAAAAATGTGCTACTCAATAAAATTAAGATCTTTGGAAATTCAGGACATTTATTTGAAAAAATAATTGATGTTTATTCCTTTAAGTTAACAGATCTCTAGGAAAAAGTTTGTAGTCTCAAAGAGGTATCTGTACACCCATGTGCACAGCAGCACTATCCACAATAATAGTAAAAGGTGGAAGCAACCTGAGTGTCCATTAACAGATGAATGAATAAATGTGGCATGTATATACAATGGAATATTATTCAGCCTTGAAAAATAGAAGTAAATTCTGACACACACTACACCACAGATGAATCTTGAGGACAGTTATGCTAAGTGAAATAAGCCAGAGGCTGGAGGGAGGGAGAAAAGAGAGTTGTTGTTTAGTGGTATATAGAGTTTCGAATTTGCAAATTAAGTTCTAGAGATCTGCTTCACAACAATATGAATACACTTAACGCTACTGTGTACACTTAAAAATGGTTAAGATGGGAAATCTTCTATGTTTCTTATCACAATTTTTTAAAAAAGAAAACAGTTTCTAGATGCAGCAGATAAAAAAGGCAGAAATTAAGTTGAATCAAGATAATACCAACGTGTTCCTGATGACTACAGAATCATTCCTGCCCCCATACACACACAACTGGAAAAGCATTACAATTGGTATTTTTTTCAGAGGTTATTCTTATAGATGCTAATTACATAAATCTACTAGTTATCACAGCAATAAATAAATGTTAACTGTGGATTATGTAAATTCATGAAGGGTAATGACATAGTCTGTTCATTCACTCACTCTACAAATAGTCACTGATAATCTACAATGTGCCAAGCACTGTTCTAGGCACTTGCTATACCTCAAGGAACAAAACAAAGGTCCTTCTCTTTTGACACATTCTGGCAGGAAGAGACAGATAAAAAGAACAAATAATGCATATGTTACCTAATATTTCAGAAAATCCAGTCATGTTTTAAAAACATAAAGCAGGTAAAGGGAGATAGAGGATAGGGAGTAGAAGGTAGAAGGGGAAAGCTTGCAGTGAAACAGAGTGGTCATGGTCAGCCTCCTCTGAAAGGACTTTGCTCATTGGAACAAGGACTTGAAGGAGTTGAGGAAGAGGACCATGTGAGTATCTGGGCAGAGAGTATAGGCAGAGGGACGAGTTGTGCAAAGACCCTAAGGTGGGAGCACACCTGGCAACCAAAGAGTAAGAATGCCAGTGTGGCTGGTGTGGCGTGAGCAAGGGGGAAGCAGGAGATCAAGTCCCAAAGGTTAGCACAGGAGCAAGAGATCAAGTAGGGCCTTGAAGGCTACTGTCAGGACTCTGAATTTCACCACAGGGTAAATGGATTTCTACAAGGTTTGGAACTTGCTGTATACTTGCATTGTAGTTCACAACACTTCAATCAAATTGAAAATCATGCACTGAACACCTAAGTCAAGAAAAATTCTCCTGCTGACTTAATTCTCACCAAAGATTTTACATTTGTTATATTTTTTGCTAATGTGTTAGTCCATTCTAAAAATACATTCCATCTATAAACTATATAAGCTTGATACAAATCCAAAATGTTAAGTGCTTCTGTAGTGCCTCTGTCACAAGTCACCTCACGATAGGAATGGTTTTGCAATGAATCAAATTCTGTGCCTAAAAAGTAGAGAATAGGACTAGACCCTATTTTCCCTTTAATGTAAATATCAGTAATTTAGTAGTGCTATTAGAGTGAATGGTCTGCAACTTTTTGACAAGAAATACAAAAACTTTACCATGCTACACCCCTCTTAAAATTTAAAATAAAAACAATACTGAGTCCCATTGGAATTCTACATTATTACAATACATACTGCCTGCTTAATTAATTTGTTTACTCAACAAGTATTTATTGACAGCACACTCTGTGCAGGAACTGTTCTACAAGACAAGAATAAAAAGTGAACAAAGCAGACAAAAACTCCTGCCTTCATGGAGCTTATATTTTATTCAGTAGAGAAAAATAATTTTCTAAAAATTAAAACATGTCATATGTCCAATGGTATAAGGGCTAAGGAAAAAAAAAAAAAGGCAGGGACAGGGAGTTGGGGGCGGGAGGGAATGAAATTTAAAAAGATGGTCTGGTAAAGCCTCACAAGAAAGTGACATTTAAGCAAAAACTTGTTAAAAAAAAAAAAAAAGTGAGAGAATCTAGCCACACAGATGCTCTAGAGGAATAGCATCCCACATTGAGGGAGGAGCGACTACAAAGGCGTTAAGGCAAGAACATGTCCAGCTTGTTCTAGAAACAGCAAGGGGACTGGTGCAGCTGAGGAAGAATTAGCCAGGGGAGAGCAATGGCTGGGGTCAGATGTAAAGAAGCACAGAGGTGGAGAACATGCCCAACACTCAGGCTATTGTAAGGACTTCAACGTTAACTCTGAATGGGGAAATCTTGGAAGGTCTTGAGCAGAGGAGTGTACATGTTCTGACTTGCACTTTGAATGGATCACTCTGGTTGACGCATCAAGAATAGACTGTAAGGGGGCAAGGCAGAAACAGCTACCAGTTATTACAACTGTATTGCTATTGGAAAAAGCAATAATTGCATTTATCTTTACTGAATAAGAATGTCAATGTTTTTTAGAAAACAGCAATGACTTTTTAGCCACTAAACAGAGGGGTATAGAATAACCTAAGAGTTCTGGTATTTTGTTTTGTTTTGTTTTTTTTAACTTTACACAAGCTGCCCTCCCCCTCAAAAAACAAGTCTGCAGTGCCAAGTAGAAACAATTGGTATTAGTGACAGATGGTCTAGGAAGCATGCTAATCATCTCTTACTCTAGACTTTCTAAGCTCTCTCTTTATAGCTATTTAGTTTGCCAGGAAATTAAACACTTGAACTCCTTTTTTCCAAAGGCATTTATAAAATACCTCCAAAATATGTGCCAGGAACTGTGCTAGGGGCTGGAAATTCAAAGATGAAGGAAATGCAACCTTTAGTCTCAAAAAGCTGCATTCAGCTATATGCAGAAACAGCATCACACAGTTATGATATAATATTATGTATCAACTTCAAACAAGGATCAATAAAAAACTTCCCAGGGAAAGAATGTTTCTGAAGCCTTTAATAAAAGTATTTATTAAAGATAGTGAACAGTTGTGGACATCTACAAAATCAAACTCTCTAGGGTTCATGGTAGGGAAAAAAGTGTCTCTTCCAATGATGCAAGTGTTTAAGATATCAAGAGCTATGAAACTCCTGTTACCTCTTTTGCAGTGAATGCTAGGAAATTCAGAACAAAATTATAAAGCCAAATGCCTAACGATCCATCATCTAAGGCAGTAACATCTATCTTAACTATACATTAAAATTATTAGGTTAGTGCAAAAATAATTGTGGTTTTTGCATTGTTGGAATTTGCTGTTTGATATTATAATACATTCTTAAATAAATGTGGTTATGTTATACATCATTTTAATGGACATTTCTCACTTTATGTTTTTTGGCTAATGACTTATTGTTTGCTGTTTATTTTGTTTATTTTAGACTATGGAAATGATGTTAGACAAAAAGCAAATTTGAGCAATTTTCTTATTCGAGTTCAAAATGGGTTGTAAAGCAGCAGAGACAACTCACAACATCAACAACGCATTTGGCCCAGGAACTGCTAACGAACATACAGTGTGGTGTGGTTCAAGAAGTTTTTCAAAGGAAATGAGAGGCGTGAAGATGAGGAGGGTAGAGGCTGGCCATTGGAAGTTGACAACGATCAATTGAGAGCAATCATCGATGCTGATCCTCTTACAACTACAGAGAAGTTGCCGAAGAACTCAACGTTGACCATTCTACAGTCATTCAGCATTTGAAGCAAATTGGGAAGGTGAAAAAGCTCTATAAGTGGATGCCTCATAAGCTGAGCAAAAATTAAAAAAAAAAAATCATCATTTTCAAGTGTCATCTTGTCTTATTCTACACTACAACAATGAACCATTTCTCGATCGGATAGTGATGAAAGTGAATTTTATACAACAATCGGCAACAACAAGCTTAGTGGTTGGACTGAGAAGAAGCTCCAAAGCACTTTCCAAAGCCAAACTTGCACCAAAAAAAGGTCATGGTCACTGTTTGATGGTCTGCTGCCAGTCTAACCTAGTACAGCTTTGTGAATCCTGGCGAAACCATTACATCTGAGAAGTACACTCAGCAAATCGATGAGATGCACCAAAAACTGCAACACCTGGAGCCAGCATTCGTCAACAGAAAGGGCCCAATTCTTCTCCAGGGTAACGCCCGACTGCACGTCGCACAACAAACACTCCAAAAGTTGAATGAATTGGGCTACAAAGTTTTGTCTCATCCGCCATATTCACCTGACCTCTCACCAGCCGACTACCACTTTTTCAAGCATATCAACAAATTTTTGCAGGGAAAACGCTTGCACAACCAGCAGGATGCAGAAAATGCTTTCCAAGAGTTCATCGAATCCCAAAACACGGATTTTTACACTACAGGAATAAACTAACTTACTTCTCATTGGCAAAAATGTGTTGACTGCAATGGCTCCTATTTTGATAAAGATGTGTTTGAGCCTAGTTATAATGATTTAAAATTCACAGTCCAAAACCGCAATTATTTGTGCACCAACCTAATTATCAGTGGAACTTTGGAACAGTAAAGGCCTTACTCCACAACAGCCCCAGCATCTTTATATTTTCATGCTACACAGGGTACTGTGATGCACAGACTGACCCACTGACCTAGATATTCTGGTACATCTTACTTTCTTCATTAAGTCATTCATTTTCACTTTAATTGCTCTATTACATACAAGTCTACCGTATCTGAGGATTTTAATAAAAGACCTTTCCAGTTCATTTTAGAAGTTGGGTAAAAAATAAATTCATGAGTGATTTAGGAGGAGCCAAAAACACCACTTTTTTCCCAACCCATCATATCCCTAAGACAAAATGACTCATTTATATTTCAAACTTATTTGGGATTAAGAAGTAATTACATATTTTGGTATAACTGGCCTCCTGCCAAACTACAGTAAGTCAGAATAAAATCAAACGAAAGATAGTCAGTCAACAAAGAACTCCATCACCTCCTTTGCTAAATTACATCAGGAACAATTTGAAAGCAATACATCTAAAGACAATCCTCTTATAAATGTGCCAGCTAATCAGAAGTTGATTAATGCATTTGATTAGTGCTAAGAAATCATTTGAAAAATAAAATACAGAATCTTGAGTTTATAAAGCCACTTCCCAGTGACACAGAGGGTCCTCATATATTTTCTTCATTTTGATCCCAAAAATCCTATGATTGAGACAGAACTGTAAGGATATTCATTAGATATTAAAATTCACTTATGACCAAAATCACTAAACATAAAAAACCTAAGGAAACTGCCCCCAGGTTCCTGTTAGGAACACCCAATCTGTCCCCAGGTTTCACTCAGAGGAGAATTATGCATATCAATGAAAGTATAAAAAAATTCATGGCTATATGGTACCTTTATAACATTAAAAAAATAAGTATCAAAATATAACACAACAAACCATGAGATATAGAAGTGAACCTCCAGAGATAATGATCCCATAAATTCATAGATTTATCCCTGAAAAACATTAAGCTAAACTCAAACTGTGATACAATCTTTAGCAGCAATTGTCACACTAGTCATGTTTTCACACCTAAGCTGGAAAGAACTAGGTGAAGACTCACGTTTCTAACTCTGAAAAAGAAAGTGGCTATCTTCAGAAAAGAAAAAATTTCTTCCTAGTCAGAAATTTTTTTACTTGTATTAGAAAAGTGATCAACGTTAGGTTATAAAATGTTTTGGTATAGTGAGTAAAATGCTTAAAATATAGTATCAAATGTACTTTCTCAACTTTTATTCCTTAAAAAACTTCTAAAAGTTCTAAAAGAGAAACACTAACTGCAGAGTTAGTTTTCAACTGAGAATGCACAGTGTGGTACATTTGCAAACACAAGCCCAAGACACCTCACTGCTATCACTTTCCCCTACAAGGGAAGCATTCCCTGAAGCCTTAACTGTATTTCCGTTTCTGACTTTTGAGATAGTAGGTAGAAGGATCCATTCCTGGGTCTCAACAGGTCTCCCAGAAACGAAAGTGATGAAGACACTACAGTAACATCCATTCCTACAGAGACCAGAAAACAGAATCACTGTTGTGCCTATCCAAGAGAGTCAGACCTAGGAAAGGAGCAAGCCAAAAGATGTCAACTTCAAAAAGCGGTGACACCTGGCTCCTTGACCTTATGGCCCATGAGAAGAGCTCAAAGGAATGCTTCTTTATATAAAGCAAACACTGAAACTTTTCTAAAATTAGAAACTGTGAACTATATAGCTAATACTTTTACATAACACTTAGCATATTTTCAAAATCTGGTAAATAGATTTCTCATTCATTCTATTTAGGGAGCAAAATTAGTGAGCAAACTTTTACAATTAATTCTCTGGATGTTCACTATATAATAATCTATCAATAGATCTGATAGAACAGCTACTGAACAACATTTTTCCCTATATAGTCTTGGGGCAGGGCTCTATGGGAGAATATTTCCAAATACTCTAAGAGGAAATTAAGGTGACTAAATAAAGTATAACAGAAGTGTACTGTGGTCATTAAAAAAATTCATGAAAACATGAAAGAACTTTTCAGAATCTCAGAGACAAGAAGATTTTTCTAAACACACAAAACACGCAAGCCATAAAGAAAACTGATAAATTTAACAAAATAAAAATAGAAATTCTCCACAGATTAAAAAAAAGCCATAAACAAATTCAAAAAACAAATTAAAAATACCTGCAAAACATATGACTAAAGGCAAATTTTCTTAGTATTTAAAGAACCCTTTAAATTATAAGACTAAAGCCCAACAGAAAAATGGAAGAATATGAAGAGGCACACTCACAGAAAAAGAAATAAATATGGCTTTAAAGAAAAAAACTTCTCCTTAGAAGAATTTTCAAATACATATGAAGTAGAGAAGTGATATAATGAGTGTCCACCTAAACATCAGCTAATTTCAACAACTATCAACAACACATGGCCAATTTGTTTGTTTCTACTAACCCCTTCCAAGATTATTTTAAAGCAAACCTCAGACAACACATCATTTCATATGTAAATACTTTTAACAGGTACTTTTTAAAAATAAATCCACCATATATTATTGCCACACCTAACAAAATTAACAGTAATTCCTTAATGTCATCTAATAAGAAGGGTTCAAATTTATCCAGTTTTCTCAAAGAATGTCTTCTCACAGTTGACTTTGACTCAGGACCCAAATACTAGTCAATGCACGTGGCTGATGTGTCTTTGAGTCTCTTTGAGTGCCACTGTTCTCTTTTTTGTCCTTCTTCTTGTCATTTGTCCTGTAAAATTTCCCATTTTGAATTTTGCTGATTGTGACCCTATACTGTCACTTAATCTGTTCCTTGTATTTTTTGTTACTGATATTGTTGCTCAAATTACTCTACCTGTTATCAATGCCCTTCAGCCAAGACCACCAATAATTAAACGAGACAGGCTTATTACTCATTGCAGTGAGGGAGAACACACACCACAGGGCACCATGGGGCATCTCAGTAAGAGGATGTTAAAATCAATTACACAATTTGGGCCTCAGTTTAGTAATTTGGGGGAGGGTCTAAAGAAGGAGGAGTTTCTCTACATTGGATGCTGTCAGGAAGTAGGGTAATTCTGTGGTTACGTATCTCAATAAATCTTACCTAAGGGAGGGGAGATGAGAATGAAGATAAAACTGTAATGGGTAAAGCAGCGGTAGTCATTCATTTTGGCTAAGTATTTTGTAGGTGGCACAGTGGTCTTGGTTTTTGTCTATGCTTTGCCTCATTTTATTATGATCTCTGAGAAACTTTGTTGAAGGTATTCTGTGAGACCGCTTATGTTTAGTAGGAGAACATGGCCTACCGGTGAGGCTTCTGAACATCAGGGGCTGCTCATTTCTTTTTTCTTTCCCACTGGACAACGGGGGCCCCTTCAATGTGGCCACTGTTTCCTGATACAACCCTACTAGTCTTGGAGCTTTTCCTTGCTTTCCTAGTACAAAATGTTCCAGGTTCCTTCTGTACATTTTCCTGTCTCAAGCCTACAATCAGCCACTTCTACAAGGGGCCCTATTTCCTTTTAGTTGAAAGTGGTACTCGGAGACCAAAATCTGGGCACTAAAATATTATTTCTAGGTTTTTTGAGTGGACAGAGCAAGAAGATTTTTTTTTTTTTCCAGACAGGGTCTCCCTGTCACCCAGGCTGAGTGCAATAGCAGAATCATGGCTCACTGCAGCCTCGGCCCTAAGCAATCCTCCCACCTCAACCTTCCAAGCAGCTGGGACTACAGACCAGTGCCACCATGCCCACGAATTTGTTTTGTTCTGTTTCTTTTTTTTTTTAGTAGAGTGAGGTCTGGCTATGTTGCCCAGGTTGGTCTCAAACTCCTGAGCTCAAGTGATCCTCCCACCTCAGCCTTCCAAAGTGTTGGGATTACAGGCACGAACCACCGCACCCGGCTTTTTTTCTCATTTGTTAAAAACCTTGGTTCCTAACAATGTCAACCTAAATATTTAACTGATATATTTTCCTCTTTAAGTTTTAAAAATGTATAAAACATTTACATTTCCAAAGCCCAAACAATATAAGGTATCTTCAGAGAATCCTAGATTCTACCCCTCCGTCTTTATTATTTTTCCCCTCAAATAATGGCTTTCACTAGTTTTGGGGTTATCCTTCCTGTTTTCTCTTTTTAAATAACAAATAAAATACATTTATCTGCATCCCTCATTTCCTAGATGAGAGATAGAATATTATACACCTTGTTCTTCACCATGATTTCTTTCACTAACAATATATCCTGGAAATCAATAACAAATAGACTCAGCTTCATTAATAAAATGCAAATTAAAATTACAATGAGACTTAATTTACAATTAAAATGACATTTTTTAGTTATCACATTAGTCATATTCAAAAAATAAGAAAATGCACTGGGTTGGTAAGAGTATGAGGAAAAAGGCATAACAATTTGGCATTATCAAAATTTTAAATGCATACTCCCTTTTGCTCACAAAGTGTACTTCCAGTAATTTATCATGCAGGGATACTCACGTACTGTCAAATATACATGGATAGTTACTGCAGCATTATATACAATAAAAGACTAGAAAGATCCTTAATTACCATCAAGAGGGGACTTTTAGGTTGGACCGCAATTACTTTTGCACCAACATAATATTAAATGAAGCATGGCATATCCACAGAATGGAATATTAGGCAGTTTTAAAAATAAGGTAGCTCTACATACATTGGCATGGAATATTCGCCAAGATATATCATTAAGTGAAAAATACAAGGAAAGAACCTTGTATGAGAACATTCCTATTCATATAAAAGGACCATTATACATATGCTGCATATGCTTGAATATGTATGACTGCACCCCTGGGAGCTGTGCAACAATGTATCCCCACGCGTGTACATATAGCACATTACTAGGAGGCTATATAATCAATTAGTAGCAGAGAATGCCTTAAGGGTGGGAAGCTTAATTTTCATTCTTTGCTCTTTTATATTGTCTAAATTTATTATTGTGTGCATGTATTAATTTTTCAATTGAGGTATTTTTTAAGAATTCTTCATGAATAACAAAAAGAACTTTAGTAAATAAAATGTCAAGTAATTCTTTCCAATATTAGTCTAGAATTTACCAGTGCTTCTAAAGCATCAGGATCAACACAGTCAGCCCTGTCAACTGCCACAAGTTAAAACACTGCAATTGACAACATAGAAAAATAACTCTCAATACCTTAATCTGCAGACAGGATCATACCTTCATGTTTTGAAGATAAAGATGAGGTCAGTCTTTAAAGAGCAATAGTCTCTAGTCTTTAAAGTACTACAGTCTCTAAAAGACAAGTAACTGAAAATGAATACTGATATCAAGTTCTTACATTAATATGATCACTTATTTTTGCTCAATTAATCCTAAATGAGTAATCTATATCACAAAGAATCGATTAACCATTAACTAGAATTTATAGCTCTTATGTATAAATGAACTAATATATTACAATTAATACCATCAATATTCAAGCATCTATATGGCAAGCTATATGCTGGGTAACTTAAACACATTATCTCTAATTCTTAGGATAACCATAAAACAAAGGTATAATGATACTGACTGTATCATTATATAAGGAAACCAAGGATAAGTGAAATTAAATAATTTGTCCACGGCCTTACAACCAGTAAGTTGCAAGGAAAGTGTAATTTTTGTAAAAATGCCTTTTTGCTAATTAAAAGAGAGCACATACTGCAGAATAAATCATGTGCAAAACAAGAAGTCTTAAGGTGGAAAAATATTTGCTTTAATGACTAATAACACAGCCATAAATATAAATGCCATAAAAATAGTATAAAAGATCAAACCTAAACATACTCACACATTACTATAAATACATATCCCATGGCCTAACTCTGTCAAGTGAAAAGAAATATGACTTCCAAAAATCCAAAGGACAAACGTAGTAATGAAATAAATCACTGATGTAAATAAAACGTCTTCCGAAAAGTTTTGTTTTTTTAATATACTAACACAAATTCAGCTGAAAAAAACTTGATGTATACGCCACTGAAGAATATATGAAAAAAGCTAAGAAAATAATACATATAAAATATGCACTTAATGAGACTATCTTCTAGATTCTAGTCCAAAACCCTGAAGATTCTAAAGTCTGTTTCTTCTGTAATCTCAGGGTTTGAATGATGGCATTTGTGTTATCATTTCTTACTAAATGACCCAAACAAAATCAACTACTCAAGAATCTAATTCTGCCTATATGCAAAAGAAAGTAAGGTGAAAATCCCAGTCAGCACCGAGCAGTGTTAAGAGCACTGGACTGACTACACACCCTTGTTCACAATTCACAGCAATTGTGATACTGTATTACCATTAGTTATGTATATGTCAATCTCTTGTGACACAGTTTGTGAGGATCGCCAAATCAGGGACCCTGTCTTACCTTGGTATCCCTTCAATCTAACATATCTGCCACATGATGTGAAACCAACTGATAGTTCTTAAGAATGGGCTGAATTAAAGTCATGGTCCAGGTCTACCTGTTGTGAACTTAAGACAAGACCCAACTTCTCCAGGTCTTTTTTCCTTACCTGTAAAATGAAAGGCTAGGATTAAAGTCAAAGCCAAGCATTTTACCTACTGGTTTGTAGGAAAAGGAGCAGAGTTCATTTTATTAATATAACCAGTATGAACCACAAATGATCTATTCCAATAACCAGTAGATGTACATTTTCCAATCTAAAGTAATCCACATGTATGTATGTTGCTAATGGAACCTGTTGCCAAGAAAACATAAAAGGGCTTGAAAACCCTCTTAACCATCCTGCTTAATACAGAACGAACAGTCTCTGAACAAAATGGAAGAAAAAGAAAAAACATTTTGAGTTAAAAGTAAATCAGAGTGAACATTAAAAGGTTAATGAACTCAAAAAGACAACTAAGCCAGTTTAAAAATGGGTAAAGGATTTGGACAGACATTTCTCCAAAACAGATAAACAAATGGCCAACAAGCAAACAAAAAGATGCTCAGTATCATTAGTTGTTAGGGAAATGAAAGTCAAGACCACAACGAGATGCCACTTCCTACCCACTAGGACATATATAAACAAAAAGACAGTAACAAGTTTTGGTAGGATCTAGAGAGATCTGAATCCTTACAGATTGTTAGTAAGAATATAAAACAATACAGCCACTTTGGGAAAGTTTGGTAGTCCCTAAAGAACTTAAAGAATTACCTAGGTATACTCAAGAGAAATGAAAACACATACCCACACAACAACTTGTACATAAATGTCCATAGCAGCACTAATCATAATAGTCAAAAAGCAAAAGCAACCCCAAAGTCCTTCAACTGATGAATGGATAAATCAAATTTGGTACACCTATACAATGGAATATTATTCAGCAATAAAAAGAAATAAAGTATTAACACATGTACAACAGGGATGAACCCTGAACACACGTTAAGAAACTGGTCACAAAACACTACATATTATATGATTCCAATTACGTAAAATTTCCAGAATTGATAAATTTATAGACAAAACTATTCGTGGTTTCTTAGGGATCAAGTAGGGAATGGAGAATGACTGTTAATGAGTAGGGGGTTTTAGTACTGATGAAAGCATTCTAAAATTAGATTATGGTGATGGTTACAGTCCTGTGCATACACTAAAAGCTACTGAATTATACCTTTTAATGAATGAATTGTATGGTATGTAAGTTATATCTCACTAAAGCTGTTTGCTTTAAAAAAAAAAAGGTTAATGAGAGGGAAAATGTGATAGCAAGGATAACAAAGAAAAATAGCTACACTGGATTATAGCGTTCTGTGGAAACTAAACTAAATATTTTCAAAGAAGGGTTAAAAGCACCTCAAAGCAGGCCACTAAGAACACAAAGAAACCAGCAAATGGTAGATTTTCTGTTCTGTCATCCAGGGTAGTTCCTGACTCACTCTTCTTAGAGACACAAACATATTATACAGTAATTTGGAACGTATGCCACTTTCCAAGATGGAAGAGAGAATTTGCCAAGACTACAACTCACTGATCTTGAATGACTTCTGCTGATTCATGAAACTCTATGCTGTGTATGTGATTCTTAAAAGTTCAAGTACGAAACTGAAGGTAGGGACAAGTAAGATGAATAGTATGTGCAGATGACTTTCAAAAATGGAATTTGCTCCCTTCTGCAGGAGATAGCTAATTTTTTTGTTAATGGAATTGGTGTCTTCTACCATGACTTACTAAACAAAGCATGATGAGCTCCTGGCAAGGGACACAGTATATTAGTAAGATCAGAGGCTGGGCGCGGTGGCTCACACCTGTAATCCCTGCACTTTGGGAGGCCAAGGTGGGTGGATCACTTGAGGTCAGGAGTTCAAGACCAGCCTGGCCAACATGGTGAGATCCCATCTCCACTAAAAATTCAAAAAATTAGCTGGGCGTGGTGGCGTGCACCTGTAATCCCAGCTACTTGGGAGGCTGAGGTGGGAGAACCGCTTGAACCCAGGAGGCGGAGGTTGCAGTGAGCCGAGATAGCGCCACTGCACTATCAACAGAGTGACACTCCATCTCAAAAAAAAATTAAAAAAAAAAATCAGAAGAACAGGTGATCTTGGACTTGCCAACGTGATCAATAAAACTATCTTTCATCAGCAGCTAAGTTCTAGATAGCACATTCGAACTGGGAACAACATAAAGCTGGGAGATGTTATGAATATTTTAGATAACACAATCCAGATATAAGAAGATTCTAACAAGCCTCAATACAACTACAAAAGTAGGTAGAGATCTAACAAACCACAGTCAGAATGAAAATCAGAAAACATTCCATTCAAATCCTTCATTTCACAAATGAAGCTGAGTCAAGACGGATTTAAGAATATGCCCAAGTGCAGAAGGCTCATTAAAGGTAATCTAAGGTGGAGAATACTGGAATCCTAACTCCCAGGCTTGTGTCCAACAGACCCAATGCCACCTGTTACTACTTGTATAGATAACCATATGAAAAAAGTAAAAGAAGGCTTGATCCCTACCTCATAACACACAAACAAATTCCTGGGGACTTTGACCTAAATCTGAAAGGCAAAATACTAAAGCTTCTAGAAGATAACATAAGAAAATAGCTTCATCGCCCTAGAGTAGCAAAAACTTCTTAAACACAAAAAAACACTACCCGTAAAGGAAAAGATGGATACATTGGAATTGATTAAAATTCAGAATTTCAGTTCATCAAAAACTTTATGAGAGTGAAATGACAAGCTGTAAGACAGGAAGATTTTTATAATTCACATATTCGACAAAGGATTCATATCCAGATACCTTATAAACTCCACATTTCAATAAGAAAAAAGACAATCCAATCTGTTGAAAATGGACAAAAGACTTGAACAGGAACTTTATAACAGAGGGTATCCAAATGGCCAACAAGCATATGAAGAAGTGCTCAAATTATCAGTGATTAGAGAAATGCCCACGAAAACCACACTAAGATCTTCTATACAGCCACTAGTGATTAATTTTTTGTAATATTTAACTGACAATATCAAGGGAAGCAAAGCTGCAGAGTAACCGGAACTTTCATATGTTGGTAAAAGTATAAATAGGTACAACAAGGATGAAAAACAATTTGGCAGTGTCTATTAAAACTAGACACATGGCCAGGTACAGTGGCTTACACCTGTAACCCCAGCGCTTAGGGAGGCCGAAGCAGGCAGATCACTTGAGGTCAGGAGTTGGAGTCCAGTCTGGCCAACATGGAGAAACCCTGTCTCTACTAAAAATACAAAAATGAGCCAGGCGTGGTGGCAGGCGCCTATAATCCCAGCTATTTGTGAGACTGAGGCAGGAGAATCACTTGAACCTGGGAGGCAGAGGTTGCAGTAAGCCAAGATCATACCACTGCACTCCAGCCTGGGTGACAAAGGGAGACTTCGTTTCAGAAAAAAAAAAAAAAAAAAGAAAGCAAGCAAGCAAGCAAGCTAGATGCATATACATTTTGACCAGGAATTCTACTCCTACATATATACCCAACCAAAATGAATATAAAAGTATGCCAAAAGATACATACATATACATAAGTATATGATTATAGCAACATTGTTCATAATTGCCTCAAAATAGAAACTATTCAAATACCTAAAATGGAATGAATAAATGAATTTTGCTATGTAATTTGTGGTAGTTTTTAAAAATGACCACAAATTCTTTGACACACCTCTCATAAAGACATGAGGTCTATGTCCCCTCCCCTTCAATCCAGGCAGGCTGTGTCTTTGTCAACCAATAGAGTATGGTGGAGGTGAGATTATATGACTTCTGAAGATAAGCCACTCTCAGGAAGCTTCCTCTGGACACTCAGCCAACATGCTGTGAAAAGCCAAAACCTCCTGACCCCACATGTAGGTTTGGTCAATAGTATCAGATGATCCCAGTCTTCTAGACGTTCTAGTCAAGGTACTCAGCCAACATGCTGTGAAAAGCCAAAACCTCCTGACCCCACATGTAGGTTTGGTCAACAGTATCAGATGATCCCAGTCTTCTAGACGTTCTAGTCAAGGTACCATACAGGAAAGTGGAGAAGCCTCTAAATGATTCTAGACCCCAAGCATTGTAGGGCAGTGATAAGCCATAACCACCAAATTCCCAATCCACAGAATCCATGAGCATAATAAAATGGTTGTTATTTTACACTAGTAAGTTTGGAGTGGTGTGTTACGCAATAACCAATAATCAAAACTAGTGTGTTATGCAGGGATAGATAACCACAACTACAGAGCTATTTTTAAAAATAACAAACTACATGCAACAACATGAATGAATCTCAGACACAACATCGAGTAAAAGAAGTCAAGCAAAAAAAAAAAAAAAAAGTCCAGAGGGCATTATTCCATTTACACATGAGTTCAAAACCAGGTAAAACTATAGTTATGTAAGTCAGAATCGTGTTTACCTTGGGTGGGAGTAACTACTGTCTGCAAGATATCCCCACATAATCTGGGCTTCTGAGGGCTAGAAAATGAGTATCTTGATCTGGGTAGTAGTGATTACAGGGTGTTCACTTTGTAAAACTTTAAAAATAATTGAGCTTGATGCTTCTGCACCTTTTTGTTACACTTCAAAAAAATTTTTTTAATCAATGGAGCTTGGTAACCCAAAGAGGCAAGGGTATGAGGGAGAAATAAAGGATGACTTCCAAGTCTTCAGGAATGACTGACTAGGCAGTTCCATAAACTGAACAATTAAACAAAAACAGGGGCAGAAAGCAGGGACCATGTCCTATTCATTTTTTATTCAAGTATCTACCACAGTACTTAACACAGAGTCACTCCAGCATTACAAGATACTCCTATTATTTTCATCCCAACTTTTTGACCACCACTTCTTGGTCTCCTTTCTTACTTCCTTTCTGCCCAGCTGCCTCTTAATATTGGTATTACCCAGGCTTCCATACTCAATCTCTTTTCAATCACATGCACACACACACACACACACACACACACACACACACACAGAGGGAGAGAGAGAGGGAGAGAGGGAGAGAGGGAGAGAGACAGAGAGAGAGGGAGGGAGAGACAGAGAGAGAGACAGAGAAAGAGAGAGACAGAGAGAGTGACTTCTTTCTCTTGTATTTCCAATCTCAGTGCATAGCATCATCACATACATGTTCTTTTAGGCTAGAAACTGCCAATTAAACCAAGAACTAGGATTCCAAAATATCTTTAAAAGTTGCAGTTAGTTAAATTCAATAAAAAGAAATTTAACAAGACAAACATAAGCTCCCATGGTTGGACCCCAAAACTAATGCATACAAACAGGATGAAAAGACATAGCTTAGATAGATGCAGGGATTTTATTCAACTTTATGTTCAATGTATGATGTGGTCACAAAAGGATATAGCTAATATTAATAAAATTATGTAGAAGAAGGAAGGTGATATTCTTCCCTTAACTCACAGAAGAAAAGTGTTATATCTAGAACAAGAGATACAACTCTATTTCTCACGTATCAAGCCATGTCTGGAGCACAGAATTCAATTCAAAGCACTACAGTTTAAAATGAAATTTTTTTAAAAAGAGGAAAGCCACCAATGTGGTAAACTGACATGAAACCATGCCATGTAAGGAATAGCTAATGAACTGGAGATGTTTCAAATCAAAAAGACTGAGAATACTTGATGACTATTTTCACATATTTGAAAGGATGTTACGTGGAAGAGGGATTCAGCCTGTTCCACATTTCTCCAAAAGGCAGAAGTGAGTAGAAGAAATTAAGTAGACTTCCACTCAATGTAAGAAAGAATTTTCTAATGGTCAAAACTTTAATAAAAATAGGATAGGCTGTCTCTAGAGCAGTGGTTCTCAACCAGAGATGATTTTGTCTCTGTAGCCAGAGATGCCACTAAACATCCCACAGTGCAGAGAACAAACAGTGACCCATGTAAAATGTCAACAGTCCCATGGTTGAGAAATTCTGCCCTAGAGATAGTGAGTTCTCTGTCGTTGGAGGCATTTCATCATAGACCAGACCATGTGATGATGTCACAAGAATGGTGGGCCAGGAATGGTGGCTTGTCATTCCAGCTACTCAGGAGGAGGATCATTTGCTCCCAGGAAATCAAGGTGGCAGTGAGCTATGATCGCACCACTGCACTCCAGCCTGGTTGACAGAGCGAGAGGAAGGGAAGGAGGGAAGGAAGGGAGGGAGGGAGGGAGGGGAATGATGGGAAGTGAGAGTGAATTGAAAAAAGTTTTGTTTCAGATACCTCTCCAGAGAAAAATACCTTCAGGTATATCAAAGTGAAAATGATGATGATGACAAACATTTATTGAACACTTACTGTGGGCCAGACATTACACCAAATGACTCATGTATACAGTTTGCAGTTAATTCAACAACTCTAAGATAGGTATTATTTTACCTTGATTTGATGCTAAATTGAATTGCTCTAATGTCACACAGCAGTCAATATTTGAACTAGATCTACCTGACCCAATTTTATATGTCACTGTCCAAAGCATAAACATCAAATGACTTTCAAAGCTTTCACACTCTGGAAAAGAAATGAACAAGCACATATTCCACAAGTATCAGGACAATGTCTGAACAGGTTTGTACTCACTGTAAACCTAGCTGGCTAGGAGAAAGAGGAAAGGATTATTTGAAGTAGTCCTGTGATGAAGAAGAGAACAATTATCCTGATTGTCCCCAATTGCCTACTTCTGTAAGAGCCAAGAAGCTCTTATATACCCATGGAGGATGGGATTAATGATGACATCCTTTTATCCATAGGCGTGAAAGCTCAGAATGGACAGACGTTTGAACATCCCCGACTGGGAATCCTGCCCTTAACAAATACACTAGATGCAGATACATGGTTTCTTGGCTGCCTATACTCACGCCCATCTGTCAGGATGGCAGTATGCCTGCTCACATGTTGGTCAAACTGTCACTAGGGCATAGGTGCCAAGCAATGATAGTTTTAAATGGGCAGCTTGCATAGCACTATAAGAGCTTGCTCTTCTGCAGAAAAAAAAAAAAAAAAAGAAAAATTCTCTGTGATAATACTGAAGGGCTGCAAATCACAAGTGAAATATTCTTGGTCAATCTCAACATTTCAGTGGAAAAAAAGATCTAGACAAGTAGAAAAGAATCAGAATAAGGAAGTTAAATCAAACAGAACAGGTACTTTAAAAACATGTGAGATGTTGCATGAAAGCTTTTAACACTGCCCTTCTTTCATTAACATGTGTCAATGGTAACCTCTTACACTGTAAAATCCTTGCCTCAACAAGTCATCACTGATTTTTTTCTTAATGGAATGATACATTTTTCCATGTTCTAAATAGGAACAGAAATGCATTGATTTCTAGTAGTTCGACACTATACAGGTTCTATTTGTTGACTGATTATTTTTAAAATGACTTAAGTCTAATCTACAGCCATGATAATCTTTTAAATGCACAAAAGAAAGCAGAAACCAAAGAGATCCCCACAGATAAACGGCAGGGGAGGGGAAGAGTATAATTTGCATGGAGAAAGAAACTAACAACTGAAGTAGGCACTAACAAAATGGAAAGTGAGTACTTTTGCTCATGAATTTAATAGGACTCGAGGGCAAAAACATAGATCTGTTATCTTTCACATCCCCCTGACTACAAGCAAAATGTTCCTATACTACATCTAGGTTTCTAGTGTATCCTTTAATATCTCACATGAAATATATAATGTCTTTACTGTCCGGAAATTCTTCCCTAAGACCAAAACCTTAAAGCTGCAATTTGAGCCATTTGTTCTTATGCAGTCCTCAGGATTTTGAAGAACAGCTGGTCATCATCATTCTCTGTATAGTTCTTCACATACAAGTATCAGGACATACTGATTAAATAACCCCTGAGTCTCCTCTTTGCCATGATAAATAAATCTGATCCCATTAACTTTTCCTCATTGGACCGATTTATGAACTCTTCATGTTTTTATCATTTCAGTTGCTCAACGCTTGGACTCTTTTCAGGCCTGGTAAGAAATGTCACCCACATCAACAATGAGCCAACGGAAACTACTCTTTTTCCCAAATGTACAACTTAATAACAGTAGCATAAATACGAAACAGTTTGGAAGTCCTGCTGACTTCTCCATATCCATCACTGAGGACAGCAGCAAAAGTTTGAAATCTACCACTGCCTTCTAGAAAATACTAGGAATTTATAACATTCTGAAGTAACACCACTTTTTTAGCTTTCTGGCAGATATTTGTAAAACAAAGTTGTAAGTCAAGGGTCATGATTATATCCTGTTCTTCCTACCAACGTATCACTGCCACAAATGGTCCTAAAACAACTTCTCTTTAATACCATTTCTATCATACCATTTTCCTGATTAAGAATATACAGCACCTTCCTAATAGCCAATGAAACTGATTACAAATGCTTCAATCTAGCCAGAAGTTTATATACTCTTTCTTTTTCACGAACCAATGATCCTTCCTTTACTTCTCTACTTCCCTTCACTTGCATGACTCCCAAAAATAGCCAGTTCTTACTTATTTTCTCTAGAACAGATCTTTGCCCATGTTATTCTCTAAAATGTTTTCCCACTTTTTCCAGACTCCAGCCATGTTATACCTTCAATAAACCTGTATTTATTAATAGTTAATTGCTCATTCATTTCTTCCTGTCTTTGTTTTGATACCTAATTTACAGTATATGGCCAACTGATTTTTGATTTTTAAAACTTATTGAATGGAGAAAGGGTAGACTTTTCAACAAATGGTTTTGGAACAACTGGACATCCATGGACAAAAGGAAAAGAAAAATGTACCAAGATCTAAAGCTCACATCCTGTGCAAAAATGAAACCAAAAAGGATCACGGATCTAAATGTAAGACATATAAGGGTAAAACAGAAGAAAAAATGAGAACAACCTCCTGACCTAGAGTTAGGCAGAGAGTTCTAAGATAGGCACTAAAAACACGATCCATATATTGAGAAGTTGGACTTTAACAAAATTTGAAACTTTTTTGCTGCTAAAGACACTGTTAAGAGAATGAAAAGACAAGCCAGAGACTGAGAGAATATATTTACAAATCATATATTTGGCAAAGGATTTTGTATACACAACATATAAAGAATGCTCTAAAATCAGTAAGAAAACAAACCAATCACAAAACGGGTAAAAGACTTGAACAGACAAATCACCAAAAAAAATATGAATGGCAAATAAGCACATGAAATCATCAGCCATTAGGATGCAAATTAAAGCCATGACAAGATACCAGTACGCACAAAAAATATCACCAATACCAAATGGTAGTGAGGTTGTGGAGAAACTGTATCTCTCAAACACAGCAGCACCCCCTTCATCTGTGAGGGATACATTCCAAAGCCCTCAGTGGATACCTTAAATGGTGGAGAGTATGGAGAGTATCGAACCCTACATAAATACGTTTTTTCCTATACATACATTAGATAGACATACTTATGATGAAGCTTAATTTATAAATTGGAGCCAGTTAAGAGATTAACAACAATACTAAGAGTAATTATAACAATATGTCAGCGGCCAGATGCGGTGGCTCACTCCCTGCAGTCCCAGCACTTTGGGAGGCAGAGGCAGGCGGATCACCTGAAGTCAGGAGTTCGAGACCAGCCTGGCCAAAATGGTGAAACCCTGTCTCTACTTAAAATGCAAAAATTTGCGGTGCGTGGCAGCAGGCGCCTGTGACCCAGCTACTAGGGAGGCTGAGGCAAGAGAATCGCTTGACCCTGGGAGGCGGAGGTTGCAGTGAGCTGAGATCACACCATTGCACTCCAGCCTGGGGGACAAGATAAGAGACCTGCCTCAAAAAAAAAAAAAAAAAAAATGCCAGCATCACTAGTCTTGCACTTGGGGTCACTACTAAGTACAATAAGGGATTCTCAAACACAAGCACCAAGACACCAGACAGTCAATCTGATAACCAAGAGTGACTAACTAGCTGGTGGGTAGTGTATACAGTGTGGATATGCTGGACAAAGGGATGATTTACACCCCACCTGGGACAGAATAAGAGGGCTCAAGGTTTTATCACTATATGACCCAGCAGTTGAATTTCTAGATATTTATTCTAGAACAATTAAAACTTACAGTCACAAAAGAACCTGTACATTAATGTTCATAGCAGCTTTACCTGCAATCACCAAAAACCAGAAACAACCCACATGGCCTTCCATGGGTAAATGGTTAAATGTGATACAGCCATAAAATGGACAAGCACTGTGCAATTATCAAAAGCAGGAAAGTGACACTAATACAATATTCATCACTGAACTACTTATTGAAATGTCAGCTTTTACATTCTTTTGTGTGTCTAATTCTAGGACATTGTGTCATGTGTACAGATTCATGTAACCATCACCATAAACAAGACACTGAACTGTTCTATCATCTCAAAGAAAGTCAGCCCTAACCCCAGCAAAACCGGTCTGTTCTGCATTTCTATAATTTTGTCATTTTGAGAATCCTATATAAATGGAATCATACAATCTCTGAGACTGGCTTTTTTCACTCAATACAATGCCCTTAAACTCCAACCAAGTTGCTGCATGAACCAACAGTTTGTTTCTTTTTTTGATGGTGGTGTTCTACCGCAAGACTATCACATTTTATTTAACCATTCACCCACTGAAGGACATGTGAGTTGTTTCTGGTTTTTAGCTATTATAAACAAGGCTTCTACGAGCATTCATGTACAGGTTTTTTTGTGAACGTTTTTATTTCTCTAGGATAAAGGCTCAGGAGTGCAATCGCTGGATTGTGTGTCAAATGTACGTTTAACTTTTCGAGAAATTGCCAAACTAATTTCCAGAGTGGTTATATCATTTTACATTCCTACCAGCAACATATGAAAGATAAATTTTAGAGTCAGCATTTCTAAAGTATTTTCTGCAAGTCTGAAAAAACAAGATTAAACTTCTTAAATGTTATAACCTGAACTTATTTTTAAAAAATGAATTTTAAAACTTTTTTCCTGATTCCCAAATAACAGATTACCTCTAAGAAAAAAATGCATACAGCTGACCCTTGAACAACATGAGTGTGAACTGTGCAGGTCCACTTATACACAGATTTTCTTCTGCCTCTGCCACTCCAAGACAGCAAGACCAACCTCTCCTCTTGTTCCTCCTCCTGAGCCTACTCAACACCAAGACAATGAGGATGAAGACCTTTAAGATGGCCCACTTCCGCTTCATGAACAATAAATATATTTGCTCTTTCTTAGGGTTTTCTTAATAATATTTTCTTTTCTCTAGCTTATTGTATTGTAAGAATATAGCATATAGTACATATACAAATATGTGTTAATTGTTTATGCTATTGGTAGGGCTTCTGGTCAACAGGCTATGAGTGGTTAAGCTTTTGAGGAGTCAAAGCTTATACATGGATTTTCAACTGCATGGGGGTCAGCACTCCCAACCCCTGAGTTGTTCAAGGGTACACTGTAATTACATATAATCTCTATGTTGATAGCTGTTGCCAAATTACATAGTAAACTGCAATAAGATGTGAAAAAAGCAACTCTAAAGACTACAGTAGAAACATTAACAGTTTCTCTCCCTGTGTCTTCCAGACACATTCTATAAATACTTAAGGTCTAATAGTTCTTTCTAACACTTAATATTGTGAAACGCAATCACAATGCACTAATACTTAGTGTCATCAAATGATGACTTTTCTTTAGCTGTCACTTGATAAAAACAATCTAAGAAAAGCAATTAACCTGAAATAAAGCTGTGGTTATCTTAGCTATGTCTAACTTCATGGTTTGTTTAATTTTAGATATAAATGACAATTAGATAATGCAATCTCTTTTGGATTCTTAAAGCAAGTATCTAAGTCTAGAGCAGACATATCTGCCGACATACAAACAGCCAGACAGACGGTCCTCAAAAAGAAAATAAAATAAATACACAGAAAGAAATTATAAGGTCCCTGGAACAGTGGAATGAGGCTGCTCGTGTTCCTAATGACTTTCAGTTCTCATGTTTAGTCCCCTGCAGGACCAACTATATTGTTCCTGATACTGAGCTCCACAAGACACGTGTCCTTCCATTATCAGTATGATATTTGCTTTAAAAGTATATGACAGACCATTCCCAAATCTCAAATTTAATTTGCTTGTGCTTGCAATTTAATTATTTACTTCATCTAGTATATCTTCCCATTTAATGAATTACTTACCAATAAACATTTTAGTATACACGTTTAATATTCATCTTAAATATTTGCCAGTGTGAACAGTATCTACCTTAATTTTCAAATCCTAGAGTACTGGTTCCCATCCTATGGGCAAGAAACCCATAGAGAGATAGGAGTAACTGCAAAGAATCATCAAAATCCATATACTTACCTAAAGACTAAATAAATGTGATTCACAAACATATATGTTTCCAAGCTGACAAAGATACTGTGGCTAATAAAAATCTTAATAAATTTCCTGAAGAATGTTGGTAAAAGTAGAGCAGTTTCTTCTCATCAGTATTTATTGATGAATACTAAAAATCTAACTCCTAATATGGGAGAAGGGCCATCGCTCGTACCTCTCTAGATTTTCTAGAGAGCTTTTCTTTTTTAAAGTGTTGCCCATATGTCACTCAGAACAGGAGGAGTAGGATGTGCTTGAATTTGAGTGCAAAGATTTAAGACAACATTGGGAGAGATGGAGCAGGAGTAATTGGGAAAGTGCATGAAATTACTTCAAAACAGCAACTTCAGAATGCTGGGTGCTTAAATATCATTCAAGCACCAAAGGGAAAAAATTCAAAGGACAGAGCCCTCTGCATCTTTATAATGGCAAGTAGAAATATATTCACAGGAATTTTGATCAAAAGAGCCAAACTTATCCTAGAGTAAAAATACATCTTGGTTACAACACCTACCTAAATGTTTTATTAGGGTTCTATCACCCTTTTAAATTAATCTTGTACCTTTATTAAACATTTTCTACATTTTAACATTAATAGTGCAGTTTTTCAAAGGCGCCCTACACATTTATTGGATTATTCTGTGCTGGATGCTAGATAAAGTTAAAAAAAAAAAAAAAAAGACGTACACTAATTTAAAACAAAGAAAACTTGCTTCAGCAAAACACTACAATAGCAATAGACTTTGCACCTAGCACAATTCCTTGTAAATAGGGGGCACGTGATCTCTGCTGAATAAATGAGTCCATTTCTCCTTACTCCGAAAAATAACCCTGGCAAGCATGTAAAATATCCTACCAGTCTGAAAAATATTCTCCAGTCCTATTCAGCTACCAATCCATTCTCAGAACCCATCAAGAGCAATTTTCATGAAAGCCTCACTCACACGCACAAAGAGGCAGCATTTAATTCCCATTAGGCTCACTGCCTGATCTACGGAGATATAAGCATTTGCACATTTGCATAAATTCAGGAGACATCCTTCATTTGATATAAGGTAAATCTTAAAGCTTCGCTTCATTTCCAAATAAGTTTTATTTTTCAAATCAAAAATATTTTTAAAGTTTTATTTTTCAAATCATAATCCTAATCATAGTACATTATATCTTATTAGGGATGCTTTTAAGAAAAAAAAATATAGCTGTCAAAATTAAAATCTTGTTTTTTCATTTCTAGACATCTGGGACATTTCACTTATATATTTATTATTATTTCACATTAGTTCTCAAAGTTAAAAAAAAAAGCTGGCCTATTTCCTTTAAGAAATTTAATTTTAGGGTCTGTCAACATTTTGAATGCATTACTGTTATTTTTAAAATACACACTTGCATACTGGAATAAAACTTAGCATAAGCTTTCCATATAACCATTTCCTGGGCACTTACTAACTTACTATATGCCAGGCTCTATGCTTAACACATTACTCCATTATCTCATTTGTTTAACAAATATCCTCTCATAATTTTTGCAGCACTGAACATAACAAGAAGACATTGCACTATAAAACTGGTATTTGTACTGGATACCAGAACTAAATTGACAGTAACGCCTAACACAAGTTTATTGTTATTAAATTCAAGTTGTGTTACTGTATTAACACAGAATCTGATCAGCAATGTTGAGATGTAGAGAATACCATCTGTGGTAGCATCAACAGAGAAAGCTATTATTAAGTGACTACTTAAGTTACATTCCCTTCTATAGGTAACAGATGAACATAATCTTATCTACCCAGAAATTTAATTCCAATCACTACATGCCATTTTGAAGAACATAAACGTAACCTACATAAAATGACTATATAAAGAACCCTTGCTTCCTTCTGAAAATGCTTCAAAATTCTAGATTAAATTCTCCCCCAAAGTATCATGCTCAGCATGTCATAAAGAAAGGTGCCTTTATTGTCAACTCTTGAAAATAAATGCTGCCCTACTTTTTTTTACTCTTGAATTTCAGTCTCAACAGATGGGCAATTCCAGTTTAAAAAAAAAGAAGAAGAAAAGAAAAACACACACACAATAATTAATGAAGTTCTTCAACAGTTCCCTAAAACCAACATCCTCCCAATAGCAAATTGTATTTCCAAGTTGTTCCAAGAAAGGGACACAGGAAAGGGAAGGGAAGAGTCTATACAAAGGAAAACAAAAATGAGTGACTTGAAAGAAAGGACATCAGAAAAATGGGTGGCCTCAACAGGAACCTATAGTGTCTGACTCTGCTGCTGTCTGTCGAATTTAATTCTACCACCTAAGAGTTTTGAGACGAGAACCACAATACTATTTCGGTGGTAGGAAAAACTATGCGTTGCCCCTGAATGGAGCTGCAACAGTAAAGGATGCCACCCTGCCAGGTAAGGACAGAATGAGGAGGAACTGTCAAACGGTTATGAAAGTCCCTTGCAAAACACACAAGCGGCTCTAACTGCCTTGCACCAGACAGACCCTCAAGTACAGGATCACGGGGCCTCCCCGCGATGTGACAGGGAAATAACGGGCGGCCTCGCGGTCCCCAGGCCTGGCTGCTATCCTCAGGGGTCGGCCTCCCCTCTCAGGTCTCAAGTCAAAGGTCACATCCTCTGAGATGCCCTCCCGGATCACCTAACCTAAAGAGCCTCGCCCCCATTCCTCTAGCCCGCAACTGCCTGTCCCGTTTCTAAGAAAGCATTTCCGTATCCGCAAAACATCGCAGCTGCGTGTGTTGTTTCCCTTCTACAGAGTGAGCTCTGCGGGGCAGGGGCCTCGCCTGCGCTGTTCACCCGGAGCCCCGCCTGACAGAACCGGCTTCCCGGTGAGGCCCGAGGCGGCGTTTGCGAGCTCGGCCGCGACACCACGCGCGTCCAGAACGTGGAGCTCAGATGGGGGCCGGCCTGGCCAGTCCAGGCATCCCCGGGGGCGCCTGCGGGGCCTGAACGAGACAAGGAAGGAGCGGACGCCCGCGCAGGCGGAAGCCACGCGGCGGAGCGCGGTCCCGCGGGGCGACCGAGGCTGACGGCGACTCCCGCACCCCGGTGGACCCACAGGCCGCCCGGAAGGCCCAGTGCCGGCCCCAGCCCCGGCCGCCCGCCTCCGCGCCCCCGGCTCGGCGCGCGAGTCCTCGAGCCGTGTCGCCTGCGGCCTCCCTACCCTAAGCCGCAGACCCGTCGCGTTCTGCCCAGTACGAACTTCCCGCCGCTTTCGCCGACTCGTAACTCGGCAGCGGCGCCGGCCCCTTCGCACCCTGCAGTATGGAGCCTTCCCATTGGCTCGGAGGCGACGAGGAGGGGCGGGACGAGTGGTAACGCGAGGCGCGGGGCGGAGGCTACGCTAGCCCCGCGCCTCCCCGGGAATGCCGGGAGCTGTGGTCCAGCGCTCCCAAGGCATCCTGGGAGTTGGAGTCTCTTAGCGGCAAAGGGAGATCCCCGTCCTTCTGCTCCCTGGTCTTCTAGGAAATGTGGTTTACAGCCTTGTTCGTAGTAGCTTGATTTATTAAGTGTATTGGCAGAGAGTTGGGTGTAAAATAAGTTTCCTGTTTCTGTTAGGATTAAATGAAATAATCTATAGGCAGTACTTTAAACTTAGTTGGTGCTCAATAAATAGCAGATAGTGTTAGTATTATTCTGCCCACTCATTGATATGTGTCTAAATCCTACCTGTTTTTCGAAGCCTATTTCAAAGCATATCTCAATGTCTACCTAATCATCTATAGTGTTTCATCTGTAATCAACGTATGCCACAGTTTGCATTGTGTTTATTATTTATTTTTATTTATTTATTTTTTTGAGACGGAGTCTCACTCTGTCGCCCAGGCTGGAGTACAGTGGCACAGTCTCGGCTCACTGCAAGCTCCGTCTCCCGGGTTCACGCCATTCTCCTGCCTCAGCCTCCCGAGTAGCTGGGACTACAGGCGCTCGCCATCACGCCCAGCTAATTTTTTTCTGTTTTTAGTAGAGACGGGGTTTCACCGTGTTAGCCAGGATGGTCTCGATCTCCTGACCTTGTGATCCGCCCGCCTTGGCCTCGCCAAGTGCTGGGATTACAGGCGTGAGCCACCGCGCCCGGCCGCATTGTGTTTATTATAATCAGCTAAGTCTCCATCACCCATGAGGCTGAGAGCTTATTGGGCACTGGGTCATTGTTCTAGGTCAAAATCACTGAAGTCACAGGCAGAGGGAGATTAACAATGAAGCCAATGAAGCGTAAGCTTCAGGACCTCACTTGCGCAGGTCCCTCAATGAGTTTACATAGCTTTGGGGGTTTATTTGTCGATTTTACTTTTCTTTTTCTTTTTTTTAAAGATATAGTCTCACTTTGTCACCCAGGCTGCAATGCATTGGCGCGATCTCGGTTCACTGCAGCCACGACCTCCTGGGCTCAAGCAATCCTCCCACCTCAACCCTCCGAGTAGCTGGGATTACACGCACAGGCCACCACTTCTGGCTAATTTTTGTATTTTTTGTAGAGACAGGGTTTGACCATGTTGCCCAGGCTGGTCTTGAACTCCTGAGCTCAAACAATCCACCCCGCCTCAGCCTCCCAAAGTGCTAGAATTACAGGCATGAGCCACCACACCCAGCTGATTTTTCTTAAAGTAGATCCCCCAAAATTATGTGAGCTTCAGTCCCTACAAAACCTGGAATCACTCTGTCCATTAGACAGGGCAATATTGTGCCTGATGTCTTACATTTTCCCCTCCAGATACCCTCATCTGCTCCAAATACTTCTCCTGCCTGCCCTCTGCCCCAGGAGGCTGACCTCTACAAATTACTTCGCGCTCCCTGTGCCCCCTGGCTTTGGGGCGTGCCCAGTGGAGAACCCCACAGAAGATTGGAGGAAAAAGAAAGGTTGGTTAGAGTAGGTTAAGCCCCTGGATCCTGACTGGCAAGGTCACCTCCAGTTGGCAGGTCCCTCAGCTGAAGGTCACTGCTCCCTGGCCCTCCCTCCAGTTTGCGGTAGTAGCCCTTCCCTTTGTGCCTCAGGTCTGGAAGTGATGACATCACGGCTGCTGCTGACCCACAAGTTACTGCATCCTCCCTCGTGGTTCCTACCCCCAACACCGTTGTAAATAGTCTCATTGCAAATAACCTTCCTCAAATTACCCTATTTGGAATTATGTCATCTGCTTCCTGTTGAGACCCTAACAGAGCATGGGCAAGGTGAGCACTCGATAAAATCTGTCAGCAAAAAAGTCTCAAGATTCACACATCTCATGGGTGTGGAATCCCCCAGCAAGACTCTGTGGCCAGAATCCACTGAGAGAAAGACACACACACCCACACCCACACCCACACAAATACACACATATGTTAAGAAAACTTGGAACAGGACTTATCTGTCATAGTGTGACCATGTTCCCCTAACCTCACAATAGACACGTGAAGAAACATCCCTGTTTCCACACTGGGTTGACAATTGACTGACTTTAAAGCACAATTAAATCAGCAACAGTGTAAGGTAAGAATGGAATGTATTTATTCTGGAGCTCTTGGCCCTGGCACCCTTGATCTGATGGCTCACTGTTAAACACTCCTTACGTGCAGCCCTGTTCCAAGGCAGTTGCCGGCACCTACAACATCATCCACACATGCTGAGATGTCTTCCCAGTGCAGAGCATGGCAGGTCACCAGTCCAAGCTGCTGTCACAGAGACAACATGTCTGAAATGCTATAGATGGGGATACAACTCTCAAAGCTAGCAGACCCTTGGCACGTTTTTATGAGTTGATAGCTTGGTGTCAAGATCAGGGTCATACATAAGATTGACCAGCGAGGACTTGCTGTTGGTGGGCTTTAGAAATTAAGAATTGATGGCTCACGCCTGTAATCCCAGCACTTTGGGAGGCCGAGGCTGGCGGATCACGAGGTTAGGAGTTTGAGACCAGCTTGGCCAACATGGTGAAACCCTGTCTCTACTAAAGATACAAAAAATTAGCTGGGTGTGGTGGCAGGCACCTGTAATCCCAGCTACTCAGGAGGCTGAGGTGGGAGAGTCGCTCGAACCCGGCAGGCGGAGGTTGCAGTGAGCCGAGATCGCGCCACTGCACTCCAGCCTGGCGACAGAGTGAGACTCCGTCTCAAACAAAAAAAAAAAAAGAAGAAGAAGAAGAAGAAGAAGAAGAAATTAAGAATTGTACTAGGCAGGAAAGGTTCATAAAAGTAATCCTGCCATATATTCAAAATATCTATACGGTCCAAACAAATGTTTACAGAGCACTTACTGTGAGCCAGGGATTGAGCCAAATTCCAGGGACCCTGGTTTAATGCTTAAGGAGGCCCTACTATTTGTCAGGCACTGTGATTTTTCACACATATTGTTTCCCCAATTCTTAGAGGGGAAAAAAATCTCAAAGAATTTGGACAATGATTCTTGGTCCCCTGAATCTACTTCCAAATGTTCTTTTTACTGCCCCTTTATGCCCAGCCTCAATACATGAGGACTGTCCTTACAAAGAAATAATTTTAGCACAGTGGTGGAGACTTGTACAGAATGCTATCATAGCCTAGTACTGAGATTCCTGGTTAAGGGGTCATCATAGATGAAGCAGGGTGACCTAGTGAATAAAAATCTTCTAGCTTCCCAGTAAAGGCAAACCAACTAAAAATTTATACATGGGATCTGTATTGATTTGCTGCATAGTGAGACCCCAGAGTTCCTTTTTTTTTTTCATCTCTGGGAGCCCTAACACAAAGGTATAGAAAAATAAAAATAATCCAGGCACTTTGGGAAAGTGTGAGGAGGTTGGTGTTGGCTCCACCGTGGCAGAAACCCAATCTATAAACTTCAAACAAACGCCATAGTCATTAGGAAGCAACATCGTCCTGGCGGGCTGCCCAGGAGGCACTGATTCAACCCGTGAGTCAGTTTATGCATCCTTGTCCTTGTTGTTTTCATCTGTAGAATGGGAGCAATCATTCTGGGCCAACCGGCTCTCTGCCACCCCAGGCTGATGGGAGGCAGATGAGGTAATGTTTGAGAAGGGCTTTGATCTATCCAGAACAAAGTCACTAGGGTGTCCTTACTCAGTGTAAGTGGCCTAAGAAAAGCCCAAGACAATATTACTTCCTGGGAGAAAGGAAAGGAGAGAGGAGTGAGGGGCAGAATGTGATCAGGGTCTTCTGAGTACCCTGACCCTGGTTTGTACTCCCCCACCTGCTCTTGATGCTTTATCTCATCCCAAGTGCCCAGAACCCTTATTTCCCTTTTAGCAAGGACTTTTGAGGATCTACCATGTGTCAGGCAGAGTGTCTGATATGGATTGGCTGCATCCCCACCCAAATCTCATCTTGAATTATAGTTCCCATAATCCCCACGTGTTATGGGTAGGAGTGAGTTCTCCTGAGATCTGATGGTTTTATAAGGGGCTTTCCCCCACCTCACTCATACTTCTCCTTGATGCCGCTCTGTGAAGGACGTGTTTGCTTCCCCTTCTGCCATGACTGTAAGTTTCCTGAGGCCTCCGCAGCCATTCTGAACTGTGAGTCAATTAAACCTCCTTCCTTTATCAATTACCCAGTCTCAGGTATGACTTTATTAGCAGCATGAGCGCAGACTAATACAGTCCTTAACACGTTTACAATACAGTGGGAAAACCAGACACGTCCACTAATTCTAGTAACTATGATCTTTATGAGAACCTATTACATGCTGGGAAAACCATCTCATGTAACCTTGTGAGGTGGGTGATACGACCCCAGTGTCCAGATGAAGAGACAAAGCCCCAGTGAAATGAACTGATTTGCTCAAGGTCACGCTGCTAGCTGCCTCACTTCGAATCCATCCCGATATCAATCACAGCTGTTGACACAGGAAAGGGTAATGAGGCGAGGGCTAACTGGAGGCACACAGACTCCACACAGTAAGAATGCAGGAAGAAGAGTAAATCGTTCTACCAAGCCTCACAGAGAAGCCTGAGAAGGTAGAGAAGGCAGCGTGAACCCAGTTACTCTGCTGAACTAATATGGTTCCTCCCACAATGGTAGAGATAGGTTCTTTTAGATATTATGACACAGTAATAGATTATTGTAATTATTCTGAGGTCAGAAGTGGATGAAACAAGTTTTAAAAGCCTAGAAAATGTTTCCTTCTTCTTTTCTTCCTCCTGATAATGACATCAGTGGTGGTGATGATGGTAACGATGATGATGATGACACTGACGATGGCAGCTTCCATTTATTGAGTTTGAAGCATTTGCCAAGAACCGCACCAATACTTTATAAACACCATTTCCAGAAATCTTCACAATATTTTAGGAGGTTGGTAACTTTACCCCCAGTATAGAGATAAGGATATTGGAGCTCAGATAAGGTAAGTCACTTGCTGAAGGTCACACAGCTAGTAAATGATGCAGTTGGGCCTTAAGCCAAAGTTTCGACTGACTCAGAAGACCAAATGCTTAACCACTCTACCGTGCGGTTCACCAAACACTCACCATTTCATATGCTTATATCTTCTGAGCTGGTTTTCAAAATGCCACGGCTATTTTATCTTCCTGAAATCCTGAGGGATTAATAACAGAGGGAAATTTAATGTGTGGGCCTCCCACAATGACTGAATTGTTTCCCAGTGCCCTGGTGAAATTCTCTGAGCTGAGGATGTTGTAAGCTGCCTGCAGGTGGGTTGCTTTCTGCCTTCCTGTTGGGAGGTGTGCTCGATATGATCTGTCAACACTCAGCATCCATTTCTACTGCCTTCTTCTGTACCTTCCTACTGCACAGGCTGCAAAACTAAAAATTGCGCTTCCCAGAAACCCTAGTACTTAGGGCTCTGGATGCAAAAAGTTCCACCAGTTAAAGTCCTCAAAGAAGATTTGGAGGGCAGGGTGAGGTGGCAACATGGTCATGGTGTTGTCTTGGGATTTTTCCACAGCCGTGTTCCACTGCCTTGTCCCTAATGTCATGACTGTCAGAAGACACTCATCTGTTGGGTTGGTAACAGTATCAGCTTCCTGATATAGTTGTGAGTTTATGTAGTAAAGATATGGAACTTGCCCAAAGAGAGGTCTGGCCTTCATTCTCCGCAATTGGAAGCCCTTGGAATATCATCCTCGATAGAAGTGTCTTTGTTTGCCTGGGGGCCTTGGGTCACCAGATAGTCTAAATATAATGTAGGGTGGGGGCTGGTCATATCAGATGGTCTTAGGATGCTGGTTGCTCATGCCAGAAACACCAGCAATGCAATTTAGGGTGAGTGCTTTGGGTCACACTGTATCAGTGTGGTCCATAGGGACCAGAGACTGAGATCAGCCATATGGACAACCATACCTTTGTGACAAGAGTCCTAGTAAAAACTCTGGACACCAAGGCTTGGATGTGCCCCCTGGTCCACAGCACTCCATGTGTATTTTCACAAAGTGATACTGGGAAGAAACACCATCCTAACTCCATGAAAAGAAGACCACGCAACTGTGAATTTGGAACCCTCTCTAGCCTCTGCTTCTTCTCTTGGCTGATTTTAACGTGTAACCTTTCCCTGTAATAAGCCATACCCATGAGTATTACAGCTTTTAATGAGTTCTAGGAATCTTTCTAGCAAATTATCCAAATTGAAAAAGGTTTAGGGAGCCCCTCAGATTTTGCAATTAATTTCAGAAGTGAGGGAAGTCTTACAGGCTATGTTCTCTCCAACTGTACAGTTGGCTAACACTCTTGCAGAGTTCTCAAACTCTCTAGCCCCAGTGGCAGCCTCCTCATTCTTCCCCTTTAGATTGTTGCAGAGCTGGTGGCTCCCCTGACAAGGCAGTTCTGCAATGCTTGAGCTAGTGCTTTTTAATCCCTATACTAAATCCCTTTGTGCTTTAAACACCTAGCAGGTTAACAGGTTAACAGGACACAGTTAACTGTATCCCGTGTTAAATATTGACTAATACAGAAGAGAAAAGAGATACCAATAAATGCGATCTATCATCAATTATAAGATGCATGCTTTTCCTACTTGAATACCTCTGAAATCTGGATGTATCTTTCAATCAATGCCAATTATAATTGGCAGTGTTTTTTTCTTTATTAATAATACATAAAATAATGGGGCATCTAACACTTGACGGAGTCTTAGATTTGCTGAAATTCTAGGATATCTGGTGTTTGCTTCATCAGAAAGTCTCTCTAGATCATTTCTCCTCTTCATTTTACTTCTCACATTGCACACTGGATCCGATGCCCCCAAACCCAAGGGTGTGGACTTCCTCCTTTCTTTCACTTTACGCTCTTTGAAAGTGAAGACAAATACTGTTAGAGAAAGAGAGAAGCAATGTGTTAATGCAATAGGACATGGGTTTTGTGATTGAGAGAGGCCTGAATCTGAAACCTTCCTCTACCACTTAATTGCTGTGTGACCTTGTATAAATTATTAATCTTGCTGAGTCTCCTTCTCATCTATAAATGACAGTGGCTGTTGGGATTAAATGAGATAGCCTCTATACAATTCTTGGCCCTAGTAGGCACTCAGTAAAGGCTTTCCCTACTCCTTCTGCTCATCCTTCTCTTATTGCTCTCCTTCTGAACATCATGAGATCTGCCTCTCACATCACTCCACGTCCCAGAGCCAAGCTGCAAGCAGCTGTTATCATTTATTGTCCGTGGCTAGACATAGACTCAAGTCAAATATACATACATGTTCATATCTAGTCGCCAGCTTGCAAACTGGGAAAGGAAGGAGAGTTGTGTCAAAAACAAAAGCAAATCGTTGCTTTTATTTTTGCAACCATCCAACTCTTGTTGTGTTTTGATTTCAGGGCTGCTCCAAGATTCTGGGACAAAAGGCACTATATATAAGCATTATTATGAGACTCAAAGGGGGCTCTGAGCAAAACAAAATCCTTTTATTACAGAGAATTGGAAAGACTTGTTGCCAAATATAGTTACTGCACGGAAAATGCGTTTTTCCTTTTTTCCCCACGTCATCACCATTGCCACCACCGTGCTGTAGCTAAACCCACACCCTATCAATTAATCTATCTACAAATATTTTAAATAATAATGACTAACATCTTTTGGCAGTTACATGTGCCAAGCATGGTCCCAAGTACTTTACATCTTGTATCTCATTCGGTCTTCCCAGCAGCTCTTCCCAGAGGTAGGTATCATTATTAGCACATTTGACAGGTGAGGAAATTAAGCCTTGGAGAACTTAGGCAACTTGCTTAAAGTTGCCTAAGCAAATAGCTAAAAAGAGGCAAAGTCAGGATTTGAATGCAGCTGTATGATATCAATGATTACGTACTTCCTTTATGTCAAAGGGAATACGGGATTGCACAGCAAAGATGGGTATATGTCCCTGATCCTCAGAAATCTGTAATCCGATTATCAAGATAAATGTCAAGTGACTGGCACACTAGTAGCTGTCCCAGCAGTTGAGGTGTCACAGAAATCTTAGTGAGCCAGGGTTTTCGAGAAGACAGAGTTCAGAGGCTATACTCTGTTTATATGAATTACCGTGTCCCCTCCCTGCTCCCTGACCAATTTCTCTGGCCTCGTGGTTGGTTTCCTCCTAGTTCAGGCAACAAGGGATTTCCAGCCCCATGCCTCAAAGAATGCCACAAGAAAGGGAACAAAGATGATGGCAATTCTTGGCTTCCAAATTTTAAAATACAATCTTGAAACTCATGGTAGAAGCAATGTATTTCAGAGAAGATTTTCAGAGTTTCGGAAATGTATGCTTTGGAGTATCAAATGTCAAGGCCTTGGAGGAAAGGCCAGAGCATAGAAGAAGTTTCAGAAGACCTTTTTCCAGTGTAACAGTGGATATGTTTCCTAGAATGAGGAACAGAGAGAAGAAGGAAGGGAGAAAGAGTGTCATTGCCAAGGTGTCTTTGAGAAGGACCCTCTCTGTAGCTTGCCCCAAGACCAAATCCCAGACAGTGGAGGAGACAGAATCTCACATGGGATGCATTTGTTGGGTCTCAGAGCATCAGGTCTCACCTGTATCCTGGACTCTCTCCCTCAGGCACTGGTTCTGTGGTGTTACAGGCTAAACTCCATCCCCTCTCATTCCTGTGCTGCAGTCCTAACCCCTAAAACGTCAGAATGTGACTGCATTTGGAGACAGGGCCTATAAAGACGTGATCACTTAAAAATGAGGTCATTGGGGTGGGCCTTCATCCAATCTCACTGGTGTCCTTATACAAACAGGAAATTTAGACCCAGAGACATGCAGAGGGAAGACTCTGAAGACACAAGGAGAAGACGGCCATCTACACGCTGTGAGAGGCCTCAGGAGAAACCAACTCTACTAACACCTTGATCTTGGACTGTGAGAACAGAAGTAAACTGTGAGAAAATAAGCTTCTCTTGTTCAAGTCACTCACTGTCTGGTATTTTGTTATGACTGCCCTAGTGGACTAACACTTGACCTTAGAGCTGCAGAGCTGCACGGCTCTGATCTGGGCCAATCCCCACACCTCAGAGCCTGGCTCCCCCTGCCACTCCTGAGGTCTGGGCTGTGGCTCCGGGCTCAGTGCTCCATCTCTATCTTGCACCAGCATCTTGCAGCCACCTATGTGTGAGCCCCATCAGGAGTCCTTTCTTCTTCTGTCACTCAGATTAGAGGGAAACTTCTAAGAGGCCAAAGCATGAATTGAGAGAGAGAGAGAGAGAGAGAGATGTTGATGCAACTACTTTTAAATGTTAAATAGATTGATAGAACTCCTAGGAACATAGCAGAATGGCACAGGAATGAAACGATGTCCAACATTGAATTCCTAAAAAGAAAAAAATATTAAATAATAAATAAAGAAAAAAATTCCACATTGAATTCCTAATAAGAAAATAATAATAATAATAAAGGAATTGTGTTGCACTCCTATTATGGGAGGCCTGCGGACAATGCTGAGTTGTTTAACCTCCACTATCAACTCTGAAAGACAGGTATGATTACCACAACCTAACAGATGAGAAATAGGATCTTTAGCTGTAATTATGGCTAGTTAGTGACAGTGGGGTTTTATAGCCGACGCTATCTGACTCCAAAGCCATGATAACTCTATACTGCCTATTAAATTAGATAAGTGGGCATTTTCCTCTCTCTCTTTTTCTGCACAAATGTCTCTAGCTAATACTTCAAGAGAGAGAATAAACAATCAGCAAGTTCATAAATTATACTCCCTTCAAGCAAACAAGCCAATTGTTGTTTGTCCCTCACAGGTGTGGCTTGATTGCTGACCATTAGTGGCCATTAATAAAAGAAACCAGGCTACCACACACAAGTATGTTTCAATTTCCCAGGACTTGCATTTCACACCAGGGAGCTGAGCTCAGCCAATGTTTTCATAAGCTAACACCTGCAAAAGAGACAGAAAGCATGATCTAACTGAAGTACCCTTTATCTTTGGGAATTAAAATATAAACCAAAGGATAATTTGTGAACTTGATCATTCTTTCCCCTCACTGTCATTGGTCTCAGCTTAACACAGAGATAAGCCTCAGGTGTTTTGCAAATCTGTTAGACAGCTTTAAGAGGAGTCAGGACATATTGTAGGGCCTTTGGACAACTCCGTTGGTTTAACCTGATGTTTATTCATTTACCATTCAACAAATAAAGACTGAGCACCTAGTGTGTCCCAAGCACTGCAATAGGCTCTCAGGATAGGAATGAACAAGAAAAGATTGCTGTCCTCAAGTGTCCACACTCTAAGGGGGCAGATGGACACAAACTTATGGTGATAGGACAAGGGGGCGATGGCATTATGAGGTGGAATTTCTGCTCCCACCGGCCAGTTTTCATGAGGAAAGTTCGATTCCACACCCCAGGGGATGTACTCTTGGAAAGAAATTGTAGCCTCTCTCCCACTCACTCCTCCTGAGTAAAGAGAAGTGACTTGCCAGATCAGTAAGACGGAGAAAGCATCCAACGTGAGGCTGAGTTCCCCTGACCCACCCACTCTCTCACTGTCTCTCTTTATCTGCTTGCCTGCCCCTGCATCCAAGGTGTAAGAAAGCTTGGGTTAGGCCCAAGACCTGCCTTCCTAACTAGATCGGGAAGGACAAATCTCTCTCTGGAGGCTCATAGGTGTGGGGCAGGGACTCCTTGCATTTGGCTGTGAATGGCTGGCCTCAGCAGAGTTGCCCCAAAATTTAGATCTGGAGCCAAAGTCTAATGAAGCTCAATTGGCCACAGGTCAACCCATATTCTCCAATCAAGCTTTACCTATAATAAGGCTAGCATTTTGATATCATCTGTGTGGTTCTATGCCTATACTTCCATTTATTTCCAAACTCAGTGGGAAAGAAAGAATGTTATTCAATCACCAGTAGTTATGACAGTGGTGAGAGGGAGGAAATGAATGAGCAAAGAGGAGAAATAGCCAACCTAGTGCAGGGAAGGGGCTGGTGGGTAAGGCTGGACCCTTGAGTGAGGTTCTCAAAAAGGAGTAGATATGACTCAAGCAAATAGGGATGGGAAGGGCATTCTTGGCAGGGAGAAGGGCATATGCAAAGGCATGGAAGTATGAAAGAAGCTCAGTGCATTTGAGAAATTGCTACCCTCATCTCTTGACTCTCCAGGGATGGCACCTGCTTAGCTCCGGCCTCTCTCTTTGGATGGATCTCTGTCTTCACTTCCTCATCTCCAGCCATACGTTAACCGTCTCTAACGCAGCATCTACCTCCTTCACACCACCAAAAGCATCCTTGATAAGGCCACCCATGACCACGTGGTACTAATTACAATTACCATTGTTCAGTTTTTATCTCACCAGGGCTCTTTCAACATTCACCACAATTGACCATTCTCTTCTTCTTCAAGTACTTTTTTCTCTTGGCTTCTATAACACTGCTTTGTCCTGATTTCTGTTTTTCTCTACGAAAACTCCTTATGCTAACATTTCTTCTTTGGCTCCAATTTCTAAGTGTTCAAGGCCCTTTTCTCTATCTTTATGTTAGAATTTTTTGAAGAGATGGAATCTTGTTCTATTGCCCAGGCTGGTCTCGAACTCCTAGGCTCAAGTGATCCTCCTGCCTCTGCCTCCCAAATAACTGAGATGACAGGTGTCAGCCACCGCGCCCAGCTTATGTTTGGATCTTTATGTTCAAATCTACGTGGATATCAGGGGGTGGAGATGAAAACTTAGGAATTATTAACATCTAGTTGCCTGCTGGAGATGGGAGTGGATCATTCATGAGGACGGATGAGCTACCCTAAGAAGTGAGTGCAGATTTAAAAAAAATCCTGCTAGGCGCGGTGGCTCACGCCTGTAATCCCAGCACTTTGGGAGGCCGAGGTGGGTGGATCACGAGGTCAGGAGGTTGAGACCATCCTGGCTAAGACGGTGAAACCCCAACTCTACTAAAAACACAAAAAATTAGCCGAGCGTGGTGGCAGGCACCTGTAGTCCCAGCTACTCAGGAGGCTGAGGCAGGAGAATGGCGTGAACCCGGGAGGCGGAACTTGCAGTGAGCTGAGATCGCGCCACTGCACTCCAGCCTGGGCGACAGAGAGTGAGACTCCGTCTCCAAAAAAAAAAAAAAAAAAAAAAAAAAAAAAAAAATCAGAGTCAGTGGTAATGGTGAAGTAGCTTCCATCATACTAACCTCCCACAGGACAGCAGCCAAAAGCAGGCAGAAACCAAAGGGGATTTGACCCTTGAAAGAAGGAGCCACACTGGGGGAGCGCCTTGGTTATTTGACTTTTCTACTGAGGACACTTCCCACTCTGCATGCCACAGGGTGGCTAGAACTCAAGAAGAAAACCAGCTGGGTGCGGTGGCTCACGCCTGTAATCCCAGCACTTTGGGAGGCTGAGGAGGGCGGATCATGAGGTCAGGAATTCGAGACCAGCCTGGCCAACAGGGTGAAACCCCGTCTCTACTAAAGACACAAAAAATTAGCCGAGCATGGTGGTGCGAGCCTGTAATCCCAGCTACTCGGGAGGCCAAGCAAGAGAATAGCTTGAACCAGGAGGCAGAGGTTGCAGTGAGCTGAGATTGCGCCATTGCACTCCAGCCTGGGCGATAGGGTGAGGCTCCATCTCAAAAAAAAAAAAAAAAAAAAAAAAAAAAAGAGGAAAACCACAGTTTTATTACCCTGAGGAGTCAGAGGATGGGGTTCTGAACTGCTAGAGCAATTGGAAACTGAGGGAAGGCAGACATCCCACAATGGCGGTAGCCAAGAGGGGCAGCCCTAAAACCCCCATATATACACCCCAAAATCACAGGCTGATTAGTGAATTGCACATGCATGAACAAGATTTCAAGGAGCCCAAGGGGGAAACAATAATTGGAAGGCTAAAAGAACAGTGCACAGATTTCAGCAACTGCCCACTGTTGGGGGAGACCAAGTTTGGGGTTTGAGTCCTGCCAAGTTAGAGGAGCTTAATAAACATTTCAGGCTGTCCATTGAAACCCTGCAAAAAGACCATGACTGAAGGTGAAAGGCTATGTCCAAGTTCTAAGGAACTAAGAAACAGAGATGCAATGATGTCAAGTAGTTGTTTTAGGCACATAGTTAATGAGTTTAGGGCTGGGATTCAAACCCACCTGGTCGGGCCTGTCGAAGTTGTCAGAATCAAAATGAAGTCATGGATATTAAGGAAATCCTAACAAAGACAGCTGGGGAAGGCCATAAAGAGAAGTTCCTCTTGCTTGTATGTCTTTGACTAAAAGCTATCACGAAAGACTGCAAAAACCACAATCTTGCGCAAAGGCCATTGCAGAAAAAATCCTTCTGCAAGGACATCTTCCCAGCAATTGCCTGTCTAACCTCAGATTGGCATCACCCTTGTTATTGATCTTTGTAGCCAAGGATAATTATTTCCAAACAGTTGTGTAATCCTCCTCATTTTTCTTCTTTAAAAACCTTTGTCTTCCTTTACCTTCCTGAGTATGCACGTAGTTTACCAGAGCATGCATTTCCCCATTCCAATGCTCTGTTCCCAAATAAAGTGCTTTTCTTTTAGCAAGCCTCCCTCTGGTCGTGATTTGGGATGACAGACCCTATAGCCCATGTCCTTGCCACTGCCCTCCACTGCCTCTGTCTCTGTGCCCTGCGTTTTTCCTTTAAAGCACCCATCACCAAATTCAATATCCAAATACAATTGCATATTTGGTGGTTTGTCTTCTGCACTAGGCGAAGATTCCTGGGCAGAGAGCTCACCTAGCCCCTGGCACACCCACGAAATATTTGTTGAATGAATAAATGAATCATTTGGTATGGCTGATTTACCAATGCCTGAGCGTGTATAATGTATTAATATCTCTCCTGGTAGCAAAAATATATCATTGAAAACGCATCCATGCCATATGATTTCACCCCCTTGTGATCCTGGAGTGAATTAAATCACCAATAATCACTCTCGTTTACAGCTGGGTTTATTTGTACATATCTGTTACTGACTATTTTTAAGCATGATCAGGAATTCCTAAGCGTAGTATGAATGGCTCGGTATTTTGATTAATCAGCTCAGTAGGGAAAATTTCTATGGGTAATCAGACTGAACATAAAGATAGGGCACATGCTGAGAATGAATGAAGGGAGGGAAAAGAGGGAGAGAGAAGGACAGAGGTAAGAATTCTTTTGTAGCCAGAAAAGCAGTTTGAGTCAGTGCCACTGAACATGTAAAGCTTCTTTTTTTTTTTTTTTTTTAGACGGTGTTTCGCTCTTGTTGCCCAACCTGGAGTGCAATGGCACGATCTTGGCTCACTGCAACCGCCACCTCCCAGGTTCAAGCAATTTTCCTGCCTCAGCCTCCCAGGTAGCTGGGACTACAGGCATGCACCATCATGCCTGGCTGATTGTTTTTATTTTTAGTAGAGACGAGGTTTCACCATGTTGGCCAGGCTGGTCTCGAACTCCTGACCTCAAGTTATCCGCCCACCTTGGCCTCCCAAAGTGCTGGGATTATAGGTGTGAGCCACCGCACCGGGCCATTAAAGTTTCTGTTTCATTGTGTGTTAGGCTGGCAGCTGCATTAATTTCCTGGGGCTGCTGCAATGACCACCAACGTAGAGACCTATAACAGAAGTGCACGGTTCTGGAGGCCAAAGTCCTAAAGCAAGGTGCCCGCAGAGCTGTGCTGCCTCCGAAGGCTCTAGGAGAGAATCCCTCCATGCCTCTTGCAGCTGCTGGTGGCTCCTGGCTTTTCTTGGCTACTGCCTGCATCTCTCCAAACCCTGCCCCTGTCTGCACATGGCCTTCTCCCCTGTATGTCTCAGATCTCTCTTTCATTCCTCTTTTAATTAAACCAGTCACTGGATTTAGGGCCTAGTCTGAATCCAGGATGATCTCATCTCCACATCCTTAAATTAAAGACTTTGTTTCCAAATGAGATCACGTTCACAGGTACCCAGAGTTAGAACTTGGATGTACCCTTTTGGGGGACACAATTCAACCCACTGCAGCGGATGTTGCTGCGTAATTCCCTTTAACGGAGGTAAAGAGTGGAGACTAAATTGAAGGAATAAAAAAAATGACATGGATAAAACTAAACAGATATAAAAAGAGAATAGAAAAATATAAGAGGTTATAAAAGATTTATGGAAATTTTGTGTGGTCAAAGCTTACTGAGATTGGATAAATTTGTTTATAAGGTTTTATTAAAATTAGGTTTAGTATGAATACAGAAACACGTATAAAATTTGGTTTTCTCTTTTGAAAAAGATGTTTGTGTAGTATTAATAGGAAGCAAAAACTGTAGTAGTAAAGAAATGATGTTTAACCTTCTTTGAGTTATCTTATATATGCATATTATTAACAGGTGTTCCAAAATTATATGATTCCTAAAATGTTGATATGTCTTGGTATATTTTATGTCATAATTATGACTATTTGGTTAAATTTTTGTAGAAAATAACCAAAAAAAAAAAAAAAAAAAAAGAGTGGAGACTGCCCTGACAGTCAACTTCCCCTGCCCCCGGGTGTTGCTGGGCATGCCTCCACGGCTACATATTCTCTCCAAATTGGAGCCTGCTCTGACCCAAGCCCAGTACTGGGTGTTGTTTTATTCTCACAAGTACTCTGCAAGGTCCCCACTTTCCAGAGAAGGAAATACATACCCAAAGAGGTTAAATCAGCTGCTCAGGGTCACATACATGGAGGTGCAATGTTTGAATTCAGGTGCATCTTCTCCAAAGCCAGGGATATGGCCGTCCCACACTGCCTGAAACACTTCTATTAAAGAGCCACTGTATTCTCAAAACTCATTTGTTAAAATACAGTCTCTTCCTGAGAGAGGTTACCCAAGACTTGCTAGAAACCCAGATTGTGGAAGACTATATTAAATCATCTTCTTCTAGAACCTGAGAAACCCCAGGGGCACGCACATAGGGAGAGACACTAAGATGGAGCTTTGGTATAAGGGTAAACTCACACATTGAGAAACTGATGCCCAGAGAGGTTAAGTGACTGGAGCGGGAGTACATAGCAAATCAGAAATCAGACCTGGGAATCCTGATTCCGCATCAGAAAACTTGGAAGACATCAGTCAATTGAAAGATCCTAAACTGGCTGTGTTGAAGGATTGCTATTAATGGAATCAAGTTTAAACAGCAAAGTCTCAGCCAGATTCCCCATGCTCAGCCCTTTCTGGGAGGCCTCCATAACCGAACAGTTCAGATAGGAGAGTTTTAGCATGGAATGAGCGTTAGAGACCTGAGATTCAGTAGTTTGAGTAGCCACTTCTCCCCTCTGAGCGGCAGTTTCCTGAACTTTCAGCAAAAACGTGGCTTTAATATCTCAAAAGTGCCTCTAGCACTAAATATGTATTATTCTGAAGCTCCTAGAGCTTGGGCAAGCCTCAGTGCCCACTAGAGCTAATTCAAACTCCAAATAGACATTGGTTGTTTCCATTGCCTGACACCGTTTCCCCCTTCCTCTATTACCTGCACTTCACCATTCCAGTGGGGAACCATCATCTATAACTTTTACCTTGCAGTTGAAAAGAGCTGACCACTTCGGCTCTGTAGTGAGCATGTGACTTAGGCCTAACCAATCAGAGCAGTTTGTACCCTGAAGATTGTGATTTGTTCAGGAATAGATATCCATCCAATCTGAGCCAACGAGATTCAGTCCAGAGGCTTTTGTTGAAAATACTTGGAGAAAGAAGTTCTCTGTCTGCTGGCATTGCCAAGCAGTGAGAATCCCACTATGTGAGCCAGGGAGGTCAGTGTAAAGGGGAGCTTGAGTATGGTAAACCGAGTCCTGGTAACACTGACATTGCTGGAGCGTCTAGATGCAACCTTGCCTAAGCTCCAAACACTCATGCTCCAAACACTCTTGCCCAAGCTCTAATTTTAGTTACATAAGCCAGAGTAATTATATTCCTATTTTTTCTTTTTTTGCTTAAGCCACTTTAAGTTATCACTTGCAACTAAAAGTTTCCTGATTGATACCAAAAAACCCTCATTTTAAGGATGAGAAGATGGAAACCCAGAATGAAAAAGTAGCTTTTCCATAAAATCTGATAGCAGAAAGCCGTCAAGCCAATTCCCACTATTTACAGATAAAGAAGTTGAATCCTGAATGCCCGTCAAGTCCAATTCCCACTATTTACAGATAAAGAAACTGGTGTCCAGAGATGAGAAGAGGCTTGTTATGTGTATACAACACACACATATGCACACACTCACATTGCAGTGTGAGTTGTCTTATTACAATACTGAGAAACTCTGTTTATCATCAAACATTGCATATACCTCCTATTACACATGAGAGAATTATTATCTAGCCTGGTGCCGTGAAATGCTTTTTCCCATAATGGAATTTTACTCTGGAAGTGTATTTTGGTATTAAAAGGTTCCACTTTATAATGTCGATGGTTCAATCTGTGATCTAAAAGGCACTTAAATGCTTTGAACAAGAAGCATAAAAAGCTTTTATTGCAAAAGCCTTGCTAGATCTACCAATTTTGCCATTGATCCTTTTCCCCTGAAGACTGCTTCTGGAAGCAGCTGTTGCAGAAGCAAATCCCATGGCAGGGTCGGGTCTCCTGTGGGTTAGTAAGACACATTTCAGAGGGCTGTGCTTTCTGCGTGCCCATATGCAGATACCAAAGCATTCTGGATGGGCTGCAACAAAATGCTTTAAGCACATCACTCCAAGCAAAGACATTTGAGCCATCCAGAAAGGCCATGAAGTTTGAGTTTAACTCCCCTCATTAATCTCAGTGTGTTTCCTCCATTAGGTCACTTCATTGTAAAATAGGTTCAATAATACTAGTATCCAGGCTGGGCGTGGTGGCTCATGCTTGTAATCCCAGCACTGTGGGAGGCTGAAGGGGGCGCGGATCACGTGAGGCCAGGAGTTCTAGACCAGGCAAGCCAATATGGTGAAACCCCATCTCGACTAAAAAGAAAATACAAAAATCAGCTGGGTGCGGTGGCGTATGCCTGTGGTCCCAGCTACTTGGGAGGCTGAGGCATGTGAATGGCTTGAGCTTGGGAGACAAAGTTGCACTCCAGCCTGGGTGACAGAGCAAGATTCTGTCTCAGAAATTATTATTAATAATAATAAAACCAGTATCCAGTGTTCCTGTAGGGATCAGTCAGTTGCAGTTTCTAAGAAACCTGATCCATATTGGTGCCTGGTGAATGCAGTTTCCCTGTTCCTGTTTGGTGTGCTTCCTTCATAACTGAGGGATTCAGATCCCACAGAGAACAGAGATGTAGTGGAAAAAAACCCACACTTAACAGCAGGGAGACCCCTGACATCCTAGCTTTACCCTGGGCAGTTCATTCACTTCTCTAAGCCTCCATTTCCTCAATATAAAGAGGCATTTTAATATGTCACAGAACTGTCATTGTCACTCATGTTGTGTATGGACCAATATGGCTGCCTCCGACCTGAATTCCACATGACCTTTCAGCTCAGTTTCCTGCCATGGAAAAGGGAATATGATCAGCACTTCTTAGTCATTGACTCACCCTTTATCAATAGCTGGGGACCAGGGAAATTTGGTCCACTGCCAAGTTAGCAGGGGCTATAGGCAGGAGTATCCCATGAAGGGGCTGTGGGCAGAGAGGCAATGAGAGCTGGAGTAATAGAGCATTTCCCAGAGAGTGCACCATGGACCAGTGGCCCTATCAGACTTCCAAAGTGAAATAAGTATAGGAAATATTGCGTGCAGCACTTTCTGCAAGATTTCCAATGCCCATCATTGTGTTTAATTTCTACGGTCAGAGGGGGAATATAATCTTGTTTAATCTTAGACTTCTCAAACATATTTCACCATGGAACACCTTTTCCCAAGCACCATTTCACAGCACTGATGGAGGGCAGAGCACACTTGAGGGAGCAGGGCTCCAAGATTCCAGAAGCTCAAGTGGAATTTTTAAACTATTTCCTACATTGAGTATTCCTGCTGACACTTCAGTGCTTCCATTTGGGTATTCCAATGCCAAGCTATTCTTTGGCCACACCATTGACTGTTCTCAAAGCATTCATTGATCTGCGCATGTAGTCACATTGACAAAATGCACTCCACTTCCCATGTACTCTCCTAGGCAAAGAGAACACCTGCAAAAATATGGCTCCTGGCTAAAGGGAAGGTAGACACGTGGGTAAACAAGAGTGAAAAGGCTCATAAGATAAATGTGTGCCTGGTGGAAGTGCAGAGGGTTTGGGGAGAAGCCTTGTTTGAAGGATGAGTTGCTGCCCCTAGGAAAGAGTCAAGGAAGGCAGGATGCAGCACAGGCTATGCATGCAAAGGCCCAGAAGGAAGATAGCAGAGGGGATTTCTGGAATTACAAGGAATTAAATTAGGATAGAGAGCCAGGGATAAGAGGAGAGGAGTGGAAAGGTAAGTAGGGGGCAGGCCATGAAGAATGTACTGAGCCGTGCATGCCAAGGGTATCCTTAAGCATCCTCCAGAGGCAATGGAATAGTCAAATATTTTTTAGTGTGGAGGTGAGGTGACATGGTTAGATTTGTGGTTAACAACAGTCCTAAAACCCTGTGGAGGTGGGCTTGGAGAAACCACCCAGAACATTTGATAATGGCTCATAGGCAGGATGTGCTTAAAAGGTTAAAGATGGCTGCACATTCCTTGTCCGTCTCCTGATTGAAAGATGACGTTTATTTCCCCTCCCCTTTCACCTGGGCTGGACTTAGTGGCTTGCTCGGCCAATGGAATGTGGGAGAAGGGACTTCCAAGCCTAGTCATAAGAATCCTTGCAGTTTCTACCTAGGCTTCTTGGAATACTCACTCTAGAGCAGTAGTGTCCAACCCTTTGAATGCGAGGACACTTTGTGGTGGTGGGTATCACAAAAATTATTCACGGACTTTTTTTTTTTTTTTTTTTTTTTTTTAGCTCATCAGCTATCATTAGTGTTAGTGTATTTCATGTGTGGCCCAAGACAATTCTTCCAGTGTGGCCCAGGGAAGCCAAAAGTTTGGACACCCATGCCCTAGAGAGAGTCAGCTGTCCAATCCCCCTAGGAAAGACCATGCTGCTCTAAGGGTAGCCCAAGCTAGCCACATGGAGAGGTGCATATTCAAAGAGACCCACTGTGCTAGCTATCCCAATCAAATCATCAGACATGTCAGTGCAAATGCCATCTAGGGTAATCCAGGTCTAGAAAACACAACATGGAGACAAATTAAAGAGTTCAGCCAGCAGCCAGAACCAAGGCCCCAGTAACACAGCTCCGGGAGGTGCCCCAGCCATCTCTTATTGTTCAGGTCATCCTCGCGGAGGTGGAGCCATTGTGAATCGGAGACCAGCTATCTTGCATGCCCTGCCCCAATTCCTAACCTACAAAACTGTGCATATAATACAATGGGGCTATTGTTCTATGCCACTAACTTTTGGGGTGGTTTGTTACACTGCAAGAGATAAACATGATACTGGACAAATTCAAGTTGAAGTTCATCTAGTGAAACCATCCTGTGAACAGAAGTTACTGTTTTATAGCTACAGAGTCTCCATTTGGAAAATGAAGAATTCCGAAGATGGATGGTACTGACGGTTTCACAACAGTGGGAATATGGTTAATGCTACTGAACTGTGTGCATTTAAAAATGGTTAGGATGGGAAATTTTATGTTATGTGTATTTTACACAATTAAAAATTTCTCAGTCTTGTGAAAAGATTGGGAGCAGTGCACACGCACGCATGCACACACACACGCATGCACACACGCACACACACACGCACGCACACACACTTCTCAGACACATTTCCTATTTCACAGCACAATCTTACCATGTCCTCTGCCCTAGCATGTGTCACTTCATAGCCACAATTCTGAAGCACTGGGGTCCAGTGTCCCTTGAGAAGGAACATGGCCATAAATATGGAGAACCTCATTAGTAGGTGGGCTTCATTAATTAATAAGAATTTAATACAATTCCAGGAGCCAAGCAACAACACCACGTTAGTCGTTTTGTTCCCATGGCAAGACCATCTCTGCAGTGATTTCTTATGTTCCTGGGTCAAATCGAAGACCTCACTGCAAAGCCAGCCAAAGCCTCCCTTCAAGGAAGGCACTTTTGGGCACTTCAAGACATTCATCTTCTCCCAAGGCTCAAAGTCTGCCTAGACATTGCCGAAGACGAAGCATAGCCTCCCATTGCTTTTGGTATTGGAAGTGCAGGGGAGGTGCTGAGAGGCCTTGGGGAGGGGAAGCCATTCTGCAGGAAGGGGAAAGGGTTTGGGGAGGGTCCTAGGGAGAGCATCCTCACCAAGATACTGCCAGAGAGGAGCTGAGCACAGGTCTCTGATCATATTTCACTCATGTTTCAGAGTGCTTTGTTATGTGTCATTCACATTTCAGAGTGAAATATAATCAGAGACCTGTGCTCAGCTCCTGGTTCTGAACCTAACAGTCTCTGTGACATTATGACGGTTTCTCTGTCTCATGATGGGGGCTTCTCTGTCTCAGTGGCAGGTATCACAGGGTCACACTGAGGTATTAAACTTGCAAACTATCTATCAGGTCTGGGAGGAAGAGCCTTACCATGAGCCTAAAGGATTGTTGTGGTTGAATTTTGTCTCTCAAAAATTCATATGTTGAAGTCCTAACCCCCAGTACCTAAAATCAGAGCTTACCTGAAATCAGGGTCATTGTAGATATAATTTGTTAAGATGAAGCCATACTGGAGTAGGGTGAGCCCCTAATACATCACAACTGATATGCTTAATACAAGAGGAAAGTAGGACACAGATACACACCCAGGGAGCATACTGTGTGAACATCAGAGTCTGCGGTCACAAACCAAGGAGCTACCAGAAGCTCCAAAAGAGGCCTGGAACAGAGCCTTCCCTAGCACCTTCAGAGGGAACATGGCCCTTCCCACACTTTGATCTTGGGCTTCTAGCCTCCAGCACTGTGAGACAATAAATTTTTGTTGTTCTAAGCCAAGCAGTTTGTGGTACTTTGTTACAGCAGCCCTGGGAAACTAATACGAGGTTGATTTGTTTCGCAAACGTGCCTTCCTGGAACTCCTCTCATGTCCTGGGCCCCATGTACCGAGACGAGTAGGACACATGTCTCTTTGTGTTCAAGTGTCCCCTTGAGAGAAAAACTCATCACAAAGTGTTATGAGCAAATTGTGTCCCCCCTAGATTCATATGTTGAAGTCCTAACCCTCAGACTGTGACGGTCGATTTGGAGATAGGCCTTAAGTTAAAATGAGTCATTGGGGTGGGTCCCAATCCAATAGGACTGGTGTCCTTATGGGAAGGGGAGATTAGGACATGGATACACACAGGAGGAAGACGATGTGAAGACACAGCAAGATGTCAACCATCTGGCCGGGCACAGTGGCTCATGCCTGTAATCCCAGCACTTTGGGAGGCCAAGGCAGGTGGATCACAAGGTCAGAAGATCGAGACCAGCCTGGCTAACACGGTGAAACCTCGTCTCTACTAAAAATACAAAAAATTAGCCAGGCGTGGTGGCATGAACCTGTGGTCCCAGCTACTTGGGAAACTGAGGCAGGCGAATGGTTTGAACCCAGGAGGTGGAGGTTGCTGAGCCGAGACTGCGCCACTGCACTCCAGCCTAGGTGACAGAGTGAGGCTCTGCCTCAAAAAAAAAAGAAAAAAAAAGATGTCAACCATCTATAAGCTGAGGAGAGAGGTCTCAGGAGAAACCAGTCCTGCTGACATCCTGATCTTGGACTTCTAGCCTCCAGGGCTGTGAGAAAATAAATTTCTGTTGTGTAATTCCCCAATCTGTGGTACTTTGTTATGGCAACCTGACCAAACCAATGTGAAAAGCAACGTGCTAAGTTCAAAATGAACACAATGCAGAGAAGAGGCTCCCAACCTGACCCAGGGAATCTGGAAGGGCTTATAAGAATAAGTGACATCCAAAATTTGGATAACCCCCAGGACTGTGAGGGACAAGTTCTCCATTCCATAAGCATCCATGTTCTGCTTCACTTTGGGGACTCTGGCAGTGGGCTCACTCTCTCCCATCTGAAGACAAAACCCAGAATATCTAGATGTGACCAAGACAAGACTCTCCTTTCCACAGAGGGGTTCTCGTCAGCAGAAGAGCAGCCAGATTGCTGGGGAGGGTCAGCCAGGCCTCTTATGATTCTGCAATTCCACATGAACTCCGCTGCACAGGGAGGGGTCTCATCTCCCTGACTCTACCCCTATCACGATCCATACTGGGGCCTGGTACATAGCAGATTCTCTGAAATTGTTCATTGAACAGAAGTGAGAGAAGAGCTGGACTTCAGCCCAGCCTATTCCTGGGGTCCCAGTTGCCGCAGTGGCCTTGAAGTGTTTGCACAGCTTCTGCAGACAACTGGGACACCTGCTCCTTCACATGGGGGCATGGACCTACTCATCAAGTCAGCCCATCTGTGACCAACGCAATGGGTCATGAAGCAGGAAGTTACACCGTGCAAGATGGCAGTACACGGGTCATCTCACCCAAGCTGAGCCAATCAGCCCCTTCTCTGAGGATTCTGAATTGAAGGGATGGGGAAAAAAGATGGTGAAAGAGAGACAGACACAAAGAGAGCCTGGGACAAAGTGACACACACACATAACACACACACACACACAATCCACACAGCCTTTGTCCCTGGTTCGAGTCCCTTCCTCCCTTCCAGAGGCTGACAAAGCTTACCTAGCAGTGATGGGAGTTGAAGATTCCTATTATCCCTGCCTCCAACCCCATTGGTTCTTCCCAGGAAGAATACTTAAATATGCCTACCACCAGGGGCCTTGGAGGGTTATTTTACAACAAAACAATGAAAAAATAAGAGAAATCTTGGCAAACTTTAAAGAAAATACAGTTAATTGCCACTGACATTCTCTCTTAGGTTGCATAAGCAAGCGCTGGGCTTAATCACATGCATTATTGCAATCAGCCTGCCAATCACATTTTGAAATATTTCATTTTTGACATAATTACAGTAGAATACCCACAACCCATCAATAATATGGATAAGGCAAGATTGATATTGTGTTTCCAAGAGGGGCCTGACAAAGGCATCGTAGCTTTTGTTCAGGGAAGAAAGGCAGGAGGGAGAGCATCTCCCTCTCCCTTTAGGACAGGTTTAGCCAGACTGTCTAGAACGTCACTCACAAGAGGCTGGAAAACCCCACTCTTTGGAACCGTAATTAGGAATTTTCAATTATTCAAGCCTCGTGTAGGTTATTCTTATGGAGTAACAAATTCAAAATGAACGCTATAACCTGGGGCCTTTGTGCTTACATGTTATTGTGAAATGGAAGCCTATTGTGAATTGCTCTTTTATGTTAATTTACCTCATTTTACTTATTAGATCCTTGCTGTAGATCAGTTGATTCATGTGTACGATTCTAAAAAGTAAAATGTGCAGAGAGAAATTGTAAAATTCGGACTTCCAACATACCCAGTAGCTTGGCCATGGGCCCCCTACCACCCCCTACACCTTTTGTCTTTTCATCAAGGTAGGGCTTTGCCTTTATTCCCAACAGCGGGGATTAGAAACCTCAGACAAACCCTCAGACAAGGTTGTTCAAAGGATGACTTTTTTTTTTTTTTGCATACAGAGTTCAGTTCTTTCAGGAGAACCCGTTATCCACTTAGTTGAAGTGCAGAAGTTGAGAGAAGGAGGAGGAAGCTCAGATCTAAGGAGAGCATGTCCCTACTCAAACCTTTGTTCTAGAAGCTTTGCTTATGATGGACAAACCACTGGGCATGTTTGAGCAACAAAAGGGGGCATGAAACCTCCCACAAGCACACCCCGGGGGTCTGGCACGGAGATGGGGGTAGAGTCCTGTGGGTCTGCAGCATGGCTTTGCAGCTATTGCACCCACCCTGGGCTCTCCCTTTTCAGAAAGGCCCTGGCACCTGCCAACTGGCCCTGCCCACAGGGCTGACTTCCCCACCAGGCAGCACAGGCCCAGAGCCAGGCCCCTGATACTTTCCAGAGCCTACAAACACGTCTGACTTTCTTTCAGAATTAGAGGGGAGGAAAAAAGAAGTTTTAGATCACAGAAAACGTTTTAATATGCAATGTTAATATATTTGTCTTTATACTCATGCATTCAAAAAATATAGCTTTAACACATTTAAATTTTTTATTGTGATAAAATATACATAAAATTTACCATCCTAACAATTTTTTAGTGTACAGTTCAGTTGTGTTAAATTCATTTACATTGATGTGCAACCTATCTCCAGAACTCTTTTCACTTGCCAAACTGAAGCTCTGTACCCGTTATACAATTCTCCATTCTCCTCTCCCACAGTCCCTGGCAACTACCATTCTCTTCTCTGTCTCTATGAATTTGACTACTATTGGTACTTTATATAAGTGGAATCATACAATATTTTTTGTTTGTTTATTTTAAAAAGACAGGGTCTCAATCTGTCACCAAGGCTGGTGTGCAGTGGCATGATCATAGCTCACTGCAGCTTTGAACTCTTGGGCTCAATCAATCCTCCTGCCTTAGCCTCCCAAGAAGCTGAGACTATAGGCATGCACCCCTATACCTAGCTAATTTTTAAATTTTTTGTAGAGAGAGGGATCTCGTTGTGTTGCTCAGGCTGGTCTTGAACTCCTGGCCCTGGTAGTATTTGTCTTTTTGTGCCTGGCTTATTTCACTCGGCATAATGAACTCCAGGTCCATGCATGTTGCAGTACGTGTCAGAATCATCTTCCTCTTTAAGGCTGGATAATATCCCATTGTATGGATGGACCACATTTGCTTTCCAGTCGTCTATAGGTGGACACTTGGGTTGCTTCCATCTTTTGATTATTGTCAATAATGCCGCTGTGAACATGGGCATATAAATATCCGTGAGTCCCTACTTGCAATTCTTTTGAGTATATACCCAGAAGTGGAATTGCTGGGGATCATATGAGAATTCTATTTTTAATTTTTTGAGAAAACACCATATTGTTTTCCCCATCAGCTACACCATTTTACATTCCTACCAATGGTAGGCAAAGGTTCCAACTTCTCCACATCTTCATCAGCACTGTTCACTTCTGTTTTTTGGTTTGATTTGGTTGATAGTGGCCATCCCAATGGGTGAGAGGTAGTATTTTTAATATTTTTTCTTAGAGGAAGAGACCCGCAAAGACAATAGTGTCTCAGACTCATGACAGCCAGAGTGTGGCCCTGCTGGCCTCCATCAGCCTCTTGAGGGTCTTCTGGCCTCTTGGTGCCGCAGCCAGAGTGGCCTCTCCCATTCCCACCTGGAGATTTCACTCCTCTGCTTCATACTCTTCTATGGTGTTCTGCATCCAGAATGTTCCGATCCCTTGCTTCTGTGCCTGTCATGCTGCCTGAAAGCACCAGGAGACAGGGGCTGACTCGTGAACAGTACTTGGAAAATACGGACTGAAGAACACATAGCATTGCCCTGTCAGGCATTCAAGAATGCACAGTAGCCCCCACTGAGGTTGTCTGCAATCCACAGCAACCATTCACGGGTGGGCCCTCAGCACTCCACGGAGGCTGCCTCGCTTAGTTCTGTGTTGATTCCTGTGGCTGCTATAACAAATCACAATACACTGGGTGGCTTTAACAAACAGAAGGGGACCCTCTCACAGTTCTAGTGGCCAGACCTCTGAAGTCAGCATCACTGTGCTGAAATCAAGGCTCTAGAGGAGAATCTGTTGCATCTCCTGGTGGCTCTTCCACGTGGCTGCCCACATCCCTTGGCCTATGGCCGCATCCCTCTAATCTCTGCCTCTATTATCACATTGCCTTCTCCTTTGTGTGTGTGTCACATCTCCTCTTGCCTCTCTCTTATAAGGATATAGGTGATAGTATTTAGGGCCCGCCAGATAATCCAGGATGATCTGCCCATTTTGAGGCAGTAACTCTATCACATCTGCAAAGACACTTTTCCAAATCAGGTAACATTTACAGGTTCCAGGGATTGGGTCCTGATATATTTGGGGGGCATTATTCAGGCTACCACAGTTCCCCACACAACCCCATGAGGCATGTCTCCTGTATTTTGGAGGTAAGAAGCTGTGACTGGGGAGGTAGGTGCTTAACGAGTGACATGCTGAGGTCACACATCCCCTTTGGGTGAGATGGTTAATGCGCCAGATTCCAGAGGCTTAGCTCTTCATAGGGCTTCTCAGAGACAAACCCCAGCTTCTAGGACTCCAGCTCTGCCTCACACAACCCCTACAGTCCTGCCCCTGGACCTCAGGATGGTAGAGACTCCCCCACCCCCAACCCAAGACAGTAGGTCCCTGTCTTATTGAGTGCCAAGACTCTTTTTGCTATGCTGTAGAGGGAGATATAACTATTTGTTTTAGGAAACTTTTCTGAAATAAAAACCACTTTTCTGAAATAAATAAGAATGATTTCCACATTACCCAATATTCACGGCGGAATTGTATCCCCCTAAATTCCTACCTTGAAGTCCTAACTCTGAGCTCCTAAGAATATGACCTTATTTGGAAATAGGGTCATAGCAGATGTAATGGTTAGGAGGAGGTCATACTGGAGTAGGGTGAGCCCTACCTCAATATGACAGGTGTCCTTATAAAAAGAGGAAACGTGGTCACAGACACACATACAGGGAGAATACGATTTGAAGGGAGTTCTGCTGCCACAAGCCAAGGAGTTACCAGAAGCTCAGAGACAGACCTGGAATGGATCCCTCCCAAGAGCCTTCAGAGGGGGCACAACCCTGCCCACACCTTGATCTTGGACTTCTGGCCTCCAACACTGGGAAAGAATGAACGTCTGTTGCTTAAGTCACCCAGTTTGTGGTGCTTTGTGACAGCAGCCTTAGCACATGAATACATCTGGTAAGGCAGATCACTGAACTAACCAGAAACTTCATTCCCTGCTGCCTCTCCATGCCTGGGTTGGCAAGGCTGACCCGCTTTTAGGCTGGGGGGTGCTGTCTTGTACCATTCAATGCAGGCACCGAAGTGTGCTTTCTATGGCCTTCCTCACTAGCTGTGAGCATTATCGTCACAACGTGGGGTGTGGTATGGTGTCTTGTATAACATGACCTGAGAAAAAGAAAGAAGAAAGGGAGGGAGGGAGAGAGGGACAGAGGAAGGAAGGAAGGAAGGAAGGAAGGAAGGAAGGAAGGAAGGAAGGGAGAGGGGAGGGAAGAAGGAAGGAGGTAAGGAAAGAAGGAAGGAGGGAGGAAGGGAGGAGGAAGGAAAGAAGGAAGGAGGGAGTGAGGGAGGGAGGAAGGAAGGAAAGAAAGAAGGAGGGAGTGAGGGAGGGAGGAAGAAAGGAAAGAAGGAAGGAGGGAGTGAGGGAGGGAGGAAGGAAGGGAAGAAGGAAGGAAAGAAAGAAAGAAGGAGGGAAGGAAGGAAGAAAGAAGGAAGGAGGGAGGGAGGAAGGAAGGAATGAAGATAGGAAGGAAGGGAGGGAGAGAGGAAGCAAGCGAGGGAGGGAGGGAGGAAGGAAAGAAGGAAGGGAGGGAGGAAGGAAGGAGGAAGGATGGAAGGCAGGGAGGGAGGGAAGGATGAAGGAAGGAAGGAAGGAAGGGAAGGAGGAAGGATGGAAGGAAAGAAGGGAAGGAGGAAGGGAAGGAAGGAAGGAAGAAGGAAGGGAAGGAGGAAGAAGGGAGGGAGGAAGGATGGAAGGGAGAGAGGGAGGAAGGATGGAAGGGAGGGAGGGAGAGAGAGGAAGGATGTAGGGAGGAAGGGAGGGAGGGAGGGATGGAAGAAAGGACGGATGGAAGGGAGGGAAGCAAGGCTGGGAAGGAAGGAAAGAAGGAGGGAGGAAGGGAGGGAGGAGGAAGGGAAGGAGAGCAAGGGGAGAGGGGCACTCATAGGCTGGCTTGTGGAGGCTCTGCCCTTTATCTCCCTTCAGCTGACCTCACTTCCTCTGTTTTCCCGTTCGTTCTTGCAACTGTAGTGTGCCTTCCTGGTGTGCCCTCTGTGGGCATTTCTCTAGGAGTGCCTCCTTGCTTTCATGTATAAATGTGGGTCCCCAAGGTCCATTCACTGCTTTACCTCCTTGCTTTCCATCTGTTTCAGCTTCTTTCATTGACTTGAGACCTTCATGACATCCTCTTCAATTTTCAATCTAAACAGAAGAGCTGCTTCTTATCCGATTTTTTGCCCCAAATTCCCCACTATATTAGGGTCGATTTCTTTTTTAATTAGATCCCTTATTAGCTTTGTTTTTCTGAAAATAAAATTTTAGTTTGAACTACATGAAATTGCCATTTGCATAAATCAAAATTGGTCAAATACCAGCATTTTAAATGGACCATCCTAATCACAAAACATAAAAATAAAAATAATACATGTAATATTATCTCTACATGAAATAGAGAAATTTTGAAGAATTCAAAATGTATGGTGGTAAAAATAAAAATCACTTATTTCATGGCTGGTCATGGCGGCTCATGCCTATAATCCCAGCACTTTGGGAGTCCGAGGCGGTCAGATCACCTGTGGTCAGGAGTTCGAGATCAGCCTGGCCAACATGGTGAAACCCAGTCTCTACTAAAACTACAAAAATTAGCCGGGATGGTGGTAGGTGCCTGTAATCCTAGTCACTCAGGAGGCTGAGGTAGGAGAATCACTTGAACCTGGGAGGCAGAGGTTGCAGTAAGCCTAGATTGTGCCACTGCACTCCAGCCTGGGCAATAGAGTGCACAAAAAACCCTTCAAAAAATCAATGAATCCAGGAGCTGGTTTTTTGAAAAGATCAACAAAATTGATAGACCGCTAGCAAGACTAATAAAGAAGAAAAGAGAGAAGAATCAAATAGACACAATAAAAAATGATAAAGGGGATATCACCACTGATCCCACAGAAATACAAACTACCATCAGAGAATACTATAAACACCTCTACGCAAATAAACTAGAAAATCTAGAAGAAATGGACAAATTCCTCAACACATACACCCTCCCAAGACTAAACCAGGAAGTTGAATCTCTGAATAGACCAATAACAGGCTCTGAAATTGAGGCAATAATTAATACCTTACCAACAAAAAAAAGTCCAGGACCAGATGAATTCACAGCTGAATTCTACCAGAGGTACAAGGAGAAGCTGGTTCCATTCCTTCTGAAACTATTCCAATCAATAGAAAAAGACGGAATCCTCCCTAACTCATTTTATAAGGCCAGCATCATCCTGATACCAAAGCCTGACAGAGACACAACAAAAAAAGAGAATTTTAGACCAATATCCCTGATGAACATCGATGCAAAAATCCTCAATAAAATACTGGCAAACCGAATCCAGCAGCACATCAAAAAGCTTATCCGCCATGATCAAGTGGGCTTCATCCCTGGGATGCAAGGCTGGTTCAACATACACAAATCAATAAACGTAATCCAGCATATAAACAGAACCAATGACAAAAGCCACATGATTATCTCAATAGATGCAGAAAAGGCCTTTGACAAAATTCAACAACCCTTCAAGCTAAAAACTCTCATTAAATTAGGTATTGATGGGACATATCTCAAAATAATAAGAGCCATCTATGACAAACCCACAGCCAATATCATACTGAATGGGCAAAAACTGGAAGCATTCCCTTTGAAAACTGGCACAAGACAGGGATGCCCTCTCTCACCACTCCTATTCAACGTAGTGTTGGAAGTTCTGGCCAGGGCAATCAGGCAGGAGAAGGGAATAAAGGGTATTCAATTAGGAAAAGAGGAAGTCAAATTGTCCCTGCTTGCAGATGACATGATTGTATTTCTAGAAAACCCCATTGTCTCAGTCCAAAGTCTCCTTAAGCTGATAAGCAACTTCAGCAAAGTCTCAGGATACAAAATCAATGTGCAAAAATCACAAGCATTCTTATACACCAATAACAGACAAACAGAGAGCCAAATCATGAGTGAACTCCCATTCACAATTGCTTCAAAGAGAATAAAATACCTAGGAATCCAACTTACAAGGGATGTGAAGGACCTCTTCAAGGAGAACTACAAACCACTGCTCAATGAAATGAAAGAGGATACAAACAAATGGAAGAACATTCCATGCTCATGGGTAGGAAGAATCAATATCATGAAAATGGCCATACTGCCCAAGGTAACTTACAGATTCAATGCCATCCCCATCAAGCTACCAATGACTTTCTTCACAGAATTGGAAAAAACTACTTTAAAGTTCATATGGAACCAAAAAAGAGCCTGCACTGCCAAGTCAATCCTAAGCCAAAAGAACAAAGCTGGAGGCATGACGCTACCTGACTTCAAACTATACTACAAGGCTACAGTAACCAAAACAGCATGGTACTGGTACCAAAACAGAGATATACAGCAATGGAACAGAACAGAGCCCTCAGAAATAATACCACACATCTACAACCATCTGATCTTTGACAAACCTGACAAAAACAAGAAACGGGGAAAGGATTCCCTATTTAATAAATGGTACTGGGAAAACTGGCTAGCCATATGTAGAAAGCTGAAACTGGATCCCTTCCTTACACCTTATACAAAAATTAATTCAAGATGGATTAACGACTTAAATGTTAAGCCTAAAACCATAAAAACCCTAGAAGAAAACCTAGGCAATACCATTCAGAACATAGGCATGGGCAAGGACTTCATGTCTAAAACACCAAAGGCAATGGTGACAAAAGCCAAAATTGACAAATGGGATCTAATTAAACTAAAGAGCTTCTCCACAGCACAAGAAACTACCATCAGAGTGAACAGGCAACCCACAGAATGGGAGAAAATTTTTGCAGTCTACTCATCTGACAAAGGGCTAATATCCAGAATCTACAATGAACTCAAACAAATTTACAAGAAAAAAAACAAACAACCCCATCAACAAGTGGGCAAAGGATATGAACAGACACTTCTCAAAAGAAGACATTTATGCAGCCAACAGACACATGAAAAAATGCTCATCATCACTGGCCATCAGAGAAATGCAAATCAAAACCACAATGAGATACCATCTCACACCAGTTAGAATGGCGATCATTAAAAAGTCAGGGAACAACAGGTGCTGGAGAGGATGTGGAGAAATAGGAACACTTTTACACTGTTGGTGGGACTGTAAACTAGTTCAGCCATTGTGGAAATCAGTGTGGCGATTCCTCAGGGATCTAGAACTAGAAATACCATTTGACCCAGCCATCCCATTACTGGGTATATACCCAAAGGATTATAAATCATGCTGCTATAAAGACACATGCACACGTATGTTTACTGCGGCACTATTCACAATAGCAAAGACTTGGAACCAACCCAAATGTCCAACAATGACAGACTGGATTAAGAAAATGTGGCACATATACACCATGGAATACTATGCAGCCATAAAAAATGATGAGTTCATGTCCTTTGTAGGGACATGGATGAAGCTGGAAACCATCATTCTCAGCAAACTATCGCAAGGACAAAAAACCAAACACCGCATGTTCTCACTCACAGGTGGGAATTGAACAATGACAACACATGGACACAGGAAGGGGAACATCACACACCAGGGCCTGTTGTGGGGTAGGGGGAGGGGGGAGGGATAGTATTAGAAGATATACCTAATGCTAAATGACAAGTTAATGGGTGCAGCACACCAGCATGGCACATGTATACATATGTAACAAACCTGCACGTTGTGCACATGTACCCTAAAACTTAAAGTATAATAAAAAATAAAAATAAAATAAAATAAATAAAGTGCACAATAAATGTAAAGGGCTTGAATCATCCCAAAACCATCCCCCACCAACCCCTGGTTCGTGAAAAAAAAAAAAATTGTCTTCCCTGAAACTGGTCCCTGGTGCCAAAAAAGTTGGGGACTGCTACCTAAAACAACATCCATTTATTATCTTAGTTCAGAAGGTCAGGTGTCATGATGACATCGCGGGACTCTGCTCAGGACTTCACAAGGCTACACTGAGGGTGTTGGCTGGCTGCTTTCTCACCTGCAGCTTGGTGTCCTCTTCCAAGCAATTCCTGCTATTGGCAGAATTCGGTTCCTTGGGACTGTAAGTTCTTCTTGGCGATCACCTGGGGGTCCCCTCAGCTCCTTGTGATTGCCCTCTGGTGCTTGCCTGTGGCTCCCTCCACAGGGATCCCTTGCATGCACAGTTCTCAATAGGGTCCGCGCTCCTATGAGAATCTGATGCAGCCACCGATCTGACAGGAGGCAGAGCTCAGGCGGCAATGCGAGCAATGAGGAGTGACTGTAAATTCAGATGAAGCTTCACTTGCTTGCCTGCCACTCCTTCCTCCTTCTGTCTCCTTCCACCACAGGGGCTGGGGACCCCTGGCTTATATGAATTAAATGTAGGCTTAGCAGTTATAGCAAAAACACAAAATAAGTGGCTCAAAGAAAAGAGAAACGTCCACTCACCTGTCTAGGAGCTGGCATGGCAGCTTCATGGCACTAAGAACCCAGGCTCCTTCTGCCTTCTGGATTTGCCACCCTAACTTGCTACCTGACCCACCTCTCAGTCCCCTTTCAAAGCAGCAAATTGAGGAAATAAGGGGAACACTTCCACATTTAAAGGCTTGTGCCAGAAGTGGCACACAAACATTACTTGTCTTCACAACGGAAAATCTGAAACTTTTCACAGCCTGGGTTTTGAAACTTGGCCACCTCTAGCCACAGAGAAGCCAGGAAAGTGTCTCCTTCTAGGCATTTCACTCAGCTACAAGTCAAGGGTTCTCTTATCTTAGAAAAAGGAGAGAACCAAGGTTGTGGACAATTAGGAGTCTCTGCCGCAGTAATCAAAGATCTATCTCTTTAAAAAAAAAATCACCATGCCAGATCGTTTTAAGAACAAATTCCCCCAAACCTTTAAAAAATAGTTTTAGATCTATTGACTTTTATAGAGCATAGGAAGCTTCCCAGCCCATCCTTTCAGGTTGGCATCACCCTGATATTAAAAACAAAAATAATGCACAGATAAAGAGAACTACAGGTCCGTATCACTTATAAACATAGAAGCAAATCCTAAATAAAATATGATCAATGGTCTGTTATGGAAATCACACAACTTAATCAAGTAGAGCCTAATCCCAGAAATGCAAATATGGTTCAACATTAGGAAATTCACTTTATTAACAGATCACAAGAGAAAATCATATGGTCATCTCAAAATATGTTGAAAAATAATCTGGTAAAATAAAATAACTAATCCCAGATTTAAATTAAAAAAAAACTTTTTATTACCTGGAAATAGGAGGAAATTTCCTTATGTTGATAAAGAACATTGTGGCATTGATTGCTGTAGCCCCCCCATCATCAATTCTCACTTCCTCCCTTTTGTAATGGTTCCTAAACCCTAGCTTTAGTTGTAGTTTAGAACTATAGCTTTAGGTGGGTATGTGGTCACTAAGTTACAGACTACATTTCCCAGGCTCCTTTGCCATTGAGAGTGGTCAGGTGATTAATTTCAGCCAATGGGATGTGAATAGAAGGCATACCTATAATTTGCCTTGTTACTGCTTTAAAGAGGAAGCTCGACATCCCTCTCCTATCTCCCGCTAGCTGGAAAACAGCAATGACTGATCATGTTTGGAAGCTACCTGAGGAGAATAGCAGAACCAGCCCTGTGCTGCCTACCCGGGACTATCACTGTGAACTCTTATGTAAGAGATCAGTTAGCTTCTATCTTATTTAAGCCATAGTATTTTGGAGTCTTCTTGTACCATTTAGCCTATGCCCTAAAACCCCACAAACATAATTTCCAACGATGAATCATTAGAAGCCTCCCTATTAAAGTCAGGAACAAGAAAAGGATACCTGCTATCATCTTTATTATACGACATTTTGCTGGAGGTACTAGTCAAAGCAATTAGGTGAGAAGAGGGATAAAATAATAAATATAAGAAAGCAAGAAATTTACGTTCCCATTTTGTGCAGGCAATATGATCATTTGCTTTCTAACTGAAGAAGCACTAGAAAGAATAAGAGATTTCAATAAGTTTCTGGAATATATATAATAGGTTTTCTTTTTTATTACTTTTTTTAAAAATTTTAAGTTCTGGAATACATGTGCAGGATGCGCAGGTTTGTTACATAAGTAAACCTGTGCCATAGAGGTTTGCTGCACCTATCAACTCATCACCTAAATATTAAGCCTCGCATGCATTAGCTATTTATCCTGATAATAGGTTTTCTATACACAATGACCAATTGGAAAATATAATAGGAAAAAAATCCTGTTCACAAAAAAAAAATAACATTTGTCAGTACAAATATGTAGAAATAAACTTTACAAAAAATGTGCACATTCTATTTTTTAAAAAAACTATAAGCTTTTCTCAATGATATAAGACAGCTTTAAAAAAATCAAGAGCATACTATTTGTAGATGGTGTACTCTGCTATAAAGATGTCAGTATTCCTCAAATTCACTTTTAAATGTTATGTATTCCCAATAAAAAGTTTATAGAACTTGATAAAGTGATTTTCAAGTCCATCTGTTTGAGTCCAAGAAGAATAAAAATGTCAAACATCTTACATGTTCTAGTAGCTTAAGTACTAGAAACAGACACAGAAACAGACAAATAGATCAATGAAATAAGAGAGAATACAAAAAAGAACTGTTGGATAAATGACAATTTTGTTGGTGGTAAAGATGGCATCTTACATTAGTGGAGAGCACAGACTATTCGAGAAATAACCTTGAGATAATTGGCCCTCCATTTAGAAATAATTTTAGAACTTTACCTCACACCATATACAATAATAGATTCTAGTTAAATCAAACAGCTAAGAGTAAAATTCTAAACTATAAAAGTGTATGACTAAAAGATAGGGGAACAGTCTCTAGAATGCCAAGTGAGCAAGACCTCCCTCAGCAAGGCACAAAAGAAGCCGTAAAGTGTCAGATCTCAAATCTTTCCCTCTGTTCCAGCCACACTCCTAGCAGTTACTGGACATTGCAGGCAGGCTCAGCTCTTGCTGTTCCCTAGGCCTGGCTGTTCTTCCCCCAGGCCTCTGTTTTAATGTTATCTTGTTAATGAGGCCTTCCCTGACCCTTTTCGAAAAATAGGCTTCGCTGGGCGCCGTGGCTCATGCCTGTAATCCCAGTGCTTTGGGAGGCTGAGGCAGGAGGATTGCTTGAGGCCAGGAGTTAAAGACCAGCCCAGGCAACACAGTGAGACCCCGACTCTACAAAAATAAAATAAAATAAAACTGGCCAGGCTTGTTGCTGCACACCTGTAGTCTCAGCTACTCAGGAGGCTGAAGTGGGAGGATCACTTGAGCCCAGGAGTTCAAGGATCCAGTGAGCTATGACTGTGCCATTGCACTCCAGCCTGAGCAGAAGAGGAAGACCCTGTCTCCAAAAAACAAAAAGCAAACAAACAAAAAACAGGCTTTAAAAGTAAAGTAAGCCTCTACTGCAATTCTGTGCTGAAGCGTAGCTCTACAGGAACATGGTGGAATCAAGGGCTTTTTTTGTTGGAAACATCTAATAGATTAATTTGTCTAACAACACATTTAGGTCCTGAAGTCTCTCTATAACCTGTGCTTAAATGCTTCCAATGTCAGGGAAAGCATTATCCTCCAGGAGGATCTGTTCTGTCAATCTATCCACCAACCCATCATTCATCCACCCACCCAGCCATCCATCCATCCACCTATCTGTCCAACAGCCCACCCATCCTTCCTTGCACCCATTCATTCATTCGCTACCTCCTCATCCTTCCATCCATCTTTCCATTTATCCATCCATCTACCCACTCATTCATCCACAGCACCATTACACAAACATTTACAGAGCATGTATTATGCACCAGGCATGGTGGTAGGCACTGGGGTTTTTGAATTGAATATATCATGGTCAGGCTGTCAAGGACTTCAGAGTTTGTGCATGTAAACAAATAACAGTAACACATTATGACAAGAGCTGTAACAGAGTTCCTTTTCAACTGCTGTGGAAGAATGGAAGTAATAACTTCTGGGGGTGTCAGAGAAGGTTCCCAGCAGGGATAGCATGTTAGCCAGGAGCTGAAGAATGTCTAAGAGATATCCTCCAAGCAGAGACGGGAAGAAGGGCATTATAGATGGAGGGAATAGAAACAGAATGCAAACATGTATACACACAAAAGCTTCATAAAATTGCAAATAGGAGGGCAGGACAGGGGATGTATGAGATGGGGAAGAGTGAGGCAGGAAGAAAGGCATCAGGCAGTGTGCCTGGAAATGTGACAAGAGACGGATTCTGAAAATCTTTGCAAATCTTGCTTAGGTTAAAGTTTTGGTGAGTAGAATGTTCTCTAGAAATCTCCGTAAAAAAAAAATATGCAAAGAATCCCCATGCTGTTCTTACATTAATCTGTGCTGCCGGCTTGGGCTTAGATGCAGCTTTGCAAAATATATTTTTTAAAGTTTCATTATGCCACTGTACATCAAAATAGGCCAATATAAATTATAATACGGTCATGCCAATAGGACTTGCAAACACAATATTTTAAGTTTATATTGCATTCCAAGACCCATAAAAATTATTCCGAATGGCTGTTTGCTTTTTGAAGCCAAATGAAAAGGTATTTGCAATTTGATTATTAACAAATCAAATCACTGATGTGATATTGGATTCGGTACATCTCAAACTGACTGAGAGTGAAAAATCCTCAGTGGTCAATTATGTAGCATGGCTGGTTTATAGTTTCCTGTGTGTCATTAAGAATAAGCACCACGGCCAACTCAGATTTTATTTTGATTTATTTTAACCATTTCTCTACCCTGAGAATTTCTCTCCTAGCCTCTAGCAGGCATAGCAGCTTTGCCCTAACTGACATTGGTGTGGGTACGACCTGTTGGATGGTTGACTAAGTGAACAGATTAAGGGGTGGATGCCCAGGTGAATGAATGAATACATCGAAGGAGGCATTATCACATGGATGAGGGAATTCATACCACTTACACTGCACTCCAGACTGGAATAACTGGAATCTCAAGAACCAAGTTGCTTTCATCGTGGAAAGAGTGCTGGTTTTCTGACCCCCAGCATGTAGTCGCCCTTATTTTTGATATTGCTTTGTGGCTTTGCCCTGTGTCCTTGACTAATATAAAAGTCTCCTTTTTTTAGATATGTTCAAAGCCTTTGGAGAATAATAAATAAAGAAAAAACAATATGCCTTCCAGTATAATTGATCATTCTAGATTGAGCCCCCTGTGCAGTGTCTCTGATCCCTCTGCAGGTTCAGGGGAAACCTCCTCCTTCCAGCAAAGATATCTCTGTCCTGCCTCAGCGGGATGTGCTTTTGTTTTTGAGGAAGTCTCTTCCCACTCACTTCAATGTGAGACCTTCATTCCTGGGAATTCTCAGATGACATAAACTCTGCTAATGTACAGAAATGCGTGACTCCAGAACACACAGGATACGTGCCTCCTGTTGAGAGGCCACTCTGTTTTGCCTTCTGATCAGAAACCTTGGGTTCTAGTTCCCTTCCTCTCTATGAAAAGGATTTGGGTTTGGGGCAGTCACACCTTGTCCTGCTCAGTTTTGAGCCCTCTCCAGATGGCTACTGATGCAAACAGTCCCCCACTCCCAGGTAGACACTGCTTCTGTGACAGCTTTCCCAGGCTTCTTGCTGTTTTCAGACCTGAGTCTTACAATGAGTTGGGCAGGACAAGCTTTAGGAAAGTTATGTGTCTTATACAAGGTCACAGAAACGGATGTCTATTTGTGTCTATCCAGGGTCCATTTCCCCTCAGAATAGATATTTCCCATATATATATATATATATTTTTTTTTTTTTTTTTGACAGAATCTCGCTCTGTCACCAGGCTGGAGTGCAATAGCACAATCTTGGCTCACTGCAACCTCCGCCTCCCAGGTTCAAGTGATTCTCCTGCCTCAACCTCCTGAATAGCTGGGACTACAGGTGCACGCCACCACACCCAGCTAATTTTTGTATTTTTCGTAAAGATGGGGTTTCACCATGTTGGCCAGGATGGTCTCGATCTCTTGACCTCATGATCTGCCCGCCTTGGCCTCCCAAAATGCTGGGATTACAGGCATGAGCCACCGCATCCGGCCTAGAGATCTTCTTAAGAGATGTCTTCCCCCATGCTCAGGACTTGATGTGGGCAGAGCTCATGCCCGTTCCATCTTGGAGGGGTAGAGAATGTTCCTTCCATACCCCTCCCTTCTGGCCACATCAGGAATGTTTCAAAAAAGAGCCTGTTATCAGCCAATGAGGTGGATTTCCAGGACTTTTGTTGAAAGTAGTGAGCAACAGTAGGTTTGTTCACTGGCATTGCTGGAAGCAGGGGTGAAACCAGTCTGGGAGTTCTGGGGGATAGCCAGGTGGTTTAGAAAAGAAGCCAGCACGAGAGAGCAAGACATGAGACAGGGAAAAACAAGACCCAGTGATATTCTTTGAGCTCCTGGATCCAGCAATGCCTGAAACTAAATCTCCCTGGACTGTTACATTATATATGTATTCTGATTCTGCAAACGATCCATCTCAAAATACAGTGGTGTAGAACAGTCATTTATCGTTATCTGCATGGTTCTGTGGGTTGATGAGCTCAACTAGATGGTCTTGCTCAGGGTTGTTGACACTATTGTGTTCAGATGCCAATCAAGCTGGATGAGCTGGGGACCGGCCAGGCATCTCTCTCCATGCAGCCTCCCACATGGCTGGTGTGGACTTCCTCATAGAACGGAGGTCTCGGGAGAGCCGGACTTCCTACTTAGTGTCTGGCTTCCCCTAGAGTGAGTGTTCCGAGGGAACAAGGTGAGAGCTTCAACTTCTGCCTTGGAGGCCAGCAGCGTTATTTCCATGGGTTACCAGCCATGTCCATGTGTTACCAGCAAGTCTCAGGGCCAACCCAGATCCAAGGGGAGGAAGCTACACAAGGGCATGTATACACGGAAGACATGAGTCATCGAGAAGCTACTTTTGGAGACCCGCTACCATGATATGCCAGCCAATACATTCACTTCGATGCCCGTAAATTTAGGTTTCTGCCACTTGCAACCACAAGCAAGTTTGCCACTCACAACCATAACCACAGCCTAAGTTAGGATGCAGCCCTGCTCTCCTGTCTCCCTCTCAAGCCCAATTCAGATGCCGCTTCTTTGTGCACCCTCCTCCATCCTCTTCCCCCTACCAGAATTAATCTCTTCCTTATTGAAATCCACAACTGTGTTGGAAATCGGTAGAAAGAACTGAACAAAGCCTGAGTCATCAATGAGGCTCAACACTCTGCTGAGGAAACTTAAGCTGGGGAAACCGAGACCCAGAGAGGCAACACCAAAGTCACTCAACAAGTTTCTGGATTCGGGAAAGCACCCAGAGCCCTTATCACATTCTCTCTCATAGAATGGATATTATGTACATAGCTGATTCTCTCCACCGGACTGTAAACTCCTGATAAGCAGGGAGTATGCTACTTCCTCTCTGTACCCCCCACCACACCTTGGATGGGGTTTGAACAGGGGACAACTGCAGAACTTGTTTGCTGAAGCAACTTTTACCTCGGGACTTTCCCAAGTCCGCTCTGCCCTAAGCTATCATTCAGTTTCTGGGGAGCCATCTCTCTGCCCCCACTAGAAAGTAAGGGCAGGAGGGACAAAAAGCAGCATGATGTGGCAAAAAAGCAGCACACAGGCTTGGCGTCAGGCAGGCCTGCATTCTATTTATTTTATTTTATTTTATTTGTTTATTTATTTTTTTGGAGACGGAGTCTCACTCCGTTGCCCAGGTTGGAGTGCAGTGGCGCCATCTTGGCTCACTGCAACCTCCACCTCCCAGGTTCAAGTGATTCTCCTGCCTCAGCCTCCTGAGTAGCTGGGGTTACAGGCGCGCACCACCATGCCCAGCTAATTTTTGTATTTTTAGTAGAGATGGGGGTTTCACCATGTTGGCCAGGCTGATCTCGAACTCCTGACCTCAGGCGATCTGCCTGCCTCGGCCTCCCAGACTGCTGGGATGACAAGTGTGAGCCACCGCACCTGGCCAGGCCTGCATTCTAATACAGGCTCTGCAAGTAGAACCTCCATTTTCTTATCTGTAAAATGGGATGTGATAACTACACCTGCCTCCTTGTCATGTGGCTGTGCAATGCAATAATGTATGCAAAAGGGCTTTGAGATTCTAATAAGCTACATGCACGCAAGGGGTTGGCATTATTAATAAATTCGGATGCGCAGAAGCCCGTGTGCTGGCAGGGCCAGGGAGGGGATGGAGGGGCACCACAGCCCAGATCCCCAGAAGAGCTGCCCCCTCCGCCTTCCCTTCTTGCCCACCCCACAGCTTTTTCCAGGCCCAGGGAAGAGCAATGTCACCAAGAGCTGCCCATCACAGCCCAGGCAAGGAGAGCCTGAGCCCCCTCAGATTTCTGCTCCCCCTGCAGATTTCCACCCATTATTAGCCCTGAGTGGGGAAAGAGACATGACTAATTGTGCCCACAGTTGCCTCCTGGCATGGACAATTAGCCACCTGCATCTAATTCTGAGGGACCCAGAGGCTAATTGCATCTGCCAGACCCCATGGGTGTGTGTGTGTGTGTGTGTGTGTGTGTGTGTGTGTGTGAATTTTTGAGCTACCAGTGGGCACCAAAGCAGAGGCTAAGATGAGTGGGTGTTATTGCATTTAACACTCGCTAAGAGCCTGCTGGCCCCTGAACACAAAGAAACCAGGGCACGACATTGTCCTTCCCTATGGAGGAGGGACAAAGGAGGCTTTCACTGGTGAATGAGCAGAGCACATCTCCTAGCTGGTGAGCCTGCTCTGACTCACTCTCGGGGTGGAGGGGCTGACTTCAGGGTGGACACTGCCATCAGAACCACGGGCCCCAGGGTTCCGGAAAGATGCCATCCTGGACCCTCCCCTATGCCCCTCTCCTCCCTTCAGAGCTCTGAGCATGCTGTACGTTGATGCAGATACATTGGCCTGTATGCCTTCCCCTTCTCTGGCTCAGGGCTGGGCACACGGTAGGTGTTGAGAAAATGTGTGTGGATGAATAAATGAATGAGTAGATGAATGAATGACACCTGCTGCCTCCATCAGGGCATCCTGGTTTCAGCCTGTTTTGTTAGGGCACCCTGGCATATGCCTTCTCATTTCATGCCCATCCTTGCCAAGCAGCATGCAGAGACCTCCAGGGGGTTTGGCTGTACGGGGGGACCCTGACATCTCCCCCGATTCCAGCCTGCGCCTGCTTTGATCTGGACAAAGGCCGAGTGCCTGACCTTCACCTCCAACCCTTGCTTTCGCTCCCACTCCTGCAGCAGCTGCTCCCCCTGGCTGCTGAGGACTCTGGGCCCCATGTAGAGACTTCCAGCTGGAATTCCCAATCCTTGGCTCCACATCCATCTGCTCTGCATCTGCTTAGGAGGCACGCCTGCCCTGGCTGGTCCCGTGGGATTTAATCTTCTCAGGCCACCTCCCCCAACCCCCTGTGGGGCAGATGGACTACCTCCTCTGAGCCACTTGAGCCTATCCCTGCCCAGGCCTCCATCTGGCCCCATTCCACTCCCCCACAGAGCCCTTTGCCTAATGTGGCTCAGTTGTTTGCAGAGGATTCTTTGCTCTGGCAGCAGGGAAGTGGTTGTTAAGGTCAAAGTAGACCACTGCTGTGATAAACTCCCACCTCTCAGTGGCTTCCCTCAATAACACACAGTGTAGGCCTCTCGCAGTGGCTCACACCTGTAATTCCGCACTTTAGGAGGCCAAGGTGGGAGGACCGCTGGAGCCCAGACCAGTCTGAGTAACATAGTGAGACCCAGTCTCTACAGTTTTTTTTAAATAAGAAATAAATAACACAACACAGCCCAGCATGGGTGGGTGAGGGTGTTCTGCTCCATGCAGTGATCCCACCAGCCAGGCCTCCTCCATCTGGGGGTCAGGGTCCCACACTGTCCCATCTGCGTCCAGCAGGCAGATGAAGGACAAGGGAGTGTGGAGAATAACAGGGAGGTTTCCAAGACCTTGTCTAGAAGGGGCATACCTCATCTCTCCCACATTCCATTGAACTCAGTCATATGGCGGCACCTAACTGCAAGGAAGCCTGGGACTTGTAGTTCACTTATGTGCCCAGGATGAAAAATGAACAACTAGCTGGTCTCTGACACTCCCCACCCAGGATCTCAAATATAAAGCGAAGAAAATGAGCGATTAGGCATTTCCTCTGTGAAACACCACGATGTGGTATCCAAACTCCCTGCCTCATTCCTTGGCCTTCCCTCTCCCCCTTCCACACCCTGTGTATACTCCAGCCACCTCAAAGCCGGTGAGTTAGGACCCCCGAAGCTGCCCCCAGGCTGTTGGACAGGTCTGTGGTTTGCTTATTTCATTTCCTCTGCCTCGGGTGTCCTCTCCATGTCCCCCACGCTCTACGCCACCTTCAAGACCCCCCTCAAGGGCATGCTTCCCTGCAGAACACCCCCCGCCAGCCTCCTTCCCAGAAAAGGTGGCAGCCTGCTCGCTCTCTGCCACCATCGTGCCCTGCACCTGCCCACGCACACTTTCTTCTCCATGGCCCACTCAGCAGTCCACCTGCATGCATTGAATTGTGTCTCCCTAAAAGATATATCCAAATCCTGACTCCTGGTACCAGTGACTGTGACCAAATTTGGAAATAGGGTCTTTGCAGATGTAATTAACTTGAGCATCTCAAGATGAGATCATCCTGGATCTAGGACTTGTGCCCTTGTAAGAGAAAGGAGAGGGAGATGTAACACAGAGACCCAGGAAGGCCCACGGAGAAGGCCATGTGAAGATGGAGGTAGAGGTGGGAGCGACACAGCACGAGGCAGGAACACCGAGGACTCCTGGCAGCCACTAGAAGCCAGGAGGGAGGCATGGGGCAGACTCTCCCACAGACCCCTTAAAGCAGCAGTCCCCCACATTTTTGGCACCAGGGACTGGTTTCATGGAAGACAATTTTTTCACAGACTGGGTGGGGGGATAGTTTTGGGATGATTCAAGCACATTCCATTTATTGGGCACTTTAGTTCCATTGTAATATAAAATAAAATAATTATACAACTCACCATCATGTAGAATCAGGGGGAGCCCTGAGCTTGTTCTCTTGCAACTAGATGGTCCCATCTGGGGGTGATGGAAAACAGTGACAGGTCATCAGGCACTAGATTCTCATAAGGAATGTGCAACCTAGATCCCTCAAATGCACAGATCACAACAGAGTCCGCACTCCTATAAGAATCTAATGCCACCACTGATCTGATAGGAGGTGGAGTTTAGGCAGTAATGCAAGCTATGGGGAGTGGCTGTACCTACAGATGAAACTTCCCTCACTAACCTGCTGCTCACCTCCTGCTGGGCCACCCAATTCCTGACAGGCCATGGACAGGCACTGGCCCATGGCCTGAGGGCTGGGGACCCCTGCCTTAAAGAACCAGCACTGCTGACACCTTGATTTCAGACTTTTGGCCTCCATTACTGTAAGAGAACAAATTTCTGTTGTGTTAAGCCACCAGATGTGTGGCAATTTGTTACAGCAGTTCTATGAGTCAAATACACCACTCATGTGGCCTCTGACCACTAAAAGCCAACTGCAGATGTTACATCCGGGAGCCATAGCTCCAACGCTTTGAGAGGCCAAGCAGGTGATGCAAGTATGTGTAGGACCTAAGAGAATGCCTGGGCCTGTGTTGAGCATGAAAACATACGCCTCCCTGGAGAATATTCACATTTATTTTTGTTTAAAAAAGAAGAAAAACTAAAAGAAAGTGCTATGACAGTGAAACAAAACAGTGTTGGGAATTCGGCCTGTAGCTAGGGTGACCATATGTCCTCGTGTACCCGAGACAACTCTGGATTATCCCTGTTGTTCCCGTGTAATTTTTCCTAGGCCCCTCGACCCTCAGAAGCATCCAGAGTGAACGGTGAATGATGGGCTCACTCATGGGCCATGAGTTTTCCCCTGCCTTCAGAACAAGCATTCAGAAAAGATCTGCCTTATCCCACCTCCAGTCATGTCCCCACCCCATTGATAGTGTAGATGATTATTCAGCAAATATTCACTCCCTCCTGACCTCCAGTCCCAGGGGAGGAATATTTTTCCCTATCCAGCAGATGCAGGACTTGCCCATGTGACCGCTTTGGCCTCACGGTGGGCAGAGTTTGCTTCCCTGCTGTTGCATTTTGGTCCCAGCCCCATGACTTGCTTTGGTTAATGGGATGTTAGCAGAGATCATTGAGCTGAATTTGAAAAGCACTTGCACAAGTGAGCCACACCCCTTGCACCTCTGGCATCATGCGGAGAGCTTCTCCCAGGTACTTGCTGCCCCTTTTTAAAATTTTATTTTATTTTTTAACTTTTATGTTAAGTTTGGGGTACAGGTGCAGGTCTGTTATGTAGGTAAACTACACGTTGCAGGGGTTTGGTGTACAGATTATTTTACCACCCAGGTACTAGGCACAATACTCGATAGGTAGGTTTTCAATCCTCACCCTCCTCCCACCCTCCACCCCCAAGTAGGCCCTGGTATCTGTTGTTCCCTTCTTTGTGTCCGTATGTAGTCAGTGTTAGCTCCTACTTATAAGTGAGAACATGTAGCATTTGGTTTTCTGTTCCTGCACTAGTTCACTTAGGATAATGACCTCCAGTTGCAATCATGTTGCTGCAAAGGACAGGATCACATTCTTTTTCATGGCTGCATAGTAGTCTATGGTGTACATGTACCACATTTTCTTTATCCAGTCCACTGTTAATGGGCATTTAGGTTGATTCCATGTCTTTGCTCTTGTGTATAGTGTTGCAATGAACGTACACGTGCATGTGTCTTTATAGCAGAACAATTTACATTCCTTTGGGTATATACTCAGTAATAGGATTGCTGGGTCAAATGGTAATTCTGTTTTAAGTACTTTGGGAAATCACCAAACCGTTTTCTACAATGGCTGAACTAATGCACATCCCCACCAGCAGTAAATAAGCATTCCTTTTCTCTGCAACTTTGCCAGCATCTGTTATCTTTTGACTTTTAAATAATAACTTGCTGCCCCTTTAGCCTGGACCCTGGGATGAACACCCTTCGAGTAGATCTGAGCCCAGTCCTCAGAGAGAAGCCAAACCCAGCCAAGTCCTGCTTACATCAGCTGAACCCCCGCCAACCTGCAGAGGTGTGCGAGAGAAACAAATGCATATTGTGGTATGTCCCTGAGGATCTGTGATTGTTTGTCACCCAGCGACAGCTGACTTCTACAGCCACACACTACCATCTGCTCCCAGTGTGTTTGTGTTCACTCCCAATTCCCTGGATTCCAACTTCAGACTCCTGACCCCGACTTCAGTAAGGGTCTCGTGCCTCTCCATCCAGCTAGGACCTTGGCTGATCTCTCCGTGCCACCTCTGGGGAGGCCTCCTCATGTCAGGCCCCAGCAGTGGGGCAGAGGGGTGGTGAGGAGATCTGGAAAATTATAGGATTTCCCTTGTTGTGCTGGATTGAATTAATTACATGTCTGTGAACCTTCTAGGCCAGCACTGTGCAACAGAAACAGAATGTGAGCCAGGTGTATAATCTAAAATTTTTCAGTAGCTACATTAAAAAGTAAAAAAGAGGCCAGGTGCAGTGGCTTACACCTGTAGTCCCAGCACTTTGGGAGATTACAGGGCAGGGAATCACTTGAAGCCAGGAGTTCAAGGCCAGTCTGGGCAATAAAGTGAGATCCTGTCTCTATAAAATATTAAAAAATTAGCTGGGCATGATGGTGCACACCTCTAGTCCCAGCTACTCAAGAGGCTGAGGTAGGAGGATTGCTTGAGCCCAGGAATTGGAGGCTGCAGTGAGCTGTGATCGTGCCACCGCACTCCAGCCTGGGTGACAGAGTGAGACCCTGTCTCAAAAATAAATAAATAATTAATTAGTTAAGAAATAAACAATTAATTAGTTTAAGTAAAAAGAAAGTGAAATTAATTCTAATAATACATTAAATTTAGCCCAATATACCCCAAATATTATTTCAACATGTAACCAACATTAATTACTTAAATTATTATATGTTTCTAATATATTATATATACGCATTATTTAACAGATATTTTGCATTCCTTTTCATGCCCAGCCTCTGAGGTCCAGCGTGTATTTAACAGGCACGGCATGCCTCACTTCAGACCGGCCACATCTCAGTCCTTAACAGCCATATGTGGCTTACGGCTACCATACTGGACAGCGCAGCTCTGAATAATGGAAGGCAAAACTCCATGTCACCAGTGTGTAACGTGGTGCCTGGCACACAAGGGGCACTCAGTAAATAAGTCCTGAATGGATGAATGATAAACACATAGGCATTGCTTTAAAGCTGAGAACAGGTGGGCAGACCTGTTACCCACGGGGAAAAAAAAAATGCCTATGGCTTAGACCCATCAAATTTTCATTATAACGGATGGTGGTGTTTTGGAAGGCCACGTTGGCTGGTGCTGTGTCTGCGTCTGAAGCAGACTTGCTCAAAGGGGTCATATGTGATGAAAATACAACCTCAGGCAGCATTTCCCAAACTTGTCTGACCACTGCATGTTATTTAAATTGTTCTGTTTTTGTCAGGATGCCAATAGAGCATCCTTATGTGATACTGTTTAAGTTGAAGCAGACAGAAAAAAAATGATCTCAGAGTTGAATTAATTGCTGTAAGAAATGATCAAAATTTGATTCATATGCTTAATATAAAGTAAACATTGAATATTTGCACCAATAAATGTTAAAATCATGAGATAAAATGCATAACAAAGACCGGCAATTGTCAAATAGAAACGCACACAGCCTGGCAGTGAGAGGCAAAATATACAACCTACTGCTGAACCTCATGCTTCCTGCCTAAGGTGATTTATCAGGGGACTTCCTATTGTTGTCAGGTACAGGAGACCCTTTCCCAAAGGAAGATCAGCACTTAGAAATAAAAGCTACGACCAGCATGGCCAACATGGTGAAACCCTGTCTCTACTAAAAATACAAAAATTAGCTGGGCGCAGTGGCGCACACCTGTGATCCCAACTACTAGGGAGGCTGAGGCAGGAGAATCACTTGAACCTGGGAGGCGGAGGTTGCAGTGAGCTGAGATCACACCACTGCACACCAGCCTGGGCAACAGAGTGAGACTTTGTCTCAAAAAATAAAATAAAATAAAATAAAATAAAATAAAACTAATAAAAACTACCAGTAGTCAAAGATGTATCATGTGTCAGGCACTGTTCTAACTCTCTGAGGCTGATACCACAATCAGGGTAATTTTATGGATGAAGAAACTGAGTCACAAAGAGGTCAAGTAATTTCCAGGTCAGGTTGAACCTGGGGATTCTGGTTCCTGAGCCGGTGCTCCTAACTGTTATACCACACAGCCTCTTTTAATAATTAGAACCACTTTATACATTTTTTGCATTTTTCTAATGTACACTTTAAAATGAATTTAAGACGAACAATGCCACCAGCTGTGAGAGCTCCTGTCCTTTGGAATACCCACGAACATCTCACGGAACCTTTGTGTGCCATGGAACGGAGTTTTGGAAATGGTGCTGGAGAGATATATGCAAACACTATTTAATACTGCCAGAAGCTGTTTCAAACCATTTATTGATTGATTTCATCACTCCCCTTTCTCGCCACCCCTCTTTCCAGAAGAACATCTTACAATAAAAACAGAGTAAAATCAGATCAAGCAGGGAGGTGTAATATTACAGGTAATGCTGTAGAAATTAAGCCCGAAATCTTGTTCTGAGCTTCCCAACAGCTGGAGTCTGGAGCAAAGGCCGGCTGGGCGTGGAGTTCTTATTGTCTTAGAGGTAGGACCAGCCCGTGTGTCAAGAGAACCAATTTTTCTTGGCCCAGTGCCCTAGAATGCACTTGTCATAGAGACATTTGCATTAAGTGGCATTGAGCAGTGTAATGAATTATATCCCCAATAGTCATTTTACAAAAAGAAAAAAAAAATGCAGTGATGTTCCTTGGGCAGCTCTTGCATCACCGTGGAACCTTTGCTGAGGGCAAAATATTAAAGTGTTGCTCCACGAAACAATTCCAGAGGGGAAATCGAGTAACTCCAGCACCTTGATTCTAGACCAAAAAGGAAGTGGAAGCAATTCTGGAATTTCAGCTTAAGCTGCTTTCAGATCTGTTCTCCCATCTTTATGCCTGCAGCCTTCTTCGGCATTGTCTCCCAATACCCAGCTCTGAGCACATGCTGTCTTGCCCAGAAGATTGCAACTATTCTGCAAGAATGTTTCTCTCCATGCACCAACACAGGATAGGTACTCACTGAGCATTTATTGCTGAATAAAGGAATCATTCAAAACTTAAAAATACGAAAAAAAAGGTCTCACATCACTCCTGCCAACTTGCTGGTCCCCAAAGTCAATGTGCACTTGCCTTTCTCTGTGCCTTCCCTGGCCTGGCCCCTGCTGTTAAAATCATACTCAGATGCCAACTCCTCTATGAAATTTCCCTCTTTGCCTCCCGCAGAAATGCGTACCATCTTCACCATTCCCCCCGGCATCCAGCACAGACAGCTGCTTACCCCGGGGCAGCAGGCAACAGTGGCTTTTAATGTCAGGACGCCTGGCTTTGAGGGGCTCCGGTAAGTCTCTTAAGCAAGTCTGAGCCTCGGTTTTCTCATCTATAAAATGGCCAGGCGGGAATGAGGAGAGCTCTCTAAGTTACAAAGAGCTACGTTAATGTGCATTCACCCAGCAGTGCCCCTCCAGCCTGAAGGTGGCTTTACAGCAAGGTACTCATCAGCGTCACCTCTCCATCACCAAAATGTCTAGCAGGGGCCTGGCTCAGAGGACTGAATAAACGCCGGCAGACTTAAATGCAAGGGGTACAATACATGTGCTTTATGGCTGGTATGCTAGGTCTCCAACCCAGATATTCTGGGCAATATTCATAAATATCTAGAATTAACTCCCAACACTTCACATTTCTTTGATTTCATGGTTCTAAGAATAGAAATAACCTTTCAATTTTAAATAGAAATTGCGGAGCTGAAGACAAGTGACGAAAGTCTTCCAAGACATCCAGGCTCAACTGCAGAGTTCAGGGAGGGCACGGAACACCGAGGGGGAGGTCTGTTTGACAAATCTTTGAGCCAAGCCAGAGTTCCAGAGAGCGAGGTCTGAGGCGGGCTCCGCTGGAGGCAGGCACAGCCTGGGCAGAGATGATTAGCAATAAATGGAGAACACCTCAGGGGACCCTCCTACAGACAGTCTGTCACCCAGTGTTTTTACCATTCCATTTCAAAGTTTAATTAGATAATCACTTTCCAATGCCTACATGCAATTAACCCCTTTGGAGCAGCCCTCGTTCACAGTCAACTTTCACAGGCCACAGAAGCCGAAATGCCCACGACGAGCCTCGGCGTCGCAGATTTCAGGAAAACATTTCTCAAGGAGAAAAATAACTAACAAACATTTGTGGGTTTTAAAGAGAGAACTTCTTTCTTAAATGCCAGAAAGAAACCATTTCTCATCCAAGAGCTCAGCGTGAACCATCAGTCCCTCCTTCCTCGTACAAGGCCATGGACAGAACCATCTTCGGGCGCAGCCAGGCTGAATTCTTCTGCTAAGGGAGAGAAGGGGCTTGCAGCCTGCCCTTCAAGGCCACCTGCCCGGCCAGCTGCACGTGCAACCTCCTCTCCCTTCCTTGAGGGTTGCTGTGCTTGTCCCATTTCATTTAACACACTGGGAGAATGCAGATTCCCTATGGTCCTCTTTCGCCCGTGTGATTCACAAACCCAAGACGGCAAAAGACCAAACTGAATTCACAATGTCCCTGGACTTCTTTTCTTTTCTTTTCTTTTCTTTTCTCTTCTCTTCTCTTCTCTTCTCTTCTCTTCTCTTCTCTTTTCTTTTCTTTTCTTTTCTTAGAGATGGGGTCTCACTGTGTTGCCCAGGCTGGTCTCAATCTCCTGGCCTTAAGCAATCCTCCCACCTCCACCTCCTGAGTAGCTGGGACTAGAGGGGCACACCACCATGGTCAGCTTTCCTGGACTTTCAAAAGCGATTTGTTTATTTGCATGGTCTTTTAAAGCACTCCTATATGTCACGTGACCCTTCCAATATCCCCACGAGGTGGACAGGAAAGGGATTGTTATGCCTGTGTAACATGCAAGGACACTGACTCACAGAGGGGCCAGATTCAATGTCACACAGCTGGTAACAGGCAGAGCAAGATTCCAACTTAGGGCCCCAGATACAGGCTCCCAGTTGCACACTCTTTCCACCATGCTGTCTTTATTTATTCCATACCTACTTATTGATTGCCTACTATGGGCTAGGCCCTGGGGATTCAGCACTTCACAGGTCACAGGAGCTACCTATTCTCAAAAGATTATAAAACTAATGGAGGAAGCAGACATAAAACTGCAGCGTGAGAGTCCAGTGAGAACTGGAAGCCCTGGGAGCCACAGGATCCCAGTCCAAGAGCCCAACCTGACACTGGGAAGCCAGGTGAATAAAGCAGAGCCAGGATGGGGGTGAGCAAGGCTGGAGGAGACACTCAGTCTGTGGGGAATGCAAGTCCTGGCCCTGTGACTCATGGATACACTGGAAAATATTTAATGACTGGCTCTGGGGGGAAACAGACGTGATGTGTAGTGTCTGCCCACTCCCCTGGTGTAAACGCTGCCATTTAATGACTGGCTCTGGGGGGAAACAGACCTGATGTGTAGTGTTTGCCCATTCCCATGGTGTAAATGCTTCCATAGCTGCTGATGTCAAGCTACCAATGTTAAGTCACTGCAGGTTGGGAAGAGATGCAAACATGTGCTCCTGCAAGCTGGTGCAAGCTGGTGCCAGCCAGTGGAGGCCGACTCCAGCATGCCACTGAAGTGACATCTAGAGCAAGGCCTGAAGGGCTCATCACAGGGTGGACACAAAAGATGGATTTGAGTTTGAGTGAGACCAGAGGCAAAACTGAGGACAGGTTTTTACAGAGCTGTGCTGTCCAATACTGTACTCACTAACCATATGTGGCTATTTGGTTTAGATTAAAATGTATTACAATTAAAAATTCAGTAGTTTGGTGGCACTAGACACATTTCAGATGCTCAGTGGTTACATGTGGCTAGTGGCAATCACATTGGACAGCACACGTTTTAGAACATTTCCATCCTCATTGAATGTTCTATTAGCTAGCACTGTAGGGAAGGAGGGAGGCAGGATGAATTTCTAGCAAGAGAAGAGAAGCTGTGACATGGAAGATGAAGGGTCAGCTAAAATAAGCTTCCTCAATGTCCCAATTTCACCAAGGATCAGCCTCAAATGAAGGATGGGTTGAATGAATGAAAGTTAAGATGTTGAGCTCCTCTACTGTGCTGAGCCTTTTTTTCCTTTTCTTTTCTGTTCTGTTCTGTTCTCTTCTCTTCTCTTTCTTTCTCTCTCTCTCTCTTCTTTCTTTCTTTCGTTCATTAGCTTGTTCTTTCTTTCTTTCGTTTTTGGTCAGGGTCTCACTCTGTCACCCAGGCTGGAGTGCAGTGGCATAATCTTGGCTCACTGCAGCCTCGACCTCCTGGGCTCAAGCCATCCTCCCACCTCTGCCTCCCAAAGTGTTGGGACTACAGGTGTGAGCCACCACACCTGGCCCTGTAGTGAGACCCTTGCTGGGTGATCTGCTCCCTGCCCTTGAGGAATTTACAGCCCTGGTACACAGTAGGTGCTCAATACATGTGTCAAGGCATTTTGGACCATCTTGGGGACAGTGCTCCATGGAGCACGCTTTGGGATGCACCTGTCCAAACACAGCCCTGTGTGAGCAGGTGAAGCCCAGGGCTGCAACTACTGCTCAGGTGCTCAGGTGCTGGCCCACAGATCATCCGGCTTGGGCTAAGACACCCATCGGGAAGTAGCTTTCTCTCCAGTGAGACTGTACTGTGTATGTTCCTTGTTTCATCAGCACACAGGAGCATGGTGATGACCACAGATACACAGTGCTCGGGTCAGTTGCTGAGGAAACCAAGCCCGTGTTTAACAGCTAAGGCAGCAGCAAGCCTTTGGTGGAGCCCAGCACAGCCCCACCTCATGGAGTGGAAGCCGGATTGGAATCTAGCTACACTTTTCTCCAAAACCCATGCTCCGTCCCTACCCCCCACACACTCACCTCTTGATCACTTTCATATCACAGCCCCTGCTCATCCGAGAACCTCGTTTCCTTCCCAGAAGTCCTCCTTACTTCTCTTCCCACAGAGCCCGTGTCGCTTTCACAGCCACTTTAAAAAGGAAAAACAAAGGTGACTTTTATTCTATTCTAAAAGTAAAATCTCACTCTTTCAAGAAAATTAGAAGGCAAAAGAGAAGTGGAAGGATAAAGGAGGAAAAACTTTGCCCATAGTTCCAACCATACAAAGACAGGCACTGTGCGGGTATTTTCTGTGTAACTTTTACTTTGTGGAGCATCTTTTTCGTGATCATGCTGTGGATTCAGCTTTGAATCCTGCTTTTTGTCTCAGCACGCGATCACCTGCACTCCCAGGTTACTGTACTCTTACCAACATGGTTCTCCACGGCAGCATCAATTTTAAGTGGCGGGTGGACCCTGGTTTACTCAAATCGTCATCCACTTTTGTTGGACATCTAGGTTATTTCCAATTTCTCTTTCAAGTATGGCAGCTTGGTTTACTTCTCCAGCTTTTTCCACGTTTCAGAATCTTTCTTTGGGATAGATTTTCAGCAGTGGAATTACTGGATCAAAAGATATGTGTATCTGGCTGGGCACGGTGGCTCACACCTATAATCCCAGCACTTTGGGAGGCCAAGGCGGGCAGATCACCTGAGGCCAGGAGTTCAAGACCAGTCTGGCCAACATGGCCAAACCCCGTCTCTACTAAAAATATAAAAATTAGCCGGAGGTGGTGGTACATGCCTGTAATCCCAACTACTAGGGAGGCTAAGGCAGGAGAATTGCTTGAACCTAGGAGGCAGATGTTGCAGTGAGTGGAGACCTCACCACTGTACTCCAGCCTGGACAACAGAGAGAGACTCCATCACAAAAAAAAAAAAAAAAAAAATGGTGGGAGTATCTTAAAGTTTCTTAATACAGATTGCCAAATTTCTTTTTACCAATTTATACCCCCAAAGCTCAGGTGTGGTGGCTCACACCTGTAGTCCCAACACTTTGGGAGGCAGAGGTGGGAGGATAGCTTGAGCCCAGGAGGTTGAGGCTGCAGTGAGCCAAGATTATGCCACTGCACATCCTGTCTTCTCTCCTCCCTCACCAGCCTTTGATTTTATTGTAATCTTTCCTCACTCCATAGGTTCATGTACTAACTCATTGTTTTATCTGAATTCCTTTTATTATTTTGGTGATGGAGACTTCTCTCAAATACCAACAACCGTTGAAAAGTTTGGTGGCCACTAAAACTGGACATATCTTTAATAAAATTGTGCCAGGTTCCAAGGCTGCCCGATCGGCAGGGAAGATGCAAGGCTGTCCTGGAAAGTCCAAACTCTGGGAGCTTGTGGAGGATTCTCCGTGACCACGGCCTTCTGGACTCTGGTATCCCATCCCCATCACCATTCCTACACTCACCTAATGCCACCTCTTCAATGAGGACAGTGAATTCCAAATAAACGGCTATTTGTCTGTGTTTATAAAGCAAAGGACAAACAAAAACAAGCCTGGCCTGAGGGGGCTGCAGAAGGCACCTGTCACCCTGCAGACCAGAAGCTCAGGCAGCAAGATCCAGTGGAGACTAATTCCAAGACGCTGGACGGAAAAGAGGTGGCTGGCATTCTAGATGACTATGCTAGAGGCCTGTGGCTCTTCTGTGAAACTCCCTGGGGAACAGGGGGCAGAAAGAATATAAACAGAAATATGAAGTTGGAGGCTGAGAAACAGAAAAGGAGAGAAGAGGCAGGGCCTAGTGGCTCAGGCCTGTAATCCCAGCACTTTGGGAGGCCAAGGCGGGCGGATCAGTTGAGGCCAGGAGTTCCAGACCAGCCTGGCCAACATGGAAAAACCCCGTCTCTACTAAAAATATAAAAATTAGCCGGGCATAGTGGCGGGCACCCGACAGTGAGAGCCGGAATCGCGCCACTGCACTCCAGCCTGGAGGGAGACTCTCTCAAAAAGAGAGAAAGAGAGAGAGAGGGGGAGAGAGAGGGAGGGAGAGGGAGGGAGACAGGTAGGGAGGGGAGAGAGAGAGAGAAGAAAAAGTTACAGGGAAGAAAAAAAGACAAACGGCGAGAATGCTGTAGGATGGGGAAAGGCAGACAGAGCAAAGTGGAAGTCAGAAATTGTGATCCGCTGCTCTAAAATAAATCAAACAGGGAGAAAAGAGAGACTCAGGGGTATGTGGACAGAGAGTAGAATGGGGAGGCACAGGACAAGGGAGTCCCCCAGGCCGGAACAGGCCAGAAAGCCAGAACCTGGTCGAGGGGAGGGGGCGAGCAGAGCGGCGGGGAGCAGACGGGAGAGAGGGTCGCGCCGAGCCGCGAACACCCGAGGAAAGGCAGCCCCGCCGCGCCACTTCCAAGGGTCCGGGCTTGGGCCACTCGCCCCATGCCCAGGGTTCGGGGGCAACACCAGCGGGCGGCCGCAGCCAAGGAAGGGGCTCCCCAAAGTTTGCAATAAAATCACCCACGCCCGCCTCCGTCTCGGAGGGACTTCGTGTAAATGCACGAGCCCAGGCACCCCCTCGGCCCCTCGCCCCCCTCGCCCCCCAGCCTCTGCTGCAGCCCGGGCTGCTTCTCCCGCGGGCGGGTGGTGCTTGGAGGCGGCGGCGGCGTGCGGGCCAGCTCGTGGTAATCCCCGATGCTGACGCTAGAGGGCGCGCAAAGGTTGCTGCGCCGCGCCAGGTCTGCGAGGAGCGGCGGGTAGAAACGCAAAAAGCGTAGGGCCTGCGGGTGTCGGCACCAGCAGTGGGGTGCTAGGGGCTGGACAGTGGGGTGCCGCGGAGCCGGGCAGTGGGGTGCTGGAGGCGCTGGCCCGGATGGCTGATGGGAGGGTGCCATGCAAAGAGGTGTTGCTCACTTTATTTATTTGGAGAGAGGTTGCCCCTGCATTAAATCTTTGCAAGACTGAAACAAGCCGGTGCAAAACTAAATGAGAGACAGGCGGAGGCAGGCAGGGCAGGAGATGCCCCACACCTCGCTCCCTGGGTTATGGAACCCCCAAAACTGCTTTGGGGGAGAAATAGTCTGATCCCACCAGTACTCACCTCTCCACACACACGCACGTCCTTTCAGAATGGGGTTGGGCGGGGGAGGTGGTGAACTTTAAAAGGCTTTTAAAGGAACAACAACAAAAAAAAAAAAGGTTTGCACAAGGCTGAGGTACTTGAAATGATTTTTGTGTTGCAAATTGCTATGCTTTTACTGAGGCGCTGATGAAAATAAATGAAGCTCCTCTCTCTCTTTTTGCTAATAAATGAAATGAAAAAAGCGCCATTATTATGCCACCTGCTTCTAATTCCTAATTGTGGTAACTTAATTCTCAGATTGTTGTTAGCTGCTTAATATCGCAGGCGCACAAGCAAAAATAAAAATATGAGGGCCGTTTGGGTCTTTTTTGGCCAACGAGGTGGAAGGTGCTTGGACTCAGTTTTTTGTTTAGTTTGGTGACAGTTCCCACAGTGAAATGTGTGCACGGTATTGGAAGGGAGAAATCTTTATTCTCTTCAGCATCCCAAGGGGAGCTCAAAAGGAATAAAAAGGCTTCTGAGCTGCTCAAAACCTAAATAAATAGTCCATGAAAAATGATCAGTGACAAGGTCCGTATTTTTTCCATACTGAAATAGAATGGTGCATATTTCCTATAAAAGAAGAAAACATTAATTTTTATAAGCTGGTTCCTAAATGCCTTCTATGAACCTCTGAACCACACAGTTCCCAGCCTGGGCATTGTAGCTGGGTCCCTGGCTGAAAAACCTTTCTTTCGGGTGTGTCACAGATGACAGGTAAACTCCTTCCCAGTCATTATTTCCGGGCCCTCCAGTCTAGGGAGGTGGGGATGGCCATGGGGCGGGGGGCGGTGGGGGGGGGGGGTGCGATGAGACTCTTAAAATTTCTCCCAGGCAAATAGAAATTAGCAGATCTGAATCACAATTCTGTGAAAGTCAAGAGCTATATTTAGCTTCTTCTCTTATTTTCCATTAAAACCAAGTTTTTTTGTTTGTTTTCCCTGGTCTCTCTTATTGTTGGGAAGTTCTGGAGTATCAGACTTGTCAGGAGAGTGTGAGAGAGCCCGAAATAAGTACAAATTTAGGAGAGAAAATGCCATATTTCTCTGGTACAATTATGAAAGGATAGAATATTGCCATACACTGTAACACATTTTTTTTTCTTCTCTAGTTCCAGGCAAACAGCTAAATAAACACATAATAAGCATTTAATCGAGAACAATTTGTCACAATGTTGCTAGTCAACAAGACAGAACTGCCTTCTGTGAAACCGAATAAAATCAACTTAATACTTCATGCCCTGGCCTCCTTGGCCTTTGAGTTTTTCACATGAGATGCGTTTGTCCCTTATGACTGTGAATGAGAGTACCTTGGAAAATGCTGGCTCAATTGCATCCAAGCCAGTTTGGGGCCTGCCGGGGAAAGCAGCCAGACAGACCTTCAATCCCAGTTCAAACTACCCTCTAAGTGTTGCAGTGACACATGGCAATGTCCTGTTGACCATAAAATCCCGTTCTAGCAGACGAGAACACTGTCCAGCTCTAAGCAGAAGGGCAGCCCGCTCGAGCAGACCGCGAGATGCTGCCCAGTCCAAAACGTGAGCAAAGTTCACAGGGGAGAGAACGCAGCGCAGCCGCCCCGAGTCAGCCCTGAAGCAAGAAAAACCAAAAGAAAACACTTGTGAATGAAACTTAAAGCTCTCAATGGAGCTGGAGCAGCAGGTGCTGTTTAAATAACCAAAATAAGGTTGCAAGCAACAGATCCTATGTTTGCTGGGTTCTTTCCTATGCTGCATGACATTAGAAAGGGAGTGTGTAAAAATATAAGGCTACATCTGCAGGCAGAGCTAGGCTGATGGTGAGGAGACGCAGCAAATGAACCCCAAATTCAGGAAAATATGCAAAAGGTTTGCTCTTTAAATTCTACAGGAAAACAGAAAGTGGAAAATATGTGTGTCTGGGTTGTAGTGAGGAGGGATAGATGAAACATAGAATGCTAATGTGTCTCATGATCAACCGAGAGTATCTTATTTACATCTTAAGCTATTTGTTGCTGATTTTCCATGCAACTGTTTTGTACTGGAATTCTCAAAGCTGAACCAGAAGCATTTAAATGACCCTGTACGTTTGCTGTGTGTCTTCTAGAAGGTGTAGACACACACACGCGCGCACACACACACACACACAGCCGGTCCCACATCTATGTGCATAAGCCGCATATACTCCCCCTTATCTCTACAAATCTCTGCCATCTCTATATTCCCAAACACAGGAGAATCTATGTATTTATTTCTCTCTTGAACTCGACTATGCAACACAAGTCAACACTCTTAAATGTCATCTTTTAATACCTCATGTAAAAGGCAAACTTTTCCTAACATGCTTTTCTCCAATCCTATTTAATGAACTCCCCTGAACACTGCATGTACCCAATTTCATCTGTAGAGGTAAGGCATAATATTAAAAAAATTTTTTTTTGGTATTAAAAAATGAAAGGAAAAAAGCAGGGGAAATATTTTGAAAGTCAATTAAAATTTTGTGTACGTTTTCATTTTTTAATGATAAATTAAGTTACTAATTTTGTCCGTGCTCTTTGTAGACACTGCAGGTTTAATTGCTAATTGTTAACTGCGAATGAATACATTTGCATATTAATTAGCTCCCAATTTACATTTTTAATTTGCTTCCTTCAAAAGGTGCAAGATAAAAGGTCGTGTTATTTTAAATAATTTATGCTTTATTGCATGAAATACGCTAATATGAAATGTGCCTACTAATTTTAACCCCTTTTCTAAGAAGGAAAATGAATACCATTAAAAGGGGAAGGCAGAACTGGTGGTGTTTTGAAAAACAACATTATGCTACGTTGTACCTCAGCAGCAGAACTGCTTTTTCCTGCAGTCTCCTTAGGCTGAAAAAATGAATGCATTTTTTTCCTTTACCATCCGTTTAAAAAGTGATAATATATTTGAAGAACAAAACAGCTGCAGTGGGGGGAGCCTATCAGTCCTTTATCCAGGAAAAGATAGACAAAATGAGTCTTGTTTTCTAGTCAATATCGCCAGCAAGTGGAAGTCCTCCCAACACCGCCCCCCCACCCTGCAGTGGAGACGCCTCCAGCAGAAACCGCTTCTCCCCACGCCAGTCTCCTCACCCACCAAAAGAAAGTTTTGCAGCTCACATCTTTCTCTAGGCTTTGGAATCCAAGTTCCTCGCCCTGGCTTCCTGAAAAATCGTGAGGTGGTTTGCACAGGGGAGAGTTCATTCTTTCCCAATAGCTGACCAAAGAGGTTCTCAAATTGTAATTTTCACTCTTCATCCCTTGTCAGTCAGCTTCACTGTAAGAAAATAAAAGCCTATTGTTAAAGTGGTGATATTAATACATCATGGTTTGGACAAGAAAACTAATATTCAGTTCTGAAAGGGGTGTACAGATTGGTATATTTTGACCATTACTGGAAACATCTCCTTTTATTTTCTTCCTCTTTTTCTTTTGTATGATATTGTTTTGAGACATACCTACTAAAATGGTGCTAATATTTCACAGAGCTTTTAAAATAATTTGTCTAAGCATGCATTAAAAATTTTTTAAAACAGGGCTTGGATACTAGAAAATATGATTATGGAAAAATATATGTACAATTTGGAGGAAATTGAAACCTGTCACTTTGTTCTCTGGGTTACTGCTGAGTCTCAGCCTTTTTATTGTGTCTTATTTTTTGCAGATGGAACCCAAGCCAGACTTGTGGTAAGAACCTCCTAGCTGAGGGCCACCAAAGATCACACTCGCCAGGATTAGTTTATGTAGATATGCAGGCAAATAGCACTGGGTAGCCTCGCTGCACAGATCCAGGGCTCTGACCGAAACCCTCTCTTGTTCTGACACCAAAACACCCCCTTCCCGACCATGTGGGACAGGCCTGGGATGGAAACGCATTCGAAGTGTTAAGCAATGGAGTCGAGTCAGTTGTTCACCAGAGGGTCGATCTTTCTAGGCAATTATAGCTGCAGTGACAGGAGCACTCGCAGGTTCATTGTGGAAGACACACTGGCAGTTAGGTTTATCCCTCCAGAGGAGCCAGGTGCATGAACACATCCCTCCAAGTCATTAGGATTTTCAAGTAGAAAGATTTCCTTCTGCTCACATGAACATCAGCAGAACAAAAACTCGCGGCAAGATGCAACCTTGGCTGTTTGTCCGTCTAAGGGTGGGGGACTAAGACGAGAGAAGCTGCAGTTTAACCATGTGTTATTTCAGTCTCACCTGGTCATCAAAAGAGGCATGAGAATCGCCAAATCCACCAAAACCAACGAGCTTGCAGCCATTGTTGCCTAATAGGGAGAGGTTGAACACAGGAATGCGAGGGACAGTTGCCTTTTGTGAAACATGGATGGGTAGATGGGCAAATACATATAGAGATACACAGGTTTCATCTGTAGTGGATATTTTGGCTTTTTATTCAGCTGTGCATTGACACTATCGTAAATTCGCCGGCACAGACACTGTGATTGAAGACAGGCTCTCCCCGCATCATCCCTGCACACGAGTCTTCCTGCGTTTCTGTCTCTGTTGCCGAGGTTTCTCACATTTCATACCTCTACAGCCCTCCCGTAAATCAGGGGTTAATTGTGATTCTTTCAGACCCATGGAAATAGGAAGCTGAGACTTCTGAAGGATCACTTGCAAGTCGGGAAGAGCTCGAAGGGAGGGGGCTACTTTCTGAAATCCAACTTTACTGCTTTTACCGAACCATTTGTTGTGCGTGTGTGTGTGTGTCTAAAAAATACATTTGGTACAAATGTTTCAAAGTCCTGGTGCGCTTTAATTAATAAAGCCACTTAGGACGAGTGCAAATCGTGCACGCGGAGATGTGCACAGCCCAGCATCTTTCTGACATCCAGCCCGGTTTGTTTAGTGTAATAGTCAAAACATTTTTTCTTCTCTCGGGTCATGTTGATCTGTAGAATAATTTGAATTCTCAAGCTGTTATCCATACATCACTCCCAATAGCATCCAAATGAAAAGAAACAATTTTATATTCTATAATTAAGCAACATCAAGAATGCAACAGGCAGGAGGCATTATGGTGAGGGGGTGGGGGAGTGGTTAAAGGACTGAGGCCTGAGCCCCAAGCCCACCAGTGCGACCCCAAGCAGGTGACACAGCGGCCTCACCTAAAAGACTCTCTTCACCTAAGTGTTCTCCATACTCAGCCGCAGAGCTCCCACCCACACTGTCTTCCCTCCTGAAACAAAATCTTTCTTTCTGGAAAATTTCAACATGTTTGACGGATTTATTCCACTGGGGATCCTCCACCCCCCTTTTTAAAGGAAACCACTTCTGGGGTGCACAGAGCAACCCTCTATACCATGTGTATACAGAAGGCTGGGCTGATTCCTTTCTTTTTATTTTATTTTATTTTTCCCCGTAACAGGAGAGGGTTTGAAGAATGCTTCTACCATGGATACCAGAGAGGGGAATTTTAAGTAGGCAGAATGTAATCACCCAAATTGGAACTCAGCCAGGACACTGCCAGGGCAATTACTCCTCCTCTCATGCTAAATACCAGGGGAGCATAAATGACCTGCGGTTTTGCACCCTCCTGCAAGCGGAGGGGCTCCCAGGGGCAGGAGCCCGGGAGCTCCCCTCGGACAGACCAGCAGCTCCTCCCCATCACCCCTGGCTCATCCCTGTCTTCAACTTGCCCTGCTCCAGGTTTCTGTAATTCCAAGGGTTTTTAAGCTGAGGTCAGAAATCACTTTTTAAAATAGTATTAATTAGCTCCCACCCCCGGGGTGTCTTCCCTCTCCCAGGACCTGAGCCAAGGGTTCCTTGTGTCCTATATGATGCAGCCCACGGTTCTCTGTGTCCTGTATGATGCAGCCCACCTTCCAATGGCTCTGGGGACATTGCTTCTCTTATCCCACCTCCTGAGCCCAAAACTGAGGACCAAGGAGGTAGTAACTGCTCAAGGTCACAAAGTCGGGTTTCAGCATTGTCAGACCCCAGGCCGCACATCTGTCTCTTCTTTGATGGAAAAAGAAGAGACATCTCTGCTTATACTTTCTCATAGAGCACATTTCTCTTTGAGGGCAAGGATTTATTTTCTAAACAGGTCTCAGTGTTGTAAGTAGGATTGTAATGAACATCCTTGGTATATTTGTCTTTGCACACTTCTCTATGTCCTTAAAATAATTTCCTAGGAGTGGAGTTGTGCAGTCAAAGAAAATACATATTTTAAAAAACAACATATTATTAAATTGCCCTCTGGAAAGGTCTGCATGCTGGCCAGCAGTGTGAGAGTGTCTCCTGAAAGTGTGGCCCTTTTAAAGCTCATTGTCTACACATCCAGACTCCACGTGGACCTGACCTTGTGAACTCTCACAGTGACTGGGATGACTATCGCTACTGCGTTCATCAGTGGCTTTATGTGAATCTGTTGGTTGTTTCAATGGGAGGGCGAGCTCGCTGAGGTCAGGAATCGTGTTTTATGTATCGCTGTCACCCCAGAACCTAGCACAGAGCCTTGCACATAGAAATGGCTCCATGAATGCTTGTGCCGGTGAATTTGTAGAGCCCAAGGCTGTTCAAATGGAGAACACACCTGTGCTGAGTGAGAGACAATGTCCTTGGTGGAAACTAAGACAGGGGTTGGAGTCAAGGCCACGGAAGTTCCAATTCCTCTCTACCATAGCTGGATCTGTGGCCCTTGAGCAAAATCACTTAGACCAGTAGAGTCCCACTTCTCCCATACATAAAATGGAGCTAACGGTGTCTGCGGTGCAGCGCTGCTGTCAGGAGTAAAGGTCAAGTATGGTAAACACCTGGCTCTAGGATTTTTAGCCTTCAGGTTCCTATTCACAGCAGCCCATGACTCACGGGTGGTGCTGGTTTATAACAAGTTTTCACTAACCTACAGCCAAGTGAGAACAAGGAAGATAATATGTGGAGTTTTTCATAAAGCAAAATCCTTTCCATCGGAAGGGCTGTTTTATTATGAGATGATGTCATTTCTACTTCTTCTTTGCTGTTTAAACATCCTTTTGTTTATGAAATTATGGTGACAGTATGTGAGAAGCTGTTTTTTTTTTCTTTCTACATTTTCAACTTTGACAAAATTCAAAAGTTAGCGACTCTCTCTTAGCCTCTCTCACCCCAAATTTGTTTCATGTTTTTCTGGCTCATAAACATAAAGGGCTTAGAACAAATGGCTGAGGCTACAGCTTCATTCAGATTTCTGATCAAATCTCCCAATTCTAAACCCTTATTGAGGGTAAGAGAAAGAAGAACTGGGAGGCAAAAATGCAAATGTCCCCCATAAAACTACTCACAGTTATTTTTGAGTGATACAAATAATAAAATGAGTATTTTTTAGAACAAAAATGTGAGAATTTTCAAGTGTGCATGTTGTTCCCTTGGCAGCAGTGACTTTGGGGGGCTCAACCCCCATGCCACATTCAGAACCGCTTTCTACTTTGCGCCCCTCCCGGCTTCCTTATCCGCCATCCTTCTTGACTCCAAATGGTTTCTCCAGCTTTTCGTCATCCATCTCAGGAGCTGCTTTAGTCCCCCATGGCTACTGACTGTTTCTAAAAATCAAATCTACCCGTAAAGAATGGAGATTTGCCAAGGTCCGGGAGATTCAAAAGAGGAACGGAAGCTCTGAAATGTGAGCAAAGCTACATTACCTTTGATTACCTTCTGGGCCTGTGCTTTCTAATGCATGGCCTTAATATCTTGGTGGGCGCCATTCCTGTTTGGCTGAGAGACTCGGTCCCCAGCCGTCTTGGCCGGATGCCTCGGGCTGTGATGCCTGGTGGGAAGGCTGGATGAAGAGGCAAGTCTAGAAACAGCCCTTGAAGGAGACAAATTGTTAAGACCTGCTCTGAGAAGCATGTAGGTGACTGGGATGCCCCAACACTAGGTCTCATCCTGTGATCAGGGTTTGAGGAGTAGCCCCAAAGGCTGCAGCTTCAAAGGCCTTCAGAACCAAAAGCCCCAGAACAGCGTGGTTTGAGAAGGTGCTTTGTCTGCTCACAGGGCGAGGGGTAGGTGGGTAAAGATGGCAGGAGGCACTAGTATGGAAGGCAGCCACAGGAGGGGTCTCATGGTGGATTGAACAGTGACTCCCAAAAAGCTGTGTCCACATCCTGTTGCCTGCTCTGAATGTGGACCTTATTTGTAAAAAGGGTCTTTGCAGATGTAATTCACTGAAGGATCTCAAGATCCTGTATTATCCAGGTGGGTCCTAACTCCAACTGTGGGTCCTTACAAGAGACACAGAAAAGAGAACAGATGCCGAGAAGGCCGTGTGAAGACAGAGGCGGAGATTGGAGTGATGCTGCCATGAGCCACGGAACACCAGGAAACTCCAGGAACCGCCAGAAGCTGGAACAGGCAAGGACAGATTCTCTTCTAGATCCTTTGGAGGATGTGCGGCCCTGCCAACACCTTGATTTTGGACTTCCGACCTCCAGAACTGTGACAGAATAATTTTTGCTGGTTTAAGCCACTGGTTTATAGTATTTTGTTCCAGCAGCCCCAGAAGCTGATACAGACCTCTCTGGGCAGAGGTGAGTTTTTGTCACCTTAGGAGATCAGGGCAGTCCAAGGTAGTGGCTGGGAGGAAGAATCCTTGATGGACGTACATTGAGAGTGGAGGGGGGTGCTGGGATTACAGGTGTGACCCGGCATTCTGGGAGTCTGAGGCGGGTGGGTCGCTTGAGACTAGGAGTTTGAGACCAGCCTGGGCAACACAGTGAAACCCTGTCTCTATAAAAAATACACAAAATTACCCAGGTATGGCATGCACCTGTCATCTCAGCTACTCGGGAAGCTGAAGTGGGAGGATTGCTTGACCTTGGGAGGTCAAGGCTGCAGTAAGCTGTGATACCACCACTGTGCTTCAGCCTGGGCAACTGAGTGAGACCCTGTCTCTTTCTCTCACACACACACACACGCACACACACACACTCTCAGAAGTCGGGTAAATGAGCATCACCCCAAAGCCAGCGACGCACTAGTGGTAAGCCTCAGAGTCTTAAAATCTGAGGCAGCGTCACGTTTCCAGTATCTTGAAGAGGCTCTGGAACAGCAGAGCAGCAGAAAACAGAGATGAAATACGTGGGAGACACAAAGCAAGCACACACAGATCTGAGAGCAGAAGTCATGACTGCATCTTCTACAATGGCAAAAACCTGGAAACGCTTGTGCCCAACAATAGGGGATTTAAAAAATATTATAAACCATTGAAACGTTACGTCGATTTGTAGTCGGTTCAATGGGCAGGGCTCCGCTATACACCATTAAATGTAAACAGTCAACTACAAACAGTATATATAATATTGTGATCCTAGGCCTGTATTATGTAAATGTATGTTCTCCCTACAGAAAGTCTAGAAGAAAAGCTCACTAATGCGATCATCACTGGATGATTTTTACTTTTATTATATACACATATATTTCCCACTTTTTCTAATTTTTTCTACAAAGGAAGTGATGATTGCATAATATTTTAAGGGTTTGTTTTTAAAAGATCCCGTGATAGTGTCTAAATATAATCTTTTAAAGTGAAGTCCTTGATATAAAATCATCAGCAAAGTTGTCTGCCTACCTAGAAAAGCCTCTAACACTGCTGGTGGGAATGTGAATTACTTCAGTCCTTTTAGAGAATAATTGGGCAGCACGTATTAAAATTTAAACTGCACATACCCTTTGATCCAGCAAATTCATTCCCCAGCATCTATCTTAGAGACTTTCTCAAACATCCATGCAAATAGCTTGTATATGGTATTCATGGAAACACTGATTGTATTAATAGTATCAAAAAAGTGGGAGTGAGCTAAATGTTCATAATGGAGAAGTGTAAATAAATGATGTTTATTACTATTGTGGAATACTATGTAAGCATTAAAATGAAAGAGGACGATCTATATACAATGTGTGTGTGTATGTATGTATGTGTGTGTGTATATATGTATAGTGTGTGTATATATGTATAGTGTGTGTGTATATATGTATAGTGTGTGTGTATATATTTATAGTGTGTGTATATATGTATAGTGTGTGTGTGTATATGTATAGTGTGTGTGTGTCAGTACACCAGCGTGGAAAGATTTCTGAGATGTTAAAGGAGAGAAAAACAAAAAAAACAGCGATTTGCAGAGCAATATGTACAGTATGATCTTGTCTATGAAAAGAACACCAACCTACTTTTGTGCAAATACACATAGGTTTATAAAATGCTGAGCAAAAGGGGTGAGAGTGTTAAATCCACCCCTGCCTCCTTCTGATAAGGACACGGGTGATTACATTTTGGGGCCCACCTGAGCATCTAGAATAATTCCCCCATCTCAAGAGCCTTAACTCAATCACATCTGCCTCTTGCTTCAGGTGTCTCATTGCGGTAGTCAAGTGGCATCGAGAACAGAAGTGGCATCGAGAGGAGAGTAGTGGACACTTCACCTTTTGCTCCCACTAATTATGTATGGCTTGAATAATATACATTAAGAATATAGTTGTGTTTAATAGAATAAATAAATAAGCTGAATGACTAAAGGAGCTTGAAGGCTCTTGTACCCCTAAATGAGCGCAGGACTATGAGTTGGGCCCCGCCCCTTGCTTGCCTGGTGATCATATAGTCTACAGGTCACCTCTTCTTTTTGCTCCTTGGCCTCCTCGTCTGTCCAGCCAGGGAGCTGGATACCGCAGCTTCACGAAGCTCTTTCAGCTCAAAGAATCCCCAGTTGTCTGTCTGCCATGACAAGAGAAACGATTAAATGTCCTTCTGTCCTATGAACCCTAACGGACACAATGAGGCAAAGGGTTTGGCAGGAGACATGTTGCTCTGTTTGCAAAGTGAGCAAAAAAATTTAAAAACCTCTGCTCATGTGACTTCCAGAGCCCACCCAATACGCCAAGCCCTCAAAGGGCCTCTTCTGCAGAAAACACTGTTCATCTCAAGTAGACTTTAAAAATAGTTGATAAGCGAAAAGATTTTCTGAGACTCTTTGAGAGTGATTTTTTAGTACCCTGCTCTGTAATAACCAGAAGGTGTTTAATAAACATGATATGCAGCAGTCGCTAAGAGAATCTGATTTATGTACAAAAGCAATACAGAGCAACTGTGCATCAGGGTGGTGCCCTTTTATTTGACTGTGAATGCTGATATTCTGATGGAAGCAATTGTGCTGAACTTTATTTATAATCAGCTTACGGCATGGATAGCTGTATTGTAAGTGCTTCTCAAATTACATAGCAAATCTTGTTGTCTCCTTAGGCAAATAAGAGACCTACATCATAAGCTTTAACGGTAATACAGGTCACTGTCAAGGGTAAAATATTTCCCAAGCCCTTCTGATTAGCAAAATCACATATAGCTTAAGCATGGGCTGGGGCTGCAGCCACAGCACCTGAAGACAGCTCAGAAAGCAGCCAATAAATAAATGTCCAAGGAAATTGACATTAAGGAAAATCTCATTACAGAAAAAAACATTTAATTTTTCTACATTTGTGTTGAACAGTTCACCAAGAAGTGCAAATCGCTTGGGCTAAGGAGCTTCCTGGTTCTAAAATGAGTCCTGAATAAATATCCGACAAGTGTGAGGCAGTGAAGAAACCTTATTTCATTGGCTGAGAGGGAAATCAGAACAGATGCGGAAGACCAGTTTCCCAGATACACAAATAGGACGCAGGACCAGACTTGGAGGCTTTTTTTTCTTTTGCTGGGGCTGCCTGTCAGAAGATCGCAGAGCGATTCCTTAAATGTTAAGTCTAAAATTCCTCCCCGAAGACATATCCACAGAAAGGATCCCAGAGGGGCCCACCACACCTTTCTGAAATGTTCTCATAATTCATAATTAATATGCTATGGATCGGACCAATAGAGCCTGCTTTTCGGGTGCCGTGCCCCTTTTGAGTCTCTCTGTACCCTGGCTTTCTCATTCTGCAGAAATCAGCCGTAAGTGACTTCAGATCAACCTTCTTGTCTCAGGCTTGTATCAGGGCTAGAGAAAATCTGGGTCATTCCAGGCATCAGGCAAATCCTGGTACATCATAAAATCCCCAACAAAATAAATAAACAACCCCAAAAAAACATCTTCTTTCTCTGTCCTTTTGTTCCCTTTCAAGTGTCCATTTCTCATCTCCTCCATTTCCTTGCCCCTTTCTAGAAATTAGAAGCAGGCACTTTTCCCCCACACTCATCTCAGTTGGCCTCAGCCGCCTGCTGTGTGTACATGGTCAGCGCTGATGTGCACCTGTGTGTGTGGGATAGATATTCCCAGCCATTTGATGGGGTTCTCCAGGAGCACTGAATCCCTTCACTCACCAACAAATATTTATCAGTATCCACAAATATCCATCAAGCATTGTGCTAGACTCTGAAGATACAAAAGTGACTGAGACAGAATGGATACCTTATTGTTTTATGAGGCAAGAAAAAGAAAAACAAAATAAAAAAGAAACACAAAATAAAAAAGAAACTAAGTATAAATTGGGATGATTGCGGTAAAGTAAGCAGGGTTAAGAGAAACAACAGCAGGGGTCTCCTGATGGTCACGGATGGAGTTCATTCTCACCCCAAGAGCTGGGTAAGAGGCTCAGGTGTAAACATGGCAAGGAGGAAAACCAGGCTGGACCGGGTGCATGAAGTCCGGAGTTTTGTGGTCTGCAGGGAGTGCCGGGTGTTGCCCGGCTTCTCTGCATCCTTTCTAAACCTTGAGACTCCTGTGAGCAATGCAGATGAGAGGCGTTATTGTCCCCTTTTACAGACAAGGGAATCAAGGCCAGAGGGGTTACTGGAGGTCACTCTACTGGAGGTCACTCCGTGAGTGAGTGGCAGCTCACCCCAAGTCACTCCCAAGTCATGAGCTCCACGCCATTGGTCTGTTCCCACCACAGATTGTGTGGGAGCCACGAGATGTGTTCTGTCTCACCCCAAAATGACCACAACCTTGCTCTGGTGTGATGAGAGTAATGCTGCCCTCAGAGCCCATAGGGCATATTTGTGGGACACAGGAAAAGGTGGCCCTTCCCTGGGCAGACCCAGCCCAGCTTTACCGGCTGAACACTGGCTGGATGTCAGCCCCTCTCACCTGCCCCAACCTCCAGTGGGCACAAGTGTATACTTGTGCAGTGAACAACCAGCACCACTGCACATGGCAGCCCTGGAGGGTCCCTTCTGACATCTGAACCACACCGGGGTTGTTTCTTTGTTTGTTTGTGATGGAATCTCACTCTATAACCCAGGCTGAAGTGCAGTGGCATGATCTCGGCTCACTGTGACCCAGCCTCCTGGGTTCAAGCAATTCTCCTGCCCCAGCATCCAGAGTAGCTGGGATTATAGACATGCACCACCACACTCGGCTAATTTTTGTATTTTTAGTACAGACAGGGGCTGGTCTCAAACTCCTGACCTCAAGATCCACCTGTCCCAGCCTCCCAAAGTGCTGGGATTACAGACTTACAGACATGACCCACCACGCCTGGCCAACCATGCTGCTCTTGCTTCCTATTTCCTCCCACCATGTGACCCTGCCTGCTTCCCACCCCTCCTCACTCCACTGCACACACCAGCCTCCCCCATGCAGCAGCTGGACCTCTACAAAAGCTGTTTCTTTTGCCCCTCTGACTTCCTCTCGACTTTTCAATTTTCTTAATCCTGATTCCAGACACCTGTGTCACCCAAGTTGCAAAAGCCCTGTCTCAGATTCCCTAATAGCCTCTCTGACTCCTCTCTGTTCCAGTCTCAGTAATTTTTTTAAACTGCAAATCACATTGTATCACTTGCTTGCCTAAAAACCACTCCAAATCTTCCCATGGTTCCGAGGATACACCTGAAAGCCTCACTGTGACCTCCAGGAACTTGCTGCATCTGGCCTCAACTTGCCCCACATCCCCACATGCCCACATGCCACCACTCTGTCTCTGTTCTGGCCTTTGTCTAGTTGTTTTGAATTCACAGCTTCTTCCTGCCCCAGGCCCTTTGCATATGCTCTTCTCTCTGACTGGAATGCAGAAGGAATGCTCCTGACCTTCTCATTGGAATATGGTTCTCCTGTTTTGTTCTGTCATAATGATAGCCACTGCTTAGTGAGTAATGCATGTCTCAGACCACTGTTCCAAAATCCTTTTGTGTATTTACTTATTTAATCGCCACAAGGACCCTGTGAGGGAGATGCTAATAGTATTCCCACTGAAAAGACTCAGACAGGGAGGCCCCGAGAGGCTAAACACTTTGCCTAGAGGCACATAGCTAATTAGAGCTAGAATTGCCATCCAGGTCACTGATTGCAGAGCCCACCACCTACTTCTCTCATGGTCTGAGTGACATTTCCTATTTACAATAGGCTGTGCACAGCTTTGCCTTATAGCACAAAATAAAAATGTATTGAGCACATAGCAGGTACTCAATAAATGTGCAGATCCATGAACAAGACGTACTTAGGGAACATCACGACTTTTCTTAATACCATCCTCTACCACTACACACAGAAACCGCGCAGTGCATAATAACTATATTCGTTTCCCATGGCTGCCAGAACAAATCACCACAAAATGGGTGGGTTAAAACAACACACATTTATTCTCTTACCATTCTGAAGGTCAAAAGTCCAAAACCAGTTTCACTGGGCCAAGATCAAGGTGTCAGCAGGGCTGTGCTCTCCAGAGGCTGCAGAGGAGAATCCATTTCCCTGCCTTTCCCAGCTTCCAGAGCTGCCTTTCTTCCATTCCTTGGCTTATGGCCCCTCCCTCCACCTTCAAAGCCAGCAGTGTTGCATCTGGCTTGTTGTCACATTTCTTCTGTGTCAATTTCCCCTCTGCCTCCTTCTTAGAAGGACCCTCATGGTTACATTTACGGCCCACTCGGATTATCCAGGATCATCTTTCCATCTCAAGGTTTTTCCCTTGATCCCATCTGCAAAGTCCCTTTTGCCATGCAAGGTAACGTATTCACAGATTCTGGGGATTAGGGCCTGGAAATGTATCTCTGGGGGCCATGATTCATCCTACTATAATAGTAATGGCTGGCTGGGTGCAGTGGCTCACGCCTGTAATCCCAGCACTTTGGGAGGCCGAGGTGAAAGGATTCCTTGAGCCCAGGAGTTCAAAACTAGCCTGGGCAACAAAGCAAGACCTTGTCTCTACAAATAATAATAATAGTAACATAAATACATTAGCTGGTCATGGTGGTGCACACCTGTAGTCTCAGCTACTCAGGAGGCTGACATGGGAGGATCTCTTGAGCCAGGGAGTTCGACGTTGCAGTGAGCTGTGATTGCACCATTGCACTCCAGCCTGGGTGATAGAGCCAGACCCTATTGCTAAAATAATAATAATAATAGCTGAAAACAAAGAGCTAACAGTCATCGCATGTTTACTGTATGCCCAGTACTCTTAGAGCTTCACGAGTGCCGGTCACAGCATTGGTAGTGCTATGAGAGACATACCATTGTCATCACTCCCATTTCTCAGATGAGAACCTGGAGGCTCAGTAAGCAGCAGAGCCAGGATTTGAATCCAGGCTGTCGAGACCCAGAACCTGTGCGACTAACGTCACGGCACCTGTAAGCGCCGTGGTGGTCATCCCAGAGTCCAGAGTTGAGGGGAGTGTGGCCGGGCGGCTTCACAGGAAACCTCACAATAAGCTTCAGACAGACACAGCCCAGCTGTCTCAGCATTGGTGGTGACCCTTCCTCATTGGGCCCTGGACACCTGTGGGCTGGGAAGGTGGGAGGCCCAGCCCCCAGTACTCACTTGCTTCACTTAGTACGCGCAGCTTTCTGGCCTCTGCTCCGGCAGACCGCTGCGTCTGGCAGGGCGCCATCACTGTCAGCCCCTCTGACTCGGGAGCACTGCACCTTGTTCATGTATTATTTATTTTATTACCTTATTGTGGAAGTTGTTGTTTATAATTTGCTATTCTATATAATGGCCTTCTAATGCACACACTGCTAAATAATTAAAAATTGTCTTGCTGCCACTCCTCAGGAGACCAATTCCTTCACCCTACTAACTAGGTCCATTGTTTAAGTCCAGTTTGATGTGCTCCTTTCCTGTAGAGCGTTCTGGTGAAGTGGGGATCCCCAGATGCGTGCTCAGACCAGGGTGGCCAGGGTTACTGGGAACTGGAATGGGGGTGCTGCCCATCCCTTCCACCCATAGGGCAGAGAACTTCTGAGATAGGCTGGATCCTGGCCCCCAAAGATGCCCACCGCCTCATCCCAGGAACCTGTGAACATGTCATCTTACATGGCAAACAGGACTTTGCCAATGGGATTAAGTGAAAGATCTTGAGCTAGGAGATGCTCCTGGATGATCTTGGGTGTGCCCTAAGTATAATCCTAAGTGTCTTTGTAAGAGGGAGGCTAGGGTCAGAGGACAGAGAAGAAGGTCTATAATAACCGAGGAGGGAGCAGTCTGATAGTCCCTGTTTGGCTCTGAAGATTAAAGAAGAGGCCACAAGCCAAGGAATCCAGGCAGTCTCTGCAAGCTGGAAAAGGCAGGAAACCATTCTCCTGAGAGGCTCCAGAAGGAACCAGCCTTGCCGCACTTGATTTTCACCTTGTAAGACCCAATTTCTGACTTCTGGAACTGTTAGAGAATGAGTTTGTGTTATTGAAAGCCACTAAATGTGTCGTGATTTGTTATAGTCACAGGAGGAAACTAACCCACACATGTGTCACATGCATCCACATGATGTGTGGTAGTCTTATCCCTAGGGATACAGAGCTCGGCGCAGGGTAGGCACTGAGGGGAGGTGGGGCTCAGGTGCAGATTCCACAGGCAGAGGGTTGAAGGGAAGGCCACACAGTGACTTGTGAACATGGACCACAGCATCCACTTGCATTGAGTCCAGCTTGGTAAAATCCGGGCCAGATTCCCAAGCCTTGGCCAAATGGGGCTGGCAGGCAAACAAAACCCACAGAAAACCCAGATCCTCACAGCAGCAAATGGGCTCCACTTCCTCTCTTGCCAAGGTTTTGGGGGGTGCTACCTACAATGGCTTGCTCATAGTGGCACACATTTTACAGGCAGCAAAGTCCCCATCCCAACCCGACTTGAGAGTTAGGCAGAACAGGGTTTACAATCCTAACACACAAGAAAAGCAAGGCTCGGAGAGACGAACGGGCTCGTCCCCGAGAGTTCAGCGAGTCGGGAGGTCCTGGAACCCCTGCACTCCCACAGTCTCTTGGGATACAGAGCTGGGGTGCCCTTGCTTGGATGCATTTTCTTTCCTCTTTCTAGGGGTGCTAATCCACCCCGCCAGGCAGCAGGAACAGAGCAGTCGAGGCTGGAAGGTCCAGACAGGTCCCTAATTTAATAATTGCTCCCTGAATAATTGATTGCTTGTCCTCATGAGCTATTGGCTGGGGGCAAATGCCTGTTCCTTTCCCATCTGGAATCCGGTTTCTGGTCAGTCAGTCAGTCACCAGCCAAGATTAAGTGCCACCTGCAGCACCACACACCAGGCCCAGGAGGAAATTACATGTGCTATGGGTCTAGTTCCTGGCCCTGGGGACCCCCTATCCACCCAGGTAGCCAGCCCAGAGCTGGGAAGGCCAGAATCAAGGAGCAGAAGCTATAAAGACTTTGCCTCACTTTCTCCTGTCATCCCTCAGTCTCCTGTCATCCCTCAGTTCATGGTTTATTTGGGGGAACAGACAGGAGGAGAGAGCATTAAAGCAGACATGGTTTATAAAGAAATGAGCCAGGGCCCTCCATTGCCCTTGCCTGTCATGGCAACACAGCAGGTCAGAGCTTCCTATTCACTAATGGAACTCTCCCCTTGAAAGTCATGTTCCCGAATGCGAATCTCTGAATGCATAGTAAGGAGAGTGTGTTCTCGCCACAGAGCAAAGGTCCCACCTCTACCTGGGCATTGCTGCCAGGGCGTTGCTGCCATGGTGTGTGGTAGTCTTATCCCTAGGGTTATATTATGGATTTGCATCTATCCCTGCCTTCCTTGGCTCATCCCAAGAACACGCATTGAGGGCCTAGATGGTGCCAGGCCCAGCTGAGAACCACGCCCCTGACAATGAAGGAGCTCAAGCTCTGCGTGGGAAAACTGATGTCAGCAGACAGCGGCAGGACGAGTGCCGCTCGAGGGTAGAGGGAAGCTCAAAGGGCTGGGGGCAGAAAGAGGCCCCACCCATCCATGGAGGCTTCCTGGAAATTTGACCCCTGGTCCTAGTCTTGAGAGTTGGAATGTCACTCTTATTAATGAGAAACCCAGAAGTAAGAGAGGAAATAAAACTTATTCAAGCACCCAGAAGAAATCCTTTCTGCATGAATAAATGGACAACTCAACTTGCAATCTTAGACGTCAGGGGAGGCCACATAGTTCAAGCAAGCCGAGAGTCTCAGCTCTTTCAACTACAGCGCGTGTTTATTCGGGCCTGGCTGTGACAAGCCTCAGCTGGACTTTGGGTAGAAGGCAATGGCCCAGACCCTATCAGCCCCTATAGAAGTTGTAAAGTAGGGTGTTGGGAGTACGCCCCAGGCAGACAGGGCCCCTCGTCATTTTAAGCACTCCTTACTTAAGTACTCTTTAGTGGGCACCTGCTGCTTGTCAGCATAGTGTTTTATCTTTCGGGAGGAGAGCTGTGTCCAAGCTTGGGTCAGATTTTACAAGACAATGAGCTCCCTCGTGGCCATCATGATGATGGCAAGAGTTAGCTTTAGAGACTGAGAGCCTTAGAGACGCTTAGAGGTAGTGACTCTCAGCATCTGAGTTGGATCTGCTTGGTCATATGCCATGAACAGACTTCCATCCTGTCAAAGCCTCAAAGATTTCTCTTTTATATAATAAAACAATAATAATTACTACCTCAGGCCTCATCTGCCCCCAGCCCTTGGACATGGAGAAGGTTTTCCATTCAAGGGACCCTGATAGGAAAACCATCTCAGGAAGGGCATAATGTGGGTTCTGTCACTCCACCCTCAGGCCAGCTCAGCCAGCACTGATGGAGGGACGGGGTGCCTTTCCAAGCCCTGCACTGAGGACCCCAACAGGAGTGGCCCCAGCAATTGGAAGGCCATTTCTCACAAAGCTCCATCCTTCCTGCAGGTGCTGTGTCAACTTTTCCCAAGCTGAGTGACCTTCAGGAATACCCAGAGAAGGCTCACAATCTTCACTCTTAAAAGAAAAAGATGAATGCCCAGTTGATCACTTCTGGGGCATTTTGAGTGAGGCAAAAAGCAGAAAGGAGCCTGTAGAGGTCTGGAGAGTAGAGACCATGCCCCTTGCTGCTCCCCGCAGCTCCCGGGACAGACTTGGTCAGAGGGAGGCTGGCTCAGCCTCCACCAGCCCACAGACCCTGCTGTATCTACTTCCGTGCTCTCCTTGTGAAACTCTCCCAGCAACAAGCCAATGAGAAGTTTCTAGAAAGTCAGTGACCGGAGTGGACTCCACATTCCTCTCCTGCATTCCGCTTCCCCTTCAGTAGCTGGCTGGGATTTGTGCAGATGTGCAAATGCGCAAAAGAAAAAAAAAGTGACTTGCTGTGTTGTCTATAACTGCTTTCCTCTTGCTCTCGAGTCCCAATCCTGTGATGGCAGAAACCTCGATTTTGCCAAGTAAGGCTGCTCAGTGGTTGTCAGGTGAGATCTTAACCTCTTTCTAGGCTTCTGCTCCATTTTCCAGGATCTTCCTCTCCTTTCATGATGGAATCTGGGGTCAAGGGGTCAGTGAGGTGCTGGGGATGGGGAAATGTTGCTTGAGGCTCCCAGTGACCTTCAGTTAGGGTGTGACCCACCCCATGGGATGACAGATGACAGCCCTAGTCCCTTTTCTGTCCTGTAAGGAGACATGTGGCTGTCAGGTCTCTGGATGCCCTGCTCTGGCACCCACTGGTCTTTGCAGCATTGCCCTGTGCTCCCTGGATCTGGTTCCAGGGTCACACAACACGTGGCCTCCTCACTCCCATCCTTATTTTAATCACATCTGCAGAGATCTCTCTGCCACTTAAGTTACCATATTCACAGATTTCAGAGATTAGGATGTGGACACCTCCTAGAGGGATGGGATTATTCTGTTCACAGTGTGGGTGTCAGAGACATGTGAACCAGAACAACTCCATCTTGAATAGGAGCTTGGTAAAATGAGGCTGGGACCTACTGGACTGCATTCCCAGGAGGCTAAGGCATTTTAAGTCACAGTATGAGACAGGAGGTTGGCACAAGATGCGGGTCATAAAGACCTTGCTGATAAAACAGGTTGCAGTAAAGAAGCTGACCCAAACCTACCAAAACCAAGATGGTGACGAGAGTGACCTCTGGTCGTCCTCACTGCTACACTCCCACCAGCACCATGACAGTTTACAGATGCCATGGCAACGTCAGGAAGTTACCTTATATGGTCTAAAAAGGGGAGGCATGAATAATCCACCCCTTGTTTAGCATATCATCAATACATAACTATAAAAATGGGCAACCAGCCACCCTCAGCGCTGCTCTGTCTATGGAGTAGCCATTCTTTTATTCCTTTACGTTAACTTGCTTTCACTTTGCTCTGCAGACTGGCCCTGAATTCTTTCTTGCATGAGATCCAAGAACCCTCTCTTGAGGTCTGGATCGGGACCCCTTTCCTATAACAAGGAGACATGAAGAGTCTTGGCTGGGGATATTGAGGGAAGGCTCTGAGCCTGTTATCATCTGTGAATGAGCAAACATTCTGAGCATTGTATAGTGTTTAGCTTGGACTGCTGAAGCAGAGACCCAAGATACCAAATCCTTGCCTAGATAGAACCGTAATTATCTCCCCAGGTAAACAGCTGGGGCAAACAGTGCAGGGCTGGGCGGCAGCCTCACAGCATCATGGGCCAGGCCCCCTCTATCTTGTTGCTGTGCCCTGTTAGTGCGTTGCCCTTGGCTCCACAGCTCAAGGGGGCTCTCTGTCATGCCCAAATTCCAGCCAGCCTGCAGGGGCAGAGGAAGGTGTGTGTTTACTCTTAAAAAGGCAGGACGTGGAAGTTAATCCTATCGATTCCCTCCCATTCCTGCTGGTGCAGTTGGCCTCACCTCACTGCAAAGAAGGCAGAGAAATGCAGTTCTCATTCTCAGCATCCGTGGGCATCATTGAAAGTTCTGTGGCTATGGAGGATGGAGTGAACAAGGGCAAGTGTCTTCCACCAGTACCTTCTAAGTACATGGCACATGGCTGGGGTGCTAGAGATACAGCAGCAAGGGAGTTCCTGCCCTTGAGGAGCCCTCAGACCATCAGGGGATAGTTTGCTCTCATGGGTGTCCATGCAGCATGGCGTGGGAACCCCAAGGCTGGGCAACTGGCCAGTCCTGGTGGAGGAGAAGACCCAGGGTCACAGTAGGTGTCCTAAGGAAGGCAGCATCTAAGCAGTCTCCAGGAATCACCGTTCCTCCCTCATCCTCTATGTCTCATAGGTCTGTAACTCAATGTCCTCAGTGTCCCCACCCCCACTCTCTCTCTCTCTCCACTCAGAAGCACTCTGGCCCATGGCCACCCCTAGAGACTTTGTTCTGAGTCAAAAGAAGCTCTTCTCTGTGAGTGTGCACATGCGTGTGTACATTCTTGGAACTCTTAGAACCCACCTCACCTCTCAACAAACAAACTATAACCCCTAAAGAGGATGGTTTTGGCCAGGCGCAGTGGCTCAGGCCTGTAATCTCAGCACTTTGGGAGGCCGGGGCGGGCAGATCACTTGAGGTCAGGAGTTCAAGACCAACCTTGCCAACATGGTGAAACCTTGTCTCTACTAAAAATACAAAATTAGCTGGGCATCATGGCACACACCTATAATCCCAGTTACTTAGGAGGCTGAGGCAGGAGAATCACTTGAACCTGGGAGGTGGAGGTTGCAGGCAGTGAGCCAGGGTCACACCACTGCACTCCAGCCTGGGCAACAGAGTGAGCTTCCATCTCAAAAAAACAAAAAAGACAGAAAAAGTGAGGCTGGTTTTGAAGTTTGAAACAAGAGAGCAAAGGGAGCAGTTTTATCAAAGCTATTCGATGAGCAATACTTGCTTTCTTTAAACACCACCCACTTTGAGGTCACCAAACTGGAGAGATCCATCTTTTCTACTCTGAAAATGGGATTCTTGGCTGGACGCAGTGGCTCACGCCTGCAATCCCAGCACTCTGGGAGGCTGAGGTGGGCTGATCACCTGAGGTTAGGAGTTTGAGACCAGCCTGACCAACATGGAGAAACCCCGTCTCTACTAAAAGTAGAAAATTAGCCAGGCAAGGTGGCACATGCCTGTAATCCCAGCTACTTGGGAGGCTGAATCAGGAGAATCGCTTGAACCCGGGAGGTGGAGGTTGCAGTGAGCCAAGATTGTGCCATTGCACTCCAGCCTGGGCAACAAGAGCGAAACTCCGTCTCAAAAAAAAAGAAAGAAAAGAAAAGAAAATGGGATTCTTCTGCTTAAATTAACCAAGCACGTAGTGCCCGCACTTTTGCATGCACACACACACACACACACACACACTCGTGCCCAAATAGACAGTTTTTCAGAAATAAGGATGCAGATGAGAGACTCAAGGACAGGCCTTACTTGCTCTCTGTCAGCTTACAAGAGAATTTATTCCACATATTCATCCATGAATATTTAGCGAGGCAACAATAACATTCAATGACACCCATGAGATACACAACTCAGAGAGCCCTCTCCCAGGAACATACACAATGCTTGATGTCAACGTTTTAACTGGACTGAATGTTTGAAATGCAAGCATTAGCTTACAATAATCCTCCCCCGCCCTCTCTCTGTCTCTGTCCCTTACTCTCTCTCTCTCTTTTTATTTGCATATACAGACATCCCTCCTGTTTTTGATACAAACTGCCAAGCAAATTCTTTAACAGAGTAGACCTGGTGGGGTGTGTGGAGAGTTACCAAAGGTGTAAGTAGTGCTAATGGCACAAATGAATTTTCAGACATGCCACTCTTTCTTTTTTCTCAAGAGAAACAAAACAAAACGGAAAAAACTCACACATATTAGGCAAAGCTTTTCTGGGATTGGCTAACAAGGTTTAGCATTCAGTAAATCTGCAAACTTTTGACAAAACACTGTGGAAGGCTGAATCATAGCCCCCAAAGATGTCCAGGTCCCCAGCCCTGGAACCTCTGTATGTTACCTTACGGGAAAAGGCACTTTGCAGGTGTGATTAAGTTAAGGATCTTGAGATGGGGATGATCTTGTATTATCCAGGTAGGCCCTAAATATAATCATGAGTGTTCTTTTAAAATGAAGAGGGAGGCTTGGCTGTGAGAGAGAGAGGGGGTCAAAGGCCGCATGATGGTGGAAGCCGTGGTGCATTTGAGGAAAAGGCCATGAGCCAAGGATTGCAGGTGACCACCAGAAACTGAAAAAGGCAAGGAAACAGATTTTCCTCTAGAACCTCAGAAGGAACTGACCCCATCAACACCTTGACTTTAGCCCACTGACATCAATTTTTTTTTTTTTTTTTTGAGATGGAGTCTCACTCTGTTGCCCAGGCTGGAGTGCAGTGGCTCCATCTCGGCTCACTGCAAGCTCCACCTCCCGGGTTCACGCCATTCTCCTGCCTCAGCCTCCCCAGTAGCTGGGACTACAGGCGCCCGCCACTATGCCCGGCTACTTTTTTTTTTGTATTTTTTAGTGGAGACGGGGTTTCACCTTGTTAGCCAGGATGGTCTCAATCTCCTGACCTCGTGATCCGCCCACCTCGGCCTCCCGAAGTGCTGGTATTACAGGCGTGAGCCACTGTGCCCGGCCTGACATCAATTTTGAACAAAATTTCTTACAGTTCTGGTCTCTAGAACTGTAAGAAAATAAATGTTGCTCTTTTAAGTCACTAAGTTTGAGGAATTTTTACAGCAGCAAAGGAAATTCAGACAGTCATGAAGCTCCAGGGACAGGGCTTCGTTCCCTCCGCAGGCACTCCAGGCTCCTTCTGAGGAGCTCCGAGTGCTCCATTGTCAGTGGGGTTGGGGGGGGGCTTCATCCCCTCCGCAGGCACTCCAGGCTCCTTCTGAGGAGCTCCAAGGCTCCATCGTCAGTGGGGCCACTGGAAGCCATGCAGGTGCTTGGGCATTTGTGTTTGTGTGTTTCTAAAAGTCCTCTGTTTTTCTAATAAAGTCCCACTGTCAGAAATTTAAGATGTGAAGAAAAATTGGAAGAACATAAAAAGAAAAAAAATAAAAGAATACAAACCAAAACCAAAAAAAATGACACTCAACTATAATCCCAACCTCTAGAAATAGCCTTCGTAATAGTAATGATCATGATTTGTAATTACAGGTTTATTTTAATGATTATTTTTATTTTTATTATTTTATTTTATTTATTTATTTTTTTAGAGACGGAGTCTTATTCTGTTGCCCAGGCTGCAGTGCAGTGATGCGATCTCGGCTCACTGCAACCTCTGCATCCTGGGCTCAAGCAATCCTCCAGCCTCAGCCTCCCAAGTAGCTGGGATTACAGGCATCTGCCACCATGCCCAGCTATTTTTTGTAATTTTAGTAGAGGCAGGGTTTCACATGTTGGCCAGGCTGGTCTTGAACTCCTGACCTCGGGTGATCCACCCTCCCCGGCCTCCCAAAGTGCCGGGATTACAAGCATGAGCCACCACACCCAGCCTTAATGATTATTTTAAAAATAATGTCACTTTGCCCATCCTTTCCCCAGACAGTAGGGCCCAGGAAGGTGGGAACCCACTCCAGTGAAGAGCTCAGTGTCTGAGATATAGCAGTGATCCATAAATGCACTGTGTGATCACTGAACGAATGGCCTCTGCTAACATTTTGGTATATTTCTTTCCAGTCTTTTTTCTATGTATATTGCATATTTTAACTATTGCAATTGTTCTATGACCGTGTGTTTTTGTCCTACATTCCTCACTTAGTATTTTATTCTGAATAAGTTCTAAAGTCATTAAATAGTCTTCAGAACTTTATTTTAATGGCAGACTAACAGTCCATACTATAGATGTTTCTTTGTTAGGTTACATTCTCTTTTTTTCTGTTATAAATAATTCAGTAATGAACATCTTGGTGCGTAAATCTTTATCCACATTTCTGATTATTTTCTTGGGGTCAATTCTTAGGAGGGATATTATAGAAACAAACCATGTCATCATTTTTAAGACTCAGGTTGATGATCAGTGCATGCATTTAAATCAACTCTGTTTTCTGAGGGGAACCTTGGGGACGCAGGACGGCAGTGTACACAGTTGCATGGTGAAGCTGATCTGCTTGGTTTTCATTTAAGCAGAGAACACTGGCTGGGTGATAGGAGACCTGAACTCTGGTTTGAGATTTGCCATTTCCTAGTCACGTTTAACTGGATGTCCTCGTTTTTAAAACAGGAAGCCCAGATGATAACTTTAAGCTCTCTTCTATCACAATTCTAGTGGCTGGGCAAGGTGGCTCATGCCTGTAATCCTAGCACTTTGGGAGGCTGTGGCAGGAGGATCACTTGAAGCCAGGAGTTTGAGACCAGGCTGAGTAACTTAGTGAGACCTGTCTCTACCAAAAAAAAAAAAAAAAAAAAAAAAAAATTAAAGTAGTCATGCGTGGTGGTATAAGCCTGTAGTCCCAGCTACCTGGGAGCCTGAGATAGGAGGATCACTTGAGTGTGGGAAGTTGAAGCTGCAGTGAGCCACGATCATGCCACAGCACTTCAGCCTGGGTGACAGAGTGAGACCCTGTCTTCAAAAAAAGCAAAAAAGAAAGAAAGAAAATTATAGCAACTCCTCTTGGAGACCATTACTAAAGGGGAAAAGCCAGGGAAAATTAGGAGCAATTCATGCCAGATAACCAAATGTTGATCTTAAAAGTCCAAGCCATGAGGTTTGTAAATTAAACCATGGTAAAAAGTATTTAGCCACTCTCTATTCTGTACACACACAGCATCTGTTGTACCTGCATGTTTGTTGAACAATGATTCTAAATAATTTAAAGAATGTGCAAAGCCTTCCTCTCAGTCAACAGACTAAATGAAGTACAGTTGACCCTCGAAAAACATGTGGGTTAGGGGCGCTGACCCCGCCCCCCATGCACAGTCAACAATCTGTATAACTTTTGATTCCCCCAAAACGTAACTACTAATAGCCTACTGTTGACTGGAAGCCTTGCTGATAATATAAACAGTCAATTAACATATATTTCGTATGTTATTTGTTGTACTATAAACTGTATTCTTACAATAAAGTAAGCTAGAGAAAAGAAAGTTATTAAGAAAATCATAAGAAAGAGAAAATCTATGTATTATTCATTAAGTGGAAGTAGATCATCATAAAGGGCTTCAGCCTTGCTCTTTCATGTTGAGTAGGCTGAGGAGGAGGAAGGGTAGTCTTGCTGTCTCAGGGGTGGCAGAGGTGGGAGAAAATCCATAGAGAAGTGGACCTGTGCAGTTCAAACCCGTTTTCTCTAAGGGTCAACTGTAGTTGACCTGACTTACCAGATGCAGCAAATTCCACATATGCAGAATGAGAAGAAACAAAAGGTGGGCTGGGCGTGGTGGCTCATGCCTGTAATCCCGGCACTTTGAGAGGCTGAGGCGGGCGGATCGCTTGAGTCCAGGAGTTCGAGACCAGCCTGGGCAACATAGTGAGACATCATGTCTACAGAAAATACAAAAATTAGCCAGGCGTGGTGGCATGTACCTGTAATCCCAGCTACTCAAGAGGCTAAAGCGGGAGGATCACTTGAACCAGGAGGCGGAGGTTGCAGTGAGCCAAGATCACACCACTGCACTCCAGTGAGACCCCGTCTCAAAAAAAAGAAGAAGAAATAAAAGACGATTTGTAGAAACATGATTAATATTGCCATATTCCAATGCTTGGAAAAGTGTAATCCATGTCTGACCGCAACTCTATTAGCTAGTTTTCTTCCAGCCTAGTTTGTGCTTCTAAGCAAGGCACCTGGACCACTTTACAGCTCCCACTCCACAGTTCTTCTGGAAATTAGACACTTGCTCATTCATTCTTTTATTCAGTCAGTCAGTTGGTCAGTCAACAAACATTTGCTGGAAAGCTGTGCCAGGCCCTTTGGAGGTTCCAGGCGGATGGGGCTAAATAGAACAGGGTCTCCCTAGCACAGTGAGGGGGGGGCCAGAAATCTCAGCTCTGCCTCAAAGTGGCCACGTTATCTGAGAAAATGTGCCTCTCCTTTCAGCCTCTTGTTCCTCACTTGTGAAGGGGGACCATTAATACTTCACGTGGTCCTGTTAAAAAGAATAAATCAAGGTGTGTAATGTGTGGCACAGAGCCTAGTACCAAGGAGACAGTAAATGTCAGGCCCTCCACCCTGACCTAGAAACACTCTCAGCTTGAGGAGCAAGACAGAAATAAAGAAGGTTATTTCAGTCTAACAGAGGTTTTCACAAAGTTCTGTGTAAGAGTAGAGAGAGAAACCAACCGCTCTGGTTTTCCTAGATGCAAGAAGGGGAATGTTTGAAGTGTGCTGGGAGAAAGGTGAAGGGTTTACAAGCCCCCAGTGCTACCCTTCGGAGCCAAATGTTTAGAATCAGCCTGCAAGGATCCAGGCTGATGGGTGTTTATTTAGACACACACGCCAACAGCCTGTAATGTGCCCAGAAGAGGGAAGGGGGCCAGCGGGATGGATAGATTTTATGTGCAAGAAAGAATTGCGGCTGTGAAATGTGAAGTGAAAGATGCCTCGTTTTCGAATTAGGCTACGGGAAGAGAGGAAATGTATTTCTCCCAAAACCTAGAGAATTGGGCCAAGTTGGGCTGCAGAGAGGATTTCTGCATTTGGAAGACAATCTAATTTGGTGGGTTTGGGTTTTGGGGGAGGCAGCCTGGGTTTGTGTCTCAACTCTGCCATTTACTGAGCTGATGTGGCCAGGCAAGCTCTGTTTCCTAGAAAGTTCCGTTCTATGCCAGATAGGGATGAATCCAGGGCGCAGGTCAGGGGATTGGTGTGAGCATGGATGGGGTGCTGCTGGGAGAACACCTTACACAGTACCCAGCCATAACCAATGTTAGTGTTTATTATAACAATCATAAATGTTAGCTCTTGTTGTTATTATCAGGCAGGAGGCTGGTTGGGATGCTTCTAGCTAAATGTCCCTACGTCCTCGCTGTATACTCTTTCCACCACAGTTATGGAGGGTTGTAGGGAAACTTTTTAAAAAGAGGGGAAAGGGACAAGAGTGCATTTTCATTTTCACCCTGATGTGGATGAACCAACGTCTACAGCTGGCACTTCTGATCGGCCAATAACCCACGCTTCTCATTGATCTATCTATTCTCATTCCCAGGTGGAAGAGTGTCTTAGGATTCAGAGTCAACAAAAATTTTCCAAGTAATCCTCTGTTCTAGGCCCTGCACTTCCAGCAGCACCTCCCCTCGTTTTTTTTGTTTTTTTTTTTTTTCCTGAGACAGAGTCTCCCTCTGTCACCCAGGCTGCAGCGCAGTGGCATGATCTTGGCTCACGCAACCTCCACCTCCCAGGTTCAAGTGATTCTCCTGCTTCAGCCTCCCGAGGAGCTGGGACTACAGACATCTGCCACCACACCTGGCTAATTTTTGTATTTTTAGTAGAGACGGGGTTTCCCCATGTTGGCCACGCTGCTCTTAAACACCTGACCTCAGGTGATCCATCTGCCCCGGCCTCCCAAAGTGCTGGGATTACAGGTGTGAGCCACCATGCCCGGCCTCCTCCCCTAGTTTAATCTCAGTTCTCTCACCCCTTTGATAGCGGCATGAGTGGACAGTCTCAGAAAGCACAGAGAGGCCAGGTGACTTGCCCGAGGATACACAGCTTAGAGGTGAGAGAGCAGGCATTTGCAGCTAGAGCTGAATGACTACTGGTCTTTCATTACTTCACACCTGGAAGGGTGTAGGTTCCCTTCAGGGATGGGGGTGTCCGAGGAAGACCCACACAGGGACCAAAAACCCCCTCCTCACACAGACCTCCTGGCTACACTCAGAAAGGTATCTGTCCTGCAACTGGAGACCGGCTCCGTTCCAGACCCAAGTTCCTGACTTGCAGAAAGGGTGAACTTATTGTTAGTTCAATCATATCAGTGAATACAGGCAAATCATTATTTCTGCATTGCCATGAACCTGAAGCCTTCCTGGGGTGCAGGATAAGGAGAGGTTTATTAAGGGATTAGGAACCGTGTGCTGAGCAGGGTACCGGAGCGTCAAGAGGGGAGACTGAGCCCTAGGGCCTGTCCATGCATCTCCCACTGCCCGGCACTGCGGGGCTGGCACTTGGCATTGCCACTTCGGGGAGCCAGGACTTACTCAGGAGAGGAAACAGCCTCCCTCCTCATCCACTCAAGCTTCTCAGGAGGAGAGACACCATCTCTGAGCCACCTTTAGCCCTCAGGGAGGGCCCAGAGGAGAAGCTCAGGCCCTGGACACAAAGAAGGGCACGAGAGAGCCACGCATTTCCTGCTAGGACAACTCAACTGCGCGCCACACTGAAACAACTGGAATGCAGCAAATGGCCCGGGATATCCTAACTCGGTATGTGTGCTCCCCTGCCCAGCCTCGGACCTCCCTCAGGCTGCAGCCACCTGAATGGCCCAGGGGCCCGTTTCCATTCAGGCCCTGGCTTGTTTCAGCCCTCCCCTCTGCCAGGTGCTCTCTCACGTTGCCTGTCTGCATTCTCTGCTCCTGGACAAAGGAATCATTTCCTCTTCTCTGAGCCCCTCCATCACCCCTCCCCCAGCTATATTTGAGGAAAGGTCTCAAAACTCCTCGGGGGTGTTCATCTTTGCAGCTTCAGCTTTTTGATCAGGTCACACCCAGAATAACTGAATATAGGCATGGTTAATAAATTCAATAACTAGGTCAGGTACGGTGGTTCATGCCTGTAATCCCAGTACTTTGGGAGGCTGAGACAGGAGGATCTCTTGAAGCCAAAAGTTCAAGACCGGCCTGGGCAACATAGTGAGACCCTGACTCTACAAAAAACAATATTAAAAAAAAATTATCTGGGCCTGATGGTGCACACCTGTAGATCAGATACTCAGGAGGCTGAGGCAAGAGTATCGCTTGAGCTTAGGAGTTTGAAGTTACAATGAGCTATGATCATGTCACTGCACTCCAGCCTGGACAACAGACCAATACCCTGTCTCTTAAAAATAATAATAGTAATAATAAGTAAAAATACATTTAAACATTTAATAATTAGTTATAAATTCCTCATTTTCCCCATATACCCTTGCACCCCCATGTTACCCAATTTGGATAATTAACTAGCTAGATTTTATCTTTAAAAAGGGTTCTCCAGTATGATCTTATTTCTTACAGTAACCCTAAGAGATTGGGGTTCTCGCTGCCTCACAGAAATATTCATTTCATTTTCTCCCAATGCTGAGACTTGGACCCAGAGAGTTAATGACTCACCCAAGGCCACACAGGTAGGTGGTCACAAAAATGGGTCCCAGCCTGAGCTTTAGAATCTGCATGAGCCAAGGCCACACAACATTTCCCAGTCCCTGGAGCCAGTCTTGCCCTGGACATAAGCCCCTGGAAGAGGTTAAGCTGTGCCCAGGCTCAGATCGCCTTCTGGGCCTGGCAGCCCTCACCTGGGCCAGGTGGGGTATGGCCGAGGCCTCAAGACCCTCCTGCCAGGCAGCCCATCCTGCCTGCCCACGGGCAGCTCAGCCGGCTGCCCTCCACCGTCTGCCAATTCCAAGCTTTTCGGCAAACTGGCACCTAATCACCCACCATCTGTGAGCAGAGCGAGTCTTGGCTACCTCTTGGTGCTTCTTCAAATCAACTTGCAAGTTTTCAAAGTGACGCGAGTTCTTGGTGCTTGCAAAAATGTCAGCTTCCGTCACATCTTATTAAAACTGAAAATATGAAAAGGTTTCAGATAAACTGAAACAAGCCCAGTTTTAAGTGAGATCACTTTCTTTTTTTTTTTCCTAAAATGCAAAGAGTTTTGTTGTTTTTTTCTGATTACCAGGGTGATAATCATTATCTTTGCACCTGTTGCCCTCCATGGGGCCCACACCCTGAGAGGGCTGCAGCTGACTCTGTGCAGGGTGTGTCCGTGGTGGTTACGGTCACTTTCTTATGGTGACTTATTCACACAGGGTCCCCTTGGTGAGGTTACAGTGGTGGAGAAAGTACTAATAGCGAGCAACACTCCTGTGCCAGGAACAATGTCCTCTATGCATTCTCTTATTTAATCCTAAAGTAAGATTCTCCTGTTCTCTCCACAAAGGTGAGGAAATGGGGCACAGAGATGCCACTCGTCACATGGCTAGTAAGTGGCAGAGCTGGGATTTTAACCCAGGCAGGACACGGGCTGCTGTGGGACCTGCAGGCTGGGGAAGGTGCTTGGACTCCACCCTAGGGGCCCTGAGAAGCAGAGGGAGGGTTCTGAGCAGGTGTTGGCAGGGTCAGGACTGCATTTGAAACATCACTGGGGCTACATCATGAATTCACTCAGTACTCATTCAGTGCTACTGCTGCATAGCTTGATGCTAGATTCTATGGAGAAATATGAGATGGACAAAACCCAAATCTGGGGAAAGAAGGCCTGTGCTTAATTATGGTGCTAGCAGAACGAAGCGATAATGGCCTCCTGTTGCTTCCAGAATGAGCGCCAAATTTCAGAATCAGTCCCTCACTCACACCCACCCTCACTCCCCTCCACCCACCGTCCAGGCCCAGCAGGAACTCACCCCTGGAATGCCTGGCAAATAGACCCCCACTCTCCTGTCCACTTGTCTCTCCTCACCTGTGAAAGGGGAGTAGGCAAAAACCATCACAGAGTTGTTGGGTGGACTGAATGCGTGGCACTTGGCAACGCTCAAGACACAGCAGCTTTTACTACTGCCACCACGGATGCCACCACTGCTGCTCCCACCACCACGACCACCAGTGCTGCTAATCCTGCCACCACCACCGCCACCACTGCTGCGCTAATCCCACCACCACTACCACTGCCGCTAATCCCACCACCACAACCATCACTGCTGCTAATCCTGCCACCACCACCGCCACCACTGCTGCGCTAATCCCACCACCACTACCACTGCCGCTAATCCCACCACCACAACCATCACTGCTGCTAATCCTGCCACCACCACCGCCACCACTGCTGCTAATCCCACCACCACAACCATCACTGCTGCTAATCCTGCCACCACCACCGCCACCACTGCTGCGCTAATCCCACCACCACAACCATCACTGCTGCTAATCCTGCCACCACCACCGCCACCACTGCTGCTAATCCCACCACCACAACCATCACTGCTGCTAATCCTGCCACCACCACCGCCACCACTGCTGCTAATCCCACCACCACAACCATCACTGCTGCTAATCCTGCCACCACCACCGCCACCACTGCTGCGCTAATCCCACCACCACTACCACTGCCGCTAATCCCACCACCACTACCACTGCCGCTAATCCCACCACCACTGCCACCACTGCTGCGCTAATCCCACCACCACTGCCACCACTGCTACTACTGCTATTGCCACCATTACCACCGCTGTTGCTACTGTCACCACTACCACCATTGCTACCAGTGGTATTACTGCCATGACCACAACTGTTGCTACTCCCACAATGACCAACACTGCTGCTGCTCCCACCACCATGACCACCATTACTGCCACTGCCAGCACCACTATTATCAAAACAACACTACCACTATCACTAATACCACCGTCACTAGTACTGCTGTTGCTGCTACTGTTAGCACTGCGCTGATGCTACCACTGCTACCACAATCGCTGCTACTACCATTACGATTGCTACTGCTGCCAGTACTGCTGCTATCAATACAGCTGCTGCTGCTACTGCCACCACTGCTACTACTGCTAGTGCCACCGGCATTGCCACCACTGCTGAGACCGCTTCCACTGCTCGCTGCTGCTACCACCACTCCTGCTACTACTGTTATTATTACCTCTACTGTGATCACTGCTGCTATTGCCAATTGAGGAAGAACGAAGAACAGGTATAAAATCACACTGTACAATAGTAAGTGTACAAATTGTACACTTTTGTGTACTCTTTGAAGAAACTGTACAAAGAGTAAACCCAAGCAAAAATACTATTTCTAGCTATTAAGCAAAGAAATTCACTTTAAAGCACCCTTGAAATACCAGGTCATAACAATTAACTGGGGGGGGGAACTATTTTAAATAAACCTGTGCCATGCTTGTGAGACAGAGTTGAAGGCCTGATAAAATAGTGCATTGTTACAATGGACTGCTTTAGGATGGTGAAAGATATGAACTATCAAAAGCCTTAAAAATGCCCTTGAATCAACAATTTCCACTCCTGGGACTAATTCAAGAGATGACAAAGTGGGAGAAAAATATATTACCTGAACCTTGATCAGCAACAATAAAAACAGAGGGGAGATGAACCCAATGTTTGTGTCTCGGGGAATGAACCCCTCGACTGGTATATTCCTGCTGGTGGGAATATTACACAGCTTTGAACAACTGTGGTATTAAAAAAAACTGTACTACCCAGAAAGATGCTTAGGATGTACTGTTGAGAGAAAAAGATGAAGACATAACAAAGTATTTATACCGTGTTTAGAGTATTATAAAATATGTGTGCTCATAGACAATAAAACATAGAAAAATGAAAATAATTGTTGGAAGATTTGTATAGTAAGAAGAAGAGATTTTTTTCACGATCCTCTTTAATGTTGCTGTCGTATTGTTTTCTCAACACAAATGAAAAAGAAACGTCCCAACAATCTATTGATAGGTTTTTTCCCCTTTGAGTATAATATGGATGTGTCTATTTACAAGATTTCTCTTTTAAAATCTCATTTAGCGCCACAACAAAGAGTGTCCAACTTTTAGTTCATTTCAAGCGAGTTCCTAGTCATAAATTTATTCTCATTCACAATGTGTATAATGTGTGCACTTCAGGAGATTTGGTGATTATACAGGAATTCAGCGTTTTTAATAATTTCCTGAAGGGTTTTTGAAGCAGACAATGTGCTTTTCCTATTTCCCAAACAATCTGAATGATGGAAAATCTCCAAAATAGCTATGCCTGAGTCTTCCTTTCTTCCCTCTAATTTCACATACGTTTTTGTTGTTGTCGTTGCTGTCCTTGCACTTCTGCAAGTAGGAATTCTCCTTTTGAAGCTGTATCTTTGCAGACAAGAAATTATAGTCATCTTCTCCCTAATGCACTGCTCCCTAAGCAAAGGACTTATTATCCTTCAAGACTCTGTGTACAAAGGCTTCATCCCAGCAGGCAGACTGAATCTCCATGGGGCAGGCGCACATACAATCTGACCCGGTGGATTCAGAGCCTTGGAAAATGGGTATTTATGTCAGCACTCACACTAACAACTGTTTTGATTTGTATTTGATAGAGACCTAGAAGTAGAGGGCAAAAGAGGCTTTCCAATCAACTCATTCAGCCATGTCATTTTATAAATGGGGAAACTGAGGCCCCCCTCACTAAGAGGCCGTGACTCGTCCAAGGCCACACTGCCATTTCGGGGCTGAGTGGGGACTGCAGCTGCTCCCAAGCCACTGTCCTTTCTATCCCCTTCAAGGAGACCATATTTTCTTTTTCTTTTTGTTTTTTTTTGTTTTTTTTTTTTTTTTTTTTGAGACGGAGTCTTGCTCTGTCACCCAGGCTGGAGTGCAGTGGTGCAATCTCGGCTCACTGCAACCTCCACCTCCCGAGTTCAAGCAATTCTCCTGCATCAGCCTCCCGAGTAGCTGGGATTACAGGCATGCACCACAACGCCAGCTAATTTTTCTGTATTTTTAGTAGAGACGGGGTTTCACCAATTGGCCAGGCTGGTCTCGAAGTCCTGACCTCAGGTGATCCACCCGCCTTGGCCTCCCAAAGTGCTGGGATTACAGGCATGTGACAACGCACCTGGCGACCACATTTTCTTCATCCAAATGGAGCCAAGTCGTCTGATGAAGTTCTCCCTAGTTTGTGAATTTATTGATAAAACATACAGAGGCCTGACCACAAAGCCATTGTGTGTGAAGAACTTTGGTGAGTGCTGACAGAGATGTCTAATTGTTTCAGGTTGCTTTTAGAGAGAAAAATTAAATCTCATTTCGTTTTAAATTTAACCCCTATTATAAAATAAAATGACATTAGAAACAAACAAATAAATAAAATTCATCCTTACCCAGCCCCCAAAAGAATTTTTTATATTTGTCCACATCCTGTATTTTCTGGGGCGGATTTAAAACAGTTCACAATGAAAGACACAATCGTCAAGTTATAAAAGTAAAATCATAATTTAAAATCGGCCCAAGGTTGATATTAAGCCACATCGTTCACCTCTCTTCCCCCTCCAAGATCAACACAGAAGAGATTGGGAACAGGCTTGTGGGCTCCACGCAGGTAAAACAGGGGCTCTATGACTGGCCAGCAGGAGGGACCCACAGCATGGAACCATGGCCGGCTTTTGCTCCATGGTAAACAGCTGATCCAGCCAGTGTAAACTGTTTGCGAGCCACTGCTGATCCAAAGAAAGGGATAAAACAAGAGGGGCCATGGAGGAGCAGCGATTCTGTCCTATTAACCTGGCCCAAGAGAGACCCCAGCCCATGGCCTGGACCTCTCAAGATACCCTTTTCCCCAGGGGAGGAAAGGGAAAGGGAAACTCCCACTCAGTCCTCCCTGCAAACGGCTGAGGTGTTGCAGGAAGGTGGCCAGCACTTCCCTGGTGAGGCAGAGGGTGACATCACTTCCTATTTATGGGCCAAATTGGGAACTTCGGGGCAGAGAAAAGTGTTCCCCACGCAAGGGAGAGGAAAATGCAATGAATCAGTTAATCCATTATTTAGTTGTTGGAGGTTCTGGAAAATCTGGGGTGCAGGAACACCCCAATCTACTAAGTCACCACTGCCCTAGCACCCACCCACTGCCTTCGCACTCAGGATTTTGAGTTCCCATGGAGGATAACCATTGCCATGGATATGCACTGGCCTTCGGTGAGCTTTGCTGTCACAGTGACATGACAGCAGCTCTGAGGGGCACGATCACCCCAACATACGGAAGAGAAGAGCATAGCCCGGAGAGGCCCGTGCCACATGCCCAGCATGTCACAGCTGGACACTTGCTTAGTGAATCTCTCTCCCAGGGCTGGGAGTGAGATTTGAATGTCACTTTCTGGCCCTAGTAAACTTGCCTGGACACTGCTTCTTTGTGAAATTTGAAGAGAGAACTAAGACCATCTAGAGACCAGGGAGGGCTGGCCGCCCTGCCACACAGGGCATGTGGAGGCAGGGGAAGGAGGCACCATGGAGACAGTGTCTGCACCAGTTTTATCCATGAGGTTTGGGGCCAGAAGATGTCCATATCTTGCAAGATCACTTTCCTCCCTCCTGGCCACGAGTCTCTCCAGCAGGGCTAAGGGAGCTGGTGGCAACATGAGGGTTGAATGCCTCTCTCCTCATCTTAGCTTGGGTTCCCCCGTCTCTTCCTGAGACAAGGACTTAGGTGCAAGTAGTTTGTTTCAGAGGTGATCCCAGGAAGCAGGTGAGGGAGTTGGGAAGTGAGGCTGAGGTAGGGCAAGAGCCTGTAAATGGTGGCATTGGGGACCCTCAGGGAACCCTTGACCCATCCCCCATAGGAACAAGGAAGTGGGGGCCGGGGAGCATTTGTCTACCAGCCACCCTTCCTCACTGGTTGAAGGGTCCTCCATGGTTACAAGCTCCCGGGCCTCACCACTGCCCTGTGGGGAGGGAATACCCTTGGTGGGAGAAAGACACAGAAAATCATCGGCATGGGGCTAACAGCTGCCTGCAGGTAGCCTCTGGAACAGGCCGTGGGGCATGCGTGGGCACCAACAAAGTGTTCTCTACCTCCTCTCCCCTTCCGGACCCACAACTCAAACCCAGGAGCTCTGCCTGCTCTAGCTCCATCTTCCTGCCTCTGGCCAAGCACAGGTGAAGAGGGGGCCCCAGGAGGCCTGCCTGCTCCTGGAAGCCCCTCACTCACTCCCTGCATCCCACCACCACCACCACTCACAGCCTCACCCCTCCATCTGCCTTGAGGTCATGGGGAAAAATAGTGCAGTGAGTCCCCCTCTGGCTTCATCAGTTCCCCCAAGGTGCTGGGAATTCCGACATTATTCCTCATCCCTGTATGGTCCAGGGAAGCCAGGCAACCCCCAGGACCTATTCTCCCACCATGCAACCCATTCCCTGCCCCAGGCTCAACCCCCTGCCCCTGCCCAGCTCCCCACTCTCCAGCCTCAACTCCTGCATCATCTTCATAGCACATCCATTTGACATATGACACATTCACCCACTTGTTTGTCTCCACCCACTGAGAGCACGGCCTCAGGAGGGCAGATGCTTCGGCCTGTTTCACTCCCTGCCATATCCCTGCACCTGGAGCAGAGCTGCCCATACAGTAGGCAGTCAGTAAGTATTTAATCCATGCTGAACAACGAAGAGAGCCAGCCCAGGTATCAGAACTACTTTCTCTGAGGTCAAGAGAGGGTCAGAAAAACAGAAACACCACAACAGTCACAATGTTTGTGATACACATCACATGTGTACATTTACTAAACCAACGCTTTTAATGAAAAAAAATACAGTATAATTTACTGTGCTAGTCACAAGATAATGACCGCATTGGTTTTGCTTAATGGATTTTTACCACCCTGCCTCCACCCCAGGAACAGGGTCTGTATTAGTTCGTTTTCATGCTGCTGATAAAGACATACCTGAGACTGGGCAATTTACAAATGGAAGATGTTTAATGGAGAACTCACAGTTCCACGTGGCTGGGGAAGCCTCACAATCATGGTGGAGGGCAAGAAGGAGCAAGTCACATCTTACGTGGATGGCGGCAGGCAAAGAGAAAATGAGAGCCAAGCAAAGGTCATGGGTCCTCTTATCAAACCATCAGATCTTGTGAGACTTATTTGAGACAGTATGGAGGAAACCGCCCCGATGATTCAATTATCTCCCACCGGATCCCTCCCACAACACGTGGGAATTATGGGAGTACAATTCAAGATGAGATTTGGGTGGGGACACAGAGCCAAACCATATCAGGTTCTCTGTGGGACACACACACAGAAGTTGCACAGAGAGAGTCTCCTTGTTTCCATCCTTCAGTGTGTCCATGAGACTGTGTCCGTAACCTCATCTGGAGAATCTACCCAACGTCCACATTCGAGGTTCCTTGTTACTATGAGCAACCCCACTTCCTCCCTCCATAAGCTCTGCTTTTCAGAACACCAAGCCACCACCCTGCAGTCTGTCCCCTGTGCCCCGTCCACAGTGGGTGCCAGGTGAGTAGCAAACCACTTGGAGAAAGGCTCACTTTGGTCAACAGACAACCCAGGGAGAGTGTAAGTCAGGTCCAGACACCCTGCTGGCCACTCATCCCACAAGGAACGGAGGTCACAGTCCTTCCCACCCCCCTTCACCCCGCCCCCACTCTGGCTTATTTTCCCCAGTAGCACTTACTACCATACCCTCTACTGTGTTTTCTCATGTGATTATTTCTGTCTTCCTCCAACATGAGGGCAGGGATGATGCTCACTTACTAGCTGCGTGTCTGCTACCATTTAGCACTGTGCTGTGCGTAGTAGGTGCTCAATAGCTGTCAAGCGAATGAACAAATGGCCCTCTCCCTCAAGGCACCAACCAAGCTACCAGGCAGGGGTGGTCTGTCCCCCATGGGTGTTTCTCAGCCAGCCCCAGAGCCTGGCTCCCAGGCCCTTCCCTCTGCTAAGATCAGCAGCCCAGGGGCTTGGCCTGCCACATTCTGCCCAGGCTGATGAAAGCAGCCAGTTTTTCTGCAGACACATACCTCCCTCAAAACTGGTACCGACAGCCAGATCTCCTTAATTAGGGAGGCTCAGCCAATGACCTATGGCATGAATACATTACGTGGATGTCTTTGGGGTGATATTTTCTGGCTTTTTGAACAGGTCCCTCATTAATGACCTGCTCAGTCCCCTGCTGAAACTGTGCCAGGCTCATCCCAGGGGAAGGCAGGGGCTCCCAGGGAGAGGAGAGAGACACACATCCCAAGCAATCTCGGTTGAAAGCTGACCTATACCGTATGCTCACAGGGGAACTTACCCCAGCTAAGTCATCTGGATGTGCCTCAGTTTCCACAACAAAATGAATGGGAAGGCCATTTTCCAATCCAGGAAAAATAAAATGGATACAGCACACAATACTCTGCAAAAAGGACCCATCTACCTGAATGATCTGGAAGGACTGACCCCCCCGGGCTATATCATTGATGATGATGGTGACGATGAAAAGCTTTAATAAGCACCTATTTATGCCACTCTGTTAGGTGTTACCACAAAACTTTTCTCATTTAAACTTCCCTGCAATTCAAGAAATAGGCATTATGACCCCATTTCACAGATGCAGAGCTGGCCCTCGAAGGATTGAGTGACAATGCTAGTGGAGAGGTCAAGTGGGGGAGCCAGAAGGTCTTTTGAGAAGGACCCTGTCAGAACCCAACCCCTTGTGCTGCCTGCACAGATATCTCAGGCTCCAAGAGAATCAAGCCCCTCCCCTGGCCACATGGCCTAAGTGGCCAGACACACAAGAGATGCTCCCAGCCTTGCTGACCTCTCACCTTGTCCCTAAGACCAAGTGGCCTTGGAATATTTAGTGAGACCTGCTGGCTGAGGAGTGGAGTAGCCTGAGGGGCAAGCAGGAAGAGGCCAGGTCAACACAGTGAGGCCTCAGATGAAATTAGGAAGAGCATCCAGAGTACAACTGACTGCCGAGCCCCAGGCAAAAGGATCAGGCCAGCTCTCGGGCCAGGGCTGGATCCTCAGGGGATGTGGAGTCTCTCACTGGGAACCAAGTCCAGAGCTCAGAGACCATGGCAGGTAGAGGCTGGGAGAGGTCAGTCACTTCTTGACACTTTGATTGTGGACTCAAGCTCTTTTCCAAAGGGGGTTCCATAGGAAACCAGTCACACTCGGTGCTTCTAGGTGGGAGGGGCAGGGGAGGGGGGGTCCTGGCCCAGCACACAGCACACTCCAAAAGATGCCAGTGACCTTCTATGTCACCAAGCACAGCCCTATATTCCTTGACTATGGGTGCCTTTCCATCCGCTCCCTCTCATTTAGAAATACTGGCTTATAACAGTTTTCTTTCCCACCTCAAAGCAGGGAGGAAACTCTGTTCTGCTTGGTAAGTCCATTGAGACTAGGGGTCTACAGAAAGGTATTCAAGGAGGAGGGAAAGGAAAAGAAACTCATGTTTGCTGAAGTCCTGCCATTAGCAGGCACAGGCGAGGCGCCTTTACACAGATGAGAGCGTTTCATCTATCAGTCGCGTAAAAGTGAGCATTGACCGTTTTTCCCTGCCCAGCATCTGTTCTCCAATCTTCTAAAAATGGCACCCAATTTTCCTTTTTTAGGCACCCACCCCCTACAACTCTTTTTTCCTCAAATAACAGCTATATTAAGACATAATCACATACCATACAATTCACCCATTTAAAGTGTTCGATTCAATGGTTTTTACTGTCTTATTATTTATTTATTTTTACAAACAGGGTCTTGCTCTGTGGCCCAGGCTGGAGTGCAGTGGCGTCATCATAGCTCAGTACAGCCTCGAACTCCCGGGCTCAAGGGATCCTCCCGCCTCGGCCTCCTAAAGTGTTGGGATTACAGGCGTATGCCACCATGCCTGGCCTCAGTGGTTTTTAATATATTCACAGCTATGTGCAAACATCGCCACAGCCAATTTTGAACATTTTCATCACCTCAAAAATAAACCCTGGGATGGGCGCAGTGGCTTACACCTGTAATCCCAGCACTTTGGGAGGCCAAGGCGGGTGGATCACTTGGGGTCAGGAGTTCGAGACCAGCCTGGCCAACCTGGTGAAACCTGTCTGCACTAAATAAACAAAAATTGCCCAGGCATGGTGGCGCAGGCCTGTAATCCCAGCTACTCGGGAGGCTGAGGCATGAGAATTGCTTGAACCCAGGAGGCAGAGGTTGCAGTGAGTAGAGATTAAGCCACTGCACTCCAGCCTGAGTGACAGAGCAAGACTCCATCTCAAAACAATAAATAAATGAAAATAAAATGATGTACCCCCTTTTAGCTTCCCTCCTCATTCCCCCATCTCCCCAGACCTAAGGAACTACGAACCTACTTTCTGTCTCTATAGATTTGCCTATTCTGGACATATCTTATAAATGGAACCATGTACTATGTTGTCTTTGATGTCTGGCTTCTTTCGCTTAGCACAGTGTTTCCAAGGTTCCTCCACATGGTAGTATGTGTCAGTGCTTTGTTCCTTCTTATAGCTGAATAGTATTCCACTGCGTGGATAGACCACACTTTGTGTACCCATTCACCCATTGTTGGACATTTGGGTTGTTTCTGCCTTTTGGCTATTATGAACAATGCTGCTATGAGCATTTCTGTACAAGTTTTTGCATGGGCACATGTTTTCATTTCTCTTGGGTATGCACCTAGGAGCAGAATTGCTAGGTCATATGGTAAGTCTACAGTTTACTATTTGGGAAACTGTCAGGCTCTTTCCAATGTGGCTGTGCTATTTTACATGTCCACCAGCATGTATGGGGTTGTGATTTCTCCGCATCCTCACCATTACCTGTTATTATCTGGTCCTCCCTAACTCATGATCCATGCCGTTGCAAGGAGCTCCGCAGCTGTGCAGGAACTTTACCTTAGCCACTCTCTCCTACCTGTACCTCCATACCAGGCACTCTGTGCAATGGAAAATGGTGGAATCTATACTGAAGAGTAGTAGGTCGTGTCTTCTGGGGGAGAAATTCTAAGGCAGACACTAAGGGAAGTAGAATTGCCAGGTAGAAAGAGCCCAGTTCTGAGACTGAACTCTGGCCCCCCCCTGCAGGCTGGGTGGCATATGCACAGCTCTGAGCCACAGTCTCCTCACCTGTAAAATGGGATCATGAGACCTTTCTCACGGGGCTGCCGTGGGGAGAGCCTGAGATGACACTTGCATGATCCGTTATTTGAATTTGCCTCACATAACCCCCTACGCAATGTCGGGGACTTTCCAAACCATGCCCTGGGTGTTTCCCCATTCTGCTTGCTGGGATTTGACACATGAGTTTCATCTTTTTTCGAGCTGCACCAGCAATGCCGCTTCCTTTCCTCTGCAGCTCGGGGATCTGGTGACCACACCCACTGTATTATCGAATGTTCGTGATTTGCCAGGCCCCACGCTGGAGTTTCCCAGATGCAGTCTCTAATCCTCACAGCCACTCTGAGAGAGGTTTCCCAGCTCCAGTTTTCTGATGCAGACGTGAAGCTCAGAAGGTAGAGAGCTTGCCACGGGTCACCCAAGCAGGACATGGCAAAACCAGAACAGGACGCCAGGCCCGGCTGCAGCCCATGACTGTCCTCATGTCACACCCAGGGCGCTTCCTCTCCCCTTCGTTCCTCTTCATGTGTGCAGAAAGGCTGGTCCACAGACTAACAAAGGAACCAGGCAGGAAGCGCCTTCTCTCCCCGGCTCTAGCCCTCGGCAGGCCGCCGTCACCTCCACTCCCTGAGCCCACCTGGCCCAGTAGTTAACAACATCCCGGGTATCATGACGACGAGAAGCCGGCAGTTTTCAGCTGCAATGGACTCCTTTTCGGCTCTGCACTAAAAGTCCATTAAGGATGCCCCCTCCTCTAAAGTGTGTCCTCAGGTTAAATTCTTTCTAAGCAGATGTTTATTTTTAGAGAGCCACTGTATGGGCTATTATTGAATGCTTAAGCAGTTCCTTAAGATGAGGGTCACTGAAGGCCTCCACTGTAGAAAAACATCCATATAATACCACCTGCTGAACAACACTGCCAAGGGCGGAAAAAAGGAGTCTTTTATTTAAGGAAGGAGGAATTTGATGAGGGGGAAAAAAAGAACTCTGAGAGCATTTCTGCTGAAAGAAGCAGACTTGCATGTTTGCATTCAATGTGGAAACAGATTCAATAAAGTACATTTTCCCAGGTATTTTGAATGACAATGACAACACCTATGAGGGGCACAGGGGACCGGCTGTGATGCGGAGACACCAACAGGCCTTGAGCACGCGGCTTCTAACGAGGTCGGAGGTTAATGTACGCTTCACGGTGCCCTTTCGTATGTTGTGTTTCTATCTCATGCTTTTAGGCAGGGGAGGATGAAAGACCTCAGCTCTCAGACAACTTGTGGGATCTGGAAGAGGAGGCTGTGGGGCTTCCTTTTGGGCTGGAGAGTGGAGGTTTTTATGAGATGCTGCCAAGGGCACTAATAGTTTTTGTCCCCATGCAGTGGTGCTGAGCCCAGATTTGAAAACAACAATTTAAGAAGGAAATGAGAGTCAACGTGTCCCATGCGCTTACTGTATGCAGTTCCTCTGGAAGCTCATGCTATGTCTTGGCACAGGCAACCTCACACCACCAGAGGAAGCGGGGGTGTTATGGCTCCCCACTTACAGCAGAACCAGGTCAGAGAGGTTAAGTCTCTTGCCTGTGGTAGAGATTACAGTGTGTGTTCATTGAAACTCCTCTCCTTTTCCACAGGGACACACAGCTAATGAGATGCTCAGGCCTCTTTGTTAGGTGTGGCAACAAGACTGGGTTCTGGCCGAGGAAATGCAGGCTGAAGGGATGGGCACCACCTCTAGGCCCAGCACATAACACCCTTCCATGCGCTCCTGCAAGCTCTTTCCACATCCACTGGCTGAACAGAAGAGCACCCGAAGACACAGGAACACAAGATGGAAGGGGCGCAGTGAACACAGGGTGGCTGACTGGCCAGGAACACCTGCATTAGATTGTAGTGTGAGTGATAAATCAGCTTTTTGGGTTTGAACCGCTGATAACTCCGGGTGCAGCTATCATGGAAGGCTGTAGGAGTAGAAGCAGCAACCAATTTCACTGTTATATGACCCAGAGAAAACTCGGAGAGTTGAAAACCCGGAGCTTGGCTCTGCTTGGTGCAAGATTCTCAGTTGGTTCTCCTTGAGACCACTCTGCCTCTCTGACTTAAAATGAGTTCCCCAGAAGCAGCTCCTGAAATGCGGATTCCTGTGAAATAATCAATGAGGAAGTGTTCCAGGAAAATCAGGTAGGGGGACGAGGAGGTGGAACAGGGGAGGGAAGGAGGCCAACAAGGAATTGGCATCGAACAAAGTTCCATGGAGGTCAACTGCGGCTCAGTGCCCCAACCTGAGAGTTGTCCCAGTCAGGGTGAGGGAGCTGCAGCATTCATACCTCTGTACCAGTCCATCACTGGAGAAGGGATGGCCTCTGCAGAACATCAACCCAGTTCCCAAGCACGGCCAGGCCTTCATGAACATGTGCTGAAGGAAGTCCTCTAGCACAAAGACCTACGGCAGGCTGCTGGGAGTGGAGACACATCAGCAGCCTGTGGGCCAGAAAATGATCAAGTGATCACAGGGGATGAAGTGGAGAAGTGAACTTGAGGGGACAAGTGAAGCTTCTGCTACCCTTTCCAGGCTCAGTTTTGCCATCTGGACAAGGTGAGAGCTCAGGTCTCCTCTAACTCAAACTTTCTCTGGCTATGTGACCTCAAGATAATACTCCCATCCCCAGCAGGCTGTTCCTGGGGGCTCAGGAAGACACTGCAGCCATCCAGAAGTAACAATGGTCCTCTCAGCAGCAGCCAGAAGCCTGGTAAGGAGCACAAAGTGCGGGTGATGCTCTAGCAAGAGGCTCGTCAACATGGCACCATGAGCAACCAAGAAACTTCTTCATCTGTCCCAGCTCTCGTCACTCTTCTGCTATCTCTAGCAATCAGAGATGCAGTGTTGTGGGGCAAATTCCAGCTTGTAATTTGCAGCACAGGCTTCCTTGGGTGTCATGGCCAAGGGCCATGATGGGATTTTCATACCAAGAAATGGTTAGGACTTACAGCGGCATGTGCCCATCTAGTGAAACAAACTTAAGGAGGGTAGATGGACCATACTTGGAAGGAAGAGGGCTTTGAGAGTCAGAGGGACTGGATTTGAATTATGGCTTTGTCTCTGACAACTGTGTGACCTTGGGCAAGTGACATACTTCTCTGAATCTCATTTTCACTGTTGTCAAACCACACATAATCTTAGGGTTGTTGTGAGAATTAAACTGGACATTTTATGTAAAGCGAGTAGGCATTCTGAAAACTTCGCCCTTTTACTGCCTTTATTTACTCATTGTATGCCTTATGATCAGTGCTCAAGAAATGTTGGTTGCAAGGGTGAATATGTGGATGGACGGATGGATGGATGGATGGATGGATGGACGGACGGACGGATGGATGGATGGATGGATGTTTGATGTTTACATGATGGATAGATGGAAAGGTGGATTCACAAATGGTCTAGACAACTCTCTGGAGATGATATGCCCACTAAAAATATTGATGCAATTCATGGTTCTCTAACACTCAGTCTTTTCACAAAGGGTTCATTTACTCGTCTTTCTTAGGCAGTCTCTACTCTTCTTTCTGCCCGCTTTCCCTTTCTTCCAGCCAGAACTCCTACTTACCTGTAGTCCCTGGACAGCCCACTTTCTGAGACTGGTTTACTTCCCAGCTGGGAACCTTTAAGAAACATCCTGGGAGAAGCCAGAGGAAGGGTGGAGCCCAGGAAGCAATGTGGTCAAGGCAAAATAAGGCTAGTTATGTTAATCAGTTCAATGGAGGCTGTTTACTGATCCTAGAGGTCAGAACAAGCCAGGAAGATGCCAATGGGCAAAAGGACACAGGCTCTAAGGAGAATGGCAGAACAGAGAGTCAGAGGCTAGGCCGGGGGATCGCAACTCCACCAGCCAATGGAATAGCCAATGGCGAGGTCAGGCCTGAGGCAAGAGGTGCCCAAAGTCAACCATCCCATCCCTTTTGCCCATGGCCATTCAAAACATCACTATTTAATACTATAATTCATATCCCCTCTTCAAAATGAAAAGAGTGGGGTAGACCAAGGAAAGAGGACATGACCAGGATTACTCATGAAGTTAATTGGAACTGGGACTGAGGTAGCCTCACTCAAATTCTATACTAATCACAGCGAAGGTTTGGATAATATTAAACAACATAGCCTTACATTTATATGGTGCTTTGAGATTCAAAAGCAATTTTCTATACATTATCTTGTTTGAGCTTCATACAAGCTTGTGAAGGGAGGCAAAAATGGGATTTCAGTCCTGTTTGCCAAAGGAAAAATCCCAGCATGGGTCAGTGGCATGGCCAGGAAAAGTCTAGGTTTTGGAATCAGGCCGACCTAAGTACTAATCCCAACGCTGCTGTGTAAGCTTCTTCAAGTTACTTTCCTTTGTCAAATCTCATCTGTGGAAATAGTAATGCCTATTTTCCAGAACTGCTGAGAAAAACAAATGAGAAAGTATGTATCACAGACCCGCATATGTGAATGGGACATGGTGGATGCTCAGCAGATGCCATTTCCTGAGGCAGATTAAATGATCGGCCCCAATTCCTCACCTTTCCCTGCACTCACAAGCTTGAGATGGCCTTGTTGTAGACAAAGCGCTTTTCCCTACCTCCTGACTTTGGGCTTAGTGGTGTGACTTCCTTGGCAGTGGCATATGGGCAGGAGTAAGCTGGACATTTCCAGACCTAAACCTTAGGAGACCTTGTTGTCTTGAGCTTCTGCCATTCCTGTAAGAAACCTTTCACCTGGGTAGCTGCTGTCTCTTAGCCTGAGCGCAGAAAGGAGATACACATAGAGCAGAGATGCCCCACCAAGCACCACCAGATCCAAGTGTGAAGCAGAGCTGCTATCTGAGCCCAGACAACCTGCAGATTGGTAAGAATAAGTGATGTTTGAGACTACTGAGTTTTGGGGTGGTTTGTTATGCATCATTTTGTAGCAATAGCTAACCAATACATCTCTTTCCGTGGGGCGCTCCTTAGGTTGCCGTCTGCTAACTTAGACGCCTGAAATAGACCCCATCTCTCCTGGAAAGGAATCTAGCATGTTTTTCCCTCACTGCCATACTGTCTCACCTCCTTGATGTACAAGTTTTGCTCCAAATGTCTGTCTCCTGCAGACACTGGTGGAGTACCTCTCTCTTCCAGCAGCATGTTAACAGAAATGTTTTCACAGGCAAAGATAAAGCAACAGAGTCAAAGGCCTGCTTCTCAGCCTCTAAAAGAATCCTTTGTTGGTGATAATGCCTTTGTTGACAGTGCTCACATTCCTAGATCAACCACTCAGCATAAGTTAGGGACAGAGGTGTTCGTTTCACCAAAGCTGCCCACTTCAGTTTTCTCTTTGTCAAAAGAAGAAACATTAAAAGTGCTTCATATGTACATTTAAGTACATCATTACTTTCCGAGTGCTTTATCATCGCTACCGAGTGTTCTCCTTCCATCACAGGGAGACCTTGACTCGCAGTCAATCACATTGCCTTCTGCTTTGGGGCTCCTCCGCCAGATGGGTTGCAGGCATTGTTCCACCAGCGCTATTGATGCCTAATGTGAAGGAGTTGGAGAGGAAACTCTCCAAGTAAATAGATACACTTTCTGTTTCCATTCAAGGCTTTGAGCCATTCTTTAACCTCCAATGATGCTGGATAAGTCATTTTTGCTTAGGAGGTCTGAAAAGGCTCAAAGGGAGGAATTTTCCTCATGGACCTCCATTTATCTCAGTAGATAGTAGGAGGAATACAAAGAGAAGAGAGATAGTGCTGGGTGAACTTGAGATGATTTGGGGGTCTGTTTGGTTTGGTATGTGCAAATTGGATGATGAGTGTGAAGGTTATCTGAATTTAATTGAATTTCTCTAATCCCTTAAGGCACTTAGGTTTCACAGAGTTACCTAATACCTCCCGGGTGCAGACAAAATAGAAAGTGCAGAAGAGCCCTGCTGTTGTCCTGGAATGCAGTCTCCCTTGGCATAGCCCTGAGGCTAGTGGGGATGGATTCTGTCCCGTCCCCTCCACTGCTCCAGCCGCTCATGCAGCAAACTGTAGCAAAGACCTCTTAGCCTCTGCCGTTTGCAAAAACAGCACCACATCTGTTCTCTCCTTTAACCTTGGTGCAAGGGGAAGAGGGCAGCAGGACCCAGAAGGAAACTGAGGCTGGAAAGGTTTGTCAGCTGAAGACACTCAGAGCTTGTCTGCAGGGCCAGGCCAAGGCCTTAATTCAGGACACTTTCTGCTTTAAATCAAGACATGAATACTTCTGCCATTTGAACAAAGATGGGAAATGCACCCAGAAATCATGCATTCTTTTCCCAAATATTTATTGAGTGTCTACTATGTGTCAGGGACTACTTATTTTAGGTGCTAAATAATAGTGATTCCAAGCTGCCAAATCACAGGCCTGAAAATCAGAAATCAAGAATCTGTGGAGAGAGCTGTGTACTCGTCTCAGATCTCAGGGACATGACAGCGACAGGGGCTGGGCTTATTTGTGTCCTGATGCCCGCAACCAGCGCACACCTGCCCATCGGGGGCTCAGAGGTATTCGCTTGGTGGCTCCATGGGAGTCATCCAGACACTTTCTACGCCAGTTGGTCCGTGGCCTGCCTCTATCCCTGGGGCTCCACAGACAGCTCCTGGCCATCCTTTCTTCTCCCTGGCTCACCCCTGCAGGCTATCCCCCACAGTCCTGCCTGCTGGAGGGACCAGGCCACACATCACCTTACCTGCAACCAACTTTCCAGTGGCTCCCAGGGCCCCTCAGGTTACAGCCAAAACCACCTAACGAGGCCCAAGGTCATCTTTGGTTACCTAAGTCCACCCTTAAGCCTCCTTCTCCAGCCTCATCTCTCACCACTATGCACATATGACAAAATCACACACACACACCCACAAACACTCCATATACACACATAGTATACACCACACACACACACACACACACACACACACTCCCTCTTGCTATTTTTTATTGTATATAGTTAAGGGGTACAACATGATGTTTGGATATACACATGCATAGTGAAATGATTACCACACTCAAGCAAATTAACATGTCCATCATCTCACATAGTCACCTCATATGTGTGTGTGTGTGGTAAGAGTACCTAAAATCTACTCTTAAAAAACGTCCAGTATACAATACAATATTATTAAACTCCAGTCCTCATGTTATACATTATATCTCTGCACTTACTCATCCTACGTGACTGAAGCTTCGTATCCTTTGACCTACATCTTCCCATTCCTCTCCCCAGTACCCACCATGAGTTTGTTTTTTCAGATTCCAAATACATGTGAAATCATGCAGTATTTTTCTTTCTGTGTCTGGCTTATTTTACTTAGCATAATATCTTCCAGGTTCATTCATATTGTCACAAATGGCAGGATCTCTTTTTTAAAGGCTAAACAATATTCCATTGTGCTATGGTTTGAATATGTCCCCTCCAAAATTCAGGTGTTGCCAATGTCATAATATTAAGAGGTAAGGGTTTAAGAGGTGATTAGGGTATGAGGGCTCCTCTCTCATGTATAGGATCGGTGCCCTTATAAAGAGGCTTGACAGAGAGAGCTGGGTACTCTCTTGCTCTTTGGCCTCCCACCATGTGAGGACACAGCAAGGCCCTCCCAGATGTAGGTGCCCTGATCTTGGACTTCCCAGCCTCCAGAACTGTGAGAGAATAAGCTTTTCTTTACAAGTTACCTAGTCTCCGGTATTCTGTTACAGCAGCACAAAACAGACTAAGACACATTATGTATATCCATTTGTCTGAGACATGGATATTTTGTTTCTGTATCCCAGTTATTGTAAATAAAGCTGCATTGAATATGGAAGTGCACATATCTCTACATGGTGCTGATTTCAGTTCCTTTGTATCTAACCAACAGGGATTGCTGGGTCATATGGTAATTTGGTGAGAACTGCTACACTGTTGTCTATCATGGCAACCCTAACTCACATTCCCAGCAACAGTGTACACTCCCTCGCTGTTTCTTATCCCCACACGTTAACTTAAGCCATTCATTCCCCCAGCACACCTTTCCTGACCAACTCCCCTTCTAAGTTCTCTCCTTCAGGTATCCCAAGTGCTCACTGGAGGTTAGGTTGCTGCAGTGAGTATTTTTCATGCATCAGCTCATCTGACTACTGCCATAGTCCTGTAAGGTGGAGATTCTGACTGTTTCCATTTTGCAAGTAAGGAAACAAAGATTGTGTAGTTATGCAATGTGACCAGGGTCACAGTTACTAAGTGGGGATGCCAGGAATTGACCCAGGCCTGTGTAGCTCCCAAGCTCAGCCATAGGAAAATATAATTTCCTTCATCTCACAGAGGCTGAACTGGTAGCTAGAAAAGTTAAGAGGTTCCCCTGATTCCACCATTGTTTCATAGGGGTCTGATCCAGCATCCAGCTCCCAAACACTCCCTAGGACTGGGAGGTATTGGAGGACAGAGAGAGTTTCTTACTTGTTTCCACGTCCCAGCACTTGGCATAGGATCTGGCCCCGAGCAGGTGTACCAACAAATGGGAACTGAATGAATAACCGAGCCAGCCAAGTGGCAAGAGACAGTCACACTGTCATGGTTTGTGGGCTGTATCCATGGGTCTGAGGGACAGAGGAAAAAAGACTCCAAGGCCCCTGCCTGCAGCAACGAGTCCTAGTCCTCTAGGAAAAGCAGAGGACTTAGAAGGCTCAAGTTCATGTCCTGGCTCTGTCCCAGTGCACTGCGAGTATACTGCAGAGACCCCCTCTTTGCTTCATCGTGTGTGAGGAAGGGACAATAACATGACCTTCACAATAACTCTGGTCTTTGTTCCTATTTCCTTTCAGCCTGGAGGCATTCCCTGCCCTGCGCTGACCCTTGAAATCTCTGCAAGACCTGAAGGACATAATAGGGACTTGGACTTGCATTCTCAAGGCAAGGATGGTTTGCTCTGAGCAGGGTCCTGTCCCAGATATGTTTGCATTGGAGAAACAGCTCCTCTGGGGCAGAGAGGGCAGGACGGGTGGCAGGTGGTGCCATGAAGGGGAGGCTGCTATAGGGGGCCATCCAAGGGGTGGTGAGCCCTGCTGGGCATAGCCCAGGGGGCTCTTCACATGGAACCTTGACAGCCCTGGTAACTGGTCGACCACAGAGCTTGTGGGAGAGAAGATTTAAAGCTGCCTCCCAGGTTTCTGGCCTGTGTGGATGATGATACAACTTACCATGTTTATAAGACCAAAGGAAGAGTGTGAGGGCAAAATGTTGAGTTATGTTTGGGACCTATTTAGTTGGAGGTCTGTGGGACAGCCCAATGTGACTTTCAGGAGCCAGTTGCATGGGTGTAGAGTTTGTTTAGAAGGGAGCTTTGGATTGGAATGCACATTTGGGATAGTTGTACAGATGGTACAATGAGATGGCGCAGAGAGTGGGGGAGGGGGGCAGGAAAGAAGCAGCAACTGAGTCTGTAACCCTGGCAAATGTCAGTGTCAGAGGATGACTGGGAAGGTCCTGAGAACGAATAGTTGGAGGGGTAGCAGGGAATCCCAGAGAGACTGCTATTGTAAAAGCCAAAGAAGGAAAGAATTCAAAAAGAAGGAAGTAATAACAGTGTCCTGGGCCTAGGGAGGTTACGAGAAGAACTGAAAAGTATTCACTGGACTCATCAGCTAGCAGTGGGAAGAGCCACGGTAAACGCCCCCTGCTTCTCCACCTTCCCCCTCCTCAGCACAGCCCAACTTGCCCAGAGATGGCCTCTGTGCAAAACCCTTCCCTGCTCCACACTCTGACTCCTTTTTAAATATTCTGGACCTGGTTGAGGGCCCCAGAACCACAGAACTGATTTTTCCTTGTTTCCTTTGTAGATTCTCCTGCTCACTTTAATGACAGGTCTCTCCATGGAAACTGAGGCAGGAAGCATGCCACACTGACATTGTGTTACAGAGTTACTGGACTTTGGGGAGAGCAGACTCAGTGGCCTGCTACAGGAAGGAGCTGGATGTCCCTGGCTGGAGGAACTGATGGGGAGCAGGAAGGGCAGAAAGATGGGGCTAGTTCAAGGTGCTACAGGAATAGTGGCATCCTGAGAGAAGGCACCCAGCCCCACCTGTACTGAGAACCACTCAGGCACACAGAGGAGGCAGGCACAGCTCCCGGGCAAGTCCACATGGTGACACCAGTGCAGCATCTTGGGCTCAAATAGTTTTGTGCATGGAAGTGCTATTTACAAAGCTGTCCTCAAGATTCAAGGAGAAAGAAACTTGTTTTTAAGAATGGGAAACTAAAGGCAATTTTTAAGAAGACAGAGAGAGAGAGGAGGGAAAACCCATCAAATGTCATTAGACTTCATCAGAACCATTTCTCATACTGACAAAAGAGAAATAACAAAGATTGTGTTGTTGTTATTTTTCCAGAGGGATAGTGTGTATGCCAGTGAAGAAGGAAGTCATAAAAGATACCAGGGAAATGCAATAACTGGATATTTCAGTGCATGGGAGTCTGATTCTTTGGGGGCAGGGAAAACCACAGTGGAACACTTGAGATGCCCTACTTAATTTTGAAAGAAAAGGAAAATTATTGGAGATTTCAATGGCAGGCTGATCACAGGCCTCTACCTCTGCCTCAGCAAGGAAATTAGTTGCCATGGCAACTTCAGGTTGCATCATTAAGAATATTTAAAATGTTGAGAGAGTGGGGAGGCACAGCTTTAAACACTGAAGGAGGAGGTAGAGACAGGAAAGAGAAGTGAGGCTTAAGAAGTAAAAGAAGTGATCCAGGGACAAGCGGAAACCTTGGCAAAGAGAGGAAAGGAGTGGGGCCTCCCTTCCCAAGTGGATGTTTTTATTGTCCCTCTTAGAATCATGGAAGGAAATGGCGTATTACCCCACATTTGGGTTCCTTTTTGTTTCATGTCATAATTTGATCATTTTTTTTTCTCTTGTCCATTAAAAGGAAAAAATTAGAAAGATGAAGAGGATCTCAAGATCCTTTATTTTATTTATTTTTTGTTTTTTGAGACAGGGTCTCACTCTGTCACCCAGGCTAGAGTGCAGTGGTGCAATCACGGCTCACTGCAGCTTCAACTTCCCCAGGCTCTGATGATCCTCCTGCCTCAGCCTCCCGAGTAGCTGGAACTATAAGTGTGTGCCACCATGCCTGGTTAATTTTTGTATTTTTTATAGAGATGGAGTCTCAGTGTGTTGCCGAGGCTGGTTTCAAACTCCAGGGCTCAAACAATCCTCCCACCTTGGCTTCCCAAAGTGTTTGGATTACAGGCGTGAGCCACCACTCCTGGCCTGTTTTATTTGTAAAAGTATAGAGCCGGGTGTGGTGGCATGCACCTCTAGTCCCAGCTACTCAGGAGGCTGAGGCAGGAGGATCGCTTGAGCCTAGGAGTTCGAGGCCTCAGTGAGCTATGATCTCGCCTGTGAATAATCACTGCACTCCAAACTGGGCAACATAGCAAGATCTCACCTCTTAAAAAAGAAAGATAAAAGTATTGAATGGATCATTATATTTCAAGTTATTTCCCCAATGTTCTTAAATGGTTTGGTCCTGAACTTGCCCATCTGACAGAATACAAAAAGCAAACTTTGTGTTCCACGTCAACTTCTTAAAGTTCTCCCCTAGCTCTCCAGGTGTATGGAAAAAAATCATGGGTGTTATTACAGAGAATTATATTTCTGTCCAAGGAAGCATTTTTATCCAAAGAACCATGGATGAGAGATTATACCACCACTCTATCACTATAATATTATTCTTTTTAAGAAATGTGGTTATTGTTTTCCTTTTGCCTGCATCGTTATACAGAAGGAGGAGAGGGAAATTCAGATGATCAGCAGATCATTAATTACCTGGGAAAGCCGGAAAAATTCTCCACTTTCAGCTTGGAAATATGTGGATGGTTAAATGTCTGGTGGGTCATCAGTTCCATGTTGCACCTGTCCTTGTATCAGCCCCAGCAGTTCATAGCCCTTCCTTCCGATGTGGGTCCCAGTTTAAATCCTCAACTGTGCCTGTCACGGCCCTTTGAAAGGGGCTCCCTTGGCAAACAGTTTTCCTAAAGGTGAGGGTTTCTGCAAATCCTGTGGAAAGCTGGTGAACATACCTGTGTGCCGTGGTGACAGAGGGACTCAAACCAAATACAACACGGCAGTGTCTGCAAGGGATGGGCCCCACCTCGGGGTAGCAAAGCTGGTGTCAGGGAGCCCCAGGCTGGAGATGGGCTTCCTGAGAGCCACCTTCTTCTCTGCTTGGAGAGAAGACAGAGCCACCTTTTGTGGTCCTGAGCAAAATCTGCATACACTCTCCAAGCCTGTTTCTTTCCAGGGCAAATGGGAACAGTAATAATAACTGCTGCTTACCTTGAAAAGTTGGAGGAGGGATCAAGTGGGGTGAGACACAGAGAGCCCTGTGTGGACAATAAAGGGTTACATGGATGTCAGCTGTCCTCCTCAGGGGTACAGGTGCCAGGCTCCAGGTTTTATGGCACAGGACGATGTTGGCCACACTGGAGAGGCTACTCAGGACCTACCTGCCTGGTTCTCTGGATGATGGAGGCCACTGTCTTGGCTTTGGGCCAACTAAAGGTAGACAAGAAACAATACTAGTTGAGAAGGTCCACACTGCCCAAACCATATCAACTCCATGGAGGCGTCAACCCCAGGACGCCAGCCTCCTTACTCAATGGGGTGACAGAAGAGTGAGCTAAGTGGCGCAGCATCCTGGGCAGGACTATGGCAAGCTTCTGCTCTCTGCTAGCTACTGCTCACATCACTGATCCACAAGGCTGGCCTCACTGCACCCTCCAACCCTTCTCCCATGCCACCACACCTAGGGGCCCCTCCAGCTTTTCTCAGAGACCATCCTCCTCTTAGCGAGGCAATGCTCCCTGAACACAGGCAACTCTTTTTTCCCTCTTCTGCAAGTGGCCATGTGGTTAGTAGCAGGGCTCCGACTTTATGTACTTGGGTTAACCCAGTTTCCAAATACTCACAAGCTGTTCTTTCTGTCATCCATTCATCCATACCCCCACCCATCCATCCCAACAATCAACAAACATTTACATAACACCTTTGCTAAACACTGGCTGAACCAGAGGTCAGCAAACGACAGCCCATGGCCAAATCCAGCTTGATAGCTTGATGTTTTTGTAGATAAAGTTTTATTGGAACATAGCTGTGCCCATTGTTTACATTTTGGCTATGGCCGCTTTTACTCTAAAATGGCAGAACTGAGTAGTTGCAAGAGTCCTTATAGCCTACAAAGCTGAAAATATTTACTATCAGAAACATTTACAGAAAAGGTTTTGTGGATTCTTGGGCTGGTCACTTGGCAGGGTGGGGAGGGCCCCAATAGCAGAGGAAGGAGATACAAAGCAGGATCAAATTTGGGTCCTGCCCACAAGGAGCTTACAGTTGCAAGAAATAAGTTGGGGGTGCTATTAGACTTTTACAGGTCAGGCTGTCTTCAGGGACAATCAGAGAAAGTGCTAAGAGAGCACAAAGGCAGAAAGTCCAGGTCCACAGGGGAACTCAGGAAGTGTCTGGAGGCTGGGTCTTGCAAGATGGGTTGGCTCAGCCACATGCCTATGAAGAGGTGAGGGAAGAGCATTCACAAGGAAGTGGCTCTGTGGACAAGGGTGCCAGTGCAGGAACCGGGTTGTGCACCTAGGAAGCAGGTGCTTCAGTTAGTTGTGAAGGTGAGATGCCTGACAAGGAGGATCGAGAGAAACAGTGCAAGGAGAGGTTGGGTCAGGGTACTGGAGGGTCTTGAATGCCAGGATAAGGAATTTGGAGCTTATTCTCTAGATGCAGAAAGTTTTTAAAAGTTTTTGAGCTGGAGAATGAATGGGGAAGCTGTGCTTTGGGACCATTAAAAAGGCAGCCAGGTGTAGTATAGACTAGAGATTGATATTTCCAAGAGAAATTACACCTTAAGATTTATTCTCCCTAACCTAGTCAAATGAATTAATCTATAAGAAGAATTTTGTAAGCTATAAAATGTATGGGATTATTGTGATTATTTATTATAAGAATAATGCTAACCCAGGTAAGATTTAGACCTTTCTGTTCAGATTCATTTCCATGTTTCAATCACTTTAACAATTCCCCCATGCTGGGTTGTATTTTGACTTCCCCAGACTGTAATTATAGCCCATTTCATATTGGGCGTGACGCAATTCAACAGTAACGTCCTAAGCCTTCATTTCCAAGGCAGTTATTTTTGGTACGACACAGAACATGTCATGTCATCGTAATATCACACAACAAAGGGTTGAACTCCATCCAGGACAGAACACTTCCCACCAATGGGCCCCGGACATACCCTTCCCATGGCCTTGGCCCAGAGGAGGGCTGACTCTGTTGTAATAGGACCATCACCAAAGGGCCAAGTTTTCAAAAAGGATAAAGAGCCACAGGGCCATGCAGTTCCCAGGCAGCATGAGGAAGAAATGAATCCTTCAAGGCTGGGCATGGGAGATCTCTACTAAGAATAAATCCACATGCGATTGGTTAAAAATGTGACAGATGCACTTTGTTTTAAAAAGTTAAGCTAAAAATCTTAAAATCAAGCTTGTTTTTAATAAAGTTAATAAAATTTAAATTATAACAGCAGCTGTGCATTAATTCTTAGAATGAATAAGTGGTAAATTGGTGAGGGGGCATGATTTTTCCAACAAAATTGCAAGACAACAGGTTATAACATCCTTCATTCCATGTTTGGCCTCCCAGTATAGTAATAAAATCTATTTTTTAAAAAATCAAGGATTTAATCCATTGTCTCAAAGGCTTTTCTCTATCCGTTGATATGAAATCATTCAAAACATCAATCAGATCATCACTCATGATGGTAATTAAGCACTAACTCTTCTTTTTTTTTACATTTCTGTTTTTCTTTTTTTTTTTAATTTTTATTATACTTTAAGCACTAACTCTTCTAAGGTGGGTCTTCCTTTTGCCAATGGCTTTTGCAGTAGTTCAACCAGTTCTCTAATATCACTTGCAATGACTTCAAGAAATCCTTCACCATTGGCCAGATGCATAACTTCCCTTTGTAAATGGTTTGCCACCGCTCTCATCCTATTCATTCCCAGACTGAGAGACAGCGTCAATGTGGTGGGCAGAAGAGAGGTCATAGTTTTGCAAAAGGAAGGAGCCTCCGGGAGGTGGGGGCCAGAAAACCTCCATCCTGAGGCCAGGAGCTTCTACAGCTTCAGTAGGGCCCTGAAACTGCCCAGCCATCTCTGCCGTGGCCCTGCTCCTCTCCTTACACATTCCCAGAGTCAGCTGCACTTGGAACCCTCTCTACACTCTTTGGAGGCGTGGCCTCCTCTGCTCACCCTCTGGGAATGACTCACCCACTACTCTGCAGGGAAAACAGAGGCCTGAGATTGAACATCTGCCACCTCTTGCCCCCACACCTACAGGCTCAGGGGTGTCAGCCACAGACCTCGCCCACTTTCCTCGAGCCCTCAGGGGGAGGTCCCATCCTTCTGGATGAGCTTCATCTCTCCCTGTCTTCTGGGTTCAAACCCCTTCCTATCAGTGCCTGGAAGCCACCTGTCATTTTCTTACCAGTCTTCCTTCCTTCCCTGCCTTCACTGTGGCTTCCTTAGGAGTGGAGTCAACTTCCCACCCCATTGGCTGTGGACTTGACCAGGTGACTTTGCTGTAGCCAATGAAACGTGGGTGGAAGGATGGTATGACAGTTCTTGGTGGGGCGTTAAGGAGCACAGCGTGACCTGGTGCTCTTGTGCTGCTGCCATTTGCAAGGAAAAGGCATGTCCAAGGTGGTCATTGCATTCTCAGCCCCAATCCTGGGACAAGAGTGGATCTGAACTGAAGGCCATAAGACCCACAGAGAGAAGGAAATGCTTATTTAGAAAACCCTGGAGATTTGGATTTGCTGCACATCATTATTGCTACAAAACCAATACACCCGCTTCTTCTCCACAAACTGTGAACACATATAAATTTCTAAGTTTATCTTAACAAAATTCTATGGGTACACAAGTGAAGGGTGTAGTCAACCCTACCAGAGAATAAGAAAGAGGATCCAGATTATTTTGTTTTTGGGGAGGGAGACTTGTATGCTTTTTATTCTCTATCCCAAGAGGGAGTCTTGCATGGTAGTAATGAGTGTGGATTTTGGAGCCGGTTGGCCTCAATCCTGGATCTATTACCATCTGACTGTATAACTTTGGGCAAGTTACTCAACCTTTCTGTTTTTTGCATCTGTGAAAATGAAATGTCAATAATAATATCACCTTCATAGCAAGGTCATGGGAAGAATTAAGTGAGCTAATATATGGCACTTACAGTCGAGCCTGGCATAAAGTAAGATGTGTTCAATCAAGGTGATCATTATTATTATGTGACTCTCCTCTCCTGCTGGCTGTGAACTCACACCCATCTCTGTAGCCCTGTGGTCTAAACACACAGCCTGTTACATAATAGGTGCTTCGTGAATGCCTCTCAAAATACCTGCAACCCACCTACCATTTCTCAGACGTCCCTAACTCAAGCAACAAAAGCCTGTGCTTCTTGGAGAGGCCTCCGGGGACTCACAGTACACAAACTCCCACTGTGTCTCTTTTAAAGGGATTGCCTAATTAGGTCAGGCCCACCAGGAGAGTCTTCCTTTTGAACCATTTACAGCCAGCGGATTAGAGACCTTAACTACATCTGCAACATCCCTTCATCTTTACATATAAGTAACCTAATCATGGCAGGTTACTAGCCTAACCAACTAACTAACCTATGAGTAACTTAATCATGGCAGTGACATCTATAAAAGGTATGTAAATGGCTTATTCACAGGTCCCACCCACACTCAAGGAAACGAGATGCAGGGTGTGTGTACCATCTTAGAATTCCACCTACCACACCACACTAGAGATTAAAACTTCCTTTGCTGGGGAGAGAGTAGGGCAGGAGGGAATTAAGAGGGTTGATGGTGGTAGGTGCCCAAGAAGGGAACACGAACCCTAGCAGCCCTGCCTCTAAAACCTGGCTGAGGCTCACAGGAGGCACAGTGGAGATTGAGAAGAAACTCAGAAGTAATGGGGCAGGACTTGGGAGCAATAGGGTCTGTCCCTCTTTTTCTGGATGATGATGGGGGAGAGGCAAGGTGCACTAAGTCTGGAGAAAGAACATTAAGGTATAAATGGCTACACAGGGTATTAGGCAGAGAGGACCTGAGACAGTCTCTTCTATGTTCTAGAAGCCTCAGAGTGGCCAGGACAAGAGTTGGCCTCTGCCCCTCCCCCTGAGAGGGCCTGCGGAAGTGACTTCCATACAGTCTGATGTGGAAAGGCGTTAAGGTCAGGATGAGCGATGGCTCAGCTGCACATCAGCAGGTCAAAGCTTGGAGACCAGAGAAGATGATGCACATCTCAGCCAGTGGCATAATGGATGGCTAATGACTGAGCAATAGACGCTGTGCTTCCTGGCCTCATTCCACGCATTATGCAAGGCTCTGGGACATAGTTAGAACCCTGGAGAGAGGCGGGAAAGAGCTGCAGTGAGGTCGCATAGAATCACAACTGGGTGAACATCAGTCAGTGGAATGGGATTTGGATTAGTTTCCAAAGACTGCCCTAACCAATGACCACAAACTGGGTGGCTTAAAACAACGGAAGTTTATTTTCTTAGAGCTCCAGAGACCAGGAGACTAAAATCAAGGTGTTGGAAAAATTGGTTCCTCTTGGAGGTTCTGAGGGTAAATATGCTCCATGCCTCACTCCTGCCTGCTGGGGGCTAACCTTGACTTGCAGATGCATCGCCCCAATCTCTGCCTCAGGCTTCACATCATCTCTTCTCTGTTTCTCTCCGCATCTCCTCCTTTTCTGTCTAAGAACACTCATCATTGGATTCAAGGCCCACCCTAAATCCAAGATGATTTCAAGTCTAGATCCATAATTTCAATACATCTGCAATAATGCTATTTTAAAATAAAGTCACATTCTCGCGTACTGGGGATGAGGACTTAGACATAGTTCTTGGCAGGAACATAATTCAGCCCACTACAGGGTTCAAAATAGAAATTAAGGTAACATCAGCAGCCGTAACACATAAACCCCCAAATCTCAGCGACTGTACGTATCAGAAGTTGATTCCTTACTTATGTAACCACCAGTGCCTATATTCCTGGTCAGCAGGAGGTGGGGCTCTACTCCACACAGTAGCTCAGGGACTCAGGCCCTGCCATCTTCAGCCTGCAGCTTCCAAGATCATCTTAGGCCTTGATAGCCACCTGGAAGTTGTTCAAGAGACAGGGAGAAGAATGAGGGAGAAAAGATTGGGTAGAGAAGACACATCTGTTTCTTACCCACAACCTAGCAATGACATTGCTGAGAAGTAGTCGGTGACCCCACCTAGATGCTGGGGGCCAGGGGCTCGCCTGGCTGGACAGCCATTCCCAGACATTCCTGAAGGGATTCATGAATCCCTGGTGAATAGCTGGCCATTTATGCCACAGCTAGCAATGAGAAAATGAGTAAAATTTCTTACACACATAAGCTAATGGTCTGAGTTTTGTGCCCATTACACAACTGTAACAAATGTATTTTCCAGGCCACACCCTCTGGGGACACATTTAGGTCCTGTTTTATTCTGTTTGGGCTGCTATAACACACGATAAACTGAGTCACTTTTAAACAACAGCTTATTATTTTTCACAATTTATTGCACTCAGTTCTGGAAGCAGGGAAGTCCAAAATCAAGGTGCTAGCAGACTCAGCGTCTGGTGAGGGCCTACTTTCTGGTTCACAGAAAGCACCGGTGGAAGGCCAGCCACAGTGGCTCACACCTGTAATTCCAGCATTTGGGGAGGCTGAGGTGGGCCAATCATTTGAGGCCAGGAGTTCAAGACCAGCCTTGCCAACATGGTGAAACCCCATCTCTATGAAAAATACAAAAAAATTAGCTGGGCATGGTGGCATGCACCTGTAGTCCCAGCTACGTGGGAGGCTGAGGCAGGAGAATTGCTTGAACTCAGGAAACAGAGGTTGTAGTCAGCTGAGATTGCACCACTGCACTCCAGCTTGGGCAACAGAGCAAGACTCCATCTCAAAAATAAAAAAAAATTTAAAAAAAAAGAAAGCAAGCACTGGTGGAAAGGGTGAGGTAGCACTCTGGGGACTCTTTTATAAGGGCACTGATCCCATTCATGAGGGCTCCACCCTCATGACCTAATCACCTCCCAAAGGCCCCACCTCCTAATACTATCTCCTTGGGTGTTGAGTTTCAACACAGGACAAACATCAGACCATAGCAGACCCTAAACTGGAGCCAATTAGTTATTTTGCTTGCTCCTGAAGGCTCCAGTTTCTGGCAGCACTGCATTTCCCTCTGAGTACTTCCCCTCTGCTCAAAGTGGGAAGGGTGCACCTCAGCTCTCCATACTTCCCCCCCAGGCCTCCACTTGTCAGGCCCCTGTGGGTTTGCCTCAGCCATATCTAACTCCTCCAGGAGCACTGTACCACCTCAGTTGCCCAGAGAATCCACCGCTTTTGCCAGGGTCCAGGGAGAGTCAACCCCTAATGCAAAATGACCTTCCTTACCTGCTACATGCCTGGATCATTTTCACTGCTGTAGGTGTCCCAAGCCAGGGCTCAGCTCCTTCTCCCTGGGCCTTTTCTCCCAGCTGGAGCTCATGTCAGCCCCAAAGACCTCCACCCCAAGTCTGTCTGAGGGCCTGCTTCCAACACAGGGTCAGCCCTCCTTCATTCTTCTCTAGGAAGCCCCCTTTCCCCTCCTCCAGCCAGATCTTCCCAACTCCAATAGCATTTCCTGCCCTCACTTGAGCTGTGTGTTCTTCTGGAAAGAAGAAGTTTGCTACTTAAAAATGCCATTGAAGACATACAGCCACCCTTGCATATGTTTCCAAAAAATATAGGTCACTTGGCAGGGATATGTGACAATTATGGTCAGATGTTGGTTTTTAATTCTGTGAAAAAATCAGGAAGGAGGGTGTTCTAGAGGGAAATGGAGGAAGAAACTACCAATACAGACACCATCACAGCAGTGTTCCTCTTTCTCTTAAATCACTGCTGACATCCCTGGGGACCCCAGCAGGAGAACAAAGTATACAAGGTACGTCTCTACGCTGGGGCGTCTCACCCTCAGCACGAGTGACATTTGGGGCTGGACAAGGCTTTGTTGTGAGACTGTCCTGTGTGCGGTAGGATGTTTGGCAGCATCTTCAGCCTCCACCCACTAGATGACAGTAGCACCCTCCCCATTGCAAGCTGCAGCAGTCAAAAACACCTCCAAACATTGCCAAATGTCTCCTGGGGGACAAAATCACCCCCAATTGAAAAGCACTGCTCTTAAGCAATAGGACAAACTGTTGTTGAAGAAGCATGCAGAGACTTACAGTTGGGGACAGTGCTGTCCAAATACAATGTGAGCCACAAATGCAAGCCACAGATATAATTTTAAATTTTCTAGTAGTGACATTTTTAAAAGTTTTGAAAATGGTGAAATTAGTTCTAATCATATAGTTTGTTTAACCCAATATGTATTATACAAAATGTTCTTTAACATGTAATCAATATTAAAAGTTACTAATGAATAGTCTTTTTTTTCCTGGTACTTTGTCTTGGAACTCCAGTGAGTGTTTTTTTATCTAAAGCACATCTTAGTTTGGACTAGCCACGTTTCAAGTGCTCAGTAGCTACACAAGGTGAGTGGCCACTGTCTTGGCCAGTGCTGGCTGGGAAGCATGCATGGCTTTATGATAAAACCATACACATTAGAATCAAGCAAGCGGTAGCCTCAAGTTCCAGCTCACAAGCTATGTGACCCTGAGCAAGTAAGTCTCTCGGATCCTTGACTTCTCTATCTGTAAAATGTGACAGTGATACATTCTGCATAGGGTCTATGTAAGTCCATTCTCACATTGCTATAAAGAACTACCTGAGACTGGGTAATTTATAAAGAAAGCAAGTTTAATTGGCTCATGGTTCTGGAAGCTGTACAGGAAGCATGGCTGGGGAGGCCTCAGGAAACTTACAATCATGGTGGAAGGCAAAGAGGAAGGAGGCACGTCTTACATGCCTGGAGCAGAAAGAAGAGAGAGGGAAGGTGCCACACACTGTAAAACAACCAGATCTCATGAGAACTCACTCACTATCATGAGAACAGCATGGAGGAAATCTGCCCCCATGATCCAATCCCCTCCCACCACGTCCCTCCTCCAACACTGGGGATTACAATTTGACATAAGATTTGGGCAGGGGTGCAAATTCAAACCATATCAGGGTCATTGTGAGGATTACGAAGAAGAAGAGAGGTTTGAAGCACCCTCAAAACAAGCAGAGCATAGTGGTCCCCCTTTAGGGGTTAGTCTCCTTCCTCTGATGAGCAGTTCCCTCCTGAGCAATGGGTAAGTACGCCTCAAGGTGGCCACCACAGGGAGTCCATAATGCCCCCACTGACCTGCTTTGCTCTCCCTCCCTGGAAACAGCATATCCCCAAAGGTCTCAGCCCCACTAAATCTCCTCTTCCAGGCAGCAAGATTCATCTGTGCCATGTGTTTGACCCTTTATTTGTTAATAAAAGTGCTTTTCCTAGAATGCAGTCAAAAGGGGGAGTGGGGAGTAATAACATGTGTTTGGTGTCTCCGATATTAATAGCACCAAGTGTCACATGCTATGACAGCGATGAAAGTGGGTATGGACTCGGGGCCCCCTCTTTTCTGGGAGGCAAAGCTCCCCCTCGCAAACAGAAAATAAACACAGCCCTGGTGGAGCACAAATGCCAATAACTGTGAGATTTTGATTAAATAATAGATATGTGTTCAGAAGTACTTCTTTAGAGTATGTGATTAAGAAAGATAACTAGACATTCTTACAGCCCTAATGATAATAATTACCACAACATATAAAGTGCAGAATATGACACCAGAAAGGCCATTATTAACCTTTCCCAGGGTTATTTTTTGGGGTGTATTTTTGACACCATGGACACCAGCATTCAGAAACTAAATAAAACTGTAGCTGAGGCAATTACCCTCAGCCATTGCCCTGATCCAGCCTGGGATCAGGACAAATAAAGGGGGATGAGAAGGGGAGAGAGAGAAAGAGACAGTGTGCTGGGGGCATAAAAAGTCTCTTATACAAAACAGATGCTTGTTTAATATCGAACATCTGGCCAGTCTTATAAAGCTTTGTATTAACATTTCTGCAACTGTCAGTAATTCAGAAAACTGACAGAGCTTCCCTGTTTAAATTTTTGCTATAAATAACAACCTTAGATATTTTTTTTCTGCTTGCATGCAATTTGGGTCCCTGACATCTGATACCCAACTGCTCAGCACTTCCTTGCCTGACCTGAGGGTGCAGAGGGGTGGCAGCTGCTCTGGAATCTCACTGCCCTGCACTTCCTCAAGAGCTGCCCAGATCTCCCCATCCTGGCTTCACAATACCTGGCCTTAATGCCACTGAGCTTTCCTCTACTGTACACCAAGTGCATCAGTCAGCTTTTGCTGCATAACAAACTATCCCAAAATTGCATGGCTTCAAAAAGTGACCATATATTTTGCTTATGACTCCAGGTGTGGGCTATTTGGACTGGGCTTTGCTTGTTGGGTCTTCTGGTCTTGACTGGGTTCATTCATTCTATTGTAGTCAGCTTCCAGATTGGCTCAGGTTTGGGTGGTCTGTGTTGGTCTAAGCAGCCTCTAGTTCATCTCTGCTTTATATGCTCTCATCCTCCAGCAGGCCAGGCTGAGCACATTCACACAATGCAGGCAGGAGTCCAAGAGAGCAAGCAGTAGCATGCAGGGTCTTTTGGGTGGAGGTTCAGAACTGGCATGCTATCACTTCTGCTTCACTCTACTGATGAAAGCAAGTCACAAAACCAGATTCATGGGGTCAAGAAACAAATGTCACCCACTGAGAGGAGCTACAAAATTGGATTGCAAGGATACAGGCTGAAGAACAATTGTGGCCATTTTTGCAAACAAGATCTCACCTCTGTTACAGTTTCTCAACCATTCTCCAATGACCCTCTGAGTCAGGCAGAGAAGGTATTGTTGTTATCACAACTTTAAAGCTAAGGAACTGTAGGAGGCTAAGTGATTCATCTAGAGTTGCATGGCCTCTTGGAGAGCAAGAATTTCCCCAGATGCCATGAATCAAAAGCAAAGGCAACAAGATGCCTGGAGAAGATAAACAGCAGGAAACATTTCCAAGTGGGCAGTGAAGAAGATTCTGGAAGATGGAGTTTCCCACCAGCTGTAGCTGCTGACCATGGTCAGGGCAGACTTTCTGGCTGATACAGTAGTCAGCCTGATATGAGAGTGATTTGAGTGCATCAAAAGGTGTATTTATTATTTCACAAATTTGTTTCTCCCACCTTCTTATTCCATAAAGGAATAAGGCATGTAACAAAACTATATTCAAATGTTAACTACATTCAAAAAATAAATAAGAGAGGATGTCAGTGAAAATAGAAGAAGCAGCCACAAAGCAAATCTTACATTATCAAAGGCTGTAAAAAGACACCTGGAGCCTCCCTTCCTAGCCTCCTAGCCTCCCTTCTGAGCTCTCTGCTGGCCCTTTGGTGGGTGAGACCCTCAGAGGAGAACCTTGTAACCCATGGGTAGCTGCTCACCAGGGGGATCCAAGGTCAGCCCCTCAAGAATCAGATTCTCTCTGTAGATGAACTGGGACAATCCAACTGGGCTCTAATAGATCTGATACACCTCTGATCTCTTGCCTGATAATGACTGGCTGCCAGCCATTCCTCTTGGCTGTGGTTGATGTCCCCTAAAAATCCTATCTCTGCATAATGGAACTTTCCAAACCCAGCCTCTGGCTGCCCATTCCAGGATATTTGAACTTCTAGTGATTGGGCTTTCTGTTACATTTTGTCAATAGAGTGTTCAGTGCCATACCAGGTGTTGCCCTTGGTAGTCATTGTGCCAACACCCGATTGGGGTGTGATTAATTCCTCCCCAGAAACCACTCATCCTTGCCTTGGCCCAGTGTTTAGAAGGTCCACAGCACTAATTCCTCTGACTTGAGGCCCCCAAGGCCCAAGTTGAAGTGTATACTTAGGGAGGATGAGGATCTACTAACCTACTAACATATCAGCTGGACAGAGTTCAGCACAGTGGTTCTCAACCAGGAACCAGGCAGCCCCAATAGCTGGCATTTAGAAATGGTAGGAGGTCATTTTTCATGGTTGCAATAATGGGGATGGCAAAAGCTATTGGCATTTAGCAGGTGGGAGTTTGGGATACTTAACATGATGCAGTCCCACCTGACACAGAATAGTTGCAACTAAAACATCAAAAGCAATCTCATTTTTCTGCTGTTGGTTTACAGGGGTCTCCAAGGAATGGGACCTAAGACCTGCAATCTTTGAGGAGAAAATAATGCATCACATTTGCCTGACTGCGTTGTTTACAAAGTTATACATCTTTTTTGTCATTTAATCCTCAAAATCACCTTGTGAAATGCAGCAAATCTGATTCTCTGTTACACAGACAAGGAAACTGAGACTCAGGGATGTTCACTGACATGCTCAGATGCATCTGTTCAGATCCTTCAAGAAGCAGATGGCAAGAGGGATGAAGGGGAGACAAAGGAGGAGTGGGAGGGGAGAGCCTTTAGACAGTGGTGCACTGCACTCCAGCCTGGGCAACAGAGTGAGACTTTGTCTAAAAATAAAAAATGAATAAATAAACAAATAATAGATTGATTCCTTTCATTATAAATCATATCCAGGGCGCCAAAAACTTAGAAAACAGAGAAAATGTATTGAACAGCATGACTCCACCAGGTCCGATACCTGGGAAAGGACAGAGGGAAGGAAGGGGGATTGGGTAGGAAGAGACTCCAACCACAGGGAGCTCTGAGCAAGCATTGGTCACTCTGATGGGTAACCCCAGAGCAAAAACTGCCTGTAAGAGGAGTCCTGGTCAGGCAGAAATGGTCCAGTTCAATCACCCCACCATGACCATGGAAGGCCATGATCTCAGGTAAGTGCTACCTAGGACTGGAAGACGTAGCAGCTGAAGGCTCTCTACCTATGACTCTCTTTCAGCAGGGTCTCTGGAGGGAGACCTGGGCCGCCGCTCCATAGCTATCACATCACACAAATAGGATGCAGTGGAGTCAGGACTCAAGGCCCACTAGACAGCCAACTCAAATGCAGATGAAGAAGAACAAAGGGACCTTGGAGCATGAGGGATGGGAGGGGGCACAGCCCAAGTGGAGCCTGAGGAAGTTCTTGAGTGGGTAGAATGAAAAGCCAAAGAGAGAGAGAGGCTCTGATATCAAATATCAGCTGCTGGGACCCATCTCAAAAAAAATCAGCCAAAGCTAGAACATGCTGGAAAGGCTGGGCCAGTTGCTGGGCTCTGTGTTCATGTGATAGGATGATGAGAAGGTCCAATTAGCCAAAGCTCTGCCAACGCAGAACCCACAGTGCCTTACTGAAGGAGGAGACAGGAAAACAAGCAAATAAAGAAAGGATTTGGGGGCTGAGAGTGTCTGCCTTCCAGGCTGGCATTTTCTAGCAACTGTCTCTGCAAAGGGCCCCCCGCTGGTGTCTCCCAGCTGAGTGCCATGTCACGCGGTGCCCTGGCATTGGAGATGCTATAATGGGGTCTTGGTGTCACAGGGAGAGGAAGCCAGTGATGCAGAACCTCTGAGTCACTCTGGAACCAGAGATAAAATTAGATGGCTGAAGCTTTAAGGGACCTTAGGCATCATCTAGTGCATGACCTCCTCACCTGCGTTTTTCAGAGGAGGAAACTGAGGCCCAGAGAGGCCAAGAGATTTCCTCTATACCAGGGCTTCTTAACGCTCAGCCCTGCACTACTGACATTTGAGGCCATACACGTTTTTTTTTGGTGGGGGAGGGCAGGCAGGGGAGAAGGGGAGGGGTTGTCCTGTGTATTACAGGTTGTGGAGCAGCATCCACAGCCTCTACCCACTAGATCCCAGGAACATTTTCCCAGTCACACAACCAAAAATATCTCTAGACACAAATGGCACTGTGAAATGTCCCCCTGCAAGCTACAACTACCCCCAGTTGAGAACTACAGCTCCAGGCCAAACATCCAGAGTGAGACCTCCAACTGGCCTCCTGCCTCACCAGCCACAGCCCACCTCCAACATCACAACGGTCTGAGAGGACAAAACCAGTGTCTGCCCTTCGATGGTGGGAATTTGAAAAGAAAAATAGGGAGAATTTTGAATTCCACTGAAACGCCCTGGCTGCAGCAGAGAGGCAGCTAGAAACCTAACATTTGACCAATGTGTAACCAGAAAGAACTGCACTTTTGAAAAAATAGGCCAAGAACAGTGGCTCACGCCTATAATCCCAGCACTTTGGGAGTCCAAGTCAGGTAGATCACCTGAAGTCAGGAGTTCAAGACCAGCCTGGCCAACATGGTGAAACCCTGTCTCTACTAAAAATACAAAAATTATACCCAAAGGATTATAAATCATTCTACTATAAAGACACATGCACACATATGTTTATTGCAGCACTGTTCACAATAGCTAAGACTTGGAATCAACCAAAATGCCCATCAATGATAGACTGGATAAAGAAAATGTGGCACATATACACCATAGAATACTATGCAGCCATAAAAAAGGATGAGTTCATGTCCTTTGCAGGGACATGGATGAAGCTGGAAACCATCATTCTCAGCAAACTAACACAAGAACAGAGAACCAAACACCACATGTTCTCACTCATAAGTGGGAGCTGAACAATGAGAACACATGGACACAGGAAGGGGAACATCACACACCGGGGCCTGTTGGGGAGTGTGGGGCTAGGAGAGGGATACATTAGGAGAAATACCTAATGTAGATGATGGGTTGGTGGGTGCAGCAAACCACCATGGCACTTGCATACCTATGTAACAAACCTGCACGTTCTGCACGTGTACCCGAGAACTTAAAGTATAATTTAAAAAATACAAAAATTAGCCAGGTGTGGTGGCACACACCTGTAATCCCAGCTACTCAGGAGGCTGAGGCAGGAGAATTGCTTGAACCCAGGAGGCAGAGGTTGCCATGAGCCAAGATGGCGCCACTGCACTACAACCTGGGTGACAGTGTGAGACTCTGTCTCAAAAATAAATAAATAACAGATTGATTCCTTTCATTATAAGTCATATCCAAAACACCAAAAACTTAGAAAACAGAGAAAATGAATTGAATGGCATGACTCCACCATCTCTTTCAATGCATTTCCAAATCTCTTTGATTTCCTAGAACTACTTGGGATGCCTCTGGGTCATCATTGGATATAAAGAAGTACAATGGGAAATAACCCTGTGGGTTTCCTTCCTCCACTTTGATTGGGCTGTTTGGAGGGCACTCGAGCCTACAAATGTAAAGACTTGTTTGGCAGCCAGCAGGTCAGCGGGCTCCACTACTCTGACCTGCTGGGGCTCACCTGTGCTGGGATCAGTTGGCAATGCCTCATATTTGTATATCACTGATCACCTTTCAAAGTGCCTTACCTAATGTTTTGAGTATTTTTGTTGTTATTTTTATCGTAACAACCTGTAAAGTAGTCTGGGATGACATTCTTAGATGAAGAAATGGAAGTTCAGAGACATAGAGTCACCTGCCCAAAATCACAGTGACCTAGAAGTCAAACAGGATCAGGAACTTAGATCTTCTGGTCGCTAGAGAGTGATGCAGGATAGAAGAGCAAGGGTTTTGGACTCAAGGTGTGCATGCCCATGCTGCTCTGGCCCCTATTTGCAATGAACCATGTTTAAGCCTCAGTTTACCTATTAGTGAATGTGGAGGATGAGGATATAATGCTGCTTCATGGAGCTGTTGGGATAATTTTATGAGGTAACATATATGGGATGTACAGGGAAGGACTTCAGAGTTTGCCTGATATGATTGGCATTTATTTGGCATGACTTTCTGAGCGAATGAGTGATTACCACCTCTATAAATTATGTAGGCGACTACAATTCAGTTCTAGAATAAAGAGGGCAGGCTTCTGCCTCCATGGGTGATGGACTGAAGGAGGCACTGCCTTTTTTGCCACGAGGTGTCACCAGCATTGGTTCAAGGCAAAAAGCACCTCTGATCTGAGAGCACCAGATTGTCATGACTGCTGAGCAAACCCTGTTGCTCTTCATCACAAAGATCCCAATCCACTGAGATGCTAGGACAGAGGGTACTGGCAGGGGCTGCATTTTCAGTGACTTTGAAATACTGCTGCAGCTTTGGAGGGAAAGGGGTCCCCATGAGCTCAAGGAGTACACTGGAAAAAGCCCCAAATGCATCTGAAGTCCTATCAGCCTTTTGGTTGTGGAATTTCAGGCGTCATTTTCAAGTCTGCCCTATATGGTTGTGCACGTGGCTTACTGCACAAGGCAGTGATTAGAGGTTGAAATCTAGTCTGCACTTTGCTTGCCAAGCCATGCACCTTGGAACAGGGCTACATCAGCCTAGAGAAAAGGGCGCATTTTCCTTGTTCTCACAAAGACATTCCATGGGCCAGTGGCAGCCCTGGTCTATTGCCTGTTTAGAACTGCAGTTTTTCTCTGTATGAAATAAGAGATTTTTAGGGGTCTGTCCTTAGAAATTCTAGATCCCTCTCCTTCCCATGTACCATTACTTCTTTTCCCTTCCTTCCTATTCAGGGAAAAAAAAAAGGCTTTTGGTTTTTCACTCTGAGCTTGCAGAAGAGAAGATGGAGAGAGATGGAGAGTGTAGGCAGAGCCTACAGGTATTTAGAGGATGAATATAGCAGGACTTTCCAGGGCCTGGGTGTGAGGGGGGCGGTGGGGGAGCTAACCCTCAGGCTTGAACTCACAGTGGGTGGAGGAGCAGGAGGCCAAGTTTGGGAATGGGGTGTGGTATGGAATGAGCTTATCCTAGGCAAGTGGGTTCATGGACCTTCCAGGAGAGATGCTCAGCCTGCACAGGTTTGAAACTCAGAAAATCAGCCCGGACTAGAGGCACAAATTGGAGTCATGGGGCACATGACAGGTGAGCCCATCAGATCTGCACTCATGACTCCAACTGCTGTCAAAGAAGAAAGCTATTTCAAAGCAGGAAAGGACAGGATCCTAGAGCCCACTTCGGCTCCAGCACTTTAGAAGGCTTTGGTGCCAGGTGGGACTTCATGTCACAAAGGTGCAGGGAAAGGCTCCACATCTCTCTACAGACAGAAAATGGCCACAAAGTCTGAGCCGGGTCAGGTCTGTCTCCCCAGGCAGCTGGGCTGTTGGAAAACGAGATCACAGGGATTTGGGTCAAGCTCTGATAAACGTTCCTGTCTGGGACACCTTCTCTGACCTGAATCTATTTTTAGAAACTCATTTTAATGAACAGTATGCAAAACTATGAATTCAGCAGAGTATATTCCCCCTGAGCTCCCTCCATGATGCATTTTAAAAGGAACCACTGGAGAAAGCAACAATGAATGCTCATTAGGACCAGCTGAAACACTCTCAGGCTGTGCTTTCTGTGACCACTAGCTGTCCCTTAATAATATTCACAATAATAACAGCCGCTCCCATGCCTAGAGCACTTTACGGTTTGCAGAATGCATTCATTCACCCCATTGGCTCACTTGATCATCACAACAGCACAGCAAGGTGGTATTATTATCTCACTATATGAATGAAGAAACTGAGGCTAAGTGAGAGAGATTAGCCCACCCAAAGACCACATATATGGAGGTCCTCACGGAAGTGAAGGGAAAGCCAGACTAGATACATACAGACAGGACCAGGGCAACTCTGGTTCTGTAGATAGCCAGGACTATATAGTGTCCCTCACAGGCCATTGTTGCGATGAACCAGCATCAGCCCCTTTTTTAATAATACATGTCTGTCTGTGCTCAAAAATTTCAGGAGAGAATCTCATTGGTTGAGCTTGGGTCATGTGCCCATTATTTGTCTAGAGAAGTAAAGGGCCCTTTGAATGACAGCTCCTTCCAGAATGCAAAGGAGAAGAGGTAATACTCCAGAAGGCAGCTGGGGTACTTTAGAATTAGAAGGAGAAATAGGCCCAAGAAGCAGAGGAAGCATCCAATATTCACTCCAACCTTTAAAAGCTCTGTGTGGACCAGATTGCTAATGAATGGGGTCCTGTGGATTTCTTCCCTCTGACCTCCATTCTTTCTAGCACTACTTTCAGTTCATCACTGAATGCCTCTGTGAGTAATGCCACCTAACATTTTGGCTGCACATGGCTGTATGTGACTTTGGACCTGTCTTGTCGTCTCTGGGACCCAATTTCCTCATCTACACCACAAAGGCAAACTCCGTGTTTGCAAATGCAAGCAAGCCCGGGAGTCCTGCAAACCCAAGGCAGAGACAAGTTCAAAAGGCTAATAACAAATAGACACCAGGAATCTTGTCAGTGCCCCTCTCACCAGCCATCTTTTCCATCTGAAATGACAGCAAGCCCTGGACTTGATTCCCCAGCAGCCTCATGGGAACTTTGTGGCCCGGCTAAAGGATATTCTCCCACCAGCTTTTCCTCTGTAGGTAGAAATTCACAAAGGCTCCTAATCCTTCAGACCTTCAGAACTTGCTTCCCTCCCAGTTTCCTCCTGCCCAGGAGAGGCCCCTGTTTTCCCATCTCTCTTCACTTGCCACATTCCAACTCATCTGTCAAGCCTCAGCTCCAATGCCCTTCTCGTCCCTGACCACCTGCCCCAGCTGAATAAAATCTCCTTGCTTGGAACTGCCCCTGACTCAGTGCCTCATGACTATTCACACCATGTTAGCTTAGTTATTCACGTCTCTTACAAGACTCAGAGCATGCTATAGGCAGTGAGCGTATCTCACTATGTCTGCATTCTCATTGTCTACCATGATGCCCAGCTTGGAACAAGTGCTGAGTGATGGTTTATGGGATAACGAGTGAATGTATGAATGAATGAACTGATGGGGGACGGATTATTTCCTGCAAGTCATGTGGACAGCTGGCAACAGACCTCGCTCTAGATCCCAGTCTTTCCACTCTAAGACAAGGTACATCCAAATGGATTCTTTCATTTCCCCTAATCCATAGATGCCTGTGTTCATTGTGACTGAACCCCAGCTCCACTGGACCTGCACCTCCAGGGTTGCTGCCTCATTAATTCAACCATTTGGCAAACATGAATCCAGTAGCTACTCTATGCCAGGCATCATGCTAAAAGCAGGCAGTCTAATAGCTACGCTTTGCATGCACATCCAAACAGCTTCTGTTTACCCCAGCCAGTAGAAGGCACAGTCACACTCTGAGAGGAAAAGAGGGTAAGGATGGTGGAGAGAGTCTGGAAGAGCCTCTATAGGAAATGGGAGAAGGTACTGGCCATGAATATTGGGAGCTTCCTGAGCAGCATGGGGGACCGTAAGCAATGCAGCATCACGAATCTGTAGGGCAGCAGCTGAAAGGGAGGAGTGGATTCCTGGGAAGATCAATCCAGAGTGGAAGCCGCCAAATGGAACTATGGTCTTGCAAATGACATCAACTGCAGACAACCTAAAAGGAAGATGCTAACCATCACAGGCCTTCTGGTTTTGAGTGGGTAGAAATTCCTAAGCTTCACATATTGTCAAATAATCAGCAGTAGCCAATGGGGACATCACTTTTTAAAAATAATTTTTATGTCACAGAGAGGGTTTGGAGAGGGAAAAAGCAAGTCCACAAATTCCCCACCACATCACCAAAAGAGGATCTGTTGGCTATAACTTGTTCTTGGAGTAGGGAGAGGGTGGGGGTGGGAAAGTCTCGTATATATTCAGTGAACGATTTCTCCCATCTCTGTCAAAAGAGATGTCAAATATATTCAAATGTGCATTCGGCTGTGTTTATGTGTGTTTTTATCAGAATAGGAGACAAGGATTCTTGTCTCCCTAACTTTTAGCAAAGATGTAAAAGGCTGTGGATATGCACACTTCTATGACTTACTTTATCCCTTTATCACATTTTCTTACTCTATCCCTTTATCACATTTTCTTACATTTTGAGGAGAATGGAATTTTTTCCAGGTGAATCTTGGGTTTGCCACCAACCTGCATCATTTCTCCAGACCTCCGTTTCCTTTTCTGTAAAATAAGGGGTACAGAATCAACATTCAGTCCCTCTGAACCCTAATACACCACAAGTCTTTGAGATCAATGGGAAAGAAGAGTCCCGCATGGATGCCTGGGCAACGTCACTTCTCCCAGAGGCATGGAGCAGATGCATCAAATCAAAATATAAATCATCACACCCTGTTATGGGTCTCATACACAGTTTCTTTTAATAAAAGATGCAAATATTTTGCAGTAAATTGATTTCCCAGTTTCATTCTCTTATCTCCATATTTATTACTCATGATTCCTCCACTCCTCACTTGAAGCATAGGGGTAGCAGGGACAAATCCGGAATGTAGAGTTTGCTTGCTTTCCTACAGTTATTATCAGCACAGTGTTATACTCCCAGGAGTAAAAGATACATGTAAATATGACTTCCAGTCTCAATTCAAGCTAAGAACAAAATGCAAGAAAGTCTTCATTGATCTAAATCCACGCACTTAAACTTCTTGGCAAACTTTCATAAAAGTGTGACTTTGCTGAGGAAAATGGTGATGGCTTAAGTTATGACTGCAGGGTATTATTGTTTTCACTTGTTAAAAGCAAATGCAGTATGTCTCAGTCAAGAACTTGGAGAAATAGAAAAATCTAAGAAACTTTTTATTGCTTTACTAGAGGGTTAAAAAAAAAAGATATGGGAAGGATATTCATTGTGCGTCAGATATAAAGCCTGGACCCAAATGTTACAGTCCCAAAACAACGTCCCATTGAAAGTGGGGAAATCCAAATAGGAATTTTGACCATTATTTACATAATCTATAGCAACTCTTAATAAAACCAGCTGTCCTCTCCTTTCTTCTGACACTCTGCCATTTCTGGGAGCTTTTCCCTCTCTGGCCCCAGCAGACTTTTCTTTCTTCCTTGCCCCCTTCTCTTGGCCTCCTTACTCTGGGTCTCTACTCCATCATCGTGCCCTGCTTTTGCAGCCTCTCAGCAGCTTACAGCTCCCAGGGCATCAGCCTTAGTGGGTTCGGTCTTTTCTGACTTCCCCCACTGTAGTGGGTTTGGGGGATTCCATGGCTGATCAGGTAAAAAGATATAACCATGAGGTGGCAGTAGTACACAGTGAACTTTATTTGGGTGCCACTTTGACAGGTTTGCATGCAAGAAAACTTGCTCACGGTATGACGCTGTCCAGGGCCCACCACTCAGAAGGGTAAAGGAGAGCAAAGGGAAGACGGAGGGCAAAAGAACTCCTGGGGGAGAGGGAGACTGGAGAGGAGTCTTACACATGCACGTGGTGTTATTCAGCAGCCCAGAGGGGAGTCTGGGTCAGAGAGCTGCAAATTAGGGATCTTTATATCTACAAGGTTTATCTTATCTATGGTTAGCAGATGTTGGGCACTGATTTGTAGGATATGCAAATAACGCTCACTCTAATTGGCTAAAAATTTGCTTATTGGGGCTGTTTAAAACAATTGGATGTCTACGAGTTTGAGTCTGGTGCAGGAGGGCCTTTGAGCCACCATGTGAATGCAACCCCATTCACATCTGACAGTGCTGGCTGCTGGTTGGGGTGCCTCAGTTCTCAATATGGTGTCTTGTCCTCCACTAGGCTAGACAGCTAGACCAGACTTCTTTGTATGTTGGCAGAAATCCCCCAAGAGGGCAAAGTCAAATGTGCAAGCACTTACAGTCTCCACCTGCATCATATTTGCTGTTGTTTCATTGGCCAAAGAAAGTCATACAGCCTAGACCAGAGTCAAGGCAGGAGGGGACTACACACAGGCATAGAGACCTGGGGGTGGACTCATCTGGAGCCATTACTGTGACATACACAATAGATCACAACCCCTAAGCTTCGGCCGCAATAAATTTTTTTATATGGTATCAACATTCCTGCCTACTGGAAGAAAACATTTTCAACCTGGATGCCAATAAGCAAGTTGCTTTTTCTGATAAAGAGCTCCCTCCAAAGTAGATCCTGGTGAAAGGACTTTGGTGCAGGTAGCTTACTTGGGAGACAATCCTAGTAAGTACAAGCGAAGAAGTAGGGAAAATCAGACAGGGAAAGGAAGAAACCCAACGAGCATGTGCTAAGGAGTTACTATTGGGGGAATCTGGACCTTCATGCTGCTGGGGACCCTCCGAGAAGCCACGTGGGCAGGCCTCAGAATTGCCCATCAGAGGATGGGTAGGCTGGAGCATTCATCCACCACTGGTTGAGCCACTTCTGAGATAATGGGAAAAGCGCATAGACAGAGAACAAGAGAACCCCAGGTACGTGAGGTGGGAAGCTGTCGGTGGGCTGGAAACAGTCCACCCCAGCTGCAAGTGATCCAGTGGCCTCAGGCCATCGATGGCATCTGATAGAGAGAGACAAGAAAGTCCCTCTTATCATCAAAATGCAAGTGCAACCTGCCCAACACACACAGAGAACACAGAGCTCAAGAGGAAGAGAAGATCAAGCGACAGAAAATCTACATCTGGGTAATGCGTAACCATCACTGGGTATTCTACTGAGCAGGCAAACCACCAGCATCGCCAGTGAGAGAATTAGTACAGAAAGTAAACTTTGAGCAATCTAGAGACAAATATGTTTTCCAAAAGAAATAAGGTTCTAATTCCAGAAAGTGGTATCCTTCCTGGTATACTTACTGTGGAACAAAATCTGCTTGGGATACAGAAAGTTCTCACCTATTTCTTGGCAAGAGCAGAACAGAAAGTTAACAGCACAATTCTATGTAGTATGTCTCTGGCTGCTTGTGGATAATGATGCTTAAGTTAACTGTTTGGTTAACTATATGTACCATACTTCATTGATCTAAAAAAGCAACCTCTTCACATTTAACATTTCTGGAATCAGGATGCATCTTACAATTATAGCTGGCAGAATTTTTCCTTCCTTGATTTAAAATATTGTGCATTTTAGTATCTTAGAGATGATAAACTATGGGAGTTCTCATTTCAGAGCATGGATCAACCAGGTTGGAATAATCCTTGTATTGACTGTTTAAATTCTCAAATTAAAAAAACTTTTCCAAACCACAGTTAGGGAGAGATGCTTAAACCAGGCAGTCCCCTCCTGCCTTTTCTGGTAAAAATTCTGAGGTCCCAGCGAGACACACAGAGAAATTCTGCAGTCCTCTCTACAAAACTTTGCTTAAAGCTCCTACTTCTGCGTGGGTTGCACAGGCTATCTTTCATTATTCAAGATGTTAACTTTTCAAAGAATTTTCACATCTATCGGAAAGAGTAAATGCTATGAAATCTAAAAAGAATGCAGGAAAAATGACAGAACTCTTGGGAAGGGGAACTCGATGAAGATTGGGTTCCACTGCACACAACAGAAAGCCCAGAATAATCCAGATTAAACAAGTTAGAGGTTCATTTCTCTCATGTGAAAAAAGGCTGGAAGGAGGTACTTTCAGGCTGTGAGGGAGAGTTCTACAGTCAGCAGGGATCCAAGCTCCTTCTGTCTTTCTTACTCAACCTCCAAGCACATTGTTTCCATCCTCAGAGTGTCCTCATGATCCACCATGACTGCTGGAGCTTCAACCATCTCATCTACATCCCAGACTGGAGGAAAAAAGGAAGGCTGAGAACAAGCAGGACTCCTTCTCCACCTGCTTTCAGAAAGACTCCACAGAAGTTCCGCCCAGCAACTTCCACATGCCTCTCATTGGCTAGAACTCAGTCACATGATGATCTCCCGCCGCAAGGTGGGCTGGGAAGTGTAATCGTCCAGTGGGGTGCCGCGCTGTCCCGTGGTGTAGAGGTTATGTTATTAAGGGAGGAGGAAGGAGCGGGCGTCAGGCAGGCAGCTCGCAATTGAGAGGCCAGGAAGATTTTTCTGGGACTAAAAGAGAAAGTGGGGTGAGGAATTATACTAGCATGGAAGATCTCAGAAAACTGCAGAGGAAACAGTACAGGACCCTTGGCAGAGAGGTGCCTTGGCATCGGTGTTTAGAACTGGGCGGGGAGGCCTAGGGGCGTGGATCCCAGCCCTGAGTCTGACACCACTGGCCTCAGAGGCTACTCAGGAGCCATGCAGGATACATCACAGGCTGCAGAGGGATGGCCGAGGTCCCCATCTCCACGACAGGAGAGGGTCCCCTCTAAGAGAGGGCATAGTGCGCACGCTGCTTTCTTCTCTGGAAGTGAACGGGGGCTCCTGCCTCTGCGGCCAGGCTTCTCGCTCCCATTAGCACACCCCGGGCCTCACGAGGCGAGTGAGCCTGGTTATTAATGGACTTTCCAGACAGGAGTTCCAGAGTGGGCCTTTTTCATGGTCACTGGTGGTCTCTGCGTCCCACCAGCTCCGCGGGAATCCGGGCCACGGCGAAATGTTCTTAAAAGAGGAAAATTACCCAGAAAGCGACTCCCAAAGAAAAGTCAGCTTTAAAAAAGTTTGTGCGTGTTGCAAAGCATTATCGTTAAGTCCTCCAGCTAGGCTAAAAGCCTATCCCATTCCTCCCTGGGATTTCTAGTGAATTAATAATGCCGCTGATGAATATTCAAAAGTAGACAGCTATTGTGCCTCCAAGCACATAATTAATTATTCATTACACATTTTTATTCACTGAATTAAAAAACACAGGGTGCTCTGGGAAATGAAGTGTACTTCACTGCAGGGGCATGAAATTCCACACTGCCCCTTTAAGAACTATTATTCTCTATTTGTGGTTACCAAGCAACATAAATGCTAGGCAATTAGATCATGGGTTGTCCCTGAAGACTGATGGGATAATAAGCAGTAGTTAAGTATTAAGTTGACCCAGTGAAGGTCCCATATGAATAAACCTGGGTAGGACCACAGCTGGTGTCTTTTAAATGAAACTTTTACATTAATACCGTACAAAAGGTGATTCTGTTCCGGGAGCACGCGTCGGCAAAACTTGCTGGTCTGCAAATCCCGCACAGGTTGAATGTGCTGTTGCTCTGACGCGCCCGTACTTGAAAGGTTGTGCAAGGAGTGCACTGTCCTCTCCCAAATGGGGCAGCAGCCCGCCTCCAGGGACCAACGGGGCGAAGACGTCAGTCTTCAGCCTCGGCCTCCCAAAGAAAGAAATGCATTAGTTGAGGGACTTCCAGGGAGGGTGCAGGTGGAAGTGATGAAAACTGAGCTTCTCTACTAGAGGAGCTGAAGTCAGAGCAAAGGCCAGCCCTGCCAGAAAGGCCCAGCTGAGAAGAGTGCTGGTTTCTCCCTGCTCAAGGCCACACACTCATCCTGGACCCCAGCCCCAGAAGGGCCTTCTGCCCTTGACCCCAGTGCAGTGTTCTGACAGCCCAGGGCTGGAGCACCAGGTCTATGCAGCTGCCTCTCTCTCAAAATTCAGGTCGTAGTCATGTCTGTATCTTCAGAGCCTGGCACACAGTAAGCCCTCAACAAATGATTATTAATAAATAATAAGAGTTTGGGACACTTGATGGTGTGAGTTGGCTGAAGGTGAAAGTAAAGGAAAATAAATGACAAGTTTGGGACACTTTATTAGTCATGCTGTTTGGTTATGAAGCAAAGCTTAGACTAATGATTGCAGTTAGCTGTTTCTTTACATACTCCAGTGTTTGCAAATCTCTTAGCACTTTTCTTAAATGCTCCTGAGTGCTGCCAGCAGGAATGCCAAATACAGTTGTACAGAATGTGCACTGCACAAGGGTGCCTGGCCAAGGGAGTGTGATTGGAGCCTGAAATTGAGCCTGTGGTTCACCTGCCAAGTCATATGCTTGTCCAGAGTGGCCACCTTTTCTCAGCTCTCACAAAGGCATTGAATGGGCTGAGAGCAGCCCTGGGTATCATTGGAATATGGGTGACAGGAGGGGAGAGCTGGCTCAAGTGGAGCCAGAGGTTCTGCTCAGGAAGAAGCAGTTGTCCACTGGGGCAGGCAGAGGGCAGGGCCCAGAAGGTTGTAGCCTTCACCAGCATGATACAGGAGAAAAATCCCCAGGCAGAGCCTGCCTTCTGTCCTCTCCCAGCCTCTGGTATGTGGCTGTGTATAGCCCAAGGACAAGTCCCCAGGTTATCCTCACTGTTGATGCAGGGACATGGAAAGAAAGTATGAGGTGCTAGCAGTGAGAACTGGCAAGATAGAAACCAGAACATTTTTATTAGTGTGAGTCTCAAAGCAAACCTATGAAGTGTGTATCCCTATTTGCAGATGGGGAGACTGAGGCTTAGAGAGTTTAAACAACCTGTCCCATCACAGAGCTGGAGAGAAACCAGGGTTTCAACCCGGACAGGCTGGCTGCAGAGTCCATGCTCTTTCAGAGTCCATGCTCTTTAGCAGGGTTTGTCTTGAAAATACTTAACAATCAGGAGGGTATTAAAACAGTTATCTGCCTTAGGGCTAGAGCAGGGGCCTGGAGGCCCCTGCAGGTTCTTAACCCCTCAGCTGCTGGATTACTTGGTGGTCAAGAGAAGGCGGGAGGGCCCTCTAGGGATCCGGCAGTGGCTGTTTACCAATTGGAATGCAAACATTTTAGTGTTTTGACAACTGGTACACCATGCAGGTGCCTACAGGCGAAATGTCAGCCTGCCTCAGAGGTTCCCTGAGTCTGAGAGAAGCATAAGGGAGGTGGCCAGAAGCAGAGTCCTGAGCAGGGAGCGGAGTCTGGAGACAGCAGGTGCAGTTGAGGCAGCAGGAAATGAGCAGGGTGGGGAACTTCCAGCAGCTGGCTTTTCAAGAACTGGGCTGGGGCCCCCCAGCTCAGCCAGAGAACTGAAACTTACTGATGGGCACTTGAAGAAGGGAAAACAAGGCTGATGATGGAGAGGCCAGGTCCTGGACCGAGCACCCCTGCTGACCCAGCATCCTTGAACACGTCCTCCATCCCCTTCCTGGTAAATAAAGGACTTAGGCTAGAAAATCTCCTAGGAATGCTCCAACAATAACATTTTATGATTCCATGTTTCTAACAAATGAAAACGCTATTGAAGGAAAAGGAAAAATAAAAACATCTGCACTTTTTGCCATTGAGATTTTGTGTTGCTGGTGTTTTTTTAAGCTTAGAATGTCCTGTGATCCCCACTGGTGACAGGAGATGATGGTTTTATTGTAGTTATAGATCATTAATTTTGTAGACAAAAATGTGAAAACACAGCTTATCTCTGTCTGCAGACACTTTGCTATGCCAGAGCATGAAACAGTTCTCAGTTGAAGATAAAGAACTGCTGTCTAGAGTTTTGTGATATGAAGCAGGGAAGACAATTCCCCCCAAAGCTAAGTGGGCTCCATGTTAGACATGAGAGATATAGCTGCAGTAGTCTCTAGGTAAGGACTGAAGTGTGTCAGGCAGGAATGCAGGGCTGGGGAGGGCTGTTGGAGAAGCTATTTCGAGGCCAGAATACCCTACTCTGCTGCACTTCCACCCCAACCCACCCAACCTACCCTGATCCTGTGTAGACTCTCAGAGCTACTGCTGGGGCACTGACTGTCACCATGATTTTCTTCCTTCCTGTATGCTTTTCTTGAGAGCAAGAGTGCTTATTTTGTGTTTGTTCTCTGAGCTCCTAGCACAGTGCCTGGACAGTGAACCCTTGATAAAGGTTTGATAAATGATGGGATGGATAGATGGATGGATGGACGGACGGCAATCCAGGGATTCTCAATGGCTCCTCTCTCACCATTCTCAAGGAGTCAGCATTTGCAAATTTAGTAAATCTGCTTACTAGAAGGTTTGTTCTTGCAGATGTCCTCCAGGTCTTCTGTACCTCTAAATCTGAGCCCTTAAATGTAAATGCTAGCAAGACTTTTCAGTATAGCAAAGTGAAGAGCAATGATAAACTCAGCAATGTCAAAAACAGCCATTGCAGACCGGGTACAGTGGCTCACGTGTGTAATCCCAGTACTTTGGGAGGCCGAAGCGGGTGGATCACTTGAGGTCAGCAGTTCGAGAGCAGCCTGGCCAACATGGTGAAACCCCGCCTCTACTAAAAATACAAAAAAAAAAAAATTAGCCGGGCATGGTGGCACATGCCTGTAGCCCCAGCTACTCAGGAGGCTGAGGCAGCAGAATCGCTTGAACCCAGGCAGCAGAGGTTGCAGTGAGCTGAGATCACACCACTACACTCCAGCCTGGGTGATAGAGTGAGGCTCCATCTTAAAAAAACAAAACAAAACAAAACAAAAAAACATCCGTTGCAGAACCTATAAATCGCACCAAATCGAGAACTGGTTATTCAGATAAGAAAAGTGGAAGTAAGTAGCATTCTTGCCTGGGGCTGCTCCCATCTCCCACTCCTGATCTGTTCTCCCAAGACCAGTCAAGTCATGAAAGTCAGTAGTTTTGATGCCAGAGGAGGCTGGCTTGATTGGAGTAGAGCACTGAAAAACTCCACACCCAATGGCATTGTCAGGAACAGTAGCAATCTCAGTGGCAAATGAACAGGAATGATCAGTTCAGCTAGCCTGGGATTGAAGTTCTGACTGGGGCAAGCACGGACCAGCAGAGTAGCCAGAAATTTCACAGGGAGATATAGAAATGAGACAACAATAGGGAGCTTTGATAAACTCTTGACACATCCAAGCAGGAGAGACCTGAGAGGGCCCAAGCTCTCCAGACTTTCCAGACAGACTGTGAACATGCGTACATGTGCTGAGAGATACGAAAGAAAAATGCAGAGCAGATTGAACTTTGAACACGTTACCTGCACACACTGATATATCAGTAGAAGGTAGAAGCCTTACTTGCCCAAGGTGGATGATCACAACATTGACAATCATTGGCTGGCTGACAGACTGTACAGATACAGGGGTTAGTCCTAGAGAGCCAGGCTTAAAATCAAACAAAACAAAGAATTTTTAAGAACTGAATGGAGACATATGCAGCTGCCTTCTGCAGTAAAATAGATACCACAGATATTGGTCAGGAAAGTTGTTAAACAGCAATCAAACAGCTACAACCACCACCTTGGATCAAAATCCAGAGTTACCAGAATATATAATCTTAAAATATTCCATTTTTAACGATAAATTATGAGATCTGCAAAGAAACAAGAAAGCATGATAAGAAAGGAGGAGGCACTTTGGGAGGCCAAGGTAAATGGATCACCTGAGGTCAGGAGTTTGAGAGCAGCCTGGCTAACATGGTGAAACCCTGTCTCTACTAAAAATACAAAAATTAGCTGGACATGGTGACGCATGCCTGTAATCACAGCTACTCAAGAGGCTGAGGCAGGAGAATCGCTTTAACCCAGTAGACGGAGGTTGCAGTGAGCTGAGATCGCACAATTGCACTCCAGCCTGGGCAATAGAGTGAGACTCCATCTCAAAAAATAAAAATAAATAAATAAATAAAAAGAGAAAAGAAAGGAAAAGGAGGAAGCAGTCAGTAGAAATTTTGTCTAAGGGGGGCCAGATGTTGGAATTAGCAGACGAAAACACCAAAGCACCTATTGTAAATGTGTTTTCTTAAAAAAAAAAACTAAAGGTAACTGTCATTTAAAAAATCAAAAGAAAGTATGACAACAATGCTCAAAACATAGAGAATATCAACAGAGATATACATTATTAAAAAGAACCTAATAGAACTTCTGAAAATGAAAAGTACAATAATGGAAATGAAAAAACTATTAGAGGGACTCAACACCAGAATTGAAATGACCAGGAGACAGAATTAACAAACTTGAATATACATCATAGAAATTATCCAATCTGAACTAAATGGGGAAAACGAATGTAGAAAAATGAACAGAACCTTGAAGGTATGTGGGACAATATTGAGTATACCAATATATGAGAAATGGGGATTCTAGGAGAAGAGAGAGAAAGAAAGTAGACGATGTAGGAAAAACCAACTCAGCTTCTCCTACTATAGTCTCACAACACAGAATACTTCTGTGGCCCCATAGGTGTTTGGGTTTATCCACACACACCAAGCAAGTAATCCTGCAGTGGACACCAGCTGAGTACTCTCTAATTCAATTTGGTTCTAACAGTGTCTACCTGGAGATAGCATCAGATCCCACAGATTAAGACCTCAGTCTCCAAGGCTGCCCCCACTTCAGACACCAGTAGCAAGCACAGGTTGTGGCATGAGCTTCTGACCAACCAACTATAAATTGAGGGTTCCCCTGAACCCTTCCTCAGGTTCAATTAATTTGTTAGAGTGGCTCACAAAATTCAGACAAATACATTATTTACATTTACTGATTTATCATTAAGGTAATTATAAAGGATACTAGTAACAGCCAGATGGAAGAGATGCATAGAGTGACGTATGAGAGAAGGGGCATGGAGGTTCCATGCCCTCTCCAGTCATGCTAGCTCCAGGAATCACTGTATATTCAGCTATCTGGAAGCTTTCCAAACCCATATGGAAGCCTCATTACAGAGGCATCATTGATTAAATCATTGGCCATTAGTGATTAGCTTAATCTTTAGTCCCTCTCCCCATCCTGGAGGTTGAGTGGGTGAGGCTGAAATTCTCAGCCCTCTAATCATGCCTTGGTTTTTTCTGTGACCAGTCCCCATCCTAAAGACACCTGGAGCTTCCAGCCACCTGTAATTAGCATACAAAGACACATTACTCCAGAGATTCCAAGAGTTTTAGGAGTTGTGTGTCAGGAAGTGGGAAGACCAGTTAATATTTCACAATACCATCAAAAAGGAGAGAGAGAATTATAATGAAATAATGGCAAATATTTCCCAAATTTGATGAAAAACATGATATATTCTAGAAGCTTAATGAACCACAAGTAGGATAAACACAGAGGTCCACCCTAGATTTATCATAATGCAATTGTACAAAGAGAAAATCTTGAAAACAGTAAGAGAAAAATAACTTATCACATACAAGGGGGACCACCAATATGATTAATGATTGCCTTTTCATCACAAACAAGGAAAACCCAAGTACAGTGCAATAACATATTCAAAGTGCTAAAGAAAAAAAAAAACTGTCAACTAAGAATTCTATATCACTAAAAGTATCCCTCTAAGAATAAAATTGAAATGGAGACATTCTCAAACAAAAAGCAACCAGATAATTTGTTGCTAGCAGACCTGCCTTATAAGAAACACTAAAGGAAACCCTTTAGGCTGCAAGGAAATAACATCAGACTTGAATTCATGCAAAGAAATGAAAAGCACCAAAAAAAGGTAAATATATAAATAATATAAAAAACTATATTATTTTTTTCCTTTAAAAGATATAAAATTGGAGAAAACAATATAACACTGTATTGTTGGTCTTATAACACATGTACATATATATGCATATAGGATGGAGGAGGAAATAGACCTATATTGGAGTAAAGATTATGTATTTTACATGAATTAAATTAGTATTAATCTGAAGCATATTGTGATAAATTAAGAAGCATATAGTAATCCCCAGATCAATCACTGAAGGAAAAAAATAAACAAGTAATAAACTTTTTAAAAAAATTTAAGCCAAGAAATAAATTAGAATGCTAAAAATTATCTAACACAAAAAAAGTGGAAAGAAGAAACAAAGGAAGCAAAAAGGAATGGGACACATAGAAAACAAAAAGCAATATGAAAGATGAATTCAGTCACACCAATAATGACATTAAATGTGAATGGATAAAACACTTCAATCAAACGGCAGAAATTGTCAGACTGATTTTTATTTTTTAATCCAACAGTATGGTATATACAAGAAACCTCTTCTAGATTAAAACACACAAATAGATTGAAAGAAAAGGATAGAAAAAGATATACCATCAAGCAGTAAACATAACAGAGCTGGAGTGGCTATGTCAATCCAAGACAAACGGAGATAAAGAGGGACATTTTGTAATGATTAAAGAGATCAACTTATTTTTAATAAAATATAACAATTATATAGAGACGTAATGAAAGAGACCCAAAAGGTAGGAAGTAATAATTAACAAAATTAGGCCAGGTGCAGTGGTTCATGTCTGTAATCCCAGCAATTTGGGAGGCCAAGGCAGGAGGATCACTTCAGCCCAGAAGTTCAAGACCAGCCAGGGCAACACAGGGAGATCTCATCTCTACAAAATGAAAAATAAATTAGCCAGACATGGTGGTGCACACTTGTCCCAGCTACTCAGAAAGCTGAGGCAGGAGGATTGCTTGAGCCCAGGAGATCAAGGCTATAGTGAACCATGTAGTGCCACTGTCCTCCAGCCTGGGTGACAGAGTGAGACCCTATGTGAAAAAAAAAAAAAAAAAAAAGGATGTTCATTGCAACATTATTCACAATAGCCAAGAGGTGGAAGCAATCTAAACGTCCATCAGTAGATGGAGAGATAAAGAAAATATGGTACATACATATAATGGAATATTATCCAGCCTTAAAAAGAAGGAAATCCTGTCACATGTACAACACGGATAAACCTGGCAGATATTATGGTAAGTGAAATAAGCCAGTCACAAAAAGTCAAATGCTATATGATATACTAATATTTTGATATATTATATATGTACTTATATGAGATATCTAAAGTAGTCAATCAAACTTGTAGACTGCAAAGTAGAATGGTGGTTTCCAAAGGATAGAGGAAGAAGAATATGGAAGCTGTTGTTCAATGAATATAGAATTTCAGTTTTCCAAGATGGAAAGGTTCTAGAGATCTGTTGCATAACAAGTGAATACACTTAACACTTCTGAACTCTACATTTAAAAATGGTTAAAATGGGCTGGGCATGGTGGCTCATGCCTATAATCCCAGCAATTTGGGAGGCTGAGGCAGGTGGATCACCCGAGGTCAGGAGTTTGAGACCAGCCTGGCCAACATGGTGAAACCCCATCTCTACTAATAATACAAAAATTAGCCAGGTGTGGTGGCATGTGCCTGTAATCCCAGCTACTCAGGAGGCTGAGGCAGGAGAATCACTTGAACCCGGGAGGCAGATGTTGCAGTGAGCTAAGATAGCACCACTGCACTCCAGCCTGGGTGACAAGAGCGAGACTCCATCTCAAAAAACAAAACAAGGTTAAAATAGCAAAATGTATGTTTTTTAACCACAATTAAAATTTTCATATTCCTGAAAGGGAAAATGGGAAGTAGTATTTTTAAAATAATAAATAAATAAATAATAAAAATTCAAGAAGGTGAAGGGACAGACAATTCAATAATCGTAATTGGAGATATCAGTACCCCACTATTAATAATCAGTTAAATAACTAGACAAATCAGCAAGAATATAGAAGTTAATATTATCAATTAATTTGTTCTAAGCAACATCTATAGGATACTCATTTGATGAGGCAGAATACACATTCTTTTCAAGCACACTTGGAAGATTCTCAAGGATAGGTTGTATTCTAAGCAATAAAACAAGTTGAGGCAGAATACACATTCTTTTTAAGCACACTTGGAACATTCTCAAGGATAGACTGTATTCTAAGCAATAAAACAAGTCTCAATAAATTTTAAAGAATTGAAATCATACAAAGTATGCTCTCTCATTACAATGGAGTTAAATTAGAAATTAACAAAAGAAAGAAATTTGGGAAATCTCTAAATATTTGGAAATTAAACATCACACTTCAAAATAACTCATGGGTCAAAGGAAAAAATCATAAAAAAATTAGAAAGTATTTTAACTAAATGAAAACAAAAATAAGACATATGAAAATAGGCCGGGCGCGGTGGCTCATGCCTGTAATTCGAATATTTTGGGAGGCCAAAGCAGGCGGGTCATTTGAGGTCAGAAGTTGAAGCCAGCCTGGTCAACATGGTGAAATTCCTTCTCTACCAAAAAGTACAAAAATTAGCCAGGCATGGTGACGCGCCTGTAGTCTCAGCTACTCAGGAGGTTGAGGTAGGAGAATCACTTGAACCCCGGAGGCAGAGTTTGCTGTGAGCCAAGATTGGGCCACTGCACTCCTGCCTGGGTGACTGAGCAAGATCCTATCTCAAAAAAAAAGAAAAGAAAAGACAATTTTTGGGGCCCAGAGTGGGGTCTCATGCCTGCAATCCCAGCACTTTGAGAGGCTGAGGAGAGTGGATCACTTGAGGTCAGGAGTTCAAAACCAGCCTGGCCAACATGCTGAAGCCCATCTCTACCAAAAATACAAAAATTAGCTGGGCATGGTGGCACATGCCTGTAATCCCAGGTACCAGGGAGGCTGAAGCACGAGAATCGTTTGAACCCAGGAGGTGGAGGTTGCAGTGAGCCGAGATGGCACCACTGCACTCCAGCCTGGGTGACAGAGTGAGACCCTGTCTCAAAACAAAACAAAACAAACAAAAACCAGACAATTTATGGGATGCCACTAAAGCAGTGCTTAGAGGAAAATAAAATAGTTTTAAACATTTATATTATTAAAATGGTATCAAATTATTAACTCAATTTTCCACCTGAAGAAACTAAAAAGAGGCAAACTAAACCCAAATCCAAAGAAATCAAAAGCAGTAAAACCATAAGGAAAAAAATCAATGAAACCAAAAGTTAATTCCTTTAAAAGATCAGCAAAGTTGACAAATCTTTAGCTAGACTGATCAAGACAGAAAGAGGACACAAATTACCAAGATCAGTAATAAAAGAGGGAACGTCACTGCCAACTGAAGCTTAAAAGGATTATGGGAAAAACAATGAAGAACTTTATGCCAATAAATTAGGCAATTTAGGTGAAATTGATAAATTCCTAGAAAAACACAAATGACCAAAACTGACTCAAAAAGGCAGAAAATCTGAATATATCTATAATTAATGTGATGATAAATTTTATGTGTTATCTTGACTGGGCTAAAGGATACCCAGGTAACTGGTAAATCATTATTTTTGAGTGTGTCTATGAGGGTGTTTCTAGCATTTGAATCAGTAGACAGTAATGAAGATTGCCCTCATCAATGTGGGCAGGCATCACCCAATCTGTTGAGGGCAGGAATAAAACAAAATGGCAGGAAAGAGCAAATTTTCTCTTCCTTCTGGAACTAGGACATCCGTCTTCTCCTGCCCTCAGACATCAAAACTCCAGGATATTGGGCCTTCAGACTCAGGACTTAGACCAAGCAGCTCACTAGTCCCTAGGCCTTCAGCCTCCGACCAGTTACACTCTACTGGCCTTCCTTGTTCTCCCTCTTGCAGACAGCATATTGTAGGACCTCTTAGCCTCCATAATTGAGTGAGTCAATTCTCACAGTAAGTCCCCTCTTGTATATGTTCATATTTCCTATTTGTTCCATTTCTCTGGAGAACCTTGACTAATATAATTCATTAAAAAATGAATTTAAAAAAATAGTAATTTAAAAATCTTTCTACAAAGAGAACCCAAGTCCTCAATGATAAATTCTATCGAGTATCTATATCAAAAGAAGAAATAATACCGATCCTTTACAAACTTTTTTAGAAAACTCATTTTATTGTCAGTGCCTTGATACCAAAGTGAGACAAATATCACAAGGAAAAAAAACTATACATCGATATCCCTCATGAACATAGATGTAAGGTTTTTAAACAAAATATTAGCAAACCAAATACAGCAATATACTAAAAGGATTATTCACCATGACCAACTGGGATTTGTCCCAGAAATACAAGGTTGGTTTAACATCTGAAAATCAATTACTATAACACACCGTATTTGTAGAATAAAGAACAAAATGCACATGATCATTTTCATAGGTGCAGAAAAAAATTGACAAAACCTAACACTCATAATAAAAGCGTTTAACACAGTAGGAATAGAAGGGAAAATCCTCAACTTGATAAAGGGCAGCTACAAAAAGCCTGTTGCTAACATCATATGCAACAGTGAAATACTGAACACTTTCTCCCTAAAATCAGGAACAAGGCGAAGATGTCCATCCCTTCCACTCTATTCAACATTGTACTGTCAGTTCTAGCCAGTGCAGTCAGGCAAAGAAAATAAATAATAGGTATCCAGATTGGAAGATAAGTAAAACTGTTTATTCACAGATGACACAATCCTGTAAGGAGAAAAACCTAAGGAACACACACATACACACACACTCACACTCACACACACAGCTAGAACTAATAAATGAGTTCAGCAAGCTTACACGACACAAGATTAATAGGCAAAACCACACTACTATATACTAACAAATAATCTGAAAAAAAATGGAATAAAGAAAAAATCCCATTCACAATAATATCAAAAAGAATTTTAAAAATTGAGGCTAAATTTTACAAAAGAAATGGAAGGTTTGTATGGTGAAACTGTAAAACATTGCTGAGATAAAGAAAATTTAAATAAATGGAGATACAGTCCATGCACATAGACTGGAGACTCAATATTGTTGAGATGACAATTCTCCCCAAATTGATCTATACATTGAATGTAATCCCTATCAAGATCTCAGTAGGAGTTTTTTGTAGAAATTGATTAGTTGATCCCAAAATTCATATGGAAAAGCAAATGACCCAGAATAGTCAAAATAATTTTAAAAAGAAGAACAAAGTTGAAGAGCTGCTTGACTTCAAAACTTACTGTTAAACTTCTATAATCAAGGTAAAGTGGTATTGGCATAGGATAGGATCAATGGAATATACCTGAGTGTCCATTATTACATTCATGATCAACTGATTTATAACAAAGGTGTCAAGGCAATTCAATAAGGAAAGAACAGTCTTTTCAACAAATGGAACTGGAACAACTGGATATCCATATGCAAAAGGATTAATTTCAACCCTTACCTCACACCATAAACAAAAATTAATTCAAAATGGATTATAAACTTAAATATGTAAACTAAAACTATAAATCTCCTAATAGAAAACTAACCAGAAAAAAAATTGTACATTGGGTTAGGCAGAGTTTTTAGATACAATGTCACAAACACAATCCATAAAAGAAAAGATAAATTGAGCTTCATCAAAATTTTAAAATTTTTGCTTCAAAAAATAACATTAAGGAAATGAAAAGTAAAACCACAGACTGGGAGAAAATATTTGCAAAACATATATTTGATAAAGAATTTCTATCCAGAATATATAAATAACTCTTAGAACGCATCAATAATTAGAAGCCAAATTAACTTTAAAATCCAAATTAAAAATAGACAAAATTGAATAAACATTGCACCAAAGAAGACATACAAATGGCTAATGTTCACATGAAAAATGCTCAACATCACTATTCATTAGGGAAATGCAAATTAAAACCACAATGATAAATGAAGGTTCAAGATGGCTGATTAAAGGCATTCAACACTTGCCCCCTCTGCAAAGAAGAACCAAAATAATAAGTAGAAAATCTCACTTCAAATAGAACATCTAAAACACTGGAATTTGGCAGAAATGTGACATGAAACACCCAGGGCACAGAGGGAGAGGGAAGCAAGGCAGCCAGCTCAGCCAGATATCCCCAGTGGGTAGGGAAAAGGTAAATGAGAAATCCCCAGTTATCCACCTTCTGACTGTGGGCTCCTACAACCCTAGGCACAAGAGAACTCCTTGACCCTTGTGGGCCTTGAGACTCCCATAGGGAGCTGCCCAGAGACCACATAGAGACATTGCTACAGAGAGAAAGTTCATGCTGGGTCCCACACACACTCTGAGTTTTAAGCAGTTGCAGCAGGGAACCATTCTGAGGGCTCAGCCCCTACCAGACTGCATCCTGCCCTGGGGTCCAATAGCCCCTGCATCTTTACATCCCTGGAGCCCCACTGACATCCCCTTGTGTCCACCCAGAGGGCTGCACTGGCGTGATGCCAGCTGAATCCAGCAAAGTGACAAGATCCCCAGCTCCCTAGCACACATAGTGTCCTGCACTCCAGGGAATGGGCACTGCAATACTCTGGGAAGACTGCCCTGGGACGATGGGAGCCAAAATATGTACTCCTCAAAGCATGAAACCTACCTACCTGGGCCCCTGCTACTGACAGCAACCCTTAGCCCACCAGCAGCAGGGCTACACCAAGCTTTCATGCTCCCTGAGGACATGCCCTCCCAGCCTGCAGTTGCCACTGCTGCTGCCACTTTGGCAAAGTACAAAGTACTTGCCACTGCAGCAACATTATACTCCTCAGCAACGGGGACATCACATACTTGAATGTGCCTTGAGGACTGGCTCTCCCACTGCTGCCACTGTAGCCACCTCCACTGGGGGCCAAATCAAACACTCTCCAGATTCTAAGAGCTGCCTGCCTGCCTGCCTGCCTGCAGCTGCTGCCAATGACGGCAACCCCACACCCCCTAACAGCAGGTTCTCAGCATACTTGCATCACCCTAAGGATAGATTCTTTCTGCCCTCAGCCATCTCTGCTGCTATCACCCAGGTACTCCACCATAAGGCCTGGGGATCACCCTACTCTGCCCACGACAGCATGCATTCACGCACACCACCAAGAAGCCTGAGGACAGGCCTGCCTGGCCTGGAGCCCCTCCCTCAATGCCCAAGCATGTTCCCCAAGGGCCTGGGATCACCTTTCCCCATCTGCTACTGCTGGCATCTGTGCACTTTTCCCGGAGGCTTGAGGACTGGCCAACCCAGCTTACCACTACCATCACAGCTGGCACCTACCCACATGTGTCACCTGAGGGCCTGGGGTCTGGCCTACCCAGACCATTACAATAACCACTAACACAAGCACATGCTACCTGGGAGCAGCATGGGAGCCTGAGGGTTGTCCCACCACCACTACAGCCATCACCCATGCCACACATGCTGTCCAGGGTCCTGAGGACCCACTCAGCCACCCTGCCCACTGCTGCCACTGCTGACACCTGAGTAAGCCTCCTGGAGGTCCAAGAATTGGCCCACTTGGAAATGCTAAAACGGGTGATCTTGTATACCACCTGGAAGCCCAAGGACAGGCACACTCAGCCTGCCATTGCCACCACTGGTGACTGAGGACTAGCCTACCAGGCATCCCTGTCCCTAGGAAAACTTCATCACAGCCTCTGCTAACAACCACAGCCTAAGCCACTGAGGAAATCACAGATACCACTGCCACTGTTTACAGCTGAGGAAATCGTATGGAGACTACACTACTGCATGCATGCAGAATCAAAGCTAAAGTGCCCTACTAAACCAACACTATAGATACATCTTCTGAAAAATGTCTTCCCCTATAAAAGCTAACCCAAAAATTGGAAGAGGCAACTGTTATACCAGATGTGCAGATATCAACTGTTACACAGATGTGCAGATATCAACATAAGAAGGCAAGAAACATGAAAAAGTAAGGAAATATAACACCTCCAAAGGAACACGATAATTCTCCAGCAGCAGTTTTTAATGAAAAACAAAATTATGGGATGCTGGAAAAAGAATTCAAAATAATGATCTGAAAGAAATTCAGTGAGATACAAGAGAGCACAGATAAACAATAAAAAGAAATCAGAAGAAATAATTCAGGATATGAATGAGAAATTCACCAAAGAGATTGCTTTCATAAAAAAGAGCCAAACAAATCCTGGAACTGAATAATTCAATGAATAAAATAAAGTAAAAAAATTTATTCAAGAGCTTCAACAATAGATTAAACCAAGCAGAAGAAAGGACTTCAGAACTTGAAGACAGGTCTTTTGAAATAGCCCAGTCAGACAAAAGAAGAAGAAAAAAAAGAATGAATAAAGCTTAGGTGACATATAGGACACCACAAAGAGACTAGACATTCTAATTTTGAGTTCCAGAAGGTGAAGAGAAACCCAAAGGCATAGAAAACCTATTTAACAAATCAATAGCTGAAAACTTCTCAAGTCGAGCCAGAGATTTAGATATCCACAAACGGAAGGTCAGCAATCTCCAAAAAGATGTAACCTAAAGAAGTTTTCTCCACAGCACATTACAGTCTAACTGTCAAAATCATAGACAAAGAGAGAATTCTAAAATCAGCAAAAGAAAAGCATGTACTCGCATGTAAGGGAGCCCCCACCAAATTAACAGCAGAATTCTCAAGAGAAACATTACAGGCTAAGCAGAATGAGATGACAGAATGAGAGAATGGGATGATATATTTAAACTGCTGAAAGAAAAAAAGACTGTCAGACAAGAATACTATACCCATATAAAGTTGTCATTCATAAATGAAGGAGAAATAAAGTCTGTCCCAGAAAAGCAAAAACTGAGGGAATTCGTAATTGCTACACTAGTCCTATAAGAAATGCCTAAGGGAGTCCTATGGTTAGGACTGGTTGAGCAAACACATGAATGAGGAAGAGAAAGGACTCAAATATTACCACTACAAAAAACAAAATAAACAAAAACAGAGAAAGAAAGGAGCAAAGCATATACAAAACAACCAGGAAACAGTTAACAAAGTAACAGGAATAAGTCCTCAAACATCAATCATAACCTTGAATGTAAATGGATTAAATTTTCCACTTAAAAGATCTAAACAGGCTGAATAGAGGAAGAAAATGGACCCAACTATGTGTTGCCTACAAGAAACCTGCTTCCCCTATAAATACATATATAGACTGAAAATAAAGGGATAGAAAAAGATATTCCATGCAAATGGAAACCAAAAGTGAGCAGGAGTAGCTATGGTTATATGAGAAAAAATAGACTTTAAGTCAAAGACAGTAAAAGAAGACAAAGGTCATTATATAATGATAAACAGATCAATTCAGCAAGAGGATACAACAATTCTAAATATATATGCACCCAACACCAGAACACCCAGATATATAAAGCAAATAATATTAGAAGTCTATCTCTCCCACTAGAGATAGACTGCACTTTAGATCAAATCAACCTAACAGACATCTACAGAACATCTTATCCAATAGCTGCAGAATATACATTCTTCTCACAGCATATGGAGCACCTTCCAGGGTAGACCAATGTTAAGCTATAAAAACGAGTCTCAATATATTTTTTTAAATTGAAATTATACCTTATGATACAAAGAAATCAGTGTCTTCTCAGACCACAATAGAATAAATCTAGAAATCAATAACAAGAGGGACTTTTGAAACTATACAAATACATATAAATTAAACAATATGCTCCTCAACAACTACTAGGTAAATAAAGAAATTAAGAAGTAAATAAAAACATTTCTTGTGACAATTGAAAATGGAAACACAACATCTGGAAACCTATGGAATACAGGAAAAGCAGTGCTAAGAAGGAAGTTTATTGCAATAAACACCTACCTCAAAAAAATAAGAAGCCTTCAAATAAACAATCTAACAATACACCTCAAGGAACCAGAAGAACAAGAACAAACCAAACCCCAAATTAGAAGAAAAGAAATAATAAAGATTAGGGCAGAACTAAATAAAATAGACTAAAAAAAATGCAAAGGTTCAACAAAGTGAAAATCTGATTTTTTTGAAAAGAAACAGAATTGATATACCAGCTAGACTAACCAAGAAAAAAAGAGAGATGATCCAAATGAACAAAATCAGAAACAAAAAAAGGAGACATTACAACTGACACCACAGAAATACAAAAGATCATCAGAGATTATTATGAATAACTATGCACAAGCTGGAAAACCTAGAGGAAAGGATAAATTCCTGGACACATACGACCTACCAAGACTAAATTAAGAAGAAACAGAAAACATGAACAGACCAATAATGAGTAACAGGCTTGTATCAGTAATAAAAAATCTCCCAACAAAGAAAATCCCAGGAATGGATGGCTTTACTGCTGAATTTTATGAGACATATAAAGAAGAACTAACACTAATTTTCCCTCAAACTATTCCAAAAAGTTGAAGAAGAGGGAATTCTCTCCAACTCATTCTATAAGGCCAGCATTACCCTGATACCAAGACCAGACAAGGACACACACACACACACACGGACACACACACACACACACGAAACAGAAAATTACAGACCAATACCTTTGATGAACATAGACACAAAATTATCCAACAAAATACTAGCAATAGAATCCAATAGTACATCAATACACCATGATCAAGTGGGATTTGTCCCAGGGATGCAAGGATAGGTTCACATATGCAAATTAATCAATAAACATGATACTGATATCAACAGAATGAAGAACAAAAAACATATGATTATCTCAATAGATGCAGAAAAAGCATTTGGTAAAATTCAACATCATTTCATGATAAAAACTCTCAACAAACTTGGCAGAGAAGGAACATAACGCAACATAATAAAGGTCTTATATGACAAACCCGCAGCTAACATCATACTACATGGAAAAATGCTAAAAAGCCTTTTCTCTAAGAACTGGAAAAAGACAAATATGCCCACTTTCACCATCCCTATTCAACATGAAAGGAATGTCTTCCATGCCTGGAAGCCCTAGCCAGAGCAATCAGGCAAAAGAAAGAAATAAAAGGCATCTGAATTGGAAAAGAGGAAGTCAAAATTTTCCTTTTTGCAGATGACATGGTTTTATATTTAGAAAAACTTAAAGATTCCACCAAAAAACTCCTAGATCTGATAAATAAATACAGTAAAGTTGTGGGATACAAAATCAACATTCAAAATTCAGTAGCATTTCTACCCACCAGCAATGAAATATTAAAAAAGAAATCAAGAAAGCAATTTAATTTACAATAGACAAAAAATAAAACACCCAGAAATAAATTTAACAAAGGAGTTGAGAGACCTTCAAGTGGAAAACTACAAAAAACTGATGAAAGAAATTGAAGAGTACACAAACGAATGAAAAGGCATTCCATGCTCATGGATCAGAAGAATTAATATTGTTAAAATGACCATACTACCCAAAGTAATTTGCAGATTCACTGTAATCTCTATCAAAATACCAGCATCAGGCCAGGGACAGTGGCTCATGCCTATAATCCCAGCCCTTTGGGAGGTCGAGGCAGGCAGATCACTTGAGACCAGGAGTTCAAGATCTGCCTGGCCAATATGGTGAAACCCCATCTCTACTAAACATGCAAAAAATTAGCATGGCGTGATGGCAAGTGCCTGTAATCCCAGCTACTCAGGAGGCTGAGGCAGGAGAATAGCTTGAATCCAGGAGGTGGTGGTTGCAGTGAGCCGAGATTGTACCACTGCACTCCAGCCAGGATGACAGAGTGAGACTCTATCTCAAAAAATAAAAAAGAAAAAAATACAACAACCAACATCATACTTCACAGAATTAGAAAAAAAAAAAGTCCTATAATTCATATGGAACCAAAAAGGAGCCTGAATAGCCAAAGCAACCCCAAGCAAAAAAAACAAAGCTGGAGGTACTACACTACCTAGCTTCAAAATCTATTACAAGACTATGGTAAACAAAACAGCATGTTATTGGTATACAAAGAGACACACAGACTAATGGAAACAGCATAAAGAACCCAGAAATAAATTCACATATTTACAGCCAACTGATTTTTGACAAAGGCAATAAGAACATACATTGGGGAAAGGGCATCCTCCTCAATAAATGGTGCTGGGGAAGCTGGATATCCATATGCAGAAGAATGGAACTAGACCCCTCTCTCTCACCATATACAAAAGTCAACTCAATATGGATTAAAGACCTAAATATAAGACCCAAAACTATAAAACTACTAAGAAGGCCAGGCGTGGTGGCTCACGCCTGTAGTCCCAGCTACTCAGGAGGCTGAGGCAGGAGAACCGCTTGAACCCAGGAAGCAGAGGTTGCAGTGAGCCGAGATCACACCACTGCACTCCAGCCTGGGCGACAGAGTGAAACTCCATCTTAATATAAATTAATTAATTTTAAAAAAACTGCTAAGGAAATAAGGGAAACATATGGGATATTGGTCTAGACAAGATTTCATGGCTAAGGCCTCAAAAGCACAGGCAACAAAAACAAAAATAGACAAATGGAACTCTACTAAACTAAAAAGCTTCTGGGCAGCAAAGAAAACAATCAACAGAGTGAAAAAAAACAATCTATCAAATGGGAGAAAATATTTGCAAAATATTCATTGGACAAAGGACTAATATCCAGAATATGCAAGGAACTCAAACAACTCAATAACAAGAAAAATCAAATAACTCCATTGAAAAGTGGACAAAGAATTGCATGTGGAGGCTCTTGCCTGTAATCCCAGTGCTTTGGGATGCCAAGGCCGGAGGATTGCTTGAGGTCAGGAGTTTGAGACCAGCTTGGGCAACCTAGCAAGACCCAGTCTCTACGAAAAAAAAAAAAATTAGCCAGGCATGATGTTCACACATCTGGTCCTAGAAACTTGGGAAGCTAAGGTGAGAAGATCACTTGAGCCCAGGAGTTCAAAGTTCCTATGGACTATAGTCATGCCGCTACACTCCAGCCTGGGTGAGAGAGTGAGACCCTGTCTCTAAAAAAAAAACAAACAAGAAAAAAAACAAAATAAAACAAAACAAACAAACTTTTTTAATGTGCAAAAGACACAGATAGACATTTCTCAAAAGAAGACATACAAATAGCCATCAGGTGTACGAAAAAAATGCTCAACAACACTAAACTTCAGGGAAATGCAAATTAAACCACAATGAGATATCACCTTAACCTAGTTAGAATGACTATTATTAAATAAATAATAGATGCTGGTGAAGATGTGGAGAAAAGGAAACTCTTATACACTGTTGGTGGGAATGTATATTTGCACAGCCATTATGGAAAACAGTATTGAGGTTTCTCAAAATACTAAAAACAGAACTACCATATGATCCAGCAATCCTACTACTGGGTATTTACCCAAAGGAAAAGAAAACAGTGTATCAAAGAGATACCCGCACCCCATGTTCATTGCTGCACTATTCACAATAGCAAACATATGGATTCCTAAGTGTCCATCAGCAGATGAGGCGATAAAGAAAATGTGGTACATATATGCAAAGGAATACTACTTGGCCAAAGAAAAGAATGAAATCTTGTCATTTGCAGCAACAGTGATGGAACTAGAGGTCCTTATGTTAATAAGTCAGACACAGAAAGACAAATATTGCATGTTCTCACTCTTATGTGGGACCTTTAAAAGTTGATCTTGGCTGGGCATGGTGGCTCACACCTGTAATCCCAACACTTTGGGAGGCCAAGGCAGGCAGATCACCTAAGGTCAGGAGTTTAAGACCAGCTTGGCCAACATGGTGAAGCCCCAGTCTCTACTAAAAACACAAAAATCAGCCAGGCCTGGTGGTGCACACCCATAATCCCAGCTACTCGGGAGGCTGAGGCAGGAGAATTGCTTGAATCCAGGAGACGGAGATTGCACTAAGCTGAGATGGCGCCACTGCCCTCCAGCCTGGGCAACAGAGCGAGACTCCATCTCAAAAAAAAAAAAAAGGTTGATCTTGTGGAGGAAGAGAGTAGAATGATAGTTACTGGAGACTGATAAGTGGGGTGGGGGATGAAGAGAGGAGAGTTGGTGAATGGGAACAAACATACAGTTTAACTTCCAATGTTCAATAGTAGAATAGGGTAACTGAAGTTAACAGCATACTGTATATTTCAAAATAGCTGGAAGAGAGGATTTGAACTGTTCTCAACACATAGAAATGAAAAATACTCAAGGTAATGGGCACCCAAAATACCCTGACTCAATCATTACATTCCATGCATGTAACAAAATATCATGTTTCTCCATAAAAATGTGCAAATATTATGTATCAATAAAAAACGTTTTTAAACCACTGTGAGATACCATTATATAGCCACTAGAATTAGCTGTAATTAAAAAGACAATAACATATATGGTAAGGATGTGGAAACTAGAACCCTCACACATTGCTGGGAAGAATGTAAAATGATACAGTCATTTTGAAAAACAGTGTGGCAGTTTCTTGAAAAGTTAAACATAAACTTACTCTACAATTCAGCAGCTCCATGGCTAGGTATCCATTCAAGAGAAATGAAAACATTTCTCCACACAAAGACATGTACATGAATGCTCATAGCAACATACTCATAGTAACCAAAAAACTTGAAACAAGTCAAATGCCCATCAGTTAATGAATGGTTGAACAAAATGGGCTGTATCCTTACAATAAAATTACATTCAGCAGTAGAAAGGCATGAACTAGTCAAACATGCTACAACTTAGATGAACCTCGAAAACATCATACTAAGAGAAAGAAGCCAGCCACAAAAAACCACATATTGTATGATTCCATTTATATGATATGTCTAGAAAAGGCAAATTCATAGAAACAGCAGATCAGCGGTTGTCAGGTGCTGGGGGGAGCAGGAACTGACTGCATATTGGCAGGAGGAAACATATGAGGAGGATGGAAGGTTCTAAAACTGGACTGTGGTGATGATCGTACAACTCTATAAATTTAGTAAACATTGAATTGTAGACTTAAAATAAGTACATTTTAGTATTTATAGTTTACTTGGAAAACGCTGTTTAAAAATAAAAAAAAACTCAGGCCGGGTGTGGTGGCTTATGCCTGTAATCCCAGCACTTTGGGAGGCCGAGGCGGGTGGATCACTTGAGGTCAGGAGTTCAAGACCAGCTTGGCCAACATGGTAAAACCCCATCTCTACTAAAAGTACAAAAATTAGCTGGGCGTGGTGGCATGTGCCTGTAATCCCAGCTACTCCGAAGGCTGAGGCAAGAGAATCACTTGAACCTGGCAGGTGGAGGTTGCAGTGAGCCAAGATCATACCACTGACTGCACTCCAGCCCGGGCGACGAGCACGACTCCACCTCAATAAACAAACAAATAAACAGTAAAATTTAAAAGAGAAAAATCATTGCCCTAGGAGAGGACTGAATGTATTAATGATAGGACCCACCTCCACCCTTGTCAATCTGACCTTCAACTTCCACAAGATCTACACACCAGACAAATGCATAGTTTCTTTACCGAAAGGTTAGAGTCAGGGCAGTTTCAGAATGGGAACTGTAAGGCTGAAGAGGGAAAGGTTAAGATGGCAAGATTTGGGAACTGCCTTGAATCTCACAAGACATTGACACCCACATCCTCTGAGCAACCCCTACTCCCAAACACTGTTTATTCCTTGGTGCTTTTGCATTCTTCAGCAGTCACCAGGACTCATCCAGTGGACTTATTACAACTCTGGGGTAGAGCCATGACTCTGGGCCCATGGGTAGGGCCCATGCACCTTCCATTCCAGGGCCTCTGATCTCTCCTGAAAGCTGGGCCATGGCTTACTTTACCAATTGCCCATTTCAGTAGGCCCACCTCCCAAAGCAGGATTTCTCTTGAAGACAGGCAGAGAGTCCATAAGTAGAAAATTCCATTGTTCCTGTTCAAGATGCAAGCTGGCCCTCAGAGCCTTTGAGACCCCATTCCAAACCTGAGAAGATTTTAGGTTCTTTCCTGCTCCTCCTGGAGCCCAAGGGTCTCTCAAAAGAGCCGCTGCCTTGATGATATTCAGATTCTAGAATGTCAGTCCCCTCTGAAAGGCAGGTGGGTGGGTAGCTTTATTCCTCCCCATGTGCTTGAATGAAGGTTTTCTATACCAGGACCTAGAGAAGAGGGCATGATGGGTCCCAGAGCAGCCAGTCTGGATTTGGACTTGGCCAGGACCAAGGTCACCAGCACAGGACCACAGGGGTGGGGCAGACAGGCAGTTGCAGCAGAAGTGGAACCAGCTGAGCAGAGCCTGAGCAAACAGAAGAGCAGCTGTTGGTGTCAGCATGCCATGTCCTAGACAGGGACAGTGCATCCCTAGGTGGGGCCCTCCTAGGGCTGGTGAGGGTGGGCAGCCAATCACACACAGCTGGCTGGAGCAGGAGAGCAAGGCAAAAGGGCAGGAGACAGATCCTAGATATCTACCTGAGCCCAGAGACCACCTGGGCCGGGGTGGCAGCCACTCATTTGGTTTATACGATAGCCTGGCTTCTACTTTTGCCCCATTCTTGGCACCCAGCCACAGTGATTCTGATAAAGCCTAGTTCAGATGGCGGAACTTCTGTGCTGCGCATCCTCAGCCACAGCGGCCGAGCTCCAAAGAGGGTGACACGGCCAAGCAAGGCCAGCCTGCCACACCAAGGCCAGGGCCCTGATACACGATGACAGTGTTTACTTTCATACCCCCAAATTCTTGAATCATCAGACTCCCTGCCCCCTTGGTGGCTCACCATTCCCTATTGAAAACTGGCTCTCCCCCAGGAGAATCACTTGAACCTAGGAGGCGGAGCTTGCAGTGAGCCGAGATCGCGCCACTGCACTCCAGCCTGGCGACAGAGCGAGACTCCATCTCAAAAACAAAAACAAAAACAACAACAACAAAAAAACTAGCTCTCCCCGTTGCTTGGAGACGATGCAGAGACCCTCCCCTACAAGTCAGCATGTGCCCCTCAGAATCGATTCCCATTTCCCCTTTAGACTGCTAGGCCTGGAATTAGGATTAAATCTCAACATAACCCAGTTGGGAATGTGTACACCAGAGGACCTCCAGGACCCAGTAAGCATGACCAGCAGGAGCCTGCCAAAGTGTGTTCATGGCACTGGAGTCTGAGGGTGCCTGACCAAGGGGGTCTAAGTTAAGACTGGAAAAGGGAATGCCAGGCGCGGTGGCTCACTCCTGTAATCCCAGCACTTTGGGAAGCCAAGGCGGGCGGATCACTAGGTCAGGAGTTCAAGACCAGCCTGGTTAACACGGTGAAACCCCGTCTCTACTAAAAATACAAAAAATTAGCCGGGCGTGGTGGCGGGCACCTGTAGTGCCAGCTACTCCAGAGGCTGAGGCAGGAGAATCGCTTAAACCAGGAGGCAGAGGTTGCAGTGAGCCAAGATGCACCACTGCTCTCCAGCCTGGCGACAGAGTGAGACTCCCTCTCAAAAAAAAAAAAAAGACTGGAAAAGGGAGACTCCATCAATGTGAGTACACTCCTGGGATTTCACCTCCTGATGAGGATGCCCAGTGATGGTGCAAACTCTACAAGGATGTCTGTGGGAAGTATGGATCAAATCAGGTCCACATTCAATGAGGCTGGCATGCCAGGATTGCCACGGCAGACAGCTCCACAGGAGACTGAAAGGCTCAGAGATGTGGGTATGTTGGGGTGGATATGCTGTGTAAGGTCAGAAGACACACCAGATGAATATGTTCCATGGAAAATGTGTCATTTACTAACGCCATAATAAATAGGCTGGTGAGGGGGCGCCAGCATCATTACAAAGTTCACTGGGGGATGTGAAGGCGATCTGGCTGTGACATCTGTCACCCCAGCGATCACCCGGGTTGATTTGGCTGATCTTGCTGACAAGTCGGGTGTCCCCTTCTCCATCACCACTCCATGTGTGACCTCCTGAAGCTGTGCCAAAGCTTCCCCGATAGAGGAGGACCGGTCTTCGGTCACAGATATATGAATAGCTGCACTCCCCTGCTAGAACCTCCAAAAAAGCTCTCAAACTTCACCGGGACTCCTCTCTGCAGGGGTCTTTCCTGTCTGCAAGGCCTCAGCCACCACCACTATCCTCTCTGCAGGCCAAGGCCGATGGCAGAGAAGACACCATTGCAGGACAAAGTTCACTGATCACAAGGGAGATGATGCCATCAGAAACCAGATGGCCACAGGTGCTGCACTGAAAACAGGGTCACAGTGGCAGCACAGGACTTAGAATGTGGGGGCAAGCTGAAGTCCACTTTTGTGACCTAAGGTTGGAATATAGGTGGCCTCACAATCAATGGCAATTATCTTGGCAAGCTGGTCAGCAGCTTGTAGGGAGGAAAAGCCGATGATCTGGGACAAGGAGGTCCGGGAGGGAGACATGGATGGACGCCTGGAAGTGGGCATCAAGGGTGAAGACCCTCTTCTCACGCAGCTCACCAGAACACATCCAGCACAGAAGCACTAAACAACAAAACGACTTGGCCAGCTGGCACCAGCCAGCCCTGCCATCGGCCACCCGACTGCTGGCATGAGGGCACCTGAGCAAAGTGGAGGCCCCAACAGCATGAGCTCCCACTCACCAAGGCTGGTCCAGCTACTGCCACCTTCAGACATCCAACCTGACAGAAGCAGGGACTAATGTTGAGCCCCCAATATGGCACCATGTGGTGCTTGGTAGCAAATGGACTATGTTGGACCCCTTCCACCCTGAAAAAGCCAGACAAATATTCCAGATATGCTTTTGCCTTTCCTGCCTGCGGGGCCTCAGCCAACACCACTATCCAAGGGCATGTAAAGCATTTAATCCCCTGGCACAAGATCTCCCATGACCTTCATGAGACGAGAGAACCTGCTTTATGGCAAAGAAGGTGCAGGGAGTAGTCCATGATCAGGTAACCCAGGGGTCATATCTATATCCAGAAGTGTGGGCATGATAGTGTTGGAATTGCCATTAAAGGTACAACTGAGGCCACATTTTGCAAAGATGAGGTGTCATCCTCCAGGATGCAATATGCAGTTTAAATCAAAGACCTATATATGCTGTTATGTCCCCAACAGAAAGAATACGTGGGCAAGCTCAGAACTAAGAGAATGGAAGCAAGAGTCTCTTATGGGCTCAGTTGTGTCCCCCACAAAATTCATATGTTGAAGTCCTAACTCCAATTACTTCAAAATGCGACTGTAATTGGAGACAGAGCTTTTAAAGACAAAATGAAAATCAAATGAGGTCATGGGGTGGGCCTTAGCCCAATATGACTGGTATCCTCATAAGAAGATATCAGGACACAGACACACACAGAGGAGACATGGGGAAAAAAGTGGCCATCTACAAGCCAAGGAGAGAAGTCTTAGAAGAAATCAACCCTGCCAACACCTTCGTCTTGGACTTCTAGCCTCCAGAACTGTGAGGAAATAAAGTTCCATAAATTCCATTGTCACCCAGACTATGGTTCTTTGTAATGGTGGCCCTAGTAGACTAATACAGAGACCCTTCACTTTCAGCGACTCACTTGGCGAATTTGTGCTTTCTGCACCCACAATTTGAGCTCTGTGTGTTAAGAGGTCCTGGTTCCCTAGAAGAACAGTTCCACCAAGGGCTCAGCCAGAATCCCATTAAATGATAAGCTACAAGTGCTACCTGATGCTTCAGAATCCCAAGACCGAGGAATTGGCAAGTAAGAGTGGAGTCAGCATCCTGGTGGAGCTGACTGACCACAATCAACAAGAAAAGCAGGTCGGCTGTACACAGTGAAGGCAGGGAGGAAAACGTTTGGCATTTCTTGATATTTCCCTGCCCAACTGTGATGGGCTGAGGAAGGGCATGGTGGCTAGGAGTCAGACCCTCCAAGGATGAGGATCTGGGCCATGCAACCAGATAAGAGCAGCAAAGGCACTAGCTGAGGGTGAGGAGAACCCAAAGTGGCTACTGGAGGAGGGAGATGAGATGAGGGCTATCAACTCATGGCCCTGAGGCCAGCTGCAGCCTCAGAAGCAATAGTCTCCTCAACCTTCCCCTTCTAAGTTTCTCCCAAGAAAAGAGGTCCACCCAGGATGTTGAGGAGTGATGCTCAGAACATATAGGAACAAGTAGGTCCTGGAGGTCCAAAGGGAGGATTACGGTGGACACTGTGATGCTCCACCCAGATCCCCTTCGATGGGACTTTCGCCCCAACTTCTGGGAGTGCTGTAAGCAGACAGATTTCAGCTCTCAGCTCCTGCAGGGACCACATCCGCTGCAGTTAAGTCCCCTAACCCAAGGGCACATTCCTTCCGGTGCGGCCTACATGCAATGACTAATCCGTATGGGAGCACCAAAGCCTGGCCACGTCACCCAGCTAGGGACAACAGTGATGGCCACGCTAGTTCCAAAGCTCGCCATGGGCTCCACTGAGGCTGTCCTTGGGCCTGCCCATAGCTCAGCTTCTCCCTGTGCCCAGTCTTCTTCCTCGCCCTTCCATTGCTTTTGGTTTCTATATAAATAAATGTATTTAAGCACACTGTTCATATACCCAAGCATTGTTTTTTTGTTTTGTTTTGTTTTGAGATGGAGTTTCACTCTTGTTGCCTAGGCTGGAGTGCAATGGTGCGATCTCAGCTCACTGCAACCTCTGCCTCCTGGGTTCAAGCGTTTCTCCTGCCTCAGCCTCCCAAGTAGCTGGGATTGCAGGCACCTGCCACCTCGCCTGTCTAATTTTTGTATTTTAAGTAGAGATGGGGTTTTGCCATGTTGGTCAGGCTGGTCTTGAACTCCTGATGTCAGGTGATCCACCCGCCTCGGCCTCCCAAAGTGCTGGGATTACAGGCATGAGCCACCATGCCTGGCATCAAGCATTGTTTTATAATTACACTTAATATAATTCCCCTTCCATTTCAGAACCCACACTTTTGTCCAAGGTTCTGAGCTTTATCAATCTCCATGCCCACATCCACTCATTCCCCTGGCATAGTTTTCTAGGTCGCGTTGCCTGGTAACTTACAACAATATGGCTATGGTTGTTTTTAGTGCCTTTGTACCAGGCATTTCTCCTGCCTTCTCTCATTTGATCCTTTTAACACCACTCTGAGTCAGACACTACATTATTTCCATTTCCAGTGAAGAACCTGGGTCTCAGAAGGCTCAGTTACTCACACAAGGTCATATCGTGGGTCCACAGGGAGACCAGGAGGTGCTCAGGCAGCCCGACTCTGAGTCCACTGATTCTCAATCTGCTGCTGCAGCTCTGATGCAAAACGAGGACACCTGCCTGGTGGGCCCAGCTGCTGGGAGTTTAAGCAACGGCAGATACCACCTGAAGGGAATTCTAGGTCAACCAAAGGAGGAGCTCTAGCAGTGGGATGGGCTTCTTTGAGAGGTCATGAGACCCCTATCCCTGGGAATATCCAAACTTCCACCAGGCCTACGAGAAATATTATGCTAGGCAAGCAGAAAGGTCCCAGACAACTCAAGGAAGAAAGGATTCTCTGATTCCATCCATGACATTCAAATCTCCCCGCACTGAGCTGACTCAAAGGTTCCAGCTGACAGTGATTTGAGGAGAGGCAGACTTGTGACCAGCACAGAAGCCCTGGGGCCGGGTGAAGCCTGACCTACCTCTGGAGCACTGCCAACCGCTGGTGGTGACTCTGACCGGCCTGAGAGCAGGAGGTCAGACTGCAATACTTCTGGGGTCCCTCCACGGTCTCAGTGCCCTTGACTGCAGCCCGCCAGGTGCCTAATGGATGCGGCAGATGTGCATGGGAGTGAATGCCAATCAGCCCTGGAGGGCAAACCCCGTGGAGATGCAGATGGAGGTTCACCAACCACAGCCCCTCTTCCCACGTTTCCTTTCCCTTACTGAAAAGGTGGGTGGGTTCAACACCCTGGCAGGCATGTGTGTGTGTGCATTACCTGTATACATCAGTGCCTGCTCCAAACGCCTCCTTGGCTCGTCATTAGGCATCCAGCTTCCCATAGGACCAAGGTAGCATGTGGCAGCAAGCCTGGATTTCTGAAGAGCTCAGAGTAGTTCCTCTCTGAGGCAAGCACAACTCTCAACTCAATTCACCTCTTCCTCATCTCCCCTTTCGACCAACGTGAAGCCAAGAGAATATCCGCTATCCACACAACAAATTGGATTATTCAGGGTTTCCTACTCTTACCTGAAACTCATTCACTCATTTAACTAACATATATTGAGCCAGGCCCTGTAACAGGCTCAAAGATAGAGTCAGCAAAGTTTTTCTATAAAGGGCCAGATAGTAAAATTTTGGGCTCTGTGGGCTCACCTGTCTTGGTCACAACTACTCAACCCTGCTATTGTAGCACAAAAACAGACACAGACAATATATAAACAAATGAGCATGGCTGTGTGCCAATAAAACTTTGCTTACAAAAATATGCCACAGGCCAGATTTAGCCGCATAGGCCTTAGTTTGCCAACCCCTGATCTAAGAACACAAAGAATAGATATATCTGCCTATGGGGGATGGAGGATGGAGGTAAGGTCCTTCTTGTCTTCTGAAATTTTATAAAACTAGAAAAACAAGTCTTAGGCCAGGTGCAGTGGCTCATGCCTGTAATCCTAACACTTTGGGAGGCTGAGGCAGGAGGATCGCTTGAGCTCAGGAGTTCGAGACCAGCCTGGGCAACATAGTGAAACCTTGTCTCTACTAAAAAATAAAAAATAAAAAAATAGCCTGGCATGATGTCTAGTAGGTGGCCTGTAGTTCCAGGTACTTAGAAGGCTGAGGCAGGAAGATTGCTTGAGCCCAGGAGATCAAGGCTGCAGTGATCTATAATCATGACACTGTACTCCAGCCTGGGTGACAGAGAGAGACCCCACTGAAAGAAAAGAAGGAAGGAAGGAAGGAAGGAAGGAAGGAAGGACAGAAAGATTAAGAGAGAAGGAAGGAAGGAGAGAAAGAAAGATTAAGAGAGAGGGAGGGAAGGAAGGAAGACAAGGGAAGGAGAGAGAAGGAAAAAAGGAAAGAAGAAAGGAAGGAAGGAAAGAAAGAAAGAGCAAGAAAGAAGAAGGAAGGAACGAAGGTCTTTATCAAGGAGGGAAGGAAAAAAGGAAAGAAGGAAGGAAAGAAAGAGACAGAAAGAGAGAGAAAGGAAGGAAGAAAGAAAGAAAAGAAAAGAAAAAAAGAAAAGAAAAGAAAAAAAAGAAAAAAGAAAAGAAAAGGAAGGAAGAAAGGAAGGAAGGAAAAAGGAAGGACGGTCTTAATCATAACTAACTTTAACATGCCACAGCAAAACCAAAGCATGGCCAGTGAATGACTTCTGACCCTAAACTCCTGACAGCACTGGGCAGCCCTGGGGTTTGGGTTTGAGCCCACTCTCTGCCATTTACCAGTGTATACACCACTTCCATGATGTTTGGTTTCTTCTGTAAAATGAGGCTATTTTATAGAATACAGTAGTTCACGCCTATAGTTTCACCTATTCAGAAGACCTGAGGCAGGAGGATTGCCTGAGCCCAGGAGTTCAAGGTTACAGTGAGCTATGATTTCGCCACTGAACCACAGCCTCGGTGACAGAGCAAGACCTTGTCTCAAAAATAAAATGAGAATATTAATGCATATATACATCATGGGATCACTATGAAGATAAAAATCCCATAATGTGGAAGTGCTCCCTAAATTATAAAAAGCTACAGAAATGTAAGAGATCGTCATTGTCATCCTCCAACCTAATGCAAAACTTCAGATGTGGTCCCAGCCCTGCAACTGATTAACTGTGGGACTCTGGGCAGGTCACCTCTCCCCTCTTCACCTCGGTTTCCTCGACGCTGAGATGCTCGAAGGAGATAAGGGAAGTGCATTGCACCGTGTAGAGTGTGCATTTTCTATGTTGTCTTGATGTCATCATTAGATAATAATTATTATTATCATCATTTTGTATCATTATAATTGTCTGTGTTTCTAGCTAAAAGCTCCCTAGATATTTCCGTCTGCCAAAGCCGCTGAGTAGTCTCCTTCCCTCTTTCGCTTTGCAGCAAGTCCTCCTCATTGCTCTTAGCCCAGGATGAGGCCTCTCCTTCTCTTCAAAACACTACAGTAACTGTCTCTCTGCCTGCCTGGTCGGTCTGTCTGTCTGTCTGTCTGTCTGTCTGTCTGTCTCTCCCACTGCCCTGTGAGCTCCTTGAATATGGGGCGGGGAACAAGGTCTGACTCATCTCTGTGTCCCCGCCCCTGCCCCAGTGCCTGGTGCATAGTGAGGTCTGCTGGGTCCATCTGATGAGAATCCCTGGACCTCCCTGGCCTGATGTGCTACTCCATGTTACTGCTGGCCCTCCAGGAAGATTGCCCAGCACCAACCGCCTGCTTGAGGGCCACAGAGGGGAGATGTGGATCTTCCTTGCGGTTCACATAGCAGGGTCATGCTGCCAAGGTACTCCCGCCAGGCCTCCTGCTGTGGCCCTACCCAGTCTTTCAGGTCCTCAGGAGCCACCCCAACAGCACCTCACCTCTCACCTGCTGCGGGGTGCACTCAGAGGTGCTACACACCTGCATGGCTCGCCCACGGGGCCTGAGTCCATGGCATCGGGTTCACGTGGTGGTTGCCGCTGCTGCTCTCTGGACACATGGCTTCCTCAGCAGACGCCAGTGGAGCCGGGTAGCACTCCATGTAAAAGCAGAAAGGTGATGGCTCACGGGGCAAGATGTCACCGTTGGGAAAGAGGCTTCAGTGGGTAGTCTTCTCTCTTCCTTTCCCGGGACAAACTGCTCAAAGTTGCAGTGGACAGGGCAGAAGACATTCTACCAGGACAAGCAGCTGACTGTTCTTGGTTGAAGCTGAATAACATACTCCCTTCTATTTTCTGTCCCTCTTCCTTCCCTCTGCTTCCCTGGGCCTTCTCTCCCCAATAAAGTGTGAGCATCCAAGTTTTTGCCTCAGACTTGATTTTCTAGGTGGCAAGGGCTGAGGCATGAGGGCCTAGGAAATGCCCACTTTGGTTTTCCCCATCTGCTCTCTGTCCTCTCAGAGCCTTCCAAAGCCTGAGCCGTCGTTCGCTGCCAGTCCTCAGCACCCCTCCCCCAGCCTCTCTTATCCTTCCCAGCCCAGCCTGGAGCCCACTATGCCCACCTGGGCTACATCCATCCTCAGACTGCAGACCCAAGGCCCTGGGCTCTGTCTCTCCTGGCCTCTCTGTTGCTCCCTGGATGCTGGCTGTGCAGATCACTGTCCGCATGAGTCTCCATTCACAGTGGACCTGTGTGGAGGCTTTAAAATATGTCCACACCTTCTCCGCTCAAACTGTGAAGCCTAATGCCCCCACCCCTTGAGTGTACACCAGACTTAGTAACCTGCTTCTAATAAATAGAATCGGCCGGGTGAGGTGGCTCATACCTGTAATCCTAGCACTTTGGGAGGCAGAGACAGGTATATCACTTGAGGTCAGGAGTTCGAAACCAGCCTGGCCAACATGGTGAAACCCTGTCTCTACTAAAAATACAAAAAATTAGCTGGGCATGGTGGTGGGCACCTGTAATCCCAGCTACTTAGGAGGCTGAGGCAGGAGAATCACTTGAACCTGGGAGGTGGAGGTTGTAGTGAGCCGAGATTGCACCACTGCACTCCAGCCTCGGCAACAGAGCAAGACTCTGTCTCAAAATAATAATAATAATAATAATAATAATAATAATAATAATAATAATAATAAATAGAATCATGGCATATGATTTCCAAAATGAGGCCTGAAAAGGCACTGGGACCTCCTCCTCTCCTTCAGGTCACTTGCACCAGGGGAAGCCAGCTGCCATGGAGAGGAAACTCAAGCAGGGCCATGGAGAGGCCAACTCGGCAAAGAGCAGAAGCCTCCAGCCGGTGGCCGTGTGAGGAAATCAGCTCATGCCAGATCCTCCGGCCCCGCTCAGGCCTTCAGATGAGTGCAGCCCCAACCAACATCTTGAATGAAATCTCATGACAGGTCTTGAGCCAGAACCACTCAGCAAAGCCACTCCCAGATTCCCGGTCCTCAGGAACTATGTGTGATGATAACTGTTTTCTGTTTTAAGCCTCTAAGTTTCAGGCTAATTTGTTCCCTATCAGCTGACACCATCCTATCCTTTTACTTGTCTCAGGGGCTCTCTTCCCCTTCCCCTCAGCCAAACCTCCACATCCTCAAGCATCTACCCAACACGCAATCCTTTTGTTCTCAGTGAAAAGCTTGTCTCCCACTTTATGGGGCAGGAAGAGGGGAGATGAGGCACTCAAATGTGACACCCCCAGCTCCCTGACCCACTCCCTCCACAAACGCCTGCACCTACCCCATCCTCACTGCCTTGCATCCAGTCCCAGGGGATGAGCTCCTCACTCCTGTTCAAGAGCAGCCCGTTCCCTGCTCCTGATCCCCATTGTTCATCCTCACTCCTAGCCCTGCAGGTGCATTCTCTCCACAGCCTAGAGCTGAACCTCTCATCTCTGTGAAGCCCCTTGACCAGAAGCCACTTCCTAATCCCATTCTCTCTCCTTCTCTAACAAGCACCTTGAAAGGGCTGGGCATGCCTGCCATGCATCTGCTCATTCCTCAACCACTGAGCAGTAACTGCTGCCCCTCTTCCCCAGAGCTCCTCTTGCCCCTGCCTGGTCTCCAGTTATCCCCCAGCTGCCAAACCCAGAGGTGACTCCCCAGCCCATCTCCCAGGGGCCACTTTGCAGCATGTGACACTCTTGGCCACTCTTTCTGTCCTCCAGCCCTCCTCCTCATATCCGTACCATGCTCCTTCCTGATGCCCCTAACTGGTCCTCACTGCTTTCTGTGCAGACCCTATTTCCTCCTGCTACAGCTCAGACACAGATGTTCTCTGGTTTCAGCCCATGCTTCTTTTACTCTTCCTGTCCTCCTCAAGAGAAGTCCTGACTCCCTCTCATGACAACAACCACCACCCTGTATGGATGGCTGTCAAGTTCAAGACCTCTTCCCTGCATGTCAAGACGTCTTGACACGCCTCGCCCAGACCTCTTCCCTGAGTGTCAGATTGTATCCAGCTGCCTGCCATTTCCCAAAAGCGCTTCCAAGTCACCACGTTCAGAGGATGTAATGCTGCATGCTTCTGCAGTGTCTTTCCATCTCGGTGAATGGCACCTGCAGCCACCGGCTCATGGCCAAGACCTGGGTGTCACCCTGGAAGTCCTACTCCCACTTCCAAACACTCGGCAAGTCCAATTGAATCTTCTCCCAGGAGAGTTTTTCAATGGGGCCCCTCACACTCTCCTTAGGATGCACCGTCCTGCAGTAGACCTAGTTGTCTCTAACCTGGATCCTTGGGACAGGTTCCTGACTGGTCTCTTTCAGATCTATGGGTCTAAGGGGTAGAGATCATTGGCTCTACCCTGCAGCCACAGGGAACTTTCCAGAACTCTAATCATTTTGCCCCCTTCCTAAAACTCTTCAGTGACTCCCCTTCACCCTCTGTGACCTGTCCTCTGTTAGCCCAATCACCCTCAACTCCCACCACTCCCAGACTTACACTCGAAGACTTGCTAAAACCAGTGTCTTCTTTTTGCCCGCACATTCTCTGCACAGTCTGACCTCCAGCCTTGGCTTGTATTGGTCCTTCTGCCTTGTATGCCCTTTCCACCTTTCTTCCCCTGGCCAACTCTCTGCCATTTTCCAAAATACAGCTCCTGCATCATCTCCCACAAACCCCCATTGGCAACATCCTCCTCCATCTCTACTTCAACCTTCTGACCTTGGTGTGTGGGACGTTGGGCAGAGTGAGGGTAACAGCCACCTCACCACACTGTCACCAAGACCCACTGAAGGAGAACAGGGTACTCTGCATGAGGCCTGGCCCATAGTCAACAATTCACAGCTTGTAGCAACCATGACTAGTAGTCTCTGTGCTCTCTCCAGTACCCACTGACCACCCTGTCCCCGCCCTCACGGCTCTGGGCTGCATCCTTGTCTAACTGGGAGCTTGCTGACAGAAAGAGTTGTGGCGTTGTTCCACCTCCAGAGCCTGCACAGTGCCTGGCATAGTGGAGGTGCTCAGTCAACACCTCTGAACTGGACAAGAGCTGAGAGGTGAAAGGAAAGGTAAGAAGCACCTGTCCCCTTAAGCAAGTACAGCATAATGGTCAACTTGCTGGGCCCCTCCTGCTCTATCATCCGTGACCTGTCGGCCTTGGCCAGGTGACCCCAACTCTCTGAGCTTTGGTTCACTTACCTTTAAAACAGGGGCTCTAAGAGTGCACGCAAAGGTTGTACACAGGGACAGCCATTTACCCAGGGTCAGCGTGAACCCACTGCACTTCACTAAGGCTCTGGACCGTCCTGTCCCAGCCCTGCATGGGTGCAATGGGTCCTTCACCCACTTCTTCCTGCTAGGCCTGCCAGGCAGTGTGGAGAGCCCAGGGGGCACACATATGTGCTGCAAACTTGTTCTCTTGGAAAGGAGGTATCATTTTGTCCTTGTGGTTGCCTGCAGGTGCCTGCAGACAGCCTGTCTCACTGGGGGAGGTGTGTTGGCGGGAGAAGGGGGCTGGGGAGCTGCCCACCTGCACCTGGGGTGCCTGGCCCATGCCCACCTCACTGCCTCTCTCATCTCCTCTCCCCTCTCTCCTCTCCTTAGTCCCTCTCTCCTTCCCACCCTTCTCTCTCTCTGCTTTCCCCTCCTCTCCCCTCTTTCTGGCTTTCTCCTCTCTCCTCTCTGCCTCTCGTGTCTCCTCTCCTCCTTCCTCTCCGGCTCTTGTGTCTCCTCTCCTCCTTCCTCTCCGGCTCTCGTGTCTCCTCTCCTCCTTCCTCTCTGCTTCCTCTTGTCTCCTCTTGCTCCCCTGTCTGCCTCACCTCCTCTCTGGCACCACCTCTCTGCCTTTCATTCTCTGTCTTGTTTCTGTTTCTTTCCCTCTCTTTTCTTTATTTTCCTCTCTCTCTCTGATTGCTTTATAGTCTTATTTATCACATCCTCCCTTTCTTTACTCTCCATCCTGTGCAAAGAATTTTTCCCCTGCTGCCTCCAGACAAAGTTGGTGGAGAAGAATGAATTTTTCATTTGTTTTTCCATATTCTGCTCCTGTACCCAAGAAAGTGGAACTCAGGTCCCTCTGTATGTGTCTGGAGATATGACACACCTCGATCTCTCAGTTTTGCTTTGTCACTTCCCATAAAAGTAAAACCCGTTCAGAAAGTCAGGCGCCAGGCCCGGGGAATCAGAACGGCAAGCCCATTGGCACATCCAGCGAACCTCGCCCTGATGGCAGCCACAGGAGATGGGGAGCTTCCTTTGCCTTCTGTCCCACCGGAAGGGTAAGAACCTGTCAGAATGGCTGTGTGTTTCCAAGGATGCCAGAGCTGGAAGTTAGGTTTCTAGCCAAGGACGCCAGCTGAGTGCATATGTGCACGCGAGCACACATATCACGCGCACAACAGGCACACTCACGGGAGCTCCTGTGTGGCTGTCCCCCACCTCCTGACAAATATGTTTACCAGATAAGGGTCTTGAGACACTGGAGCCCATGGGACAGGGAGGATTGTGGGGAAAACAGTCTTCCCCTAATGAACTTTTCCTTCCTTTCTCTTACTTCAAAAGAGAAACAGAGTCAGGATCAGCTCAGCTGGACTCGTTTTCTGTTTACTTTGAGGATGTCCCATCCCTCCCTGCTCCTCCATTTCCCCCAATACGACTGGGTTCCACGAGACTGGATCAGTGTCAGAGGGGAGTGCCATGGGTTTGTTCAGTGCTGCCCGAAGGGACCGGGATTGTCCCTACCACTCCCCTGGCTCCACGTCACCCTCCAGGTCTCGGTGTAAACGACCTCTCCAGGGACGCATTCCTTGCCACCCTGGCCAAACACTTGGGAGAACGATAGTGCTGCTCACAGTGCTCCCTCCCAGCCCCTTGCTTGCTCCCTTTTCAGTGCCTCTGTCAATCTGCAGTTGTCTGATTTGTGTGATACTTGTTGCCACACCTTCTCCACTAAAATGTAAGCCTCATGAGACAGGGACCGAGCTGCTATTGTTCACCAGAACGTCCCTGACACCTGGCACAGTGCCTGGCACACGGTAGGCCACCAATAAATATCTGCTGAATGAGTGAGTGAATGAATGAATGAATGAATGAATGGGATCATCTTATCCAAGCCCCCAGTGCTGGCGATGATGACGCTGAGAGGCCCCAGGGGAAAAAGCAATTGCCTGAGAGTGCACAGCCGGGGGTGCCTGGCCAGGATGAGGGTGCTGGTCCCTCCCAGCATCCTCACCCCACATCAGTTCCCCAGAGTCCCTTCCGAGCTGGGCTTCTCCCACTAACCAACAATCCTTCTATAAGAACTTCATACACCCGCCTGCTATCCTCTTAAGCCAGGCCCATATTTTCTTTGGAGTAATAATTAAAATAACATATTCACCAGCTGTTTTTTTTTCTAGATTTAATCTGCTCAGGCTCTGATTTGCATATTAAAAGCACTAATTAGCCCCTCCGAGTGCTTGGGCACGGAGAGTGCAGTAACTGGTCACGTCGTCCCTGAAGACCCATCCCCAGCGCTCTGGGCGAGGATACGGATGGCGGCGCGAGCCCTGGGCACGGAGCAGCAGCCTTTGTTTCCCAGCATTTGGGGACTGGAACGCTCCACTGCTCCATCCTTGTGGCTCTTCTTCTCTTTGAAGTGTCGTGTTTGATGTGTTAGCTTGTCTGTCAGTTTTTATTTTAACTCCTTTAGAGTGTGTGTTTTAACCCCTCTTGGTCACACCGGGGCAGAGAGTCCCCAGAGAGTGTGGGCAGCCTTCGACCAGGGGCTCCACGGTGAGCCCCAAGTCCACGGGCAGTGAGGCTGTCCTCCTTCCCAAGCTTGCTCCTACTCCTGCCTCCCAGCGAGGAGGAGAAGGGCGATTCCAGCATGCCGGTCCCTTTAAATTATTCCCTTACTGGACCCGTACAAAGGAATAGCTAATTGCGTTGTTATATTTCCTTCAAAATAAAATTGGGGAATGTGTGTGAGGGGAGGATGAGGGGCCCCGTCCATCAAAGCTGTCGGCCGTGCAGCGGGATTCTGCGCGTGCTCCAGCACACTGGACCCCCGCGGCAGCATTCAGCGTGACCCAAAGACAGCTCTGACTTTCTGCTCCCGGGGGGATGAGATCTCAGATGGGCACCTGCCTGCACTGTCCACGGCTATCAAAAGGAAACCGAGGCCTAAGTCTCGCAGGAGCTGGCAGAGGCCAGCCAGGGACCCGGCTAGGGAGACACTCCCAGAATTTCAGAAATTCCAGCCTGGCATCCCACAAGCTGCTTCCCCAGACCCCGGATCTTCACAGACGAACAGCCCCTCCAGGAAGGCCTGTGAGCTTGCGGGCCTGCGGGGGCTGGGCCACAGCAGAGAGCCAGATGGCGGCTGTGCGAGCACCAGGGGCAGGGCCAAAAACCGTAACTGGGAAGAAAGCGCTGGCAAGAGAGCCCCTTTATTTCTTCTGCCCAGGCTCGGGGTGGAATCCAGCTCCGACGGCTGGAGCCCGCTCAGCCTCCAGGCGACCGTGGCCCGTGTCGAGGCCTGCCCAGAGCACCTGTAAGAAGGCTGTTGGGCCCTCCACCCTCGAGGCAGCCCAGCCGCTCCCAGACGGATCCCCGGCCACTCTGTCTGTCCCCACCTGCTGCGCCGTCGCCTGTGCCTGAGCAGGAGCCAGAACACCCTACACCCCTTCTGGGCCCATCTGGAGTCATTTTGGTGGGCCTCCTTTGTCCGTTTCTGCACTGGCCCCACAGGCGCTTGTTGGACATCTTGCCTGCTCCAGACCCTAGGGTTGAAGATTGAGAAGGTGTCTGGGAGGGAGAGAGTGGATCCTTGACTCTGCCTCCAGCCAGAGCCCTGTGTGGAGGAGGCAGCCTTGCTGGAGAGCCGGCTGACTTTGACAGGAACGCCAGCAGGAGGCTTAGAAGTCAAAGTGTGCGCCTCACAGTGAGCACGGAGCTGGGGTGAGAGAGGAAGGAGACGGGGTCAGGCTATGCTCCGGACAGAAGACCACCACTCAAGGCTCTCTTGACTTGGTGGGGAGAAGGGGACACCCACTAGGAACGCAAGAAAACATGGAGTCAGCTAAAAAGTTTTGCGGCCCAGACAGAAACCGTGGGAGAGAGAAGCAAGGGAAGTCTTGGGTTTAGGCGGCAGAAGAACAGCAAGAAGCAGGGGGTTCCCGAGCCAGCCATGGAGGGCGGGGACCTCAGGGAGAGGGAGCCAGGGCTGACGGCCTGAAAGAGAGTGACTGTGAGGGCCACTGGGGTGCCCTCGAGGTGCCGCAAGGGCAAGGGATGGAACGTATGCCAGGAAGGAGAAAGAGACTCCCGATGGGGGAGAAGTGCCGTGTGGTTCTCGCTGGGCCTCAGGAGAGCTCTCAGATCTTTCCAGCTTCCAAGAATGGGGTACAAGAGGGAGTGGAGGGAAGTAGCAACCCCGGCAGGCAGGAGCACAAGTGCATCCGCCACTCGCGCAGAGGGCAGAGCGCCAGGAGGGGCTTCGCCAGGCTGGGCCAGCCTGGGATCCCCGTGGGGGCTGGAGAGGAGCTGGCCCCGCAGCCACGCGGAGCTGCAGCAGTAGAGGAGGCGCATTTAGGTTTGTCCGGCGGCCTGACGTCACTGCTCTCTGTTGCCAAGGAGCAACGGTAACCCTGCCTCCATCCGGGGTCCCTGGGTGGGGAAAATAGAAGACAAAGAAGAAGGGGCAGGTTGGAAAAGGCGATGGGGTGAGTGACGCCAGTAGTGGGGAAGACCTGGACCAAACCTGGAAACTCAGGGATTACAACCTACAGAATCCTACATGCCCCAGGAGGTACAGGTATTCTGGGGGCTACTTTTCAAGAATGGTGGGTTTTCCACTAGGGAACAGAATCTCTCCAAAGGGGGAGCAGGGAGCCCAGATCAATCTGTTGTTGAAACATCCCCCACAAGTGCATTCATGGCCCACAGAGAAGCAACCCCGGGGTGTCATGTAGAAGCTGGCAACACAGAGCTTGACCACACCATCTCCTCTCAACATGCTCAGCCCCTCTCAGATACACCAGCTGGAAAAATTTCTTCTCTGTGGCCAAAGATCTAGACTGCCACCCAAAAGCAGGTCACTATGGAGCTCTGAGAGAACAGCTTTGACTTGAGGAACATGGGACCAGCGGCCATCAGAGACAGTCAGCTGCCCCTGCCGTGGGCTCTCTTGGATGTAGGATCTGGGTGTCAGTCAGTGTGAGGCTGGCACGGTGCTGCAAAGAGGCCCAAAGACCCAGAAACAGTGCTGAGGTGGAACACAGGGATGATAGCGGGGGCATGGCATCGCCCTTCCGATTGGACTTGCAGTTGGAGAAAGCCAGGTTGAGAGGAAGCAGGCTCATACCTCGACTGACCCTCAGGGAGACCGCAGGTTCACCATTTCAGATAGAAACTGAAAGACCTAGATTTAGGCAGAGGCCCAGGTGAGTGCATTTCAGCTAGAACTGGGTAGAAGATGAAGACAGCGTAGACAGGCGAAAGACTCTATCCACGTGTTATCATTTAATTTCTCCAAATCAATCTCAAGAAGCAAGAGACTGATAGCCATGTCTAACTTTTCAACAGGAGAGAGTGCTAAGTGCCATATTTGCAAGTTGGTCTGATACTTCGGTGCTTCCGGCCATGGATAATGTGCTTGGACCATCTTGTTGGCACAGTGAAGACAGAATCACCTGCTGCAGATGGTGTGACTAAGGCTGATGGGTTGTTCTGGGGGACACCCCTGACAACCTTGGCAGATTAGGGGGCTGAGGTGGGGTCCTGAGCCTCATCTCCAGGAGACTTGGATAAATGCGTGGTAGACACAACTTGGCGTATTTCAGGGGCTTCTGGGGCAGCACAGACTAGATGCTCATGGCCCAGAGGGGCTGAATTTCACATTATCCTGGACCTAAGACGGTTTCCAGGAGCTGTAGAAAGGTTAGAAATTGAATTTCCAAAGTGCATCATCTCTAAGATGCCCTAATCTCTTCTCCAGGAGGTACATAGCCACATGCCTGGCTGATGCCAGGCCTGGAGGCGCAGCACCCATGGGAAGTTGGTTTCATCCTCTCCCCAGCCTTCCCAGGGAGCACCCTCAGGCATCAAGGACTCCTTTGCAGAGAGGGCTAAAGAACCCCCCAGAGAAGAAAGACCTAGAAATAGGTAGAACAGAGCCCCATTTCTTCTTCCTAAGACCTCTTCTCCTCTCCCCTCCCCTCCCTTCTCCTCTCCTGCCCTCCCCTCCCCTCCCCTCTCCTCTCCTCTCCCAGGAGACCTTTCCTTACCCAGAACATCCCAAGGAGGTGGGCAGGTGGGAAACAATCACAGGTTGTAGAAACTGTGCTCCCCTCTTTTGTCCTCTTTCTACCTTTCTCTCTGCTGGATGGTTAGTCCAGGAAGATGCTGTCGGGGCTGACAGCTGCTCTCTCTGGAAGGAAACTCTGGTCCCAAAGAGAGCCTGGGTGAGAGCCAAGAGGGGAGGAATCAAGGTGCTGGTGGCTTGGGGTGAGCCAAGCTGGTGGCTTGCCTAAGGTCACGCTAGTTGATGAGGCTCCTCTTATCTGTAGGTGGAGTCAATTTCCAAAAGGACAAAGATGGAAGCTGCAAGGTCTCTTGACACCTAGGCCCCGAAGTTGCACAGCATCACGTCTGCCACATTCTGTCGGTCAAAGCAAGTCACAAAGCCGGCTGAGATGCAAAAGGTGAGGAAACAGATGCCACCTCTTAACGAGAGAAGCTGAAAATATTGTGGCCATGTTTTACCGTCTACCACACACACAATCCACAATTCAGCAATTCTATTTCTAAATGTGTAGCCTAGACCCAGAGAGACTCTTATACAAACTGACAGGAACAAGAATGTTCATTATAGCATCCTGTGTTACGGCAAAATCGAAAACAAAAATGCCCACCACTGGGAGAATATATAGATGAAAAATGGCATGTTCATGCACTGGAAAACTATACAGCAATTGATAAAGGAACTAGATCTCTATTTGCAACTCGGATGAATCAAAGATTATGCTGATTGGGAAAAACAAGCTGTAGAACGAAATGTATGAAAAATTAGCCAGGCATGGTGGTGCATTCCTGTAATCCCAGCTACTTGGGAGGCTGAGACGGGAGAATCGCTTGAACCCAGCAGGTAGCGGTTGCAGTGAGCCAAGATTGAGCCACTGCACTCCAGCCTGGGTGACAGAGGAAGACTCTGTCTCAAAAAAAAAAAAAAAAAAGAAAAGAAGAAGAAGAAGAAGAAGAATTAAATGTATAGTATGATATAATTTTAAGGAAAAAATTTCAAATACAAAGACAATACTGTATATTATTTTCATATACATACGCATGTAAAAGGCTAGGAGGTAATTGAAGTGTTCAGCATTAATGAGATGAGATTCTGTACAATGGGGAGAAGTGGAATGGGCATGGAGTGAAGCCGGACTGGACTAATGAGGGCATGTCATCTCTAACAGAGGAGAAAGATGAGTAAATAGATTCGTCCAGTTTGTGCTCTTGAGATCCGCACATACAGAACAATTTCAAAATAAGAAGACAAACTTGAGAGGGAGCCACGAAGGAAGAAGATAAAGAGGGATAACTGACCGAGGGAGATTTGCAGAAGGTTGAAGGAGGGTTAGCAACACATGTTGCGGTAGGAGCCTCGTTCCTGTGGGAGAGCCAACACATACAGACAATTCATACTCAGTGCTTTCCTTTTAAAAAAGTGTTGCTTATGGCTGGGCACAGTGGCTCATGCCTGTAATCCCAGCACTTTGGGAGACTAAGGTAGGGTGGATCACTTGAGGCCAGGAGTTCAAGACCAGCCTGGCCAACATGGTGAAACCCTGTCTCTACTAAAAATGCAAAAATAAAAATAAAAATTAGCCAGACATGGTGGTACATGCCTGCAATCCCAGCTACTTGGGAGGCTGAGGCAGGAAGATCACTTGAACTGGGGAGGTGGAGGTTGCAGTGACCTGAAATCATGCCACTGCACTCCAGACTGGGCAATAGAGTGAGACTGTCTCAAAAAAAAAAATTGTTGGTTATTTCTGTTTATTCTTTCAATGTATTCCCTTTGTCAGAAGGTCATGAAGTTGCCAATTCATTATCTGGATAAAGTTGGTATTAGCCATGGTTTTGACTTTGTGGGCAAAGCAGCTGCTGCTTTTACCTATAGAGGTGGCTATGGCTAAATTCATTCATTTACTCCTTCAACGAATATTTATGGAGTAACTTTCATGTGTCTGGTGCCTTAGTTTTGGGGATACACCAGTGACCCCAACATGGAGCTTACATATGGAGCGCTCCCATCCAGCAAGATGTTTGTCTTGAAGTTTCCACTCCCTGTTGAATGATCCGATCTGCTAAGGTTTTATGGCTTCCTCTATCTTTCCTTCCTGAGCAGAGTTCATACCCACAGGCCTTAGGGTCCCCACTCATAGCAGATTGAAAGAAGTGTGGAGAGAGCAAACCGCCGCTGCCCTGCATCGGCCCCTCCTTTGTGGTCTCCTGCTGACCCTCTCTGGGTTCTTGACTCTGAGCCTTACTTGCCAGGAGCCACCACAATGATCAGGCTCTGCCTCCTAATCTGAAGCCCAGAGTTTTCTATTTGTTGTTGTTGTTGTTGTTGTTGTTGTTGTTGTCTTTGTTTTGTTTTGTTTTTTGTTTTATGAGATGGGGCTCCCTCGGTCACCCAGGTTGGAGTGCAATGGCACAATCTCAGCTCACTGCCGCCTCCACCCCGGCCTCCCAGGCTCAAGTGATTCTCCCACCTCAGCCCTCCAAGTAGCTGGGCCCACAGGTGCACGCCACCACACCTGGCTGAATTTCTTGTATTTTTAGTAGAGATGGGGTTTCACCATGTTGCTCAGGCTGGTCTGGAACTCCTGAGCCCAAGTGGTCCACTGCCTCTGCCTCCCAAAGTGTTGGGATTACAAGCATGGGCCCCCGCACCCAGCCTGGAAGCCTGGGGTTCTGGATCCTCCTTTCCCCACTGTCTTTCTGCATCTCCATTGGACCAGACGGAGAGGGGAGTGGGAAGATGTTGTCAGCAATCTCTGAACAGACAGCAGTCCATAGAGGGCTTTCCAGGGGTCATGAATGTGACCCTTGCTCTGGGCTGCAGAGGTTGGGGTTTGGTTGGACAAACAGGATAGAGGTCTAAAGAGGCGAGGCCTACGGTCGACCCCTCCTGCTCTAACTGCTCTCCCCACTCTAAACACACCCCACTCACCTGCCCCTCCGTGTCCTCACTCACCTTGAGCAAATTGGGGGATGTGCCCCCACCTTGGGCATATGAGACTGAGTCCAAGTGTCACCTCCTCTGGAAAGCCTCCCATGACCTATCAGCTTTCCCAGGCTGAGCTGAGACCCTCTTCTGTGCCCCCAGTAGTTGGCACATACACCCACCTCCTGTGGCCCTCAGCACACAACCACGTGATGGCAGGTGGGCCTGTGGGTCCCTCCCTCCCTCCAGGCCACTCTTCTAGGGTTGTCCCCCAGTGCCACCATATAGACAGGAGGAAGGAGGAGGGCAGTACTTAAGCGCTGGAAGAAGGGAAAGGGAACTGAAGGGAGACAGAAAGGTGAGGGAACACTGGCCACTCCCTGCAAAATGCCCAGTGGCTTTAGCTGGGCCCTCATATGTCTCAGAAAATGGGTAGGAGCCCCGAAGCTATGGTCACACTCAGAAGGTACCCACAGAACACAGGACACCGTGTGATTCTATTGCAGGACCAAAGGGTCCTGCCAAAGCCCAGGGGGACAAGGGTTTCTGTTTAAACTCTGTGGTTCATGCAACAGTCCAGTTCTCCCTAGAGTGACATTATCTGATTATCTTCCTTCTTGCACATTTGCTGATTTAATATTCATCTATTAACAGCTGCAGGGCCAAGACCCTGTATGGGTTCTTTCACACAGTTCAGTGCTGAGCTCCGGAGTCAGGCTGCCTAGAATCAAATCCAGCTTCTTCCTGGCTGTGCGACTGTGGACCAGTTACTTAACCTCTCTGAGCCTCAGGTTTCCCATCTGGAAAGTAGAAGGAATGCTAGCACCCACCCCACTGGCTGTTCTGAGGATCAGTAAGAGACCCCGTCCATGGAGCACTGACTGTCGCTTTGTGTACATTATTTCACTGATCGCTGTTGAATTCCCAGCTTGAAGGAAATTGAGGCTCAGAAAGGTTACATGGCACCACCAAGGACTCCAAGAAGCAGGTAAAAGAGCCAGAATTGGGTCCCAGCTCTTCTATCCAGCCTGAGGGAAGCAGGGTCCCAGGAAAAGCTACTCCCAGCCCTGCTCTCCTCTTCCCAGGTAGGTCCTGGAGCCCTCCTGCTGCAGTCACACCTCCAGACATGATTCGGATCAGTGATTCTAAGTGGCAGCATGTTGGTAACCAAGAGGTCCCCTATGGTCTCCAGCCCACTGTCATCTGGCTGCACCACACCCTGACTCCACCCACAGGCTCACGCCCAGGCCACCAGGGACCCCCTTGTGGTCACACCCAAAGGCTCCTCTTCAGTCACTGCATCCCCTGCTCCCTGATCCCCTACTGCACGCACCTGCCCTTCCCACAGCTCTCCAGTTTCACTTCCGGGGTTCCCTGCAGGCTCCTCCTCCCAAGCCTGAAATGCTGCCTTCCATCCTCCACCCTCATCTGTTCTCAACTCTCAGCCTCTCCCTGGGCTCATCCAGGGCTCATCCACAGCTGATGACCCACAGGACTTCAACCCATGCTCCTCTTTGGGGGTCCTGACCCCTGGATCCAGTGGAAATTCTCCACCGGGATGTCCCACAGTCACCCCAGTGGTCTCAGTCCACCCAGACCTGAACTCCTCACTCCCGGATGCTCACTCCTCCCCTGGCTGTATTCCCACCATCTACCACCCAAAATGGAAATCCAGAATCTTCCTGGACACCTTCCTTCTTTTGCCTCACATTGAAAGAGTGACCAAATCCTACGAATTCAACTTCCTTAATATCTTTTTCTTTTGTCACCTCGTTTCCACGTCTTCTACTCAAAACTCAAGCCTCCTCATCTCTTACCTGGACCGTGGACATTTTATCCCAGGAGGTTTTGCTGATCTAGGTTCCCCGTCCTCAGCCCCTCCCCACCCTGGTCATATTTCTCCCATTGATGGTGACCAATTCCATGAACATGGCTGAGTGTCTAACATGCCTTCACAGTTCTGGGTATGAGGGAACTGATGACAAAACATGGTTCTTCTCTCAAGTAACTCCAAGTCACACAGTAATGGCAAATAAGGAATGAGTTGCCATGCAGATTACAAATCATAGTAGACATCAAGTGGCATACAGGAAGCCCGTGGGGCCATTTGGCAGTCTTAGGGGGCCATGAAAGGCTTTTTGGAGGGACCAATGGCAGAGATGAGTGAAGTCCCCCTCATTGTCACAGGCTAAAGTCCAAACAAAACCTCCAGTTGGCCTGAAAGACCCTTTGTGAGCTGGTCCCAGGCTACCCCATCCTCTTTCTGCTCGCGCCCCCCCCCCCTTACACACACACTCATGCACAGCACTCCCCCGGCATGCCCCACTACCACATGGCCTGGGGCGGGGGTCCGTCTCGCTGCCATTCCAGCCCTGGTACAACATCTTGCATCAAGAATTGTGTCAATTTGTGGGCTTGCAAATCGGCACTTAGCTCGCATGCCAAAGTCCACAGTCCTAAGTTTCAATGGCAGAAAGACATTGCTGAAAATAATTGTGCCTGGCAGCACTGGGGCTGATTCCAAAAGCCGTCCAGTGATCCAGCGCACGCCGAATCTTTGCTTGCTCTATGCGGCAGCCAGATGCCTCTATATCCTGCCCAATTAATCTGGAATGAGTTGGATTATGATAATGTACATTTTGCAACAGCCTGCTACTGAAAGAAGGATCACAAAGCTACTTCCTGGTTCCTTCCCCTCCTCCTTGCCTCTCCCTGCTCTGTGGCTCACCCCAAGGGCCCTGCTGCTGCCAGCCCCTACAGGTAGACAGCACCAGGTTGTGGCAGAAAGCGACAGCCCCACCGGCGAGCTGGCAGCAGAGACCCCTGCACTGCCAGCCATTAGCCATTGACTACAGTCCTGCTGGCTCCAGCAGGCAACGCTTGCAAATTCCTGCTCTCCGGGAGAAGTCCGTGCACTGAGCCCTTCCCTGGAATGTGACATTGGCCCGTTTCACGTGGTGAAACTACAGAGGCATTCTTGAGGCAAGGCCTGGCCTCTGCAGGCAGGGAGCTGTTTCCCCACCTTAATGCTCCCCAAAGAACCAGGAAGATGCAAGGCAAAAATGTGTCCAGAAACCCCTTGGAGGGAAAGAGGGAGGGAAGGAATGGATGTGAGGACCTGCCAGGTGCTGTCACTGCGTCACCCTCCCAGAAGCCTTGCAAGGATTGCGCCTCTTTCTGTTCTAAAAATGAGCGAACTGGAGGCTCAGAGAGGATGAGTATGGCCCCCCACTAGTCAACGATCAGGGTCAAAGCCTCCTGACTCGCACCCCCTGTTTCCAGAGCACCGCCCCCATCGCTCCAGCCCTTCACCAAGGGCGCAGTAGAGTAGAAGCCTGCAGGCCAGACGTCAGCATTCAGAGGCGGCATTCAGAGACCGCGTTTAGGGGCTCAGTTACTTCTTCTCCTTCCGCCTTTTCTTGCCCCTCTCCTCCAAACCCTCACATCCTCATCCCAGAGATCTCAAGGGGACTGTCCCGGTTCTCACTTCCCTCTTCTCATCCATTCCTTGGCTATTCTTGGAGCACAGAGAACGCCTGACTCCAGAAGGGTATCCAGGGCTGGCGGATGGCTAGAAATGCCCCGTGGCTGGCAGGAGAGTCGTTCTTAGGAAATAAATGACCCAAGAAACCGTTAATACTGTGTTCCTCTCGGGAACTTGGAAAGTTCAGTGAACTCTCAGACTCTTTGAGCTGGTTTGAGTTTGGGCTTTCTTCAGAAGATGTTCTCTTTCTCCGTCAACATCCCCAGGATCTAAACACAGAGCAAACAGCCACACACCATCCGGGCGGCTTCCTCCTCCTCCACTCCCACTGGATGCTGGAAGCCGTGAGCTTTTAGTCTGCGCCCTCCATGCCACCCACCCCGCCGCTGTCACCACACTCCCACCCTCACCCCCACCTCACTTCTAAGACACTCTTAGCTCGCATGCCAAAGTCCGTCTGCTCACGTCTGCTCTGGTCTTTGGGCGCCGCCCTTGACCGAGAGGAATACCGAACGTTCCCCTCCCACCAGCACCCAGAGTTCCAGTTTGTTTCTGGACTGTGCACAAAGCTCAGAAACAGGGAAAGAGGCTGGAAGGTCGCAAAGGAGGAAGGGAAAATGATATTTAACTGCCTCCTCAAGAGAGTCACCATCAAAGTCAAGCAAGGTTCCAAGGTCGGGACGGACTATCAGCTGGGCTCCTGGCGGCCTCACCAGCCATCCGAGAGCCCAAGGGTCTGGACCGTTTCAGGCCGGTCTGGCACGAGTATCTCTCCAAGCGTGCTGAAAGTCGCTCCAACAATTAAGCTTGGTCCTTTTGTCTCTCCTCCCCTTCCTCCCTCTCTCTCTCTGCTTCCTGCGAGTGTCCCACTGCGCGGGGCTCTGCAGCCACCCTCCCCATCAGGCCGTTTCGCAGTGGCACCGCGGCGCCGTGGAGAGGAGCTAATTGGATTTGTTGTCAGCTCCTGAAGCTGCCAGGAGCTCACGTCTGCTCTGGTTACAGATGAAGACATCACGGTGACAGGCTCAGAGACAGCTCAGCTGGCATCCCAAGGCCACTAATAGAGCCATGTTGATTTAATGTCCGAGTGGAGAGGTGCAGACAAGCTGTTCAAGTTTTCCCTTCCAAACAAAGCAGGGATATACCATCCGTCATCTGTGGATCAGTAAATAAGCATCCGCGTGCCTCTAGGAGCTCTTAACCATTGCCACAAAAGAATGACGAACTATTTTAAACAGGGAAACGGGACTTTGAAACAGAGAGTCTCTCTCTGGTGTATGCTGCCCTCAGGGAGCCCAGCTAATTCCACCAAACATAAATTTTCCTTAACTATGCAATTATGAATGAATCCCATTAGCCTTAAAATTGCTCACTCGCTAAAGGTGTGCCCCTGTGTAAATGGGCTTCGGTGTGTGGGGGATGTGGAGAGGTGCCAGTGAAGATGAGAAGACCTGCCTACTGTCAATGAAGTCATTTAATGAGCACCTACTGTGTGCCAGGCACTGGGTGAATGAGGTTTGGCACCTGCATTCAGGAAGCCCATGGATGAGGCAGTTCCAGCCCAGGGCAATAGTGCTACAAGATAAAAATGGGACTATGGGGAGCATTGACGGGAGGCATCCCATTCCCTTTGAGGGTCTGGAATCGGTTCCCAGTGAGAAAAGCATCTAAGTCCAAGGTCTGCCCCAAGCCCCTTCAATCTGAGCAGGTGGTATCTGTAGTAGGGGGATCCCTGGGGTGACCATCCCCTCTGTCCCTAGACTGGTCCTTTGCCACCAACCCACTAACGACCCTGTGGTCCTCCCCAGGTTTGCAGAGGCCTGAAGTGTCCTCATAGGGTGGATGGTGGCGCCTGAGGTCCAAGAGCACCAGGAGGGGATGGAGCCAAGCACCCTGCAGGGGGCTGGTCTTGGAACTCAGCCTGCCTGCCCAGCACATCAGGGTCCCATGGGCTGTGCTCTGTCCTCTGCTTCCCCACAGCTCCTGGACCTGTGTGAGAACTCTCCTCTCAGATCCTGCACATGCCAGGCTGCTGGCCACCCATGGCCACCTTGACTTCTCAGTGATAGGGCCCAAGCAAGAGTATATTTTTAAAAAATTTATATATATATATGATGAAGTTTTTGCTCTGTTGCCCATGCTGGAGTGCAATGGTGCCATCTCGGCTCACTGCAACCTCCACCTCCTGGGTTCAAGCAATTCTCCTGCCTCAGCCTCCCAAGTAGCTGGGATTACAGGCACCCGCCACCACACCTGGCTTATTTTTGTATTTTTAGTAGGGATGAGGTTTCACCATATTGGCCAGGCTGGTCTCGAACTCCTGACCTCAGGTGATCCACCCAACTCGGCCTCCCAAAGTGCTAGGATTACAGGCATGATCCACTGTGCCTGGCGTATATTAAAAATATTTAACATCAGATCAGATGATGGTCACTGCTTCTTATCAGCTGCACATCACCCTGGGGCCCCAGCATCCAACTGCCTGTTCCTGGGGCCCCCTCTTCCCATCCCTGCCAAGTCTCTCTTTAGACCCTCATCCGCCAAGACCACATATCACTCTCTCCTGCCCGGATCCCCAAGCCCACCTGAAACTCAGCAGGCCCACATACTGGCAGAAGGGAGATCTCAGGGCTACACCAGACTGGGGAGCCATCTGAAGCCCACCGTGAACCAAGGACACAAACTCTGGTAGAAGGCATTTAACATTCTCTCAGACGAAGCAGAGGAGCCCCTGAGCCTGACGAAGACCCCCTGCTCCCTCGCTGAACCGTCTCCCCTGAGCCATGGCCACCCACATGCCCACAGGCCTGTACCCAAGTCCGTTCCAATGGGGCAACTTGAAAATAACCACGAATGCAGGCAGTCCTCAGGAATGAAAGGGGAGAGAGGGAGGGAGACACGGAGAAATAATCCTGATCTAACAGAAAGCTCAAGGAAGAGAGAGAATTCCTCTTTATTGAACAATGAATGAGAATGGTAATTCAACAAAACAGATGCACAAAGACAAGTTACTAAAACTACAGGAAAAGATGGAAAAGGACATTGCTCAGACCTAAGGGTGCAGATGGAAGCCAAAACGTGCTACGAGAGCAACAACAACCTTCTGAACCAGAAACAGGAGACATTCTTAGAAGTAAAGTTATTGACATAGTGGAAAAGCTTGAGAAAACGTGAATGCAGATGAAATAAAGAAATTAAAGTAAGTAGAGATAAGATAACACAGAGAGGCTAGGTGCAGTGGCTCACGCCTGTAATCCCAGCACTTTGGGAGGCTGAGGTGGGCAGATCACTTGAGGTCGGGAGGTTCGAGCCTGGCCAACATGGCAAAATCCCATTTCTATTAAAAATGCAAAACTTAGCCAGGTGTGGTGGCATGACTGCAGTTCCAGCCACTTGGTAGGCTAAGGCAGGAGAATCGCTTGAACCCAGTAGGTGGAGTTTGCAGTGAGCCGAGATCATGCCACTGAACTCCAGGCTGGGCAACAGAGTAAGACCCCGTCTCCAAAAAAAAAAAAAAAAAAAAGACATATAGAGAACTGGTAAGGATGGTACAATGTAAGAAATTTGGGGGCCGGGCGCGGTGGCTCACGCCTGTAATCCCAAAACTTTGGGAGGCTGAGGCGGGCAGATCACAAGGTCAGGAGATCGAGACCATCCTGGCTAACACAGTGAAACCCCGTCTCTACTAAAAATACAAAAAAATTAGCCAGGCGTGGTGGCGGGCACCTATAGTCCCAGCTACTTGGGAGGCTGAGGCAGGAGAATGGCGTGAACCCAGGAGGCGGAGCTTGCAGTGAACCGAGATCGTGCCACTGCACTCCAGCCTGGGTGACAGAGTGAGACTCCATCTCAAAAAAAAAAAAGAAAGAAAGAAAGAAAAAAAGAAGTTTGGGTCCCTGAAGTAAAGAACCCAACGAATTGAACAGAAGATGTAAAGAAATGATAGAAGACCATTTCTCTTAAATGTACAACTTTTTCAAAAGATCAAAAATATACGCATACAGTGTTCCAGAAAATCTTAATGGAGAGCCATGAACACTGAAACATTGCCTGGTTAAACTATAGGACATCAAGGATAAAAATGAGTTCTTTGGAGGTCAAGACAGAAACAGCAAATCAATCACAAAGAGAAAAAGCTAACTGGCTAAAGACCTCTGCAGCCACATTCAATGCCAGGCAGCTCCAGAGTAATAGCTGCAGGGTTCTAGAGTGACAAGGTGTGACCAGGAGATTATAACCCAAAAAGATGCTATTGGAATATAATGGTAACAGGAGATGTTCTCAAACATGAAAAACCCCGGGAATATAGCACCCATGAAAAAATGACTCTCATCAAATTCATCCAGTTCCCATAAAGACCCATGAAAGAAAGAAGTATGGTGAAAGCACAGGTGGCAGGGATTTGGTCCATTTAAATATAGAGCTAAAATTCAACAGCCATGGAATGATGGTTTTAGAAGAGTCTTAGTGTTACACAATACTCAGCACTGGGGAGTGGGGCTTGGAGGAAGGAGCAGCAAGTCTGGCTGATAGCGGCACAAATGGAAACACAGAAAGACTTGCAGTTAAGCTGGACAGATGAGACATATGCCTTTACTCTGGGTTTAGGAAGCCCACCCAAGGGATGGTAACAGAACAAAAGAGCTATCAACCCACAAGGACAAAGAACACAGGAAAGATGAACCAGGAGATGGGAGATGTCGACAAAATTCTGGAAGATGGACAGTTGATAGATCAGTGGTAATTGACTCAGCAGACCAGAGAGCTAAAACTTAATTGATTTCAAGGGGTGGGGAGGAAGATGGGCAATAAGAAGCAAGCCTGTCTCCCACCCTCCATATCACCCCAAAAAGGCTGAGGAGCTAGAAGAATCAAAGACATCTGAAGGCTGGAGAGTGGGGTGGGGCTGAAGACAGGAGGACTGGTGGAAAGTTGGCAAAAGAAGCAGCCGGATCACCAAATAGCACAACCAACTGTCTCAGTTTGCCTGGGACTTTGGGGAGATTGAGAGGATACAGGACTTTGGGTACTAAAACTAGGACAGCCCCAGGCAAACCAGATTAGTTGATAATCTTACCACCAGGTTTCCTCCCTGACCCCAACCCGGGGCACCTACAAAATTGCCCCTTCCACCCCAGTAAAAAACTAGAAAAAGCTTATTTTGTGATGAAAATGAACTAGATTGTATATTCAACAACCCCAGGCCCAGTGAAGACCCTGCTGAAAATAGAGGTGTTAAGAGAAAGCTGGAAGTGTGAACATGGGGGAAGCCTCAGGTCCCTTTCCTCACTTGATTCAGAATCTTGGCAGCCAGGTTTATATCTCACAATCTCCTACACACACTCCCACTTCTACAGATTTGGAGAGTGTCCTTTGAGGAACTAGTCAGAGAGAAAAGATCTACAGATACAGATAATTGAGGGACCCTCCCCACAAGAGAATGACCAGATTGTCACCAAACCATCCCATAATGAGAAACATCAGTCCACAAGCCCAGCCCTCAGACCCAGCGTTTCTGCTCAGCTTTTTAGTGCCTCACTCTTAAATATCTTTAGGGCAGCCAAGGATCGCCAGATGTGATCCCCAGATTGGAGAAAAGCCTTTCACAGAAAAGTAGAAGACTGAAGAAAAACACATGGAAGGAAACAGCAACAGAAATAATAGAAGGTACTGCATTTGTTAAACAAAAATGGATGCTAGTGAAACAACAACATAAGGAACAACCAGAGAGTAAGAAAGGGACTAACAAGTTAAAAGTATGACTAAAAAAATTTAAACTCAATAGATGGCTAAGAAGGCAAAGTTGAGGAAATCTCAAAAACAGAACCAGGCAAGGCAAAAAGATACATTCACAGCACAAATTCAGCTGCCAAAATTCAGCCACAAAATTTTCTTCTTTGTCATTTTGTGTGTTTTCCAAATTTTCCACCATGGACCCATATTAATTTTATAGTCAGAAGAAAAAAGTATATAAAGATGTCATTGTCAAAAGCCCATGACCACACAATGGGCAGCAGGCTGGGGGCTCGGGAGTGAGGGCTGGGGTGGGCTGGGGAGGGAGGCTGCCAGCAGGGCCCCCATTTCCCATGGGGACGCAAATTCATGGGCAGCAGGGGCTTTGGGGACTCACTTGGCCGGGGGAGGGAGTTTCCAGAATCCTCCCAGGACAGACTTTCAGAAGCTCAGGGCCTGAGGGGGACTGAGCCTATGGGAGGCTGGAGATGGGGGCAGCCAGTTGGGCAGGGGCTGAAAAGTGAGGAAGAGTCTGGATTTAGATGAGATGGGCCATTTTTCTCCAGGTCCACAGAAGACCAAACAGAAGGAGTGCCACACGAATGACTGGGAGCTGCCAACCAGGACGACTTGCTGGGGGTCTTTCATGCAGCTGAGGAGCGTGGTCACAGCTCCCACCTCTCAAGAAGACTTCAGTTCAGGCTTTCATCCAGCAAGGCTCAAGCAAACGCCTTCTCTGTGCCAGGCTCTCGCTAGCACTGGACGTACAGCAATGAATCAGGCCTCACCAGGCCCCAAAGCAGAGGGCTGGGCCAGACCCGCTCTAAGCCTCCCAAACTCTACACCTCAGGGGTGGTGGGGGACTCAGGAAGGGAGAGGAGAGGCCCAGCTCTTCTGACAGCTCTCTTGAGGTGAGAAAGATTTTCGAAAGAGAACAAAGGCAGAGAACTGTGGTGATTATGGTCATGATAAGTCCATGAGGAAGAAGATGACAGTGGTGAGGAGAGGCCCTCATGCTTGCTGAGACCGCTGCAGGCCTGTCATCCTCTCCTCAGCTCTCCCAGCAGCTCCACAGGGCACACATGCCCACCTCCGTGGCCACAGTGAGGACACTGAGGCTCAGAAGTAGAGGCGTCTCCCCCAGGAGGCCAAGCTGCTGAGCAGCAAAGCCCAGCTCCAGCCCCAGCCCAGCCCCACTCCACGTTCTGGGCTCTAAGCTTCCCCCAGCCACACTGAGCTAGAGCACGGGATGATTTACTCACGAGGCGATGGACACAGCGGGGCAGGAAAGGTCTGAAATGGTCTGAAAGTGTATGCCCACCATCCACCACCAAAATTCAGTGTTGAATCCTAACCCCCAAGGCGATGGTATGACTCCCACCTTCGGAGAGTGATTAGGTCATGAGGATGGGGCCCTTATCCATGGGATTACTGCCTTTATAAAAGAGGCCCCAGAAAGGTCTCCAGCCCTCATTTCGCCATATGAGGACACAGCAGGAGGTGGCCTTCTATGAATCAGCAAGTGGGCCCTCACCCAAAGCAGAACTTGCTGACTCCTTGATCTTGGGCCTCCCAGCCAGCCTCCAGAACCATGATAAATAAATGTCTGAGTTTATTATAAGCTCCCCAGTCTATGATGTTCTGTTATTGCAGCCACACAGACTAAGACAGGGTCAGTCTAGGAACACACATCTGCTCATTCCAACTCTCCACTGCCCAGTGGCCGAGTGTCCTATCCAGACCTCACCATTCCCAGGCTCGGAGCACCACAGCCTTGGCAGGTCAGTCTGGAGCCCACCCGTCAGTCCCCAGCATCTCCAGGACAACCAAAGCAAGAATTGAAGAGACAGCACTGCCCCGATTTGGGGCTATTGACTCGATTTCTGCCAGGCCCCACTAAGGAATGTAAAACTTTCCACCTGCCTTGAGCAATCTGCCAGGTGGAAAAGAAGTCACAGGGACAAGTGCACATCTTTCTAGCAGAATCCAAATGTGCCCTTGATAAGTCCTGTATTAGTCCATTTTCATACTGCTATGAAGAAATACCCAAGACCGGGTAATTTATAAAGAAAAAGAGGTTTAATGGACTCACAGTTCCACATGGCTGGGGAGGCCTCACAATCATGGTGGAAGGCGACAGAAGAGAGAAGGCATGTCTTACGTGGCTGCAGACAAGAGCGTGTGCAGGGGAACTGCCCTTTACAAAACCACCAGATCTCGTGAGACTCATTCACTATTATGAGAACAGCACAGGAAAAACCTGCCCCCATGATTTGATTACCTCCCACCAGGTCCCTCCCATGACATGTGGGGATTATGGGAGCTACAATTCAAGATGAGATTTGGGTGAGGACACAGCCAAACCATATCAGGTCCCCATTCTTTTTTGACAGGGGCTGGAATGAGAGTGACCAGTGGGTCCCATCACAATTAATAGACAATCACTGCAGACCAACTGTGCCTCATCTTTCGGGTATGCAGATGTATACAAGTGACGCAGTCATCAAGTCCCTGGATGAGGCTCACACCTTGTCCAAACCCGGGTGGGCCAGATCCAGTGCCAGCCCCATCTCCTGCCCATACACCCTTGGGACCTGACCCCCCCATATACCCCCCAAGCAGCTGCACTCTTTCACCTCCAGACTTTGCTCCTGCAGTTGCTCTGCCCAGAACCTCTTTCTCACCTCCTTCGATGTGGCTGCCTTCTACCCAGACTTTGAAACCAGTTCAGATGTTGCTGAGGCTCAGAGAGGTAGACTAATCTTGACTACCATGCCCAAGTCCATTGAGTCTGATTCACACAGCTGCCTCCTCCTCTGAGAAGCCTTCCTGGATGCCCACAGAGGGTTGGGGTCCCTGATCTCAGCCCCTGAGCATCCACTAATCACACTATAGTGTCTGTGTGTCTCCTGGACCAGACCAGCTCCACATAGGCAGTGACGGTTCTTGTTTCCTGCTGGATTCCCAGAGCTGTCTGTCCTCCTCATTGGTGTCACCGCTATGGAAACACTTGGACCTTAAGATCTTCCTCCACCTTACGCTACTGGCTCCAGCCGGGGAAGCAGAACGCATTCCCAAGGAGACCACATCCACATGGGAATCTGACTGCAAGGCAGAGTTGGGAAATGGCTGACCCCACCCTGACTAGGAGTCCCACACGTCCCTGCCCACCACAGTGCCCTCTCCCATGGCACCATTCTTCTAGAATAAACACCCAAGAAGAAAGAGTCTACTAAGTCACTAGAGCAGAGGTGCTGGCCAAAACACTTCCTCACTGACAAGGCAGCTGAGAGGTTCACGGGGTCCAGGGCCTGTAGAGGAAGAGAAGGATCTAAATGGGCAGAAAGAGGGGGTGGGCCTCCTAGAGGAGCTGGACTTCACCCATAGGTGTCAACTTGCCATCAGGGTGGCCACAAATAAAAGAGCTGGCTTCTTGAAGCCTCAGTTTCTCTCATAAGAAAGGCATCCTATGTGCAGGTGGCCATGCATACAGTAAGAGCATGGGAAATGGCGCTCCTCTCCCCCAGCCGTCTCCCTCCCCTTCTCTCTCCTTCCTGAAGGCACCTTTATCTATGAGTCTCCTTCACCAACAGCTCCATGCAGTCAGCTGGGGCGGCTGGTCAGGGGCTGGAGAGGTCACTTCCCAGGCAGCGCACTCTCATGCTGGCTTCGGCTGTGGTCAGACACCTGCCTTCCTTTCCACACAGCCTGCTCGAGATTTCTCCTGGCAGGGGGCTGGATTCCAGGAGTGCATGTCCCAAGACAGCCAGGAGGAAGTCATGTCACCTCTCATGATCTCGCCTCAGGAGTGTCTTTTTCACCATAGTCACAAGCCCACCCACAATGAGGGGAGGGGACACAGAGCCCCCTCCATGGGAGGAGTGTCAGCATCACATTGTAAGAAGAGAATACAAATGTGGTCAGTTTTGGAAAATACAAGCCGCCCCACCCACTCCAGAATGAGTTTGGATTTTATTGTATACGTGACAGTAGGATGGCAACAAGACTGGGTTTACATTTGAGAAGTGGCTGGGTGGACGGTGGATTAGAAGGGAGCTGAGTGGAATCCTTCCAGTTAGGAGGCACTAGCCCTAGTCCAGCTAAGGGGTGATGTGGATTTGCGCCCTGGGCAGCAGTGGAGATGGGGTGGGCACCAGGACCTGCACACTTTGTGGCTCACTAGTACAATGCCCAGACTCAGACATGTCAGCAAGGCCGTGCAGGACGTGCTTGGGGGTCTAGACTTTATCCTGGGGCAGTGGGGACCTACTGAGGGATTCTAAGCAAGAAAGTAATCTGCTCAAACTGTGTCTTAAGGAAAACTCTCAAAGAAGGCTGAATCTAGGACAAGACTCGCAATCTGACCTTTGTAGTAATGGCCCAGAGAAACAGGTGTTGCTCTGCCTCAGCAAGCCCAGTAAGTTCACCAAAAACCAATATCCCCCAACCTCCTGCCTCTTGTTTCAAGCCTTAAGCCATGGGTGTTTCTCTCTGAATTCACACAGCTTTTGGAGTTGGCCTCTCTGGGGCATATATACTGTTTCCACCCACCCAGCACCCAATTCCCTCTGTGTATCAGTCAGCTTCTGCTAGAGGCTGCAGTAACAAATGATCCCCAGATCTCCGTGATTTCCAGTGGCAAACATTTGTCTCTTGCACTCAGTTCACACAGACTTCAGGTTAGCTGCAGCTCTGTTCCATGTGGCTTCTTCGCAGTTGGGTCCAGGCTGAAGGAGCAGTCTCTATTTCGGACAGCCCCTTCTAGAGGGAGAAGGAAAAGAGGAAGAGAGCTGGTGGAAATCTGTAATATTAAAGCTTCCGTTCAGACGTGGTGCATATCACATCTGCTCACACACCGTGAGCCACAGCAAGTCACATGCCACGTTCAAGGTTAGTGGAGAGGGGAGGTAGACTCCTCCCACAGGAGGCACTGCAAGGCATGGGGTATGGGAGGAGATGTATGGTCTTCTTACAGAAAAGGAGACTGAAGAGTTGAGAGCAAGAATACAATCTACACCCACTTCACCTGGTGACCCCTTTGCCATAGTTATTGGTTCAAGGACGGGCATGTGACCCAAGCCAGGCCAATTGAGTCAATGAGATTCATTGCTAAGCCTTTCATCTGGGCTGAAGGGAAAGAGAAGCATTCATTTCCGTTGTTGCTTCCGAGAAGGTGGCTGTGAGCCTGAAGTTTCAAGCAGTGGTCTTGGCACCACAGGCAACAGAGCCCTCCCAGAGACAGCAAGAACAAGACCAGACCCCAAGAATGTCACTTGGGGTCCTGCAGCCAGATGTGGTGGAAGCCAGCTACCCCTGGCCTATTTGATTATAAGAATCTGCTCAAGCCATTTGCATTGGGTTTCTGACACTTGCTACTCAGAGTCTGATTCAATACCACAATTGAAACAGATCCACTCTTTGGCTATCACAGCCTGACTTCCCTGAGGGTGCGTTCTGCCTTCTCAACTAGACAGTCACACCTTCAGGATAGAAATCTATGGCACCGATTTTTAATGACCCTGAGTATCTTAACACACATTTTGGAAGAGAAGCACATATTTTGCATATACTATGAGCCCGGCATTGTACTGCGTGTTTTGCCATGTACTATATCATCCCAATCTTTGAGAAACCCTGTAAGGTCAATGCTACTGTCAAGATTCAAAAAGATTAAACTCTCTGTCCAATGTAGCACCCGAATCAGTAACAGAACTGGGACTGGAGCCCACCTTGGTCGTGATGTGGACAGTATTATCCCCTAGGGCTTCCACACCACCACCTAGTGTGCTATGCAAGGTTCCGAGTGTGTTCAGGGGGAAGGATGGAAGCAACACAGCTCTGCTCTCAGGCCGACCTATTTGTGAGCAGGACTGACAAGAAGGCCGCCCGGGGCCAGGTCTGGAATGTGTGGTCAAAGGTGAGCCCGACTGGCTTTGGCTGAAAACCAGCACGCTCCACCCTGATGCCCAGTCTAGTTGGACCTCAAAAACAGGCACCAAAGCCTGTATTCATTCAATTCAACCCCCTCTAAAGACAACCTCATCTTTGTTCCAGGCTTCTGCACCTCTTCCCATAAGTCTTGCAGACTGAAGCCACCTCCTGCCCAGATGCTAAGCATGGGCCAAGCCTCCAGATCGCTGTGCCCAAGCTGCCCCAACCCAAGTCCTCTGCCTTCCTCTAACTCCCTGTCCCCAGCATGCAACCCTCCTACCCAGAGATTATTAAATATAACCCCCATTTGCAGGAAATATGCAAAACTGTTTATCTTTGGAAACTAAAATATATGAAACTGAGTCATCAGGCAAATTATATGCATCAGTAAGTGATAAATGTTCAGGGCCAGCAATCCTGAAATAGCACATGAAAGCCTTTTTGCTACTCCTCTTTCTGCCTACAGAGCACTTTTGAGCAAAGTTCATTGCCGGCAGTACAAAGTCAAGCCCCACAGAGCCTCTCACATTGATCCTGCCTGCTCGAATGGGTGCCAGGAGGACTCCTGGGGCAGGGAAACCCCATGGACCCCTATCCCAGCCCATCCTCTCTCAACCTCAGGGCAAGGCTGTTGGGACATCTCTTTGCTCCAGATGCAACCCCTGGACTCCTAAGGTTCAGCAGCCTGGGATAAGAAGTCCAAAAAATGTTCCCTTCCCTGACCTACTCAGTACACCGGCCAGAGAGGCCAGACGCCGACAGCAACTCCCCATCCAATATGGCCTCTCTGTCAAGTTGGCCCAGAGAAGTGGCAAGGCAGAGCGCAGTAGCCGAAGGACCTCTTGCCCAGAGAGGGACAGCAGCTCCTGGCGGTGCCCCTCTCAGATGCAGTCCTCACTCAGTCTTCTGCATCCTTTCCCTCTCCCCTCCCCAGACACTCATACCCACCTCTTCCTTCCCCTCTCCACGTAGCTCCTGACCATGTGGTCTTTCCTACAAATAAAACATGAAGGTCCCCTGGCCTGGCCTGGACTGCATGTCAGGAGGCCCGAACTCTAGTCCTGACCCTTCCCCAACATACAGCATGATCTTAGACCTTCCCTGGGCTGTTTCTACATCTGCCATATGAAAGTCCCCTACCCAAGGGCCCATGGTGGATGTTTGGCCCACGGTGGCTGTTCACTTTCTAAACAACTGCTCTGGATAGTTCAGCCACAAACACAAACACTTGTTCATTCATTCAACAAATACCAGGGGAGCACCTCCTGAGTCCCAGGCACTATGCCAGGTCTTGGGGTGCTGGTCCCACCCATGAGCTGTTCACTGCCCAGGGCCCAGGGTGCCACTTAAAGAAGATGCCTGCTTAACTACAAATGCACTGGCTGTGCTTCAACCCAGGACGGGGCAGGAGCTCCACGCCATGCATGAGCTTTATGCATTTGCCTCCTGGATGGAGAGGCCATAGTTTCCATTTAGCACCATGATGCAACATCTGACAGAACTGAGTCCCAGCTCAGAAGCCTCCATATACTTTTCTTGACCACAGTTTCCTCATCTAAGAATGTGAACTATATAAGGACAGCCTTCTAAGAACTCTGTAGGAATTAAGTGAGAACATGCACAGGGTTTGGCCCAGAGCACACAGTTAATAAATGCTGTGGTTGTTATTATGAAAGAGAGTCATTTCTACCTCCCTGCATCAGTGCTGGGCCGTGCTGCACAAAGCCTGGTGTGTTTTCCTCCAGCTTCCAGGTGGCTTCACTTTTACTCTCAACTATTAGGTAACAGGAAAACCTGGGGCTGTCCCCTGCAGCCCTCCAATCCCCCCTCCTGTGTTGAAGTTCTGGCCCTATCACCACGTTGCTCTCTGTCTTTAGCCTTAGTTGCCATCATCTGAGACAAGGAGCCAATGCCACACTTCCCTCCCTTACGGGCTGCCATGGGATCAAAGGTGACAGCATCCATGGAACCTGTTTGTAACCCATGCAGTATTCCATGCAGACAGCATGAATCTCCCACAAAACCAGAAAGTTACCCTCCATACATGGGTTCAACTGGAGTGCTTTGGGCTGCAAGTAACAGACAAACCAACTCAAAGAGGTTTAAACATCTCATCAAAAAGTGGGCTAAGGACATGAATAGACAATTCTCAAAAGAAGATATACAAATGGCCAAGAAACATGAAAAAATGCTTAACATCACTAATGATCAGGGAAATGCAAATCAAAACCACAATATGATATCACCTTACTCCTGCAAGAATGGCTGTAATCATAAAATCCAAAAAACAGTAGATGTTGGCATGGATGCGGTGAGCAGGAAACACTTCTACACTGCTGGTGAGAATGTAAACTAGTACAGCCACCATGGAAAACAGTGTGGAGATTCCTTAAAGAACTAAAAGTAGAACTACCATTTCATCCAGCAATCCCACTACTGGGTATCTACCCAGAGGAAAAGAAGTCATTATGTGAAAAAGATACTTGCACACGCATGTTTATAGCAGCACAATCCACAATTGCAAAATCGTGGAACCAACCCAAATGCTCATCAATCAACGAGTGGATAAAGAAACTGTGATATAGATATATATGATGGAATACTACTCAGCCATAAAAAGGAATGAAGTAACGGCATTCGCGGTGACCTGGGTGAGATTGGAGACTATTCTTCTAAGTGAAGTCACTCAGGAATGGAAAACCAAACATTGTATATTCTCACTGATATGTGGGAGCTAAGCTATAAGGATGCAAAGGCATAAGAATGATACAATGGACTTTGGGGACTTGGGGGGAAGGGTGGAAGGGGGTAAGAGACAAAAGACTGCAAATAGGGTGCAGTGTATACTGCTCGGGTGATGGGTGCACCAAAATCTCACAAATCACCACTAAAGAACTGACTTATGTAACCAAACACCACCTATACCCCAATAACCTATGGAAAAAGAAAAAAAGAGATTTAAGCACTGAGGATTTTCATGACCACACACAAAAGACCCTGAGGTGGCCAACCTCAGACCAGCTTCAATGTCGGGGGAATGGGAACCATAGACCAAACACAACTTACCTGAAGCCCAGCCAGGTGGAAGAGGGTGGAGCCTGAGAAAATCAGACTCCGCCAGCAGGGAAGTGGGGGAGTGAATTTGGAGTGAGCAACAAGAATGTCTGCCACACCTGCTTATGAAATAGCTTTGCAGGTGAATTTTCTCATTTACTTGCAAGGCATTCTTACTTGTTAGCATTTCCTAATGATGCTGAGAAAATAGGAATACCATTGGTAAAAGCTTGATCAGGAAAAATGAACAGTCTTGTCCTTGGTGCTTCACACCCAAGAGCCACTGGTTCCCAACCCCTCAGGCGGAAGCAGACTTTGGTGGCCTCATTGCCTGTGACCCCAGGCCTCCAGTCAAACGCATGGCCTGGCAAAATTCCTTTCTTGGAAAATGCCTGAGATGATCGCATGAATCCTCCTACACAGCCTAGGGATTACAACCAACTGGGAAAGGAGTGGAGGAAGGAGGTCACTGGCCCCAGGAGGGTGAGTCAGCTGTCCTACCAACCCACCCCTCACTCCTGATCTCCTTCTGCTGTGATCCACCTCTCAACAAAGAGTTGGATCTCTCAAGATCCATCTCTTGGCCTCACGTTCCTGACTGTGGACCACACTCTGGCCCCTCTAAGACCAGCACTTGCACAGGCCCTGCTGGAAGTACAGCCTCAGCTCATGGGGCAGTTTCAGCATGGCTTGACTCTCACGCCCTGCTGCCTGGGGAGGGCCACACAGCCCAGACTCAGCCTCAGCCTCAGGAAAGCCAACCCCCATCCCTACTTGGCCACCATTAGCTGGCAGAGCGGGGGGAGGGGTAGGTGGGTCCTGATGCCACTGCCATGAGCCACAGCAACTGTCAGCTAAGACCCCAGTCCCGTAATTGGCACCTAGCAAACAATCTGGGAGGTGCTAGGGTTGGGCCCCCAGCATGCGTTAGCCATCGTGGTTATAGAAGCAGCAGCCTCCTGAGGGCAAATGTGGACTGCAGTTGCAGTGTGCTTCCTAAAGCATTGGTCCCCAGCTCAAGCATGGCCCCAGGGTAAGTGGGGGCTGCGAGTGAGGCACAGATTCAGGAGTGCAGAGCCAGGCTAGGGCCTTGGCTGTCCTGGCTTTGGACCCCAATGAGATAGGCACACCCATTTGTAGTTGCACGTCACGATGCTGCAGTATTCATGTCATGGTTGGCTGGCTCTCTGCAATTTCCCCCTCTTCCAGAAGTAGCACCCTGTGCAGTCCAGGTCCTGAGTATCCCCCACCCATGCACTGGAAAGACACCCAAGTGGATGGGCCAAAGAGTCTGCCCACCAGAGTTTGGGAATTGACACCTGGTGGTACCAAGACACAGGGCAGTGGGCACTGAAGTTGAGTCCTGTAAGGGCTGGGCCCCCAGAAGACGGCCACCGCCTCCTGCTGCCCCAGTCCCCACGGCTACCTATTCTTCCTGGGCCAGTGCCTCCTGTAGTCCACAAAACACCCTCACTTCCTGCCAGGAGACTCTTTTTTTGTTTTTGTCAGATAAGACAGAGTCGGTTTCTGTTGCTTGAGTCCGAATGAACACACGGCCCTCAGCCACGCTCTCATTTTACAGGTGTGACCTGGGGCCCAGCAGGCATGTGACGTGTAGAGGTTGCGCTGGCCGTGCATGCAGGTCTGAGAGAACCCCAGTTTCTAGGCACCCCCTCACTCCTCTTTCTGACAATCTGCTTGGTAAACGTGTGGACTCGGCCCCTTCCTGGGGCCCTCTTGGCTCTGCCTTCAGAGGTGTCCACATGCCCTGTGTTGGTGCTGCTTGGGAAGGCAAAGGCCCCAATCTGCTCAGACCAAGTGGTAAGCTTGGACCAAGCGGATCCAGACCTGTGGGGAGGCAAACACACCCTCACCACCATCCCTCCCCAGGAGCGCATCCAAAGGCCTGGCATCAGGGCTTTCCAAACTACCAGGAAAGGGCGCTCCACAGGTGAACACACTTCCAGCTCCAACAATTTCCCAGGGAAGAAAAAGTTGCCATGCCCCTAGATAAAGGGTGTGCGGAGCAGCAGGGGAAAGTGGAGCAGCAGGGGAAACGGCTTCTGGTGTGCGCACTGCTCCCTTAGCTGCAGGAGTGTCCCTGATCTCAGTAGTAGATAAACTCTTGGCAAAGCTGGGTTTTCCATGGTTTGCTGAACTCCTGAACACAGATGTCCCATTTGTGTTTCGTTAGTACATCAGCCGCTCTGCGGCTTTCGACCTCTGCACCAGGCAATAATTACCTGGCTCGGGCCCATCCCCTCACCAGCTGGCCGGGGACTTGCTCTGCCCGACCAGGGCTGTGTCTGCTGTCAGCCCTTTCCAGGCAACTGGACAGCTCCGTCATAACCAGAATGCCTCAGCTGGGCCTGTGTTAGCATGAGGGGCTGTGGGTGGCGGGTCCTGTAGACTCTAGCAGACACCTCTAGAGAGAGAAGAGGTCTCCAGAGCCCATCTACCCCGGGGAGGCTGGAGAGAGGGAAGGGGAGGAGGTAGAGAAGGAGGTGGGGAGGAGGAGGAAGAAACCTAGAGGGGCAGGAGAAGGGGAGAGGAGGGGAGGAAGGGAGGAGGAGGAGGAAGACGGAGGGAGGAGGAGGGAGGGAGGAGGAGGGAGATGGGGGAATAGGAGGGGGAAGGAACCTAGAGGGGCAGGAGAAAGGGAGAGGAGGGGCAGAGCAGAGGAGGGGGAGAGGAGAGGAGGGGGGAGAGGAGAGGAAGGGGAAGAGGAGAGGAGAAGGAAGAGGGACAATGGGGAAGAGGAGGGGGAAGGAACCTAGAGGGGCAGGAGAAAGGGAGAGGAGGGGGAGAGGAGAGGAGGGGGAAGAGGAGAGGAGGAGGAAGAGGGAGAAGGGGGAAGAGGAGGGGGAAGGAACCTAGAGGGGCAGGAGAAGAGGGGAGGAGGGAGGAGAAGGGGGAAGATGGAGGAGGGGGAAGAGAGGAGGAAGGAGAAGAGGGGAGGAGGACCAGAAAGAGAAGGAGGCAGAGGTGGGTTGGGGCCCAGGCCTGGAGCTGGGAGCTGCATCTCTGAGCTGAACATGCTCGGGTGGGCCTGGCAGGCTCCATGGACCCCTGCTCCATTGCCTTCTGGCTCCAGGGGAGGGGCCAGGGTGCCATCTCAGTCCCACAGCAGAGGACATGTAAGGGAGCCTTCTGATGGGATGTCGGCTGGGTTTCAAGAGCGGCCTTGGCAAAGTACAGGGCTTTCCCCACTCTCGTCCTGAACTGACGCACTTGGGCATGGGTGAGGGGGTCAGGGCATTGCCCTCCCTATGGGTCTCCCTTCCCCAGGCTCTGCTCTTGGGACTTCCAGAAAGCCCCCAGGGAGGTCTTTGTGGAGGAAAGCATTGCGTCTAGGCTCTGAGGCACACAAACAGAAAGGTCCCTAAGCCCCAGCTCACTTGTGTGGAATTTTTTAAGACACAGTCTTAAAATATGTAAATAGTTGTTATTCTGTATAGTTTTTTAAAATGTGTATTTCTTATTGTTGTATTTTTTGTTTGTTTGTTGTTGTTTTTGGAGACAAGGAGACAAGGTCTCACTCTGTCACCCAGGCTGGAGTACAGTGGCATGATCTTGGCTTACTGCTACTTCTGCCTCCCAGGTTCAAGCCATTCTCCTGCCTCAGGCTCCTGAGTAGCTGGGATTACAGGCACCCGCCACCACGCCTGACTAATTTTTGTAATTTAGTAGAGACGGGGTTTCACTGTATTGGCCAGGTTGGTCTCAAACTCCTGACCTCAAGTGAGCTGCCCACCTCAGCCTCCCAAAGTGCTGGGATTACAGGTGTGAGCCACCGTGCCCGGCCTACTGCATGTGAAATTCTAACGTGGGTGGATCAAAGGGGATTTGCCGAGAAGCGAGTGAAACTTAAGCTCCAGGCCCCCTCACTTGCCCAGGTACCTTCCAAGACCCTGAGCTGAATTTAGAATTTATAGCTCTGTAAGAAGGCGCCCCAAATTGTATAGGTTCCAGGACCCCTAAAACCTGGATCTGACTCTGGTATAAATTTTCAGCTCCACCTTTTCATCTACATTGAGATGTGGGATATCTACATTCAAATCAAGAGTCACCATGGTGGGGCTCAGAGAGGCCAAGTCTTAAATCAGAAATATATTGACTTTCGGAAGAAGGACCCCCACAGAGAAGGTAGCGAGGGAGTAAGTGTGGCAAGGGGAACAGAAAGGGTAGCCGGCATTCTTTAAGTGTGTCATGAGCATACATGCTAAGCATTCTGAATCACGATCTTGTTTAATCTTCCCAGCAACCTGAGGAAAAGTTGTTCTCCCATTTTGCAAATGAGAAGAATGGACCTCAAGGAAGTAACTGGTCCGCAGGAGTGGAGTTGGAATTGAAGCTTAGGTTGGTGGGCCCTGGAGGCCACACTCTTCCCACGACACGTCATGCACCCAGATGTGTGAGGGAGCTGGTGGAAGGCACAGTGACTGGAAGCATTTTGGTGAAACTACAGTCCTCAGTATCTATGCTTCCCACACGCACAGATTCAACCAACCGCAAGTCAAAAATGTTTGAAAAAAAATAAAAATACAACAATAATGGCCGGGCGTGGTGGCTCACATCTGTAATTTCAGCAGTTTGGGAGGCTGAGGCAGGAGGATTACTTGAGCCCAGGAGTTCAAGACCAGCCTGGGCAACATGGTGAAACCCTATCTCTACAAAAATACAAAAATTAGTCAGGCATGATGACAAGCGCCTGTATTCCCAGCTACTTGGGAGGTTGAAGTAGAAGGATCGCTTGGGCCCAGGATGTCAAGGCTGCAGTGAGCCGAGATGGTGCCACTGCACTCCAGCCTGGGTGATAGAGTGAGACCTTGTCTCCTTGTCTCCAAAAACAACAAAAAACAAACAAAAAAATACAATAAGAAATACACGTTTTTAAAAACTACACAGAATAACAACTATTTACATAGCATTTACAGTGTATTAGGTATTATAAGCAATCTACAGATGATTTAAAGTATATGGGAGATGTGTGTAGGTTACATTCAAATGCTATTATTTTATTTTATTTTTTAAGAGACAGGGACTTGCTTTGTCACTCAGGCTGGAGTGCAGTGGCAGTCACAGCTCACTGCAGCCTCAAACTCCTGGGCCCAAGTGATCTTTTCACCTCAACCTCATGAGAAGCTGGGACTACAGGTGCACACCGCTGCACTGGGCTAATTTTTTTTTTTTTTTTTTTTTTTAGAGGTGGAGTCTTGCTATGTTGCACAGGCTGATCTTGAACTGGCCTCAAGTGATTCTCGCAAAATGCTGGGATTACAGGTATGAGCCACCGCACCTGACCCACATTTTATATTGTCTGATCATCCACGGAGTTGGTGTCCAAGAGATTCCTGGAACCAATCCCCCACAAATACCATGGGACCACTGTACTGACTACACTGGTCAATGACCCTAAAACATTTCTCATGTGACTAGTACATGGATATTAACTATTTGGTACCCTTTGTTACTGATGTACAGCATATGAAATATCTGTGGTGGTCTCTTTAGTCAGACTGATGTTTTAGTTTAGTTTTGATTCTTAATGAACGTGTATAAATCTATTGACATCAATAAATTGTTTCACTTGTGATCTTACAGGTTCTTCATCCACAAATTCTCTCACAAGAGGCTTTTAAGAACAAAACTATCACCACCAAGGAGAGGAGAGAGAGTTGATACAGCCAAGGATAACAAATTTCATCTTTCTGCACCAACTCCCATAGGTCAGCAGCAACTTCCTGAAGTCCCGCGTGCAAAGGGACCTTTGGGCCCAGCAGCTGTGATCTGTCAGCAATGCCTGCTCCAAGCACGGGAGGGAAAAGAGGCAGTTTTTCCGGCAGGTACTTGTCAGCTTCTGGAAAAGCAAAGATAGACAGAGGCCAGGCCCTCCAGCTACAAAAATGAGTATTCTTTTGGGGGCTGTGACGAGACTCAAATGTCCTCAGCTAAGAAGAAGCTGGACTTCTCCCACCCCGGAGTCCCTGGGCACCTTGTTAGCTAGGGTGGCTCTGGCCATTGATGAGAGAAGGCCAGGAGGATTAAGACCAAGATTTGAACCTTGGACAGCCAGGAAGTTGGCATCACTGTCACCAGAAGTCAGCAGGCCACCTTGTGCTGGATAAGGTGGGCTCCACCACAGTCCCTGCTTGAGGAAGGTCATGGCCACTTCTGTCCCGACCTCAGGGGCTCACTGGATGGTTTAGTTCAAGGGTGGTCTCAAATGGGCCACCTTTGCTCTTCTTGCAAATGTGGCAGATGTTGAAAGCAGCACTTTCCTTTAATTTTCACAAGAAAACACTCACGTAAGACCTTTCTGTGTGGGATTATTACTGAAGTCTGGGGTTACAGGGGATCCCACTGCGCAATGAAGCAGCTTAAGGGTCCTGTGGTGGTCTCCCGAATGCTCACGAATCCACCGTCCTCCCGGAATGGGACTAGAGTGAAGCCCACTTGCCTTGGGTGCAGAATTTAAGAGCAGCCAGAATTCAAGATAAATAATGTTAATGCAAAAAGTAATGGGGAAAAAAATCCACGATGAACAAAAAATCAAAATTTTATTTTATTTATTATCATTTTTTTTTGAGATGGAGTCTCGCTCTGTCACCCAGGCTGGAGTGCAGTGGCGCCATCTCGGCTCACTGCAAGCTCCACCTCCCGGGTTCACACCATTCTCCTGCCTCAGCCTCCGGAGTAGCTGGGACTACAGGCTCCCGCCACCACGTCCGGCTAATTTTTTTGTACTTTTAGTACAGACGGCGTTTCACCGTGTTAGCCAGGATGGTCTCGATCTCCTGACCTCGTGATCCACCCGCCTCGGCCTCCCAAAGTGCTGGGATTACAGGCTTGAGCCACCGCGCGCCGCCAAAAATTTTAAATAAAGACAGAATCAACTATGCCGTTCCATATTGGACCCTGAGGCAAAAGGAGATATCCATGAAACAGATCCTGTCTTTACTTGAAATGTTGATAGTTCGTTCATCATGGATTCCTTTTGTTAATTTTGAGTTTTAAAATATGGCATTAAAATACGATTTCCCTTGATGATTGCGATTTTTGGTGCCCCTTCAATTCTGTGCCCAGGCCAGTGCCTCATTCTCCTCACCCCTGCTCTGCTCTGCCCCTCTTGGCCTCTGCTCCCAGCCTCATAAGAGCATTAAAAATGTCTTCCTCCAGTTTTCCCAGGGCACCTCAACCCTTCCCCGCCCCTACTCCCAAATACAGCACCCCATCTCCCAAGACCTGCCACTTTGAAATTGCTCTTGGCAGAGGATGCCTCAATGCAGACAGTCAGGTGAAGGCCACATGCAGGGACAGGAATGAGTCCACGAGGGGGTTTTCCCCAGTTGGGGGCTTCCTCACATGGAGGGGCTGTCTTTCAGCTACTCGGACCCCACAGGACAGCCCCCAGAGCCAGGAGGAGGCTACAAAGGCGGATCCAGGTAAGGTGTCCTAGGAATTGGGAGGATAAAAATAGTGGTCACTAGACATGAAATCAGATCCACACAGACACAGAGTGCACTGTGAAAGGGGGTCCCTTCTCTGGAGTCCAGGCCCTCCTCTGGGTCGTGAATATTCTCCAGCTCTGGCTGGCATCCAGGGAGGTGGGGGTGCCCCCTGGGCAGGATGCTGCTGGGTCCGAGGCTGGCCTGGAGGATGAAGGGGGGAGGATGAAGCCATTCTCGCCCTTACCTCTGGAGCTAGGCGGACTCCCCATGGCTCCCACCGGCCCCTCTGCTCTTTCTGCTCCACCCTCCGTGTCCAGGGGAGCCCGATAGAGCACGCGGGAAAAGCCGGGTGTCTACGCTTCCGCGACTTAGGCTGCAGAGATAAGAGAAGGTCAGGCTCTGGGAGGACGCGAGGCCGTCCAGGAATGGCAGGGAGGCCCGCTGGGGCCTGACTTTGGTCCTAATGGACCAAAGCTTCGACGGAGCAAGGCCGGGTGTCCGTGGTGGCACCTCTCATCAGTGGACGCTGGCGAATGACTATGGAAACAACATTCAACAGCAGTGTTTTCTATGCCAGGTACACAACCGCCTTGGCGTGGGTTGATAACCATGCCTATCTCACCGCGTGGCACTGAGCCGACCGCACACCCAGGGCCCCGGTCTCCAGGGCTCGCTTACTCGCTTACTGCGTGAAGCATCCATCCCCGCAGGAGCCGGAGCAGGAACAGGGCTGGGCCCTGGGGCGCGCGCATGCGCAGGCCGTGCTCCAGGAAGGGCGGGGCACTGAGCCGAGGGCCGGCGCGGGGCGGAGGGCAGGGGGTGGTCGCACTCTCCAGGGCACCTGTGCGGTGACTGAGAACCGACCCGGCAATCCGCGGGCCCGGGCGGGGGGAGTCCTGTCTCTGCCGCTGACCAGGTGCGTGACCTTGGGCAAGTCACTGAACCTGCAGGTGCCTCCGTTTTCTCGTCTGGAAAATGAGGGTCCTAGAGTCGCCCATCTCATAAGTCGTCGTAGCTCCGGGTATAACTTAGGCCGGTGGCAGGCACGGATGCGGACTCTCTGTGCGGCAGCGCTGAGCATTCCGGTGGGCGCCTAGGAAGGGCTATTCTTATTCTGCTTCCTACCTAGTCTCAGCAAGATGAGACCCAAAAGTATTTCTCCACCACCCAGTACTTATGTTGCTTTCCTCCATTAAAATCACGACTTTGTGTAATTTGACAGGATACCTTGCATGTACGCCTTCTCACTTGACTGTCACATGAGCCTTTTGAGATGGATAAATTTTAGGATTCTTCCCATTTTCCAGATAAGGAAACTGAGGCTCAGAGATCTAGTGGCCAGCCTGAGGTCCCACAGCTAGAAAGTAAGGAAGCTGGCCAGGCGCGGTAGCTCACGACTGTAATCCCAGCACTTTGGGAGGCCAAGGCGGGTGGATCACCAGAGGTAGGGAGTTCGAGATCAGCCTGGCCAACATGGTGAAACCCCGTCTCTACTAAATATACAAAATTAGCGGGGTGTGGTAGCGGGCGCCTGTAATCCCTGCTACTCGGGAGGCTGAGGCAGAAGAATTGCTTGAACCCAGGAAGCAGAGATTGCAGTGACCTGGGATCGCGCCACTGCGCTCCAGCCTGAGAGACAGAGTGAGACTCGGTCTCCAAAAAATTAAAATAAATAAAATAAATAAAATAAAATAAAATAAAATAAAATAAAATAAAATAAAAATAAAATAAGGAAGCCAAGACTGAAACCCAAGTCTTCAGATTCCAAAGCTGGGGTGCTGCTGGCTCGTTCTGAAAGCAAGCATGATGGCCATCCTTTCTAGACATATCAGCGGTGTAAGTTCACACTGAAATTGCCCTGCATAATTAAGGATTTTCTATTATTGGGGAGAGTGTGACAATACAGTAATATTACAGTTATACTTTGAAAAAGAACCCTCTCCCTTTAGAGAGACACACTACAATCTTCCCAAATGAAAGGATACGATGTCTGGTGCCCATTTGTTTTTAAATAATGGGGTGCGGGTGCACAGATTAAGCAAAACTGGCCATAAAAATTGTTGGAAATGGGTGATGAGCACATGAGTTCATCACATGAGTCTGTCTACTCTTAGCACATGTTTAAAGTTTCCATAATAACAATAAAAATAAATCAAGTTTTCTCAAAACTTCTTAAGCTGAAGCACACCTGTGTTGCTGGAAGAACTCAATCCCAAGATCTGTTTTCCAGCAACTGAGAACCGACCCCACAGTCTACAAGCCTAGGGGGAGTCTTGTCTCTGCTGCTGACCAGCTGTGTGACCTTTGGCAAGTCACTCAAACTGCAAGTGACTCTGTTTCCTCATCTGAAAATGAGGATTATAGGGGTGCCCACCTCAGAGGGAATGAGACCCCTGGGACTGGATGCTGGGTCCTTGAAAGCCACTGAGCTAGGAGTCCCACACCCAGGGCCTGCAGGGCCAGGCAGGCAGTGTCACTGAGAGGAGTGACAGGTAGGGACGGTGACAAGTGGAAATGTTCCCTCCAGCCTAATGGTGTGAAGGGGCCACATATTCTTCTTCAAGAAAGGTGGTGAGCTAGCTCTTGACCTGACATTTCCTGGTTTCTAAAGGTTGGCAACCAATTCAAATGTAGCTGTGAACCAATTGCCTATATGTGACCAATTTGCCTCCTGGAGCCCGGGCTAGCCCTTCTCCTTTCCCCCACACCCTTTGGAGAAGAAAGAACCAAAGCCCAGAGTGAGGAAAAACTCCCAAAGTCTCACAGCGAGTCAGATCCAGCCCTAGCACAAGACACGCGTCTCCCCTCCCCTGGCCCACTCCTGGTTTCATATTTCAGTAGTTGGAGGACCTTTCCCAAAGAAGAGACCATGCAGAGACAGAACAAAGAGCAAGCACCAGATGACAATGTCTAGGAGAATGTCAGTTCTGCTTCTGAACCCAAATGAGTGAATATGCCCCAACGAAGGCAAGTGGGGGCGAGGTTAAGCGGGGGAGGGGGAGGCCACTACTGTAGACCTTAAGATCAAACATTTGGGCCAAATGAGTTTTACTTATTACTTGGCTAGGTGGGTTTACTGAGCAAGTTATTTAACCAGGCATGACCTCTGTTTTCCCATCTGTAAAATGGGAGCATACACACAGCTTGCCCTTTTCTGTTTTATGCAACAGTATAAAAGCTCAAAGCTTCTTACAAATTGTGGCGATCTCCTCAGAGCCTGCGGCCTTGGGCAAGCAAGGGGCCACTCCAGTGTATCACTGTTATCACTACTAAGCACTATTATCAAAACAAAAATGGAAGAAGAACCAGTGCCGAGAACTCATGGATCTAAATGGCTGAGCTCTGGAATCTCTCTCTTTTCAGAAAGCAGCGTCTTAGGTGAAGGAAAGAGCATCGAAGATTGGAAAGCAACAAAGACTACGCCCTCATAGTTCTCATCACAAGGCAGAGACAAGCTCATGGGGAGAAGATGCGTATACACAACATTCCTCTTGGAGCTTTTCTGAGTTAGATAATGACATTTCTAACCCAGTGCCAACAGTGTTTGAAACATCACCCAGAACCAGCGACATGGCAAGAATATGGAGCTACAGAAATAAAATATGCTGAGCATAGAGAGGGGAGGGCAGGGAAAGCAGAGAGAAAATCTCAGATCCAGAGGAGGAAAAGCCACCTGTGACCCTGAAGAATGCTGGACTCTGCAACCGGCTCAAGCTGCTGAAGACAGATCCAGCTCTTGCTCGCCCAGACAGTAGTCTCCCCAACACCCCAGAAACAGAGCTGCAAGCTGGCCTGTGGGAACCAACAGCCCTCTTGCAGCTGCCTTCTGAGCTGGGTTTTCACTTCTGCAAGATAGGAATAATGAGCTCCACCTTATGAGATTCTTGTAAGGGTTAAGAAGATGACTGTGGACAACAGGAATTTTTAGAGACTCAGTTCTTTATTTGCCCAAGATCACGCAGTGTCCAGGCTAGGACCAGATCCAGGCCTATGGGTTCTGGTTCCCAGCCTTGTGTTTGTTCGCTAGGCCACCCTGCTCTAAGTGGCCTAACACCCTGTCACTTTATTAATCTACCAGGACAGAAGTCACAGTCTGGTGGTGTGAGAGACCATTTTGGTCTCCACGGCGTTTCAATTTTTATTTTGTTGCTGGCATTTTTTGTTAAGTGGGAAATTACACATAAAAGCACAGATTTGCAGCTTCCCTTGAGAAATTATAACCTCTGCAAATGCTGGGCCTGGTTCCCACATGGAGACAGCTGGCTGGCCTGAGAAGTAGCTGCCTCCCGGGGGCAGGTCCCGGGCCCTCAGCATCTTCCTCCAGGCCTGCTTCATCCACTTCCTTCCCTCTCAACCCGCGTATGCACTTGGATGTGGGACACACGGCTTTTTAGAGGGAAAGCCCTTGGCTTGCCTAGAAGCAGCCAGGGGACCTCTCAACACCAGAGCCAGTGAAAATTGCAAAGCATCCCTCGAAATGCGTCCACGGCGATTAGCAGGCTGGAGATGTGATTTATGAAGAAGAATGAACACAGGAAATGTGCCGACCTTGGCTGAACAGTGACGTGGGCAGAGATGCGCCCCATTCACGGCCTCAGGAAGGAGCCGAGTTGTTAGAGAAAAGCCCAGGGGGGCAACTCAGGGAAACAGAACTGAGCCGGGGAAATTTTCAGCTGAATTATCAGGAAACTACCCCTGGAATTGTGAACGCCTGGGCAAAATGGAGGTGTCGATGCAGAGAGGGAGGGGAAGATACCGTTCCTGTTTCTGCCTGACTTCTCAAAAGAGGTCACCAGATCCATTCATTGGGCATTCAGGAAACAGCTCTGCACAGAAGCTCTGTGGACTGCAGGAAGTGGCTCCAGGAGGAGTGGCCAGCTGTTCAGCCTTCGGCACCCAAAGAAAGCGGCAAAGTCAGGGTCATTGGGGCCTGACCTGCCTTGACATCAGAAATAGAAGGACAGCACGGGGGGTGGATCCAACCTGGCATAACGGGCACAATGGCTGGAGTATGTGGACAGTGTTGGTGGTTATAGGCATGACAAAGGGATTCTGGTTTTGGAAGAGTAGCCTATTGAATAGGTATTTCAGTCAGGTCTCTTTTGAGTTGCAACAAAAACCCAACTCAAACTGGTCCATGTGCAAAGGAAAATTGTTGGCTTCCATAAATGATCATTTCAGAGGTAAATTGCTTCAGGCATGGCTGGATCCAGTGGTTCAACTGACATCCTCAGGACCTGGGCTCTCTGTCTTCTAACTCTGCTTTCCTCTGTGTTGGTTCTCAGGCAGACGCTTCCCTGTGGTGGTAAGATGGCGCCCACCAGCTCATCTTAAGATCCCATGAAGCCCAGGAGACATCCTGAGGGCAACTCTTACTGGACTAGTTTTGGATCACATGCCCACCCCGCAGCAACCAATCAGATTGGTGTAGGCATGTGGTACTGTGATTGGGCATGCAACATTCTGGGCCACCTATGGCACTAGGCGCAAGGTGGGGGCTCTATCCAAATGAGCTGCCTATAGACGAGGGGTTCTCCATGGGAAAATTAACATGCCATTTTCAGAAGTAGCAGGGGTAGAACTGAGAGGGCAGGCAACATGGCAGGGGAGCAGACGACAGAGGTTGCTATCAGGACCCAGCCAAGCAGGGCTGTCACCAAAGCTCTGGGGACACTCAGTGGGATCTGGAAGACCACCACTGAGGCTGGCTCAAGTCTCACACTGGATCACAGCCCCAGGTCCCCCCACCAGCTGATAGGGCTGGGACAATTAACATTCTGGTCCCTAATGTGGGCTGCCTCGGGGTCTGGGTGAGCCAGCAGCTTAGAGGGGTCAATGCCCACTGCCAAGAAGAGCCTAGAGAAGGCGGGATGCTGGGGCTTCCGGATTCCAAGCTCAGAAGGGCAGGAGGGCACATCCCAGGTACCCGAAGTATAGTGTCAGGAGGGCACGGATTTCACTCTCCTTGCCAGGGAGTGCCTGCCTTATGCGTGGGCATGGCGTGTGTCCCCATTCTAGTCCACGACAGGGGCGGGGAGTTGGAGGAAGGAAAGGCCTGGGCTTCTGGACAATATTTTGCTTGCTCATTAAAAATTAAAATTATAAAAAATCCCATTTGAAGAAAGAGTCCAATTTCCACCTTTGGACTGCCTTGAGTCTGGGTGGCACGCGGGACTGAGGCGGGCAGCCAGGCTGCAGCCATGCGGAGGAGCTGAAGGTGGCCAGGGAGCCAAGGAGCCAGGGCCTCTCGTGGTGGTGGCATCACCTCAGGAAAGCCCATCAGGTAATGCAGTCCCCGTACTCGCTTTTGCAGCGGGTTAAGCAGCGTTTCTGTTGTCTGGAGCTGAAAGCAGCCTCCTTGACACCAGGACTCAGAGCTGGGATCAGCGTGAACTAGGAGTGACAGGGGAGCCAGACCGGCTGCTCCAGCTTCCCCCTGGCCCTGAGCCCTGTGGCTTGTCTTACTGAAGACACGTTGGTCAGTTTCTGCTGCAAAAAACTGCTCTTTCCTTCACTTCTAGGCCATGAAGGGAAAACTGTTTCCTAAATAACTGTCTTACCCTGGTTTAAATAAGTCTCCCACAAAATGGCCAGAGACTGACGTTTCCTTTTTACACAGTCAAAAAAGAAAGCTCCCCACCCAACTGTCCATCAATAGAGGGTAATTAAGTTCATTCAACTACAGCCATTTGATAGCTGTGTGCACAGCCGCTAAATTGATGCTGACAGATGATGCTTAAAGACACGGGAGATGCTTTGTATATTACTATTAAATGAAAGAAAAAAATACAGGTTACAAAACTCTATGTATGCAGTATGATCATATACATATATTTTTTTTAATATGCACACACATAAAATAAGACTGGAAGGAAACACCACAGTGTTTGGGTGGTGGAATTTGGGGTAATATTTATTGTCGACTTTATACTTCTGCACATTTTTCAAGTTTTCTACAATAAGCATATATTATGATTGTAACTTAAGAACTAGAGTGAAGACTCTGAGGACATACTTGGCAGCCCTGGGGGAAACACTTCGAGGGAGAGGAAAGGAAAATCTTTCACGTTTCCATCAAGGTCCAGGGCTCCAAGCACCCACAGACGCCACATTGAGCCAGAGTGAGCGTCCGGGTGTTTCTGGCAAGTGCAGAAGGAAAAGTCAGAAGCGCAAGATTCTGGGGTCCAGGAACCTTTCAGGGTGTGCAACAGCCTCCTCCTCTCCCTCTGCCTCCATCAAGTCTACCTCCCACCAGATCTCTGCGGTTCCCTCTCTCAGACTGAGCAGCAGCAAAGCCCCCGTAAAATATCTGGTGTCAAAGCTGACCTCGCACAATCCGATTCCTTGGGAGTCCCTCATACTCAGGGAGTTTGGCACGTGGGAGGTTAATTCTCTTATCAAAACTGTACAAAATCCTAATTTTGCAGAGTGGCAATTTGGGGGAAAAAAAACCCAGCAATGGGAAAATGTTGGTTATGCAGCACTAGACATTCAGTTCTCAGGGGATCAATTATAAAAACACTCATTCAGCTATTTCTATTCAAATGAACACCTGAAGAGGAGGCCTCAATGGTTTTAAAAGTGTGTGGATATTACTGGATAAATGTTAGTCCAATAAAAGAGATCATCATCCGCTATTTGTGTACATTTAAGTTGACACTAAAAAGATCTTTGTGGAGTATCGCTGCGGCTGCTGCTTTTTCTGCATGCATCTTTTTATCTCCTATTCCCTTAACACTTTAGCAACTGAAGAAAACAGACCAAATGTGGCTGGTCATGGTTTTCTTCTCCTTCTCCTTCTTCCCCCAAGATTAAAGGGACACGGGTGTTGCGAAGGCCACACCTGAAGTGGGCAGCCTGGTTGCTCACACTGATGAATATGTAATGTCCTGCTTGGAGGCGCAGTCACGAACTCCTAATAAGAATTCACGAGTCTGTGTTTGAAAACAGACATTTGCATTTGCCCTGCGGTCACAGTACATGGACCATTCTTATTCAAAAATTTATTTTTTTCTTCTTCTTTTTAAGACCTGAAAATATTCTATGCCCTCTCTCCCCACCAACACACAGATACACACACCCTTCTTTCTACGTTCTCTTTAAACAGAAATTAAGATACGGAAGCCCAGAAAGCCCAGCAGCCCCCACTCCTGCAGCCGCTGGGCCTGGGGCGGGAACTGCAGCTCCCAGAGAGACGGAGACCCCTCCAAACCTGCTTCGAGCAGATACTAGTTTTCTCTCAAGTCCAAGGGCTTTCTTGGTCCAGAATGAAATGCAGAATTTTTAAAAAGGGGAGTAAAACAACATGGGGAGAGTACGTTGAGGGTCAACAAGCCCACTGAAGTGAAGCCAGGGTGTGTAATCCACTTGGCGGCTATAGGAACCTGCCTGGCCCAGGGCTGGGACGCTGTGCCCCAAGTTCCCGGGGGCAATTTGGTGGTGGCAGGCGTTTCCCGGTCAGTGGCTGTGGTTTATGCAGTTCAATTTCCCGGAAAAACAGCACCCCACCGGTCACTTTTAAAAACACTTTAAAAAGGGGCCTTTTTTGCCTGTGACTCCTGAACCTCTAAGTCCTTAGCAATGTCTAGAGGGCAAGAGTGCCACCATTCGAGGTACAAGGAACAGAGCATGAACACCCCATGTTGATTTGGGTCTCTCCTCCTCTGCAGCTTCCTCAATAGAGCACAAAGCTCTTGGCCTCTTCTACCCAGGGGTCCCCACCCTCCCTCAGTCCTCACAGGCCCCCCAGGCTGGCCACACTGACTGCATGGACGTGGCTGCACTCAGCCTCCCTGCGCCCCTCCTTCCTGAGGGGTTGGCCGAGGTTAAATGCTGATCCCACAAATGTCCGGGTTTTGAGCATTCCTTCTAATTACAGGTGTTCAGAGAGCCATTTGCGTGCCTTGTGAAAATGGTGCTTTCTTGGGGCCAGGCTGTGGTCAGTTAGTATCGTCCTTGCTTTAGCTAAGGGTGGGCAATGTCCACACAGCCAGGGAGGCAAAGCATAAGAGCAGGGAGTGCTGCGCCCGCTCCGGGGCTCCCTCAGCCGGCCAAGCCGCTAAGCCAGGAAGATTCCTTTGCGGCTGCCCACAGGCCGGCCCAACCAAGCCCCCATTTCAGGGCTAACAGTGACACCTGCAGTTTAACCTGCCACATGTCACTCTGCGGGACAACTGCCCTGGGAGGGGGCTGAGGGACCTTGGGCCACCTGGCCACCAATGCCCTTGCCAGGGGTCCCCAGGGAGAGGCTGAGGAGACTGAGTTCTCTGGGCCTGGTATAGGAGCTAGAGAGAGGGCAGACCCACCTGCTGTTCTGGGAGGAGGCCACAAGGCAACAGTTTCTAGCCCCGAGACTCCAGAACCCAGCACCTGTGCCTGTGACTCTCCCCACTCAGCCACCAACCTAAGAAAGCCAAGGCCATGGGAACTTGCTGGGTGGGGAGGCAGCAGGGACCAGAGAACACCAGTCGCCACAGTGGCAGCATCCAAACAGGTTTTACTGAGAGCCAGCTCTGTGCTGCACTAGCTCACCTTCCCCCTGCTCCTCTCAGCAAGGCGCGACCACCTGGCCCAGTGCCCTCACTTTACAGCCCGGAAGACTGAGGACCACAGAAGGGAGGTGGCTTGGTCAAGGTCATCTAGGGAGATGGCACCTAAGTCTGGTCTGCAGCCTCAGCCTACCTGCAGGACAGTGCTCAGGACTGCCATGGCGACATGCTCAGGACTTGATCAGGCGACATGCCCTTCCTGGCGTGGCCACCATGGGACAATGCATGCACAGCTTTCCATAGACCATCTCCTCAACACCACCACCCGCCCTCCCCCAACACACACTCACATGCTTGCACACACACACGCACATAGGCACACACACCGAGAAAAGACAGCAGGTCCAAGATGAATTATCTGAATCCAGCCCCAGCTCCCAAAGCATGGCCCCAACAGCCGCGGCTCCATTTCCTCCCCTGCACTCGCTCACAGAAATCTGAGAGCCAGGACACAGGGAGTTGAGAATGAAAATGAACCGATGCAAAGATTTCTTTATAACTTTTCTCAATATTCTGCTGATTGCTAGCTCAGTAGCAGATGTGGTGTGCTTAATGATGCATAGAGAAGCAGCAGCCCCTGATCCCTAAATGAACTTCTTATCTCTAAATATATACAGGGAAAGCTATATAAACTCAATTTAGCCCCTCTGCTCTTCCAGCTACCCCGATCGAGGAGTGGAAGGAGAGAGTGGGTGCCTGGAAGACCTGGCAGGGGCAGATGGAGGGCAGGGAGAAGGTGGGGAGGCTGCAGTGGCATCCGGCCACTGTGCTCACCGCCCCCCAGTGACTGAGCTGGCCACACAGACAGGCAGCCCACCTTCCTATTTCCCAGGGTGAGGGGGTGGTTTGAGGGGCTTCCTCCTGAGAAAGCCTTCAGTGGCAGGAGCAGCAATAGCAACAAAAACCTTCACCAGCAAAACCTCTCTCTGTTTAGCCATTTCCATTAAGGTGCCGCATCTGTATGTAGCAAGATTCAGCAAGTTCTTACAACTCAGGTTCTCGGTAAAGGGGTTAAAACGCTTTGGCCCTGAGCCTTCCTCGCTTGGTGGCATCCACTGTGTGCAGGTGCGAGGCCAGAGTCCCAGGGAGGACCCAGGGTCCAGCAGGGACAGATGTGAGTTCCAAGTGCAGGTGTGTGCCAGAGGCAGACACACTGGGCTGCAGGAACACAGAGGGGAGCCCTAGATCCTCCTCTCTGCACCCCCCACCCCCAGGAACGCCCAAAGGGCAGAAGAAGCAGCAGGTGCGAAGGCTTGGCAGGCAGGAGAACACCAGGCCTGCTCAGGAGCTGTGGTAAGTCTGGACACGGGATGATGGGTGTAACAGAGGGCCCAGGGGCAGGGGAAGCAGGACCTCCGACACCGTGTGAGGAGCCTGACCTTCATCCTGCAGGAGGTGAAGGGGATGCTTGGCCTAGTTCTAGGTCGCTGCTGATACATAAAAGCTGCTGCTGCCATGCTGAGTGGGTGAGCAGGAGGGCGGGGCTCGGGTTCAACACTCAAGTCCCAGAGTTCCCAAGAGGCCAGCCCAGGGCCTGGCCAAGTCACTTCAAATAGCTGTTTAGCCCAGATGGCCTGTTAATCTTGAAGGAAACCCAAAGAAGCACAGAGACACAGTTGAAATGGGAGTAAGAGCACCCAATGCCCATCCACGGCCAAAGGAAAGCTTATGCATATGCAACATGGGCCCACTCCGAAGGCTTTTCCATTAGCCGCGTGGAGACACTGTGGCCAGGTTGGGGGAATCTATATTTCACCTTACGTTGCACACAGCTGGGCTCAGACTGGCACCAGTGTTAATATGCAAACGAGGCAGTATCTGTATTCACCAGGGCTCTGAGAAGCCAGGATCCTTCTCTTCCAGAGCAGCAAACAGAGAAAGGTGGGTGGGGCATGCCAGAGGGGGCGTGGCTGGTAGGCAAGGACTAGGCAGGAAAGAGGCCATTGGAATGGGAGGAGAGACCAAATTATGTCAAATCAGTTTGGGGGAGTGGAGAACATTCTCAAAGAGAAGACTTAGAACCCAAAGGGTTTTGGAGCCAGAAGTTCCTCCTCGGTCTAATGGTCTCATTTTATTGATGAAAAAACTGAGGCCTAGAGAGGAGAAATAATTTGCTGAGAGACAAACACCTAATGGTAGTTTTTTGTTCATATGCGAATACAGCTGTGTTTAAATTTAATTTTTGTTTATATAGGTAAAGAAAGATCAAGGAGATCCTCAGAAGGTCAGTCCTATCAAGACCATGTGAGTACCGCGTGGACAAAAAGAGAAGCCACGGTCCTTGCCTTTGACATGTAATAAGAACTCAAAAGAATGGGGCACTGCGCATTCAAGAAGGTCATGAAGTGAACGTGCTACCTGCCAGGTGTGGGCTAGGGAACTGGGTGCAGTTGGTATTATCTCAGAGGTCCCCGGGGCGGGTGGAAGAGCTCAGAGCCACATCCCACCCTGCGCTTTCCTTTCGGCTCTGCTCTGAGCCCCACTCCTGGCTCCTCTCTCCAAACCCCCTTCCTTCGGGTTTTCTGGGAGAAATGTGCAAAACCTCACCAGTCTGTAGCGATGGATACAGTTTCTCTAGCTGGACACAGCTCCAGTGGTTCTAAGTGTGCATCTCTTAAAACGTCCACTGAGGCCAAAAAGCTCTCCCGTGCCCATCCCCCCACAGCAATTAGCAAATCGTCGGCACAGCAGTTATCTATACTAGACACATGCAGCCTACAAGCTAGACACCTCTTAAGGGAACTAGTTTCCTCATCTGTGAAATACAGTTTACAAGGCCTGTTTTCTGTGAGGAGTAAAAACGATCAGGTATGTGATGACATTTAGTGTCATACCTGCTATACTTGAAGCTAGCTGAAGTTACAGGCCTCTAGGATAATCTGCTGTGAGTTGTGAAAACCGGCACATAAGTCGAGTGTTAACCACAAATGACACAGGAGACAGCCACGAAGACCTTTGCTGTGCACCTAGAGGACAGGGCGTGACCTTGGTGCATGGGCTGTGTGACATTTCTTCCCAGAGCCTAGAAGCCTTTTCTACTTACTGCTCGGTTCAGAGATTCAGGGCTGGGTTCCAGAGGGATGCAGGAACTGCAAGCCAGGCTTCCAGATAAACAAGCTTTCGCGTGTAGCACGGAGTGTCTGTCCTCCTTCCTGAGTCTTCCCTTCACCCTTTTTAATGCCAACTCCATTTGTGATGATCACAGGAATTACTCTAAAGTCAGCCTGTGCTCCTCGGAAGGACAAACTGTTAAAGCTGAATGTAAATTTGGCATTGCTCTCCCTTGAATGCTCTTGGCATCCGTTTAAAGAAACGAGAGTTAGGGCAGTGATCGCATATTCATTTTTATAAAAACGACTTACAGACCAAGATTGGTTTCTTGAAATCCCACAAGTTACAGCTTAATTTCCTTCACCAGCACTGGTCCAGTCCTATGCTACACTGGCTTTGGCCACACTCACAAACTTGTTAAGCCTCAGTCACTTTATTCTGCAAAACCTGCCATAGCCAGAGAGGTGGTAGACTGGAAGACTCAGGGTAACCAGCCATGAGTCTTAATCCAGGAAAAGGGCTTTGACAGTGGCCCCTGAGATCTGAGAGGACTGTCCAGTTACTAGTGCATCCCAATTAGCTGGGCTCCCTATCATGGTTTATTCAGCAAATGACAGTCAGGACTGTCATGTCAGGCCAGGTGTGGTGTCTCACACCTATAACCCCAACACTGGGAGGCCAAGGCAGAAGGATCACTTGGTCCCAGAAGTTTGAGACCAGCTTGGGAAACAAAGAGAGACCCTGTCTCTACAAAAGAAAAAATTTAAAATTAGCTGGGCCTGTGGTGCCGTGCACCGTGGTTCCAGCTACTCTGGAGGCTGAGGTAGGAGGATCACTTGAGCCCGGGAGGTCAAGGCTGCAGTGAGCTGTGATTGCACCACTACACTCCAGCCTGGGTGCCAGAGCAAGACCTTGTCTCAAAAATAAAACAGAATTCTCATGTCAGAGCCCCTTTCCAGTAAAGTGGGAGAGAGCACAGGCAGACACAGCTCCTGCCTCGAGGGGCCCCCTTAGCGTTCAAGCTATGATACCCGAGAGTCCTCTCTTTGGGGTCTGTCTGCCTAAGAACATAGGGTTTGAATCTTGGCTCCACTGCTTCCCAGCTGGTGGCCTTGGACAAGTCACTGACTTTCTCTGAATTCTTAGGTTCCAGGTAACAAAAGCAGTCCTGCAGGGCTGTTTTGGGTACTAGATGAGAGGTGTGCATAGTACCAAACAGTGCGTAGCACACAGTCAGGTGCCCCTCTTCTCTGTCCCATCACCCTTAAACATTCCCATCATTGCAATTGGCACCATGGGTCGTTGGACAAGTATTTCTCTGTGCCTCGGTTTCAACATCTGGAAAATGGGAACTGTAATACGTGCTTCAAAGGATTGTTGGGAGGATTCAGTGAGATAGTCCACGTAAGGCATTTAGCACAATCTTTAGACCATGAAGTCTTAATACACATGAGCTCATATTCCACTGGTACACTGGGAGCTCCTCGGGAAGAACTTGGTCAAGTCCTTCATTCACTGAATTTCCACAGACACTGACAAGCAGCTATTACACATCATGCACTGTGGCTACAGACATGCATCAAGACACGGCCTCAGCTTTGCAAGAGCTGCTCCCAACTCGGGCAATACCACAATATGGTAAGTGCTAAGAGATTTAGCTACAGAGTGCTTTGGGAGTGGAGATCTAACCCAGCCTAAGGGATCAGAAGACTTCTCAGAGATGATGATATCTAAGGTATATCCTGTGGGATGAGTGAAACCCAGCTGAGTACAACAGGAGGTGAGCAGTGAGATGCTGGGGCAAGAACTTCCACGCACACAGAAGAGCACGTCGTGGCAAGTGGAAGAGGGGACAGGCTTCGGCTAACTCATTGACACACCCAGAACTCATGCCAGGCACTTGGGGCTCAGGAGGTGCTGCTGAATGAATAAACAAGCTTGCCGTACACGGTTCACATCCTCCCTTCCTACCTGCTGCTCCAGGTTCCAGGGAAGAGATGCCCGCTCCCTCTGGCGCCTAACCCAGAGCATAGCCAGGAAGAAGAGGGCAGCATGTGGAGCAGTGCGTCACTGGACATGCCAGGCCAGGCTGCCATGGGAAAGCACTCCAACTCCAGGAAGACTGCCACACCCCCAGGTGCCCAGACTCCCAGATTCTCAGTGAAAGGGACAGGCTGGGGCCCCAAGTACTGCTGCAAGTGGACTCAAGTGGCTTAAGTTCAGAAACCAAGGTGCTAGGCAAGTTGTCCACGGGTGGGGAAGAAGCACCCTCACCTCCTGTGCGGTGCTTCTTGACGACGCAGGGGCCAGGTGTGTGAGCCTCACCTCGGGCCACATTCCCATTACATCTTCCTAGCAAAGTTTCCAAAGCTTTGTCCTCATTTCTCCTCTTCCCACCCAGGCCCACCCCGTCTTGAAATTCCTCTCCTGACTGAGATGTTTGTTGTTCACTGTTGTACCCTCCCCTTCATCCTTCTTGAAGGCTGTTAATAGAACCATCAGACAGACAGGCAGCGTCAGGAGAACAGGCACCTCCCCAGATGCCTGTTGGGTTGTTCTCTCCCGTCTTCCACTTGGGCTACAAGTTGCCAAACACCTAGGAATAGGGGCCGTTTGGTCAAACTATAGCATCTACCAATGGTCAGTGCAAATGTCTCTCTTTGCCTCCACATACTGGGGGCACTGAAAGGAATCCCGGCCTTGATTTCTCTCCAGTGGGTGGTAGACACTGGAGGGCAGTCAACAGCATGCCAGGAACAGAATGAGGAGCAGCGCCTGGGCTGGAAGTTGGCTGTGGGCTGCAAGGTGGTGGTGGGGACTAATGGGGCAAGGGGTGACTGCATTTATCAATGAAAGTATGAAAGGCTTAATTAAATAATGACTCATAAATATTCAGCTCAGCCAAGCTGAGCCCCCACAATGATGGATGTCAGGGACTAAAAGGCTTTCAAGGGGAGGACTCTGCAGAGATGTGGGCCCCCACGCGTGTCAGAACGTAAAGGGCACACTGCCCACAGCCTCTGCTAGCTTGTGACATATCGTTCCCTCGCACCCGCCTTGCAAGCCAAATGCATTTTAAGGCAAGCGGTCTAGTTCCCTAATGAAGAGACTTCTCTATCAGGACCTTGGAATTTGTAGTACAGTAATCCCCTTTATCCATGGTTCTGCTTTCCGTGGTTTCAGTTACCTGCAGCCAACCACAGTCTGAAAATATTCAATGGAAAATGCCAGAAATAAACAACTTATAAGTAGTAAATTGTGCAGCCCTCTGGGTAGTGTGAAATCTGGCACCGTCCACTCCATCCTATTTGGGATGTAAACATTTCTTTTATCCAGCATGAAGCTGGATCTGGAAGGAAGGGAGGTGCGAGAGCAAGTATGCAACGGTACAAGTCTCCAATATGGGAATATGGGACCAGGTACAAGCACAAGTGACGGAAGCCCAGGGTCTTTGTGTGTGTGTGCGCTCTTTGTTCTCCTTTACTTAGCTTCTACCACCACTAAGAACCTGGACCACATCTTAATCATGTTGAGCTGCTCTGAGCCTCAAGATCTTTCTCAATAGGGCAGTAACATCTAACCTACTGCTCCCCACCCGCCCCACCCAGTCACACACTAGCTTTGCTGGCTGCTTTGTTCTCTGACCTTGACATGCTCTCCTGCCCCGTGCCCTGGTGCAAGCCCTTCACTCCACTTAGCATGCTGTCTCCTCTGCTCTGTTTCCTGATCACAGCCAAACTACCCATCAAATGGCACCTGCTCTCCCACATCCTCCCCAAGGCCACCAGGAAGCTGCATGCTCCCTCAGCACTTCTGGACCTCTTATTCTATCACTGTGATACATCTGGGCACCTACATCTCTCTCAACCCAACTAAGCTCTAAAACTCCAGCACCTTCCTGTTCCTCTGCAGTTGCCAAGCTCCTTCCTGCTTAAGAAACATGCTGCTCCCTCACTCGGCACCACCTTAGTCTTCAGGTCAAAGCTTGTCCAGTTTGAAAGGGTGCTCCTAACCTTCCAGAAGCACTCTTATTTCCGTTCAGAGCCCACTAGTAACTTACAGTTCATTTGTGTTGTCGGCATCTGTATCTCCTATGAACTATAAGCTTTCATAAGGACAGGGGCTATTATCAGTTTTGTTCCCCATGTATAACTAGGGCCTCTTTTTAACTGTTAAATGTGCCCCAAAATGGAAACAGCTTGGGCTTTAGAACCAGACAAGTTCAACTTATTACCAGGTCTCACTGATCTGTAACTACCCCCAGGCAGCTGTCACGGCAGCTGAGTGTGACGCCCACCACTCAGAGTGCGCCAAAGTGCCTAAACCCTGTGGACTCAGTGAACCCCAGTTCCCTCTCCTTGCTTGCTTCTCACTGTAACAGCACCTGGTACATGGTAGGGGATCAACGAATATCTGTTGAATGAACATCCTCCTCACAGGAGGCAAAACCATGCCCATTGAACTACACGAGTTTGTTTTTTTTCTAACTTTCTGATAGGGGTATTCACTTAAAGCTAAAGCCGGCCATTGTTGTGAGCCTCCCTGATTCAACCCTCACCTGGCAAACCAGGGAGTCTTTCTCCACTATACAGCCTGGTTCCCTCTCCATACCCCTCCTAGGTCCAGGCTCCCCCACATTTCTCCTCAGGCTTCAATCCAAAGCGTAGGTCCCCAGCTTGTGGAGACACACACATGATATGCTTGGGCTCTTTGCTTTACCTATTCAACAGCCGTGACAATCTCCAGGGAAAATGCCTGATATAAAATTACTTACCTAGTATGACCTTAAGTATGCTTTTTTTTTTTTTTTAAGGATTATGGGTGAAGTTTCTTCTTTATGCTTTTCTGTATTTTTTAAGTATTACAATGAATATGAATTTTGACTACAATGAATATGAATTATGACTATAATTAGAAAAAATCAACATTAACAAATTCAAGATAACATCAAATTTGCCTAAAACCAATTCACCTAATAATCAATTTGCCCAGTGACATATTCACCCACAATTCACATTTTAGACATTTACCACATTCACATTTTATATACAACATAATGAAGCCCTCCCCACAAAAAATTCATTTTTAGATGCCAATTTTTCTTTTTTTTAAAACATTAAGTATTGTTTTCATCCAGTTCCTCTAAAAGTGCCTCTGCCTTTTCTGTTTTTAATAAAACTTTGTCAAGTGTAATTAATGCCTTCAGATATGATAGGTAAAGCACCTCAACAACCTCTAAGGCATCTCTGCTGAGGTTTCATTCACTCTAGTCTTAAGCACTTTTAAGGATTTTTAGCTTTCCTTTTAGGAGGTCTTCTGTTTTAATTGGCTTAAAAAGAAAAACATTCTAAGATGCAAAACTTCTCAAGGAGAAACCATCCCAACCGATATGTAACATTACTTAAACATCCAAAGTTTAGTCAAAGCTATTAAGTGACTTGAGTGTGAACAGGTCAGTTCACCCCAAACTAGTCAGAATCCAAACCTTCCAGTACTAGTAAATAGAGTACACCAGTCTCATCAGAGCCCAGCTGTTCACTGTCGCTCTTTGCAAATCTCTCCCCCTCCTCACCTCCAGCAGGCCAGCTTTTTAAGGGCATCCAAAGAGCAGCAATGTATTTTAGCTGTTCTAAAACTAGAGGCATATGCAAAATAGAGCTAATTACCCTTGCCTTCTCAACGATAATATCCAAAGAGATACTAAGGCAACGTTGTTGAGTGGGAAAACACAGGGTCATATTTCAGGATTAAGTTTTAGAGTCAAACAGAACCAGGCTCAAATCCAATTTACTGTGTGACCCTGGGCAAGATACTCTGCCAAAATAAACCTGTTTCCTCATCTGTAAATGGTGACACCAATGAATATGTCAAATCTTATAGGTTGCTGTAACAACTGGCCCTACCACTTAACACCTAGTAGATATACTCAATAAAAGGCAGCTACTGTCAGGAATTTTTCCCAGACCCACTCACTGCACTTGAACCCTTGCCAGAAGCAGGCAGGCATGCTCACTGTCTCCTCAGAAGCTACGCACTGCATTTGTCTTGGCACTAAGGGAGAGAACGTTTTTTAATGAAAAGGTCAGTCTGCCCCAAACTCACACTAATTTTTTTTTTAAACAGGGCTTTGCCTGACTCCACTTTTTTCTCCCTACTCTGGTCCTGCCCAAATTTCATAGCAGGAAGACAGCTTTGAGAATTAGCAGGGGTGGTTTGCCAGATGTTCCTTTGCAGTCTGCCTTTGTGACTGCCCTCTGACTAATTCAAACTAGGTTTAACCTAGTACTGAAAAAAAAAAAGTCTGATTGCTTAAACATGCCCTATCTGCTTGCTAATCCACATAAAGCTTCAATAAGAAAGATCTAAAGAAAAACTTAACATTTTCCTCAGAAACTGGGGGAAGGCGTTAAGTAGCTTACCCAGGGTCATCAGGCCCTGGAGAAGGATCAGATTTGTCCTTCCTGAAGGCCAGGGCTTTTTCTTCCAACCACTGGACCAGGCTCCCTTCAGACATTAATCAAACATTGCACCACACTGGTGGTGGCTTCAGAAGCATAAGGCTTAAGACTTCATGCAACTTGGAGTACAATTCAACTGAAAGGCCAAGGTTTGGCAATATTCAATTTGTACATCATAAAAAAGTATTTAACAATATCCAAGTCCTAGATTGGTTGTATAATTCAGCCAGGATGTAAAACAATGGAATTTCTCTCTCCAATTCGGTTGCATCCCCTAAACTGCTTTATCTTTCCCTCCTCTTTTACTGCCTTCATCTCGTCGACATCTTATTTTCTTATTTGCTCATCAATTATCTTTTCTTTTCCTTCCTCCCACTCTTACCTGGGAACCTTCAATGGGTACTTAGGCTCACTCCAACTAGATATGCAAAATTTCAAGAAACTAGTTGGTGACAGTGTTAGGCTGAAATACGTTGTTTACAAACAAAATCCCCAACCAGGATGACGTGACACAAACTTTAATGGAATCTCAAGCATTCAACCTCTTTCCAGTGTTAGCTTTCCTCAATTCTAACCTGGACCAAAGTTCAAATAGCCACAGATCACCTTGGCTATCCCAAGTAAGGAAGAATTGTTAGTTAGAACATTTAAGCCAATGAGCGCTGAAGGGTGAATGCTCAGAGAGCATCAGGACACAGTAGTAACAGCTGCAGTATGAGGCTCTTCACTTACTTACCTTTTATCCTCACAATCACCTTAAAAGGACATTGCTCATCTCCACTGAAAAGGAATACGAGCTTCAAAGAAAATGCTGTAACTGCATGAGCTCAATAGCTAGTAAGTGCTGAAGCTAAGACCTGAATGCAGCTCTGCCTTGAAAACAGGCATTCTTTCCGCTACACACAGAAAGTTGTGTACTAAATGTTTTAATTCAGCTGATATGATAAAATGGCAGTCAAGATGAACTGCCTGATGGGCAACTTTGCTGAATATTTCTAGCATGTGCCAAACCCAGCAAATGATGTATCCTATGGAATTTAATTCTTAACAACCAGAAATTAGGCATCCGTACCACAATGCCAATGCCATCCCCTTTCCACTCAGCAAAATGCCCAGACCTCTTATTTTCCATGCATCTTTATCACAATGCCAATGCCATTTCCCTTCCACTCAACAAAAGGCCTACATAGACCACTTATTTTCCAAGAGGCCCCAGTCTTCTAATTGGCCCTAACATCCGGGCATGCCTCAAACTCCCTGTATTCTCCCCCCATGTTAAACCAATATAGCAGGTTTCAAGTAAAACACCACTCAAGTCAGAGCCTCTAAGGTGCTTCAACTTCTAATCCTTCCTTCATGGAAGCTCCAATGCTTTGGATATTATGATCCTGAGTGGTGATCAAAATAAGATTACAAACAAGAATTTCCAAAGAATTCAGAATTAATGGAGTCATGCTAATTTATGTGGTTTAGCCACTTACTAGCCATATTACTAATTATTTTCTCTAGGCTTCTGGCCTCACCTTACTGTTCAATACTTGTTTCCCCACATCCCAGTTATACTACCCTTCTTTAAAAATTCTGTTCCTAACATGTGAAAATTCTACTTCAAACCTTTCTGAAAATGAAGATTTTCGTGTTTTCCTACAGCCTGTTTGGTTAACAGCCAAATTCAAAGCTCTTCATAAAGTACCGCAAGGGGCCAGGTGCAGTGGCTCACACCTGTAATACCAACACTTTGGGAGGCCGAAGCAGGCAAACTGCCTGAGGCCAGGAGTTCAAGACCAGCCTGGCCAACATGGAGAAACCCTATCTCAACTAAAAACACAAAAATTAGCCAGGTGTGGTGGTGCATACCTGTAATCCCTGCTACTTGGGAGGCTGAAGCACGAGAATCACTTGAACTCAGGAGGCAGAGGCTGTAATGAGCCAAGATTGTGCCACTGTACTCCAGCCTGGGCGACACAGCAAGACTCTGTCTCAAAAAAAAAAAAAAAAAAAGGTGCTACAAGGCCAAGGGGGAGCTAAGAAAATACCAGGAGTCCTTGCAGCTCACCTTTCTTCTACCCATCCCAAGTCTATCTTCTAGGGATTATGATTTAGAGTCCATGACTAGAACTCTCCTTTCAAAAGCCAACCCTGGTAAGTCTGGCAGAGGAAACCCTTCTTTGGAGGTCTCTGAGAACAAATCTGGCCTCAGAAAACATGCTCTCAACATGCTACAGTTCAGTTCACTAAACCAGAGTCCTGTAAGACATTCCATCTTACCTCTTCCCATATCAAAAGTGAGTCAGTAGAACAAATAATACAGAATAGCAAGAACACACTTTACGAGATGGACAGAAGTAGAGAGAAATTACATGATCTTTGATGTCACTTGATAGTTTCTTCATCTATTGCAAATTACTGCTTTTATCTTCCTATCAGTGGATTTCTAGCTTAGCAATAGCTCATGCTCACCATAAACCTCGCAAAAGCCTACTGAGAAAACCTGGTATCGCCCTAATGTACAAGTTGCTCCACTACACCCACAGGTACTACTTCACTTGGGGGATTTATCCTGATTACGATATATCCGAGGACACGAGCTTAACCTTATTCCCCTCTTCAGGTGTGTGGTTCCTAGAGAATGAGTGGTGTTAGACTACCACTACTCAAATAACAGGGAATGAGTGATGTGCTAACATACTCTAGCTATAAAACACATCCCTACATCTGACTTTGGATAAGAAAACCAGCTAGTGACTCCTGAGTAATGTTTTGAGGTCCCCTGTTAAATGAAGTAGAGATGGGTCATAACTGGCTTCTAAGGAGACTATGGGGATTAAGAAAATCGCCTTGAGCCAAGCTAAAACTTCAACTGCTGCCTAGAGATGGCAACATGAAATACAGACTCCTCTCTCAATGGAAATGGTTGAGCAGAGGCCGTCACAGACAAAATGAACGAGAAGGCTCATTAGGTGCCTTCTACTTTGAGACTTTAAAATTTAAACATTTTAAATGTAAATTTTTAAAGAAGACTGGTTATTTTCAAGGAAAAAAAAAAGTTATTCAACAATTTAGGCAGATGACAAAGACCATGCTTGGAAAACTAGCTTTACGAGAATTTTCATTGTTAAGAAACCAAAGTGTTCACGTTTGGGTCATTCAACATGACAAAGGCCACAATGGTATCAGTTTCCTCAAAAGAGAAGTCTACTAAAATAGTCTCATATTTAAGAAAACCTAAGTGAAAAACATGTAACCTAACACAGCTTAAAAATTACAGGAAAAATTTGTACCTTTAAAGTCGCATTAAAGAGAGCCAAAAAAATCTTACAGGTTATCAAGGAGACCACACAAAACATGAACAGCTAAATTGGATGCCAGTAGCCTAAGTTTACAAACAGTGATAGATGAAAAATACAGTTACAATAAGTATGGCTAAAATGTCTAATATCCCATAACCAATGCTTATTGAAGCCAATGCTTATTCTTGAGGCAGGCTTTGTATGAAAACTGTAGTAATACTTTTAAAACTTGTACTATTTTACTATAAAAGCCAAATTAGGATGAACTGAGTGCTTTAAATAATTTTCAAAAATAATTATTTTACAGTTGGAAAGTGTGTGTTGTATATGCAGAGATTTGTCCTGAGCATCTCAAGAACTTAAGGAAAAAAATGGTAATGTGAAGTAAGCCAAAGCGACAGAGAGAGAGGTAGTAGCCTAATAGTGCAGTAAAGTTCCCCTAACAGTCTTGGCACAGTGTCCAGGCATGGTCGGTTCTCAGCTGGGGGCAACTTTCTTGGCTGTGAAGGCAGATCATGCCCTCTGTCACTCATGGGGAGCAGTTCTGCCCAACTGTCTCTTTTCGACAACTTTATCATCAATCTCTTTATTAACAGCTCCACTGCAGTCAGAAAACGCAAACAAGGACCAATTCTCATGCCAGATTTCTGGAAATCACATAGCACCAGGCATCACACAGTGTGAAAGTTTCTAAGGAGGGTGCTATGCCAAGAGAGAGACAGCATCCACAAGGAAGAGCACAAAGTTGGGACATTTTACGTTTTTACACACACACACACACACACACACACACACACACAATTTCTGATGCCTAAAACTGAAAAGAACCCCAAAACTCACATATGTGTGTATGTATGGGGATTGAGAGGGGCACGGTAGTGAGACAGAGATCACCTTACTCCCCAGAAATAACTTTGTTATTTTGCACTTCCAGAAGTCTTTGGGCAAAAACAGTATTATACCAAAAAAAAAAAGTTTTAACTATTTTAGGACTACATGACATTATTAGAAAACACACAAGACTGAGATAAATGTCTCCAATGAGCTGGAAAAAAAAAAAAACCATAAAACTGAAATGTTTGAATTATTCAAAATATATATTTTCAGCATGAAATCTGTTGGATCAAAAAATAACATCCTACAAATTAATTAAAGGAAATACTTCTAAAAAGCTTGTGAAGTATTTTTAAGAGACTTTAAGAGACTTAAAGATAATTTTTTAAAAATCAGGTCATAATCATATCACTAATAAAAACCATCCAGGTTATGTGAAAAATGAGGATACCATCTACACCGTTTCAAATATTGTGATGTGTGGTAATTAAAAGAGGTGAGACTTTATCATTTAACTACTAGTAACATTAAAACCAGCCCAAGACTAAAACCTACCATAACAAACCCGTTGACTTGTTTGAGAAACAAACTGACAAAAAGAGTATTATTCAATGACTACTGAGGAAGACTCTACAATTTTAAGACTGATAATACATAACTGAATTTATACTGTTGCAAAATTTTGCATTTTGCTATAGTATGTCTTAATGCTCTGACACCTGTGCTCAGGTGAAAAGGGAACGGTGCTGCTTAGACCAAGTGGGCAGTGCCGAGTTCAAGTCCAGGGTGAATCAGCTCTCTAGCGTCCAGACTCTATTTATTCCAAAATGAAAAACAAAACCAGCACACCCTTGGGCTTTCCCTAGTCAATTCTGCAACCCAGTAAGAGGGAGTGTGGAGGGCTGAGCATAAATCCATTCTCACCATTAAAAAATTAAAACAACATATAACAAACAAGAACTCTAACCTAGTGGCACAAAGCATTATTCTGTACCTTAGAAGTATCAAAGCAAAAAATATAATCCTTTGATACACACACACACGCTCTCACTCTCTGTCTCTCTCGCTCACTCTTCTGGTTCTTTACTTGAATAGACACATTTCCCACCTTACTGGTGGAATTTAAAGATACCCAGACCAGAGGAAAAAGTGACTGCACTCTTATTTATATTAAAGTATGAATACTTTGAAAGTTAACATTTTAAACAGCAGATAAACTCTAAAAACTCAACAAAAACTGTGCCCTTTGTAGGTGTGACTCTTAGCTGGATTAAAATAGAAAAAACATTAAAAGATAATTGCAGAAAAAAGCACAATAACTAAAATCACAACCTTTCACACAAATGTAAAGTTTCTGAAATGTGAACTTAAGCCTAGTCTTAATTCTACCCTTTTAAGGAAAGGCCTGTGAATTGGGAAGGGATGAAGAAAGAAAAAAATGTACTTAAAATTCCATCCCTTTCAACAGAATACTTGTGTGGTTTGATCAGCTGTAATGATGTTCCCAGAATATTGAGACAAAAGCATGTCTCCAAAGAAGAAAAGAAGTTGAAATGATTTCCCAAGTATATAAAATCACATCTAGAATGAAGTACAATCACTTCTGAAACACATGGCTCAAAAACATTGAGGCCATCTTCCTTATTTGGTGCTAATAAAAGCTATGTAAAATTTAACAAGAATTTTTAAATTGATAAGAAAAAAGAAGAATGAATTGATTCTATGAGAAATAGATATTAAACAGACCACTGGTTTCTATATGACTGAAGGTCATATTTATTACAGAACATAATATTTCATTTACCAAAGTCAGGTCTGAGTGAAGACAGCATCCATTTGTGATACTGGTTTGAAGAAAAGCTAACAAGCAAAATAATGTGGAGAAATAAAAATCAAATCAAAACATACAATTCAGGCTAAAAACCAACTAATTTTCCTTGTACTAGTCATTTTTATTAGAATAAAAACAGGTAAAAGTATATCCAAAGGATTGCTCAGTGCTGCTTCAGGTAAACAGTTTTATAATTTAAGTGCACTAACAGTATTTCTGGGACTCAATCTACAAGTTTGTATACATTAATGATTTATCTGTTCATATATCCATTACGACTTGGAGCTGCTGATCATTTATTGCCACCTTGAATGCAGCCAGAATTAATACTATGCAGAGCTCTAAAACATTTTTCTGTGTGGTGGGAAAAAAACCTGTTAATTAGAAAAATAAAAACTTTATTCTAGAATATACCCACAGCCACAAAACACAACTTTCCATTATAATTTTACTAATTCAGCAAGATGCATGAAAATGCCAAGAGGCCACGTGGATGATAAAACTCAGAAACTGTGATATACAAACTGCATCTAGATGACTATCAAAGTAGAGGAAGTACAGCCAGTTCAATTCTTTTAGTGTTAACAAGGGAGATAAGGGTAATTCCTACAATATTTTCCCTTTTACTGAACAGTCTCAGAAGTTAAATTTTGCTTTTACTAAAAAGTTATCCCACAATGCAGCCACATTCCCATTTTCATATATAGGGAAGGTTACATTAGAATTTTAGAAATGATATATGAACAACTGCATGTCCCTCAGAATAATGGCTTTGACACAAAGAGTCCATCCCTCCACCCAAAACACAAGATAACCATACCCAAGAGCTGACCATCACAAAATACACAGAGCAGCTCGCTCCTGCACCATGAGTTAAGTATCAATGCTGAGCATCTGGGGGGTTAAGAAAAGCAATATCTGATTTGCATTTAGTAAAATAAGAAACATAGAATCCTGTTGGTTGTGGTCTGTAATTCTAAATTCACTGAAAAACAACAGTGCCACCTGCTGACATTAAAGTGCTAAATGCTTTGAAAAGGACAGTACACTGTCCACAGGCATAGAATAAATATACAGATAACGTATGGTGTCTACAGACACAGAACACTTTAGAGGACGGAAGAGCTAAAATTGAATTAATAGTAACTATATTAATGTTTTCCTCCCTAAAGATCAATTATATGAAAAACAAACACCTAATTATTATCTGAGCTATAAATACAAGGCTGCTGCCAATGGCTGAAGTTAACCAGAAACAAATCTTTTCTAATGTAACCAAATTCTTTTGCAAATCCTCACTTAGAATCATACTATAAACTTATGATTACTGGAAAAAAGTAGTAGTCAAAAGAAATCAGGCAACTGTGAGATTGTGCTGTTTTTTTTTTATTGTGTTTTCAATGGAGAAATACATCATCTGTTTACAAAATAGCTCTTGAAAAATACAAGGAGTACAGATACTATAAAACAAAGCAAACTCCAGTCATGAGACACTACATACATCATGCGAAAGCAACAGTCTGATCTCCAGGTTATGAAAACTATAATTAAAAAGTCACTACACAGAAAAGGTCCAAGTTTCCAGCTTGGCAAAACTTGGGTGCAGTTACATGAAACGTTTAATAAACTGAATTGTTTTCCCCAATGTGTAAACAAAATGACAAGACTAAATCTGTGCCTGGTAATTTCAATCTAACTCTGAAGCTACACAAAACACACAGACACCTTGTACATTTCACCTGTTAGTATGACCATCTTTTTTCTTCGGTGGTGGAAGGAAGGGCAAGGTGACTGTGTAAAGCAAAGATGTGGGAAGTAGAAATATTGTTTACTAGACATTATAAAGTCATGGTGAAAAGAAAGCTTCGATTAATGCATAGCCTAAGGGGGAAAAGACTACACTCCAACTTCAGAAAATTAATTTAGAAGGATAGGGGAAGAGATTAAGTAATTGCAGTTTAACATGAAAAATGCACATGTGATAGAATGGAGCACAATGGAGGATTCATAAAACATGCTCATCAGAAAAATCTGTTAAGTCGACTTTGTCCAGATTCAGAAAGAGTAAGTTTATCAACATCTGGCATCCCTCATACTTTGTGAAGATAGATCTTCTACTGCTTAATTATGAGAAATTATTTTATTCAAAGAAAGGAGCTCTTAATCTTTTGATAAAACAAAATAAAGGAGTAGAGAGCTGACTAGATGTCAAGTGCTTGCTAGAAATGATTTTTAAAATGCTTCTACACGTAAAATGTACTGACAAATTTTGGTAAACCATTTAAAAATAAGAATTAGTTTTAAAATCTTGGAGAAAATGCCTTTTTGCCCACATTTAAAACTGAAAATCAATTTTACTATAGATAGGAGTTCTGTGGAGTGTACAAAATTCCTTTTAGAGATCAAATGGCCATCCCAGATAGATATCATGTTTCACAGGCATTACTTTTAGTCACCCTCAAGTTTCAGCCATGGGACCAAAATTTAGTGTTCTGTGCCATGTGGTCACAGGGTCATTGGTTTCACATCATGGCTTAAGAAAATACTGGCATTTTGTTTCTTACGAAGTAAGTCCTACCTTGTGCATACAAGCAAAAAGAAAAAGGAAGAAAACAGGGGAGGGAAAGGCGCAAGAAGCTTTTTTTGTTTGTTTGTTTTGAAGACAACAGATTGAAGGCAAAAGAACACAGAGCTTTCACAAGCTCAAAGAAAAATATTTGCTGGCTGATCGCTGATTTGTATGCACTATAAAACAATTCCATAAATAAAACCAATATATCATTTCTTAATCATGACCCTATCAAAACCAAGTTATTTCCTAACTATTCTTTCAATGTCAAATGTACCCTAGAGTTGACGTTTCATTTTTAAGGGTTACAGCTACCTCATAGGAACTGAACTAGATGTACTCTTACCCTTTCTCTGAAGTATAACAGTACACCACTGCACAACAGTATCCAATTTGAAGACTAATGGTAAAGAAAATTCTTCAGGAAAAACTGAAAATCCATCAAGCTGAAAATCTAAAATTAGTTCTACTTTCTAATGAAAAATACATAAAAGTGCATCATCAGAATAAGTAATTCTTATGCCAGTTTGTATTGCAAATTTTCCAAACAATGCATCAAACATAAACCCAATCCAGATGTCAATTATGAATACAAATATAGCTTGAGGTTGTTTTTTTTAAAGGCAGTAATTTTTGAAATAGTTAATGCAACTGTTGCTAACACAATAATAATAGTACTCCTGGCTTCACATACTAACCTGGACTTCCGATCAAGTGCTGATTAGCCCAGTAAGGGAGGTCACCAAAAAACCCAAATCCATTTCAGTCATGTCTAGTCTTGTACCCTCCATTCTCCTTTTTTAGCATTTGAAGACAACAGGTTGAGTTGGCAGATATTGTTTATGGACCCCTGAGGTTGTTTTTACCGATTCAATCTCAGTTTTATTGAATTCTTGATAACAGGAATAGGATTTGCAGGGAGAGCAGGGATATCAGAAAGGTCTGTACTGGATGTTTTCTGAGAATGAAAGCAAAGAACACAACATTGTTCAAAGCACCATAATTTAACAATGAGATGTATTTTCCATTGCTTTACTTCCTAAGAAACCTTCTAAGAAGAAAAGTATTACAAATTTAAAAACTCTATAATGTTGTCAAAATGGAATGTAAATATGCCTATCACATTATTTGTTCAACAAATAATGTGTTCAACAAAGGAATTTTCAAATAGGTATATTTTAATAATATTTTAAAAACTCCTAAGTAATTTCAAATAGTTTTTAAAATTGTTCCTCTAAGAATCACCTATCATATAATGCTTAAGTTACTGCTAAACTGTATTCACTTATTACAACACTAATAGCTGTAATATTAACTAGTATTGGAGCACCCCCAAGTGGGAGAATACTCAAAGCTCATTTTATATACAGAAGCAGCAGTAAATTTATTATTTTCTGACACTGTAAATTAAACAAATATATACAGCTAAGCAATAATTTAATCATCCTAAATTTTAGGTAGATTATTTTCATATTAATTAGATTAAATCACAAGCGTTCTTTAACACTAAAAAAATACAGAGATGGATCTTTAAAAGTTTTATTATGGAAAATTCCAAACATACACAAAGTAGAGAGCACTGTATAATGCATCCCCATGTATTCATTACCCAGCTTCATCAATTATCAAATCAAAGCCACTGTCCTCCCACTTTCAATTCACCTTGTGTTATTCTGAAGCAAATCCTAGAGATCTTATCATTTCATCTATAAATATTTCCAGATTTATCTCAAAACAATAAGAACTCTTTATTAGGTATAGCCACAATATTATCACCTCCCCAGAAATAAGTACGCCCCTAACATTACCAAAGATAGGAATGAATTTTTTTTTAAATCAACATAATCATTCTTCTTACATAACTGGGTGATTTTTCTCTCTATGGCTCTATGAATCCTTTCATTAGAAAGAAAATTCTACTCACTCATAAAAATATCTAAAAGGCAAATACCCATGGGTACTAATTACTATAGGGATAAATTCAGTAAGACAAAACTATGAAAATAAGTCCCGAGAGTATGTGGCAAACCAAAAAACATGCAATCACAATCACAGGACAGTTTAAGACTGATAAACAAGTTTGTCCACGTATCAATATTAAGCATACTTCCTGATGTTAGTTACTCCCCCTAAAGTTTTATTAGATTATGGAAAAGGTATTTCAGAAACTAAACATAATATTTATATATCTTTAGAGTCAATAAAAGTTAACATCTAGCAAAAGCACATGTTTAAATGATCACGTTAAAATAACTCGGAGCTGCACAGGAGCAGCAAAATATCATCATAGTACATAGTATCATATCAGTACAGCAGCAGTTGTTATCTCAGTTACTTTGTAGACATTAACCAGTTTTATCATCTATTAAAGAATATATCTACTTTGTGTCAGAATTTGAGCTAGATGTTAGGGTTCATTCATGTGAAAGGATTCAAGAAAAAAATTATTCAACAAAATGAAGGTTCACAAATCAATGAAAAAAGATTCCAGATGCCTACTGTATTCTGTATGTGAGGGTCTGTCACAAGTAGAATTGCTAGGACAAATGAAAACATAATTCTGAAGAGCTATGGGCTATATTAAATAACTAACTGAAATCAGTAGTGGAAAAATAAGGCAGAAATACATTTTTAAAATAAAAATATATTAGCCTTTGCAAAAGAAATCCACGAAGAATGTTTTTTAGTTCATTCCTAGTTTTAATTTCACTTTTGACCTACAAATAAAACCTACATATGAACCCTGTGTAAATGACTAGTGAGAATTTAAATGATTTGCAGTATCAAATAATATATTAATATAAGGGGATGGGTTAACATCGAAACAGTCCCAGAGAACGGTTCCGTCAAATCCAGGGCCCTGCCTTAAAACTACAATAAATACGTTTATAGGCTAGCAAGTAATTACTTTCAGAAAGATTAATTTTAATAGTCTTCTATGAACTCTCACTTTAATTCAATATACCACACTAATCTTAAGGACATTTACAAAATTCTCCTTGCTTTTTGCACTTAGTACCTGAGAGGCCAACAGAGAAGCCGCTGTCTGAATAGTTTCTGATTGAGTTGTACTTGTCTCTGTATCAAGTTGTTCCTGTGAGACAAAGAGGATGGGGAAGGGGGAAAAGAGACTTAAAAAAGAATAAAAGAACATAACTGGGTTTGGTGGCTAATAAAGAAGACAAACTGGAAGACAGGAGGGATCAAGAGAAAGATGTGACTACATTACAAAAACATCTAGTCAGTAGATGTTGTAGGTTATTTCACCATTTCAGATATTAATAAATTTCTATTTGCCTACTTAAATCTTATAAGGCATGGGTCAAACTAGCTCATGACTTTCCAACCAGCTCCAACTTGGGACATTTTAAGCAAACAATAATTAAAAACACACATAGGCACATCATGAAATGTTGCCCAGACAATAACAGAGCATAAACCCAAGGACAGTTCTTAGCTTTGTGGGAGGAAAAAAAAAAAAAAAAACTTATTCAATACTACTAAATAAAATAACCTCACACCTTTAATTAAAAGTAGAAAATATGTCTAAAAAAGATTTCTCCCTCCTTATGGTCTCTTCACCCCTCTCTAGTAATCAGTGCACTGATTCTACTCATCAGAAAACACAGGGTAAAGTATGTCATGCCATCACTCTAAACTTTTTAAAAGCAGTACACAAAAGAAAATAATATCTACACAAATAAATGAAAATAAAAATATAGGCCAGACGTGGTGGCTCACACCTGTAATCCTAGCACTTTGGGAGGCCGAGGTGGGGAGATCATGACATCAGGAGTTCAAGACCAGCCTGGCCAACATGGTGAAACCCCATCTCTACTAAAAATACAAAATTAGCCAGGCATGGTGGCGGGTGCCTGTAATCCCCACTACTCGGGAGGCTGAGGCAGAAGAATTGCTTGAACCTAGGAGGCAGAGGTTGCAGTGAGCCGAGATTGTCCCACTGCACTCCAGCCTGGGCGACAGAGCAAGACTCCATCTCAAAAAAAACCAAAAAAAGGACAAAGAAGAAAAGAAAAATATAAAAACTTCAATTTCAATGAAACTATACCAAAAAAAAAAAAAACGAAATATTGTTTTCTCCTATGAAATTAAAAAAGGTAAATAAGATGTAAGAAGTAGGAATGGAAGACATGCAGCCTTCCTGGAGGACAACTTGGTGATGTATACCAAACTTTAAGATAAAGCATACTATTTTCCTCAATAATTCTTCTTCCATTAATTTATGCTAAGTAAATAAACATGAATGAATGGCAGATATGGTATTTAGCTGTAACCAATATTACAGCAGGAAAGCACAACTTTCTTTTTTAAATGGAAATAATTGCTATGGATAGGAAATTGGTTGGATAAAAATAATCATAGCCTTAAGACAGCATTCTATGAAGCCATTAATAATTTTGTAGATTACATAATGATACACATACTTTTTTCTTGGTTTACAAAGTGAATCAAAATTATAAAGCAAGGGCATTATGAGGGCACACACAAAACCTAAGAGAGTTTTGTTAAAATATCCATCATAGAAATCTGGATAATTTGGGAGAAGGGGGAGAATTTCCAATTTTTCCACAAGGAAAGAAAGTTAAAAGCCTTCAATAGATTTCAATTTCTAGGGAAAAAAAATGAGTCTTTTACATTTTGGGGAAAAAAAAATTTCTTCCACCCCATCTACACCTCATTCAAGCCCCATGTACCCCAGGTTCTAGCCAAAACCTTACGCCAAAAACTGCTTCTATAATCATAACAAATTCTCAACCCAAAGAGACAGATCATGATCTCAGCCCGGACTATCAAAAATCCTATGTATCCTTTGAGGACCACTTCAAATGCTACTTCTTTCTTCAATGAAGACATGTACTGCTATTTCTGCAGTCAGAAATAACATCTTACTTTTCTTGCCCCGTGGCCCCCAGCCCTCAATTACTTTTTCTTTGATAATGTAATTAATTACATTCATGACTTATCTTGTCTACTTAATTATAAGCTCCTTTAAAGGCACAGAATGTGTTTCACTCATCACAATATTCCCTTCAGTGTTCAGCATTACATAATTAACAGTAATAAACAATACTAAAAAAATCTAAAACCTATAGCACAAAAATACAATATTTTAGAGACATTTCTATTACATCTTCTGTACTCTTAATTGTGTATGTATTCTAAAGGCTAAATTAGTATACCTTTGCTTCTGTTTTATCATGTCCACTCAAAGCAAGACAGTTAGCATCTTCACTTGTTTCATCCTGTTTTTAAAAAAAAAAGCTTTATTCTCTAAAATGAAAAATTTAGATTATTTGCCAATCAATGCTTTACTTTATAAACTTTAAAACTATAAAATAATTAAACCTGTAAGATCAACTACAGCCTTAAAATAGATAACTGGTCCCTCTTTTAAAATGTTTTTATCAGATTAAATTTGGCTTCAGTAGCTAATAAAATTAAAAAGAGCATTAGGAAAACTGTTACTGCAGATCACCACCTAAAGTACATTTCCAAAACCACTAAGAGTTCATAGAAATATATTTTGTAAGGAAAAGAAAAAAAAAAAAGAGTTCCTGATCATACAACTTTAGGAACTTGGCATAGTATCACCCCCATTCTGGGAGATTCACACAGAGTGGCACATAAAAGGTTCTAATAAATTCTATCAAGAAAGAACTCCACTTTAATTTTCCCAAGCTTAACCAGAGAATCCTTGCTCTTGGTACGACCTACTAACATCCTACAGAATACAAGACTTGAGAAATGCCTTGCTTGGGTCTTAATAACTATTTTGACACTATTTTCTCAGCAGAATTAAAATTTAATTTTAAATGTGACTTTTAAAACAGGCATAGAAAAACCACAGGCTTATAGCTTAGAAGAGATTTAATACAGTATCGATCAATTCCAATAAGGACTTTATTTGTACCCTGCAAATATGCAAACTTTAAAAATAGTAATGTGTCACAATTGGCCAAATCTGAATACTGACTGATATGTAAAACTATGGATTATTAATATTTGTGTGACAAATATACGGTACTTATATTTTATAGAAGTCCTTATTTTTAGATATACAAAGAAATGTTTTTGGTTGTTATGCCTGGGGTTTGCTTCAAAACAATGGGGAAGGAAGTGATGTGGGTATGTAGATAAAACAAGGCTGGCTGTGAGTTGTTAACTGTTGAAGCTAGGTGATGCAAACATGACAGTTCATTATACTTATGACATGTTTGAAATTTTCCATACAGAAAGTTTTAAATATATACATATATACACATATATATATATACATATATATATGTGTGTGTGTATATATATATATATAGAGAGAGAGAGAGAGAGAGAGAGAGAGAGAGGTTAATTTAGCTATAATCCAGGAAATAGAGCAAACATTTTCGATTTTTATTTTACATTACCATTTATATTTATTTGAAAAACCTTAGGATATGATGACCATTAAGCAGAACTAAACTACCTCAGAGTATCTAAAACTTTCCTATCTATATACACGTTAGTGCATTACTGAGTGAGGCCAGTATTTCTTTCTGCTTTGCTAAAATTTCTAATACCAAGTACTCATTAGCAGAGAATAAAAGACCCAATTAAGAAGGGCTTCAAAATCAGGATTACTTCTACCACAGCAAATTTCTTTTGACTAAAGCACCATGAGATTTAGGCCTGGGTTCTAATCCTGCCTCTAACTGTAACTAGATCCGTAACTGGAAAAGCCACTAAACAGCAAGTTCTTCTGGTAGGAAATGAGATTAGCCCATGGAATAACCTAATACCCCTTATCTTCTTAAAATGCTATAGTTCTATTAATCAACTCCGTAGAAATACTGTAAGCAAAATCCAGACTGAGAAAACATACACCAAAAAAAAAAAAAAAATTACAGGGAAAAGTGGGGGAGGGATGGAGGAGGGAATCTATATTTTAAAGGACACTTAGAGATATCAAACAATTGCAACACAGGGATCTTTTTCTGCTTCCAGATTTAAACAAACAGCCTATTTTTTAAAAAATCAATGAAACAATCAGGGGCCATTTGAGCACTGACTAGATGTTTGATGATATTAATAAATTGTTAATTTTTGTGAGTAGGCTAATTTTACTGTTAATGCTTTCATTCTTAGATATGATTTTTAAGATTCTAATGAAACATGTTTGGATTTTGCTTTTAAGTAATTCAATGGCAAGAGAAAATGAAAAAGGCTGAAAGAATTAAGATTACAAAGATTGGCTGAGAGTTAATTATAACAGAAGCTGTGTGATGGGTACACAGGTACATAAAATGACTCTTTTATATGTATTTTTAATTTTCCATACTTAAGTTTAAAAATTCTATATTCTTATTGCTTTTCTAAACCAGACAAGAAACACAAGTGTTATTCTACCAAGGTAAGTGCAAACAAAATTGCAAAATACTGCACTAGTACAAACTTATTTAGAGCTCTTAGGGTGCCATTTTTAACATAAAGAAAACCAAATGTTAAATGCATAGAATTATGCTTAAATACACTTTACTAATGTCAAAAGAAATTTGAGTTCTGAAATGCCGTGACAACTTCAAACCAGTATCAGTAGTCTGAATGTGTAATTGACACAAAAATTGAGTATATTCTTTAGCTGCTGCACAACCCAATCATGTGGCAGCAGGGCTCTTAATAGGATCTCCAGGCCTAACTTCTAGAAGATCTCTGATTCAGTTTGGAGAAAGCCCTAAAATCTTTATTGAAAAACAACAACAACAAAAAAAACCCCAAAAACTAATTCTGTTGTACAACCAATGATGAAAATCACTGCCCTAAGAGATAATTACACAGACACAGATGAGTTTTCAGAACACATCTTCTAAGTTATGATTATTTACAGTGGGCCCTCCATATCTGTGGAATCCATATCTGCGAATTCAACCAACCATGGATCAAAAATACTTAGAAAAATAAAAAATAATACAACAATAAAAATGACACAAATTAAAAAATACATCATAACAACAATTTAAACAGCATTTACATTGTATTAGGCATCGTAAGTAATCTGGGGGATTTAAAGTACTATACAATACCCGTTTTTCATTCTCATTTACCATCTTAAGAGTGACAAAATTCATCAGATTACTTTTAGTTAATAGCAGCTATTTCCAAAAAAAAAAAAAAGAAAGAAAAAGTCTTCAGAGAATAAGCTAAATAATAAAATAATAAAATAATTTTTCACCATTCTTAATCAAAACATAATAGAATCCATGAGAAATCTAGAGGGGTTTTTTTTCCACTCTAAAGAAATTGTGTTGTAGTAAGTAAATTACTAAATACATTCTTAGCAAAAAAAAAAAACACAATGAAATTGGTGCTTTTAGACTGTCATCTCTGGGGCAATTGCAAATGCCTCACTGATTGGAAAACAACATGAAAGTGACTCGAGGGAGAAATAAAATTGTGTAACAAGACTACCTCTATTTTAAGACTCATACGAAATCAATGTACAGTTTTAATGGTTTTCCCAAAACTAAGACTGTAACAATTATAAACCAGGTAGTATAAAAGGTTAATACCAGCTTGCAAAGCATAGTGGTTCCTGTGACCTCAACACTTTGGGAGACCAAGACAGGAGGATCGCTTGAGCCCAGGAGCTGGAGACAAGCCTGGATAACATAGCAAGACTCTGTCTTTACAAAAAAATCTTTTTTTAAATTAGGCAGGCATGGTGGTGCGCACCTGTAGTCCCAGCTACTTGGGAGGCTGAGGTGGGAGGATTGCTTGAGCCCGGGAGGCAGAGGTTGCAGTGAGCTGAGATTGCTCCACTGCACTCCAACCTGGGCAAAAGAGCCAGCCCCTGTCTCAAAACAAAAAACAAAAAATTAAGCTGGAAATGGTGGCATGCACCTGTGGGTCTAGCTACCTGGGAGGCAGAAGGATCGCCTGTGCCCAGGAGTTAAAAAACAAAAATGCAAATGATGCTAGAAAGTTTCTTTAAGGGTTAGAGAGCTAACCATTTAAGGTTCAAAAACTAATCTGGCTGCATGCACTTATCATTCAGTAAGAAGTCCCTGAGAACCTCTGGTATTTGATGGTCCTATAACACCAAGTACAGTAGAGAAACTCCAAAACTCCTTTTGGATCACAGAAGCAAAAAACTGTCCAAAGGACCATCAAAAAATCAGTACAAATAAAAGGTAGTCATTAGAGAATAATAAGTTAAGAATACATGTAATTTCATGTTAAATTCTGTTGTAGACAATACCTGCTAACTACACACACTAAAGAAGTTTAAATGAGAGGGCATAGCTTTATAGCAGAGGTAGTTACTGAGAAGAATGGGAAAGGTGAAGAGAAACTACAGCACTAAAGCACTACAGACACACCTAAAATTTTCTAAAAGCTTTGTTCCTTGATCCTTCTCTATTTTGGTTCATAAACTTTTCTTCCACTGGATTTAAAAATAGGCAGTTGGTGTTGCCATGGCTAACTAATATGTTTTTCATATATATACCTCTTCTGTTTTGGTTTTCTTGGGACTCTCTTCTTTATGAGGTGAGGATGTCCTCTTGACTCCTACTATAGGAGTAGGTATTTTTGTTGCTGCATTTCCTGAAGTTGCTGCATTTCCTGAAGATCTAGGTGGTGGGTTTACCAGACGTGTTGAAGAAACAACTCTGGAGACCGTAGGCTTTGGTGGTGGAGAAATGGCTGGTTGTGTGGCAGTTTGAGGAATGCTTTCACTCGATGTACCTAAGCAGCAAATATATGAGTATATACAAATTAAAATAACCAAATCAGTATCAAGTTGTAAGTTTTTGTTTCTCTGAATTTGATTTCATGAATAACTTTACATGCAAAAAATAAACTGGCATTTAAAAAACTGAATTTCAACTACTTAACAAACCCACTTTTCAAAATGAAGGCTAAACCAAATATAATGTAAGAATTCTCAAACCTGACAAACCCAATCTCCTTACCCCCTGAGCTTTCACTGGAATTTACTTGTGGCACAGAAACTTCAGTAGCCTGTATGTTGGTCACAGATGCTGCTGTTACAGCTGGAGCAGGACTGTTTCTGCTAAAAAAAAAAAAATTAAAAATTGTCTCAAAATTTAAAAATAGAAAAATAAAAAAAAAATTACAATAATCTATAACATATATAGAAATTATTTTGTAAAGTAAATGATTCTTTGGTTTTACTTCCTATACATACAATTTAGCAACTGACTTTATTGGATAAAGTATAACAACAGTAAATAGTACACAAACCTTCTAAAGCAGCACTGTCTAATGTTACTTCCTGAGATGACAGAATGTTCTATATCTGTGCTACTGGACATGGTAGCCACTATTAAAACATAGCTACTCTGCACTTAAAATATGACTAGTGAGAAACTATTTAATTTTAATTAAATTTAAATTGTCACATATGGCGGCTGGCTACTATATCGCCAGAGTGGTTCTAAAAGATCTATTCTTAGCTAATTTTGGCTAAGAGACTTAACTGAAGGATTTTTTCGAACAAAAATCCTTTAAAAAGTTATTAATAAGAGGCCAGGCATGGTGGCTCACGCCTGTAACCCTAGCACTCTGGGAGGTGAGGTGGAAGGATTGCTTGAGCTCAAGTCTGAAACTAGCCCGGACAACACAGTGAGCCCTCGTCTCTACAAGAAAAAAAAAAAAAAACCTATATTATTAAAAAAAAAAAAAGTTATGAATGAGCAAATGTTCTGAGAAACAGAAAACAGAAATAAACTTCTGTATACAAAGTATAAGAGTTTTATAAAACCCTAAAAGCCCATCCAGTGGCCCAGTTAAAGACCTTTAAGTGACAAGGGGATTATTTCAATATCTTACTTTTAAAATAACTTATTTTAAACCCTCTTTACTCCCCCGAAGTTTCTCTCTCATTTTCTCTTTCTCATGCCAATCTCAAATGACCTTCCTACTTAACAACCAACCAAAAGCCACTAGCCAAGTATTACCCCAAATTCTAAGTATAAATATTAAAGAGACACACCTATTTCTATAATTAACCCCTATTCTTTCCTATACAAAGAAATTATTCCTTATTATATAAAAAAGCCCAATCTATGTTCTAAATCTCACTAACTCCTGTCATCTCAAGAAACTCAAATCATCACACTCCTTTACTCTCCCATCCAATTTTCCTGTCTCAAGTAAATCCTACACATTAGCATTTAAATAAATTCACGGTTTTATTACCTCCTAAAAGAAAAACAAAAGCAGAAAAGTCCTCTGGTTTCTCTCTCTGTCTCTATCTGTGTCTGTGTGTGTGTGTGTCTGTCTCTCTTTCTCTCTCTCTCTCTCAGAGCTATCACCCACACTCTGAAACTGGTGAATGATGACACCATGAGGAGGTAGGCAACACTTCGAAGACTTGTTATTTTTGGTACTTACATGACATCCACAGGGAACCACGGAGCAGTCAACTTATTAAAGCTATGGATATCATTGGTATATGAATGTAAATGTAGTCAACAGAGCAGGTGTTACCACTCAGGGACAATATCAAGAGGGGATAAACAGACAAAAGAATAATGAGAGAGCCCTCAAGGGCACAAATATTAAATGACTAAAAAGAAAAGGATAGTTGGCCAGAGAACAACCACAGATGCTGAAGAAAGCCTGAAATGGCTAGCAAGGTGCCTAGTACATAATAAACACTCACTGCTTGTTGAGCAAATATACAATCGTATTCTAAAAACCCAGAAGTTTTATTTACAGAAGTTACTTAGTATTACTTCAAGAAACTAAACTTCAAAACTAAATTTGTGAAATTATTTAGTACAGTTGTACACATTTTATATTTGTGCACACACTCAAAGGACACAGACTTTCACAGATCCCAAAATTCTTATTAAAATGTTAGTTTCTTCACTTAAAAAAAAACTTTTAAAATGATAACACTTACAGGACATATTCAGGCCTGAAGTCTTTGGATTATGCATGATTTGCCTAAAAACATATACACATGAAGTCCAAAAGAAAGAAAAAAACACATCCACAACACCTCAGCATTTTCTATTTCACACTCATCCAGGGAATCCTCCCCAACCCGCACTTCTGCCATTGGTTAAATTGTAATACAGGCCGGGCGTGGTGGCTCATGCCTGGAATCCTGGCACTTTGGGGAGGCCAGGGTGGGCAGATCACCTGAGGTCAGGAATTCAAGACCAGCCTGGCCAACATGGTGAAACCCCGTCTCCACAAAAATACAGTAATCAGCTGGGCATGATGGCAGGTGACGGTAATCCAAGCTACTCCGGAGGCTGAGGCAGGAGAGTCGCTTGAACCTGGGAGGCGGAAGTCGCAGTGAGCCGAGATCGCGCCATTGTACTCCAGCCTGGGTGACAGAGCGAGACTCAAAATTTTTTTTTTTTTTTTTTTTTAAGACAGGGTCTCACTCTGGTTGCCCAGGCTGGGGTACAGCAGTGGGATCACAGCTCACTGTAGTCTCAACCTTGCAGGTTCAAGCAATCCTCCCACCTCAGCCTCCTGAGTGGCCACGACTACAGGTGCATACCACCACACCTAATTCTTTTACTTTTTTCTAGAGATGGGAGTCTCACTACGTTGCCCAGGCTGGTCTTGAACTCCTGGCCTCAAGTGATCCTACCACCTCAGCCTCCCCAAGTGTTGGGATTACAGGTGTGAGTCACTGCACCTGGCTGAAAATTTTTCACTGCTTCATACCCAGGGCAGTGGCATGCGCCTGTAGTCTCAGCTACTCAGAAGGTTGAAGTAGGAGGATCGCTTAAATCCAGGAACTCAAGGCCAGCCTAAACAACACAGCCAGACCCCATTTCTCAAAATAATAATAAATTTTTAAAATTTTAACTGCTGTAAATGTTAGACAGATATCTAGCTCTTCTAAAACAGGTTTCCCTAACTATCATAGACACATTCCCTGTTACAAAGGTATAAGCAGCTCTGGGACAGAAAGGTGGTTTTGTTCCTTTTGTCTGTTCTCATCAGCACACCATACAGTGCACTGTAGCAGTAGCTATCTAAATACATGAATTTGGAGGGGTTATGTGCTAACATTCATTCACATCTGACTGAAGACATTATCAGTCTCAAAAATAAAATGTTAAGTATGACAAGACAAAACCAAAAAGTACTATCCCCAAACCTGGGAATTAAATTGCTATTTAAAAAAAAATTAGTAGATGGAATGAAAATAACATTCTAAATAGATGACTTTAATAGCAAAAAGAGAATGTATCTGATTGATTTAGCAAACAGCCCCTCCACTTCTATTTCCCTCTTTTTCCTTACCCCTGAGAGCTGCCAGAACTGTTCAATGGACTGGTCTTCGTAGCACTAGTAGGTGAAGGCACAGACATGCTGTTATCACTGTCCATAGACAAGTCGAGGCTGCTGTCATTGAGAGCTGTCAATTTGACACCTTCTGTTGAATGCTGCAAACAATAAAACATTTTATCAAATATATCTTTATTTCATCCAAATGTTGAAACATGGAAACCTTTTACTTAACATATATGATTTTTACTGAAAAGCACAGATCACTAAATCTACGAAAGTTAGATGTGCCATGCTGACTCTAAAAGGCAACGATTTGGGAGTCAAGTACTTTCTTCTAAGAAGGCATCAACATTAAATATAGTTCTTATGTGGGAGAAAAAGGGAGAAAGAAATGCCGTATTAAATGTACATACTGACTGTAAGATACAACACAAATTAAAAACACTATAATATAAAAACACAAGAATCTCAAATCAGAGAACTCTAAAAATATACACACACAAGAAAGAAATGTCTCAACAATAAACATGGGACTACAATGACTCTGGAAAGTGGGACTAGAAGTGATTTTGTTTACATATAGATTTCTAATTATCCTACAATAAATATAAAATTTTTTTAATTTCAAAAAGTGTAACTTATTGCCACTCCTTACTATTTGTCAATAAAAAGAGCCTCTCTCAAAAGCAAGAGACTTCAGTGCTCTAATTGCAATTCAGAATTTTTTAAATGGCATGCTTAATACTGTAAATTATCCTGTGAAAAGAAAAGCAGAAATAACTTTCTGAAAACTAAACATAATATACAAATCCTAATGTTGGTCCTCCTTAAAAATCAAAGCACCCCAAAACAAATAATGCAGAAAAACCAAAAACTATGGATGGTTTCATGGAATTAAAGTTGCTTTCTAGTAACAGAGTTTAAATTTTCGCTATTTGGTACTACTGTAATATTACATTCAGCTTAATTTTTTTTTCCAGAATGTTTAGCCTGTGTTCACTTACCTACAGAAACATTTTAATGAAAATAATTTATACTGTTGACAAAAATACATTCCTTATACATGTGCCTGCATTCTCTGCTTTCTAGTTCCCCAAATAACAAAATATTCTTATCTTTGATTTAGCACTAGACATATCACTTATGTACATGAATGAAAATTGATCAAATGGGGAAGATGAGATTTGGTAGAAAGGAGAGGAAGAGAGAGTAATGCCATTTGCTTATGAAGTCAGTCGTGAAATAGAAGTACCTAATATTATAAATGAGTATCTCTTCTATTCAACAATGCTACCAATCTTACTCTCCACTAGATATGAGGATTTATTCAGTAAGTAAATTATATTCAGTTCTACAGTTACCTGCCTACCTGCCTCACTAAGTGGCCAAACAGCTGTGAGTTAACAGGCCACTGTTGGGGATAAACTGTGAAAGTTTATCTGGTTGGTCTAAACACAAAACAGCATTAAGCTACTTTGCTTTGTTTGCTTCTATATCCAGATCAAGTTTGGTAGCAAGAGACCTCAAAGCCAAATAGTCATAAATATTCTATCATAATTTTTAATAAAATAAAACAAAGAACATACTACAGAAAGAAACACACACACATACTTTGCAGTCAGACCTAGGTCCAATTCACAGCTCATACTACATAACCCAGGGCAAGGTTCTCAACCCCTCAGTTTCTGCTACTAAAGACAATACCCATGGGTTGGTGGAATATTAAATATAAAAAGGACTCGTACAGTGCTTTGCAAAAAGCAGTTAATAAAAGGAAGCTATTTATAAGAGTCCAAACAAAACATTCATAGATCTTGACTCCTAGACACTTGTTATTAAGCAAGAAAGTGCTATTTTACTAATGCAAACTTAGAAATAATCTAAATGATCTCAAATACAGGGTAGATTTAATCATACTGTAGCTATATAAAGAGATATTAAACAACCACTAAAAATGTAATTTGGATAGATGGTCACGATATGTTAACACAAAAAAAGGCAGGTCACAAAATAGCAAGTTTAATCAAAAACCTTTTAAAAATATGTATGTGGTAACAGGCACTGAACAGTCTGTGTATAAATAAAATGTTAAAAGTAGGTTTGCTGTGAAATTATAGTTACTTCATCTGATAGAATTTTTGGACCAAAAAACAAATTTCCAATCATTAATGATTCTCTTTATATTCTAGATGACTATATTTAAAGAAATAATAAAACATCTTATATTCAAATTTACTTAAAATGTACACAAGATGGTTCCAAATATCAATATTGTCATGGAAATACTAAGAGTTTAAAAAGGTAATCTGAATATATGATTCTGAGAAATCTAATTATCTGTTATAAATAGCTGTTTATTAAATAGCTATTTGATTATGAATTAAATATTCATAAGAAATAGCCAAGTTCTAAAGAACATAATCTACTTTCACTTCTGAAAACATAAAACGTTTGTATACTTTTTTAAAAAAATTATTATTTTGTAAGAGACAGGGTCTCGTTCTGTCACTCAGACTGAAGTGCAATGGCATAATCATAAGTTCACTGCAGCCTTGAACTATTGGGCACACATGATCTTCCCACCTCAGCCTCTCAAGTAGCTAGGACTATAAGGCCCAGGCCACCATTCTCAAAAAAATTTTTTTTTAGAGACGGAGTCTTGCTGTGTTGCCCAGGATGGTCTTGAACTCCCAGCCTCAAAGGATCCTCCTACTGCAGCCTCACAAGTCACTGGGATTACAAGCATGAGCCACCATTCCCGGGTCCAAAATGTTTATATTTTCTGTATGTGATAAATTTACATTTAAGTACAATTGATTTAACCTATTAATAATACAACACTAAAGGACAATTAGAAAGCAAGTGTTTAACTTGATATTTTAGTTTTGTTTTCCTGAGGCTAAGCTCTAGCTGAGATACTTTAATTTTAAAATAAAACTGCTTGATGGAAAATTTTACAATAAATATGTGGAAACATGCACTGAACAGTCTGTGTATAAATAGTACATTGAGAATGGTACATTTTTGTCAATTTTTATTTAGTTAACTAAATTTTTAGTAAACCATTAGGTTAAGAAGAAAATTTTTGGCCAGGTGCTGTGGCTCACACCTGTAATCCCAGCACTTTGGAAGGCTGAGGCAGGCGGATCACGAGGCCAGGAGATCGAGACCATCCTGGCTAACACGGTGAAACCCCGTCTCTACTAAAAATACAAAAAATTAGCTGGGTGTGGTGGTGGGCACCTGTAGTCCCAGCTACTCATGAGGCTGAGGCAGGAGAATGGCGTGAACCCAGGAGGCGGAGCTTGCAGTGAGCCGAAATTGTGCCACGGCACTCCAGCCTGGGCAACAGAGTGAGACTCCGTCTCAAAAAAAAAAAAAAAAATTAGAATAACATCATGTTTAAACCTTAAAAACTGATTTTAGACCCCTCCCCATCTATCTACCTATCTCCAAGTTGTGAATAACAATGATGGTGATAACAAAAGCCAATATGAGCATTTATTATGTGCCAGGAGCTAGTCTAAACCACCATTTACATGTATTTATGTATTGGCTCATTTAATCCTCATGAAATACCTAATAAAATAGGTAAAAATATTGCCACAATTTTAGGGATGAGACAAATCAAGAATAAGATGTTTGCCATGTAACTTGCTCAAATTTCACAGGTAGGAAACAGTAGAGCCTGAATTTGAACAAGGCAGTCCACTCCAGAGTCCTTGCCTTTAATTAACTTCAATGCTTTTGTATCATAATATATTGTTTTAAGAAACAAAATATTATAAAATTAAAGTCTTTTGTGTATTAATTTCATTCCTTTCCTCCCAACCCCAATCCCAGACAACCAGCCATTTTCCTGAATGCAGTAGTTGTCATTCTGTAACATATACTTTTATTTCATATTCTCTCCTAAATACATTGTTTTTTAGGTTTTTAAACTTGTAAACTTTATATGGAAGTATCAAGTGATACATACATACATGTGCCTTTTTTATTCAACATATTAGTATATGCAGTTGTAGTTCATTTATTTTCACTGCTGCATACTGTGAAGTATTCCATTATAAGAATAAACCATCTATTTTTGAAATCACTTAAAGAAAAAACGTAATTTGTATCTGTCCACTAAAATTCCAATATGCTCACTAAAGTCCAAATAAGGAAAAAATGGCTCTAAGTTATTCAAAAGGAAGCACTAACACTAGAACAATGTAATGCAAAATATTAACTCAGTGACCTCTGTTCATGACCTCCTTTACACTCAGCAACTTTTAGTTTTTAATATACGTTATATTTTTTACATTCACCAAAAAAAGCGACTTTCATTTTTTAAAAGTCTCACATAATTTACTTGACCCACATATTTCCTTACTAATTTAATTTAGTTTACTTTTTAAAGGAAAGAAAATTAAATACTGGTGTGGGATTTTTAAGTGAATAAGAATAAAAAGTCCTAAAAGAGAATACGGGTATATACAAAGTAAGGATATGAAGCATCACCACTAATCCTTCTAAAATCTAAAGCAACTGTGTGCAAGAAAACTGATTAGAGTCAGATTTCACATAATGAAACTGCTCCATGAAACAGATTTTTAAAAAGCTGTCATCTATTTAAAATGACTTATTAACTGAGCCTAAATTCTGAAATAATGATAGTCCAGATGCATAAAACATTATGTTAGTAATGCTTTTGTAAGTACTTTCTAAATTTACCTTTTTCTTTTTCTGAAGCACATGATTAGGTAGTAGTTGATGGAGTTGCTTTCTTTTTACATGCATTGCAGCAATTTTCATATCCACCTCAAACATCTTGCTGTTTATTGCTTGCCTATAAACTATACAATTAGGAAATTGTTACAAGAAATAGAAACATTTTAATAAAGGCAGTTATACTCACTCCAGAGAAACTATTCTAAGTAGGGATCCTTTTTCCATCAATACTGCATATCTGTAGATCGGTCAAGACCTATTCCTAATCTGACATAATTCATTGCCTGAGCAAACTCCTTTTACCACAAGATGAGCTGAATAAAAGCACAAAATGTATTAATTCTTCCAGTGTAGTAACCCTTTAAATAGCTCTTAAAGTAGTAACTCTAAAGAGTAACTCTTTAAGAAATGGCAGAAATGAGGGGAAAAGGGTTTCTTACACCCATACCCTTTTATGCTACCAGTACTATTCTTTAAAACTTTACCCAAGTATGTAACACATGCTGTAAAATAAGTCAAACTTATTAAACTATACCTAAAGGTATCTTTACAAGAATCTGCAAGATAAAACTAACTAATGACATACTTTCTAATATAGTAATAATTTAAATAACAGAGGTCACAGGTACAAAAAGAAAATGCTACAATTAAATAAATTCAAATTATTTAGATCCAGAGGGCCCCAAAAAGTAAAAAAGTCGGTCATACAAAACATATTTATGAAACACCTATACTTGATTCATATTGTCCTAGACACTGGAGATAAGCAGTGAACAAAGACCAACGTAGCCTCAAAGGGTCTACATTACAGTAGGGAGAATAGAATAAACACAAAAAAATAAAACATAAACTATAGTCCGTGTCAGATGATGATAAGTATTACTGAGAAAAACCACGTAGGGAGTAGGATAGGAAGCTCAGCCTGGAAACTGAGTTGACATCTGACTGAAGATTTAAATGAACATGAGGATGTAAGCTGAGAGTACCTGGTGAAATAGCATTCCAGAGAAAGCAAACATCAAGAACAAAATGCCCTAAGCAGCAGAAAATGCCTGGAACATTTGAGAAACAAGAAAAATGCCAATGAAGAAGATGAAAAGTAGAAATCCATAATCCCTTATGTGCAACTCCAAAATCCCAAAAACTCTCAACACACAAGTTTTTCTAAGATAGGAAACAAAATTCATCTAGTAACAAACCCTGTTCTGAACTATTTGTGGCTATGGCTATATGGTCTTTACCTTTTGCTCCATGTGAGTACCAATGGTTCCCTGCAGAAATGATACTGTCTTTCAGTACCAAATGCTGCTCCAGGCCTCACTGGGTATATTACTTACTAACTTTATTACCCTTCTGGCTCCAAAACTTACAGATAAAGGACTGTGAACTTATAACAGGAGGTAAGGTCACAGACATAATGAAAAAGGCAGATCAGGCAGAGGCTTGCAAACCACAGTAAAGACTTGGACTTTTATTTTGAGTGAGACAAATACTCAAAGGTTTTAAGGAGGCAAGATATGATCTGGCTTAAAAATATCATCTGGACACTAGGTAAGAACAGCTGAAGGGGGCAAGGGCAAAAGAGAAAGTTTTGGCAATGACAGTGATCCAACAGCACTATAGTGGCTAGGACTTAGGGTGAAAGCAGTGGGAACAGTACTAAGTAGCAGAAACCTCAATGTATTCTGAAAGAAGAGGCAAAAAGATTTTATAGTGGATTAACATCAAATATGGAAAAAACAGGAGTCAAAGACTGATTCCAATGTCTCTAGGTTGAACAACCAAAATAACTTGAAAAGAAACTGGTAGGGGTTGGGAGTGAACATTTGTGTGCTGAATATGTGAAACCTATTTTCTTTAAAAATCCCATAAAGTATTGGATTAAAGTGTTTCAATATACAGGACAACTAAATATTTCCTTCCCAAAATACCTAAAACATCCTTGAAAATCTTGATGGTTCATTAGTGCAATCTTTGATAAACATCTTAACTTGAATGCAATGTACAGAACAAATTTCTAATCCAGGTAAGTATCCGTGACTTATTAGTTCATAAATGAGTTAACATCAGAATTTTTACTTCAGGAAAAAATACTTCTGTGGTGTTCAGCAGGTGGAGTATCACCCTACATACGACATTCTAAAAATCTGCAGAGGTATTTTTGTTATTGTATTGATTAAAAGGTATTATGCCTAGAAACACTATATATCTTTCAATGTGGACAGTTCTACCCAACACAGAATTATACCATGTCCTTCCTACATTCCTAAAGACAAAAAAACCTACTTGGCAATTATTTAAACAAGAATTCACTTCAATTTTAAATTTAAAAAATGGAGTATTTAAAATAAAAAACGAGAAAAAACAAACAAAAAATAGAGTATTTTAATTTGAAATTTCCAGGAATACAACTACCACCAAGCATATCAAAATCAGATCACTTTTTATTTGCAACTTTCACTTTTACCAGGTCACCAATGCTAACGCTGCTGGTGATAGCTGAATCCCTACAGACAACACTTGTATCAGTCAGAATTTATAGATGTCACACTGCTCGCGATTCTACATAAAGTGCAATCACTTGACTCTTAAGTTATCTTCTAGTGTCACTGTATCTGAGCACTGACATATTGAAATACATATCCTTTTCCTTTTATTTCTCCTTTATATCACAGTTAGTGTACGATACTGACTTTTTAACAAACTGGCACTAACTTTTTTCTCTCCTGTAATTAGGTAAAACATTTCTTAATTTTAAGTCTGTATGTTCTCAAGTGAAAACTCCTCAAAGGGAATAAAAATGCCACTTACTACATTTGTTTTAAATGGGGAGAGAAGGACAGTATCTGCGAGAGAAAAGGATTAGTCCTTAAAGAAGAAATGCGGTTGTCCCTATGCGTAGTATTTGCCATTCCCATTAAAAGTTGTGCAGCTACATATAGACTCATTCTCTCAACTACATCCACCATTTGGTCTTTGGTTAAAATGAACTACCTTTCATCTTAGGGTACAGGTCAATCTGAAATCTACATATAATCAGCCTATTTCCCACCTATGCATTAACATTTGAATCCCCATAGTCGGAAAATTTCTCCAGGTCATCACAAGTTCTGCTTCATCAATTTCTCAGGTTCAAGATGATGAAGGCAGTTAGACACAGATTCAGTCTAGACAACCATATATTCAAGTTGTTTCCCATTTCTCAAGAAATTATGCGCAAGTCAAGTTTGGAATGGTTCTACTTAACTTTAAGGTCACCACAATAGAGAAAAATCGTGTATACACAGGTTGAGTATCCCTAATCCAAAAATCTGACACTGAAACTGCTACAAAATGCAAAAATTTGTGAGTGCCAACATGATACTTAAAGGAAATGCTCACTGAAGTATTTCAAATTTCATATTTTCAGACTAGGGATGCTCAACTGGTAAGTGTAATGTAAATATTCCAAAATCTGAAAAAATCCTAAACACTTCTGGTCCCAAGCATTGTGGATAAGGAATACTCAATCTGTATTAGACTAATACAAAACCATTATTCTGATGATAGTTCAATATTCGCAAGTAATTTCAACAATTATTGTAAATATCACTATGGTATGCATCAAGACAATTTGAAATATGCAAGAACTGAAGTGTTTTGATTATCCAAGTAAAGACATACCTGTATCTGTGAAAGACTGAATATCATAGGTGAGATCAACACTGAGGTTTTCAGAGTTTTCTGTTTTTTTAAACACTAACCCAATCACCCACATCGTGCGAAATTCTTCCCTGCAAAGAAGAGCATTACCATAGTTTATCTGGATTTCATGAAAATGTAGCTATCAGTGTGGCTGACAATCAGAGACATGGAAAAACTTACAATACAAATGTATGAGCAAACTAAAAGTTCTAAGCCCAAGCTCCATGAAAACGCAAAGTCCTCACCCACACCTGTCCTCTATATTCCTACTACAACATAAACAGAGATCCAGGAGAAATATACTCTTACTAACTGTGCATTGATAGTCAATGTCCTTAATGATGATTCTAAAGAACCAAAGCCACTGAAATCAAAGAAAAATTATCTTTAAACTAATGAAGGAAAAAGAATAATCTTTTTAGAAAAATCTGGGAAAAAAAGGATTTTTCTAAATACAGAAATTTAACTAGAACTTAATAGATATTTCTTAAACTTCAAAAATTCAATTTAAAAGGCCACATGAACAGAAGCATAACAGGAGTAATTAGTGATTTAGCTACTTTTGAACATTTAACAGTTTATCTACTGAATGGAACATCAAACGGTCTTGTTATAATTAAGATTAGAATTACCACAAAATGTAAAAAAACTCTTATATAATTACAAAATAAAAAAATCTATATAATCAATAAGAATACTGTATAACACAAATTTAATGATCCTTTCACTTGTTTTAATGCTGCTTTATTTTTTAAAATAAGCTCATTACTAGTACTCTCCAATTCTCCAATGCAACAAAGTATAGAGTCTAGTCTCATACGAACAGCAAACAATCAAATCAACAACTAACCTACATAAATAAAAGACCCCTAAAAAGGTAAACTGACTCTGCTTTTTCTTATGTTATCTTCTCAACAGTCCAGAATCACGCATAAATCAGATTTTTATAAGTTCATAACAAAAAATTAAGATAAAAAGCAAAGACTGATGTATGGTATACCAGCTATTCTGACAACTATTGTACAAAACAGGAGAAGAAAAAATATTAAGAAGGAATGGTAAAGACAGTATTAAAGCAGAACTGTAGAATGTAAACTCTAGCTAACAGGCACCTCATCATTGGAAGAATATTATCAGAAAAAAAATGTGTGCTGATTTTTCTCACGAAACAGTCTTTCTCTTCAATGTTTCTGATCAGGAAAAACTAAATTATAAGTTCTAAATTGTCTATAAGCCATATGTAGTCAACAGAATAGTTATACTAGTTATAAAAAATGCCTGTAAAAGCTTCTATGAATAAAAATTGGAAATGGGAAGAAGAAATTAAATTAGAAAAGGGCTTACTTGTCGGGATTTTCTTTGGGTGCTGGAAATGACTGGGGATTCACATGAGCCAGTGTAATAAATTCATTCTTCTCCAAGCTTCCAACCAGGATTCGGATTTTTGATTCCACCAAGCCCACCCTGAACAAATGTCACTTAGTATTAACAAAAAGTTTTGGTTAACTTAAAAATAAATAAATAAAATGCACATACCAGGGCATTTCAACTAGCTGAACTCCCACAGATAAAACCAGAAGCCTTATGTTCTACCCAAAATTGCCAAACAACGGGGAAAAAAGAGCCAAGAAACACTCCATTCACACCAGCAAGGTTACAAAAGTTATCCACACAAAAATTTTAAGAAAAACAAGCTATAAGTGCACTTTAAATATACAATTAAGAAATTATGCACGGATCTCCATAAAGCAAACAAAAAAATAAGTTGCATATGGATCTCCTGATTTCTGTACTTCCACTACACACAGTAAAGCTCCATTTGTGAACAAATCAAACCAAACTAGAAGTTTTAAGGACTTCCTCCCATCTCCTACTGTGTTCAGTGGCTATGTGATTCATTTTGAAGTTTGCTTTTTCTGTAAAGTCTATTCTTATACTCACCATTCCAGGCGTTGTTTTTCTGTTGGTGCACTTGCTAGAAGTACAATATAATGCCTTTGAAGATAAAGACAACATGCTATTTATTTTATTTACACGCTTTGTGCTGGATATTAAACCATAAAGTAATAAGCTTCCTTACAGTTATAGATCCACATCAATTTAGCAAGGGGGACTACAATCTCAATATGCACATAAAATCATATATGCTAAATTCCATGTTTCTAACTACTAGTGAGTTTAATTCTTCTGAAAAAGGCAGTGACTTTATGAATAATTACCAAAAAGCAGCTTAATTCAAGAAGCATAAATAAGCATTAATAATTTTGCTCAATGACACCGATTGAGTGCTCTGCCTATAAAATTAAAGAGCTGTTCACTAAAATATAATCTACTTATAACAAAAATGTTTCAATAGAATCAAAACACCATTGCTTTAGACACAAAAACTTATCACTAAATACACATACTACAACAGTAACTTCAAAAACAGTATCAAACACATCATGCTTTTAAATTCAAATGAAATAGTAGTGAAAATTAAACTGAATACTGCAGTTAGGCCCTGTGATTTTTTTCCCAATTTTAAGAGTATACATTTCTATAATCAAAAAAGAAAAAAAAAATCACTAACATGACAGCAACAAAGAAATCTGATTTTTATCCAAAACTCAATCCCATTCATATTAGACAAAAGCCAAGTTTTCACTTCAGAAAATAGCATCATGATCAAATAAATAATGAAGTCTTTTTAAAACAAACTATTTACAACTAAAATGTAACTACAATGATTCAGTTTCCTACGACTAAAAAAGTTCAATCCAATATACTCTTCTACAGTACCCATTTTAGAAGTGCTGGGGGCCAAATTTCACACCAGAATCTCTACCCCAAAAAGCAAACTGACATCATCTAGTACTGACACTAGTTTCAAAAGTAGCAGTATAACCACAATTTTAAAATTATTTTACTCTTTGAAAAGTCTAAAACCTTCCTAATACTTTCTAACACATTTTATAAGTATAGTTTCTAACCAAGAGCAAAAATCTGACCTAGACCCAGAGAAAAACTACCAAACTTATTTTAAAAAAATGTATTTGAAACATGGTTTCAGCCGGGTGTGGTGGCTCACGCCTGTAATCCCAGCACTCTGTGAGGCCGAGGCGGGCGGATCACAAGGTCAGGAGATGAGACCATCCTGGCTAACACAGTGAAACTCCGTCTCTACTAAAAATACAAAAAATTAGCCGGGCATGGTGGTGAGCACCTATAGTCCCAGCTATTCAGGAGGCTGAGGCAGGAGAATGGCATGAACCCAGGAGGCGGAGCTTGCAGTGAGCCGAGATCATCGCACCACTGCATTCCAGCCTGGGCAACAGAGCGAGACTCCGTCTCAAAACAAAAAAAAGAAAAATGGTTTTAATTCTTCACAGCTATGTAATCCTAGGCAATTCTAAGTCTTGTGTACATCATCTGTAAAATGGGATAATAGTACACATTTTACTGGCAGAGGTATTGTAAAGTTCAATGGAGTTAACTTGAAGTCTATAAACTCAAGGTAACAGAGATAGATATATAAAAAACAAGGTATATAGGGATATGTGAATATGCAGTCCAAACTCCTACAAACCAATACTTCCTTTACCAGTTTAATTTGCTCAGCATTATTTGGAATATGTCAAATACATGAGCAAGCACAGATGGCCCAAATAAATCAACAAAAGTCATATAAAAGCATTAAAAAATCATGTATTTTATGTGTAGAAAAACCCATACTCGGAGTTCCAAATGCTCTTAAATCAAACAAAATCCTAACAAGCTCAGTAACCTGATTTCTAGGTCCCTAAAACATTAAAAATGGCTAACTGGTTAAAAAAAAAAAAAAAGGTAAAGAACATGCAGAAAGAGCTCTCTCACGAAAGTACAGTGACTTGTAACAGGAGACAATGAAGTATAGAAATCAGGCATGTACACAAAAACACAAAGCTGTCTGGGTCCATCTAAGGGCAGGGACAAAACTCCCGCAGTCTCTAAATCACTCTTACAACACATTATTAAAATGGAAATTCTTAATAACCACCTTAGTCTTCAACAAAACCTTAAATGATATACAATGTTCTTTATTTATAAAGGGAAAACATACAATCCATTTGGACACGGTTTTGCTGGCAATTCAAAGTTTTGAATCCTAGAGTTCAACATAACTTCTTACTGAAATCCAAAAGGGAAAGAGTACCTACTCTGTATATATCTTACACACAAATGCACACATTCACATATAGGTAGAAATATTAAGTAATTCTAACAAGTATTTATGCTGAGGTTAAATGTCCTTTACTCAGCCACATTTAAACAAATTTGAGTTGAGATATAAAATGCAATAGTTAAGTTTAATAAAAAAAAACCCGCAAATATTTTGAGTCATTAGGAATTCATTTACAAAACAAAATTCCAACTGCATTCTCTAAATATCTCTATTTTTAATTTTTAAAACCAGGATTGGTACTCAATTCTTAAGGTCCCAATCAGACCACAGAAACCTAGTGTACATCTAAATTAGACATTTTGTTGATGTACGAAAAATCATGGTCCCCTATTTTACAAGTGCCATGTTTAAAACTGTCATGTTTATGATGCGCAAGTGCCTCCATGCGAGACTTTGAAGTCTTGATGCAATTGCCATTACCTTTTCCCCAAATTTAAAAATATATAGTTTCCAATAAAAATAGTTAAAAACATAGTTAAAAATAAATTTAACTATAAAAATGTATCCCAAAATAATTAGAATTTATGCAAAGTGCCCTAAAAACACTTAATTTAGTTACTTTATTACCTAACTGCTATTTGCAAAACAAATTCTCTAAGTGAATCTCTTGAAGACCATTTCATCTCACCTGGGAAGATCATAACTCAGATGTACAATAAAAAGCTGGCATATCTTAGTCAAAAATGTTTGCAATTCTATGTTTACGTAATTCAAGACCAAGATTTAGTTTCCTGTTTTTAACTTTTTTAACAAATTTAAGGTTACTGTATACACACATGAAATTATAAAATCATCTTGCACCTTAGAGAATACATTGGTTTTCCTAATACTTTTCCTTTATTCCTAGTGAAATCTAACAACTGAAGTAAGTATTCACATTTCCTAATGTTAATGATTTACTGCTAGTTACATGTTAACTTGAATTATCTCAGAAGCGGCATTTAAAAAACTGTTTTCTTAGAACTCCAAAAATTTCACAAAACAATGTTACCCCTTTTTCTTGAGGAACACTGATAAGTCTTTCTGGAAGATGATTAGTTTGCATTTTAAAACAAACGAGATTTTTCTCCATGGTTCTGGCTCCTTCCAAGAATGTCAGGTATATTTCACATGATTTAAAATCCTACACATATCAACTGACAGTATTTCATGATATGCCTCAAATAAGATTGAATCAACTTGTGACTCATGGGAAGACTAAACATTTCCATTTGGTTGTACAGTCAATCTTTGGAGTATTTTATATGAGGATGTCTTTAAAAATTCAAATCTGTGAACACCTCCAAAAGCCTAATGATAGTCATCACTTTATCTTAAAGAGGCAAATTTCTGGAGAACAATTAAAAATATAAATAGAATTTGGTATGGATAAAACTAGCCCATTGTCATATTTTAAAAGTTTTCACAAGACACTCAGCTGAAATGCAAATTTTCCTGATGTAATTTCCTCTATTTGTTGCTGCTTTTTTTACAACCTAAAAAAATTTGATTATTTCACAAAAACTTCAGTGAAGATTAGTAATATATCTTTTAACCAGTCAAAGAACTTACAGGTACTATCCAGCAAGGACTGAAGCATAGTTTAAAACTTTTAAAAGAAACATTAAGCAAGCTTTAGAAAAAGCACCAAAGTTCTAATGATGTGAATTTGTTCAAATAAAATGACATTATTAAGGTTTGTTCAGTGTAAACATTAATCTTTCTTAAAGTGAAAGAAGCCCCGTCACAGTCCTATACGAAAGTGAATAGAACAAAGTTTGAATCTAGTTTCATCATTGATTCCAGGAATTAAGGGGTACTAGCACTTTCCTGTAAAACCAATTCCTTTATTCTTCTCCTTACATGTAACTGTGTCTCTTTTATATCATAGTTTTAAAAGTATCTACATACATGTTTATTAGTTTAAATGTTCCAAGGTACTTCCTCTACACTGGTTAAAATAAAAACAAAGAAAAATTATCTGTCAAACAGAAATCACAATTTATGGGGGGATTCGTAGTAAAATAAGAGTATTTAATGATTATGCTATTTTAATTTTTACTGACAACGTAGTGCTTCGAGAACACAATTACTGGCTCCGTTATTGCTTTCTCATGCAAAAGATACAGAAACAAAACACAGAGACATCATGAAGGTCATCATTCTTGTTTTTAATTGGGGAAGAGCATAAAGCAATCTTGCTTAGATTATTACAAAACACAATCCAACACAAGATCAAATGGTCAGAAAAGCTTCAAGCATTAAAAAAAAAATTTTAAGTGGGACTTTGGCACATTTTCAGCCCAGGGCAAATAAAAGTGCAAGTCTGTGGTTTGTCTGTTTTTTAAATAAGATTATAACTTACATTTTTCATCAAAACTAACACAATTAATGAAGCTTTTAACCTGTACTAAGGTATTAAACCATTATATTTAAACCATTAATTAAAATGATTAACACCCACTTAGATTCATGAAAGCTAGCTGTAGAAATATTTGAAGGGGCTATAACATTGGGGGAAAATGGCAGGCCAATAATGTGCTGTAACTATTGAAAACATTTAATTGGCTATATATTGACATTTTATTAGCTTTGTCTTTGTTTTAAAGATTCCTAGCAATTAATGAGTTTCCAGAATTAGATAAAAATACTGTTTCTTAGCAGAGAATTATTAACTACAGATTTTTCAGGGTGCATCCACTTGCCACTGTATACAGATGTACTGTTTTTGTCATGACTGATGTATGCCTACAGAACTTATGTTGCTACAAATGTAGCAGGAGTTCAGTTAGATCGGGCAGAAAAATCAAAGGGGCTTCACATTCATTACCTCAACCAAAAAAAACTAAGGAGTTCACTAAAACAGTATGTCCTTGTGACAGGAAAGAAAATTCTTCCAATAACATTAGTCCAGCAAGAAGAAATGTCATAATGTGCTACCATTAAACCATTACTTAAGAGAGCAACATGTCCGACATGCCTTAAAATACATACTTGTACTTTTGAAAGAAGTTTGGAGCTTCAAAAAGTTTGGACCACTCTGCCTTACTCAGCAAAATTTCATCTGTGATAGCAAGACCTAAATTAAAAACATATTAAAATGTTTGCATACTTCAGTCTACAATCTAGAATTTTAAATAATCTTAATCATACTACATGCACTCACTATAATCCTAAAACCAGAATTTTAACATATATAGTTTTAGCTTATGATTTTAGAGCATACTCTTATATATATACACATTTTTTTTTTAAAAAGCTGGAAGATTTTTTGAGAACCAGGTTTCTGGTAAAGTACAATTATTCTAAAATGCCATGCTCATAGAATGACCTTCTTTCTTAAACACTCCAGTTACCCGAGAAGGAAAACTTTCCAATATACTTTGTTTCTTGCCTTTCTAAAACCAAGTTTCCCTGTTGTTTCTAAAGGGATAGAGGCATCTTCCCTTGATGGGCCTCTTTAGACTAAAGATGAAACTAAAGTGTAAAATATTCAGGAATTTTAAACGTCTAAATTTAAAGCTAGTAGTCAGACAACTGATTCTATTTCCTTTACTGTTTTCAGTCAAACCAATCTGTTCCAGTTATTTCTCTCAAAGACTATTTGGTAGTAGCTATACCTTCAAATTAACAGTACAACTAGGGTTCAAAAGTTAAAAGGTTCCTCCAAAATAATGGAATGTAATTGGGTGGTTTGGCCCCATTCCTGCTCAAAGTTCTTTCCCAGGAGTATACAGCCTGCTAAACATCTCTCATTTCAACCAGTGTAGACAAACTGTTATCATTTATAATTTTACAAGGCAATAGTATGCAACTAAACCAGCTTACTGGTTTTAACTGTTGGTTAATCTTCCAACTTGTTATAAAAAACAAATTGCCTAAAAGGAATTAATTTTTTGAAGTCAGTTCTCAAATATATACTGTAATAAATAAATGAACACCAAAATCCACTTCAGTGAATCCTTCTTCAATTTAAGTTGCACAGCTGACTACTGGGTCTACAATGGTACGTAAATCCTTCCTGTATAAATCAGAGCATAAGGATAAACACTTACCTTGTTTAAACTCCTCAACCATGACCATCCGTGTTGAAACGGACACATTGTACGTGGAGTTCTGTTGTGGGTATGCTGGTGTAATTATAGGCATAAGATGGTACCTATCACTGGGGTTTACCTACATACAACAACAGCCAATCAGTTTCTTCAAGTACATATGCAACAGATACTTGGGCTTTTTACCCCTTGTTAAACTGAACCAATGATTCTATTTTTTATTTCATTCATAGCTGGAGTTGAGAAAGAAAAACCATGTAGAGAGACATTGTTTTTATAGGAATTTTTTATAGAATCAAAGATTTCATCTAAACTAATGATCTGCTTCAATTTGGATTTTGGCAACCTTACTAGAAAGTGTGCCTGCTGAACAACAACAAAAAAGTTCTGCTTGGGAATCTATTGATGTTTAGTTTTTCTTTATTCAACAACAGAAATGGGGATGCACATACAATTACCTTTAGAGACATGTCATGCTACAATGTTTTGTAAGCTAATTTTCAACAAGATAGAAACTTAAGTTCTTAATATACCCTGAAACTATTAAGGAGTTCAAGCTTATTAACACGCGGTGAAACTACATTATCCATGTTGATATGTTAGGAGATAATGAAATGATATACTGTTAATTTTAAATCTGTATATCAGTAAGTGGCACATTTCCACAAAGTAAGTTGTAAATTCACATCCTCTAAAAGTAAATGCCTTGAGGTTCGGAAAACCTGAAAATGCATAGCTTGATGTAATTCAACAGAATTTAAAATTTTTGATATTGTAATAATTTAGAAAAAAAGGATTTCATAAACTTAGGAAATCTTATTCAAACCTAAATTTCTTTTATCAGTTTATAAAGTGCATGTTGTTAACATTTAAAATGAGTAAGCGGTAAATGTTGTAACTTCCCAAGAAACAGAATGGAAGGTCTTCTTTAGCCCAACCATGTTTTTATAATCTCTAAAATATCTAAACCAATTTTTTTTACAATTACATCATGGTAATTAAAGTGAAAATGCTTAGAAGTTATATGCCACATGTAAACATTAAGTAACAGCTTTCCTATAACAACCCAACTTTAGCATAATACTTAGATAAAATAAAAAATACAGGGATTTTTAGTATCCTTTTATTTTTTTTAAAGCACAAATGCCCACACAACTTTGACTTACAAGGTAGTTCTATATAGAATAAATTAAAATGTTAGTAAAATCTGTATTAAAAACTATGTACAATTAAATGTGGTTTACAGGGTACATAATTATGCTTCTCACATCAATTATAGTTGAGGACAATTATAGTTGAGGTTATCTAAAAGAAAGTGTAATACGGACATGACCATTCATAAGTAAAAGGCTGGAAGTCTCCCTGGAGTTTATGCAGATGATTTTTACTTGTTATTGCACAGTGTGAATTGGTAGGGGAAAAAATAATACACTAACCCTTGGGTCCCATACAGGCAAATTAAGATTGCATTCTTCAGGCTGTTTCAATAGCACTGGATTTGGCCATTCCCTGTTTAAAAAGATTGTAGCACTTGATAAGACTATTGGATATTACCATCTAAACGTATTTTGTTAAACATACAGCATTTGTGAACGTGATCCTTCTTCATTCTGCCTTCTTGGTACATACAACGTTTTAATCCTTTCTGACGACATTAGACTACTCAAAATCTTTTTCTCCTAACTATGAAATGAACTTAAACCATTTGGTAGCCTTCTCAGACTGAAACCAAAAACGTTCTCTGCCACTCAAAGAACTTTAAAGGACTATTTAAATAAAGAAGTACCATCCCAAGATAATGATGTGTCCACTTCAACCTTGAACAGAATAAATCTCCACTGAAAGACAAAATTCCTGCCTTTATACTAGTTCCATCCAAAGTCAAGTGATAATTTTAAAAGTTACTTCTGATCACAGGCAAAGGGGTATGAATAATTATAGAATTCATGACTTAAAAGTGGTAAGACAAGTGTAGTAGTAAAACTTGGTGGCATAACCACATTTTCATATGTGTTCCATAAACTAGCTACTTTGGTCCCATATGAAAGAGGTAAAAACTGGAGAACACCTGCCACTCTTAACATCAAGGTTAGCTTCTTAAAAACATTATTTGCTTATATATGTGTAGCATTAAAAGAAATTCTGACAGCCGGACGCGGTGGCTCACGCCTGTAATCCCAGCACTATGGGAGGCCGAGGCGGGCGGATTATGAGGTCAGGAGATCGAGACCATCCTGGCTAACACAGTGAAACCTCGTCTCTACTAAAAATACAAAAATTAGCCAGGCGTGGTGGCAGGCGCTTGTAGTCCCAGCTACTCAGGAGACTAAGGCAGGAGAATAGCATGAATCCAGGAGGCAGAGCTTGCAGTGAGCCAAGATCGTGCCACTGCACTCCAGCCTGGGTGACAGAGTGAGACTCCGTCTCAAACAAAAAAAAAAAAAAAAAAAAAAGAAATTCTGACATTCTTTAATCTTATCACACCTGATTATAAGTGCTACTAAATCCCAAAACAGCCAGAATGTGTACTGAAAAGTGTGGCATGGTTCTAAATTTTTTTTATTTTTCCTCCAGTTGAACACAGCTCTAAATTGTCTCAAATAACTAATTTTTATAAAATTACTAGAAAAGAACATCTCTTTTGCAGAGGGAGGAGCAGGAGTTCATAAGAACAGGAATGGACGATTTATCTTAATTTGATTAAAAACCAAGAACCCTCACCTTTTGGGCCAAGGCAATTAATATAAAATGGCAGTAATCTTTTATTCTACTTTTTCTTAAATCATAGTTGACATATGTGGAAATGAAACGAAGAAACTTAAAAAAATCTGGGTTAATGACTAATCTCAAATTCCTTTTTTGTCCCGAAGCACTTAATGTTAATTTATTCTTTAAAAGCTTCTTATGAAAATTCGTATCTTTAATATTAGGCCAAATAAATGCTGAAAGCAAAAAGAAAAAAAAAACAATCACAAGAAACTAATGGCCTATAGATAGAGAATTAAAAGAGTGAAAGAGGTAGTGTGTACAAGTTTTATCCAAAAGTATAGTAACTGATTTCCCAACCTATCAATAAATTGGATCTTAGCTGCTAAAATTCAGAGTTTATTCAGAGGGTAAGTTTATGCAAGGAAGTACAAATAGAATCTGCCTTACTATCCTGGCCAAACTAGGGAAAAAAAATAGTTTCAGTTTGCCATTTTATACACAATGTGATCTCCAAGGCTGCCTACATGACTACATCATGAACTAAAATTTGAATCTGAAACCAAGCTGAGAAATGTCATAGAAATAAGACTAAACTTCAGTGTCTACAATCAATTTTATTTTAATATAATCTAAACACATACCATTTAGAAAATACCAAGAAAAATTTATGTACAAGAGTTGATGCTATTGCATTTGGATAAAGCTGGCAAGTTCTTGCTACTAGCATAGCCCAGGAAACACCACCGAGGAAACCTAATATATTGGAATAGATGTTGTGGCCTGTTGATAAGGGAAAAGCAAAAAGATAAGTTAGTGTTGAACAAAAGTTTGAACATTTTTAATAAGCTAGCCAACAAATTCTGAACTCACGTTTGGCCCATAGTTTGATAGCTCTCAGAGTTAACCTGAAGTTGTCAATGTTTGGTACTAGATGTAAAATTTCATCGGTTACCCTGCAACCTAATTAATAGGGGTAAAAAAAAACACACACACACACACACACACAAAACAAAACAAAACAAAAAAAAACAACATTAAATCATCAAAAGTTTAATGGTAATGCTTCCAAATTTTCTGAGATTGAAGTTAAAAGTAAACATAAATTTTTATTTGGTAGAACCAGTAAAGCTAATTCAATAAAGAGGGGGAAAAAATCTAAAGCATTTATCTCCTATTGTAAGCACTGACCAAAGAAACCAAAGTAAACTGTAACCTGCCCCAATTTGAACTTCAGATTCACAATTAAAACTTCCCACATATACTGCGGAAGACTTAATCCACTAAAGTTTCCAAGAACTGCTCTTCAAGAGCACAGTAACAAGCTATGCTAATATAAAATTGTACCAAAGTAGTCCTTCTGATCTCAGCAATGCTGAAAGCATTACTAAAGAATAACAGGATCAAAATTAATTTGGGTTAGGCCATGAAACCTAAATCACTAGCAACAGAGTACAAAAGTCAGATGGTCTTTTTAAGTGTCCTGAGTATACCATTAATGACAGAAGAAATACAGTGTATAAAATACTGTAGAGTGAAATAAACTACTACATACTCTTCTGTAGTTTATTAGGCAAAGTTCATTTTATTTAACTCACTACTGTGTTAACAATATAGCTATAAAAAGCTTCAATACAAAACTTGTGTAAAAACAACTAATATCTGACAAAAACTGAAGTACACAAAAGGAAGTAGGCTTTCTCATACCGTTAAGACTTCTTATACATCTTATATCTAAATTTTTTAGCAGACTGTCATCTCGTAGATCCAAATCTTCAGGAATTGTCTGCAGTGCTAATCTTGCAAACAAAATATCAATCTGAAACACAAACAAAACAACATTCCATATCTGTCAAACTACTTTTAAGGCATTTCTATGAAAAAACAAACAAACAAAAAATCCCAGCACTCTGGGAGGCTGAGGCAGGTGGAACACTTGAGCAAGACCAGCCTGGGCAACATGGCGAAACCCTGTCTCTATAAAAAAAATACAGGTCTGGCACAGTGGCTCGCACCTGTAATCCCAGCACTTTGGGAGGCCTGGGCAGGCGGATCACGAGGTCAGGAGATCGAGACCATCCTGGCTAACACGGTGAACCCCGTCTCTATTAAAAATACAAAAAAATTAGCCGGGCATGGTGGTGGGCACCTGTAGTCCCAGTTACTGGGGAGGCTGAGGCAGGAGAATGGTGTGAACCCAGGAGGCAGAACTGCAGTGAGCCGAGACCGCACCACTGCACTACAGCCTGGGTGACAGAGCAACACTCCGTCTCAAAAACAAAAACTACAAAAAAATTAGCCAGGTGTAGTGGCACACACCTGTGGTCTCAGCTATGGACCTCCCATGCACCTGTGGGAGGCTGAGGCAGAAAAATCATTTGAGCCTGGAAGGCGGAGGTTGCGGTAAGTCAAAACCATGCCACCGCACTCCAGCCTGGGTGACAGGAGTAAAACCCTGACTCAAAACAGCAAAACAAAAACCTAATTTTCCTTAAAGCCAGGATCCTTTCATTATCTATGAACACGACAATGTCCCTCCAAAAGTCCAAACTATATTATTTCGTATCATAGGTATTTTAATTAGATAATTTTAAAACATGGCAATATAGGCTGGGGGTAGTGGCTCCCGCCGGTAGTCCCAGCACTTTGGGAGCCAAGGCAGGAAGACTGCTTGAGGCTGTCTTCGAGATCAGCCTGGACAACATAGTGAGACTCCATCTCTACAAAAAAAATTAAAAATTAGCCAGGCATGGTGACAAGCGCCTGTAGTCCCACCTACTTGGGGGGGCTGAGGTAGGAGGATCCCTTGAGCCCAGGAGGTTGAGGCTACAGTGAACTGTGATTGCAACACTGCCTCTAGCCTGGGTAAAGTAAGACCCTGCCTCAGAAAAAAAAAAAAGAAAAAAAAAAACAAACAAACATGGCAATATTTTTAAAACAGAAATGGAAATGTACAAATACCTGGTTGTCAGTTTAATCACAATTATCAAGTTTGATGTATTAAGTTTGTTAAATGCATCTACTGGATATAGTAAGTCTAGTAAATACATATGCTGAATTAAAGTTAACTGTTTAGCTCTTCATCTATATGAATTATAAATTGATTACATACTAAAAAGTACCCAAATTTAGGCAAATAGCCTTATATTCAGCCAAAAATACCTCTCAATAAGGGGAGATCTCATTATACATGAGAACTTAATAGTACTCAAATATAAGGCAAACATCCTTACATTTAGCCAAAAATAATTCTCAATAAAGAGATTCCATTATATCTGAGAACTTTTATGTCTGTAATACTACAGTATGTTTTTCCAACTGAGTTTTAAGTAAAACAAAAACACTGGGGAAAGTACAGCCTAAAACAACCACAGTTAAGGCTAATTTTGAAGACATAGAATTCCGCTGACAAAATTGTTTCTTTTCTAAAGGAAAGGTGAGAGTGCAAAGAAACAGCACAGCTTTGGTAGTTATCCCTGAGGGTATGATTTCATGGTTCCAAAAATGTGGATGTCGCTGTAAACAAGCCTTTTATAAGATCACTTTTTTTTTGTTTGTTTGTTTTTTTGTTTTAGACAGAGTCTTGCTCTGTCGCCCAGGCTGGAGTGCAGTGGCAGGATCTTGGATCACTGCAACCTCCACTTCCCGGGTTCAAGTGATTCTCCTGCCTCAGTCTCCTAAGTAGCTGGGACTACAGGCACACGCCACCATGCCTGGCTAATTTTTTCTATTTTTAGTACAGACAGGGTTTCAACGTGTTGGCCAGGACGGTCTTGATCTCCTGACCTCGTGATCCACCTACCTTGGCCTCCCAAAGTGCTGGGATTACAGGCATGAGCCACCGTGCCTGGCTACTAGATCACTTTTTAAAAAGCAGTATTTTAGGAGCACATTTTAAAATATCATTTAAACATACCTACAGAAAAAAAATTGTACTGTTACACAAATAAGTACTTGTGGTCTAGGATAAACTGTTCAATGAAAAAGAACAGATTTCAAAGTCTCCCCCAATTTGGACAGAAATAAAGATTATAGGCTCATAAAACTAGGTAACTGAAAAAGCAACTCAGTAATAATACTGACACATTTTTTAAAGGATGGAATTACTTCAAAAAATATTGAAATGTGAAAATGATTACTAAATTTCCTAAAATATTATGTTCCTAAAATATTATTTTTTAATATAGCATGTATAATAGAAAATTAACACATTAAATGTTTTAAGTAGCCATCTAACTTTCCATCTTGATCCTGTAAAGTTTACAAAGTTAGGTCAGGTCTCCTTCCAAAAAAAAGTCCTCTTTGTCAGTAATATTCTTTTTAGGAAAATGAGGCCTCAACTTATACTTTATATTACAGATTATTTTTACGTTTACTTAAAACACTGACAGTAAATCAAAACTACATGAACTTGATAATCCTTTACCAAATTTAACATTTTATGTCTACTTATTAAGGTCAGTCACTTGACTTTTCATAAAATACAGAGTTGAGCGTCTTATGCAGCAACCTTAGATGCAGCCATTTTTTTGCAAAATAGTACAACAGTGAATTATCTTTTTTATTTTTTAAAGAGATTAAGTCTCGCTACATTGCCAGGCTAGATTTAAGCTCCTGGGCTCAAGAGATCCTCCTGTAGCAGCTTCCTGATAGGTGCACATCACTGTGCCCAGCTTCAATAAATTATTTCTCTTACAGTTTCCAAAATGTTACAATCTTCACTTTATTATCTGTGACTTTCCAGTACCATTCTGTACAGCAAAAGTAATGAATTACTAAAGTTGCTTCACTGTCAACTTTATTCTCATCACTTTAATTACACACACCGAAAGCAGCAAGGAGAAATGAACATCATCTCAAGAATTTGAGTCCATAAATCCTCCCCTATCGGAAGATATTTCAGCACTCACACTTTTCTCCCAATTTTTAAATGAAGTCAAAGCAAAGCATTACTTGCAAAAACACATTATGCTACTGCCTTAATGAGACTAAAAGCACACAAAACTGGCATATGGAAAAGCTACCAAAAAAACTTTTTTGTAATAGCATTTCAATCTTAAGGTTTCATTACTTCTGTTTTAGCTCCAAATTTCACTTGGTATTTTTAAAAAGATTTAAAATGGTATATTCTACAAGAATAGGCAGTCACTTCCATTTAAAAGCCTTAATTGTTATTAATATCACAACCAACTCACTAATTATAAACTTTAAACCAAGTTTTTAACCTATATCAATCAAAATTAGTGACAGCACATAGCAAGAACTGTCAATTTGAACTATACCTTACCTCTATCCCATCAAAACAGAGTTTAATAACTGGTACGAATGCCTCTTCAACAGCCTATAAGGAAAGTAAACAAGTTCAGGGTCTCTGAAACTACATTTTAAGCCTCTACTAGTTTTAGTACTTTAGCAAAACACCTGACACAAAAATAGCTAGCTTTAAGACTGGGCTGTTCGATCAGACAGATCAGAAATCAAGGTTCAAATATTTTACTTCACCCACTCATCAGATGTATGATTGTGGCCAGATTATTTCATATTTATTTTGTTTGCCTCAATTTCCTAATCTGTAAATGAGTTTATAATTTTAGGCTTGCTGTAAAGAATAAAACACAAACACATATGCCAAGTGTTTAGAAAGGTTTGGCAAATTGCAAGAACTCAATAAATGATGGCTATATCATAAAATTCACTCAACTGACTAAATGAATGTTCATAACTCATCCCATTTCACCCCGAACATTTACGCACTCTTAAATCTTTTACTTCTTCCTGTAATTTCAACTTATCATAGAATGAGGTGAAAAAGTCACTTCGATCAACATGTCTTGGTGCAACACACAACGCATCAATATCAGCACCTAAAAAAAATTAAGCCCATCAACCACTAATTAATATTACAAGAAAATTATTTTGCATCCTATCATGGTAGTATTTGATGTTGAGAATCTGTTTAACATACTGGTGAGCTTCTAAAAATGTTCCACCCCTTACTTAAAATTACCAGTCAATGGAGGACAAACATGATTTTAATTGATGTGGTATATTTTGATCCTGCAGCATCCTCTATTTATAGTGGCCCAAGTAAACTGGGAGCCCAAAGAAAGATGGCTCAGCAAGTACTTTCATGGTGGAGAGGGAATTATTCAAACATACACCCAACATCTTGATGTCATTAGTCATAGCCATGTTCATTGGTAAAACAAAAATAGTTTTCCTCTATGTACTACGTATTTGGTGCTTATAGGTTCTCTACCAGGCCCCTAAATGGGACCTACAAAATAAACTTCAAGCAGAAGAATCCAAAGAAGTAGACAATGGTAAAATATTTGTCATTAATTCAGTGCTTGATAAGAGGCCAGCACTAAGTACATAGGCAGAATTTTAAAAAGGAGAATTAAAATCAATTGGGGTCATAAAAGGGAGAGATTAATGTGGAATCAGGTCAACAGTCATTTTCCTAAAAGACAAGATGCTGAGGTATGACTCTGAAAGCTATTTATTAGAACAGGAAGAACGGTGTACAGCACACAGGATATATCAAAAGTAATGTACTAATGGGACAGAGTGATGGGAGATGGAGAGAGGAAAGGATACTAGAAAACAGACAACACTATCTCGGCAGATACAGTTCATGGTTAAAGAATACAGCCTCAGCTGGGCGTGGTGGCTCATGCCTGTAATCCCAGCACTCTGGGAGGCCGAGGCAAGTGGATGGCTTGAGCCCAGGAGTTCGAGACCAGCTGGACAACACGGGAAAACCCTGTCTCTACCAAAATAAAATTAAAAAATTAGCCAGGCATGGTGGCGTGTGCCTGTAGTCCCAGCTACTCAGGTGGCTGAGGCCTGAAAATCAATTGAGCCCAGGAGGTGGAAGGTGCAGTAAGCCAAGACTGTGCCACTGCATCCAGCCTGTGCAACAGAGCAAGACCCAAAGACAGTACAGCCTCGGGATGCCTGAGTTGTACCTACTCTGCCACTAGAAGGTTGAGAAAAACTGTTCAAGCTTTATTGCCTCTTTTAGTCTCAGGCTCCTGTTTGTTATGTGAGAATAACAGTACTGGAAGAACTAAATAAGATAATGAAGATCTCAGTACTCAGTGAAAGAAAAGAAGCTCAATAAATGTTCTTTGCCGAGGTAACATTTTTATTGTGTATTTATTTGCATAGAGGAAATAACTACAAGTATAAACTATTAACTGATTATCATTGGCTATGAATACACATTTTTGGGGTTTGCTTTTGCTTAGCTATATTTTATAATTTGTCTATAAAGGTATTAGCGGGGGGCATCCATGAGTTTTCTTAAAAGCTAGAATTCATTTTTGTTCTATTTCCAGAGTGATATTCTTCTGGTGAGGGAAAATGATATATATGTAGATAGCAGCACTGTACAAAAGAGCTCTCCAACAGAAAAACTACTCTGTATCTGTACTTTCCAATGCAGTAACGACTAGCCATATGTGGCTACTGAACAGATAAAATGTGGCTACCTCTACTGAAACTCTGAGTTTTTAATTTATTTATTTACTTTTTCTTGAGACGGGGTCTTGTTCTGTCACCCAGGCTGAAGTGTAGCAATGCAATCACAGCTCACTGCAGCCTTGACCTCCCTGGGCTCAAGCAATCCACCTGCCTCGGCCTCCCAAAGTTCTAGGATTACAGATATGAGTCACCACACTAAGCTAATTTCATTTAATCTTAATAATACTTTTGGACAGTGGCGATATAGAAGTCAGCATTATTTTACATCTTTCTTACTGAAAAATTTAGACTCCTCAAAGCACTCTCTCTTCCATGCAAGCCTAAGCTATATGATACACAAGTAACTGAGACGGGTATGTCATAATTTTTAAGAACTAAAGGGTCCCTTTCTAAGAAAAATGAAATAATACTTACCTTTTGTATGCACTCCTAATCTGTAAGATCCAAATGTAAAAATTTTTCCTCCAACATTTTCAATTACAGATTGTGGAAGATTCTGTTGAAACAAAAAATGGTTATTTTGCCAGTGGAGCACAAGGGAAACTATTCAAATGATACTATACTGGGGTGAGGGAGTGGATCCAAGAAAGATTACAGTGTAAATTTATATAAAGGGTATTCAAAGTCTATAAAAGTTCTTAAAAAATACCAGCCCCTCAGATCAATCATATTTGAAATTCAAACCATTTTCAACTTTTAAAGAGGTTTATTCTTTATTGTTAGATTCTTGCCCTATTTCTAGAAACTACTATAAAGAAGACTGTGATTGAGAAGATCATGTAATCCCACAGGAGCACGTTAGAATCGGGGACTTTATTCATGACAAAGATGCTGTATATAAAATGAATCACCAATTTAGAGTATAATAAAAACATATTCTGATTGCTTTAAAGAAAAAGATTATATTCAACGATTTTTACCAAATATCCCACAACATATTAGAGTATTTTTTTTATCATATCAAAAGTGACTTGAAAGCCAATAGTAGCCACACACAGTGGCTCACGCCTATAATCCCAACACTTTGGGAGGGTGAGACGGGCCAATTGCTTGAGCCCAGATTGAGACCAGCTTCGGCAACATGTGAAACCCCGTCTCTACAAAAAATGTTTTAAAAATTAGCTGGGCATGGTGGCATGCACATATAGTCCCAGCTAATCAGGTGGCTAAGGTGGGAGGATTGCTTGAGTCCTACAGGTCAAGGCTACGTGAGCCATGATCACGCCACTGCACTCTAGCCTGGGCGACAGTCAGACCCTGTCTCAAAAAAAGAGAAGGGGAAGGGGAAGAGGGGAAGAAGGGAAGGGGAAGGGGAACGGGAAGGGGAAAGGGACAGCAGAGCAGAGAAGAAAAAGCCAATATTGGTAAATAATTGCTTAGTTTTTTAGATTTCCAAAAGGCTTTAGTGAAGTAATTTAGAAACAACTAAATTTTCTTTTCTTACTCAGAAAGAGTAGCATCATCAGGAAGAGGGAGAAAGCATTCAAAAACTGCCTTCCTGGCCCTGGCACTAGTGTAAAGTCCCAAGCTTTACGGTTTAGTATTCAATGGCCCTGCTCGTAAGAATGACAAGGTCTGTCCAAACAAAAACAATTTTATGAAGTGTTTAGTCAATATTTCCTTTTACCTAACTCCTCAGTATAATAAAATATCTATTCAGTACCAAAACATGTAAAAGACCACCCCCCTTCCTCTCAAAAAAAAGAAAAAGGACATAAAATGAAGTGTTATTTCATACTCCAAAAAAACCCTAAAGCCAAGTTCTAAACAGTCAGAGACTCCTGTTTTTTAAGAGCATATTTAACCATCACTATAGACACTAATAGACAAGTTATGTGTGTAATTTTTTTTTTTTTTTTTCTGAGACAGAGTCTCGCTCTGTCACCCAGGCTGCAGTGCAACGGGCGCAATCTCGGCTTACTGCAACCTCTGCCTCCTCGGTTCAAGCCATTATCCTGCCTCAGCCTCCTGAGTAGCTGGGATTACAGGCGCGCACTACCACGCCCAGCTAATTTTTGTATTTTTAGTAGAGACAGGGTTTCACCATGTTAGTCAGGCTTGTCTCGAACTCTTGACCTCGTGATAAGCCCACCTTGGCCTCCCAAAGTGTTGGATTACAGGCGTAAGCCACTGCGCCTGGCTGTAATGTTGTATTTCTTAAAAGTAAGCAAAGCCTTTGTCTTCCTATGTTTAGATATTTTAAAACCTCAATGGCAACGCTGACCTGGTTATTTAAAATTAGCCAGCAAGACGTGTGCACAAGTAGCCTACAAAGGAGGTGAAGGAGAAACTATCTTAAAACACTGGTCCACAGACTTCTCTATTAAGACATAACAATCTTTTGAAGAATACTCTCCAATGGTACTTTCTGCAAGGATGTAAATATTCTGTCACTGTTATCACTTTTGTTGAGCACCTGAAATGTTGCTAGTGTAGTCAAGAATCTGAATGTTTAATTTTAATTTTTATTTAAATACCTGGCTGGTGACTAGTGACTAGTATATTATAAACTACATTTTTAGATATTAGTATGTTTATACTTATTATCATCATTGTAACCCAGAAATTAAGATTTCTTAATTCAGGTCATGGAAAAACATTTTCACTTGCAAAATCTTTTTTTCATTTTTAAGTGAAGAGTATTAGATGTCAAACAAACCAAAAAAAAAATCTTATTTTCTATCAGAAACTAAAATCAGTAAGAAACACATGGTACGTAAAGTCCATAATTTAGAATACTACATTTGCTGAAGTTTAATTTGTATTTTGAAATATACATATACACTGCATAAGTAAACAGTACTATAAATTTCATTAAAACCAAAAGACTACAACTTTTAAGTTGACACCCTGTCTCCCTGCTCTATGAAATTTTTCCTTTACCCTTGGTTCTCTTTTCAACCTTTCAGTTATATTATAGATTAAACACGGATTTTGTACTACCCTGGAAAAATTACCACTATTTATGTTATTTTTTTAAATGGGTCAAATGAACTCCACACACAACTCTACAAATACATTTTCTCTACCAGAAGAAGCCCAGCCATGTATTTATGAGTTGTATGTATGAGTATTCATAATGAAGTGTTAGAAACTCAAAGGGGCTGGGGCAGTGGCTCACCCCTGTAATCCTGGCACTTTGGGAAGCCAAGGCAAGCAGATATCTTAAGCCCAGGAGTTCGAGACTAGCCTAGGCAACATGGTGAAAAGCCATCGCTACAAAAAATTAGCCAGGCTTGGTGGTGCCCACCTATATAGTCCCAGCTACTCAGGAGGCTGGGGTGGGAGGATTGCCTGAGCCCGGGAGGTGGAGGATACAGTTAGCTAAGATCATGCCACTGCACTCCAGTCTGGGCAAGAGGGAGACCCTGTCTCAAAAAAAAAAAGAGGACAGAACAGTACCTCACGCCTGTAATCCCAGCACTTTGAAAGGCCGAGGTGGGCAGATCACTTGAGACCAAAAGTTTGAGACCAGCTGGTCAACGTGGCAAAAGCCCATCTCTACTAAAATACAAAATTAGCTGGGTATGGTGGCACACACCTGTAATCCCAGCTACTTGAGGGGCTGAGGCAGGAGAATCAGTTGGCCGCAGGAGGCACAGGTTGCAGCGAACCAAGATGGTGCCACTGTACTTCAGCCTGGGCAACTGAGCAAGACTGTCTCAAAAAAAAAAAAAAAAAAAAAAAAAGAAAGAAAGAAAGAGGCTAGATGCAGTGGCTCATGCCTATAATCCCAAGCACTTTGGGAGGCCAAGGAAGGTGGATCACTTGAGGTCAGGAGCTCAAGACCAGCGTGGCCAACATGGAGAAACCCCATCTCTACTAAAAATAAAAACAATAGTTGGGCATGGTGGCGCCCGCCTGCAATTCCAGCTACTCAGGAGGCTGAGGCATGAGAATCACTTGAACCCGGGAGGTGGTGGTTGCAGTGGCACCACTGCACTCTAGCCTGGGTGACAGAGTGAGACTCTGTCTCAATAAAGAAAGAAAAAAGGAAACCCAAAGAATGTTATTACAGAAAACTAAATAGGCCGGGCAGCGGCTCACGCCTGGAACACTAGCACTTTGGGAGGCCAAGATGAGAGGACTGCTTGAGGCTAGGAGTTTGAGATCAGTCTGGGCAACACAGCAAGACTCCACATATACCATTAGCCAGGTGTGAAGGGACATGCCTATAGTCCTAGCTACTTGGGAGGCTGAGGCCAGGAGGACTGCTTGAACTCAGGAATTTCAGGTTACAGTGCACTATAATGGTGTCACTACACTCCGCCTGAATGACAGAGCGAGACCCTGTCTCAAAAAAAATAAATAAAAAATAAATAAATAAATAAATATTCAGTTTGAATAATACCTGAAAATCTTTTTTAAAAACTAACTGTGGCAGAATTTCTTAAAAGGTAAGAAGAGTCTCAAATATGTTTAAAGCACCTTTTTAGAGAAACATCCATTATTTCTGTGAAGAGTGTAAGTACTTTACAATTACTGAGTTTCAGTTTTCAAATGTTCCAAACAAAGAGTACTATACTTATTTTTAAAAATCGCTTAACTCAGTTCAGTTTTTCCTGCTTCCAAATTAACTAGAAAAATAATGTAAAATCTGTTATCAATAGTCTAAAATTGACTCCACATTAAAGACTCCAAATCCACTCAAATAAGAACAGGTTATATAAGACACTTGCTGTGTTCAGTTGGCTATATATGAAATTATTTCATATACAAAAAAGTTGCCTTACCTTGCTTTCACTGATTTCTCGTATCCACTCTTTTACCAGGTTATTTAGTTTTCCCAAAATTAAAATCCTGTTGATAAAACAATTATCAATCAAGTATTCCAGATCATTACTGATTAAATTTCTTAAAGTTTTAAATAGGCGTTCTTCCTAAATTATGAGTTTTTAAGCAATCAGAAGCACAGTATATTGTAGTTAGTGCACGCTCGCTCGCTCTCTCTCTCGCTTTCTCTCTCTCTCTCTTTCTATATATATATACAGGCACTGTTACACTGAGTAAGGCATTCCTTTTTCTCCAGACAATTCAGTACTATAATAACCAAAAGCATAAAAAATCAAAATTAATTCTTCAGAAAAAAAAATAAATAACATCAAAATTAAGGGAAGAGAACTCTATGTAGAAAATAAAAGTTTTCAGCCAGGTACGGTGGCTCACGCCTGTAATCCCAACACTTTGGGAGACCAAGGCTCAGGAGTTCGAGACCAGCCTGCCCAACATGGTGAAACCCCACCTCTACTAAAAATACAAAAAATTAGCCGGGCGTGGTGGCGGGTACCTATAATCCCAGCTACTCGAGAGGCTGAGGCAGGAGAATCGCTTGAACCCAGGAGGCGGAGGCTGTGGTGAGCCAAGATCACACCATTGCACTCCAGCCTGGGTAACGAGCAAGACTCCGTCTCAAAAACAAAAAGTTTTCTCTCTTAAGTATCCCTCTTCTCCAAAACAGATATATAGATCTGGGCAAATAACCCTGGTCTTCTAAGTAAGTAGAGAATGCCTCAAAATTAGTTTATGTCAACATTAATAAAAGTTTCCGAGTTAAAAAAATATAGAATATCTATTTACCTGCGCTGCAGTTCCTCTTCCTCTTCAAAAACCCCAAAGGGTTTCAATGTCTCAATTAGTTTCTGTGTAAGTACGCAGTCAGTCTCCTTGGGGGCTGCTAAGCTGATAGGAGAAGTAATGCCATAGTGCTTCTGTGGCGGTTGTGTTTGTTGTGATCCCTGTGTTGTAACTGGACTATAAACAAAATTGGATACAATTACTGCCAAAAGAATTCTACAATTTGAAACAAATCAGTAAGACCAGAAAAACTAATTTAGTAACACACATTTCTAAACATGATTGGTTCCCTGCAATACCCCCAAAATTTTTGACAAAAAGTGACCAAAAGCAAGTGACCAAAGAGAAAATCCTGCCCCAAGGATTTTAACTGTCACTACTTAAACATCTAAGTTAGAATCCAGACCAAATACATTGCTAGAGAAAACACTAATTCAGAATATAGTAAACTTCTGAGAAATTTCACCTCTTGAAAAGAAGCCAAAATCTGTTTCTTAAACATTGATAAACACGCTACAGAAATGCTACTTTACCAATATAAGACATTCCCCAAATGAAACCTGGCATCTGGCTTACAATGAACGAAGTTCATAGATAATGAAGCAAATAGCAAAAACTTAAACAAAATTTGAAGGGAAAGAACTGAATATAGTTCTTTCCCTTAGGGTGAATATACCTTAAGCTTGTTAATGATCTTTTTAAGAGATTTACACTTCGATAATGATGCTAGTCTAAAAGGTTTATTTTACACACACACAGCTATTTTATCCATTTTAAGATAAGTTCCAAATTTGTAAAAAGGCATAGCATGCTTTAAATGCTTAGGAAATAAATCTGACTCAATCTTTTTTCATAAATATTTTTTCATTAAATTAAGAAGTCAACATAATAATTTTAAACTAACAGTTGAATAACATACAAAACCAAGTACACAATAAGGAAAGACCCAAAATCTGGATCGGTTATTTCTCCCAAATTCCATTCCTTAAGAAATTAAGTGTTTATAGGCCAGGTGTGGGCTCACCCCTGTAATCCCAGCACTTCAGGAGGCTGAAGTGGGAGAATGGCTTGAGCCCAGGAGTTGAGGCCAGCCTGGATAACATGCTGAAACCCTGTCTCTACCAAAAAAAAAAAAAGTGTATTTTACACACACACACAGCTACCTCTTATTTTTTGAGATGGAGTCTCGCTCTGTCACCCAGGCTGGAGTACAGTGGTACGATCTCAGCTCACTGCAACCTCTACCTTCCAGGTTCCACCGATTCTCCTGCCTCAGCCTCCCGAGTAGCTGGGACTACAGGTGCATGCCACCACACCCGGCTAATTTTTATATTTTTAGTAGAGACAGGGTTTCACCATGTTGGCCAGGCTGCTCTCGAACTCCTGAGCTCAAGTGATCCGCTCCCTTTGGCCTCCCAAAGTGCTGGGATTACAGGCATGGGCCACCATGCCCAACCACAGCTACTTTTTTTTACCAAGTTCTAAATACAATTTCTACTTTAAGTTAAAGTGTGATAATCTACATATGCAATAAAGGCCAGGCGCGGTGGCTCACGCTTGTAATCCCAGCACTTTGGGAGGCCGAGGTGGGCGGATCACGAGGTCAGGAGATCGAGACCACAGTGAAACCCCGTCTCTACTAAAAATACAAAAAATTAGCTGGGCGTAGTGGCGGGCGCCTGTAGTCCCAGCTACTCGGAGAGGCTGAGGCAGGAGAATGGCGTGAACCTGGGAGGCGGAGCTTGCAGTGAGCTGAGATCGCACCACTGCACTCCAGCCTGGGGGACAGAGCGAGACTCCGTCTCAAAAAAAAAAAAGCAAAAAGCAATAAAGTGCTAAATCTAAGAATGCTATGCAAGTAAGGCTTATGATACATTTACTGAACAAATCCACTGGGTTCTGGTCTATACTCCAACGGCTAGACTGTTCTGTAATTTGTCTTGTGATATCAAGAAAGATCTAAGAATGCCAAGAAGCCCATACTGCGTGTTACTAATTAGCTGCTGGACTGCGTGTCATCTATTTACTGTTGCCTGGTCTAGTTACATACTGTCTTAATTTTAATTCAGATTTTATAATAACATTTACTGAATAAATATGAATCAGATTTATCTCTTGCAGAAATTAATTCACATTAGATCGTTTCCTCCTGCCCCTTTAATCTAAGTTGCATAGCTACTCAAAAGCTATGTTAATCCCCATCAGCATTAAGCATTTGCTGAAGACTGGCCCAAGCATGGTGTCTCACACTTGTAATCCCAGCAAATTTTGGGGGGCCGAGGAGGGCAGATGATTTGAGGCCAGGAGTTCAAAGACCAGCCCAGCCAAGAAGGCGTAAACCCATTTCTAATAAAAATACAAAAATTAGCCAGGTGTGGTGGCATGCTATAATCTCAGCTACTCAGTAGGCTGAGGCAGGAGCATCGCTCTAACCCAGGAAGTGGAGGTTGCGGTAAGCCAAGATCGTGCCACTGCACTCCAGCCTGGGCAACAGAGCAAAACTCCATCTCAGGAAAAAAAAAAAAAAAAAAAAGCATTTGCTGAAGACAAAATAAAAATGTTCTGTTTTCCAATCATATGTAGCATCTCCTAAGGTTAAAATATACACATGAAATGTAACTGAATTCATAATGTCTTGTTCATCACACACAGGTTTTTTTTTCCCCCAGTTTTATTGAGATATCACTGACATACCAAAACTACTGAACGTAATTAATGTATATAATTTGGTGAGTTTGGACATATGCATACACTTGTAGTTCCATTAGCATAATCAAGGTAATAAACGCATCCATTACCTCCAAAAGTTTCCCTGTGTACCCCTCTGGTTTTCTGCCATAAGAGCACGCAACCTGAGATCTACTCTTAAATTTTCAAGTGCACAATACAAAGTACGCTTACCACATATCCTAACGTAATTGTATTATCTTGTGTTATTCATTGCTTCATGAGTTTTTCTGAATAAACTACAGTCCTTCACAATTATCCTGGGATTATGAATGCTTTTATAAATGACTTTAACGCAAGTAAAGCCAGAAAAAGTGTAAAAACTTTATTTTGTCTAGGCTAGATCTGGTTCAAGCAAGGAGAGCTTTTAAGTCAAGTATAAGCTGAAATTATACTTTTGTAGCTTCAAGCAATAAACTTCTATTTTTGTTTTGTGCGAGTAATATGTTTCTCTGCATTCTTTTCCATTCTCAAGGAATTAAATTCATTACCAGTTCAGTTTGGATCATTAAAAAAACAAAGAGTATCCACTGTAAGATTCCTAAATCTTCCCATTTTTTTCTTACTCAAATCTTTAGGCTTTCATTGTCACAATAAACAATGCTTGGAAAGCTCCTGTCTACTTTAACTTTCTCACTAGAACATTAGAATACAGGCCCTGATTTCTAAACGCGCACAAGACTTGTTCAGCCTAATTTGAAAAAATATTGATTACACTAACATTTTGATGGGGAAATAAATCAGACGCAAGCTGGAAATTTTTATTTACTTTATTCCAAATGTAGGCACATCATCTAGCCTCAGTATTACTTTCTGTCAAGATAAAACCACATGTGTTCCATCTAATTCAAGAAAGAATATATATGAGCCAGGCACCATGGCTCATGCATATAATCCCAATGCTTAGGGAGGCACAGCAGGGGAAAATCACTTGAGGTCAGGAATTTGAGACCAGCCTGGGCAACACAGCAAGACACCCATCTCTATGAAAAATAAAAATTAGCTGGGCTTGGTGGCACATGCCCGTAGTCCTAGCTACTCAGGAGGCTGAGGCAGGAGGATGGCTTGAGCCCAGGAGTTTGAGATAGGAGCCCAGGAGGGAGGGAGGGAGGGAGGAAGGAAGAAAGAGAGGGAGAGAATGAGGGAGGGAGGGGAAGGAAAGGGAAGGAAAGAAAGAAAGAAAAGGAAAAACTACGTTAACATAGACCTACCAAATAAAAAGAAACAAATGCATACTCTGAAATTTACAAGATACTTGTGTCTCCAATAAAAATGGCTCAGCATGAGCTTAAGGAGCTAGACTAAGAATTCCAGGCTCCCAGATGTTTCAAACGTCCAAAGTAGAAACATTAAATATTGTAACACTTTAAATGGAAGTGAAGATTTTCCATTTAACATTAGAAATTAAGTAGAGTGATAAAACAATTTAAGGAATCTTTTTGTTGCTGTTCTCCTTCTAACAAAACTATATACTCCAATATTGGGCAATTTGGAACATAAACCTCCAAAGATTAAGGATTCTTCTGCCTTACATATGCACTGACACTCTCCTGGAACCATACACCAGACAGCTACCAATCCCAAGAATGCAAAGTTCCTCCTCCCATTCTTGAATGCACTAGACATCTGCCCATTCTAGAAACATTTTTACCAGTATTTAATTTTCTTCAGACACTATTCTACTTTGAAAAATAAACTTCTACAATTTACGTAACACAAAAAGGAAAAATACAAACCAGACATATAGCTGCAGTATTTGTGATTCCTTAAAATGTCTTCCTGGTTTTTAATATGAAGAACACTGTGCTTTGCTTGAGCAACTGGTCCATTTTCGTCTCACCAACATAATTAATATTTACCTTCAGGGTACTGCCTGAATTCTTAGAGTGCAACTGGCAGCCATCTAGCAAGCTCTCTACTCTATAAAAATACAAAAGTTACTGTATTTCCTTAAGAACTATTTTTAGTAGCCTAATATTTTGCTCCATTGTGTATCTATCCTTATTCTTCCTTTTCATCCACATCTAATGCAAACATCTTGCCAGTTTTTAATATTATGACTAAAGCATTCTTAAAAGTCTTCATCCTTTCTGGATCAGAGTTACACATAAATACATACCTACATCTAATAGTACATATATGAATTCTGCCCCCTCTCAAAACCACAAAAAGACAGCCAAACACTCCTCCCCTACAAACACACCTTTTCTTACAGGTTCAAGGTAATGTATAAAGAATTTTCAGAACTCTTCTCTCCTTAGAATACGAGGAGTTTTCTTTATAATATTTAAATTATTTTCATCAAGGCAAAGTTCACATAGAATACATGCCTTTTAATTGTTTTAATTTTAACATTCTATATAACAATTCGTTTTCAACTATTCTAGTTCTGATTCTTGGCAATCTTGGTCCCAACTCCTTTCCTTCCACTCCTTTGTCACATGGTTCCACCATGCATATTACTACTAAGTATGTCTTCCTAAAATATAACTGTATACTAAAAAAACTGTGACTTCTGGTAACAGCATTCAGGACAGACTACAAAGTCTGGTCTCAACTCAAAAACAATCTGATAAAAAAGGGAGAAAGCAGGCCTGATTTCACTTCTGCTACTCGTCGTATTACTCTGGTTTCAATTCTGCCACTAGTTATATTATTCTTGGTAAGTTGCATCTCTGCAGATTTACCTTAGAATTTATTGTATCTCTTCATTACTTTGGATAACAAACTAGGAATTTTACAACTACAACACATAACACTAAAGAGCAGTTTCCAAATACGAAAGTTTTTAGACCAAAGCTGAGAAACAGGTCTTTCCTTTCCCCATGCAGGGCTGTCAAGATGACTCTAATTAGGATAAATATTTAGGAACTTAGAAAGAATAGTGACATTTTTGTTGACTGTTGGCTATTTATTTTGGCGGGATATTTGTTTCAAAAGGTTAGACATTCGACTTAACTAATATATACAATCTCAACTATCAAGAACCACCTTGGTACAGTAGTTAGAAATCTAATGCAAATAGGCTGGGCGTGGTGGCACACGCCTGCAATCCCAGCACTTTGGGAGGCCAAGGCGGGCGGATCACGACGTCAGGAGATCGAGACCACCCTGGCTGACACAGTGAAACCCCGTCTCTACTAAACATAACAAAAAAAAAAAAATTAGCCGGGCGTGGTGGCAGTTGCCTGTAGTCATAGCTACTTGTGAGGCTGAGGCAGGAGAATGGCGTGAACCCGGGAGGTGGAACTTGCAGTGAGCCGAGATCCCAGCACTCCAGCCTGGGCAACAGAACAGGACTCAGTCTCAAAAAAAAAAAAAAAAGATACCTAATGCAAATAGTGCAAGTTCCTATGATTTGTTAACTGGAGTTTAATGGTCATACATTCAAATAGGCAAAGCATGATCATCTTTGGACATATACTGATAACCATTTTAAATCAGTGAAGACAACTATGAAATACTCAAATGGCTTTGACTGTCCATAGTAAAATCTAAAACCCAGATGCTATTTCAGAAATATTTAAAAAGCATAAAGGCACTGAAAGAAAATAAAAAACATTTTCAGAGCCTTAGTCAAGCAAGACACGGAACGCAAAAGCCATAAAAACAGGTTTACTTACATCAAAATATTCCAACTTTTATATAATAACAATATAGCACATAAGGAAAGTTAAAGCAAATGATAAAAGGAGAAAATACATGCAGCTTATGCCAAAACAGCAACAGTCTGAATACATAAAGAATTCTTCAATCAATTTTTAAAAAAGTTTCACTGCATATCAGGGAAGCAAATTAAGACAACCTGATTAATGAAAAACAAAATTTAATATATGTGGTAAGAATGAAAGACAAAAAACCTCCAATGTTGGCCATGGTGTAAAAAAAACGAGCCCTTATTCATCACGATGAAAGCAAACTTGTTACATCATTTTAAAAGGCAATATGATATTTATCAAAATTAAAAATGCACATACCAATTTTAAAAGTTTGTCTAGCAACTTTATCTCCAGCGATCTATTTATTACAAAAATACTAGGACAGAAGGTTCAAACTGAAAGCCATGAAATTGGAAGACATATTCTCTTTAATCACACATTTTTAAAATATAAATTACATAAAAAGCTAAATCCCCAGGCCTGGTGCAGCGGCTCAGACCTGTAATCCCGTCACTTTGGGAGGCTGAGGTAGGAAGATCCCTTGAGCCCAGGAGTTTGAGACCAGCCTGGGCAACATAGAAAGGCCCCATCTGTACAAAAAGTTTAAAAATTAGCCAGCTGTAGTGGCATGCACCTGTAGTGTAGTCCCAGCTACTCAGAAGGCTGAGGCAAGAGGATCTCTTGAGCCCAGGAAGCTGAGGCTGTAGTGATCTGTGATCACACCACTGCAGTCCAGCCTGAGCAACAAGCGGGACTCCATCCCCAAAAAAAGCAAAAAACAAACAATAAAAAATATATACATTTCCAGCCACTGCTAGAGTATGGGTGCAAAGACTGGAAGACAGACCAAAATAGGGACCCGAATTCCAGCACAACAGAAATAAGCTTGAAATGAGCAGTGTCTATCCCAGGGCTATCCCCTAAAAAGGGAGCTTCTTTGGTACTTAGTTCATTCATTTGTAAATTAACTCTCTTGATCTCATAGGTTCTGGAATTTGAACCTTTCTCACAGAACTAACACAGAAAGGTAATCAAGGTTGTTCACTGAGCAGAGTATGCAATGAAGTAAAACTGGAAACCACCTAAATATCCATCAGTAAAGAACTTGTTAATTACAGTACATGCTTACAACTTAAAACTATGCCAAAATAAAGCAATGAGATAGTATGTTTAGCAGCATGTGTATCAGGAGAAAAAAAAGTTGCAGAATATAATTACGATCATAGCTGCCATCTACTGAAATTTCAACATAACCCACGTATTAAGTCAAGCACTTTACATTATTCCCAATTTTTTCTAACAACTCTTACTATTAAACTAAGAAAGAAGGCTTGACTAAGTTTACTGGACCAGAATATGAACCCAGATAGCTGATATCATAGCCTATAATAATCATCTCTATACTGAGGCACCTCTGCACATCATTTACAATATGTAGTCATATAGATAAAGATATATATTTTTTTAATTTTAGAGATGGTGTCTTGCTCTGTTGCCCAGGCTGATCTAAACTCTTGAGCTCAGGCGATCCTCCCTTATAGCTCAGATTACAGGCATGGACCATGACACCCAGTTTTTTTTTTAACTATTTGTATATTATGTCCATAACACATTCATAGAAACACAATCAAGCAGAATTGAGACCGTAAAATTTTACCTTATATTTTATAAACTTGTTTCAACATGTTAAATTATTTAAAGTAAATATTAATAATCTTGCAAAAGTTGAAAGTCAACTAATTCTACCGTTCACCATTAAATTAGAATAGTTATAGCAAGGAGGCTAAAATAACCCCCTATAATGGCAGCAAGGGGCACCAAACAAATCTTCAAATTAAAACAATAATTAGCTTTTGGTTATTAGCTAAAAACTCAGTTTATGCTAATTAAAACACTATTTTGTGAAATAAACAAAGATTTTTAAAATAGCTTTTTAGTGCAATACTCTGTGGCTAGAAATAGTAAATCCAAAGCAAATATTGCTTTATTTATTGCTCCAGGAAGCTGCTAGGGCGGCCAAGTTATTAAACATCAACTCAATTTTCCTAAAAGCACTTTTTTCTCATCTACCTTTTGTCAGAAAGTACAGTATTTATGAGGTTGAAATGTACCAAATTCCTAAATATGCATAAAAGACAATGCTAAATAAAATCAGAAATACAAAGATGCTTAAGGTAGTCTCTGTTTTCAATGACAATCTCAAATTTAGTCTGGGATTCAGATCCTTAAACAACAAGTGCAAAGTAGAAGTTTGGGAAAAAAACCATTAAAGAAACAAAGATAAAATCATGACTATGCCAGAAGGTGTACACAGTAAATGATCGGAAAGGAGAGGCGTAATCTAGGCAGACGACTAACACACAAAAGGACAGAACATCATATTTCCATTGGTGTTTTCCTTAAATAGTTAATGTTTAAGTACTTTGCATCTCAATTTAATTTTTTTTAATAGAGTCAGGATCTCACTATGTTGCCCAGGCTGGTGTCGAACGCCTGGGCTCAAGCAATCCTCCCACCTTGACCTCCCAAAGTGCTGGGATTACGGGCATGAGCCACCACAGCCCGCCTGTGTCTCAATTTATACAAAACTCATCAGGCACTACTGATTAATCCCCACCTAGTGATATTAGGCATTTGGAACAAGTTGTGGCCCATGATATTAACAGAGTCAACTGCCCCAATTTATAGCTACTACTTAACAGAAAACACTTTATTATTTGCATGATAGAGTTAAAACTGAAAGCCAAACTTGCTAAATATTCTTCTTTGAAACCAATCAGATAAACTACAGTTAACTTATTTAAAGTAACAATTCATCACAGTAGAATTTGCTGTTTAAAGGTCTTAACCTTAATGTGCTCATTCAAAGGACATGAACAGAAAAGATACAAGGGATCTCTCTAAAGTATCTCAATGTGCATTAAATATTAATTATTAGCCAAAATAATACAATCTCCTTTTTCACAAGGTATACGGCATGATAGTAGCTTACAGGCAAGATTATCGCCAAAATAATCTATTTGCTAAGAAATTAAAACGATGGTTAACTGGCCCACCGTAAGGTGTTCTGTGTAAGTGGTACTAAAAATATTTAGATCCCACTATATTCTTAAAAACGTACTGCAGGTGGGCCATCCAGCCAATATTTAGTAAAGCAGCAGCAGAGGCTCAAAGATGATGTTAATAGTTTGTTTATGCTCAAGGGGAATAAAGTATGTATGATAAAGCCCAAGGCCAAACTGAAAATTCAAGGTTGCTTATGCAGAGAAAGGGTACTTGCTGTTCAATTACTACAATGGCCAAGTTATTTTTCCTCACTTCCAAAGGGTACTTCCAACTGCCCCTTTGCGCACAAGCGCACGCGCGCGTGTGTGTTGTGTCCCTCTCTCTCATATGGCTAGGAGAAACTTAAAAAAAAAAAAAAAAGCCAAATTGTACACTGCTACATCAACTTGCCAAGTACAACTTGAAAATGAAAGAAATGTAAATTTAATAAAGTATGAAACAGGACCTGAAAAAGTACGAAAGAGTGTGAAAATGTATCAGAAAATAGTCAAGATTATAGTAAGTCATAGTATTACAGACACTAATTTCAGGAAATGTAATTTAAATGTTTCTAATGATCAAAATGACAAACACTATTCTTGATCAACCTCAAAATTATAAAAACTGCCGTAAAATCCAAGAATCCAATTTCTGGACAAAATATAGAGGGAATAAAAATTTGAAAAATAATTCTGTAACAAAAGAGGAAGAAAGAAATCTAACAGAATGCCTTTATTTTTTCTTTCCCAAATCCTTAGGTTTCCACAAATGAGATTGCTATACAGTTCAGCAGGCCTACATACAATCCAAAGATTAAAAAAAAAAAAAAAAAAAAGCAACTCCCACAAAAGGTACTGGCCACAACAAAGCGGCGTCTAAGTGGCAAATCTGTGCATGGCTTTAAATAAGAATATATATGCAAATAAAGCCACTGAAAGTAGTCGTGTGCCACGTTAACAGAATTCTTCAGTCAATGACAGACCACACATATAACAGTGGTCCCATAACAGCATAATACCGTATTTTTACTATTCCTTTTGTGTTTACATACATTTAGATACACAAATGCTTCCTAATGTGTTACAAGTGCCTACAGTATTCGGTACAGTAACATGCTGCCACAGGTTTATAGCCTAGGAGCAACAGGCCATATCATTGGTGCATAGGCCTAGGTGCATAGCAGGCTATACCATTTAGGTTTGTGTTAAGTACACTGTTCCCACAATAAAATCTGAAAAATAACACATTTTTACAGAATATATCCAATCATTAAGCAATGCACAAGATCTCAGGTTCTATAGTATGTTACATTCTGTGTATACTACAAGTATACACTATATGTTACTTTTGTTTATATACTTTTGTATACATTTTTATTATGTAAATACTTTGAGATTTACATGTTATACACACAAAAAAAATTGAGCTTGAAAATTAATTCTACTTGAAACTATACAGAGATTCCAACTGGCCAGGCATGGTGGCATGAGCCACCTGTAATCTCGGCAATTTGGGAGGCCAAGGTGGGATTGCTTGAGCCCGGGAGTTTGAGAGCAGCCTGGGCAACGTGGCAAAACCCTGTCACAGTAAAAAATACAAAAATTGGCCACGTATGGTGGTGCGTGCCTGTAGTCCCAGATACTTGGGAGGCTGAGGTGGGAGGATCCCTTGAGCCTGGGAGGTCAAGCCTGCAGTGACCCATGATCACACCACTGCATTCCAGCCTGGGCAACAGTGAGTTCCTGTCTCAAAAATAAATAAAGACTCCAACTGAGCTAACCACACATGGTTCCCTACAGTGTCCACAGGAGATGGTATAGTGTACTGGAATGACAATGCAACACAGAATCCAGAGCTGATTTAAGCCCCAATCTACAATTTAGTACCTTTATGACCTTGGTCAGGTATTCTTTTGAGCCTCAACTTTAACCAACTTTTAGGGGAACCAATTACCTCCTATAATGTTGCTGCTTTGTAAATCATAAACTGGCATTGTCCAATTATTTAAAAGCTGCTAGGTAATTAGAACCCTGAACATACAGAATAAAAGAGACACACACACCCTCCCAAAATGAGAACTAGCTAAGAAGCCAAATGGTCTCATTTTACCTGAAAGAAGCTAGCTTTATAAACTTGCCTAGATAAAACTGAAGATGAAATTTAATTGTAATGTTAACCTAAAGTTGACTTAGTTACCCAAGAATAGAATGTTCTGATGAGCCAAAACATTTTCAAAGTTGTTATCAAGCCAGAACTGGCTTCTGCCTTAAGAAGGTGAGGAAAACAATCAGGGATAGGAACTGAGTAGGCTCATAAATTTACTCAACTCCAATACCTTGCCTTCCAACTTCTCTACCAAAAAATATGGACTGAAAACATGTTTAAGGCAGAACACCACATCTCAAAACCATAATCAACATTTACTGAGCAGCAATTCACTACAAAAACTCCAAATTTTAAAATCTGAGAATCAAAATCTCCCACAGTTCTGTTATCTTTCCTAAAGGTTATCTACTATATTGTTTTTCACTGACAACAACAAAAAAATTTTATTTAAATCACAGACGGTTGGGGTGGGCTGAGGTGCAGTGTTCAGAAAACCACCAGACAGTGTTCAGAAAACCACCAGAGGCCAGGCGTGGTGGGCCTGTAATCCCAGCACTTTGGGAGGCCAAGGCAGGCAGATCACCTGAGGTCAGGAGTTCGAGACCAACCTGGCCAATACAGGGAAACTCTGTCTCTACTAAAAATACAAAAATTAGCTGGACGTGGTGGCACGGGCCTATAATCTCAGCTACTCGGTAGGCTGAGGCAGGAGAATCACTTGAACCTGGGATGCAGGGGTTGCAGTGAGCCGAGCTAGCACCACTACACTCCAGCCTGGGCAACAGAGCAAGACTCCATCTCAAGAAAAACGAAAAACAAAAAAACACCAGAGGTGCTGCATGGACAGCTCATACCACCACTGAAAAGTCTACTTCATCTTGGGGCAGCTGTTCTCAAGCAGGATTTCTCAAGTTTTCAAACATTTTGGTCTCAGGACCCCTTTACGAGTTGTAAAACTCTTAAAATGTATTGAGCACTCCAAAGAGCTCTTTCTTACATGCATTATGCTTACCAATATCCACTACATTGGAAATTATAACTGAAGAACTTTTAAAGTATTTATTCATTTAAATAACAAGAAACTCATTACATGTTAACATAGCTTTAAAAAACTATTTTCGGCCAGGCGCGGTGGCTCACGCCTGTAATCCCAGCACTTTGGGAGGCCGAGGCAGGCGGATCACGAGGTCAGGAGATCGAGACCACGGTGAAACCCCGTCTCTACTAAAAATACAAAAAATTAGCCGGGCGCAGTGGCGGGCGCCTGTAGTCCCAGCTACTCGGGAGGCTGAGGCAGGAGAATGGCGTGAACCCGGAAGACGGAGCTTGCAGTGAGCGGAGATCGCGCCACAGCACTCCCGCCTGGGCGACAGAACGAGACTCCGTCTCAAAAAAAAAAAAAAAAAAAAAAAAACTATTTTCCAAAACAAAAAATTTAGTAAGAATGGCATGCTTTTGCATTTCTGTAAATCTCTTTAATTCTGGCTAAACCAAAGATGGCTGGATTCTCATAGCTGCTTCTGCATTCAATCTGTTGCAATAAATTGTTCTAGTTGAAGCATATGAAGAAAACCTGGCATCAAACCAACATTATAACTGTTTCTTTTTGTTTTGTGGAGATGGCTATGTCACCCAGGCTGGTCTTGAACTTGTAAGCTCAAATAATCCTCCCACCTCGGCCTCCCATAGTGCTGGGAGCAACATTATAACTGGAAAAGAGGAGTATTTAGTATTTTCAATTAATATGAGTAGTCTTCTTTGATACTACACCAGAACTCCACAAGTGGCAGTTTTGCAAAGATTAGTTACAATATGAAAGTTAAAACCCTATTAATAAGCCCTTGGTACTCTGTTGCATTAAAATCTGGTTTACCTTGCACTCTGAATGTACCCTTGAATGCACATATGATTTTATTACATCACAAATGGTCATTTGGAAAATATGGGTTCACTGAATTATACAGGTCTACCAAATATTAAAAAACATTCTTTTTTTAAGCACACATTATACAGCATTAAAACTATATGCATTAATATTACCACCAATGTCAGCAGAAACATCTTTTAAGTATTGGGAAAAACCGTCAAGCTCATGATGGAAAAGCAAGCTTTCTAAAATTCTATATTTTGCTTGAAAGCTCCAATTTTTCACTGGCCAGGAATAGTCAGTTGTTTACCTTGGAGTGACAGACTTGCTTTATTCTCATTTAAGTCTCCTAAATACTCAAATATGAATATCCACAGTTCATCACTTGTTCTTTCAGATAAAAATGGAGCTCCATGAGAACACCAGTTTAGCTCACAAATCAACATACAAGTGCTCCTCAAAACCACCATTCTACTCCCCAGTATACAGCTTCACAAGTACTTTCCGTGGTCACAGTACATTAAATAAACAAAGTGTCAAGATTTAATAAAATTAACCTCCTTTTACTGTTTCATCAAAAGCTTTTTAAACTATGAGTGTGCAGTCTTCAAGAAATAAAATGACAGCCGGGCGCCGTGGCTCATGCCTGTAATCCCAGCACTTTGGGAGGCCGAGGTGGGGGGGGATCACGAGGTCAGGAAATCGAGACCATCCTGGCCAACATGGTGAAACCTCGTCTCTACTAAAAATACAAAAATTAGCTGAGCGTGGTGGCGTACACCTGTAGTCCCAGATACTTGGAAGGCTGAGGCAGGAGAATCGCTTGAACCCGGGAGGTGGAGGTTGCAGTGAGCCGAGATCGCTCCACTGCATTCCAGCCCGGCGACAGAGCAAGACTCCGTCAAGAACGGAAGGAAGCAAGGAAGGAAGGAATCAAGCAAGGAAGGAAGGAAGGAAATGACTATATACAATACCGGTTCTCTGCCTTGATTGTTCCTATGATGGATACAGCATTTTCCACCACTGCTTTTGCACCGTTAAGTACAAATGTTGAAAGACAAAACATCTCAATAACATGAAAATAGTTTGAACATTATGTACCCTCTGAAAGATCTCAGTGGTCCCCCTCCCCAAGCATCCACAGATCCCGCTCTGGGAAGCACAGACCATCCACCAGCAGGTACCAGTTCTGCTTGTTATGGCGATGTAAAACTACTACAATTCCCTCTTTTTTGTGCAGCCCCCGAAAACATTTTTGCTATTGTCTCGCCTAAACCTTGCAGTAACTCTTTTTGGTAACTTTGACAACATTCTATGCATGTGGCATAAATGCTACTGATACTGGTTACTCTCCTTCACACCTTTTTATCATATGTGTGATACTCAGAACTGAGCTGATGCCAAAAATATCTGACCAACACAGAGTAGGGCAGAAATACATCTAGTTTCCATAAGGGCATCACACTTTTCGTTAATGCCGTGGTTCTCAACCAGATTTTGCACCCCAGGGCACATCTGGTAATATCTGGAGACATTTTTGATTGTCATTACTGGGGAAATGGAGGGGTGGAGCTCCCGGAATCCAGTAGGTGGAAGCTAAGGCTGCTGTTAAACTACAATACACAGGACAGGCACCTGCAAGGAATGAATCTGGCATAAATGTCAATAATGACTAGGTGAGAAACTGTTTAATGGATCCAAAGACTATCAAAACTTTCAGAAGCTTCACCACCATGACTCTTAAATCAGACTATAATCTTTCCAAAAGTATGTTTGTAGCTACATATGAAATTTAGACAAAATATGGACACTTGATCAAAATGTTCTGTAATATCCTAAATTTCGATAATTTTGATTTAAATTCATTCCGACAACTCACCTAGGGTCCATGCCCCAATGCCACTCACCCATCCAAATTTAACATTAGGACAGGTATACCAAAAATGAAAGCCAAACACAATATAGCCGGGAAATCACAATCCAACACATCAAAAAAACAACATTTATGACAGTGTGACAGCAGTACATGAAAAACAAAGCAACTTAATGAGGAAGAAGCCCTATTTTTCTTTAACTAGGCATTCTTTGGTCTCTCTATTGTTTACTACAGTAATTATCGTATACTTACTTTTTGAGTCTCGCTCTGTCACCCAGGCTGGAACGCAGTGGCATGATCAAGGCTCACTGCAGCCTCAGCCTCCTGGGCTCAAGCAGTCCTCCCACCTCAACCTCCCAAGTAGCTGGGATTACAGGCATGAGCCACCACGCCCAGCTAACTTGTGTTTTTTGTTGAGATGAAGTTTCGCCATGTTGCCCAGGCTGATCTCAAACTCCTGGCCTCAAGCGATTTACCTGCCTGGGCCTCCCAAAGTGCTGGGATTACAGGCGTGAACCACCGCGCCTGGCCCCGTCTTCCATTTTACACACTTGAACTAACTCGCGAAGAATTTGAAATACCTAAGGTCTTTCACAGAAATGTATACCTTCCCTCTTCAAAGAATGTTGGGGGAAAGTAGGTATAAAAGTACTTTTAATTCCTAGAAATAAGACACAAATTACTTAATGTTATTTCTTCATTGAAGCCTTTTAAGGTTTACATCTATCATTTTTAATGCTGGTATGATTATCAGAAAAAGAAGTCCCTTTTCAAAGACAGCAAAATGTTAACTTAATAACGCAGTCATCACGACATCACTGCAAACATTTATCTCCTATTGAACTGAGAAACACCACAACAATCTTGCTTAGACTCAGTTCTCCTAGGGTCTCTTATTCTATGAAAGGGAAAAATCAATAAACAGAAACCATGCAGATTCCAAGATTTTAGACCTGTATAGTTAGTTAAGTCTAACAAACGTTTTCATCACAGAAGTAATGTGATAGACTTCTTAATAACCTAAGGGGGTGGGTGGGAGCCATGGAAAATCCTTTTAAAATACATAAATTGCGATAGAAGTCATTAAGGTCTGTGCCAAAGTTAGAGTCTCACCTGTAAAGAAACACATTCACACACATATATAATTGTAAAACTACAATCGGTGATTATGTGCTAAAGAAATTATCCTTACTTACAAAAAAAAAATAGACCTGAGTTACTACATTCGATGTCTAGAAACCACAAAAATCTTTATCCTGAATTTAACCAAAACTTTGAGTGTCAATTACATGTTGCGTTTTGAGGCTACTAAGATGAAGAAAACTCGGTCCCTGGTCTCAAAGAGGCACTCTTACGCTTCAATATTCAAAAATGGAAGAAATGCAGTCTCACTATTTAGGCCTCTACAATGCTGTATATTTGCAGGAAAAAAAAAATCCGTAATCTACTGGCAATGAGCTGCCAAATTATATCTCATTATCAGAAAGGGGGAGGGGAGAAAAAAACTTTTTAAAAACCCACCAAGAAAAGAAAAAGGCGCAGTGGCATTAGAAAGCATAAAGAGACTAGCTTCAAGCCTTACAACCAGGAAAAAAAAAGTATCACCAGAGATAGAGAAAGAAGGAAACAGAATGAAACCTGGTTACCCCATCAAAACAAAACAGGGAAAGCAATACATAAGTCGTTTTGGAGGAGGGCACCCTGTGAAGTGCCCCCTTCTCCGACCGCCTGTGAATGCTAGGGAGGCGGAGGTGGAGGCAGGCGGACTCAACGCTCAAAGCTGGGCTTTTAACTCGTGCTCCTACATTCAGACAAGGTCAGTGGAAAGGGGCTAACTCCGGCGCACAAGACAGGCATCTGGAAATGGGAGGAAGAGAGTGAGCAAACTGAGACAGACCAGGAACAGAAAAGCAACATCGAATGGGCCCGAGGGGCGCCGAGAGCGAGCCCGAACCCCAAGTGCTGATCCCGCGTGCAGCAGGGTCGTGGTTCCCCACCACCAGGCAATGTTTTGTTTTCGGGTTGTTTTGATTTTCTTTGTGGACGGGGCGGAGAAGCTGGAGTGGCCGGGCGAGTTAGAGGTTCCGCCAGCAATTCCGGAAGGGGAAGGCCCCCGGCCCGACGGCAGCTGACCCAGCCAGGAAGGGTCGGGGGACGCGGGAACCCAGCACACGGGGGGAAGTGCGGCGGCGAGCGAGCGAGGAAACAGGAAGGTCCCCAGTCCTGCCTGCCTCCTACCAGCGGGGAGGGTCGGGCTCGCGTGCCACCCTCTCCGCCTACCTCTTCCCCTTCCCGGACGCCCCCCAAGGCCCAGCCGGCGAGCGAAAGAAAACAGAATACAAATTACTTACAACGGCATCGTCTCCGGCGCCGGCACCGCCCAGTCACTTCCCCCCCGCAACCGCCGCCGCTGCCGCCCTGGGCATGATCCACTGAGGCGGGAGGGAGGGGGGGGCCTGCCTCAGCCCTGGGTCCAACCCCTCTCCCGCACCGCTCCCGCCGCTTTAAGCGCTTCTCCTCCTTCCCCTTCGTCCTAACATGGCGCCCGAGCGCTACCACAGCAACGTTCTAGAACTGCTGACGCCACCACGCACGCCGTGCGTGCGCCTGCGCACCAGCGCCGTCCGCCGCGAAGCCTCACGGGAAGCGGAGTTCCTAAGGCCGCCTGCGGCCCGGCAATTACCCCCTGGGTCCTCTCACACTTAGCAGTGGGTGTCAGATGGTGGAAGGGAACGCTCAGGGAGGCCCCGGGCGGTGAGTTGTCCCTCGGGCGGGGACGCCCTCGTGGGCAGTGCGGCGTGGACGGCGCAAGGAAGAACCCGGAGAGATCCCAAGCCACGAGGCACCGCTTCCGGCGCATTGTGAGGTCCCACCTTTCCCGCCGCCTGAGGTCGCGGCGGCTGCTCTTTCCCGGAGCAGCGTCCCTGGAGGCGCTGCCAGGGGGTGAGGCACCCACGCGTGCACCGTATGTACCCCCCAGCGCGGCGCTTAGAACGACTCGCATGAGTCGCTGCCTTGGGTTGGAACCGGTTACTCCGCCGCTTCGTACTGGACTGCAAAGTAACAAGTACTTCGCCGGGCAGCGGTGCCGACCCCGTGTGCTACGGCGAGAGGTGCTTAGCCTAGAGCCGACGAAAACATGTCCCCAGGACTCCCTTTCCCTCCCAGACTGCGTCCCACCAGATGGAGCTTTCCGTCTGTTTTAACCACCAGTGTATTCCTGATGCCTGACCCAGGCGCTGAAATATTTGTTGAACGAATAAATGTGTAGGTTAGGACTGACGACAGTCCGCGAATTCTGGAACACGGGCTGATTTTACTTTTGAACAAATGATGCACTGGAACTTCCTGACAGAGCTGACCTTTTATAGGAACATCAATGGCAGTCACCGCTGGCATTTTAGCAAAGGTTGTCTTGGTCATAATTTCCCCTTGACTGTGTTTCCAGCCCTTAATCTATATCGGGTGGGACCTGGAAGTCTACCTTCTCGCCACCCCTCGGCAAAAGTTTGAGAAAGTGTTTGAGGCAGAGCCTCCTCTCTCATATGCCCTCCATCTGCGAATTAGAACGAATTATAAGTTCTACGGTGTCACATAGGGGGTTAGCGGAGAGGAAGAGGGAAAGAATCAAATACAGGACGCTGCCTTAACCAAAGTTCTAAACTCTAAATGTAATAATGTGCATTTGTGAGTCCTCAGGAAGTTTCACAAAGGCTTTCCCTTTTTTCACAGAATGTCTAGTAGGACTGGTGACTCCGAATGGGAAAAACACAGGACCTAGACCTGCCCTGTCCATTAGTGTAGCCCCTTGGCCACTTAGGGCCACTGAGCACTTGAAATGAGGCTAGTTCGTTTAGGAGGCACTGGAAGTGCAAAATACGCACGGGTGTCAGTTCGACGAATGTGAAATACCTCACTGATCACTTTTTATATTGATTGCACGTTGAAATATTTTGGATATATTGCAGTAAAGAAAATGTAAGCCGGGCACGGTGTCTCACACCTGTGATCCAGCACTTTAGGAGGCTGAGGTGGGAGGATCGCTTGGGCAGGAGTTAGAGACCAGCCTGGGCAATATAGGGAAACCCCCGTCTATACAAAAAGTTAAAAAAAAAAAAAAAAAAAGAAAAAAGAAAAAAAAATTAGCTGGGCATGGTAGTTCCTGCCTGTGGTCCCAGTTACTCCGGAGACTGAGGTAGGAGGATCCCTGGAGTGGGAGGTGGAGGCTGCCGTGAGTCGTCATCTCACTACTGCACTCCAGCCTGCGTTGACAGAACGAGATCCTGTCTCAAAAAAAAAAAAAAGAAAATATACTATTAAAATTAATTTTACCTGTTTTTTTAAATGTGACCACTAGAAAATTTTAAGTTATATATGTGGCCTTCATTTCCATTAAATAGTGCTGATCTGCAAACAGACTTATATTTGATTGTCATTTCTTCCATTTAGTCTCTTTTCCTCTTGTCATCAAGGTGGCTTTGGCTGGAGACCCAGTAGCATAGTTGTCCCTAAAAGACTGAAAATCTGAGATCCAGATAATTCAATAATGTATTAAGGCTATGGACTTCAAAGCAGCTTGTAAAGATATGCCCTGGGGCCTGGCACAGTGGCTCACTCACACCTGTAATCCCAGCACTTTGGGAGGCAGAGGATTCCTTGAGCTCGGGAGTTCTAGGCCACCCTGGGCAACGTGGCAAGTCGTTGTCTCTACTAAAAAAAAAAATCAAAAAAATTAGCTGGCCTTGGTGGCACACACCTGTAGTCCCAGCTACTTGGGAGGCTGAGGTTGGGAGGATCACCTGAGGCAAGGAAGTTGAGACTGCAGTGAGCCCTGATCATGCCATTGCACTCTAGCTTGGCAACAGAGCAAGACATTGTTCAAAAAAAAAAAAAAAAAATGCACTAACGATGTACTTTATGAATAAAAGAATGGGGACTTTTTCAGCTTATGTTGTCCTCTGCCAGGCATCTCAGAAGGCAGTGAAGAGAGGGACGCTAAACATCCATGCTTTTGGTCTATAATTGCTTCAAACTATTTTTGTTTCAGCCTTCCATAGAATGAGGCAGCTAGATAGCACAGCTGATGAATATTTAGTACCTAGAATGTGCTAGATATCACGCTACTTGCCTAAGGCATTTAAAAGGAACAATATTGAGGATTGAGGATGGAGTCAAGGTAGACTTCATGTAAGAGGTCACTTCAGACACGTCCTGATATGTTAGGGTTTGGTAAGTGGACAGAAGGAGTAGAAGGGCATCTCAGGTAAAGAGAACAATTTTTAAAAATAAAATGAGGCCGGGCGCAGTGGCTCACGCCTGTAATCCCAACACTTTGGGAGGCTGAGGTTGGAAGATCACTTGAGGTCAGGAGTTGGAGATCAGCCTGGCAAACATGTTGAAACCCCATCTCTACTAAAAATACAAAAATTAGTCGGGCATAGTGGTGGGCGCCTGTAATCCCAGCTACTCAAAAGCTGAGGCAGGAGAATCGCTTGAACCCAGGAGGCACATGTTGCAGTGGACCAAGATTGTGCCATTGCACTCCAGCCCGGGCAACAAGACCAAAACTCTGCCTCAGAAATAAATAAATAAATAAATAAAAATTAAAACGTGCAAATAATTTATTTGGAGAAAGGGAAACTTTTGAAGTGACTAAACCACAAAATATTTAGTGAGGAGTGGTGAAAATAAAGCTGCAAAGTTAAGTGAGAGGCAGAAGATAAGGGGCATAGTGGTGCACACCTGTGTCCTCTATTCTGAAGGCTGCGGTGGGAGAATCACCTGAGCCCAGGAAGTCAAGGCTGTAGTGAGCCAAGATCATGCCACTGCGCTCCAGCCTGGGTGACAGAATGAGACCATGTCTCAAAAATAAAGGAAGTAGGGGGAGATGGGAGATCATATAATGACTCCATAAACAGACAAAGGAATTATAGATGGTGATAAGCGGCATTAATAAACCAGGCATTAGAGTTGTGGTGGAGGCCAACTTCAGATAGAGAAGGCTTTTCAGAGGAACTGACCTTTGAGCTGAGACCTGAAGTTAATTCTGAGCGATTTTGAATTTTTGTTTTTGTGAATGGAGGAGCCATTGAAAGTTTTAAAACAGGAGTTAGGTTACATTTATATTTTTGGAAAGATGACTGAAAGTGTAAGGAATGAATTTGAACTAGGAGAGGTTTTGAAGCTGGAAGATGGGTGAGGCGGCTCTTGCAATCCTTCAGATGAGAAATGAAGTTTGAAATAAGGAAGAGAAAGCCGGGCGCGGTGGCTCAAGCCTGTAATCCCAGCACTTTGGGAGGCCGAGGCGGGTGGATCACGAGGTCAGGAGACTGAGACCATCCTGGCTAATCCGGTGAAACCTCGTCTCTACTAAAAATACAAAAAAATTAGTCGGGCGTGGTGGCGGGCGCCTATAATCCCAGCTACTCATGAGGCTGAGGTAGGAGAATGGCGTGAACCCGGGAGGCGGAGCTTGCAGTGAGCTGAGATCGCGCCACTGCACTCCAGCCTGGGCGACAGAGCCAGACTCCGTCTCAAAAAAAAAAAAAAAAAAAAAGAAGAAGAAATAAGGAAGAGAAGAAGGGAGCAATCTGAGAAAGATTTAGAAGGCATAGTTAATTCTGGATGGGAGAGGTGATGGAGAGGAAGAAGACCAAAATGATTTCGGAGGTTCTGAGTGGGGGCGGGTGACAGTGATTGGAGCTACTGATAAATGAAATAGGAAATAGAGGAGGATAACTGGGTGAGTGGATGAGATCGGGAGAGTAGTAGCTATGTGTTGATTTTGAACTGCCTGTGGGACATTCAGAAATGTCTATGAGGCAGTTGAAAATATGCTTCCGGAGCTAAGAAGAGAAATTTGGGCTGGAAACATTATAAACTCTGAAAACAAGAATCATGGCTTGGAATCATGTTTTGGCTCTGGAAGGACCTTATATACACCCAGCGACTACTCCAACTCAAATTTCATGAATGAGTAATAATCTAGATGCTCACAGATCATATTTAGGACCCAGTTAAGAGTAAAACTCTAGCCAAGGAAAGTGAAGAGTAAGAGAAGACCAATTAATAGTATATTGGTAACAGTCTACTGTTACCCTTGCCTTGCTTGTCCTGAGTCCTGCCCACACCTCCCTCCAGCTGCTGCTGGTCTCCGTGACTATTGCCCCATCACCTAGTGCCTGTTTTCTTGTGGCTGCGGAGAAGGGGGAAGATGTGTTCTACTGGAATTTTAAGTATAGTAGTCTCTCTGTACCCCCAGGGGATACCTTCAGAGAGTCCCAGCACATGCCTGAAACTGAGGGTAGTGCCAAACCCTATATTTACTATGTTTTTTTCCTACGCATATGTACCTATGATAAAGTTTAATTTATAAATTAGGCACAGTGAGAGGTAAACAGCAACAATAATAAAATAGAACAATTACAACAATATGCCAGCATGACTACTCTTGCACTTTGGAGCCATTATTAAGTAAAATAAGAGTGACTTGAAAACAGGCACTGTAATATTTGACAGTTGATCCGATCACGGAGAGGGCTGCTGAGTGACTAACTGGTGGGCAGTGTATACAGTGTGGAAACACCAGACGAAGGGCTGATTCATGTCCACCTGAGCAAGAAGGTGCAAGATTTTATGACACTACTCAGAATGGTATGGTATTTTAAACTTATGAGTTGTTTATTTCTAACATTTTTCATTTACTATTTTCAGACCACGGTTGACCACAGGTAATCAAAACAGGAAAGAGAAACCCCAGATAACGGGGGACTACATTTTCCACAGAACAGTGTCATAAATAGTGGAAAGAATTTCAAAACTGGTTCCCAGAAGCCCACAGTGTATTCAAACAAACAAACAAAAAATGCTTGAAAATGTTTTTGAGAACAGAAGCTCTTCATATATTGGGAACTACATGGATTGTATTTTGCTGTCATTTAGGAGTAGTCGTAGGAGATACTGTGTGACACAGAGATTTTTATCCCAGTAGTGAACTCTGATGATCCACTGGGCCAATACTTTTCAAAAAATCAAAGATCAGACTTATTAATTACTAAAATAAAAATAATAATACAAGCATTTTTATCCAATGAGTGCTATACTCTTGAGCAGTCCTTTCATTAAATTCATTTCCCCTTTTTTTAATATATCTATTTATTTTTTGAGACAAAGTCTTACATTCTGTCACCCAGGCTGGAGTGCAGTGCTGTGATTACAGCTCATTGTAGCCTCCCTCTCCCAGGCTCAACTGATCCTCCGGCCCCAGCCTCCCAAGTAGCTGGAACTACAGGTGCATGCCACCACGCCCAGCTAATTTTTTTTTTATTATTTTTAATGCAGAGGAGGTCCCAGCTACATCACCCGGGCTGGTCTGGAATCCCTGGCCTCAGGCGATTCTCCTGCCTCGTCCTCCCAAAGTGCTGGAATTACAGGAATGAGCCACCACATCCAGCCATTTTATTATTTTGACTTTCACATTTAATTCTATGCTCCACTTCAAAATAGTTTCATGTGCAGTATGAGGTAGAGGTCAAGGCTTGGCTTTGTTTTTAATATGTGGATCTCTAGTTGATGGCCATGCACCATTTATTTAAAAGATCATACTTTCTTATCGAATTGCCATGGCACCTTTGCTCTAAGTCAGGTGACTATAAATGTGTGGGTCCATTTCTAGGTTCCTGATTCTGCTCCATTGATCTATGTGTCTGTTCTAATCACTGTAGCTTTGTAATAAGTCTTGATATCTGGAGAGTGTAAGTCCTCTAGGTTTGTTCTTCAAAATTGTTTTGATTATTCTAGGTCCTTTGCATTGCCATATACATTTTAGAACCAGATTACTGGTTTTCTTTTCTTTTCTTCTTCTTTTTTTTTTTTTTTTTTTTTTTTTTTTGAGACGGAGTTTCGCTCTTGTTGCCCAGGCTGGAGTGCAATGGCGCAATCTCGGCTCACCACAACTTCCACCTCCCGGGTTCAAGCGATTCTCCTGCCTCAGCCTCCCGAGTAGCTGGGATTACAGGCATGCGTCACCACACCCGGTTAATTTTGTATTTTTAGCAGAGACAGGGTTTTTCCATGTTGGTCAGGCGGGTCTTGAGTTCCTGACCTCAGGTGATCCGCCCGCCTCAGCCTCCCAAAGTGCTGGGATTACAGGCATGAGCCACCGCACCTGGCCCAGATTACTGATTTTCATCCCCCCAAAAAATAAAGTGAGAAGGAAGCAAGCAAAGATGGAAGGAAAGAGGGAAGGAAGGAAGGAAGGAAGGAAGGAGTAGGGAGGGAGGGAGGGAGTGAACGAAAGAGAGGGAAAAAGATACTGGGATTCTGATAGGAGTTACATTGATTCTATAGATCATTTTGGGGAAGAATTGAAGTATTAACAATATTGGGCTTTATAAAGTATTAATATGGTCTGTCCCTTCATTTCTCCACTTATTTCATGTTTAATTACTATCAGTAATGTTTTGTAATTTTCAGTAGAGGTCTTACACATCTTCCTTAGGTTACCCCTACCTATTTTATTGTAAATGATACCAACTTGCTATGATTTGAATATTTGTCCCCTCCGAAATTCATATTTAAATTTAATCCCCAATGTGGCAATGTAGAGAGATGGGACCCTTAAGAGATGTTTGGGTGATGTGGGCCCTGTCCTCTTGCATGCATTAACCCATTCATAGATTAATGCAATAATTGGTTAATGGATTAATGGATGGTAGTGTTGGAAGGATGAGAAGCACAGAGACTCCAGATACGTTTTGAAAGTTGAGCCAATATAATACATTGATGTATTGGATGAGGGGTAAGAGAAAAGGAAAAGAGCCAGGCACCGTGGCTCACGCTTGTAATCCCAGCACTTTGGAAGGCCGAGGCAGGTGGATCACCTGAGGTCAGAAGTTTGAGACCAGCCTGGCCAACATGGCAAAACCCTGTCTCTATTAAAAATACAAAAATTAGCCAGGTGTGGTGGCACGCACCTGTAATCCCAGCTACTCAGGAGGCTGAGACAGGAGAATCGCTTGAACCCAGGAGACAGAGGTTGCAGTGAGCCAAAATTGCACCACTGCACTCCAGTCCCTGGGTGACAGAGAGAGGCTCCATCTAGGGAAAAAAAAAAGGCAGAGAGAGAAAAGGAAAAGAATCAAGAATGACTCCAAGGTTTTGGGCCTGAGCAACTGGAAGGATGGAGTTACCAATAACTGAGGTGGGAAGATGGGGGAGCAGCAGGTAGAGGGGAGGGAGGAGGGGGATCAGGAATCAGAGTTGGCCATGTTAAAGTTTAGCATGCCTACTAGACATTCAGATGGAGGGAAGAAAGTGTTTGAAGGAGGAAATGATAAAATGTGTCAGATGCTCAGAGACACCCAGTAAGACGAGGCCTGAGAATTACCAATTGGATTTGGAAATATGGAGCTCGCTAGTAACCTTGCTATATTGGGACCATAGCTGGAGGAGGATGTGGAGGTGTGGGAAGGTTTTTGCATTTTAATTTGGTTTTGTCTTGTTTTGAAGTACGGAAGCTAGTACCTCATGTTTAAAGCTTAGCATGATGATCCAGAAGTGAGAGAAAAATTAAGCTACAAGAGAAAGCAGACAATTTTAAGAGTAGAATCTGATTATGTGAGGAGGGACAGGAGCGAGGACACAGTTGAGGGCTGACCTCAGACGGGAGCACACACAGTTCTCTGTAGCAGAAGGGAAGGTAGAGATAGGTTTGTAGTGGGAGGATGTAGAAGCTCTCTTTTATCCTTTTTTTTTCTTTTGCTGGTTCCACGCCCATGAAGACAAAGAAGCTCTCTTTTGATGGCTTATTTTTTTTGTTTGTTTTTTGTTTTTCAGTAAACCAGGAAGCAATGTCATGAAATGAAGGCACGAAAATGTAACTATTATAAAGACTAATGATTTCAAACTGTGGAGAATGTATTCTTTTTATTGGGATTTTTAATTAAAATATAAGGGTCAAAAATAGTATAGAGTGCAGCCATAAAAAATAAATCATGCCCTTTGCAGCAGCATGGACGCAGCTGGGGGCCATTATCCTATGCTAATGAACATTGGGTACTCATGGACATAGAGATGGCAACAATAGACCCTGGAGACTACTAGAGGTGGGAGGAAAGGCGGGGGCAAGGGTTGAAAAACTAACTATTGAGTACTATGCTCACCACTTGAGTGATGGGGTCATTTGTGTCCCAAACTTTAGCATCACACAATATACCTATGTAACAAACCTGCACAGGTTACCCGCTGAATCTAAAATAAAAGTTGAAATTATAAAGAAAAAAAAAGTTTCCAAAAATAGTGCAGTGAAACAAAATTAAAAATAGGAAATAGGTAAATTAAACTTCCTCAAAACTAAAACCTTTTGTGTCTTAAAAGGCACTCTCAACAGAATGAAAAGACCCATGGAATGGAAGGAAATCTTTGCAAATCATACATTTGACAAGGGTCTTGTATCCATAACATATAAAGAACTCTTACAATTCAACAACAAAAAAACAAAGCAAATAAAAAGTGAGCAAAGGGCTTGAATATACAGGCACACCTCATTTTATTGTCCTTTGCTTTACTGCACTTTGCAGATACTGTTTTCTACAAATTGAAGGTTTTTGCAGCCCTGCATCAGGCAAGTATATCAGCACCATTTTTCCAACAGCATTTGGTCATTTCATATATCTGTGTCACATTTTGATAATTCTTGCACTATTTCTAACTTTATTATTATTATTCATTAGTGATTTTTTTTTTTTTTTTTCTGAGACAGAGTCTCGCTCTGTCGCCCAGGCTGGAGTGCAGTGGCGAGATCTCAGCTCACTGCACGCTCCGCCTCCTGGGTTCATGCCATTCTCCAGCCTCAGCTTCCTGAGTAGCTGGGACTACAGACGCCCACCACCACGCCCGGCTAATTTTTTGTATTTTTAGTAGAGAGAGGTTTCACCGTGTTAGCCAGGATGGTCTCGATCTCCTGACCTCGTGATCCGCCCGCCTCAGCCTCCCAAAGTGCTGGGATTACAGGCTTGAGCCACCGCGCCCAGCCTCATTAGTGATTTTTTTATGTCACTATTGTAATTGTTCTGAGGCGCCACAAACCATGCCCATATAAGACAGCAAGCTTAATTGATAAATGTGTGTTCTGATTGCTCCACCGACCAGCCATTTTACCATCTCTGTCCCTCTTCTCGGACCTATCTTTTCCCTGAGACACAACAATATTGAAATTAGACCAATTCATAACCCTACAATGGCCTTTAACTATTCAAATGAAGAGTCACAAGTCTTCACTTTAAATTAAAATGTAGAAATAATTAAGCATAGTGAGGAAGGCATATTGAAAGCTGAGACAGACCAAAAGCTAGGCCTCTTGTGCCAGTTAGCCAAGTTATGAACGCAAAGGAAAAGTTCTTGAAGGAAATTAAAAGTGCTACTCCAGTGAACACACAAATGATAAGAAAGTGAAACAGCTTTATGGCTAATATGGAGAAAGTTTGAATGGTCTGGACAGAAGATCATACCAGCTACAACATTCCCTTAAGCCAAAGCCTAATCCAGAGCAAGGGCCTAACTCTCTTTAATTCTATGAAGGCTGAGAGTGGTGCAGAAGCTGTAGAAGAAAAGTTGAAGCTAGCAGAGGTTGGTTCATGAGGTTTAAGAAAAGAAGCCATCTCCATAATCTAAAAGTGCAAGGTGAAACATTAAGTGCTGATGTACAAGCCGCAGCAAGTTACTCAGAAGATCTAGCTAAAATCATTTAAGAAGGTGGCTGCACTAAACAACATTTTCAACATAGCGAAAACAGCCTTATATTGGAAGAAGATGCCATCTAGGACTTTCCTACCTAAAGAGAAGTCAATGCTAAGCTTCAAAGCTTCAAAAGACAGACTGACTTTCTTGTTAGAAACTAATGTAGCTGGTGACTTTAAGTTGAAGCCAATTGTCTATTTACCATTCCCAAAACCTTAGGGCCCTTAAGAATATAGCTAAATCTGTTCTGCCTGTGCTCTCTTAAGGGAACAATGAAGTCTGGATGACAACATGTCTATTTACAGCATGGTTTACTGAAATTTTTTTTTAAGAGACAGAGTCTCAGTATGTTGCCCAGGCTGGAGTGCAGTAGTGATTCACAGATGTGATCATTGCACATCACAGCCTCAAATTCCTGGGCTCAAGCACTACCCTGCTTCAGCCACCTGACTAGCTGGGACTACAGGCATGAACCGCTGTGCAATGGCTTGGTTTACTGAATAGTTTAAGCCCACTGTTAGGAACTACTGCTCAGAAAAAAAAAAAAAAAATGATTCCTTTCAAAATATTACTGCTCATTGACAATGCATGTAGTCACCCAAGAGCTCTGATGGAGATGTATAAAGAAATTAATGTTTTCATGTTATTAACACAACATTCTGCAGCCCATGAATCAAGGAGTAATTTTGACTTTCAAGTCTTATTATTTAAGAAATACATTTCATAAAGCTATAGGTGGCATGGATAGTGATTCCTCTGATAGATATAGGCGAAGTAAATTGAAAACTTTCCAGAAAGGATTCACCATTCTATATGCCATTAAGAACATTTCTGATTCATGGGAGGAGGTCAAAATGACAACATCAACAGGAGTTTGAAAGAGGTTGATTCCAGCCCTCTTGGATGACTTTGAAGTGATTAAGACTTCAATGGATAAAGTAACTGCAGATGTGATGGAAATAGAAAGAGAACTAGAATTAGAAGTGACGACAAAAGATGTGACTGAATTGCTGCAATCTCGTGATAAAACATTAAACAGATGAGAAGTTGCTTCTTATAGATGAGCAAAGAGAGTGGTTTCTTGAGATGGAATCTACTAGTGAAGACACTGTGAACACTGTTGAAATGTACAACAAAGGATTTAGAATATTTAATAAACTTAGTTGATAAAGCAGTATCAGGATTTGAGAAGATTGACTCAAACTTTGAAAAAGTACTAATGTGGGTAAAATGCCATCAAACAACGTGACATGCTACAGAGAAATTTTTCTTTAAGAGTCCATCAATGTGGCAAACTTCACTGCTGTCTTTTTTTTTTTTTTTTTTTTTTTTAGATGGAGTCTCACTCTGTCACCCAGGCTGAAGTGCAGTGGCACAATCTCGGCTCACTGCAACCTCCACCCCCTGGGTTCAAGTGATTTTCCTGCCTCATCCTCCCAAGTAGCTGGGATTACAGGCACACGCCACCACGCCCAACTAATTTTTGTATTTTTAGTAGAGATGGGGTTTCACCATGTTGGCCAGGCTAGTCTCAAACTCCTGACCTCAGGTGATCCGCTTGCCTCAGCCTCCCAAAGTGCTGGGATTACAGGCATGAGCCTACTGTGCCCAGCCCATTGCTGTCTTATTTTAAGAAATTGCCATAGCTACCCCAACCTTCAGCAGCCACCACCCTGATCAGTCGTCAGCCATCAGAATTGAGGCAAGACCCTCTACCAACAAAAAGATTACAACTCACCGAAGGCTCCGGTTATTGTTAGCATTTTTTAGCAATAATTTTTTTTTTTTCTTGAGAAGGAGTCCCACTCTCTCGCCCAGGCTGGAGTGCAGTGGCACGATCTCGGCTCACTGCAAGCTCCGCCTCCCGGGTTCATGCCATTCTCCTGCCTCAGCCTCCTGAGTAGCTGGGACTACAGGCACCTGCCACCACGCCTGGCTAATTTTTCTGTATTTTTAGTAGAAACGGGGTTTCACCGTGTTAGCCAGGATGGTCTCGATCTCCTGACCTCGTGATCTGCCCACCTCGGTCTCCCGAAGTGCTGGGATTACAGGCATGAAGCAATAAAGTATTTTTAAATTAAGATAGGTACCTTGTTTTTTAGACATAATGCTATTGCACAGTTAACAGATAGTGTAAAATATAGTGGAAAAATAACATATGCACTAGGAAACAAAAAAATTGGGGTGACTTGCTTTATTACAATATTAGCTTTATTGTGGGGGTCTGGAGCCAAACCCTTAATATCTATGAGGTATGCCTGTGTATTTCTCCAGAGAAGACATCGAAATGGAAGCAAGTGCATTAAAAGATTCTTAGTCACAATATGATGCCACGTCACACCCACTATGATCACCATTAAAAAAATAAAAACACAGAAAATAACAAGTGTTGGTGAGGATGCAGAAAACTGGAATCCCTCATACACTGCTGGTGGGAATGTCAAATGGTGCAGCCACTGTGGAAAACAGTGTGGCAGTTCCTCAATAAGTTGAGCATAGGATGACCATATGACAGCAGTTCCACTCCTAGGTATCTAGCCAACAGAACTGACAACCTGTGTTCAAATAAGAGCTTGCACACAAATGTTCATGCCAGTTGTAGTCACAGTAGCCAAAAGGTGGAAACAACCCAAATGTCCATGAACAAATGAACAATTAAACAAAATGTGGTATGTTCATACAATGGAATAGTATTCAGCTATGAAAAGGAATGAAGTACTAACACATTGTATGACATAGATGAACCTCGAAAACATTTTGCTTAGTGAAAGAAGCCAGACACGAAAGACCACCCATTATATGGTTTTATTTATAATAGGTAAATCCATAGAGACAGAAAGCAGATTCGTGGTTGCCTGGAACTGGGGGGAGGGAATAATGGAGCGTGACTGCCTAATAGGTGCTGGGTTTCCATTTGGGGTGATGAGAAAGTTCTGGACTAGATAGTGGTGGCTGCAGATCATTGTGAATGAACTTAGTGCCACTGAATTATACACTTTAAAATGGTTACAGTGGTCAATTTTATGTTACATGTATTTTAGCACAAATAAAAAGTCGGGCAGTTATATTAGGTTACATTATTTAAAGAGATAAAATACATATGCCATTAAACCTAAACTAATTTCTCATTTAGGGTAATTCTAGGAATCTTATGGGATTTTTAGAACTGGAAAAGACTATAGGATTGATAACTTATGCCTATGTTATAAAGTGTGTTGAAAATATTTAGCAACTTCTCACTTATCACAAAGATTGGAATTATCCTGTTATGCAGATTTCTCCGCCTAAAGGTTTACAGTTCTCTCCGATTCATTGTCTGGGATCCTGACCCTGAACTCAAAGCAACCTTTCCCTAACCATTGCTTCATTTAAAAAAAAAAAAAAAAAAAGCCACCTTACAGGCACCAATCTTGTCTGATTTACTGTGAGTCAACAGGCATAAATCACTTCAATTTATTTCCATTTCTAATAACATTGTTATTGGGGCGATAACAAGTCATGTAAATTAGCCTACATGTTAGAATAATACATAGTCTACAATATATAGTCTGATTTTCTTCATGCTATAAATACCTATAAACATTAGTGTACAGAAGCGGTATATTTAGATCTGACTAAAGAATAAAATATTAAATCAGTATTTGTCTCATGAGCTATGCACAAATGTCTTTATCAATTTACATTTCAAATATAGTTTTAATGACATAGTCATGTCATATAGCTTTTAATAGAGATTCTAGTTTATAGAATATTTGTCTACAAAAAAAGAATTTTCTAAGAACTGGAAAAGCATTTTTCAAAGCAATTTTTCAAAGTATAATAAGTGATCTGTGGTTCTGTAAAGGTAGATAATACCAGATCTTTCAAGTTTCACTGTGCTTCAGGATTGTTCTTGAAGAGATATTCTGCCTACAATTTAAAAAAAGACAAGTCAACAGTTTACAAGTTATTATTAGTCATGTATTTGTATTAGTAATGTTTACAATTTAAAAATCATCCTGGGCCAAGCTTGGTGGCTCATGCCTGTAATCCCAGCACTTTGGGAGGCTGAGGCGGGTGGATCACTTGAGGTCAGGAGTTCGAGACCAGCCTGGTCAACATGGTGAAACTTCCTCTCTACTAAAATACAAAACATTAGCTGAGTGTGGTGGCAGGCGCCTGTAATCCCAGCTACTTGGGAGGCTAAGGCAGGAGAATCACTTGAACCCGGGAGGTGGAGGTTGCAGTAAGCCGAGATTGTGCCATTGCATTCCAACCTGAGCAACAAGAGTGAAACTCTATATCAAAATAAATAATAAATAAATAAATAAGTAAAAGTACATACATTTTTTACTTTCAAATGAATAATAAAAATCTTACATGGGTTTGACCAATGAGGGAAAAAAATCTTATTATAAATGGTGAATATATTAGAAGCTATTTCCCAAAGAACCAGAAACATAATTTTGCTATCTCAACTGGTTTTCTGTTAAGATTCAGGCAGATTAGGCCAGGCGTGGTGGCTCACGCCTGTAATCTCAGCACTTTGGGAGACCGAGGCAGGCAGATCACGAGGTCAGGAATTCAAGACCAGCCTGACCAACATGGTGAAACCCTGTCTCTACTAAAAATACAAAAATTAGCCTGGGGTGGTGGTGCACATCTGTAATCACAGCTACTCAGGAGGCTGAGGCAGGAGAATCACTTGAACCGGGAGGTGGAGGTTGCAGTGAGCCGAGAACGTGCCACTGCACTCCAGCCTGGACGACAGAGTGAGACTCTGTCTCAAAAAAAAAAAAAAAGATTCAGGCAGATTTTTTTTTCTTTTTTTTTCTTTTTTTTTTTTTTTTTGAGACGGAGTCTCACTCTGTCGTCCAGGCTAGAGTGCAGTGGTGTGATCTCGGCTCACTGCAACCTCCACCTCCAGGGTTCAAGCGATTCTCCTGCCTCAGCTTCCTGAGTAGGTGGGACTACAGCGCGTGCCACCACACCCAGCTAATTTTTTTTTTTTTTTTGTATTTTTAGTAGAGACGGGGTTTCACTATGTTGGCAGGGTGGTCTCTAACTCCTGACCACAAGTGATCCCCTGACCTTGGCCTCCCAAAGTGCTGGGATTACAGGTGTAAGCCGCCACACCCAAACTCAAATTGATCTTTTTTTAAAAATTAAATATGTTACCAGAAAATCAACAGGGTCTTCGGGTCGGACGTTGCAACATTCATTCAGGCCCTGAATAAGAGTTGGCATCACATAGGTCATTAAATAGTTTCTCAGGGGAATTGACTGAGCCTCCAGTAATTCTCTTTCTTCTCTTTTCACTTCCTCCAGTCGTTTATTCTAAAATAGAATATTTGGTGGTAAAGTAAATGTGTAGTGAGAAAGGGGAGAACACTCACACAGTTCACCCTACAGTGCATTGAGACACTGCTAGAAATGGTCACCATCTATGATACAGATGGCATTTCCAATCAGCAGAGAAAAGACATAAATGGTGTTACAACAACTTAGCCATTTGGAAAATAATAAATTGGATCACTTCTTACACCAAAATAATTTCTAGCTGCCCAGATGAAGCAAAATAGAAAAAAAAAAAAAAAGAAATGCCACTAGAAAGTCTGGAGGGCATTGGGATAGTGACATGTGCAATTCTTTGCTCAGCATACAGCCACCCTCTCTCTTGGGAATCATAATTCCAAATTTCTTTTGAGAAATCTCCCTTCTCAGCCTAGTGGTTTGGTTTGAGTGGGATTTAAGCCCATCATCCAGCCAGCTCCTGGCCATAGATTCTAATTAAGGATCAGCACAACATCAAAATTGGTTACAATTTACAATACCTAAATTGTAAACAGTACGAGTACAAATACATGACTAATAATAACTTGTAAATTGTTGACTTGTCTTTTTAAAAAATTCTAGTTAAAGATCAGCACATCAAGTGCCCTGCCATGCATGGTAGGTGCACCTAAGAATGAAGCCTCCCATGCAAGGCAGGACAGAGAGGGGGATCCTAAGTCTTTGGTGACATCATTTGAGCCACTATATCAAGCCTCACCTGAAGCCAGCCCTACCCCTGGACTTTTCTGGTTTTCTTTATGGTGAAGTCATTTTGAGTTTGCTTTTCTATCACTTGCAAGATAAAGAGTCCTAGCTGGGCTGGGCGCGGTGGCTCACGCCTGTAATCCCAGCACTTTGGGAGGCCGAGGCGGGTGGATCACGAGGTCAGGAGATCGAGACCACGGTGAAACCCCGTCTCTACTAAAAATACAAAAAAATTAACCGGGCGCGGTGGCGGGCACCTGTAGTCCCAGCTACTCAGGAGGCTGAGGCAGGAGAATGGCGTGAACCGGGGAGGCGGAGCTTGCAGTGAGCCGAGATCGTAACACTGCACTCCAGCCTGGGCGACAGAGCAAGACTCCGTCTCAAAAAAAAAAAAAAAAAAAGTCCTAGCTGATATTTGTTTGAAAGGAGGTCTTTCTTAGCAAGATTGCCAACCCAGAGATCAAAATGGGAAACAGGTGGGTGAATTTGAGTACATATAAACATGAAACTTTTGTGTGGTCAGAGAAAATACCATAAATAATGTTAAAAAATAAATCATGAATTAAGAAAAACTGCAATACATTATTAAAAAGTTAAGATGTGATGAGGATACTATGTGATGCACACTACTTGCCAGGCACGTGCATAGTTTACGTATATTACCTCTTTAGTCACCACAATGACTGTATGAAGTAGGTGCTATCATTATCCCCACTTTACAGATGGAGAAACTGAGACACAGACAGGAGCTTGCACAAGGCCACATACCTACAGAGAGAGTGGAGTGGGATTTGATCTCTAGCAGCACGACTTGGGAGGCCAACTGGAGCCGTTCCTGTTTCTATTGAACTAGTTTATCAGGAGTTCTTTTTGCAAAATAATAAGAAAAAGTCACACAGCCCAAACAGGGGCAAAGAAAATACGCAACATGAGAAGAAACATAAATGCTTAACAAACAGAAAAAGCTGTAAGATTAGTGATCAGAGAAATGAATATTAAAACAATGAGAACAGTTTTTATCAGCCTGACATGTGCGAGTAAAATTGAGAAAGCAGGTTTAGAGAAGGTGTAGGGAAATAGCCACCTGTTAGATGATACATAAACTGGTTTACCATTGCTGGAGGGCAGTTTTTAAATATGTATCAAAACTCAAACCATGTCTAGTTTGACCCAGCAAACTTTAGGAATTTATGTTAAGAAGATTAATCAGGCACCCAAAGATGTGTGCATTGGGCCTGCCTCCCTCCCTCCATCCCTCCTTTCTTCCTTCCTTTCTCCCTTCTTTCCTTCCTTCTTTCCATTTGTTGAGTGCCTGTTATGTGCCAGGCACTATTCTAGGCACTGGATATATGGTAGTGAACAACACAGACATCCCTGTCCTCATGTAACTTAAGTTCTGTGCAGAGAAAAGGCAAGAAACAAGATAAATACATAAAATGTATATAATAGGTAGAGTAAGTACAAAGAGGAAAATTAAAAAGTATAAAAGGGGATGTGACAGGTTGTGGGGAGGGGTAGACATTGAATTTTACAGAGACCAGGAAATGCCTCACTAGAAAGACAACTTCTGGTAAAGATGCCAGGTGTCTGTGAGGCAATGAGTCATGCAGATGACCAAGACCACCATTGGTGCACTGTTTGAAATTGGGAAATATCAGAAGCAGCCAGGTCACAAAGGACCTTGACCACAATGACAAGTTTGGATTTTTATCAAATTGTGATAATTGAGAGCCTGTGAGGAGTTGTAAGCAGAGAATGGCCATAGTGGGTCTGCAGTTTGGAAGGATCACCTGGCAGCTGCGTAGGAACAGACTGGAGATGGAGCAGGGTGGAGTTGGGGAGGACAGTGAGAAGACACTGCGTAATTCGGATGAGAAACACTGCCCCTGATCAGAAGTAGAGAGCTTGGGACAGATTTGGGTGCCATTTTTGGTGATGGTGGTGTTTGTTTTTTGAGACAGGGTCTCACTCTGTCATCCAGGCTGGAGTGCTGTGGCATCATCATAGCTCATGGCAGCCTCAGTCTCCCAGGATCAAACAATCCTCCAGGCTTAAGCAATCCTCCCACCTTAGCCTCCCTAGTAGTTGGGGCTACAGGCATGCCACTATGCCCAGCTAATTTTTATTTAGTAGAGTCAAGGTCTTGCTATGTTGCCCAGGCTGGTCTTGAATACCTAAGCTCAAATGATTCTCCAGCCTCACCCTCCCAAAGTGCTGGGATTACAGGTATGAACCACCATGCCCAGCCTAAGAGTGCTATTTTTGGAAGCAGAATCACTTACTAGATTCAGTGATTTGGGGAATGAGGAGGGGTGGAAAGAAGCTGACCACCTGGGTAGGTTAGATGGGTAAATGGAGGAAAATCAAATCAAATCATGAGGTCAATGCATAGTAAAATGTTACACATTTACAGGAATTTGTATTACTAATACACCTGCTAATGGCTAGTTTTTGTTACTAATACTAAGCAAGCTGGGCATGGTGGCTCATGCCTATAATCCCAGCACTTTGGGAGGCAGAAGCGGGTGGATCACTTGAGATTAGGAGTTTGAGATCAGCCTGGCTGGCCAACATGGTGAAACCCCATTTCTACTAAAAACAGAAAAATGAGCTGGGCTTGGTGGTGCACACCTGTAGTCCCAGCCACTGGGGAGGCTGAGACAGGAGGATCACTTGAACCCGGGAGGCAGAGGTTGCAGTAAGCCAAGATTGCACCACTGCACTCCAGCCTGGGCGACAGAGCCAGACCCTGTCTCAAACAAAAAGAAAAAGAAAAAAAAAAAAACTAAGCAAAAGACCATGGATATCCTTTTTTAAATGGTACAAATGACAAAAAGCAAACACAAATTTGTTTAGGGTATTTCCATGACATTTCCCTAGAGCAGGATGGGAAGTGGAACTGGCCTAAATGGCTTTGCCAGGCACCGCACCCCTGTTCCACAGATACACAGACTCACAAACACACTCACCACTCACCCACTCCTCCCAGCGAGCTATCTTCTCTGCCATCTCCACGGCCTCCTGGTGCTCGCGTTCTGCTTCCTCAGCAGCCTCCCTGGCCAGCCGCTCCTCCGCAGCCTTCCGCTCCTCTTCTGCCTTTTCTTCGTCTGTTAAACCATAATTTCGAGGCTCCCCAATCTCTTTGATGAGCTGTTTGATAGCAAGTCTATTCTGAGCATCTTCAAGTTTTCCTACATCTTTAAATACCAGGAGAGAGATCAACACATACTTATATTCTAGGCCTGCCTGCAATTGGGAAAATTCTTTATTACTATAAACTTGCGATAGTCAATTATGTAAATTACCACATAGGGTTTTCTTTTCTAATTGCCAGCATAGTTCAGAATTTCTTCTCTCACGGGCAAATATCAGACCAGAGTCTGAGGGCTGTGGGTAGGAAAATTTGGACTTGGGTCTATGAGTTCTAACAATGACTTGATTTGAGTGGTTGAATGGGGGAATGGATTGCCTGAAAAGTAATGAGCTCTCCATGCCTGGAAGTATTCAAGCAAAGACTGGGACACTTCTTTCAGAGGTTTCTACAGAAGGAAGTCCTGCACTTGTGGGAGGCCAAACAGGGTGACCTTTCTGAAAATCAATGATACTGGGATACATTTTCAATTCATAAAAAAATAACCATTTCAGTGAGTCTACTTGAATAGGAAAAATATCCAGACTCCAGAATATCTGAAAAATGTTAGTATCAAGACCAAAGAGAAGAAAAAGAGAAATGGTGTATTGATAAATACTGAGATCTCCACGGTCACTGAGGTGGTAAATTCTATGCCACTCTCTTAGGGCTGCTTGGAAGGTGTCTGCAGAGAACGATGTGCAGCAGACACATTTTGGTACTAAGCCCCTTCAGACCTTCCTCTGGGTAGCTGCTTACCCCACGCCCATTCATAGTCACTGCTGTGCCCACCCCTCCCATGTTTGTTTTTTATTGTTTTGTTTTGTTTTTATAGAGACAGGGTCTCCCCATGTTGCCCAGGCTGATCTTGAACTCTTTGGCTCAAGCAGTCCTCCTGCCTTGGCCTCTCATAGTGCTGGGATTACAGGCATGAGCCGCCACCCCTCCCATGTTTGTATGACCTTGACCTAGACCAGAAGCACCACCAAGTTCTAATATGGGAAGAGGGGAGGAGCAGAGCCAGTGCACTGGTTGGTGAACAGAAGCAAACCTTTAAAAAAGCAAAAAACAGCTGGCCATGGTGGCTCACACCTGTAATCTCAGCACTTTGGGAGGCCGAGTAGGTTGAGGTCAGGAGTTCAAGACCAGCCTGGCCAACATGGAGAAACCCCATCTCCACTAAAAATACAAAAATTAGCCTGGTGTGGTGGTGCACACCTGTAGTTCCAGCTACTTGGGAGGCTTAGGCAGGAGGATCACTTGAACCCGGGAAGCAGAGGTTGCATTGAGTTGAGATTGAGCTACTGTACTCCAGCTTGGGTGACAGAGCAAGACTTTGTCTCAAAAAAAAAAAAAAAAAAGGTAAAAGTCATATCGGTAGCTCCTCATTGCCTGACCTGTGACATTTAAATGCATTTCTCACTGGGTGTGGTGGCTCACGCCTGTAATCCCAGAACTTTGGGAGGCCGAGATGGGCAGATTGCTTGAGGCCAGGAGTTTGAGACCAGCCTGGCCAACGTGGTAAAACCCTGTCTCTACCAAAAACACAAAAATTAGCTGGGCATGTGGCATACACCTGTAATCCCAGCTACTTGGGAGGCTGAGGCAGGAGAAACGCTTGAACCCAGGAGGCAGAGGTTGCAGTGAGCCAAGATTGCGCCACTGCACTTCAGCCTGGGTGACAGAGGGAGATTCTGTCTCAAAAAGAATAAATAAAATAAATAAATAAATAAATAAATGCATTTCTCCCTGATTACTCTGAGTAGTTACAACCTTGATATCACTAACTGGACACCTTTGAGAAGGTACTTGGGAATGATTCCCCCTAGCAATATTCCACTCTGACCCCAGAGTGGGGCCACTGCTGATTAGACTGGGGTGGGGCACCTCAGCCCGAACTGTGACCAGCAGAGTTGCCCTTCAGGGAATGTGGGATTGGACACAGTGAAGTCAGCTCTGGCCTTGGCTCCCAGGGTAGCATTGTAACTCTGGGGTGTGGGGTGGCCTCAGCCTACCACACAGGCCACAGAGGGGGAGAGTACACTGGCCCAAAGAAAGAGAGGACAAAGAGACACTGAGAGAGAAGCAGAGTCCAGAGCTGATGAGAGGATGTGATTCCCAGCATCTTTCCAGGGCCCCATTCCAGACATTGCAGAGGCCGGGCTGCATCCCTGGCTGTGAGACGCCCTCCCCATCTCCCATCCTTAGGATACATTTCTCCCTTCTGCTTTTATATTATCTCCCAGTTGTCAGTTGTAGATGAGGCCAAATGAGATGGGCACAGGATGAGATGGAACACAATGGCCACTCATTCATTCCTCCCTGTTACTTATTTTTTTTCTCAACATTTCTCCTGGGCTCTCCTGATCTTCCTATAAACAGTTTTTGGGACCTAACTGAAAAGATGACAATCACTATTTTTCTGAAATGTATTCTCCATTCTTTCCTAGTTCTCTAAATAATGTAAACTAATTTCCATATTAGGAGGTACAGAACCCTTAGCTTTTACATATAAAGCATGTCCAACATGCAGAAACATGTCCAGATGAGGACAAAACCCAGTCACTGCTCTGAGGGTGCAGACAAGAAGAATTTGCAGATTTATAAATTGTTTTTGTATTTCTTTTTTTTTTTTTGAGACAGAGTCTCACTGTCACCCAGGCTGGAGTGCAGTGGCATGATCTCACTTCACTGCAATCTCTGCCTCCTGGGTTCAAATGATTCTCCTGCCTCAGCCTCCTGGGTAGCTGGGATTACAGGTGCACACCACCACGCCCAGCTAATTTGTGTATTTTTAGTAGAGATGGGGTTTCACCATGTTGGCCATGCTGGTCTTGAACTCCTGACCTCAGATGATCCACCCACCTTGGTCTTCCAATGTGTAGGGATTACAGGCGTGAGGCACTGCACCCAGTCATTTTTTTATTTCATAATAGTATGTCATGTTATGCCTTAGTGTTGGTAGGAATAACAAAATGACCACTTGTTGAACTCCTTCAATGTGCCAGGCACTTCGTATCTCTCATCTCTACCGTTTGTAACAATCCTGCAAGCCTGATTATTTTCCTATTTCACAGATGAGAAAACTGAGGCCCAGCCACAATTGGAATTAGCTCTCCTGCCTCCTGCTGACATTATCCCTTAGCACTAAGCCTCCCGATACTCCAGGGCTCAAATGCTGTCCCATTGGGCAGTTGGGGGTAGAGAGCAGCCCCTGGAGGCCCAAGGTGTGGGCCTGGCCAGGAAGCTTCCACCAGGCAGAAGCTGGTTCTTTCTCACCAAGCCCATAGGAGGAATACGTGCGAAGGTCCAGAAAACCAGAAAGGTAGGTCAGGGGTTCAACAAGCCAAGGGAAGTAGCAGCAGCTGTGAAAGCTGAGAACTGGAGCCAGGAATGATAATGGTGACGATGAGGCTGACGTGATGCGGGATCATGAGTGCTTGCTGTGTGCTAAGCTCAGAGCTGTGTTTACAGGAAACAAGAAGGAACGCAGTGAAGAGCTATTTGCTCTTCTGGGTAGCTACGGGGATGGGCTGGCCAGTCAGAAGGCTGGGAAAGGGTCTGGAAGAGCACCAGTGCCCAATAATTTAACAGGGACAGAACACTGCTCCCAAGGAACCTGGGGGAATGGCCCAAGCAGCCAGCACCATACACACATTTCTTTAAAAAAAAAAAAAAAAGAGTTTGTCGGCCAGGCACGGTGGCTCACACCTATAATCCCAGTACTTTGGGAGGCCGAGGCGGGCAGATCACGAGGTCAGGAGATCGAGACCATCCTGGCTAACACAGTGAAACCCCGTCTCTACTAAAAATACAAAAAAATTAGCCGGGCACTGTGGTGTGCACCTGTAGTCCCAGCTACTCGGGAGGCTGAGGCAGGAGAATGGCGTGAACCCGGGAGGCGGAGTTTGCAGTGAGCCGAGATGGTGCCACTGCACTCCAGCCTGGGCAATAGAGCAAGACTCCATCTCAAAAAAAAAGAAAAAAAAATTAATCAGGCCTGGTGGCATGTGCCTGTAGTTCCAGCTACTTGGGAGGCTGAGGCAGGAGAATTGCTTGAACCCGGGAAGCAGAGGTTGCAGTGAGCCAAGATTGCACCACTGCACTCCAGCTTGGGCAACTGAGCGAGACTCCATCCCCCCACAAAAAAAAAAAAAAGGATTTGTCATTTGACTTCACAATATATCCATAAATTCTCATACGATAATAACACCCTCCCACCACCAAATCCCCACATAGAATGACTCCCCAGGAGGAGTGCCCTGTGTATTTCATGGCTTCCTGTGCCCCAACCCATGATTACACTCCCCACCCTCCCCCCAGCCCCACAATTACAGCTAGACCTGCACCAAGCTTTGCTGGGGGTCCTGGACATTCACATTATCCTTGAATTCATTTCATACCAATATGTATCGGGTGAATTTCAAGTTCATCAAAATAGTTGAAGACAGTCTCATCGTCGATATTGATGTCCCGGTAGTTGCTCAGAGCCCGGAGGAATCGGTCTTGGCTGTAGTGGGTCCCCGCCACGATGCTCTCAGGAAGGTTTATCACACGCTCCTTCAGAAACTCATCCGAAGCATCCAGTGCACAAACGAATTCTGGGGAGAAGGACAGACTCCAGAGTTGGCACAATACAGCGCAGCTAACTAGCAGGGTGCTGGAGAACGCATGGCCCCCTGGTTACCAGCCAAGACCTCCTGTTGCCACAAATAGCCTGTCCAATTGGCTTTGCTGCCTCTCATGGAGGATAAATAGATGAAAATCACCCCATTTCCAGAGACCACCCTATGAGGCCCAATTAGTATTTTGTGCAATCTATTATTTTCCCTTTCTTCCCCCCTCCCTCTCTTCCTTCCTTCCTCCCTCCCTTCCCCCGCCCTCCCTCTGTCCTTCCTTCCTTCCTTCCTCCCTTTCTAACTAATAAAAGCAGCAGAAATCATAAGTAGCAAATCTCAGATAACCCTGTGATATCAGCTTCCTAGTTAATTTTCACATTGTCTCTTTTCTCTTTTTTAAAAAATACATACTTATATGTATGTATATTTATTTTAGAGAGATACAAGGTCTTACTATGTGCGGGCTGATCTCAAATTCTTGCCTTAAGCAATCCTCCCGCTTTGGCCTCCCAAAGTGCTGGCAGGGATAAGCCACGGCTCCTGGCCTCACGCTGCCTCCTATCCAGCACAATTATCACAGGCTTCCAAAGAGAGCTATGGCTACAAGCAAAATGCTTTGATGGCCAGTTTGCCAAATTAATAAAATGGGAACTCCCCTTGGAATTTTCATGGATCCAGCTCTTTCATCAATGCCATTGGCTATGAAACACTTACGTACAACATGTTATGGTCAGCACTTATCAAATTCAACACACAGATCATGTTAATAATGATGACCATTTTACCCATCTGTGATTTTCTTTTAAACTGTGAAAGCAGCTGTTCCTCCAGCTTCTAGTACAAATTCAATAGATAATTGTTGAGTGAATGAGAGATTTAAGTGTGGATCAGTGAAATAAACTTTCCAAGGTGAGTTGTGATTCTTAGATGTTCTCAACTACAGGAGCAGGGTATACTGGTGCCCAGATCAGTGTCTGGGTGCATCACAAATAGCTTGCTATCTATTAGAGCTCAACAGAACTTGGGAATGATTTGATTTTTGTTCTAAAATTGTATTGGCTTATAACATCATAATGCCATTCTCGTTTACTTGCATTCTAATAAGCTTCCTTGAGTGGGTGAAAAAGGTAAGTGTAATGGGGAAAGCCCACAGGAGGTGTGTCCCCGAGGCATGTGGACATGTGTGAACATCATCTGCTGCAGATGTTAACTGTGAAAACAAAGGCTGAGACAGCGTGTGGAATAAGATCCTATAAATTCATAATAGTTTGATACTACCTCCATTCTGCATACAAGAGGTGTTTTCGCAAGTAAGTTGTTCCTATTTTTTGCTCATCTTTTACCATTTGATTGTCATGATTTTCATGAGTGGCTGCCTTTTGAAAAGGAAGGTAGACATATGAAGCCTCAAATGCTGGTACGGTACTGAAATCAAAAGGATGTCAACAGATTCGCTGAAAATTGAATCCATTTAAGCTCTATGATGTCGGACATCTATATGAAAACTTATTTTCTTTTTAGATTTTTCCCTAACATGATACTCATTTGTTAGAAAATGTATGAACTATGTTAATAATCTATGAATTTCAAAAATATATTCTATCTTTCTTCCAGGCTGATCAGGAGGTGGAAGATTCCAGTTAATCAAATAATGAGTAACATCCTTGGCTTTCCAATTTTCAAAGATTTTTAATATGATAAAATATACTTCTCACTAGATGATTTTTAAAAAAATGTTCATTCTCTTTATGACTCAGAGAACTTCAAGATTCTGCAGTATCTCAAGACAGTTATTCAGAACATCTATTGTCCTTGCACTGGCTAACTGTGGATAGCGAGTAATAGATTTCTGCTTGGTAAGACCGTAGATAACAAGGAGGTCACTGTATTTGGCTATCTGGAATCACATGAAAAATCTATGGTTTTTTTTTTTTTTTTTTTGAGACAAAGTCTCGCTCTTGTCCCCCAGGCTGGAGTGCGGTGGCGCGATCTTGGCTCACTGCAACCTCTGCCTCCCGGGTTCAGGTGATTCTCCTGCCTCAGCCTCCCAAGTAGCTGGGATTATAGGCGTGCACCACCGTGCCTGGCTAATTTTATATTTTTAGTAGAGATGGGGTTTCACCATGTTGGCCAGACTGGTCTTGAACTCCTGACCTCAGGTGATCTGCCCACCTCGGCCTCCCAAATTGCTGGGATTACAGGTGTGAGCCACTGCGCTGGGCTGAAAAAGCTATGTTTTAACAAATTTCCAAATATTAATCAGGTAGGTACAACTTTAAACTTATCTCCTTCAACCAAGAGGTCTTCAAAGAATCAAACTGGACATAGGCTAACAGCAGTGGTAAAATGCAATGGTTGCTCAATGGGAGAGAATACCATCTAGAACTGTATTACCATAGATTGGAATGTGTTTCTTTTATTTTCTGTATCTTATGCTTTGATTTCTTTTTTTTTTTCTTTTTTTTTTTAAGAGACAGGGTCTCACTGTCACCCAGGCTGAAGTGCCGTGGCATGATCAAGGCTCACCACCGCCTTGACCTCCTGGGCTCAAGAGATCCTCCCACTTCAGCCTCCTGAGTAGCTGGGACCACAGGCACATGCCACCACACCCAGCTAATTAAGAATGTTTTTGTGTGTGTGGAGATGGGGGTCTTGCTATATTGCCCATGCTGGTCTCCAACTCCTGGACTCAAGCAATCCTCCTGCCTTAGCCTCCCCAAGTGCTGGAATTGCAGGCGTGAGCCACCACACCTGGTCTGTTTTGACATCTTCAGGGGGGCCTTACAGATCTGGGGAGAGACTGCTGTCCTTCCCAGGCCTAGCCAATACCTAAAGATAGTAACAACTTGCTTGGGAATGCCCCTCCTATGCAAGCCACTCAATCCATTTATCTAATCTCACACAGCAAGCCAGTATTTCCCTTGCCCTAAATCATCCCAGGACCAGGCCCCAGGCAACTAGAGACCACCCGTAAACTCAAACTAGCCAGTCCCGAACGGTTCACTGTGGCCTGTCTTGGCTTTCCCAAAGAAACCCCAACAACGGCATTGATCTAGACCTTTCCCCTTGTTCTTGCTTCTGCCGCCTGACCAAACCTGGCATTCCCCATGTGCCCCCATCTCTAGGGAATCCTAAGTGTAAATTATTTCAATGGCATTGACCTCTCTATGTCACCATTCAGTTCCCTCCCTCAATTAAAATCCTACAAGTACGAATGAAACAATGCCCTACTTTCTTTCAGAGAAATAGAAAATAAAGACAATTTCTGAAAAGTTTGCTAACAACAGATTAACGTTCCAAATAGATTACGTCTTAGACGTGTTTGCACTGTGTCCAACAAAGAATGGAAAGTCCAGTGGCCTACGTTTAAGAGTCCTTGGTCACTTGACCTCTGTGCTTCCATTTCCTTATCTCACAGGCAGGTTTCATTAATTGTTTTGGAGGCAGTGGAGTGAGAAGACCTGAGTTTTAATTTAATCCCCCTACCATTTACTAGTGAGTGGACTTGCATAAATCTCTAGGCTTTAGCTTCTGGATTGGGTAAACATGGGTGTAATTCCTGCCTTGCAGGATTGTGGAAAGGTTCAATGAGTGCCTGGCACATGACAAATTGTGCACGACCAATTGCCAGTTGAACTGAAATGTATCCAGCTGCCTGGATGTTATGGGTGTTATGATTTAGCACAGAGTTTGCAATGAGTGAATATTGCCTAGAAGTGATAAACAAAATGCACTGGACACACCTACCTAGAATTTAATAATCAACAATAAAGTAGATGAACAAACTTTACTTTTTATTTTATTTTTTTAATTAATTTTTTTGAGACCGGTTCTTGCTCTGTTGCCCAGGCTGGAGTGCAGTGGTGTAATCAGGGCACCTGCAGCCTTGACTTCCCACACTCAAGTGATTCTCCTACCTCAGCCTTCCAAGTAGCTGGGACTACAGGTGCATGCCACCACCCCCAGCTAATTTTTTTGATTTTTTTTTTTTTTTTTTTTTAGTAGATATGAGGTCTCACTATGTTGCCCAGGCTGGTCTCTAACTCCTGAGCTCAAGAGATCCTCCCACCTTGACCTTCCAAAGTGCTGGCATTACAGGCACTGTGTCTGGCCAATCAACTTAGCCCACAGGCAAACAATAAATATCCATCCCCAAGGATGACTGCTATCTGGTGGTCTCAGTCCTTCCAGAAGCTTCTCTGCAAACTGTGCTGGACCAAGAGAAGAAAACAGCCACAAGCTGCCTTCCTCGGGGACTTGATACCAGTGAGCAGGCAGGCCCTTTTCAGTTACAGCCTTGTCCTAAGTTGCTGAAAATAGCTTTTCTTCTAGCGATCATATGACCCAAAATGATTCCCTATGAATATCTACCTCAAGCAAACTGACTAAAAACAACAACACTTTTTAACGTTTACAGGAAGGTCACAAGAAATGCCTGCTCAGTACTAAGTAAATCCTGTTGTGTACGATAAATTGCTTATGCTTTGCTTTCAAGAGTACTTTGTGAAATCCCTGTGTAAATATGTGATAGAATAAAACCACTGTGGAGTTAAGAGTGAACTGAAAAGCTTTTGACCTGTGCAATCTCAAGTCAGAAGCTGAATGTCTTTTGGAAGAGATGAGGGCACGGTTAGCACCAAAACCAGGGCAGGGAAGGAGGCTACATGACTCACGAAGTCAAGCCATCAGCAGATTTGCTACCTTTTGCTTTGTTACAGGAGAGAGCAGTGGAAGACAACGTTCCCACAGGGATTTCTATTCATTTCAGCAATTTAATATTCCTCATGTTTATCCGTTGGTGCATTCTCTAGTTTGCAAGTTTATGCTTGAGAATGTCTTTTAATATTTTTCCTAAAAAAAAAAATCCTACTTTATTAAACTCAAAAAGATTCTTTTGGCACAAAAGGGATATTGGGCTACTCTAGGCACACTGCCTATGGTGTAGCCCTGCTCCTTAAGAAGTAGTTAAAAAAAAAAAAAAAGAGCCTGGGCAAGGTGGCTCACACTTGTAATCCCAGCACTTTGGGAGGCCAAGGCGGGTGGGTCGGGAGATCGAGACCATCCTGGCTAACATGGTGAAACCCCGTCTCTACTAAAAATACAAAAAAATTAGCCAGTCATGGTGGTAGGCGCCTGTAGTCCCAGCTGCTGGGGAGACTGAGGCAGGAGAATGGCGTGAACCCGGGAGGCAGAGCTTGCAGTGAGCTGAGATCGCGCCACTGCACTCCAGCCTGGGCAACAGGGCAAGACTCAGTCTCAAAAAAAAAAAAAAAATTAGCTGGGCATGGTGGCAGGCACCTGTAGTCCCAGTTACCGGGGAAAACAAAGAGAAAAGAGAGAGATATCAGACAGCATTCTTCTTTTCTTTTGAAACAGAGTCTCTGTCGCCCAGGCTGGAGTGCAGTGGCAGGATCTCGGCTCACTGCAATCTCTGTCTTCTGGGTTCAAGTGATTCTCCTGCCTTAGCCTCCCGAGTAGCTAGGACTACAGGCACACGCTACGACACCCAGCTAATTTTTGTATTTCTAGTAGAGATGGGGTTTCGCCATGTTGGCCAGGCTGGTCTTGAACTCCTGACCTCAGGTGATCCACCCGCCTTGGCCTCCCAAAGTTCTGAGATTACAGGCGTGAGCCACCACGCCCAGCCCAGAGAACATTCTTTTAAATGTGATCTTAGGGAAATAAACTTACCAGGTATAATTAATTTATCAAAGGGAAACATTCTGCCTCTGACATCATCTTCCTCCTCCTCATCTTCCTCTAAGAAAACAAAATATTCCTCATTGTGTTTATTAATATATTATTACTATGGATCACAGCAAAAAATTCCAAATATCTTAAGTAGCAAGCACTAATGAAAACTAGCCATAAATAGCACATGTATTTTAGAAATAGTCTCACAAACTAAATGTACATTGATAGATGCATGGATAAAGAAAATGTAGTATATACATCCAACAGAATACTATTCAGCCTTTAAAAAGAAGGAAATGGCTGGGCATCATGGCTCACACCTGTAATCCCAACAATTTGGGAGGCCAAGGCAGTAGGATCACCTGAAGCCAGGAGTTCAGAGATCAACCTGGCAACAGGGTGAAACCTCCATAACATTTTTAAATTAGTCGGGCGTGGTCATGCACGCCTGTAGTCCCAGCTACTCGGGAGACTGAGGCAGGAAAACCACTTGAGCCCAGGAGGTCAAGGCTGCAGTAAACTATGATTGTATATATCACTGTGCTCCAGCCTGGGTGACGGATGGTCTATTTTTTTTTTAAAGGAAATTCTGCTATATGCAACAACAAGGATGAACCTTGAGGACATTATGCTAAGTGAAATCAGTGACAGAAAGACAAATGCTACATGATTCCACTTACATGGGGAACTTGAGTAGTCAAATTCAAAGAATGAAAGAGTGGGATGGTGGTTGCCAGGGGCTGGGGAGGGGAAAAAACAAAAGTTACTAATCAACAGGCGTAAAGTTTTAATCAGGCAAGATGCATAAGCTCTAGAGGTGTGCTGAACATCACAGTGCCTATAGCCAACGATAATGTATCGCACACTTAAAAGCTTGTTCCGAGGGCAGATCTCGTGTTAAGTATTTGTGCCACAATACAATAAAATAAAATTTTAAAAAATTTGTAAAAGGCTATGCACCTTGAGCCACCATCCAGGGGGAAAAAAAAAGAAAAAAAAAAGCTACGTAAAGAAAGGTGAGCCAAAGCTCAAAAATAAATAGTCTCTCTAGTTTTCTGTTTACTTTAATTGAGTGACTACTTCTCTGAACAATAAAGTTGCAACTTATCTGAATATAAATACTCAAAATAGAACACTCAAACTTACGATTGAACAGGTCTTTTGCTTGATCATAGGTCTTTGGGAATCCATCCAAAATATAACCTTGATTCCTGCAAGGCATTGATTTTAGCTTTTCTTTCATAAATCTAATTATATATTGATCGTCTAGTTGACCTGATAAAAAAACATATATGTATATATTACTTATAATGTATCACATTCTAAGTAAGAGTTGTTTTAAAGTTATCTCAAAAATTGTTGTGTAGTCAAAGGTACTATTGGAAATCCCTATTTTGCTTTTTTTTTTTTTTTTTTTTTAAAGAGACGGGGTCTCACTCTGTCGCCCAGGCTGGAATGCAGTGGTGTGGTCATAGCTCACTGCAGTCTCAGCCTCCCAGGCTCTGCAATCTTCCCACCTCAGCCTCCCAAGTAGCTGGGACTATAGGCGCTTGCCACCATGCCCCACTGATTTTTAAACGTTTTGTAGAGAAAGGATCTTGCAATGTTGCCCAGGCTAGTCTTGAACTCCTGGCCTCAAGCAATCCTCCCACCTTGGCCTCCCAAAATGTTGGGATTACATTTTGGCCCTTAAAGTAAAAAATATGTGATTTTGTACTTTGAACATGATGTGAATTCTAATGCACAGTAATGTAGGAGAACCCAGTGAACTTGTCTGCAAGAAAGAGCATGGGCGAGTGCCGATGTCTGCACTTTCAAAGTGTTCTGTAATCCCAATTTTTGGTGAAATTGATTGAGGAGCAGCAACTGGAGTAATGCAGAGAGCTCCGCCCGCCCGCAGGGTTTCTGTTTTGATATTACACCTCTGTAACCTTACTATACAATAATAAATGCTTCTGTTGTGAGAATTGTGAGATAGCATTCATGTTTGTTGCCAGCACATAATTTACTAAAAGAAGGTGCTGGATTTGACTAACAATCAAACTTGACCCGACCCTCAAAGGCACTTTTCTCTGTAATGCTTCAGAAAAGAACACGGCTCCCTTCTCCGTGTCTTTTCCAGTTGGCATTTCTGACCTCAGCCCCACTGGACAGTTCCCTCTCAAGCCCTGACACTGGGTTCCTGGCACTGCTTGGGAAGGATGAGGAGGGAGGAGTTTGTTCTAAAACTGGCACAGTGGTTTAATAACAACATGATGCAACTCCACCACAATATCCATCACTCCATCATAATTATTGAACAGCTACAATGTTCAAAACGCAGCCCCATCCTTACCTTGCTTAATGTGTACATTATAGTAATGTAAGTTTGACAAGTTAGGGAAATTGATCTTCAAAGCTCTTTCCAGAGTTTGTACTATTCCTTTACCTTATCAGTGAATCTATTATTCTTTTACCTTATCAGTGACTCCCCCTCCTCCTCTCCCTCCTCATCCTTCTCCGCCTTCTCATCCTCCCCCTCTTCCTTCCCTCCTCCTCCCCCCTCATTTTACATAATGTAAAATAAATAATTTCAGGCTTCTTTTTTATTACTCTATCAATGACAATAAACTGATCTAATTAAAACACCTCTCCCGGGCGGGCGCGGTGGCTCACACCTATAATCTCAGCACTTTGGGAGGCCAAGGTGGGTGGATTACCTGAGGTTGGGAGTTCGAGACCAGCCTGACCAACATGGAGAAACTCTCATCTCTACTAAAAATACAAAATTAGCCGGGCGTGGTGGCACATGCCTGTAATCCCAGCTACTCGAGAGGCTAAGGCAGGAGAATCGCTTGAACCCGGGAGGCGGAGGTTGCAGTGAGCCAAGATCGCACCATTGCACTCTAGCCTGGGCAACAAGAGTGAAACTCCATCTCAAAAACAAAAAACAAAAAACAAAACACAAAACACCTCTCCTTTCTTCTACCTTTCAGTGTCACACCATCCATTAGGCAGTAGCAGGTTCCGAAAATAACTGTCTTTCAGAAATTTAAATATTATGGCTAAGACAAAAAAAGATCTTAAGTATTATTTAACATAATGAAATTCCTCTGAATGATTCTACATTACTTCCCAGTAAGGTTCACAGGGGTGCCAAGAAATGAAGCCAAATAAAAACGTGTCAAGGGATTCACTAATATTCTAAATCTGGTTTTATTTAAGCCGTCTATTTTCTTTTTTGTTTTTTGAGACAGAGTCTCATCCGTTACCCAGGCTGGAGTGCAGTGGTGCAATCTTGGCTCACTGCAACCTCTGTCTCCTGGGTTCAAGAGATTCTCATGCCTCAGCCTCCCGAGTAGCTGGGATTACAGGTGTGCACCACTACGCCCAGCTAATTTTATTTGTATTTTTTAGTAGGGACAGGGTTTTGCCATGTTGGTCAGGCTGGTTTCAAACTCCTGACCTCAGGTGATCCACCTGCCTCAGCTTCCCAAAGTGCTGGGATTACAGGAATGAGCCGCCGCCCCCGGCCTAAGTCTATTTTCATTTTTCAAAGGCTTTGTTGTTAAATTAAAGGCACTTAATCTAGAAATCTAGCTGCAATTCCCTTCAATGCCTCCCTCAGTTTATTTCAGGCCCTGAGCTTAGCCACTCATTTCTGCTTGATTCGGAACGAAAGTGCTCAGTAATTAAGAAGGGACCTCCAGCAGCATTTTTTGGTAATTATGGGATGCTTACAAGGCATGACCCAGTACACAAAGGACCCAGTCCAAGTGCCTTTCTCTTGAGAAATGTGATCTCTTAGAGATAATCTCATGACCTTTGGCCAGGGTTCAGCTGTATGGCAGGCAACTGCGCTTTCTGTTTGAAAATGAATGAGCACAGCCCTCCTACATAGCTTTTAAAAATGTCATCCTGCTTTTTCTAAAAAAAAAAAAAATTAAATGTATCTTTCAAATGCCAGTAATATTTAAAATGTTCATATGAACACATATTCATAATTACTAAAACATGTTTAAAAATAGAGAGCTGCTCCCCTGAGCAGTGGTGGGAATGTGAGGGACGGCATTTGAGATGACAACCTGGCTTCTGTCCCCTCATCCCCAGGAAACTGTACTGTCTTAACTGATGATGACCAAACAGCAAGCAGTGATTTCACAAAGGAAAGAGTGCAGGCCGGGCGTGGTGGCTCACGCCTGTAATCCCAGCACTTTGGGAGCCCGAGGCAGGTGGATCACGAGGTCAGAAGATTGAGACCATCCTGGCTAACACGGTGAAATCCCATCTCTACTAAAAAATACAAAATAATTAGCCGGGCGTGGTGGCATGTGCCTGTAGTCCCAGCTACTCGGGAGGCTGAGGTAGGAGAATGGCATGAACCTGGGTGGCGGAGCTTGCAGTGAGCCGAGATCGCGCACTCCAGCCTGGGCAACAGAGTGAAACTCCTTCTCAAAAAAAAAAAAAAAAAAAAAAAGGAAAGAGTGCAAAAGCTATGTATTTGTAGGAAGTCTGCCTCATGAGAGAGATCACCCTTCTTTCTGTTTTTTTTTTTTTTTGAGACAGGGTCTCCTGTCACTCAGGCTAGAGTGCAGTGTTGGGATCTTGGCTCACTGTGGCCTCTACTTCCTGGGATCAGGTAATCCTAGTGCCTCGCACACCACCATACCCAGCTAATTTTTTTTTTTTTTTTTTTTTTTGTAGAGACGGGGTCTTGCTATGCCACCCAGGCTGGTCTCAAACTCCTGGCCTCAAGTGATCTTCCTGCCTCAGCCTCTCAAAGCGCTGGGATTACGGGCGTGAGCCACCATATGTGAGCCACCGTATCTGACTTTTTTCTTTATAGAAGCAGAAGCAAAAGTGTTCCACTTGGGTCCCAGTTTGAACTTGGTAAATAAATGTACCTCAGAACTAGAATTATCCATACAGTTATTCTTAAAGATAATGAGAAATGAAACAAAATGAGTGGCTTTTTACTCAGTTCACCAGGCAATGGGTAAAACTCCATTGTTTGCTGAGATACAAAAGTTTAAAAATCTACATTCTCATCCAGGCAGTTTGATATTTGGATAAATTTGTCTAAATCAGGTAATGTCCGTAAGCAGCTCAGGGAAGAAATACCTTAAGAAGCAGCAGCCGGGCAGGGTGGCTCACGCCTATGATCCTAGCACTTTGGGAGGCCGAGGCGGGTGGATTGCCTGAGCTCAGGAGTTCGAAACCAGCCTGGTCAACACAGTGAAACCCCGTGTATCTACTAAAAATACAAAAAAATTAGCCGGGTGTGGTGGCGTGCGCCTGTAGTCCCAGCGACTCGGGAGGCTGAGGCAGGAGAATTGCCTGAACCTGGGAAGCAGAGGTTGCAGTGAGCCGAGATTGCACCATTGCACTCCAGCCTGGGTGACAAAGTGAGAAAGTGAGAATCTGTTGCCAAAAAAAAAAAAAGCAGCAGCAAAAGATGGCTCTTGGAAGAAATTTTGGAATCTTCAATTTGATCTAATTAATATGGACACATTAATATTGCAAAATCTTTCATACTGCACTAATTTGTTAAAAGAACTGTGTATTGGAGTTTGCAATTTAAAACTAACTGAGGCACAACGGACTTGTTTAAAATATTTTACTTGATTATACATATACACTTTCCAAAATTCTTATGTAATCTCTAGTGGACTTTTAACTGGTCAAAGTTTGTGTTTATGAGAACCTTTGCCTTTTTTTTTTTTTTTTACATATTCGTCTACACTTACAGATTTCCTCAGTAATATTCTGAGTTGTTGGTTATTTGCTTTCAGTTACATTTTTTATTGTGCATGCAGAATGTGCATTGCTGCCCGAGACTTTAGGTTCATTATAGGTTTATTTGGGCAGCATTAGAAAAAAAATACCATAAATCAAGCCAGCATTTTAATAAGGCCAAAACAAAGTTGGTGATCTAAAGGCTTGTTAATGGTATGGAGTTTCTACATGACGTTAGTGAAAAATGAGGGTTGTTTTCTATTAGGAAAATGGGCAACTCTCTCCGGCCGTGTATTTTTCATGTTAATCCTGACAGTTCACCAATGAGCTAGTCATGAAGAATGTAGGCAGTTAATATCACTCCAGGAACGGGCCAGGTGCTCACACCTGTAATCCCAGCACTTTGGGAGGGTGAGGCAGGAGGATGGCTTGAGCTCAGGAGTTCAAGACCAGCCTAGGCAACATAGGGAGATCTCATCTCTACTAAAAATAAAAAACAAGGCCAGGCAGTGTGGCTCACACCTGTAATCCCAGCACTTTGGGAGGCTGAGGCAGGCGGATCATGAGGTCAGGAGATCGAGACCATCCTGGCTAACGTGGTGAAACCCCGTCTCTACTAAAAAATACAAAAAAATTAGCCGGGCGTGGTGGCGGGCGCCTGTAGTCCCAGCTACTCATGAGGCTGAGGCAGGAGAATGGTGTGAACCCAGGAGGTGGAGCTTGCAGTGAGCCGAGATCATGCCACTGCACTCCAGCCTGGGTGACAGAGCGAGGACTCTGTCTCAAAAAAAAAATAAATAAATAAGTAATAAAAATTAAAAACATTAGCCAGGCATGGTAGCTACTTGGGAGGTTGAGGTGGGAGGATTGTTTGAGTCCAGGAGATAGGGGCTGCAGTGAGCTATGTGCACCACTGCACTCCAGCCTGGGTGACAGAGCAAAATCCTAACCTCCCCCACCAAAAAAACTTCCTCCAATTGTTCCTTCCTATGTTGTATATCATTTGGTTTCTTTTTTTTTTTTTTTTTGAGATGGAGTCTTGCTCTATCGCCCTGTCTGGAGTGCAGTGGCATGATCTTGGCTCATTGCAACCTCCTCCTCCCAGGTTCAACCAATTCTCCTGCCTCAGTCCCCCGAGTAGTTGGGATTACAGGCATCTGCCACCGCACCTGGCTAATTTTTGTATTTTTAGTAGAGACAGGGTTTCACCATCTTGGCCAGGCTGGTTTTGAACTCCTCACCTCATGATCTGCCTGCCTCGGCCTCCCAAAGTGCTGGGATTATAGGCGTGAGCCACTGCGCCTGGCCTCTTTGGTTCTTTTACTCACCTACTTGAATACTTGGATAAACCATTCACCAGGTAAAATAAAAGGATTTTATTTTAATCCTTTTACATAAAATAATCTGAACTCTGACAAGTTTCATAAAAGCTTTTTGGCATTAATCTACTTTTAGTGTATTGATAAAACAAACAAAAAGAAACACGGTTTTCCTTTACTTTGACAAAGAAATGTAATTTTTACCTTATTTGTATGGAATTCCAGAATTAATGTATTTTTAGCCTTTTTTTTTTTTAAACGGAGTCTTCGCTCTGTCGCCCAGGCTGGAGTGCAGTGGCATGATCTTGGCTCATTGCAAGCTCCGCCTCCCGGGTTCACGCCATTCTCCTGCCTCAGCCTCCTGAGTAGCTGGGACTACAGGCACCCGCCACCACGCCCGGCTAATATTTTTGTATTTTTTAGTAGAGACGGGGTTTCACCATGTTAGCTAGGATGGTCTTGATCTCCTGACCTCGTGATCCGCCCGCCTCGGCCTCCCAAAGTGCTGGGATTACAGGCGTGAGCCACGGCACCCGTTCTTATTTTTAGGTCTTTAATACAGTGTTTCTGCCTCTCATTTGTAACTACATGCATTATTCTTGAAAGCAAGTAAACTCACTGAATTGTTGTGTAATAGTCGTTTAATTATTGCCTGTACAAATGTATATTGAGGTAAAATAAAACTGACAAAATATTTCTAGGGTACAGTTGGATCCATACTAAGTGGCTTGTCAAGCTAGATACATCCTTAGTGGGTCTGGAGACTTGGTCATGAATATCCTTTGTCCTAACCGGAGTGACTCCATCTTGAATAAAGGCCAGATAAAGCCAAACCTGCTGGGTGACATTCCCAGGGGGTTGAGCACTTTTGGTCACAAGATATTTATGGTTGAGGGACTGAGTTAATGATGCTAACTAACTAAAGACCCAGAACTTATAGAAATGTCCTGATATTTTGAGAACAAAAAGCATTCTTAGTTTAAGAATAGGTTTTGCTTTAAAGATAATAGTACACTTGTAAATTCTCACTGAAATCAATAGTAACATAGCATACTTATGTTCTTAAGTAACATAAGAAACAATACTAATAGCCTGTCACAAGTTGACCATAAGCCTTTATAATAAAGTACACTATTCTCTCTCTTTCTCCTTTTTTTTTTTTTTTTTTTTTTTTGGGACAGGGTCTTGCTCTGTCACCCAGGCTGGAGTCTCGGCCACACCACAGCCTTGACCTCCCGGACTCAAGGGCTCAAGCCATCCTCCTGTGTCCCCGCCAAAGTAGCTGGAACTATAGGCACGCACCACCACGCCTGGCTATTTTTTTTGTATTTTTTGTAGAGGTGGGGTCCTGCTATGTTGCCCAGGCTGGTCTGGAATTTCTTGCCTCAAGAGATCCTCCCACCTTGGCCTCTCAAAGTGCTGGTGTGAGCCACTGCGCCTGGCCAAGTACACCATTCTTAACAACCTATACATGCAAGCACTGTTTATAGTATGGCCTTCCCCCTTGTGCTTTCTGAAGACGCCCTACTCTGTGACAGAGTAGCTTTCAATAAACTATCTCTTCTCACTGTGGGGTATTCCTTCTCTTGTTTTCTGAGGACACCCTACTCTGTAATAGAGTAGTCTCTAATAAACTATCTTAACTTCACTATACTCTGTGGCTCACCCTCAATTTTTTCCTGCGTGAGATCTAAGAACCTGCTCCTGGGATCTGGGATGAGACCCCCTAGAAAGGGGTAACATTGCACCAGGATCAAATTCTCAGTGACTGTCATGCAGCCACGTCCAGGCTTCCACAGACACAGACTGTTTGGCGGTGACCCCACCCTTCCCTGTTATTGGTGACACTGTACTTTGTGTAAGTTTTTAGAGTTCACAGTGCAATTGCATTCATGTTCTCTTGGTTATCATTGTGTTACCTCAGTTAATCCTCCAAGCTGGTGGATTTATTCTGTCTTCTCCTCTCCTCTCTTTTTTTCCTTTTTTTTTTTTTTTTTTTGAGACAGAGTATTGCTCTGTCGCCCAGGCTGGAGTGCAGTGGTGTGATCTCAGCTCACTGCAAGCTCCGCCTCCCAGGTTCACACCATTCTCCTGCCTCAGCCTCCCGAGTAGCTGGGACTACAGGCGCCCGCCACCACACCCGGCTAATTTTTTTGAATTTTTAGTAGAGACGGGGTTTCACTGTGTTAGCCAGGATGGTGTCGATCTCCTGACCTCGTGATCCGCCCGCCTCGGCCTCCCAAAGTGCTGGGATTACAGGAGTGAGCCACCGCGCCCGGCTCCTCTCTCTTATTATTATTATTTTTTTTAACACAGGATGAAACAGGTTCAGAGAGAGGCAGTGACTGGTCTGAAGTCAGGAACTAAGCAAGTGGTCAAGCCATGCTTGGTGACTTCCAAGTGCATTCTTCATCTTCTTGTTTAATAAAGTCTTGTGGAAGATGGTATGTGAAACAGCGAGTCTCAACAGCAGAAAAGAACGCAATGTTAATTCATGAGTCATGGTCATGGTTCTGATTAGACTTCCACTGCCAAGGTTAACTGGTTTTTTGTTTGTTTGTTTGTTTGTTTGTTTGTTTTTTGAGGCGGAGTCTTGCCCTGTTGCTCAGGCTGGATTGCAATGGCACAATCTCAGCTCACTGCAACCTCTGCCTCTAGGGTTCAAGCGATTCTCCTGCCTCAGCCTTCCGAGTAGCTGGGATTACAGGCATCCACCACCACACCCGGCTAATTTTTTGTACCGTTAGCAGAGAGAGGGTTTCACCATGTTGGCCAGGCTGGTCTTGAACTTCTGACCTCGTGATCCGCCCTCTTTGGCCTCCCAAAGTGCTGGGATTACAGGCATGAGCCACCAAGCCTGGCCAAGGTTAACTGTTTTAAGAAATTTTGCCTTGATTACAGTAATAATATGTGTTTTGTTTAAAAAAAAAATTAGATAGCTGCAAGCCAAGATTTTACAATGACCCATGTACAGTAGAGACATCAACAAGTTGGTACATTTACAGACTTTTCTTCCCCTTTTTATTTTGAAACTCAGAAAAGTTGATAGTCCAATGATCACCAGGAATCCTACCAACTAGATCCAGTAATTTCACAATGCTTTTGAAATATGTAAAGTGAGCACAAAATCTGTAATTAGCACACTCTATGGTGTAACAAAGCCCTTATTTTGCTGCACCATCAGGGGCCGATGGGAGTGGAGTTAGGACATGGAGGGGCCTCACTGTGGGACTGGGAAACTCGTTTTGCTAGAATCATTGGAATCATGTGATAACAAATGCAGTCATGTGAGGGAAAGGTGAGGTAACCTCAGTGCCAAGGGTTCAAAGGTCTTGTTTTGTTCAAACATAGGCAAGGTCCATGTTTTCGTCTCAGGTAAATACGGATAGGAGGGATTTTTGGACACACTTGAGAAAGTTAAAAGGAACCGAATGATTCCAATCTTGTAGGAAGTGGGGAAGTGGGGAGTCACATGTGGGTGAGGAGCTTTGAGGGACGCTGGCTGTTCTAAAGATGTATCTTCCCCACACGACCACTTCCTCTGCCCCCTCCCAGGGCCCCTCTTACATCTCTCCTGACAGAGGCTGCTGAACCTGTTTGGCCTCTCACACCTGGGGGAAGAACAGAGTGAGAGGACAGGCCCTCTGGAGCCTGGGGGCCTCAGTGAGTGTTCTCAGCTGGGCACTATCTCTGCTCCAATTCTTGTTCTGTGTGGTCACCTCCCCAAGCGTGAAAAGAGCTCAGTTGGTACTTAACTGTTAGGTTAAGCCTTGGATAAGATTTCTGGGCCCTTGCAAAGGCCAATTATATGTCTTTGTCAATAAATAATGCTTGGCCAAGCACAGTGGCTCACGCCTGTAGTCCCAGCACTTTCAGAGGCCAAGGCAGGCAGATCACTTGAGACCAGGGGTTTGAGACCAGTCTGGCCAACATGGCGAAACCCCGTCTCTACTAAAAATACAAAAAATTAGCTGGCCATGGTGGTGTGTGCCTGTAATCCCAGCTACTCAGGAGGCTGAGAATTGCTTGAAGCCAGGAGGCAGAGCTTGCAGTGAGCCGAGATCACACCACTGCACTACAGCCTGGGTGACAGAGTGAGACTCATTCTCAAAAATAAATAAATAAATAAATAAATAAAGTTCAATGTTTGCTGAGTCCTGTTAGCCTGATTATTAGACATTCTTGTCTCTCCTTAGGGGATGGCATAGTTCCTTGCTCCTGGCACCCTGTTTCTAGCCTTACACCCCAGCTGTAAGCTTTACTTACACATGGCCATGTACACTGTGGCTTCCTAAAACTCCCAGTCCCACACCCCTCAATGTGACCTTGACAGATTTCCTTCCACAGATGTCCTCACAATGGAATGTCTTATCTTGTTTTTTTCCACCTCACCCAAAAGGTAAGCATCAGAACTCTGCTAGACTTTTTTTTGTAGACATGGGGGGTCTTGCTATGTTGCCGAGGCTGACCTCAAGCAATCTTCCCACCTTGATCTCTCAAAGTGCTGGGAATATAGCATGAGCCACTGTGCCCAACTCCACTCTTTTAGACTCTCTAAAACCAACATAGTGCTCCCCAAATGTCTTATGGGAAGGCAGAGGCAATGTTACATCCCCAAGCATTCATCTGGGCACTCCTTTCCCCTCTGGGAAATCTCTCTGGAATTCTAGATGCCATTTCCTTGTGGTGCAGCTCACAATGAAGCAGAAACCAAGACTCAGATGATGGGCTGGTTTCAGCGAACACTTGGTGTTTGCATGCAAAACCACCTCCTCCATCCCAGAAAACTAGGTTGATCTGGTGGAGGGGAGGAGGAGAGAGGTTCAGGGCTAACCTGGCCTTCAGGGAAAGGGTCGGGGGACTAGAGACCTCCATGGAAGCAGGCAGTGACAAACATAAGGAACCAGGGCCAGGGACCAGAGTGAACCCTCCTTAAGCTGGCCAATGGCAAATAGCCCCGGTCAGTCGCGTGCTCCCTGAGTGGAACATGGGTGACATGGACACCTGGTAGGGAATGGGATGAAGTTAGGAGAGGGAAACTAGGTCTCCAACCCAGGTGGAGGTGAGTAGCTGGGAAGAGGACAACCTCTATGGCAAAGGGGTGGAGTACCAGAAGACCAGTGATGGCCATGGAGGCAGTCAAGAGCCATGCCCCGGCGGTGCAGTGGGCAGTTCTCAGTAGGAGAATCTCAAGAGCCCCTGAGAGATGACAAAGGAGCAGCAAGCATGCCGTCTGTCACCCAATGCCAACTTACATCCGAGTTGGCCACATCCTTCTCTGTCCTTCTCCCCTGTCCTTGATCCCTGGAGGATCAGAAATGGCCACCAGCAAGAAGGGAGGAGGAAGGAAGAGGAGAGAAAATAAAGGTGGTTGAGAAGACGGCAAGGGGAGAAACTGCATTAGATGAGTCCGAAGGCGATACTACAATAACCAGATGATGGAGGAGCTCAACTGTCCAAGTGTAAACATGATGAAATGGCTTTATTTTTCTAATAACTGCTACTGACTGCTTTCCTGCAGGTAGCAAGATCCCTTAGAGACCTCTCAGTTCAAAACCCAGTTTGTAATTATTTGATTGGAACAGACTTCCTAAAGCATGAATAAACAAAGGGGCTACTCACTATCTAAGAGTTGCAATGGAACCAGCCTGAAATTCTATCCAAGGGAAAGAATGAATCCAGTTTGAGTTCAAAGCGACACCTTACTGTGATTACTTTGTTCAACAAACTGGCTACAATGAATCACTGAGTAAGAATAATTTTCCATTTATTTCTACGTCTTCCTGTATTACGTATTGGCCCATTTCATTAATCCATTTTTTTCTTTTCTTTCTTTTTTTTTGAGAGGGAGTCTTTCTCTGTTGCCCAGGCTAGAGTACAGTGGTGCGATCTCAGCTCACTGCAACCTCTGCCACCCAGGTTCAAGCGATTCTCCTGCCTCAGCCTTCCGAGTAGCTAGGATTACAGGCACCTACCACCGTGCCTGGCTAATTTTTGTAGTTTTAGTAGAGACGGGTTTCATCATCTTGGCCAGGCTGGTCTTGAACTCCTGACCTCGTGATCCACCCTCCTAGATCACGAAGTGCTGGGATTACAAAGGGATTACAAAGGGATTACAGACATGAGCCACCGTGCCCGGCCTCATCCATTTTTTTCTATTAAGGATTTCATAACTCTCTTATCAATTTGCCTGAACATTTTATATATTAAGGACATTAACTTATCATATCAGTGGCAATATTTTTTCTTGGTTTGTCCAATTAAAAGGACAACCAACTGATTGGTTGGAGTGCAGTGCTGTGATCTTGGCTCACTGCAACCTCTGCCTCCTGGGTTCCAGTGATTTATGAACATATGTGTGATTTTTTTTTCTTTTTTTTTGAGATGGAGTCTTGCTCTGTCACTCAGACTGGAGTGCAGTGGCACGATCTCGGCTCACTGCAGCCTCCACCTCCCGGGTTCAAGCGATTCTCCTGCCTCACCTTCCCGAGTAGCTGGGATTACAGGCACGTGCCACCACGCCCAGCTAATTTTTGTATTTTTAATAGAGATGGGTTTTCACCATGTTGGCCAAGCTGGTCTCAAACTCCTGACCTCAGGTGATCCGCCCAACTTGGCTTCCCAAAGTGCTGGGATTACAGGTGTGAGCCACCGGGCACAGCCGATTTTTTTCTTTTTAACTTAGGAAGTTCTTCCCCATCCTACCAACAGATCATCACCAAAATGTTAACAATGAGATTATGAAGGATTTTTTTTTTGTTATAATTTCTGTACTTCACCTTTTTTTTTTTTTTTTTTTTTTTTTTGTTGAGACAGGATCTTACTCTGTCACTGAGGCTGGAGTGCAAGGGCATGATCATGGCTTACTACAGCTTCAACTTCCCAGGCTCAGGTGATCCTCCTGCCTCAACCTCCAAATAGCTGGGACTATAGGCACATGCCACGATGCTCAGCTAATTTTTTTTTTTTTTTTTTTGAGACAGAGTTTCACTCTTGTTGCCCAGGCTGGAGTGCAATGGCGTGAACTTGGCTCACTGCAACCTCCGCCTCCCAGGTTCAAGCAATTGTCCTGCCTCAGCCTCCTGAGTAGCTGGGACTACAGGTGTGCGGCACCACATCTGGCTAATTTTTTGTATTTTTAGTAGAGATGGGGTTCACCATGTTGCCTAGGCTGGTCTCAAACTCATGACCTCAGGTGATCCACCCGCCTCGGCCTCCCAAAGTGCTGGGATTACAGGCATGAGCCACTGTGCCTGGCCATGCCTAGCTAATTTTTGTATTTTTTTGTAGAGATGGGGTTTCGCCATGCTGCTCAGGCTGGTCTCAAACTCCTGGCCTCAAGTGATCCTCCCACCTCAGACTCCCAAAGTGCTGGGATTACAGGCATGAGCCATGGCGCCCGCCTGTAGTTCAGTCTTTTTTTTTTAAACAGTCTTTTATAACCAGATTTTTAAAAATAGCCACTGTTCACAAGAGCAGCGTGGCTCTCTGCTGGGTGTGTGTTACCTGCATTCTGCTCCATGCTCTCCTTGATGCCATCTAGGAGCTCCTGTGCATCTTCCACATTCTCCTCCTCCTCTTCCTCTTCGACTTCTTCTTCTCCTTCCCCTACATCGTTAGGGGCAACAATCGCCTCCTGCATACCACAGGGATATTCACATTGGATGATGCCCCACATCCATTTGCTATTCACAAATCAGCTGGCAGGTGATCCTGGAAAAAGCTTGGGATCCAAATAGGACAGGTACCCTATGACAGCTGTCATGCAAAATTTTGCAGGATGCACATATCCACAAAGACACATGAGATCCTTGAGGTTTTTCTTACAGCATATTTAAGAGAATAGTATATTTTTGTGCTAATGCCAGAACTGCTTGAGCCAACATCTTTCTAATGTGTTATTCTAAGGTATTGGGTTGTATCTTACTTGAAGGAACCACATGTTGCAGAAATCAAGACTTTTAATAATCATTTATGAAAGCTACCTCAGTATCTGCCATTTCCAATAAAATGATACAAAGCAGTTTATAAATAAAGTTTGATAATACCCCGAGAAACATACAACACTAATAAAACACCTACAAGCGTTCCAGGCAACAGAGAGAACACAAGCTATACTTTGAACCACAGCTGGAGGCAGACTAAATTTCAAGGGCAACCCACAGAAGCTGCTTCCGTCTCAGAGGACAGCCCTGTAGAGTGTTGTGTTTTCATAACTGGGGGCAACAAGAACATCCAATTAAAATAACAAATCTCCTGTTTACTGACATACAAAATTAGTTGCTTGTTTATTATAAAACTAAAAAAAGCATTTCTAAAATGTTAAAATTCCCAATAAAGTAGTTACAAGCCATTTCAGGCTTGGCACGGTGGCTCACACTTGTAATCCCAGCACTTTGGGAGGCCAAGGCGGGCGGATCACCTGAGCTCAGGAGTTCAAGACCAGCCTGGCCAACATGGTGAAACCCCGTCTCTACTAAAAATACAAAAATTAGCCGGGCATAGTGGCACACACCTGTAATCCTAGCTACTTGGGAGGCTGAGGCAGGAGAACTGCTTGAACCCAGGAGGTGAAGGTTGCAGTGAGCCAAAATCGTGCCACTGCACTCCAGCCTGGGTGACAAAGCAAGACTCCATCTCAAAAAAAAAAAAAAAAAAAAAAAAGCCATTTTACAAGATGGCTCTGAAGGTAAAGAAGGAAGCTCCTTTCTTTCCCGAAGCCAAAGCAAAACCTTTGAAGGCCAAGAAGGCAGTGCTGAAAGGTGTCCACAGGCACAGAGAAAAGAAGATCCACACGTCATCCACCTTCTGGTGTCCCAGGACACTGTGGCTCCGGGGGCAGCCCAGACATCCTCCCAAGAGTGTCCTCAGGAGAAACCAGCATGACCACTCTGCCATCATCAACTAACATCCCCCGACCCCTGAGTTGGCCACGAAGAAGACGACACAAACACACACTTGTGTTCATTGCGGGTGCCAAAGCCAGCAAGCGCCACATCCAACAGGCTGTGAAGAAGCTCTCTGACGCCAGTGTGGCCAAGGTCAACACTCTTCTCAGGCCTGAGGGGGAAGAGAAGCCAGATGTTCCCCTGGCTACTGATTAGGACACCTTGGATGTTGCCAACAAAATTGGGATCATCTAAACTGCATCCAGCTGGCTAATTCGAATCATATACATCTTTATACCCTAAGAACAATACAGTAATTAATTAAAATGCCCAGGAAAATAGTTTAAAGTGTTACCAGTTTTGCTATGGCTTCAGAAATGACATCCTTCAGTTGGATGTGATGCAGTTTGTAGTAGTTGGCCAATTCTTTAGCAATACTGGATTTTCCCACAGCAGGGGGACCAAGAATGCAGATCTTGATTGGCTGAAAGAGGAGAGAGTAAGGAACATACAGCAAGCTCTGAATGATCTGTAGCTAGACAGAGTGGTTTTTTATTTCAGGGGAGTGCTTTTTTTTTTTTTTTTTTTTTTTGAGACAGAGTCTCTCACTCTGTTGCTCGGGCTGTAGTGCAGTGGCATGATCTCGCTTACTGCAACCTCCACCTCCCAGGTTCAAGCGATTCTCTGCCTCAGCCTCCCGAGTAGCTGAGACTACATGTGCGCACCACCATGCCCAGCTAATTTTTGTATTTTTTGTAGAGACGGGTTTTCTCCATGTTGGCCAGGCTGGTCTCAAACTCCTGGTCTCAAGTGATCTACCCACCTCAGCTTCCCAAAGTGCTGGGATTACAGATGTGAGCCACCACGTCTGGCTGGGAGTGCCTTTTGAAAATAAAGTCTCTGGACCCTGCAGGCTAACTCTCACTCTTCTGTGGAGACTCCAGAGTCACGCCTCTACCCCCACCACCACCACCAGGGTGACTGCCACATCATCCCGAAAGCGTCTGCCGCCTGGTCAGACAGTTCATGTTCTGGTTCATGTCCATTCATTCAGTAGGTATTCAATAGGCACCAACTACATGGGCTGATCTGGGGCTGGTGGATAGGGCCACATAAGAAGATGTATCAGGAACAACTCAGATCACTAAAGAGTAAGTGCTCAGGAATTACACACTGCCAGTTTCACAAGACAGTGCACAGTACAGGGCATTGTGCTACCTTTGGAACAGTAACAAAGCAAAGAATTTCTGGTTTGGTGTGCAAAGGGCCTAATTTACTGCCTGAATACTATTTCTGTACTGAATTTGGTCTTTAATTATTTGTTTTGTTTTGTTTTGTTTTGTATTGAGATAGGTGCTCCCACTGTTGCCCAGGCTGGAGTGTAGTGGTGCAATCACAGATCACTGCAGCCTCGAACTCCTGGGCTCAAACCATCCTCCCAGCTCAGCCTCACAAGTATCTGGGACTACAGAGGCACACCACCATGTTCGTCTGATTTTTATACTTTCTGTAGAGATGAGATCTCACTGTGTGGTTCAGGCTGGTCCCAAACTCCTGCACTCAAGGAATCCTCCCGCCTCAGCCTCCCAAAGCGTTGGGATAACAGGTGTGAGCCACTGCACCTGGCTTGGTCTTTAATTACTATTATTATTGTTACTATTTTGAGACAGAGTTTCACTCTTGTTGCCCAAGCTGGAGTGCAATGGCATGATCTCGGCTCACTGCAACCTCTGCCTCCTGGGTTCAAGCGATTCTCCTGCCTTAGCCTCCTGAGCACCTGGGATTACAGGCGCACGCCACCACACCCAGCTAATTTTTTGGTATTTTTAGTAGAAATGGGGTTTCACCATGTTAGCCAGGCTGGTCTCGAACTCCTGACCTCAGGTGATCCACCCGCCTCGACCTCCCAAAGTGGTAGGATTACAGGTGTGAGCCATCGCACCTGGCCAATTATTTTTAACACAGTTAATTTATTCTAATTTTTAGGCCAGGCATCGTGGCTCATGCCTGTAATCCCAGCAGTTTAGGAGGCTGAGGTGGGAGGATCCCTGGAGCCCAGGAGTTTGAGGCGAGCCTGAGCAATATAGTGAGGTCCCCCTCTCTACAAAAAACGAGGCCAGCTTCAGCAATATAGTGAGATCCCTGTCTCTACAAAAAAAAAAAAAAATTTTTTTTAAATATTGGCTGGGCATAGTCACATGTGCCTGTGGTCCCAGCTACTTGGTGGCCCAGGCTGAGGCAGGAGGAGTGCTTAAGCCCAGGAGGGTCTAGGCTGCAGTGAGTCGTGGTCCTACCACTGCACTCCAACCTGGGCAACAGAGCAACACCCTGTCTCAATTTTTAAAAAAGTTATTCTAATTTTTAAAAACATACTCATTAAAAAAAAAAACACCATTTCTCCTGCTGATAAACTTGATTGAATGCTAAAGAAGCCCTATGGTGTTCATAATCAATGAGTAAATATTCATTTCTAACAGAGGTCAAAATATCAGTAACATATAGTTATTTATTTCAAAATGGTCCAAATAGTTGTGAAACTGAGGGCCCATATTTTGCAAGGTAAATTTTAGAATTGCGCTCATGAAAAGGATTTGCATTGGTAGAGTGTCTGTATGCTTACAGATTATATAATTTCATCCACCAAGTTGGTTAATATCATTACTACCATTTGACAGGTGAGGAAACCAAGACAGTGAAGGAAGTAGGCAGCACACAGGATGGTTCTGGCTAGCAGCGCTGTCCCATCGGATAGGGATGATGGATGGCTCTGGCGCGTGTGGTCCCATCGGATAGGGAGGATGGATGGTTCTGGTGAGGAGTGCGGCCCCGTCAGATAGGGATGATGGCAGGCAGTGGAAGGAGGCAGGTGTGAAGGAAAGCAGTTCTGGAACTGAGTCCTGACGAGCAGGGCTGGGCCCCTGGAGAGGTGCAGTGCATTCACCAAGGCCTGAGAACCGGCTGTCAACTGAGCAAGTTCAGGTGTCTCATTTGTCCACGGACCAAGGGTGGGTCCTTTCTCCTGGCATGGGCTCACTTTATCCAGGTGTAAAACCAGGATGCCAATCTATTCATTTATTTACAATGAGAAGTATGACTGCCACTGAATCAAATACTCCAAGTCCACATATTTGGTATATTTACTCCCTTCAAGCAGATGGACACTGGGAGCCAAGTCTTATAAGGCTGCTTGATGAGCTTTGATCAGAACAAGGGGAGTAGGATGAACTGACTGGAAGCAATGGGTCAAGGTGGCTTGATGCATCTGTCTCTGAAGCAGCAATGACTTTTCCTTGCTAAAGGAACTGCGATCACGCAAGTGCATGGCTTGAGACTCCATCTTTTGGGGATGTCACTGAGTGACACCTCTGGGGCTACACTGGCCTCGGTAGTGTTTCCTGTGGCTAACTGCCCCTAGGGACAGACATACCCTATTTAGTTTTTAGATATACTATTCCTTCTATCATATTCTTGTCCAGTCTTGCTCATCGGGAACCATACGGTCTCTTCAAAGTGTCTTGTCATATTTCTACTCTGTGTGTTGTTGTTACAGTTGACCTAGAGAGGACATTAGTCTAACCTCTGAGGTTGGGTTGGTGTATATCTCAGGATAACCTCCCAGTACAGCCACCATGAGGATCTTAGATGCTTAAAGAGATCATTATTTCTTTTGCTAAGTGGTACATGTTTTGCTTATTCTTAACTAGACATGTTTTTTTTTCCAAGAGAATACGGTTCTAAGGATATGATGGTGACACTATGCTTGCTTATGTGGAGCATTCCCTCCAACAGTGATAATTATGGTTATGATGACACCTGTTACTCACATACGCCATTTTACAGTTTTCAAAACACTTTCTCATGTATGACCTACTTTTGTCTTTAGAATGTTTCCCTGGGATAAATCCAAAGCTCTACGCAGGTGCTTCATTGATCTGATTTCAGAGAGGCAGGTGTGGCGGCCCTGCAGTTAGATGCGGACATTCTAGTTAAGTCTGCGTCCTACCTAGTCTGAATCTCTGACTAGCTGTGTGACCTTGAAAAAGTTGCTACCTACTCAGGAGGCTGAGGCACTTGAACCTGGGAGGCAGAGGTTGCAGTGAGCCGAGATCCTGCCACTGCCCTGCAGCCTGGGCTATGGAGCAAGACTCTGTCTCAAAAAAAAAGAAAAGAAAAGAAAGAAAGAAAGAAAAAGAAAAAGTTGATGCAGCCAGGCACGGTGGCTCAAGCATGTAATCCCAGCACTTTGGGAGGCCAACGCAGGCGGATCGCTTGAGGCCAGGAGTTTGAAACCAGCCTGGTCCACATGGTGAAACCCCGTCTCTACTAAAATTACAAAAATTAACCAGATGTGATGGTGCACACCTGTAATCTCAGGTACTACTCAGGAGGCTGAGGCACGAGAATCACTTGAACCCAGGAGGCAAAGGTTGCTGTGAGCCGAGATCACACTGCTGCACTCCAGCCTGGGCAACAGAGTGAGACTCTGTCTGAATAAAAAAAAAAAAGGTTGCTTCATCTCTTTGAGCCTTTGTTTCCTAATCTATACTATATAGATAAGAATATCCACCTTTCACCATAAAAAATGATAAGTGTGTGAGTTAACACGGATGTTAATTAGCTCGATTTAGCCATTCCACAATGTCTACATATTTCAAAACTTTATGTTGTACAGGATACATGTATATAATCTATTTGTCCATTTCAATTAATTACTTTTTTAAAAAAGAATATCTACCTTGAAAAGTTGTGATAATTAAAATGACCAGTGAGTCCTCTGACCACTTAGAAAGAGATCAAAGTAGTAATCAGGTTTCTTCTACCTCCCACATGTATACCCAGGACTGAAACAAGCCAGCCAGTAAGGCAGTTGATATTTTTACCTATTTAATATTCTTCTTTATATGGACAACACTGCGACATCACTCTTGAGCTTGCTATCATGTGCAATTTGCGTACATTATTATCTAATGTTTAAATTAGATAATTTTGCATACATTATTAGATATTATCTAATTATTAAATTAGATAAATTTGCATACATTATTATCTAATATTTAAAACTGTTCATGTTTGGTTCACAGGTATTAATTTGATATACATGTAAATTTGTTAGACCTGGACAAATTTGTCAAATTTGAAAAACTTGAAATTAGAAATTTGAACGTCTGAAAAAGCAAATACTTCCGTTGGCATCATCACACTAGAAGTTTGATTCATTTTGCTTGAATCAGAAGTTTCAGTGGGAAACAGTGATAGTTACCATCAATCCTCTGCTTTGCTTGTACTCCTTGAGGATAGTGTTGATATTTTCCACAAATCCTGTTTGGGCAGCCCATCGAATATTAAAATTCTCCTTCACAAAGAGCGCTTCCATTCTTAAGTTGACCAGTAAATGGTCAAGACAATCTTGCTGAAAGATAGAGGACAATTAGAGATTTGTCTTTTTTTGTTTAATTCTGACTGTCATAACAGACCAAAATCACTACAGTTATTAAAGAAAAACAATATACATTCACTAAACGTGGAAGTCAATTAATCCAGCACTGAGTATTTACAGAGTATCTGTGTGATACTACGTTACTTCTAAACAGTCTCCATGTCTACTCTGATGGCGGGCCACCTTCTGGCTGAACAAGTAGGAAGATACTGGAAATCCAAATTTTCTTTTTTAAAAATTTTAATTGTGTCTACTTTTTGAATACTGCAGTTTCATGGTTCAAAATCCAAAAGAACAAAAGGTGTAGAGGAAAATATTCCCGCCGAGTGCCGTGGCTCATGCCTGTAATCCCAGCACTTTGGGAGACCAAGGCGGGCAGATCACAAGGTCAGGTGGTCAAGATCATCCTGGCTAACACGGTGAAACCTCGTCTCTACTAAAAATACAAAAAATTAGCTGGGCGTGGTGGCAGGCGCCCGTAGTCCCAGCTGCTTGGGAGGCTGAGGCAGGAGAATGGCGTGAACCCGGGAGGTGGAACTTGCAGTGAGCCGAGATCGCGCCACTGCACTCCAGCCTGGACGACAGAGTGAGACTCCGTCTCAAAAAAAAAAAAAAAAAAAAAAAAGAGAAAAATATTCCCTCTGACCTTTGACCATCACCCACCCAGTTCTGCTCCTCAAGGAAACCAATAATATCAGTCCTTTCAGAAACATATTCCAGTGCAGTGTTTAGATGCAATTTATTTGCAATTTATTCTTAAAAAGAATTGCATTCTAATGCAAGCTTGAAAAGCACACTGCAAAAAACCCTATTTTTTTTTTTTTGTTGTGATGGAATTGGAATCTCAGCCTGCTTTGAATTTTAGAAAGAGGCCAAAGAAAATAATTCCCAGTGTTCGAATGGCATTTTACGTATCAAATAGCTTCCAAATACATTTTGTTTTGTTTCTTTTTTTTTTTTTTAATTTTTTTTATTTTGAGATGGACTGTCTCTCTTGTTGCCCAGGCTGGAGTGCAATGACGTGATCTAGGCTGACTGCAACCTCTGCCTCCCGGGTTCAAGCGATTCTCCTGTCTCAGCCTCCCAAGTAACTGGGATTACAGGCATGTGTCACCATGCCCAGCTAATTTTGTATTTTTAGTAGAGACAGGGTTTCACCCGGTTGGTCACGCTGGTCTCAAACTCCTGACCTCAGGTGGTCCACCTGCCTCGGCCTCCCAAAGTGCTGGGATTATAGGCGTGAATCACCGCGCCCGGCCCAAATACATTTTCTGACCAGGACCTCTGGGGGTTATTCAGGAAAGACAACTGAAGACAAGAGTAAGTTGTCTTAGGGTAGAATATCTGGTGGTGTGGTAGGAGATGAAGATGGCATTGGAACCCAGGCCTTCTGACTCCAAATCCCTCACAGATCAATGTTATTTAGCCAAAACCTATCTGATATTAAAAAAATAACAATACTCCATATTATTGAGAAAGATAGTTAAAAAAAAAAAAACACCGCATATACTAACCGTTAAGTCCTTGGTTAGGTATGCATTTTCTCTGGGTATTTTCTGGATTTTCCCAGGGCCAGTATTTTTACTGATACACTGTTAGAGGAAAATCGAAATATTAGTTGGTTTACCTGGAAGGTTTTACTTTATATAAAACTCAAATGGGCCAGGCGCAGTGGCTCACGCCTGTAATCCCAGCACTTTGGGAGGCCAAGGTGGGCGGATCACCCGTAATCAGGAGTTTGAGACCAACCTGGCTGACATGGTGAAACCCCGTCTCTACGAAAAATACAAAAGTTAGCCAGGCGTGGTGGCGTGTGCATGTAGTCCCAGCTACTCAGGAGGCTGAGACACGAGAATTGCTTGAACCTGAGAGACAGAGGTTGCAGTGAGTTGAGATCACACCACTGCACTCCAGCCTGGGCGATAGAGCGAGACTCCATCTCAAAAGCAAACAAACAAACAAACAAACAAACACCCTCAAATGAATGTGAACATAATTGAATTTTTTTAAATAGCATTAGTGCCAAGTAGTGGAGATAACGATGAGTGTGGCCCAGGATCTGCCCTCAAGAGCTCCCAGTGTGAAAAGAGAGACAGAACTGTACACAGATATTTATCATGTGGAGTGTTTGCAGCTCAGCAAAGGGGATTCTGTGCTGTAGTCTGAATGTCTGTGTCCCACAGAATTTACATGTTGAGATCTTCACCCTTAAGCTGATGGTAGTAGGAGCTGGGGCCTTTAGGAAAGTGGGTCTTGAGGGTAGAGCCCTCAAGAATGAGATTAGTGTCTTATAAAAGGATCCCAGAGAGTGCCTTAGCCTCTCCACCATGTGAGGACGCACGGAGAAGGTGACATCTATAAAGCCAAAAAGCAGGCCCTCGTCAGGCACTGAATCTGCCTTTTTTTTTTCCCCACAATTTTTTTGTTTGTTTGTTTTTGAGACAGGGTCTTGCTCTGTTACTCAGGCTGGAGTGCAGTGGCACGATCTCAGCTCACTGCAACCTCTGCCTCCCAGGTTCAAGCAATTCTCCTGCCTCAGCCTCCTGAGTAGCTGGCATTATAGGCGTGCATCACCACGCCTGGCTAATTTTTGTATTTTTAGTAGAGAAGGGTTTTCACCATGATGGCTAGGCTGGTCTCAAACCCCTGACCTCAAGGGATCTGCCTGCCTGGGCCTCCCAAAGTGCTGAGATTACAGGTGTGAGTTACCACACCTGGCCATGCCGTAATTTTTTTTTTTTTTTTTTTTTTTTTTTTTTTTTTAGAGATAGGGTCTTGTTCTATTGCCCAGGCTGCAGTGCAGTGGTGCAATTATAGCTCACTGCAGCCTTGAATTCCTGGGTTCAAGCAATCCTCGCACCTTAGCCTCTCAAGTACATGGAACTATAGATGTGCACCACCAAGCCTGGCTAATTTTTAAAATTTTTTATAGAGAGGGAGTCTCACTATGCCCAATGCTGGTCTTGGACTCCTGGCCTGAGGTGATTCTTCCACCTGAACTTAAAGTGCTGGAATCACAGGTGTGAGCCACCGTGCCTGGCTGAATCTGCCTTGATCTTGCACTTCCCAGCCTCTGGAACTGTGAACAATAAATGTCTATTTTTTATAAGCTACTCGGTTTATGGTATTTTGTTGTAGCAGTTCAAACAGACTAAAACAACCTGGGATGAAGAGAGACACCTGTCGCGTGCAGGAGGTGGGAATGAGGCAGGGAGAGTGCACAGGAAGATAGATAAACTGAATTTCTTTTCTTTTTTTTTTTTTTTTGACAGGGTCTCACTCTGTCACCCAGGCTAGTGTGCAATGACACAATCTTGGCTCACTGCAACCTCTGCCTCCTGGGCTCAAGTGATCCTCCCACCTCAGCCTCCTGAGTATCTGGGACTACAGGCACACCACCATGCACGGCTAATTTCTGTATATTTTTTTTTGGTAGAGATGGGGTTTCACCATGTTGCCCAGGCTTGAGCTGAATCTTAAAAATGAATAGGGAGTAGCCAGGAGAAGGGCAGGAGAAGGCTGCACTAGCTGGGCCGCATGGTAGCTGCTTTAGCCAGAGCAGCCTGGACTGGAAGAGGAAGCTGTCCCAGATCTAGACTCCTGATGCTGGGCACAATGGCTCAGACCTCTAATCCTAGCACTTTCAGAGGCCGAGGTGGCAGGATCACTTGAGCCCAGGAGTTTGAGGTTGCAGTGAGCTAAGATCACACCACTGCATTCCAGCCTGGGTGACAGAGCAAGACCCTGTCTCTAAAACATTAAAAACAAACTTAGCCAGGCACTGTGGCTTACCCCTGTAATCCCAGCACTTTGGGAGGCAGAGGCGGGAGGATCATTTGAGCTCAGGAGTTTCAGACCAGCCTGGTGACATGGTGAGACCTCATTTTGACAAAAAAAGAAAAAGAATGAAAATTAGCCAGGTACGGTGGTGCACGCCTGTGTTCCCAGCTACTTGGAAAACTGAGGCAGGAGGCTCTCTTGAGCCCAGGATGTCAAGGGTGCAGTGAGCTATGATCACACCACGGCACTCCAGCCTGGGCGAAAGAGCGAGACTCTGTATCAAAAAAATAAGTAAATAAACAAATAAATAATATTAAAAATAGAACTCCTGGAATTGGCCAGTAGGTTGGTGAACCTGATCATATCAATACTTTGGGGCAAGTGCCTATTGGCGGATTTTCGTATTCTGGTGTGTCATCTGCGTGTGTGTCTGGGGTGCAATGATCGCCATCTTCTTAACCTGAGCCCTACAGCAGTCTTTCTTATTTCCCTCTGTACATATAAAAGAGAAAGGCTATTTTGGTAGTAACCTCAAAGTATATACTGCAAATGCAGATAGTGAGTTTGGGTTTTACGGATATTCTTCTTAGGAGTCCCAGTTTTGTTAGCACAACTGATTGGGGGCAAAACTTTTTAATTTATTTTTATTTTAATTTTTTATTTTTTATTTTTTGGAGATGGAGTCTTGTTCAGCCGCCCAGGCTGGAGTGCAGTGGCACAATCTTGGCTCACTGCAACCACCGTCTCCTGGGTTCAAGCGATTCTCCTGTCTCAGCCTCCCGAGTAGCTGAGATTACAGGCACCCGCCATTATGCCCGGCTAATTTTTGTATTTTAGTAGAGATGGGGTTTCATCATGTTGGTCAGGCTGGTCTTGAGCTCCTGACCTCAGGTGATCCACCCGCCTCGGACTCCCAAAATGCTAGGATTACAGGCATGAGCCACCGCGCCCAGCCAGCAAAACTATTTACGATATGTCATCAAAGTATGGGATGAAACCACTGTACCTTGACTATGTCTTCCAGGGTATGAACAGACTCATCCACAGCAACCAGGTAGTGAGGCTTTGGCACGTGATCTATGACGTTTTGTATCACTCTGCAGACCCACAGGTAAAATAATCATCAAAGGGAAAAAGCGAAAGAGATGCAGTAAACTAGAATTCACTGACCACCACCCCCATGGCTGGGCGTGGGGTTTGGTGCTTTGATAAGTTATCTCCATTTTCAATACGGTCAGGGTTGGGATGGTTATCTGCATTCTCCACATGAGGAAGATGCTAAAGGGTTCGGTGACATTTCTCAGGCTGAAGAGCTATTGCGAAAGTGGAAGAGCCAGCTTTTGAGGTCAGATGCATCTGGTTCTGGACCTGTCTTCTTTCTAGCATACTGCCCTGTCTCCCAACAAGGGGAACTGCCCCCAGCAGGACCGGCCCCCAGCAGGACCCCAGTTTATGAAGCCCTCCCCATCTAGGGGCTCGTGTGAGCCTCACAACAATGCTTTAGGGAGGTATTTTACAAAGTAAGACACAGATTTAGACAAGCTGTGGCTCTTTAAGGAAGTCACGCAGCAACAGTGCCTGAGCCTGCTTTCCTATCCCAGTTGCCAAGGTTTCCGAGCGCTTGCTTCTGTGCTGAGGGTGGCACAGGTGTGATCCCACTAAATTTTCACAGCCCTAGCATGTAGGTGCTGCTCCTATCCCCGTAAGTAACTTCCCTAAATTCACACAGCTAGTGAGAAGCAGAGCAGGGATTGGAACAAAAATTAAATTCCAGAGAGAAACAACAGTGAATAGATGTCTATCACAATGGCTTGTCAATTCTACCTCCATCTTAGCTTCCTTTCAATAAAATGAAAATAAATCGAATGCACGCTTCCAAATGTGCAGTTCACATTTATTTTGTATTCATTTCTTTTTTTCTATATTTATTTATTTATTCACTCATTTATTTATTTATTTTGAGTCTCGCTCTGTTGCCCAGGCTGGCAGGCAGTGGTGTTATCACGGTTCACTGCAGCCTCAAACTCCCAGGGTCAAGTGATCCTCCCGCCTCCACCTCCCGGGTAGCTGGGACTGCAGGCATGAGCCACCAAACCCGACTAATTTTTGTATTTTTTGTAGAGACAGGGTTTCACTATGTTGTCCAGCCTGGTCCCGAACTCCTCGGCTCAGGCGAACCTCCCACCTTGGCCTCCCACAGTGTTGGGATTACAGGCATGAGCCACTGCACCTAGCCTATTTTCTACCCATTTCTCAGAACATTTCAGCTTTTTGCTTTTTCCTCTGTTAAATATTTGACAATCTTCAAAGAAACCTCTGGGGAAAAAATGCTACTTAAAAGGGTCTGTCAAAAGACAAAATTATAACAAATCTAGTTAAAGATTTCAATGGACTTTATTTGTGATTCTAGAATCAGGCAACATTTCATTCCATAAAATAGAACAAGTGTGTCAGTGAAATGAGCAGAGGCGGGTAGTTTGATAGGCAGAAAGGGCTGCAGAAAGCAGAAACAAAGAACAAAAAGCACATTGGTCATTTCAAAGTTAGTTTCCTTGTAAGGCAGGGACAAGGAGAACAACATAAAGATAACTAATGGGGCTGGGCGTGGTGGCTCACGCCTGTAATCCCAGCACTTTGGAAGGCTGAGGCGGATGGATCACCTGAGATCAGGAGTTCGAGACCAGCCTGACCAACATGGTGAAACCCTGTCTCTACTAAAAATACAAAAAATAGCCAGGCGTGGTGGCCGGCGCCTGTAGTCCCAGCTACTTGGGAGGCTGAGGCAGGAGAATCGCTTGAACCCAGGAGGCGGAGGTTGCAGTGAGCCAAGGTTGTGGCACCGCACTCCAGCCTGGGTGACAGAGCGAGACTCCATCTCAAAAGGAAAAAAAAAAAAAGGAAAGATAACCGATAGGTTAGTACCAGGTTACTTTAGGCTACTTTTTGCCATAAGGATTAAAACACAGAGAGCTTTATTATCATGCCTATTGAAGACTGAAACTGGCTTGTTTGGGAAATTAGCTGTTGTTGCTCTCTTTGGCTTTCTCGAAAGGTCAGGTAACAGCTTAGTTTCAGTTTGGTGACTGGAACTTTGGCATGGGTGACTCCATTTTGATTTTCAGTCTGGTCTGTTGGGGCCTAGTACAAGAACTTACTCCAAAACAATGGCCTCCTATAACTTGTTTTTAACAGGCTCTAAGTCCTTCTGTAATGGCAATCATTTCACCCTCTAATTTATGTTTGGACGTAATATGTTAAGGATTAATGCCAAGTAAGTTATATTAATAATGTAAAAGACTCTTCTGTATCTTTGAAACCCAGTAATGTCATAATGTAAAATCTCTGCAGAAAAAAATGGGTATGTTTCGGCCCCTCCATCCCCAGGGATGGAGCAGATCCAGGGTTTTGTAGTGCCTGAAGCTTAGCCCATTTACAGCAAGCTTGTCAAACCAGGGCCTGTGGGCTGCGTGAGGCCCAGGATGGCTTTGAATGTGGCCCAACACACTTTGTAAACTTTCTTAAAACATTATGAGTTTTTGGGCCGGGCGCAGTGGCTCACGCCTGTAATCCCAGCACTTTGGGAGGCTGAGGCGGGTGGATCATGAGGTCAGGAGATGGAGACCATCCTGGCTAACATGGTGAAACCCCATCTCTACTAAAAAAATACAAAAAATTAGCCAGGCATGGTGGCGGGTGCCTGTAGTCCCAGCTACTTGGGAGGCTGAGGCAGGAGAATGGCATGAACCTGGGAGGTAGAGCTTGCGGTGAACCGAGATTGTGCCACTGCACTCCAGCCTGGGCAACAGAGTGAGACTCCATCTCAAAAAAAAAAATTATGAGTTTTTTTTGTTATTTTTTTTAAAGCTCATCAGCTATCGTTAGTGTTAGTGTATTTTATGTGTGGCCCAAGACAAATCTTCCAATGTGGCCCAGGGAAGCCGAAAGATTGGATATCCCTGACTCATAGGATCCTTCTTTAAGAAAAATAATAAAAATTAGGTTCAGGGTCTTGGAAAGGGATCTGCTCAGGGGTGTGGCCCTGAAGTTTAAACTTCCTTCATTTCCCAGTAAGTCTAGAAATTTATCTGAGATTGTGACTAATTTACTAGTGGCCAGTGGATGAGAGAAAGAGTGGGAATCTGAAAACCAGAACCTCAGGGAAGTGCAGAAATTGCTCCTTTCTGGGGATGTGCCACAGGGGTGACAGAATGAAGTCCCCGGAAGCTGGAGCTGATGAACCACAAACACAGTGAACCAACTCATTGACCTCACGTTTAAGTCAGGGTCTTCAAAGGAAGAGAAGGGTTTCTGGACCTGTCTGAATACAGGGTTTAGATGCTCTGTGAGTATAAAAAACATATGTCAACTTTACCTACAACTGTCAAAGAAGGAAAAAGCTTCAGGTTTACAGTTTTCCATTTGAATTCTAGAATTTAAGTTGACGGGTTAGACATATTAATCTCATCTGGGACAAAGGAATAAGAAACTACGTCCTCAGAATGTACACACCAAGTTCTTTCTTTTCCAAAATTGGAGGGCATTGCTATTCTGTCGATAGTTTCTAAGAGATGAACCTGAACTTGTCACCAGAAATGTAGAACTTTTGAACAGTGGGCACTATTTCATTAGATGCAAAATGGAGAAGACGGTACCTTCTGCATAGGGTTGTTACGAAGAATGAACACAATAATCCATGTAAGGGTCTTAGCACTAGGCAAATGCTCAAAAAGTATTAGGCTACAAACAAACACATTAACCAATTCTGTGAAGGTCACGTCTCTGGGCGAATGCTTACCCTGCTAGATCAAGAACATGGATTGTTGGAATTACATTTGTTCCATCGCCAAAAACTGGTAATGCAGGAATCTCGCCCAACCAAGCCATCTGAAAGGAAGAAAAGCAAAATCATGTCCCCCAGTTATATGTGGATGGCTATTACAGCTCACACATAAGTCTACAGTCAGAGGCAACTGAAAGGCCTAGCTATCTGCTTAAGTAATTTCCTCTAGGGGGTGTTTTATAAATCAGCCCTGATGAGATTTAGGATCAAATTCTGCCAAGAGAAATAGTGTGTAGCCCTGGGACTGAATCAAATTCTGCCAAGAGAAATAATGTGTAGCCCTGGGACTGAATCAAATTCTGCCAAGAGAAATAATGTGTAGCCCTGGGACTGAAATACTTTTCAAGAAATCTACAACCTCTCAGCCGTATTTAGTAGCTATACGCATGGCATTCACATAGAGAAGAAATGTTTTCACATGCATGATGTCTTAATTCTCACAAAAAGACAAATTAAAATTTAAAATTACCCCCACCAGTAGGGATGAGGTGAGGGGAAATAAGTACCATCAGTCCAGGGGTGAAATGCTTAGCGGATAAGTAGCATGCAGGAGGATACACTTGTGAGAGCTTGGACTGGAACCCCGATCCTCAGAGTCCAAATCCTCATCTTTTCTTCTCATTAAGTATTTCAGTAACCAAACAGACATGATGAGTACTGTTTAAGTGTCACATATTAGATTATTTTGAATTGTTGTTAAGAGTGAAAGAGGTAGGGGTAGGGGTCACAGTAGACCACTGGGTCTTGTAAGATATTTTGGACTTTCAGAAAGTATTGAAGGGTTCTAAGCAGTGATGTGACACCAGCAGGCTTGCTTTTGTTGCCTTGTGGAGAAGTGGCGGGAAGGAGAGTCCAGTGGGGACAGAGGGGTGATGGCAGGTGTGCAGGCGAAATAGGGTAGCTTAGCCTGGAGGTGGGAAGTGCAGGGAGTGGGGATGGAGAGAAGGGAGACATTGAGGAGGCTGACTGTAGTAACTGGGAATTTTATGATGGGTAATGTGAAAGGAAAATAAACCTTGGGACCCCAAAATCACTAAGCCAAAGGGAAAAGTCAAGCTAGGAACTACATAAAGCAAACCTGTCTCTCATTCAAAGATTTTATTTTGTTTTCTTTTTTTTTTTTTTTTTTTTGAGACGGAGTCTTGCTGTGTCACCCAGGCTGGATGGAGTGCAGTGGCAGGATCTCAGCTCACTGCAACCTCTGCCTCCCAGGTTTAAGTGATTCTCCTGCCTCAGCTTCCCGAATAGTTGGGATCACAAGCATGTGCCACCACACCTGGCTAATTTTTGTATTTTTAATAGAGATGGGATTTCACCATGTTGGCCAGGCTGGTCTCGAACTCCTGACCTCAGGTGATCTACCCGCCTCAGCCTCCCAATATGCTGGGATTACTGGCGTGAACCACCATGCCTGGCCTCATACCTTCCTCACAATTTGCCCACTATGAAATTATCTGTAGGCCCCAAGAGCTTTACCCGAAAACAGTTCTGTTGAATTTCACCCTGACAATGTAAATTGACAGCTTATCTTCACAGGTACAGGACAAGGACAGAACTCAAAGTCATCCCTAGGCTCACCTGACACAAATGCCTATCTGATTGCTTCCTCGGCCCTATGTCTATTTTATCTTACATAAAAATGCAGATTCGCTGAGCTAGATAAATGCATAAGTGACTATTCCTCTACCCTTCCCTCATGTCGAACAGCTGATCAAAGACTCAAAAGAATGTGCCCGCTTGCCTCTTATCTACCCACACCTTTTATTTATTTTTTGCAGATGCAGGGTTTCACCATGTTGCCCAGGCTGGTCTCAAACTCCTGGGTTCAAGCCATCCACTCACACTGGCCTCCGAAAGTGCTTTACTGGGATTATAGGCATCAGCCACCATGCCTGGCTTACCCACATCTTTAAAAAATTTCTTCCTCTTTCTCTAATATCTACCCTTTTCCCTTTAAATATTGAAGCACTCAAAGTCATCTTTGGAGAAAGGCACAGGCCTATCTCCTGGGCGTGCATCCTTAACCTTGGCACAATAAACTTCTAAATTGATTGAGACCTGTCTCAGAAACTTTTTGGTTTGCAGTAAGGAGGGAGGAGTTGGATTCTGATCATGTAGCTGGTTGGAGGGTTACCCCATTTTCTGAGATGGGGCCTTGGAGGAGGAGCAGGTTTGGGGATGACTGTAGGTATAGTTTGGATTTGGGAAAGACATCCAAGTTGAGGTGCTGAGTAGGCAGCTGGACCTACAGAGCTAGAACTTAGGAGAGAGAGCCTCGCTGGAGACTGAAGTTTGAGTCATTGGTATCAGTCATAGGAATAAACAGACCAAGGGAGAGAGAGCAGAGGGTGAAGAAAAAAGGTCTAGGGCCGAGGCCTGCGAATGCCAAGATTCAGTGAGCAGGTAGGTGAGAAGTAGCTGAGAATGGACAATGAGTAAGAGCTTCCTTGAGCTTCTCCTCTGCAACTGTCATATCTCTTGTATTAAAAAAATCAGTTCGAGGCCGGGCACGGTGGCTCACGCCTGTAATCCCAGCACTTTGGAGGCTGAGGCGGGCGGATCACGAAGTCAGGAGTTCAAGACCAGCCTGGCCAATATGGTGAAACCCTGTCTCTACTAAAAATACAAAAATTAGCTGGGCATGGTGGCACACACCTGTAATCCCAGCTACTCGGGAGGCTGAGGCAGGAGAACTGCTTGAACCCAGGAGGTGGAGATTGCAGTGAGTTGAGATTGCACCACTGCACTCCAGCCTGGGTGAAAGAGTAAGACTCCTTCTTTAAATAAATAAATACATAATAAATAAATCAAATAAAAATTAAAAATCAGTTCAACCAACCTCTCTTGACTACACTTTATCCTTTAACTCCGCCTTCTTTCTTTGCACCCCCCTCCTTTTACAGGAAAATTCCTTGAAATATTTCTCTGTTCTCATTGTCTTCAATTCCCCTCCAGCTGTTCCTCTTGAACCTGCGGCTGTTAGACTTTTGTCCTACCTAGTGCCAAAAAATTTAGCGGTCAATTTGTAGGTTTCATCTTAGTTGATTATCTGCAGTATCTGACACAATTTGTCATTCTTTCTTTTTAAAAACTTTTTTTTTTTTTTTTTTGAGATGGAGTCTCGCTCTGTCACCCAGGCTGGAGTGCAGTGGTGCAATTTCGGCTCACTGCAAGCTCCGCCTCCTCGGTTCACACCATTCTCCTACTTCAGCCTAACGAGTAGCTGGGACCACAGGCTCCCGCCACCATGCCCGGCTAATTTTTTGTATTTTTAGTAGAGACGGGGTTTCTCCGTGTTAGCCAGGATAGTCTTGATCTCCTGACCTTGTGATCCGCCTGCCTTGGCCTCCCAAAGTGCCGGGATTACAGGCGTGAGTCGGCCAAAAATATTTTTTTTAATAATTATTTACTTTTCTCTTATTTCCTCTCCTGCTTCCTGCCCACCCTTCTCAACCTCCTTTCCTAATTCCTTCCCATTTCCCTATAACCTCCAATATTGGAGGGTTCCAAGACTCAGTCCTCAGGCCCCTATCTCTTCTCCATATTCATTCAGTAGTTGATGTCATCCAGTCCCAAGGATTTAAGTACCCACTGTATACTGACAGCTCCCATGATTATATCTCCAGACCTGACCTCCCCCATGATCACCAAACTCTTTTTGTCCAATAGCCTTCCCAGTATCTATACTTGGATATTAATTATCTCAAACTTCCTGAACTTTTCATTGCATTGTACCCCAACCAGCTCCATTCCCTGTCTTCCCCATTTCAATAAGTGGCAGTGCCATACTTCTAGTTGCTTAGACCAAAATCCTTAAAGTTATCCTTTACTATGTTTCTGTCATCCTTACATCCAAGCTTTGAACAAATCCCATTGACTCTCTCTTCAAAATACGTCTGAAATCTGAACAGTTTCCAGTATCCCCACCATGCCCACCCAGGTCTTAGGCACTACCCTGCTCACTGGTTTCCTTGCTTCCTGCTCCTGCCCATGCCCCAAATAGTACATCCTCAGCACAGCAGAAGGAGAAAGCTGTCCTTTTATATCATATGGATTATGTTGCTTCTGTGCTCAGTCTAATGGTTGTCCAACTCACTCAGAAAGAAAGCCAGAGCTTCACGAGGGGCTACCAGGCTGGGCTTGGTCTGACTCTCTCATTACCGCTTTGACCTCATTACCGCTGTTCTCCCATACTTCAGCTAGATTGATCTAGATTGGTCTTCAAATGTAGCCAGCACATTTCTGCCTCACTTCTTTGCAGTAACAATTCTCACTGTCTGGGATGTCTTTCTCCAGAAAGCCGATTAGCCAGCTCCTTCATTGCCTTTCCCTTCCTACTCAAATGTCACATCGTTGGAAAGACCTTCCTCAACCTTCCTATATAAGATATAACAGCCCCAATCCCCGCAACCTTACTCCCCAGCACTCTCTGCCTTTCTCTGCTCTGTTGTTTTCCATACCCTGTTTCAACATCTGAAATACTCAACATTTACCGGCTTGCTTATTATCTATCTCTTTCTCCATCCCCCTAGAATGTAAGCTTCGCAAGAGGAGGGACTTTATTATTTTACTGTATCCCAAGTACCTACAACAGTTTCCAGCACCTGATGGGCACTACATCAATATCTGTTTCATGAATGAAAGGAGATACGTCTTTTTCATTATTATTTTGAGAGTGGTGAATACAAGTTAATAATGGGAAAGAAACGTAGGTCTTTGTGGTGACATCCATACTTGCCTTCATCTTCTGCTATTCTACTGCACTAACCACACCCAAAGCAATCAAAAACACCTTCAAATTGCGTATCTGTATCGTAAGACACTTTTAAACATTCCACGTCATCATTGAAAGCCATACCTTAAAAAATGTGTGTAACATGCCTCCTTCCGCTCCATACTGGAGTCCAGCAGCAACTACGTATGCTGCAAATTTTCTGGCCTATTAGATAAAATACAGAAAAAAAAAGCTGGATGTAATATTATTAGTCATACTGAACCAGATTATTTTAGTAGTTAAAATGAGCACTTTCAGAACTTCCGTCAACTCTTGCAGGTTACTGAGTATTGTTCGGGATACAAATCCTATCTCTTAAAGAGAGAAACGACACCCCCGCACTATTCAGGAATACCTCTGACTACTATTAAAATTTAACAAGGACTCCTAATTAAATTAAAGCCAGGGTTTTTGTGAAAACTTTGTACCTGTAAGCTCTATGCTCGGCACTGAGGGGGAAAAGAGAAAGAAAAACAGGTCTTTCCACGAGGATCTTTAATGATCTAGTACCTGAAACCAAGAAGCTGGTAATGGGCCTTAACACAAGGATGGAAATTCACATGGATTGTCCACTTCACTCTGGACAAGCAGTTTAGGCACTGTAAGAACTGGAGTCAGTATTCCTTTATTTTTAATTTTTAATATTTGTGGGTACATAATAAGTATATAGATTTATGGGGGTGCATGAGATGTTTTGATACAGGCATGCAATGTGAAATAAGCACAACATGGAGAATGGGGTATCCATCCCTTCAAGCATTTATCCATTGAATTACAAACACTCCAATTATACTCTTTAAGTTATTTAAAAATCTATAGTTCAGTTATTACTGACTATAGTCTCCCTGCTGTGCTATCAAATAGTAGGTCTTATTCATTCTTTCCAACATTTTTTGTACTCATTCACTATCCCTCCCTCCCCCCACCCCCTACTACCCTTCTCAGCCTCTACTCTCTGCCTCAATATTTAACCAGATAAGCTCAAAATACCATCTTTATTATTGATATGAGTTCTGCTGGAGGCCATGCCTTAGGTGAGCCATGATGATGAGCTTCCTAACCCTGAATCCAGAATAAGATGAACTTTTCCAACCAGTCCCAGGCCACACTGGACAGCGAGGGACTCCTCCACATGGCGGCCTGCTGCTGTAAGTCTCAGGGCATGAGGAAGGTGAAATGCACAGTAGCCACCATCCCTGGAGTCCCAGAGAGAAGGGAAGGAGGAGGGGCCAAGCTCACATGGCCAGGCCCTCCTCAAACCCACCAATCAGAAAACTCGCTTGAACTTCTTCAGGCGAACAGGGGATGGTGCAAGAAGACAGGAGTTTTTTGTTTGTTTGTTTGTTTGTTTGTTTTGAGACAGAGTTTCACTTGTTGCCCAGGCTGGAGTGCAGTGGCATAATCTAGGCTCACTGCAACCTTGGCCTCCTGGGTTCAAGTGATTCTCCTGCCTCAGCCTCCCAAGTAGCTGGGATTACAGGTGAGAACCACCATGCCCAGGTAATTTTTGTACTTTTAATAGAGACAGGGTTTCCCCATGTTGGCCAGGCTGGTCTTGAACTCCTGACCTCAAGTGATTCACCTGCCTCGGCCTCCCAAAGTGCTGGGATTACAGGTGTAAGCCACTGCGCCCGGCCTACAGGAGTTTTTAGGAAGAATGTTACTCAGGCTCTTGTGGGAAGGTAGTGATCTCACCTCACAAATATTAGGCCTGAAAAGGAGGACTTAACCACAAATACAATAGAGATTTTAAAAATTGTAAGACAGACTTAAGGACAACTTTCTGTCAATTGATTTGAAAATTTAGCCTAAAGGGCTCATTTCTTGCCCCCAAACACCTGTTAACTGCCTTCCCACAGTCCAAGACAGTTTTTCAACCAAAGTCTACCAAACAGTCAAAAGATAATCCCAGAGGCAGGGCAAGATGGCGGGATGGAAATCTCCCCTGCAAGGACAACAATAACTACCTACACAGAAAAAACAGCTTCATAAGAACCAAAAATCAGGTGAGCCCTCACAGTACCTATTTTAACTTCATATCGCTGAAAGAGGCACTGAAGAACCAGAAAAAACAGTTTGGAATCGCCAAAGCCACCCACCCTCACCAGCAGGAGAGCATCTCTGGGTGCTGCAGGAGGGAGAACACAGCATTTGAGAGGCATTGAACTCAGCACTGTCCTGTTAGAGCAGAAAGAAAAACCAGACCAAATTCAGCTGATGCCAGCCCAGCCCATGGAAGGAGCATTCAAACCAGCCTGAGTCAGAGGGGGCTCTCCGGTATCAGCGGTCGTAATTTAAGTGCCTCCAAACCTCGCCACCGAGGGCTACAGCGCTCTGTGTCTCCAAGCAAACTTGAAAGACAATCCAGGCCATAAGGACTGCAACTCTAGGTGAGTTCCAGTGCTGAGCGAGGCCCAGAGACAGTGGACTGGGGAGGGCATGCAACATACTGAGACACCAGCTGGAGCAGCCAAGGAAGAACTGGTACCACCTCTCCTCTAACCCCAAGCTGCATGGCTCGTGGCTCCGAAGAGACTCCTTCCTTCTGCTTGAGGAGCAGAGAGGGAAGAGTAGGGGGGACTTTGTCTTGCATCTAGAACACCAGCTCAGTCACATTTCTAGATACACCCTGGGCCAGAAAAGGAACCTGCTGCCTTGAAGGAAAGGACCTAGTCTCGGCAGCATTCATCACCTGCTAACTTGAGAGCCCTTGGGCCCTGAATAACCAGCAGTGATACCCAGGTACTATGTTGAGGGCCTTGGATGAGCCTTCTGGCTTCAGGTGAGATTCAGCACATTCCCAGCTGTGGTGACTACAGGCCAAAACTCCTTCTGCTTGAGAAAAGCAGAGGGAACAGTAAAGGGGACTTTGTCTTGCACCTTAGGTGCCAGCATGGCCAAAGTTAGGTAGAGCACCAAGGAGGCTCTTGGGGTCCCTGCCATGACTTGACTCTTGAATGGCATTTCTGGACCTGCCCTGGGCCAGAGGGGAGCCTACTTTCCTGAAGAGTGAGTCCCATCTGAAGGGTGAGTCCCAGGCCAGGCAGCAGTCAAGACCAGCTGACTTAAGAGATCTTGGACCCTAAGGGAACATCAGCACTAGTCTGTCAGTACTCCTTGTGGCCTGGGGTGGCTACTGGATGAGGCTCCTCTGTCTTTGGAAAGAAGAGGGAAGACTGGGAAGGACTACGTCTTGTGGTGTGAGTGCTAGCTCAGCCGCAATACAATAGAACGCCAGGTAGACTTCTAAGGTTTATCACTCTAGTCCCTGACTCCCAGATGGCACTTCTGGACCCACCTGGAGCCTGGGGGACCTTGCCACCCTGAAGGGAAGGAAACAGACCTGGCTGGTTATGCCACCTGCTGATTGTGGAGCCCCAGAGCCCTGAGTGAACACAGGCAGTAACCAGGGAGTGGTTACAGCAGGCCTTGGGCAAGACCCAGTGCTGTGCTGGCTTCAGGTCTGACCCAGCACAGTCACAGTGGTGGTGGCTACAGGGTTGCTTGTGTCACTCCACCCCCAGCTTTAGGTGGCTTAGAACAGAGAGAGAGAGAGAGAGAGAGAGAGAGAGAGAGACAGACAGACAGAGAGACTGTATATTTGGAGAGATGTAAGGGAAGAGAACAAGAGTCTGCCTGGTAATCCAGAGAATTCTTCCAGATTTAGTCTAAGACTATCAAGGCGATACCTCTATGAGTCTGCAGGAATTGCAGCATTATTGGGCTTGGGGTGCCCCCTAAAGCAGATACAACATAGATCATAACACCCATGTCCTTTTGAATATCTGGAATGCCTTCCCAAGAGGGACAGGTACAAACAAGCCCAGACGGTGAAGACAACAATAAATACCTAACTCTACAATGCCCAGATACTGAAGAACGTCAACTAGCATCAACACCAACCGGGAAAGCATGACCTCACCAAATGAACTAAATAAAGCACCAGGGATCAATCCTGGCAAAGCAGAGCTATGTGACCTTTCAGACAGAGAATTCAAAATAGCTATATTGAGGAAACTCAAAGAAAATCAAGAAAACACAGAGAAGGAATTCAGAATTCCATCGGATGAATTTAACAAAGAGATTGAAATAATTTTTAAAAATCAAGCAGAAACTCCGGAGCTGAAAAATGCAATTGCCATACTGAAGAATGAATCAGAGTCCTTTAATAACAAAATTGATCAAAGAAGAAAGAATGAGCTTGAAAACCCCCTATTAAAAAATACAGTCAGAGGAAAAAAACAGAGCACCTCTTCTTCTCCAAAGGATCGCAGCTCCTTGCCAGCAACAGAACAAAGCTGGACGGAGAATGACTTTGACGAGTTGACAGAAGTAGGCTTCAGAAGGTCGGTAATAACAAACTTCTCCGAGCTAAAGGAGGATGTTCGAACACATCGCAAGGAAGCTAAAAACCTTGAAAAAAGATTAGATGAATGGCTAACTAGAATAAACAGTGTAGAGAAGACCTTAAATGACCTGAAGGAGCTGAAAACCATGGCACGAGAACTTCATGATGCATGCACAAGCTTCAGTAGCTGATTTGATCAAGTGGAAGAAAGGGTATCAGTGATTGAAGGTCAGATTAATGAAATGAAGTGAGAAGAGAAGTTTAGAGAAAAAAGAGTAAAAAGAAATGAACAAAGCCTCCAAGAAATATTGGACTATGTGAAAAGACCAAATCTATGTTTGATTGGCGTACCTGAAAGTGATGAGGAGAATGGAACCAAACTGGAAAACACTCTTCAGGATATTATCCAGGAGAACTTCCCCAACCTAGCAAGGCAGGCCAACATTCAAATTCAGGAAATACAGAGAACACCACAAAGATACTCCTCGAGAAGAGGAATCCCAAGACAAATAATTGTCAAATTCACCAAGATTGAAATGAAGGAAAAAATGTTAAGGGCAGCCAGAGAGAAAGGTCGAGTTACCCACAAAGGGAAGCCCATCAGACTAACAGCAGACCTCTCGGCAGAAACTCTACAAGGCAGAAGAGAGTGGGGGCCAATATTCAACATCATTCTGTCGCCCAGACTGGAGTGCAGTGGCGTGATCTCAGCTCACTGCAAGCTCCGCCTCCCAGGTTCACACCATTCTCCTGCCTCAGCCTCCCGAGTAGCTGGGACTACAGGCGCCTGCCAACATGCCCGGCTATTTTTTTTTTTTTTTTTGTATTTTTAGTAGAGATAGGGTTTCACTGTGTTAGCCAGGATGGTCTCATTCTCCTGACCTTGTGATCTGCCTGCCGTGGGCTCCCAAAGTGCTGGGATTACAGGCATGAGCCACCGCGCCTGGCCTCAACATTCTTAAAGAAAAGAATTTTCAACCCAGAATTTCATATCCAGCCAAACTAAGCTTCGTAAGTGAAGGAGAAATAAAATCCTTTACAGACAAGCAAATGCTGAGAGACTTTGTCACCACCAGGCCTGCCTTACAAGGGCTCAAGGAAGCCCTAAACATGGAAAGGAAAAACCGCTAACAGCCACTGCAAAAACATGCCAAATTGTAAAGACCATCGATGCTAGGAAGAAACTGCATGAACTAATGGGCAAAATAACCAGCTAACATCATAATGACAGGATCAAATTCACACATAACAATATTAACCTTAAATGCAAATGGGCTAAATGCCCCAATTAAAAGACACAGACTGGCAAATTGGATAAGGAGTCAAGACCCATCAGTGTGCTGTATTCAGGGGACCCATCTCATGTGCAGAGACACACATAGGCTCAAAATAAACGGCTGGAGGAAGATCTACCAAGCAAATGGAAAGCAAAAAAAAAAAAAAAAAAAAGCAGGGGTTGCAATCCTGGGGAGAGAGAGGATTACCTCTCTCATCACTCCTATTCAACGGAGCATAGGAAGTTCTGGCCAATCCGGCAAGAGAAAGAAATAAAAGGTATTCAATTAGGAAAAGAGGAAGTCAAATTGTACTGATAAAACAGACTTTAAATCAACAAAGATCAAAAGAGACAAAGAAGGCCATTACATAATGGTAAAGAGATCAATTCAACAAGAAGAGCTAACTATCCTAAATATATATGCACCCAATACAGGAGCACCCAGATTCATAAAGCAAGTCCTTAGAGACTACAAAGAGACTTAGACTCCTACACAATAATAATGGGAGGCTTTAACACCCCACTGTCAATATTAGACACATCAATGAGACAGAAGGTTAACAAGGATATCCAGGACTTGAACTCAGCTCTGCACCAAGCAGACATACTAGACATCTACAGAACTCTCCACAAACAAATCAAAAGAGTATACATTCTTCTTAGCACCACATTGCACTTATTCCAAAATTGACCACATAGTTGGAAGTAAAGCACTCCTCAGCAAATAGTAAAGAACAAAAATCACAAAAAACTGTCTCTCAGACCACAGTGCAATCAAATGAAAACGCAGGGTTAAGAAACTCACTCAAAACCGCATAACATGGCAACTGAACAACCTGCTCCTGAATGACTACTGGGTAAATAACGAAACGAAGGCATAAATAAAGATGTTCTTTGAAATCAATGAGAACAAAGACACAACGTACCAGAATCTCTGGGACACATTCAAAGCAGTGTGTAGAGGGAAATTTATAGCACTAAATACCCACAAGAGAAAGCAGAAAAGATCTAAAATTGACACCCTAACATCACAATTGAAAGAACTAGAGAAGCAAGAGCAAACAAATTCAAAAGCTAGCAGAAGACAAGAAACAACTAAGATTAGAGCAGAACTGAAGGAGACAGAGACACAAAAAAACCCTTCAAAAAATCAGTGAATCCAGGATCTGGTTTTTTGAAAAGATCAACAAAAGAGATAGACCGCTAGCAAGATTAATAAAGAAGAAAAGAGAGAAGAATCAAATAGATGCAATAAAAATGACAAAGGGGATATTGCCACCGATCCCACAAAAATGCAAACTACCACCAGAGAATAAACACCTCTACACAAATAAACTAGAAGAAATGGATAAATTCCTGGACACATACACCCTCCCAAGACTAAACCAGGGAGATGTTGAATCCCTGAATAGACCAATAACAGGCTCTGAAATTGAGGCAATAATTAATAGTCTACCAACCAAAAATAGTCCAGGACCAGACGGATTCACAGCTGAATTCTACCAGAGGTACAAAGAGGAGCTGGTACCATGCCTTCTGAAACGAATCCAATCAATAGAAAAAAAGGAAATCCTCCCTAACTCATTTTATGAGGCTAGCATCATCCTGATAACAAAGCCTGGCAGAGACACAACAAAAACAAGAGAATTTTAGACCAATATCCCTGATGAACATCGATATGAAAATAAAATACTGGCAAACCAAATCCAGCAGCACATCAAAAAGCTTATCCACCATGATCAAGTGGGCTTCATCCCTGGGATGCAAGGCTGGTTCAACATACACAAATCAATAAACGTAATCCATCACATAAACAGAACCAAAGACAAAAACCACATGATTATCTCAATAGATGCAGAAAAGGCCTTCGACAAAATTCAACAGCCCTGGCCAGGCGTGGTGGCTCACACCTGTAATCCCAGCACTTTGGGAGACAGAGGTGGGCGGATCACGAGGTCAGGAGATTATTGAGACCATCCTGGCTAACACAGTGAAACCCCGTCTCTACTAAAAATACAAAAAATTAGCCAGGCGTAGTGGCGGGCGCCTGTAGTCCCAGCTACTCGGGAGGCTGAGGCAGGAGAATGGCATGAACCCAGGAGGCGGAGCTTGCAGTGAGCCGAGATAGCACCACTGCACTCCAGCCTGGGTGACAGAGTGAGACTCCGTCTCAAAAAAAAAAAAAAAAAAAATTCAACAGCCCTTCTTGCTAAAAACTTTTAATAAACTAGGTATTGATGGAACGTATCTCAAAATAATAAGAGCTATTTATGACAAACCCACAGCCAATATCATACTGAATGGGCAAAAACTGGAAGCATTCCCTTTGAAAACTGGCACAAGACAGGGATGCCCTCTCTCACCACTCCTATTTGACGTAGTGTTGGAAGTTCTGACCAGGGCAATCAGGCAAGAGAAAGAAATAAAGGGTATTCAATTAGGAAAAGAGGAAGTCAAATTGTCCCTGTTTGCAGATGACATGATTATATATTTAGAAAACCCCATTGTCTCAGCCCAAAATCTCCTTAAGCTGATAAGCAACTTCAGCAAAGTCTCAGGATACAAAATCAATGTGCAAAAATCACAAGCATTCCTATACACCAATAACAGACAAACAGAGAGCCAAATCATGAGTGAACTCTCATTTGGAATTGCTTCAAAGAGAATAAAATACCTAGGAATCCAACTTACAAGGGATGTGAAGGACTTCTTCAAGGAGAACTACAAACCACTGCTCAACGAAATAAAAGAGGACACAAAAAATTGGAAGAACATTCCATGCTCATGGACAGGAAGAATCAATATCATGAAAATGGCCATACTGCCCAAGGTAATTTATAGATTCAATGCCATCCCCATCAATCTACCAATGACTTTCCTCACAGAATTGGAAAAAAATACTTTAAAGTTCATACGGAACCAAAAAAGAGCCCGCATTGCCAAGACAATCGTAAGCAAAAAGAACAAAGCTGGAGGCATCATGCTACCTGACTTCAAACTATACTATGAGGCTACAGTAACCAAAACAGCATGGTACTGGTACCAAAACAGATATATAGACCAATGGAACAGAACAGAGGCCTCAGAAATAACACCACACATCTACAACCATCTGATCTTTGACAAACCTGAGAAAAACAAGAAAAGGGGAAAGGATTCCCTATTTAATAAACAGTGCTGGGAAAACTGGCTAGCCATATCTAAAAGCTGAAACTGGATCCCTTCCTTACACCTTATACAAAAATTAATTCAAATGAATTAAAGACTTAAATGTTAAATCTAAAACCATAAAAACCCCAGAAGAAAACCTAGGCAATACCATTCAGGACAGAGGCATGGGCAAGGACTTCCTGATTAAAATACCAAAAGCAATGGCAACAGAAGCCAAAATAGACAAATGGGATCTAACTAAACTAAAGAGCTTCTGCACAGCAAAATAAACCGCCATCAGAGTGAACAGGCAACCTACGGAATGGAAGAAAATTTTTGTAATCTACCCATCTGACAAAGGGCTAATATCCAGAATCTACAAAGAACTCAAACAAATTTACAAGAAAAAATCAAACAACCCCATCAAAAAGTGGGCGAAGGATATGAACAGACACTTTACAAAAGAAGACATTTATGTAGCCAATGGACACATGAAAAAATGCTCATCATCACTGGCCATCAGAGAAATGCAAATCAAAACCACAATGAGATACCATCTCACACCAGTTAGAATGGCAATCATTAAAAAGTCAGGAAACAACGGTGCTGGAGAGGATGTGGAGAAATAGGAACACTTTTACACTGTTGGTGGGACTGCAAACTAGTTCAACCATTGTGGAAGACAGTGTGGCGATTCCTCAAGGATCTAGAACTAGAAATAGCATTTGACCCAGCCATTCCATTACTGGGTATATACCCAAAGGATTATAAATCATGCTGCTATAAAGACACATGCACACATATGTTTACTGCGGCACTATCTACAATAGCAAAGACTCGGAACCAACTCAAATGTCCATCAATGATAAACTGGATTAAGAAAATGTGGCACATATACACCATGGAATACTATGCAGCCATAAAAAAGGATGAGTTCATGTCCTTTGTAGGGACATGGATGAAGCTGGAAACCATCATTCTGAGCAAACTATTGCAAGGACAGAAAACCAAACACCACATGTTCTCACTCATAAGTGGGAATTGAACAATGAGAACACTTGGACACAGGGTGGGGAACATCACACACTGAGGCCTGTCGTAAGGTGGGGGGATGGGGGAAGGATAGCATTAGGAGAAATACCTAATGTAAATGACGAATTAATGGGTGCAGCAAACCAACATGGGACATGTATACATATGTAACAAACCTGCCCATTGTGCACATGTACCCTAGAACTTAAAATAATAAAAAAAAGAGTAAACAGGTTTTCAAAGCTCTCTACAGGCAAACTTATGCAATTATCCCTTTAATTTTTATCTTCATATATATGTGCATGATCTACTTGTTTCTGAGTATAAATAAAACCATATGTTTTTGGCAGAAATATATATATATAGTCAGAGGAGACAAAAAAAGAAAAACAATGAAACATGCCTATAGGATCTAGAAAATAGCCTCAAAAGGGCACCTCTAAGAGTTATTGGCCTTAAAGAGGAAGTCGAGTAAGAGATAGGTGTAGACAGTTTATTCAAAGGGACAATAGTGGAGAACTTCTCAAATCTAGAGAAAGATATCAACAATCCAAGTACAAGAAGGTTACAGAACAGTATGCAGATTTGACTCAAACAACATGATATGGCTTGGGTCTGTGTTCCCACCCAAATCTCACGTCGAATTGTAATCTCCAATGTTGGAAGAGGGGCCTTGTGGGAAGTGATTGGCTCATGGAGCCATATTTACCCCTTGCCGTTCTTGTAATAGTGAGTGAGTTCTCATGAGTTCTGGTTGTTTATAAAAGTGTGTAGCAGCTGCCCCTTCACTCTCTCTTCCTCCTTCTCAGGCCATGTAATATGTGTCTGCTTCCCCTTTATCTTCTGCCATGGTTGTAAGTTTCCTGAGGCCTCCCCAAACATGCTTCCTGTACAGCCTGTGGAACTGTGCTGTGAGTCAATTAAACCAATTTTTTTTTGTTTGTTTTTGAGACGGAGTTTCGCTCTTGTTGCCCAGGCTGGAGTGCAATGGAGTGATCTCAGCTCACTGCAACCTCTGCCTTCCAGGTTCAAACGATTCTCCTGCCTCAGCCTCCCGAGTAGCTGGGATTACAGGCATGCACTACCACGCCTGGCTAATTTTGTATTTTCAGTAGAGACGGGGTTTCTCCATGTTGGCCAGGCAGGTCTCAAACTTCCAACCTCAGGTGATCTGCCCGCCTCCACCTCCCAAAGTGCTGGGATTACAGGCGTGAGCCACCACACCCGGCCTAAACCTCTTTTCTTTATAAATTACCCAGTCTCAGTTAGTTCTTTATAGCAGTGCGAAAATGGACTAATACACAAGACAACCTATAGGCATATAATAATCAAACTTGCAAAGGTAAAGGATTAAAAAAGGATCCAAAAAGCAGCAAGAGAAAAGAAACAAATAACATACAATGGAGCTCTAATACATCTAGCAGCAGACTTTTCAGTGGAAAACCTTACAGGCCAGGAAAGAGTGGCATGACATATTGAAAAGTGCTGAGGGAAAAAAACTTTCACCTAGAATAGTATATCTGGTGAAAATCTCCTTCAAGCATGGAGGAGAAATACTTTCCCAGACAAACAAAAGCTGAAGGATTTCATCAATACCAGACCTGTCCTACAAGAAACACTAAAGGGAGTACTTCAGTCAGAAAGAAAAAGACATTAATGAACAATAATCACCTGAAGGTACAAAACTCACTGGTAATAGGAAGTACACAGAAAAACAAAATATTAGAACACTTTAACGGTGGTGTGTAAACTATCTCATTCTAAGTAGGAAGACTATACAATGAACCAAAAAAAATAATAACTACAACAGCTTTTTATGACACAGTACAATAAGATATAAATAGAAACATCAAAAAGTTTAAAAATTGGGGGATGGGAGTAAGGCATAGTGTTATTAGTTTTCTTTTTGCTGGTTTCTTTATGCCAAGAGGGTTAGATTGTTATCCGACTAAAATAATGGGTTATAAGATAGTATTTGCAAGCCTTATTGTAACCTCAAACTAAAAAACTTACAATGGTTGCACAAAAAATAAAAAGCAAGAAACTAAATCATATCACCAGAGAAAATCACCATCCCTACAGCAAGGTAGGAAGGAAAGAAAGAAGGAAGATAAGACAATAAAACAACTAGAAAACAAATAACAAAAGGCAGGAGTAAGTCCTTACTTACCAATAATAACATTGAATGTAAGTGGACTAAATTCTCTAATCAAAAGACATAGACTGGCTGAATTGATGAAAAAAACAAGACACATTGATCTGTTGCCTACAAGAAACACACTCTACCTGTAAAGACACACATAGACTGAAAATAAAGGGATGGAAAAAGATATTCCATGCCAATGGAAACCAAAAAGAAGCAGGAGTCACTATACTTATATCAGACAAAATAGTTTTCAAGACAAACTACGGCTGGGCACGGTGGCTCACACCTGTAACCCCAGCACTTTGGGAGGCCGAGGCAGGTGAATCACCTGAGGTCAGGAGTTCAAGACCAGCCTGGCCAGCATGGTGAAACCCTGTCTCTACTAAAAAATACAAAATTTAGCCAGGCGTGGTGGCACATGCCTGTAATTCCAGCTACTCAGGAGGCTGAGGCAGGAGAGTCATTTGAACTTGGGAGGCAGGGGTTGCAGTGACCCGAGATCATGCCACTGCACTCCAGCCTACGCAACAGAGCAAGACTCTGTCTCAAAAAAAAAAAAAAAAAAAATCAGTGTGACTCATTAAAAGATGAAAGCAATTTTGGTATCAGGCAATTCAGGACTATTTTGGCAACTTGTATAATTATTAGGGTCTCCTCTTTTGCCTCAAAATACTGAATAGAAGTCTACCTTTTGTGTATGTAATCTTGTATATGAATGTGCTGGCTGAGGATGTGATAACAGTAGATAAACCACTTGACAACCAGCCTCTGGAGTGCATAGACTGTGTTTGCTTTATCGATGGCTGTGAGGGCAGCTCCTCATCACAGTGCCTGGGCCATAATCGGATCTAACTGGACATTAGTTAAATGAATGTGTTAAATGATTATTTTCAAGGGTCTATCTCCCAGATAAAAACATTAGCATCACTGATCAAAAAAGATCATTGGGATGACCAAATTGGCCAAATCAATCTTATTAATGGTGTAGAAAAGAGTGAGTAAGAAAGTTGGGGATAAAAATAATAGATTTTTACAACGAAATTTTGATTTTATTATTTAAATGACAAGTGTAAGGTTTTGTAATAAAAATATATTAATATGATCATATTTCTCATTTTAGACTGTTATTCAGTTAAATCAGCTTTATATGTGTAAGCATACATTTTCCACCTGTAAATTAAACATAAATGATCAAGAAATCACGGGTTCCAATAAAATAACATAGTTATGGAATTTAGAACTGGAATAAATTTAAACCATCTAATCTAGCCCGTTTACTTATTTTAAGCCCAGAAGTTTAATAACACGGCTAAGGTCATAAGTTAATGGACAGAAAAAGGGCTAGAATTCCTAATTTCCTGTTGTTTCTTCCAATGTTTGATGCTCACAGTGTTTGTATTGGTAAAGTGTTTTTTATAGGACCGAAGTTCCTATGGTAATATCCTCCGAGACCACTAGGTGTCATCTTAGAACTATTATTAGCGTTCACTTAGCGCTGGTCTTCCACTAATGGGAACAATGTAATGACACTTTCAGAGGGTTTGGGGTTTTCTCCAAGTTATATGAGGATGATAGTAGTACCTACCTCACAGAATTCTGGGAATTGTTTATGAGACTCTTGAAGATGACATGAGATACCATGAGTAAAACACTGAGAACTCATGAGATACTACGAGTAAAACACAGATGACATAAGATACCATGAGTAAAATACTGAGAACACAGTAAGCCCTCTGTAATTTTTCAGCTGGCGGAGACCCCCGTGTCGCCGCTGCCGCCGGCGCCTGGCCTCCCGCGGCACTCCCGGCTGCGCGCTCCGCTCGGCCCCGCCACGCGGGTGAACCTCAGACAGCGGTCCGGGCCCTGGAGCCTTCAGGAAGTGGACGAACAGCCGCAGCACCCGCTGCATGTCACCTGCACGGGGTGGCGGTGGACGAGCGGAGCACCGTGCCCGATCCCACCCAGGTGAAGAACAGACCCACCAGCATTTCGTGGGATGGTCTTGATTTAGGGAAACTCTACACCTGGGTCTTGACAGACCCGGATGCTCCAAGCAGGAAGGATCCCCAATACAGGGAATGGCATCATTTCCTGGTGGTCCACATGAAGGGCAGTGACATCAGCAGTGGCACAGTCCTCTCCGGATTATGTGGGCTCGGGGTCTCCCAAGGCACAGGCCGCTGAAATGTGACGAGCCCATCCTCAGCAACCGCTCCGGAGACCACCGTGGCAAATTCAAGGTGGCGTCCCCCCGTAAAAAGTACGCGCTCGGGGTCCCGGTGGCCGGCACGTGTTACCAGGCCGAGTGGGACGACTATGTGCCCAAATTGTAGGAGCAGCTGTCTGGGAAGTAGGGGGCAGCTCGGCGACCTGAACCGTCCTGGAGGCCCCGAGCTGTGTTCTCCAGTTCAGTGCTGCATGTACCATAGCTTTCTCCTCTTCCCACTCCCCTTTGGACAGACAAGACCTGAGCACTGAGATGGTGGCTTAGGGTGACTTTTCCTGCTGCCTGGCCTTTATCATTCTAGTCACTCACTCTGTTTTATGTTTTGATCAATTTTGAACTTCATTTTGGGGGATATTTTGGTATTGTGATGGGGTCATCAAATTGTTATTATGAAAATAGCAACCCAGAATTTAAAGAAAAAATTTGGCAGAAATAGACCAGGTCTACAGTAATAGAGCAAAGCATCAAAGAATCTTTAAGGGAGGTTAAAAATAAATAAATAAGGATTGGTTGCCTCTGCCTTTGTGATCCTGAGACCAGAACTGTAGCAGTGTGTTTTTATGGCACCATCGCTAGACAACCAGAGGCTCGCAATGAGGCTCAGCCCCAACACGGGCCTCTCAGTTGCCTTAATAGGCGTCAGTATCTCACTCTGGTCCCTTTAAAGAGCAATCCTGGAAAAAGGAGTAGGGAGAGTGGCTTTGCTGTTGTTGGGGCATGGCCCTGTAGATGGGCAGCAGTACTAGCTGACCGCTTATCAGGAATCCCTACATCTGTGTCTGTCAAATTGATTGCTCTTCATGGGGGTAAGAAAAGCTGGTCTGGAGTTGCTGAATGTTGTGTTAATTCTGCTGTTTGCTGATAGTTGAATAAAAATAAAAACCCTGAATGAAAAATCATCATCATCATAATTTTTCAGCTGTCACTACTTATTCATTGTCAGGGCATTCCCATCATCTATTCTGAAGAAAGGCAAGAGAAATAAAATAATTTTATAATGGACATGTCAAAATGATGAATTTTGCTGCTATAGGGCGACCCCCTGAAACTATTGCTACAGAATAAAAGATGAAATGCTCCTGACTATTGTAAATACAAAATTGCATGCAGAATTGTGTAAAGACAATGCCAGGTTGGGCTGCCAGAATGAGCCAACAGCGCGTGATGTGCTTCCCCCTGCAGAGAGCCTATGAATGGAAGTGCAGTCAGGGAGGTTTCACATCACCAAGATTCCTATCCCAGAAAAGCAGATGTTCATAGCTCTGGGAATGGAATGCGACCCTTGTGGGGAGCCTATAAATGGACACATGAGGGGCGCCTGTCCATATGGATAAGATAGGACTATAAACACCCTCATCTTGCCATGGCTCTTCTAGGCCTCTTCAGGGTTAAGGCATACTCCCTTCTGAGAATTTCTGGTCTAACCAGTTGTCTAGCTTCATGTCTCCTATCTATGGATTGTTTGTAACCAGCTTTGGCTGCAACTGTTACTGCTGATTAATACCTTGCTAATCATAGGTTATGGAAAGACTGTGTTTCTGTTTTAAGGCTCTGTTAGAAATTACTGATGCACACACTATATTGTAAATTCTTATCCCTGTATACTGTACTTCTGCATACAGATGTTATGTTAAAGAATTACTTCATCCCCATGTGACCATCTCACCTCATAATCAAATGACCCTAAATCCCTCACTAACCTATCCCTGCCCTCACTAAACTTAATAATAAATGCTGGTATATCCAGTGCATTGTTGGCACCACGGGACCAGAAGGCGGTGACCCCCCTGGACCCAGCTTTCACTATCTTGTGTGTGTCTATTATTTCTCAACCTGCCAATCCGCCTGGGAACAAAGAGATAGCCCCTTTGCATTGCGGGCTGCTGGCCAGATACTGCAATAGCTGCAACAGAAGGGGCCGGGCACAGTGGCTCATGCCCGTAATCCCAACACTTTGGGAGTTCCAGGCGGGCGGATCACGAGTTCAGGAGATCGAGACCATCCTGGCTAACATGGTGGAACTCTGACTCTACTAAAAATACAAAAAATTAGCCGAGCATGGTGGCACGTGCCTGTAGTCCCAGCTACCCGGGAGGCTGAGGCAGGAGAATGATTTGAACCCAGGAGGCAGAGGTTGCAGTGAGCCAAGATCGCACCACTGCACTCCAGCCTGGGTGACAGAGCGAGACTCCATCTCAAAAAAAAAAAAAAAAGCTACGAGAATGTCTTAATGACCAGTGAGTGACCAAGGATGTGTCAAGATAAATTCTATTGAATGATGGGGTTTTGGATTCCAAAGAAAAAAAGCGAACCCAGCAGGCTTTGGTGGCTGATGGCTCTCAGACTGAATCTCAGCTCCACGCCAGGAAATGCGCTGAGGACATCAATGTGCGTAGATAACAGCCTTGTTAGAAGGAGTAGATGAGTCAAGGCTGAGAAGCGCTCAGGACAGTGCTCAGTAAATCCTAGTTATGTGACCTTGGGCAAATTATTTAACCTCTGGAAGCTCCCATCTCCTTATTCATAAGAGGAGGTTAATAGGCACTTTTCAGAGTTGTTTTAAGAAACAAATGAGATAGATTCTGGGAACAGGGAAAATGTGGTTCCCCTGTTCCCCATTACAACTCTGAGTTATTTGCCTCTTTTGGGCCAAACAGCTTTTCAGACACACAGACCCCTTTGTGGGTGATGGCTCAAGCTCGGCTGGGTGGTGATGCAGGGCTTTCAACCCAGTGTGCTGGACCAGAACCTGGGCCAGGACCCCTAAGGACAGTGTATCCTGGGGTGAGCCTAAAGCTCAGACATCCGTGGGGTAAGTCTCAGGAAACCACACAAAGAGATGTTTAAAGACTTCAGATGATGTCCATGTTCCACTATGCCAGACTTACCTTTTTTCCAAATTTGAGAACCATTTTTTCAGCATTTATGTGGTCCAGAAAATTAGGATGAGACTTTCTTCTTCGATAATCTTCTTCAGTGAATGGAACCTCAGAATCCTCCTATTATAAGAAAGAAAGAAAAGGTACAGACTTGGTGAATTAGAGATGTGTGACTTCTAAGGCTAAAGATATGTTCCTTTAAGCTCAAATAAAGCTTAAAACTACCGCTTGATTTATTTTTTTATTTTTGAGACAGGGTCTCGCTGTGTTGCCCAGGCTGGTCTTGAACTCTTGGGCTCAAGCAATCCTCCTGCCTCGGCCTTCCAAAGTGCTGGGATTATAGGCATGAACCACCGAGTCTGGCCATACTGCTTATTTTATTTTATTTTATTTTATTATATTTCATTTCATTTCATTTTTATTTGAGATGGAGTCTTTCTCTGTCGATGATGATAGTAGCATCCTCCTAGACTGGATGGAGTACAGTGGCACAATCCTGGCTCACTGCAACCTCCACCTCCCAGGTTCAAGTGATTCTCCTGCCTCAGCCTCCCAAGTAGCTGAGATTACAGGTGCGTGCCACCACACCTGGCTAATTTTTGTATTTTTAGTAGACAGGTTTTTGCCATGTTGGCCAGGCTGGTATGGAACTCCTGACCTCAGGTGATCTGCCCACCTCAGCCTCCCAAAGTGCTGGGATTACAGGCGTGAACCACCACATCCAACCATACCACTTATTTGAATAGTGATTTACTCTTCTTAAAAATGCTTTAGGAGGCCAGGCGCAGTGGCTCATGCCTGTAATCCCAGCACTTTGGGAGGCCAAGGTGGGCGGATTACCTGACGTCTGGAGTTCGAGACCAGCCTGGCTAACATGATGAAACCCCGTCTCTACTAAAAATATGAAAATTAGCCAGGCGTGGTGGCAGGCACGAGACCAGCCTGGCTAACATGATGAAACCCCGTCTCTGCTAAAAATACAAAAATTAGCCAGGTGTGGTGGCAGGCACCTGTAATCCCAGCTACTCGGGAGGCTGAGGCAGGAGAATTGCTTGAACCCAGGAGGCGGATGTTGCAGTGAGCCGAAATCGCGCCATTGCACTCCAGCCTGGGGGAGAAGACCAAGACTTTGTCTCAAAAAAAAAAAAAAAAGAAAAGAAAGAAAAAAAAATGCTTTAGGAGACAAATTTTATAATTTAAATTTAATCTAAACAAAATTAAAAACTAAAAGTCTTTCACAGAGATGGTAGCAGGTTGCCACTGAGATTCCATAAAGGTATTAATATTAAATATAATTTTTTTTTGGTAGAGACAGGGCCTTGCTCTCTTGCCCAGGCTGGAGTGCAGTGGCCTGATCATAGCTTACTGCAGCCTTGAAATCCTGGATTCAAGTGATCCTCCTGCCTTAGCCTCCCAAGTAGCTGGGACTATATAGGCACACACCTCCATGCCCAGCTCATTTATTTTATTTTTTTGTAGAAACAGAGTCTCCAATTGTTACCCAGGCTGGTCTCCACCTCCTGGCTTTAAGCAATCCCCCCTCCTTGGCCTCGCAGAATGGTGGGATTACAGGCATGAGCCACCTCGCCCCAGCCTGTAGTTTTATTTTTTTTAACCTAAATTGTTTTTTTCTTTTTTTTTCTTTGCCACATGGGCCCTCCCCAAAATAAATAACATGTTAAAAAGGACATTGCATGTGCAGGTCACTGACTCTGGCTTTAAAAATTGGTTTCACTGGTTAAGATTAAGTACGTCCTGGGAATGAGGAATTAAAAACATTTCTTGACAGTTCACTGACCTGTCCCTCATATTCAGTCTCCCCACAACCCACAGCCTGTGCAGTCCCATAGAGGGATGCAACCAAAATAACTATGTTAAAACCTACTGGAATCAGAAGAAATAATTGAGAGCCATGCAACAGTGTGATTTGGCAAAAATCCTTCCAAATTCAGAGATCCGTGTTGGAGCAGGGTTTCAGGGTTTTAAAAATATGGTGTTCAGTATGGAACCTTTCAATCACAATACATTGGTCTAAGTTAAATAACCAATCCAAAGCTTTTGAGCCCAGAGTTTACAAGGAAACAACTGAAGAGGCAGGAGAAACACAATGAAAATCCTACTGAGGCTAGGCGAGGTGGCCCATGCCTGTAATCCCAGCACTTTGGGAGGCTGAGGTGGGTGGATCACTTGAGGCCAGGAGTTCAAGACCAGCCTGGACAACATGGTGAAACCCTGTCTCTACTAAAAATACATAAATTAGCTGGGCTTGGTGGCAGGTGCCTGTAATCCCAGCTACTCGGGAGGCTGAGGCAGGAGAATCGCTTGAACCTGGGAGGCTGAGGTTGCAGTGAGCCGAGACTGCACAACTGCACTCCAGCTTGGGCGACAGAGCAAAAATTCTTTTCAAAAAACAAAAACAAAAACAAAAACAAAAAGCCCTACTGAGGTAAGAGTACAGTTGCTCCTGAGAAAATGACTGGAGCCAAGCTGGGAATTGGTAGGGGATGCGGTAGGTGAGAGCCAGATTATCAGGGTTTCTGAGCCACACTGAGGAGTTCAGATTCATTCCAATAGCAATAAAAGGCTATGGAAGGATTTGAAGCCTTTTTTTTTTTTTTTAGACAAGGTCTCACTCTGTTGCCCAGGGTGGGGCGCAGTGGCACAATCACAGCGCACTGCAGCCTCAACCTCCTGGGAACAGCTGAGTCCACCTAGACTCCTGAGTAGTTGGGACTACAGGTGCTTGCCACCATGCCAGGCTAATAAAAAAAAATTGTTTTGTGTAAAGGCAGGGTCTCATTGTGATGTCCAGACTGGTCTCAAACTCCTGGTCTCAAGCAATCCTCCTGCCTCGGCCTCCCAAAGTGCTGGAATTACAGGCTTGAGCTACTAAGCCCAGTTGGGTTTTTCACTTTTAAAGCAGGACTGCAAAGTGATCTGAATTTCATATTTAATTTAATATTTTGATACATATTGTAATATATCATAGTGCATATATTTGGGGTATATGTAATATTCCAATACATGTATTTCTTTCTTTTAGCCACCTGGTTTGCTATTGATTGATACGTGTATTTTTAACTCGATATATCACCCTTGTACAGATTCTGGAGGTACCTGTGATATTCTGATACATGTTTTTTATTGATATATCAGAGTTGTGAATGACATTTCAACAAAATGGCTGAGGTGGTACTATGGAGGATGGATTGGAGGGCGCAAAGGCAGGCCCCAGCTGCACAACCACTTGAGTAGTCCAAGAAGCTAAAGGCTGAGGCTGGCTAGAAGGTTGCCATAGATACAAAGAGAGCAAAGTGTGTTTATGATACATTTCGGATGATGAATGAACAGAATTTACCAATGAGTTGACTGCTGGGAGGAGGGGAGTGAGGCTAGAGCAACTGAGATGCTAGGAGATGTCCTTGGGAGAAAGCTGGGAGAATGAGTTGTTGAGGGGAAGATCCACTTCAATTCTGTGTACACAGTAGATACCTAGTGAATACATATTGCACAATTAACTGTCCTCGTAAACAGGTCTAGTGGCCTACATGTAGGTTTGCCAGGTAAAACACAGGACATCCAGCTAAATTTGAATTTCAGATAAACAAATGACTAAATTTTTAGTACAAGCTTGTCTTCATATTGCACAGGGTATAGGTATGCTAAACAATTATTCACTGTCTATCTGAAATTCAGATCTAACTGGGTGTCCTGTATTTTCACTTGCCAGCTCCAGTCTGGAAACTGTGTAGTCAGCTTTGCCTTCAGGATGAATTGAGTCCTGGCCCCTCTGTAGCCCTGGCTCACATGGCATGCTGGGCCAGGTCACCTAACCCACCCTCCTTGCTCCCTGTGACTGGCCCAACACCCCTCTTCTGGATTTGCCCTACCCTTTGTCTTCAACGGCTGCCAGGGAAATGGTCACATTCCATGAGGTGAACCATAAGAGAACCATAGGTTGGATGGCCAATCTCTTCCCTGACATTTTGAGAAAGTGACTGAGAGAAAAGGAAGATCAATCTCTCTCTGGCCAGTGGCACTGGAGCCCATAAATTCCAACCAGAGGGGGCCGCAGGTTCTGAGCTGTCATTCCTTGATTCCTGGTTGGGACAGAGATCTGTTTGTGTATGATGCACCTTTGCGACCAGTTGCTAGGCTGTGTTCCCTTTAGTCCTTAAATTTCACTTGTTACAAACACAACAAATAAAGTGTATTTTGAACCCAAACCTTTAATATGGGTTTTAGTTCCTCCCAACTGTTTGCATCATTTGTCTTTCCAGTAAAGGGTAAGTGGTTGACCTTTCCTTTAGCAGGGGTTACAGCCGTGATCCTTTCATTGTTATATTATATATGGATGGCTGTCAGCATTTCTGGAAACTCAGCCTGCCTTACTACTATCTTGTTATAATTACTAAGCTCATTTAGAGGCTTCCTCTTTCTAGGAGGTAAAGAACATAGTCTACAGAGTAATCTCCCCTGCCCTTTATCAGGCCAATGGGCAAATCTGTTTTCTTGTAACACTCTAGCACTCTGTTGGATTCTCTTTTTTTTTTTTTGAGACAGAGTCTCACTCTGTCTCCAGGCTGGAGTGCAGTGGCACCATCCTGGCTCACTGCAACCTCTGCCTCCTGGCTTCAAGCAATTCTCCTGCCTCGGCCTCCTGAGTATCTGGGATTAAAGGCATACACCACCACACCCAGCTAATTTTTTTTGTATTTTTAGTAAAGACGGGGTTTCACCATGTTGGCCAGGCTAGTCTTGAACTCCTGGCCTCAGGTGATCCACCTGCCTCGGCTTCCCAATGTGCTAGGATTACAGGCATGAGCCACTGTGCCCGGCCTGGATTCTCTTTTTAATTGGTGATTGTGTTTGGTTGCCCACGTGGATCATTTGGTGGACTCCGTTTCTCCCTGGTTATTACGTGTGACAATCAGAGCCCGTCGGCCCTTGTTCTGGAGTATTTGGTTGAATCAGGGTCACCTCTGGGTTATATCTCTTTACTCACACATACAGAAACAAGTACATAGCTAGACTTTAAAAACAAACAGGTTCTAAGGGAAAAACCAACCCCAATATATATTAAGATTGTCCTATTATTAAAATTGATACCTTAATTATTTAATTAATGTATTAAATTAATTTAATTAATTAATGTATTAAATTAATTTAATTAATTAATGTATTAAATTAATTAATTTAATTAATGTATTAAAATTTATTAATAATAAATTAATATTTACCCTTCATTTGTAACAAAACTGATTTTTGTGCAGTTTTAATCCATTTGGATGCTTTTGGCTACCAGCAACAGAAAACCAAACTCAAAAAGACCTACGCACTGGGAAAATCATCTCCCATAAGTAGTGTTCCTAAGTCGGGTGGCTCCAGGCACCATGGGCTGGCCTGCCTCTGCTGTTTTTTCTTTGTTTTTCTTTTTTCCAAGAGTTTACTTTTAAATGTACAGTAGACTCCAAGACAACACTTCATTCCAGCTATAGGTGGCAAAAGATGTGATGCAGGGAATCCAGATGTTCAAATATACATGGAATCAAGGGTCACCATCGCCTCAGGCACAAGGAACAGCTTACTGCTTGCCAGATTTCCTTTTTTCTTTTCTTTTCAAAATATTTATTTATTTATTTATTTATTTTTAGAGATGGTGTCTTGCTGTGTTGCTCAGGCTGGTCTTGAACTCCTGGGCTCAAGTGATCCTCCCACCTTAGCCTTCCAATGTGCTGGGGTTACAGGTGTGAGCAACCATGCCCAGCCAATTGCCAGATTTCTTAATTCCACCTGTGGTGAGGGGTCCCTTCCCCATGGCCTTTGCTTTTAGCCCCTCAAATTTCTTCTGCTCCTCTTTTTGTTTCTGCTTGAAAGCCTTATCTTCAGCCATGTTCGGTCATTCACACCTGTAATCCCAGTACTTTGGGAGGCCAAGGCAGGTGGGTTAATTGAGCCCAGAAATTTGAGACCAGCCTGGGCAACATGGCAAAACCCTGTCACTACAAAAACATTTTAAAAATTAGCTGGGCATGGCGGCAGGTGCCTGTAGTCCCAGCTAATCAGGAGGCTAAGGCCAGAGAATCACTTGAGCCCAGGAGGTGGAGGTTGCAGTGAGCTGAGCCCAGGTTGCACCACTGCACTCCAGCCTGCACCACACTAAAAAAAAAAAAAAAAAAAAAAAGAAGGAATCCTTATCTTCTTCAACCTCCATCCGTCTTCTTGGCCTGTTTCTTGGGCTGTTTTAGGGACTTTTTCTTGCCACCTTCGTGGCCAGACATAGCGCCTACCACACCTTCCCCAGGCCCTGCACTGGAAACTGGCTCTGCTGTTCTGATGCCTTCTGAGCTCTGCCTCCTATGTGTGGCCTTCCTTTTCAGGATCACAGCAAGACTAGTAGCAGCAGTCCAAGCTTCACATCCAGATATGACAACATCCACAAAGAAAGAAAGCCCGTGTCTTCCTTGAAGTCTCTCCTAATCAGGGATGAGCCCTTCCTGGGAGTCTCCTGGCCATCTTTCCTCTGTGCCAGAGACTAAACCAGACTGATTTCCTGGATGCAGTTAGACTACATATTCCGGGCTCCTCAGCTATGGGCTGAGTTTTAGTCAAAGAAATTTGCAGAAGTGATGAGCATCTCTTCCAAGCCTGGTTCATAAAGCTTCCCATGCATAATCTTTTGTGTTTCTCTCCCCTCCACAGGCCTGATGCAAGTGTGCACGACAGCCCCAGAGGTAATTCTGGAAGGCGTTGGAGCCATCCAACAGAAGGAGCCTGGATCTTGAATCAGAGTTGGGAGAAGACTGACTTGATCATCAGCAACACTTGTTTTACATTTTACCTGAGCAAGGTACAAACTTCCTCCATGTGTAAGCCACTCTACATTTTGGGGGTAGGTTTGTTACATCCCACATCCCAAAATTGGATTGCATGCCCACCCCTTAGCCAATCATCGGCAAGAAGAATAGAACCATCATGGCTAGTTTGGATCAATCAGGATTTTCCCCTGGAATGGGAATAGAATCTCCCTTCTCTAGATTTCATGGGCAGTGTGGACACTTGAACTTAACAAGTCATGGCTCTGCTGGCAAGGAAGACAGTGGGGTGGCATCATGACAGGAAGCCAGTAGCATTTACAACAATCTAATATTCACTTTTCTGAGTTACATTATGGAGTCATGGCTTTTCACATACTCAACTGATTTCAATTAAGCATAATGTATTAGTCAGGATCCTCGTGGGAAAGAAACAGCATATTCAATGTTGGGTAATTTCAAGAGAGTTTAATAACAGGACTGTTTACGAAGATGTGGGCAGGGTGTAGGGAAACCACGTCACCTGGAGCCAGGAACAGGTGCTCTGTACTACTCCTAAATCCAAACGTGTTGAGTGGGCAGGCAACGATTAGAGCCCAGGGACAGGGGTTGCCCGGCAGGCGCAGTGGCTTGGGTTCAGAGACTCAGCCTACCCACAGCAACTCTGCCGAAGGGAGCTAGGGGAATAAGTGATCTGACCTCATTCTTCTCAATTCCCCTATCCTCTCACCAGTGAGCCCCACTGGCCAAACCCAGTTGGGAGCAGAGGACAAGGTTGCTTACTGATCTAGACTACAAGTTTGGAGCAGGGTGGAGAAGAGCAGAGAGTGGCTCTGGAGGGGCAGGTGGGAAGCAACCAACAGACAGAATCACTTTTGCGATGCTCGCCTTCTCACAGTGTGGCTGGTGGGGACCCTCTTTGTCCTCTCAGGCCTACTCAGGACATCTCTGAACAGATCTTGGCTCTGTAGCATCAACAATAGGTTCCAGCCTATCCCAGTTTTCACTGGCCCAAGACACAGAATCAACTCCCTCCCAACTCCAGAGTCCTGGAGTTAACTTCTACTGGAAAACAGACTTACAGAATACAATTTGTGTACTGGGGGTGCTCAGAAGGGCTGCTGTTGGGACATTTTTCATAGTGACAGAGCTTATCTTTTATAAGGTCATCAGCTGACAATGATTTTTTTCCAACCTATTATGTTAGTGACTCTTTCTTTACTTAGAACCGGTTTCCTTGGCTGTTAAAACTTCCTGTGTAGCTGGGAGCAGTGGCTCACGCCTGTAATCCCAGCACTTTGGGAGGCTGAAGTGCGCAGATCACCTGAGGTCGGGAGTTTGAGACCAGCCTGGCCAACACGGTGAAACCCCATCTCTACTTAAAATACAAAAAATTAGACAGGAGTGGTAGCATGTGCCTGTAATCCCAGCTACTTGGGAGGCTGAGGCAGGAGAATCACTTGAACCTGGGAGGTGGAGGCTGCAGTGAGCCAAGATCATGCCACCACACTTTAACCTGGGTGACATAGCAAGACTGTCTCAAAAAAAAAAAAAAGTACTGCAAGGCCAAGGGAGAGCTAAGAAAGTACCAGGAGTCACGGCCGGGCGCAGTGGCTCGTGTCTGTAACCCCAGCACTTTGGGAGGCGGAGGCGGGTGGATCACCTGAGGTCAGGAGTTCGAGACCAGCCTGACCAACATGGTGAAAACCCATCTCTACTAAAAATACAAAAATTAGCTGGGTGTGGTGGCGGGCTCCTATAATCCCAGCTACTCGGGAGGCTGAGGCAAGAGAATTGCTTGAACCTGGGAGGCGGAGGTTGCAGTGAGCTGAGATTGTGCCATTGTACTCCAGCCTGAACAACAGAGTAAGACTTCATCTCAAAAAAAAAAAAAAAAAAAGAAAGAAAGAAAGGAAGAAAGTACCAGGAGTCCTTGCAGCTCACCTTTCTTCTTCCCATCCCAAGTCTATCTTATAGGGATTACGATTTAGAGTCCATGATTAGAACTCTCCTTTCAAAAGCCAACCCTGGTAAATCTGGCAGAGGAAACCCTTCTTTGGAGGGCTCTGTTTTATAGACTTCGTCTCTAAAAACAAAACGAAAAAGACTTCCTGTGACAATGACAAAGAGACAGAAGCAGAGAAAAGCAGAGAGGAAAGTAGGAGAATTTACTGAGCTCCCCATGGCTCCCAGTCCTTGGCGCCCAGTGGCATCTCTGACCATGGGTTTTGTAAGACATTGTGTATGTCTTTCTAACATGTCTTCTTTCTGATTAAGAAAGCTGGATTCTGTTGCTTGCAAGCAAAAGTCTTACTCAGCTCACTCTGACTTCGAACGGATGCCACATCTTCTGCCACGCCCCCTTCAATTAGACTTGTTGGGGACAAACTTGTTTGTTTTGCGTAATCGGTCTTGTTGTATCTATACCCCCCACTGACTTCCTCATCCTCCTGGATTATTTAGAAGCAAATCTCAAACACAAATATTATTTATTACTTCATTAATCCTATTGCAGCTAGATTTGTCAATTATAAAATACTTAGCAGTATTTGGTCTTGTTTGAGGAATCCTCCATAAATTCTATAATTTTTCCTTTATTTATTTATTTTTTTTTTTGAGACAGGGCCTCTCTCTGTCGCCCAGGCTGGAGTACAGTGGTGCGATCTCTGCTCACTGCAACCTCTGCCTCCAAGGTTCAAGCAATTCTCCCACCTCAGCCTCCTGAGTAACTGGGACTACAGGCGCGTACCACCATACCCAACTAATTTTTGTATTTTTTGGTAGAGATGGGGTTTCACCATGTTGACCAGGCTGCTCTCAAACTCCTGATCTCAAGTGATCCGCCTGCCTTGGCCTTCCAAAGTGTTGGGATTATAGGTGTGAGCCACTGGGCTGGGCCTAATTTTTCTTTTAAAAAATTAAAGTTTTTGCTTTTTAATTTCAGTTATGTAATCCAACTGGAATTGACTTTGTGTGTGGCATGAGGTAGAGAATTTTGGAAAGTGATGAAAGTGTTCTGTATCCTAATTGTTGTGGTGGTTGTACAACTGCATGCAGTTGTTGAAACTCAGGACTATAAAAGGTTAACTTAACCGTATACAATACAGTAAATTTATTTATTTATTTGAGGCAGGGTCTCACTTTATCACCCAGGCTGAAGTGCAGTGGTGTGATCTCAGCTCACTGCAGGTTAGACCTCCCCAGCTCAAGCAATCCTCCCACCTCAGCCTCCTGAGTAGCTAAAACTACAGGTTTGCCACCGCACCTGGTTAATTTTTGCATTTTTTGTAGAGACGTGGTTTCGCCCTGTTACCCGGGCTGGTCTTGAACTCCTGAGCTCAAGCAATCCTCCTGCCTTGGCTTCCCAAAGTGCTGGGATTATAGGCAAGCACCACTACACCTGGCTTAGTACACTGATTATACCTTGATAAATCATTTAAAACCATCATTTGTCATTGGGGAAATGCAAATTAAAACCACAGTGACAGGATGAGGGCATGCCACAAGGACAGGAGCTAACACAGGAGCCACTGCTCCATGTTTTCTTTGGGGAACCATCTCTTCTCCATTCTCAGTCCATTCAGTGTAGGAGGCTTACTAGAGAGTGAAGTCTACTCAGAGCAGAAAAGAAACCATAAAAGAAAGAGAGAGAGTCAGTGAGCACTGAGGACATCGTTGAATCCTCTGGGCCCAGCTGTTCCTGAAGTCCGTTGTTGAACTTGTTCATTATTTTGCTTACTTTGGTTGGGACAATCAGTCCGGAAGCTAGCACAGTGGTCAGCCAGTCCATTGACTCATAATTGTTTTATAGTGGACACTTAGCTGGACGCTCTGAGGGAAGGGATTATAACAGGAATAAAATGACCATGACCTGCTCCTTGAGGTGATGGCATCCAAAGTAGTTGAGTAAACTTTACAAGGAAAGAGCATGAAACCTGTGGTCCCTGCCCTCAAGGGGTTCTCAGTCCACCAGGGGAGAGACAATTAAACAAATACAAAGCATTTGATGCAATAAGTGTGATGAATCCCTAAATATCTCCTTGTTATATATAATATATTCCATTGACCATATCATTCACTTTTTCACATTTAGCATTTCTGAAATTAGAACATATCTGGGATCAATGGTGTATCATTGTGGTCAGCCAGGAATCGCTGGCAATGTCGCTGCCGGTGACTCAGTGACCTTGAACACACCATTGCTATTGTTATCACTTCAAGTTGAGTCAACTACTCGCGTTGATTTAATTGCCTTTTAAAAGAGTGTACCGTGATTCAGCACTGAAATGGAAAGGTAGTGCATAGGCACAAAGGCACAGAAACAGAGCACCAAACGTCAATTTTACATTAGTCAAGAGAATGTTGGAAGAATGACTGTGGCTCATGTTTTCTTGCAACGTAATAACCACGTACTTCAGGAGTTTTATACTGAGTTGTGTGGAAAAAGACAGAATGTGGTGTGATTCAGAGATGGACTCTGAATATTAGGAAGTTTAGGGAATACTATAATCACTATATTTTACTTATATTTTCTTTTTCTTCCTTTATTTATTTAGAGATGGAGTCTCACTCTGTTGCCCAGGCTGGAGTGCAGTGGTGCGATCTTGGCTCACTGCAACCTCTGCCTCCCGGATTCAAGGGATTCTCCTACCTCAGCCTCCCAAGTAGCTGGGATTACAGGCACCTGGCACCACGCCCAGGTAATTTTTGTATTTTTAGTAGAGACAGGGTTTCGCCATGTTGGCCAGGCTGGTCTCAAACTCCTGACCTCAGATGGTCCACCCGCCTCGGCCTCCCAAAGTGCCGGGTTACAGGCATGAGCCATCGCACCCAGCCTATATTTCTTTTTAATGTATGCACAAGAATTTACGTGACAAAAATATGGGTCTAAGTAAGTCTAAAAGAGAGCTCTTTCAATATGTTTAAAATACATACCATAAGTGATAAGCAAGCTTTGCTATAGTTTCATAGGCAGCATATTTTTCCTTCTTAGAGGCATATAAAACAATGAAATCCCTTAGAATTGAATGTGCTTAGAGTCAGTAAACTCTGCTGGGTGCTTATTATGGGATAGGATTCAGGAGTGGGAGAATACACAACTCGCCATAGGAAGTTCCCTCCACACACAGATTACAAGGTGTTATGGCTGAAATGTTACCTAAAGGAAAGCTAACGCTCTACTTACGGGGTCCAGGGCTTTGGAGCGCGCCCAAGTCATCACCGTCGACAGTAAAATAAATAGCTTTCGCTTTTCAAAGTGGCTGACTTCTTCACTGAGTGCTGTGGGGCCAAAAAGCAGAGTGGTTATTTGGACCCATGCACAACTTGGTTTCTAAATCACGTGTACTATTAGTCACCAGTAGGAGCCACTTAACACCAGGGTGCTGTTACCTCTGATGCTTCTTTGACCTGTTCCCATCACCGTTCTTCAAATTCCCCCTGCTTTCTCGCTACCTGTATCCGAAATACGGATCCCAGCAGGTTGTTCACAACCAAGCATTTCAGTCTCATCAGTGCTCTCCACTGCAGCCCTTTCTCTCCACTATGCTCATCAGTTGCCTGATCCCTTCTGAGCTGAGCTCAGAATTGTGGCCCCTTTCTGTTTTCTGGCCTCTGGCCATGTGCTTTTACTTTTTGGGAGGGCTGGTGACAGTAAGGATCATAGGATCCTTATTAGAACAACTCATGGGCTTTGTTGAATTCCCCCCACTATGAGATAGGTATTCTGGGTTACAGATGCAGAAACCGAGGCACAGTTTGCCCAGGATCATAGAGGGAAGTGATGGGGCAGAGTCCAATCCAGGCTGTCTGGGTGCCAGGCCCATGCTGTACCCACCATGCCACCTAGCCAGCTGCCCAGAAAAGGGAGCAGGCTGGGGATGGGGCAGCAGAGGCCCCACATCAGAAAGTAAGGGCCTCTTAGGAGTTCCCATAAGGCAACCCTGTTCAGTGAAAGCCATGGTGGAAGGAAGTAATTCGGGGTGTGCCCACCCTTCCCACTCCACCCCTGGGGCTGTGGGCTGTAGTGGAGAGCACTGATAAGGCAGAAACGTTTGGTAATCAACAACTTGTAGGGATTCATATTTAGGATAGAGGTGGAGAGAAAGGAGAGCATTTTATTTCCAAAGGGTTTGCTGCTTTGCAAAAAGGCTCTCTACACATTTAAGCATTGATTCTCCTTGAATGTATTTGGCTAAGGGATTCCATTAACATATTCTTCATGATGTATAATTTTCAAGAAACATATCGGCCGGGCGTGGTGGCTCAAGCCTAATCCCAGCACTTTGGGAGGCCGAGGCGGGCGGATCACGAGGTCAGGAGATCAAGACCATCCTGGCTAACACAGTGAAACCCTGTCTCTACTAAAAATACAAAAAATTAGCTGGGCGTGGTGGCGGGCATCTGTAGTCCCAGCTACTTGGGAGGCTGAGGCAGGAGAATGGCGTGTACCCGGGAGGCGGAGCTTGCAGTGAGCCGAGATTGCGCCACTGCACTCCAGCCTAGGCAACAGAGCGAGACTCTGTCTCAAAAAAAAAAAAAAAAAAAGAAAAGAAAGAAAGAAACATATCAGAGCTGCAAAGTGAGGTCTAATTAAACTGTCAGAGGGGCTAAGTAATGCAGCTGCCATGGTATGATTTTAGTATCATGAGGTGATTCCCTAAACAAAAGCAACAAAATGAAATGCTGATATCCTGGATCTAAGTGTATTGATTTCTACCCTAAAACGAGAAAGCGTTATTGAATTAAGTCTAAGAACACTATGATCACGTATTATTCCAAACTTTGTGTTACTTTTGTTTCTATTTTTAGTCTAATAACAAAAATTGTCTCTTCAATTTAATTTTGCTCTTTTAACCTTTCTGCCCTGCCGAGCTTTAGTTTGGCCTATTTTGTGAATACTTGGCACACTTTGAGGTCCTCTAACTGGGTTATCCTTTTTTATTTATGATATTTATAACAGGTCTAGAATGATCTGCTTGTTCCCCTTTGAACACACCCTTCATCTATATGCAGATATTTTCTCTCCTTTCTAATAATGTATTCCTTTCTCTTCTGTCATCTTGCCTTCCTTCCATAGTATCTGCGAAAGGCAAGGTAGGAGAATTCTAAGACATTTAAAAATAATTTAATAAAACATTATTAAAAATAATACATAGCTGGGTGTGGTGGTTCACGTCTGTAATCCCAGCCCTGTTGGAGGCTGAGGATCGCTTGAGGCCAGAAGCTGGAGACCACCCTGGGCAACATAGCTAGACTTTGTCTCTACAAAAAATTTTTTAAAAATAGCTGGATGCACACCTGTAATTCTAGCTACTCAGGAGGCTGAGGCAGGAGGATTGCTTGAGGCCAGGAGTTTGAGGCTGTAGTAAGCTATGATATACTGCTGCACTCCAGCCTGGGTGACAGAGCAAGACCCTATCTTTAAAAAAAAAAGAAAGGAATACATATCCATTGCGAGAAAAACAAAATCTAAGAATGTGCAGTAGGTAAAATGACAAAGTCCCCATCCCTTACCAACCTCATGCCCTACCAACCCCATACCCCCCAGGTGACTCTGGTGACAGATTGAAGGATCTCTGACTATATTTTCTTGCAGACACAAACACTCTATATCTCAAAAATGAAGTAATTCAGCTAAAAGTTTTCCTCTAAATAGAAAAGGAAAATTTTCTTGATGATTCGAACCTCTTTATTAGAAGGAAGCAGTAAAACACTCTACATTTTAAAGCTCATGAAAGGAAATGCAGTGTCAAAGCTTGAGAAAAGGTTACATTTCCTTGAGGGGGAGAGGGTGGTCCTAAGAAAGGCCAATGCCCATCTGTGACAGCAGGAAGTCAGTGGTTAATGTCTGAAATTCACAATCAAGAGGCACCTATGGAGGCATTTGGATGTATTAAATGAGGTTGCTTGGCCGGGCACAGTGGCTCACTCCTGTAATCCCAGCACTGGGAGGCTGAGGCAGGAGAATCACTTGAACCCGGGAGGTGGAGACTGCAGTGAGCCAAGACAGTGCCACTGCACTCCAGCCTGGGTGACAGAGCAAGATCTTGCCTCAAAAAAAAAAAAAATGAGGTTGCTTTGGGGGGACATGAAACACAAAGGCACCATCTTACTAAACAGCACTTCATTCTCTTAGACTTGAGGTCCTTACATTACAGTTCATTACACTTTTCAAAGCAAGATGACAGAGCAAGATCTTGTCTCAAAACAAAAAAAGAGGTTGCTTTGGAGGAGGTGAATCACAAAAGCACCACCTTGCTAGACACCACTTCATTCTCTTAGACTTGAGGTCCTTAGAATTCATTACATTTTTCAAAGCACTTTCAAAATACAAGCACTCTCTACAAGCCTTCCTTGACCTTTGGCATCAGGGAACATTTGTTGAATTGAATCAAATATTTAGAGTTGGAAATAATTCCTCCCCTCTTAAAGTCACGTGGCTCTTATACACAACTTCCTTGTGAGCGCACCCCCCTTTGTTGAGTTAAAGTTTCTCTTGGGTGCCTTGTCTCTTGTGTGATGACTTGTGCCTTGGGGTACCTTTTCTTATCTGTCTTTGTATCTGCCCTGTACATTCAACCCCACCTCCTTAAGCAGCGCCTATGGAATGAGTCAGGTTGCATTTTAAAAGTTAAATGTTTTGGTAAGGCATTGTGGCTCACGCCTGTAACTCCAGTGCTTTGGGAGGCTGAGGCTGGAGGATGGCTTGAGGCCAGGGGTTTGAGACCAGCCTGGACAACATAGCAAGTCCCCATCTCTGCCAAAAAAAAAAAAATTAGCTGGGGTATGGTGGCACAAGCCTGTAGTGCCAGCTACTCAAGAGGCTGAGGCAGGAGGATCTCTTGAGCCCAGGAGTTCGAGGCTGTAGTGAGCTATGATCAGGTCACTTCAGCCTGGTAATGTTTCATTTTAAAAACATATATTTATTTTATTTTATTATTTTTGTAGAGACGAGGTCTTGTCACGTTGTCCAGGCTGGTCTTGAACTCCTGGGCTCAATAATCCTCCCACCTCGGCCTCCCAAAGTATTAGGATTACAGGCATGAGTCAGTGTGCCGGCCTTCATTTTTTTGATAATTAAAAATATTCTATTCTTCAGAAGTATCTATCCATATTATTATCATGGATTTCATACTTTAGGTAAGTCTCAGACCAGTTTTTCTATAGCCCTACTTTGTCTAGTGTTCCTAGATGACTATTAGGTGAAGTAGGCAGCACTACAATAGCATCCCTGGAGATAAAAGAGTACACCTCACTGACCAGAGACTGCCCAGATGGCTTCCTCCATTTGCTGTGAGCTCTCAGTGATGTTATAAATAATAACATCACACTCCAGCAGGCGCATGAGAAGGTCTTCTCGAGAGATGGCCTGAAAAAGAAAATTGACAGCCATTTGCAGCAAGACGCTAACAAGGTAACCTTCATATTTCAATGAAATGATAATTTTCAAAATACATATGCTACACTGAGGAGTCCCACAGGAAACACTTGCAGGAGGATTTCTATTTAAAATGAAATTGTGACTCTCTTCTGTGTGTAGTTTTCAAGTAACAAAGAAGTTTATGAAAACAGCTTGGAACAGATGATTTAAAAATTGCATAATAATCTTAGGTTCTATTTCTGCATGCTGTTTAAACTCCAATTCAGAAGGGAAGAATTAGAACACACTGAAAGAAAATGAGTGAGGCATTTAAAACTAATTCAAACTCTATGCAAGATTATTTGAGCAATTATATACCACGAATCACTCAGAAGTGCTGATGAATGATGAATGTGGATTGTCATAGAATTCTCAAGATGGATTTAATCTGTTCTCTTTCTAGATGTAAGGTACCTTATTACAGTTGACAGCCGGGAATATTTTAAAAATACAGAAACTTTTAATGATTAAAAATGTAAAGTTTATACATTAAATAGAAGTAACTTTGCTGCTTTGCTGATCATTTTTGGTGTTTTTTTTTTTTTTTTTTTTTTTAATTTGAGACACAGTTTCACTCTGTTTTGCCCAGGCTGGAGTGCAGTGGCGTGATCTCAGCTCACTGCAACCTCCCCCTCCCAGGTCCAAGTGGTTCTCATACCTCAGCCTCCCAAGTAGCTGGGACTACAGGCACATGCCACCATGCCTGGCTTTTTTTTTCTTTTTTGTAGAGATGGGGTTTCACCATGTTGGCCAGGCTGGTCTCAAACTCTTGACCTCTGGTGATCTGCCCACCTTGGCCTCCCAAAAGGTTGGGATTACAGGCGTGAATCTCGGTTCCAGCTGTTGATCATTGTGTTTTAACTAGTCAATCCTTGCTGCATGAATACCAGTACACTTCCCAATAGTACAATACCTTGAGTGCATTAAGAGAACCATAAAAGGACCCCGCATTTCCAAACTAAGATTTGCATTAGTTGTTATTCCCATTGTCCTGAACATCAGCTATTTTCCGCAGTTCCTTGACCAACTGTATTAAAGCAGAACCTTTTAGACCAAGCTGGGTCTCTTCCTTTATTGAAAAACAAAGGGAAGTTGATGCCTTTCCTTAGGAAATGACAGTTCTGCCTTGGCAAGGTTAATACGTCCTTGTTAAATTCAACAGCATGCACTAGGTTGCTAGTTTCTCCAGCCCTGTTCCCTAGATTCTTTTGGATGAATCTGCATTAGTTTTCTAGGGCTGTTGTAACAAACTGCCACAAACTGCATGGCTTGAACAACCAAAGTCTCACTGTTCTGGAAGCTAAAAACCCAGGATCAAGGTGTTGTAGGGTTGGTTCCCTCTAAGGGCTGAGAGGGAGAGTCTGTTCTGTGCCTCTCCTCTAGCTTCTGCTTGTTTGCTGGCAATCTGTTCCTCGTCTTGTATATGCATCACCCTGATCTCCACCTTGATATTCACATGATGTTCTACCTGTGTGCCATCTGTGTCTAAATTTCCCCTTTTTATAAGCTCACTGGTCATATTGGATGATAAGACCACTTTAATGACCTCCATTTATTTATTTATTTATTTATTTATTTATTTATTTATTTAAGACAGAGTCTTGCTCTGTTGCCCAGGCTGGAGTGCAGTGGCACAATCTCAGCTCACTGCAACCTCCACCTCCCAGATTCAAGCAATTCTCCCTGCCTCAGCCTCCCGAGTAGCTGGGATTACAGGCACCCACTATTTTTGTATTTTTAGTACAGACGGGGTTTCACAATGTTGGCCGGGTTGGTCTTGAACTCCTGACCTCAGGTGATCCGCCCGCTTGGCCTCCCAAAGTACTGGGATTACAGGCGTGAGCTACTGCGCCTGGCTGATGACCTCCATTTAATTGGATTTCCTCTGCAAACACCCTATCTCCAAATATGGCCATATTCAGAAATACTGGGGGTTAGGATTTCAATATATCTCTTGGGGGTGGGGGAGAAACAACTCGACCCATACCACCAGCCATTCACTTCCTTCTCTTGGCTGAATGTGCAAGAGGGAAGCCACTGACAATTTTGATCCAAACATTGATTTTTACTTTACCAGTAGCATGACAGTGGGAAAGGAAACTACCTTCCCAGTACACCTAGGATGGATCAAGATCCAGAAATGACACATGAAAGAAAAGAAGAAAACACTGGGAGAATACGAGGACTCAAAGATGTGTATTCTAGATGTGGCCCAAGAGAAAGAAGATACAGCATCTATGTTTCCAGCTTGTAAAAGCAGGTGGGAGTGGTGTCCACAGAAAAACACGCACACGTGTCAAATTATGGTTGGCTCTATTTAAGATGAAACAGCCGCATTTTCAGGAGAATGGTTGTCCTGACCCGATGGGGACTGACCATTTTTGTGCATTCATTTGTTCACCCAACAAACATTTGTGGGCCCTGCTTTTGACTGTAGTAATAGAGGCAAAAATGAATAATATATAGCTGCTGATACTAAGAAGAATTGTGTGTGTGTGTGTGTGTGTGTGTGTGTGTGTGCATCTGTGTATGCACTTTCTTGAGAAGATTTATATTATACCAAATAATTATGGTCTAATGTAGACAAGGGCCCAACCAAGCACATATGAAGCCGTTGTACAAATGAGAAAAAAGGTAACCTGCTTGGTGAAAAAATTATAAGAAGGGCTAAACTCTGGGGCCCAGGACAGCCAACATAACAGGCTGCTCTTCAGCCCCTACTCACGCCCTTAGCCAGGCACTCTTGTACAGTGTGCAACCTGTACAGCCAGACACAGAAGACCCAAATGTGGAAAGGGCTGTCATAGAGGTACATCTGAGATTCAATGGACTAAGAGAAAGACATGATTTTGTCTCATAGGAGAAGATATTTGAGTTGGGCTGGAAGGATGAATACAAGCTCACCTGGCAGAGCCCAGAATGCTCAGGGAATAGCAGGTGACTTGTTGAGCCAGGTAGAGGCACCTTTCATAACCTGAACCAGGCTAACGGTTTCCATTCTCACCTTTCCCTCACCTTTTATTCATTTTTTGCTGGTCTTCTCTGTATCATTCCAATTTGAGCATATGTGCCGCTGAAGCGAGCACTCTCCCCCACCTTTTCTGCCACCTTTGTGTCTTCCCTGTGGTTCCCATAACCCATGCTCTTTCTCTGCCACAGCGCACCATATACTTTCCCAGGCATTCCCCCTTGCATGGTGTTTCCTTCCTCCCTTACTTGTCTTGCAAGCTCCACTCAACCACGGAAGACCAGCCTCAGCCCCACCATCTCCAGTAGATCCCAACCTTCCAAGGGAGGGCCATCTGCAGGACTTTGTGCTAATGGAGGCTCCAGGATCTCAAGATCAGAGCACAGGAGGCCCCGATCTGTTTGGCAGGAGGGATTTGAAGCTTCATTTGCCTGTCTCTCTAGATAAGACTGAGAATTCCTTAGGTGCCCCTTTCAGAGAGCCTTGGGTGATGCTCTGTGCATGCCTCTGTCCCCACATCTACTGTCACAGAGTCCCTGCCAAGCCGTGAGCTCCACGTTCATCTGTGGATCATTAGGGTGCACAGGAAACATTCGCAGAATCAAATTCAGGTGAGTAGTGAGAGATGCTGGAGATCAGGACTAAGGCACATGGCTATGAGAATGGAAAGGAGGGGCTGACTGGACACCTGACAGAGAGGTGTGCTGAGGACCCCGTGACCAATAGGATTCAGGAGTCAAGGGCAAGGGAAGAGCCCACAGCTCTCTGAGGTTTTCAGCTTTGATGGAAGGCGAGTGCATAATGAACGGGATAAAAGACACTATTCGTTGTCTACAAACTTACATTTCCTCTTCCTTTTCTCCAACAGAACCCCAATTTTGCTTCAGATACTCCTCAGCCTGCGGGAAATTAACTCCCTCTTCTGGCTTAAAGGATGAGCCTAATTGATCTAAGGGTAAGTGACTGGCTCAGGAAAGGGACAATGATTCCATTCACGACAGTGAGACTCAAAGAGATGCTTGCCAGGGACTGCTGGCAATGTCCATCGTCCTTTCTCTGAGACCTTCTGGAAGTTTGCTTTGCCAGAGCGTCACTGTGTATGAACTAAGGCCCTGGACTGTTGCAGCCTTACTGCCAGCCTGAAGATAAAGTCATCCCTCAAGGAGGGCAGAGCCCAGGAAGGGGCAGGAAGAGGAGCTGGAGCCTGTGGATCAGCTCTGAAGCCGGTTCCACTTCTGGGCCACTAGCTACATAAGCTGATGAATTTCCTTATTTATTAAGCCAGTTTGGGTCACCTCTGTTTTCTATTACATGCGGTCCAACACAGCCCCAATTGATAGAGATAGCAAGGTCTTTAATAAAAATCAGTAGTACAAAGTCATACAAAGAGTGGTTTTGGGCCGGGCGTGGTGGCTCAGGCCTGTAATCCCAGCACTTTGGGAGGCCAAGGTGGGCAGATCATCTAAGACCAGAAGTTCAAGACCAGCCTGGACAACTTAGTGAAACCATGTATCCACTAAAGATACAAAAAATTAGCTGGGTGTGGTGGCACGCGCTTGTAGTCCCAGCTACTCGGGAGGCTGAGGCAGGAGAATCGCTTGAACCCAGGAGGCGAAGGTTGCAGTAAGCCGAGATCGCGCCACTGCACTTCAGTCTGGGCAACAGAGTGAGACTCCATCTCAAAAAAAAAAAAAAAAAAAAAAAAAAGATTGTTTTTGTAGCGGGGTCTAATAAATATGATTTTGGATATGTTGATTCAGCAATGCCTGCAGGACAACCGGGGACTGGTCTAGGAGGCAGTCGGATTTGGAGGCTGCAGACAGGCAAAAAAAGCACTGGCTATATGGGGAGCTGAAGCTATAGGGTTGGATAAGATTTAGGAAGGTCATCTGTTGTAGGAAGGGAGTGAGCTCTGGGGAAAACCGCATTTAAAGGGTAAAAGAGGAAAAGGAGCCAGAGAAAGAAGCTGGGAAGGAGGACTTGGGCGCTTAGTCAGTGCAGAGCCGAGGCACAAGAAGGGAAGGCGAGTTTCTCTCGGGAAGCCAGGCTGCTGCTGTGAAGCCAGGTGAGCTAAGCCCCTCGGGAGTCAGGGGACTGCTGGTGACATCGGCCAGGGCACCTCCTGTGAAGTGTTGTGGGCAGGGCCAGCCAGCATTGGATAGACCAGTGAATGGCGGGGGTGAAGGGGTGAGACCTGCAAATGCGGCTGGTCTCCTGAAGTTCAGTGGTGGCAGGGGCCGGGGCAGAGAAAGAGGCTGGTGGCCAGCAGGGAGGCCAAGTTAAGTGTTTTTTACAGCAGGAATGATTTGAGCATATGTGTAGGTATAGAGGAAGAAGCCAGTGGCAAGAAGAGAGAGAAGGGAGGTGAATGGGAAAGAATACCCGGAAGACAGGGGAAGGAGGTGAATGGGAAGGTCCCAAAGATGTCTGGAGGGGATGCATTCGTCCATTCCACAAGTGTTTATTGAGGCCACTTTGTGGCAGTGGCTGTGTTAGGTGCCACAGATACATGGATAAACACAGGGATAAACAAGTCACGGTCTCCACCCTCAAGGAGCTGACAGTCAGTGTCCATGGACCCCCACGATAGACAGGTGATAACAACGAGTGTGAAAAGCACTATGATCTAGGCAGGCAAAGGATGATATGGGAGCTCAGAAAAGAGCTCAGAATCCAAACTGGGAGTGAGGGAGAAGTAGGAATCATGAACGGCTTCCTGGAGGAAGAGACACAACTCTTGAAGGATGAATAAAAAAAAAAAGAGAGAAGGCCACTCCAGGGTACAGCATGTGGAAAGCTGTATGGTAGGCTCCAGAGAGTAGCAGGCAGGGTAAGGGAGGAGTTGGCCCAGGAGAAGAAGAGGGCCACTTCTTCTCAGACATTTAAATGTCTCAGGACTAGGACTGTGTTGAATTTGTCACGTGGAGACAGCATTGTTTCTGGAGACAGCAGTGGTATATTATTCCTGAGTGGTGCATTACCAAAGGATGTTTCTCTTAAAAAATTATTTTCATAAATATAAGAGACAGGATCTTGCTATGTTGCCCAGGCTGGTCTCGAACCCCTGGCCTTAAGCGATCCTCCCTCCTCAGCCTCCCAAAGTGCTGGGATTACAGGCGTAAGCCACCGCGCCTGGCCTATTTCTCCTTCACAGATGGCACCCATCATGGCACAGACTCGTCTTGGATAATGCAAGGCAGAATATGCTGAAGAGGAGAACTGTATGAGTCTGAAAGTCCAACTTAGATCCATCCTTTCCAACACTATCTAATTTAAACTCTTTGCTTTGGCCGAAAATTAAAAGTGGGGTCTGTGAGGTAAATCTCCATTACAGGAGAAAGCCATTCCCTCAACCTGGCCATGTCTGTGGAAGAGAGGGGAGGGGAGGCAAACAGTAAAACAAGTTGTCAAGGCGTTGGAGCGGAAGGTGACTCTTCCCTCTGTCTACTCCTGGCCAGAGCCTCCGGGACTTACAGAGTACGTCTCCACCGCAAAGTCAGGCCGCGGGCTGTCAGGCTTGGACAGCGTGCCCACAATCTGGAATGTGCCTTCCTTCACTTTGGTTGAGGAAGCTTCCAGCATAGCTGACTTATTTTCATCTTCCTCTTCCTCTTCCTCTGTAATTTCTTCAAGCGAAGCCCCAACTACACAGTTAGATAGAAACTGCAAGGAAACAGAAATTTCCCAAATGGTAAGAGAAAATTAGAGTCAGGGGGCCAGTGAATGATGATTCTAGAAACTTACCTTTCCCGAGTGCTTGCTGGGTGCCACCAAGGCAAAGCAAATGCTTTGCACACTGTCATCTCATTTAAGTTGATTGCATTCCTGGAGGAGTGGGTACTGTTATAATTCCCCATTTTACAGATGAGGAACTCAGGGTCAGAGAGCTTAATTAACTTGTTTCCGGATACTGCACTCCTCTAGCAGCAGGCAGAGCTGGGTCACAGTGATGATGTTTGTGTTGTCCAACAGAAATATAGAAATGTAATAGGAGCCACATAGGTTATTTTATTTTATTGTTAAAGATGTGGTCTTGCTATGTTGCCTAGGCTGGTTTCAAACTCCTGGGGTCCTCCTGCCTCAGCCTCCTGAGTAGCTGGGACTACAGGCACTTATGTAGTTTTAAATTTTCTAGTAGCAACATTTTAAAGAGTGAAAACAAAGGGTAAAATTAATTTAAATGCTGTGAGGTTGGGCGCAGTGGCTCATGCCTGTAATCCCAGCACTTTGGGAGGCTGAGGCAGGTGGATCACTTGAGGTCAGGAGCTCGACACCAGCCTGGCCAACATGGTGAAACCTCGTCTCTACTAAAAATACAAAAATTAGCTGGGCATGGCGGTGCACACCTGTAGTCCCCGCTACTCGGGAGGCTGAGACAGGAGAATTGCTTGAACCTGGGAGGTGGAAGTTGCAGTGAGCCTAGATTGTGCCATTGCACTCCAGCCTTGGCAACAGAGCAAGACTCCGCCTAAAAAAAAAAAATTAAATGCTGTGGTATTTAATGCAATATATCCAAAATATTATCAACTTAATATGTAATCAATATAAAAATTATTGAGATATTTTATTTTTATTTGAAATTCAATCTGCATTTTACACTGAAAGTACATCTCCATTTGGACTAGCGACATTTCTTTTTTTGAGACAGAGTCTCATTCTGTTGCTCAGGCTGGAGTGCAGTGGTGCAAGCATAGCTCACTGCAACCTCAAACTCCTGGCCTCAACCAATCCTCCGGCCTCAGCCTCCTGAGTAGCTGGGACTATAGGTGTGTGCCACCACGCCTGGCTAATTTTTTATTTTTATATTTATTTTTGTAGAAATGGGGTATTGCTGTTGTTGCCCAGGCTGGTGTGGACTAACCACATTTAAATGTTCAATGGCTACATGTGGCCAGTGGCTACAGTATTGAATAATGAAATAGAAAGAAGTTGGCGAAGTTTCTCTTCTTGCTTTCCAAAAGCTATCCTTAGAAGTGGCTTCTGTGGTGATTAAGAGTTTCATTCGTTTATATGTCAATACTTACTTATATATGTCAACAATCATTTTATTTTAATTTATCTATTAAGCATATATAAATAATCATTGCATTACCATACCTTGGGAATAAAGATATAATAAAACCAAATAAACAGAAAGTCCCACCTCATTTATTTTGATAGAAAACAGTCCAGGTTAGCATGCAAGATTGCCAGCTTCAACCTCCTAGTGGAATATTTTTCTCCCAAGTAAATTATGTATGTTTTCATTTCATTTATCTCTCAAACATACATATTCAATTTTATTATCCTCTTTCACAGTTGAGGAAACTGAAGCCCAGCAAAAAGAGATGGGGCTGGGGTGGCATTGCCCAACTGGATTGTAAGCCTAACGACGAGACACAGCTTCCATTTCTCTTATATTCCTCATATTCCCACTCCCATATTCCTTGGAGCAGATGATCAGTAATTACCTGGAATTTGAGAAAGGCCCTAATTAATTAAGGACCAACTAGAAAATTCTGTTATTGAAAAGTTTTTGAAAAAGATCTCTGGACAGAGCGTGGTGGCTCATGCCTATAATCCCAGCACTTTGGGAGACCAAGGCAGGAGGATTGCTAGAAAAAGATCTCTGTATACTAAAAGAAGTTTCATTACAAAAATATTGTTATAAAAAATAATCAAGATCTTTGGGAGGCCAAGGCAGGCAGATCACGAGGTCAGGAGATCGAGACCATCCTGGCCAACATGGTGAAACTCCGTCTCTACTAAAAATACAAAAATTAGCTGGGCATGGTGGCACATGCCTGTAATCCCAGCTACTCGGGAGGCTGAGGCAGGAGAATCGCCTGAACCCAGGAGGTGGAAGTTGCAGTGAGCCAAGATCATGCTACTGTACTCCAGCCTGGCAACAGAGCAAGACTCTGTCTCAAAAAAAAAAAAAAAAAAAAAAAAAAAAAATTCAAAATCAAAAGGGGATTAATTTAAGGAAGGAGATAAACTCCCTTCCCTCATTCTTTTTTTTTTTTTTTTTTTTTTTTTTCTAGAGACAAGGTTTTACTCTGCCCTATGTATACCTCCCAGGCTGGAATGCAGTGATGCGATCACAGCTCACTGTAGCCTCAAACTGGGCTCAAGTGATCCTCCCCATTCTGCCTCCTGAGCAGCTGGGAAGGTAGGCGTGTGCCACCATGCCCAGATTCTCCTTCATTCCTAATCTCAATCATGTTCATATCACCTCCGTTTTTTGTACAGGTGACCCTTGAACAACACCGGTTTGAACTTTGTAGGTCCACTCATCCACTTCTTTTCTTCCACCTCTGCCACCCCTGAGACCAGCCCCTCTTCTTCATCCTCTGCCTCAGCCTATGCAACATGAACACAAAGAGGATGAAGACCTTTAGGACAACCCACTTCTGTTTAATGAATAGTAAATATATTTGTCTTCTTTATGATTTTCTTAGAAACATTTTCTTTCCTCTAGCTTACTTTATTGTAAGAACGCAGTATATTTGATGTGTACAAAATATGTGTTGACTTTTTATGTTATTGGTAAGGGTTCCTGTTAACAATAGGTTATTAGTAGTTTAGTTCTGGGGAGACAAAAGTTATACACAGCCTGCAGTCCCAGCTACTCAGGACACTGAGGTGGGAAGATCACTTGAGCCCAGGAGCTCGAGTCCAGCCTGGCCGACGTTAATGAGACCCATGTCTCTAAACATACATAAATAAATAAGAGTTATGTGCAGAGTTTCGACTGTCTTCTCTATATCTGTATCTCTTTTTTTGGCAGATTTTTACTCTGTTGCCCAGGCTGGAGTGCAGTGGTGTGATCTCGGCTCACTGCAAACTCTGTCTCCCAGGTTCAAATGATTCTCCTGCCTCGGCCTCTGGAGTAGCTGGGATTACAGGCGCAAGCCACCACACCTGGCTAATTTTTGTATTTTTAGTAGAGATGGGATTTTGCTATGTTGGCCAGGCTAGTCTCGAACTCCTGACCTCAAGTGATCCGCTTGCCTTGGCCTCCCAAATTGCTGGGATTACAGGCATGAGCCACTGTGCCCAGCCTGTATCTGTATCTTTTTGAAAAACAAAACCCCTAACCCCTGCGTTGTTCAAGGCTTCCCACTGAATTTAGAGGATAAACCAAACTCCTGGCCAAGGCCATCCATGACCTGGCCCTCTGTGCTGGCCTCTGCTCCACTAATCTATGTAATAAATTTCTATGGAGCACAGACCATGAGTGCATCCCGGCTTAGGAGCTGAGTAGGGCCACATTCTGGGCTCCCTGGGCCCCTTCCTCCATTAAAAAAAAAATTTAAACATTATATTTCTCAATTGCATGCTATAAAGAAAAACACATTCATTGACTCTAAGATTTCATTTGTTTCCTTCTGATTTTAAAAGAAATTAGCACACTTTTTGTGGGCCCCTAAAAGTCTCATGGGCCCTGGGCATGGTACTTGCTGCACCTAATGAAGTGGGCCCAGGAAGCCCTGGTGCACTGCCCCCTAGCACTGTGCATACAAAAACCGCCAACCCTATTCCTACTTTGGAACCTGTGCTTTTGCTGTGCCCTCTGAGAACTATTTTCTCTGGCTTGAGCCTCATCCTGTGTATGTTAGATTAAATGTCACCATTTTTTTTTTTTTTGAGATGGAGTTTCACTCTGTTGCCCAGGCTGGAGCGAAGTGGTGCAATCTCGGCTCACTGCAACCTCCGCCCCCTGGGTTCAAGTGATTTTCCTGCCTCAGCCTCCAGAGCAGCTGAGATTATAGGCGCCTGCCACCACGCCCGGTTAATTTTTGTACTTTTAGTAGAGACAGGGTTTCACTATGTTGGCCAGGCTGGTCTCGAACTCCTGACCTCAGGTGATCCACCCACCTCGGCCTCCCAAAGTGCTAGTATTACACCACGCCCACCCTAAATCTCTGTTTTTTGATGGATGCATTTTAGATGGTACACTGGGTTAAATAGCGTCTACCCCCACCAAATTCCTGTCCTCTTAGAACCTGTGAATGTGGCCTTATTTGGAAATAGGGTCTTTGCAGATGTAATCAAGTTAAAATGAAGCCATATTGGATAGGGTGAGTCCTCATCCAACAACTGGTGTCCTTATGAGAAGAGGGAAGTTTTGACACAGAGACACAGGGGAGAGAACACCATGTGAAGAAGGTGGCAGAGATTGGAGTCTACTGCCAAGGGGTGCCAAGAATTATTGGCAACTACCAGAAGCTAGGAGAGGGGCAAGCAACAGTTCTTCCCCTGGAGCTTCCAGTAGAAACCAACCCTGCTGACACCTTGATCTTGGACTTCTGCCCTCAAGAACTGCGAGAGAATAATTTCTGTTTTATAAGGTCATCCAGTTTGTGGCAATTGGTTACCACAGCCCTAGAAAACTAATACAGATTGTACGTACTGTAGCCTCATCCTATTTTAAGCAGATTTGTCCTGTTCGAAAGTGCAGTCATTAGCCTCAGAGAAGTCTGTCCAGGGTGAGATTAGATTTCTCTGTAGCTCTAGAGGACAGAATTCAGATGGACGGGTCCTACCCACAGGGAATGATAAAATCATGGCTTTCTTTTGACAACTGATCATATTAGCATGAAGGGCCCCAGAGCCCTTTTTCTGAATATCTTCATTTTCCAGGGATAAAGACACAGAAAGGTGAGGAAACTTAATGGAACTCGGGGACCCAAACAGTGTCTGGTCCATAATAGATGCTCAAAAACCATATATTGAAGGGATGGATGAATGAAAAACGCTTCATGGGCAATATAAAAATTTGATTTACTCACGCCTGTAATCCCTTTTGGATTTACTCGGCCTGTAATTTGGGAGGCCGAGACGGGTGGGTCACGAGGTCAGGAGATCGATCGAGACCATCCTGGCTAACACAGTGAAACCCCGTCTCTGCTAAAAATACAAAAAATTAGCCGGGCGCGGTGTCGGGCGCCTGTAGTCCCAGCTACTCGGAGGCTGAGGCAGGAGAATGGCGTGAACCCGGGAGGCGGAGCTTGCAGTGAGCCGAGATCGCGCCACTGCACTCCAGCCTGGGCGACAGAGCAAGGCTCCGTCTCAAAAAAAAAAAATTGATTTATTTTCTCGTTTAGCTGCCTGCTTCAAAATCGATGGAAGGGTAGAAAGAGAACCTAGGAGGGGGCAAGAGACCTGGAGTCTCTGTCCAGGTTCTGGCCTCAACTCTCTATGTGATCTTGGGCAAGTCCCTGCCTCTTAGCCTCAGTTTCCCCTCATTAAAAGGAGGAACAGGGGATGGACCAGTGATTTCCAGACACCTGAGCTTCCATGTAGAATCTCTTGACCAGCCTGGGTGCGGACTGGGGTCCAGGGGGCATTGGTGGTGCCCAGGACGCGGGACCCTCCCTGAGGAAAGGCCCCGACAGCGCCCTGGGGCGCAGACCCTCGCTGGGTTTGCGGACCGGGGGCCGAGGGCTGGGAGCTGAGAGCTGGCGTGAGGCTCTGGGCCGCCGCCGCCGCTCACCTTCCCGATGTTTCCGCTGCTGTAGGAATCCAACAGGTTTATAAACACCCTCTGGGTCCGGATAACCTTCTCCGTGAGAGCAGCAGTTTCCTCTTCTTCAGCCATGGTGGGAGCCGCGCTGGTTGCTAAGGTGAAAGCGCCACTCGCTTGCCAAGGAGGCGGGGCCCGGGCCAGGGAGGCGGGGCAGGTTCTCTCTGGGGGCGGGGCCTTGGCTCCGGGCAGTTTGCCGGGCGGGGAGGGGCGTGTCGTGGGCGAAGCAGGGAGTGCCGGGCGGGGCGGTGCGTGTCGTGCCCGGCGCTAATCAGGGCGTGCCAGGCGGGACGGGGCAGGCTGTGCCGGTCGCTGGGCGGGGCGTGCCGGGTAGGGCGGGGCGAGTCGTGCCGGGGGGTTGGGCGGGGCATGCCGGGCAGGGCGGGGTGTGTAGTGCAGTGGGCTGGGCGGGGCGCGCCGGGCGAAGCGGGGCTCAGGGCTCGCAACTGCGCGCGCTGTCGGCTGCTGGGCGCCAGGCGGATGTCCCTGCGAGTGCTTTCCGCGGCGCCGCGCGTGCAGCCCGGGTCTCACCCTGGCTTGCTGCCCACTGGGAGCCCTTGGGCAGTGCATGGTTTCTTTCCGAAGCTCCCTGGGCGTCTGTCCCGGGGGGCCATGTGATTGCTGTGCCTTTTTAATCTCCATTGTTCGGAAAGTCTGGAAACACATCCCTGTGTCCGCTTGACCCGATGACTAAAAATAATGAGAATTCTGAAGAAGAGGGAATGGCCCACAGCCTAGGCCTCTCCCCGACACGTGGGAGTTACTCAGCACGCTCCCATGGGGTGGTCTGGCCGGGGCGACGGGACGTAAGCCTCAGCTGCGAAGAAAAGCTGTTGCCATGGAGTTTCGGGCTCCCGAACACCCGAGCGACGCTAGCGTGGTCCCGCCTTGCGGCAGGTGCGGCTTGGTCCGCCGGCTCAGCTCCCTTGGGGGTTGTTTCCAGACGCACGTTCCGGGAAGACCCCTGGTGTCGGCTGGGGGCGACCAGAGCCCGTAGGCGCCCGGGATTCGCTCACATTCACCAAGGGAAGAAATTTAGACTTGACCGTTCCACAAGAGATTATACATGCAGTTGCTGAGATAAATCCACAAATTAAAAGATAACATTCACCTCGGTGATCACTGGACCATAAAGGTTGTGGTGGACTAAGAATACGCAGTTCCCTTGGAATAGCCTGATCATATTGAACTGTTTTCATGCCTTAAGCATTAACTCCTTAAATGCAAATATTTAACACTTGCAGCAATTGTGTGTGCGTGGTTTCTTCTCGTTCTTTTTATTATTTTTAATAGAGACAGGGTCTCACTATGTTTGTTGCCCAGGCTAGTCTCTAACTCCGGAGCTCAAGAAACTCTCCTGCCTCGTCCTCCCAAAGTGCTGGTATTACAGGCATGAGCCACCACGCCAGCGTTCTTGTTCTTTTTATTTTTAATTTATTTTTTTGAGATGGAGTCTCGCTCTGTCACCCAGACTGGAGTGCAATGGCATAATCTCAGCTCACTGCAACCTCGCCTCCCGGGTTCAAGCGATTCTCCTGCCTCAGCCTTCGAAGTAGCTGGGACTACAGGCGCCTACCACCGTTCCCGGCTAATTTTTGTATTTTTAGTAGAGACAGGTTTTCAGCATGTTGGTCACGCTGGTCTTGAACTTCTGGCCTCAAGTGATCCACCCGCCTCGGCCTCTCAAAGTGCTGTGATTTACAGGTGTGAGGCACCCCACCTGGCCTTCTTCTTTTTAAAAAATACTGGTTGTTTCAAAAAACGGAGGTGGCCCAACATCTTCAGACAGCTTGGAGGCTCTGGGCTTTCAGGCACTCATGAGACTTGGCTTTGAGTTTCAGCTCTCCAGTGATTTGTGGGAGGCTGGGACCAATCTTTTAACTTTCCCTATGCTGTTAAATTGTCTGTAAAATAGGAGTGATACCACCAGCCTAACAAGGCTGTTAGGATTAAATAAGACATATGTGAAGCATTTTCTGAAGTGGTCGCCAAAGGTGAAATTATTGCTTTTTTTTCCTGCAAGGCTAAGGCACACTTGTACAGATGGGAGCCTTTATATTTCGTTTTTCTGTCCCCACCCCATTTTCTTTTCTATACATGCAACTCTCATTAAAACTTGTTTTGATAAACTAACGCTTTGAAGTTTTGCCAACTCAATTTGGGAACAGTTTGCTCATACCAAATTTATTATTTTTTTGAGATGGAGTCTTGCTCTATCCTTTAGGCTGGAGTGCAGTGGCGCGACCTCGGCTCACTGCAACCTCTGCCTCCTGGGTTCAAGCCATTCTCCTGCCTCAGCCTCCCCAGTAGCTGGGATTACAGGCGCGTGCCACCACACCCGGCTAGTTTTTCTATTTTGAGTAGAGAATGGGGGTTTCACCATTTTGGCCAGGCTGGTTTTGAACTCCTGACCTTGTGATCCACCCGCCTCGGCCTCCCAAAGTGTTGAGATTACAGGTGTGAGCCCCCAGGCCCGGCAATTTTTTGCTTTTCTTTAATCAACAAGAAAGTAATGTCAGTTTAAATGTAAAAGTATTCATGCAAAATTAGTGCAAAACTTAGAAAATATACTTCAGCATTCTTTCAAATGACTTACTAGTTCAACTATTCTAAAATTCACGATTCATTTTCAAATTTTTAGTTTATCTCTGCATTCCTTGTTGATATGCAGTTAAGCAGGTAAACACTTTGAAAGTTATTCAACCAGTCATGGTACAATGAAATATTTAACTTACCTGTTTCTTTCATGAAATGAGCTTGCCACAGTTACAGGGGGGATAGCTTCTAGATAATTTTATATATATTGGTAGGTTAAAAAAGGGGATTCTATTTTTTTTTTTTTTTGACATTGAGTCTCACTCGTCGCCCAGGCTGGAGTGCAGGGGGCAATCTTGGCTCACTGCAACCTCTGCCTCCCGGGTTCAAGCAATTCTCCTGCCTCAGCCTCCCCAGGAGTTGGGATTACAGGTGTGTGCCACCACACCCAGTTAATTTTTGCATTTTTAGTAGAGATGGTTTCACCATGTTGGCCAGGCTGGTCTCAAACTTCTGATCTCAGGTGACCCACCCACCTCAACCTCCCAAAGTGCTGGGATTACAGGTGTGAGCCACCACACCCAGGCCAGAGATTCTACTAATTCTAGTATACCAACTAACATGTTTGTTATTCTTTCCCTCTTTTAAAATCAGTTTTCGTATAAACACAAAATTAATGTGATGGTTTTTATTAACACGTACTGTATGGGGACAGCTGGCGGAGTCAGAAGACCTAGGTTCTGATCCAACTACACTGCTCACAAGCAGTTGCTGAGCAAGTCGCTCAATCTGTCTATCTCACCTGTATCATCCAGAAAATAAAGGGATTGGAAAGAAAGTTCTGAAGTCAATGTGGCACCTATCAGAATCTCAGTGTTTTCTTACTATGTTCCTCAACATTCAAACAGCACATTCTGTTTTTGAACACCGGGGAGAGAACAGCACAGTGTGCAATAGAAGAAGCTAATGATTGTAAGTACATTAGTAGCAGCCGAACCTGGAGGAAAGGTGGGAAGAGTGTCATCATGGGAAATGAGGTGTGCACTCTTCTCTTCATAATCATTCTGCCCTCTTCAAGGATCTGGGAGCAGATACAACTCAGCAAGGATTGGTGCTTTTGCTAGACAGCCTCTAGGTAGCTTAAACCCCACATCTATTGCATTTCCTGCTTCTAATTAGTACATACAAGCTAATGTATAAAATGTGAAAAAGTATTAAGGAAATGAAAATTATCTATTTTATCACCTAGTGATGACTACTAACAGCCTATAATCTTTTTTTGTTACATATACAATTATTTTTCAAAAAAGTATGTATAGTTTTATATCCTTTTTTGTGTAGCATAATTCTCATTGCCATTTTTTCATGATTTTTAGTGGTTGCATATTTTTCCATCAAAAGATGTAGCATCACTTTACCACTCTTTAGAGCCTTCCCAATTTTTCATTAGGGGAAATGAACATCCTTATATACTAGTTTTTTTGCTGAATCATTTCCCTATGCTAGGTTGCTAGTATATTACCAATTCAGAAGTTATAAACTTGTAAAGGATTTATTACCAATGTTTCCAGAAAGATTTCAACAATATACCCTCCAATAGAATGTAAGAGTGCTTCCTCATTAAATCCTTACTGGTATTAAGTTTAAATAAGAAGAATCACAAAAGTAGCAGGTGAAATGACCCAATAACTTAAAATTTCTCTTTCTTGAGTTAATGGTTGGGTTGGGCCTCTTTCAAGTAGTTACTGACATCTATTTTTTTTTCTGAGTTGACCATATTATTTGCCCACTGTTTGCATTTTTTCTTCCTACTGATTTGTAAAAGTTATTTATATAAAAGTTTTTTTTTTCTTTTTCCTTTAGAAGTGAAATCAAGGCTTAATTTATCTGGTTAAGTTTTATAATTTTCATTTTTTTTTTTTTTTTTTAAGAGACAGGGTCTTGTTCTGTCATCCAGGCTGGAGCGCAGCAGCACGATTGTAGCTCACTGCAGTCTCCAATTCCTGGGCTCAAGCAATCTTCATGCTTCAGCTTTCCTAATAGCTAGGACTGCAGGCATGTGTCACCAGGCCATGCTTTTATAATTTTTTGTAGAAATGGGATCTATGTTGCGCAGGCTGTCTTGCACTCCTGGCCTCAAGTGATCCTCCTGCCTGGGCCTCCCAAACCACTGGAATTGCAAGTGTGAGCCACGACACCTGGCCTATCTGCTGGTTAAGTTCTTTAAACAGACCAGGTAAAATGGAGGTTTTAATATCTAGATTCTCATGTATATCTGTGTAGTTTTATTAATGTCCTCTCCTCTTGTTCCTCATTGCTCTTTCATAGTAGTAACAAGAGAAAGCTCACTTCAGTCATTTCAAATCCAAATGTAACAATGCAGAATTAAAAAATGGAAACAAGCTCTTGGAATTAATCATTTATCACAAAATGAACAATTTCAATTCTTAAACATACAATCACTTTTTTTCATACTAACTCAAAATGAGTAAACAGAATTTTATTCAAACTTTACAAATATCATTTACATTTAGCCTGAGATTAAACATGAGAAAGTTCAACCTGAAGTTAGACTTCGTTGCCCAGTTAAGCATCTGAAAATAAAGCTGAGAATGAACATACATCATCAAACAAAGCATTCCAATGAAGTCTGGCAATGAATTGTGACACAAACTGAACTTTAATTTGCTCTGGTCCACATGATCTTCAGAGCCTAAAAGTTCCTGTTTTTTAATAATGATGGAAAAATATCTGCAAATGATAAATGCATGAAGGTATGACCAGATGCAAAATTTTAGTTCAACATTTCTATAGCAGCTGCTTTAGGTGACCATTAAAAAACAACTCCCCAATCCTTACTGTTCAACATGTACTTGAAAACATGCAGCAGCATGGTACAGTTTATTAAATTTATAAATATCAGTACCTGTAATAAAATATAAAATACTGACTATTCCTTTTTCAAATATTAAGTCTCTGAATGCTTCATTCATCCTTTGGTTTCAAACCCATACAATGCACTCATATTACATTGTAGATTTCGAATGGAGACAGAACACTGTACATCTGTTGGGGAAGGTGGGGTGCTGTAGGAATACCAAAGCACTACATCATAGAAAGTAAACGTTGAAGCAAAAATACTTTCTGAATATATACTGTACATTATGTAAACACACATTCAGAATAAGAATCAACACAGGCCAAAATATTGTTTTCTAGGAAACCAGAATCTTCTTTCTTTTAAATCACACACTGAAGATGCTTTTTTGTTAAGAAAAAGAATGAAGTCTGTTCCTGTATTTGCTTATGTGCTTAGATATCTTGGAAATGAGTAATTATTACATTCATTTGCTAACGGTTTATCCTCTGCTTAGTTGGCTGGCTGTTGCAAACACGGAATACAGAACTATTTCAGTCCCTGTTTTTCATTTAATACTAGTTAAGTAATATATAATTAATTCATCTTTATTAATCCATTATTAGTAATATAAATAGATTAAGTGAAGCAGTGAATTTCAAAATTTGTGCAGGGGAAACTAGTTGATAATTTGTTTCCAATAAGGCTGGTAGCAATTAATTACTACAAAGTTTGTCCAAGCTAGTATTGAACCCCTGATTTAGCAGGCTGAATCAAAGTGTATAGTTAGGTACTTCTAATTCCTCTATTACTGTGCAAATCTAGAATTTCCTATGTAAAAGACAGTGCTGGCAGCATCAAAGCCCTGTAATAGTATGAAATAGTGATTAGGATTTGAAATGAAGAGATATTATATGAAGACATGTGAATGTCTTAATGATGGTATCATAGCAACGGCCTCAGAATTCCCTTACTGAAACAGAAACTAAGACAAATCATTATTCAATAATCTTCTGAGCCAAAAGCCTAAGTTGGAAGCAAGTGATAAAAACACAAAACCAAAGATGCATTTTCTATGACCATATGCAAGAATTTTAAGCTTTATATCAACATTCTGTACCAGCACCAGCCCCTCTGAAAGGAAAAAGTGTAGTCATGACTGTCCATCTCTTTTCAAAGCTTCCAGTCTTTGAAGCAGTGCGTTTCCAAATGCTTCTCGGTAGGCGGGGCTGAGTGTATCCAACAAGGAGTAGACTGTTTCATGGTAGGGAGTCTGTAAATGATCATCTACCTGGTCAAAAGCATAGCCTACCACCTACAAGAGAAATGCAACAGTGAATTCATTAGTTTTCATGTTGGTACAGAAAGCAAAATCCAAGTGTTTATGTGAGTAATCATCCTTTCAAAAAAATAAATTATTTCTTTTCCTAGCCACTAGACCACCAGATACATGGGTAACTGAGTGAAACTATTTCTCAAAGTCAGAGTATACACATTTTAAATACAACCTTTAATACTTCAGCAACTTATAATGTATAACACAGAAACACCACTAAAATGCTCCCTATAGAATTTTCAACATTTAAAAGGTTTTACTTAGAAGCTCAAGGAAATGCAGAGAAAGAATTTGAAAAGCTACACAAAAATGGTATTTCATTTTCATATTCTAAAACATGCATCTATTATTTACCCCATTTAATTCCACATATATTGAGGGTCCACTATATTAAGTACTATAATAGGTAATATATCATTAGTTCATATTTTTTTCATTATTTTTCACTTCTTTTATAAACAATTCTAAAAATTATTCCTAATAATTTAGTTTTAATAATTAGTTGTTAATTTTAATAATTGTTTATTAATAATTGGTTTAATAGTTTATTAGTTTTAATAACTGTTTAGCTTTATTATTAGTAATCTGAAAGGCCACTTTCACCTAATATATTTCTTACCTGACAGGGAATAAATGCTCAATTCTGTGAGATAAAAGAACATGTTAATGTGTTTTTTTTTTCTTGGTAGGGGTACACTATTTCTGGAGGTATTTGCAATACCAGGTCGATGTGTGAAGTTAATGGAGCAAGAGCCTATTCTATCTCCCTGCTCCAAAAATCCATTTAATATATTGTCCTTAGATAGAGGACATAACAGATATTAAACTGATAAGAAAAGATACTCCAATTGATCTTAGGCAAAAGGCTGACAGGCCATGTGTTTTTCTTTTTTTTTTTTTCCTGTGAACACAGCTACAACTTTTCTTTTTGACAAGATTATAAGGTATATCATGGTTCACCAGCACAATATAGGGCAAAATTAATTTAGTTTTTGCTGACTTAAGTGTGTACATTCCCTATATAAATCCTAAATTTTTATGACATCTATTTAAGCCATAGGAGGTGAAAGTTTGTGTTAGAAATAGAAGCTGAGTTTTTTTTTTTTTAAATGAAAAGCAGAGGCAGACACCTAAGGAAAATGAATCACACCTCTTCAGATCCATGCTCTATTACTGCACTCTCTACAGTGGAGTACAGTTCAGTTTGCCTTCTTCCTCTTATCTCTGCTAGACTGTGATCTTCCTGGTGGACAGGGATCATGTCTTATGCATGGTTTGATTTTCAATTGCTGACACAGGATAGTTGCTCAATAAATGTTAACTGAATCAGACTGAAAAACAAACAAATATTTGAGCACCTACTACATGTCAGGTTTTACATATGGTTCAGATCTTTCTGTATCATACAGTCATATAATCATTCCCCAAATCGTTTTAAGTTTTTTTTAAATCTCCAAGTTATAGATTAAGAAGCAGAAACTCTCTCAGGGGTAGACGGACTCACTCAAGATCACTTAAATTCACATTTAAGACTGCTGACTCTCTGATCAGAACTCCTTCTACCTCTCCACAGTCAACTTAGAATTAACCAACACAAGACAGAATTATCTTACTAATTCTGTCATTTATCTCTACTTCTGATTTAAGATTCACCTCTAAATACTCTGAGCTTTTAGTACAAATTTAAGGATGTGAAAAGAAGTGCACAAAAATTAGTTAATTCAGGTACTATGCTTAAAGCTAAGCAGCTATCTTTGCAGCAGCTGTGAGGGAACTGAGGGTAGTACAGATGCTGGCCTTGCAATTTGCTCCATCAAGGAATATACAGTATACACGACTCATCTTCAGCAAAGTGAATCCAGCGAATTAAAGAGATGTTTATGTACTTGATATCATGTGACATTCTTACTTGCTTAGGCAGGCCTTGCTCACCACCTTATGATAATGTACAATTACTTTGAATAAATATAGAAACACAGAAATGTATGACATTTTCTAAGACTGAAGATTCACTGATTAGTAAGGTTAAAACTAGATTTTAGATTTTCTAATGTCTATCCCTTTGTTCAGTAGGTCAAAGATTTTATAATAGTTTTTTTTTTTTTTTAAACAGGGTCTGTGTACCCAGGCTGGAGTATAGTGGCCCAATCCTAGCTCACTGCAACCTCGAACTCATAGGCCCCCTCCTAAGCCTCCCAGGTAGCTGGATTACAGGCAAGTGCTGCCATGTTGGGTTAATTAACAAAAAATATATTGTAGAAACACGGTCTTGCTATGCTGCCCAGGCTGGTCTTGAACTTCTGCTCTAAAATGATCCTACCAGCTTGGCCTCCCTAAGTGCTGGGATTACAGGTAAGAGCCCGCAGGTCTGGCCTATAGTTTTTTCTTTTTTAATTAAAAGTTGCTCTCAGGTGATGTTTTCTACTATTCTAAACTCATGATTTTGGTTTAAAGAATGGAAAGGTTAATCCGCCTAGAAAAGCTCTCATAATAAAGAGATACTCATAATAAAGGGTTAATGGGACACTCTTGGAAATCTGGGGGTGGAATGTTCTGCTCTGATTTATTTCTGATCTCAGAGTTGGAAAACAGTGTTGTCAAGTATGTTATTTTAACAGAAGCGACATTTTCAAGAGGTGTTGAAAATCTTTTCAACACAGTGACTGCAAAACCCATTCAATGCAAAGAATGTATGTATAATTCTGGTGAACACATTTAGCTATAGATGAGAAATAAATTAGTTTTGGGGGTCATGATTAAAACAAAGTCACGCCCTGCAAATCAAATGTTTTTCAAAAAAATTCTGTTTCCCCATATCGATCAAAAGCCTTTAAAATTAATAAAAATTTCTAGGTTAAAAGTTTTTCTTAAAAAAATTTGGAAGCTACTGAATATCCAGTTCTCTTTTAACACTCTTCCCCTCCCCACTACCCCTCTTTTTGATAAAGTGGTAAAGACATAAATAATTTTTTTTTCTAAAAGGAAAAGTGAGTTACCTTGAGCCCTGCTTCAGTGAGTTCTAGGCAATATCTGTTTCTTTCCTTTGTTTCCACATTGATATAGGCCACATCATCCGCACACCGCAGGCTTTTCGAGACAAACATGTTGTTAACAGCAAAGAGAACATCATTTACAACTGCTTCAGCTTCGAGCCTCATGTCTTTCATGTCAGTTCCTTCAAAACCGTTCAGCTCTGAACCTTCTTCAAATCCTGACATACTGCTTAGCTCCATGGGATTACAGTCTGTTTCCATTCTGTAAAAAAAAAAAAAAGCAGTTATAAAATTTGTTTATAGAAAGACATTCAAACTACTACATTTGATTAAAATTAGCTATGCCTTACAATTGCTCCTTAGTACAAAACACTAGCTAACAATTGTTAGGAAAAATACTATCTAAAAACATTTCTAGTGGTTTTTCACAGCAAAATCACCGACACCCATAGATCTTCAAAAAAAAGAATCTCCCTTCTCCACTTACCCCCAACAGGTCAATTTCCATATTGATAAGCATTTAGAATATTGTGTTTTTTAGCTATTTTGAATAATGCCTCAGTAACAATCCTAGTACATATTTTTAAATGTATAATTATTTCTCTAGGACAGATATTTAGGACTGAAATTGCTGAGTCAAAGGACATACTTATTTTAACTTTTAATAGATACTGTCAATTTACCCTTCAAAAAAACAAAAAAAGAGAGTATGACTTATACTTTACCAATAGAATATGAGGGACTGTACTCTTTTTCACCTCTTTCCAATTCTTTTAAATTTTTGCCAATTTAAGAGGCAAAGAATGATAGCTCATTGTTGTAATATGTATTTCCTTGAGTAAACATCTGTTTGGATGTTTAAAGGATAGTTTTAGTTCTAAGATCATACAGTTGCAATAAGCAGAAATGGAAATAAATCTAAATTGCATGAAATCAGAGTGCAAGTCTTTACCTACCACAGTAGGTAAGTCTCAGTAGCTCCTTTTATGACTTCTGGATTGGGGTTCTGCTCTAGGCCTTCCCCATACCATGATTACATTTTAAAAATCCCCTAAATTCTCGTTGTATCTGAATTTAACTCATCCATCTGGAATTTATTTTGCATAACTTTATTTTCCAAATGGATAGCCAACTGTACCAATACCATTTACTGAATAACTCATCTTTTCACCATTAATTTGAACTGACCCAAATGTTATATTTTGAAAAATATTATTTCTAATTTCTCACGCTAACTTGATCAAATATTACTGCCAGGCTGCTATGTGGTTTTAGCTTTTCTTCTGTAACTGGGGTTAAAAAAGATCTTCCTGGCTATATGTATTGTTAAAATTTGAAATGTATGAATGAGAAAAGTTAATGTGAAAGTGCTTTGGAATGTACAAAAGGCTTTACAGAACAAGTTATGGTGAGCTATTGTGCTTTCTTTTTGCTTGGCAGGTTTTAAAAGTAAAGTTTCACTTCTCTGATATGGATTAAGCATCTGCTGTCGTGAATGAAGCATAACTCTTCACTCACTCACATATTCAATCAACATTCATTTCCTATCTACTTGGGCACTGTGGTCAAGGTCTAGTCCCACCCCCTCACCACACTGGAGTTAGATTAGACTGGTAAGAAACTCATTGTATTTTAAGAGACAAGGTCTCACCATGTTGCCCAGGCTGGCGTGCAGTGGTTATTCACAGGTGTGATCACTGTGCACTATAGCCTAGAACTCCTGAGCTCAAGCCATCCTACTACCTCAGCCGCCTGAGTAGTTGAGACTACAGGCTCAAGCCACCACACCTGGCTCTTAAATGCATTTTTAGAAGGAGTCTCAATTTTTTTCTGACAATATGGACACCGATCTGGTACACTGCACAGTCCATTGCTATTTCCAAGTTATGCCCTATTTGTGTAATATTCAAAATCCTTCAAGATAGTGACATTCAAAATCCTTTAAGCTAGTCATTAGAATTACCTGTAAGAGCTTATAAAATTACAGATACATTTTCCTCACTGCAGAAAAACAAAATCAAAATCTCTGGAAGACGAGTTATTTTTTTCAGAGCTCCTGAGTGATTTTGCTGTGCAGCCACTGCTCTAAATTATCAGCAAAAATCTTAAGAAGCTGGAGTTCCTACAGCTGAATGTCATTTGCACATTACAAAAGTCAGAACTACTTGCTGAATGCAATTTATAATAACATATGTAAAGCTATTTCAAAAACTTACATAGCAAATGTATAATGTATTCCTCCAATCCTATTTCAATTAATAATGTTTTAAAGACTCTTTATCTCGTCTCTCACAGCACTTTACAGAATTAGTCACTCGCTACAAACAACAGAAGTTAATTATAAAATTACCAATTATTGCTGGAGCAATCTGTTGGGTAACTGAAAGCTCAAATTGACTTATTATATAGGAAAAAAAATTTGGCTTTCCAAATTTTACCTTATTCCAAAAATAATCAGTATACTGCTCAAGATTATATTTGGTCTTATACATACAAAATGAGCCCTTTCTTTTTTACATAGTTTTGAAGATTTAGAAATGACTACTATAAATCTCTTGACATCATGAATATCAAACATCTTAATTTTGCTTAAGTTATCAAGTACTTCAATTGGAGATGTCAGAAATAATGATCATTACATAAAAAGATGTTTATATGAGAAAGTTTTACATTTATAAAGCTTTTTTTTAAGCAAGAGTGTAATTCATTGCAATTAGGACCTTGATGATGCAGAAAGATCAAGAATCCAGTACCTGAAGGGAAGGAATCCTCACAGGTCAGTGAAGTAGGTCACCAAACAGTTGTGATAATCAGCACCGAGCTGCAAAAAAGAGGAAGACACCTTTCCTAAGACTGAACTTTTAAGACACTTTCCCTGAAATGTCTTTGAATAACATACAATTTAGAACTTTTGATGATACATATAAATTAAAGTAATGGAGCATTACATAAATAACATTTTTAGCTATTATTTTAAGGTATGATTACAACTTGTTTTTTGTTGGTTGAAGCAGGTTCTTGATTATTTACCAATATCCTTTTCCCTGCCTATGACCACCCATATTTTCCAAGGGCAACCATAATGCTCCCTTCCCGTACTAAGTAAAGTAACCAAGCAATTTGGCTGAGATTGACTCCAATCCCCAGATACAGACTCTTCAAACTAATTAATACATGAAATTCTTCCTGGTCACTTTACTTTTTTGAGACAGAGTCTCGCTCTGTTGCCCAGGCTGGAGTGCAGTGACATGATCTCGGCTCACTGCAACCTCTGCCTCCCGGCTTCAAGTGATTCTCCCGCCTCAGCCTCCCGAGTAGCTGGGATTACAGACCCGGCTAATTTTTGTATTTTTAGTCAAGACAAGGTTTCACCATGTTGGCCAGGCTTGTCTTGAACTCCCGACCTCAAGCAATCCACCCGCCTCAGCCTCCCAAAGTGCTGGGATTACAGGCATGAACCACTGCGCCCGGACTTCTTGGTCACTTTAATCAGATTAGTTCAGTCACAGCACACAGCTCAAGCTGTTCCAAGTAGCCATGTTGAGATGGGGCCACTAGCCCAAGCATGATGCTGACAACAGAAAAAAACAGAGCCAAGAGATTCACAGAGAAATGTGGCCAGAGCCCATGCTGGTTTCCCAGGATTTGCACTTTTCAGTTATCGGAGCCAACAAATTCCTATTATCTTACGGGCAACAGAAAGCATTCTATTGGATTTAGGAGTCTACCCATAATGAAAGGCAGTGATTGATTTAGCTCTATAACAGCCCTATGAAGGTAAAAAGGTTTAGAAAATGGAGCTCGGGTGATCATGATGAATATTTTTGTGCCTGCCATGTAGAAAGTGCTTAATAAAAGCTTTATAGATAAATATCCAAAATCTTTGGATATCAATTAGTGTCCTATTGCTACTATAATAAATTACCAAATTAGTGGCTTCAAATAGCACACACTTATTCTCTTACAGTTCTGGAGATGAGAAGTCTAAAAGCAAGATGTCAGCAGGTCTGTATTCCTTCTAGAGGCTTCAGGAAGGAATCTGTTTCCTTACCTTTTCTCACTTCTAGAGGCCATCTGAATTCCTTAGCTTATGGTACCTTCCTCAATCTTTAACATAATAAAAACATTCAAATGACTTCTTTTTCTGCTCTTCCTTTTTTTTTGGAGAGTTATTTATTTATGAGGCAGGATCTTGCTGTCACCTAGGCCATAGTGCAGTGGCACAATCTCAGGCTCAAATGATCCTCCCACCTCAACCTCCCAAGTAGTTGGGACTGCAGGTGGGTGCCATCAGGTCCGGGTGATTCTATTTTTTGGAGAGACAGGGTCTTCCTATGTTTACCCAGGCTAGTCTTGAACTCCTGGGATCCAGCAATCCTCCTGCCTTGGTCTCCCACAATGCTGGGATTACAGGTGTGAGCCACTGCGCTTGGCCATAATTTATTTTCAGTGAACACATTTGATGGGCAACATAAGGTGCTAAGCAGTTTACATGCTTCTCTTAAAAGGAAGCCTAGAGTACTTGCCAAGCCCATTGCCTTCTCTGGAAAGGTTTCTGAATCATAGGTTTCATGCTTTGTATTTTAATTCCAGCATCATCATAGCAACATGTACTGGGGATGGGTATTCCAATTAAAGGCACCATCTCAAGGTTGGCAAGGGGTTTATTTATGTCCCAAGTCAAGAGCTTTGTCCAACTACTTCCGGATGGTGGTCTAGCTAATCAGATGCTCTCTCAAGGAGTTTGAAAAGAGCCAAAAACCATGAAGTCAGTTAGCTGGTGATGACAGGAGTTACAGAGGCAGAGCAGTGAGCAGCTAGGTTGCTATGTTGACCGACACTTGAGAAGCAGCTTCCACACTTTGGATTATGTACCCCAGAAGGTAAAAATATTTTGAGCAGACACCTTATTATAAGCACTTATATAAATATTCTACCACAATTAAAATATTTAAGACATATAAATATACATTTAAACAGAAGGTAAAGATGGAATATAGATATATTTTCTGCTCAATGGATTATCTGTGTACCTGACTAGAAGCCTGTACCATTGAGGATGAGAAAATACACGCCCATTTCAGCGAAGGAACAACCACTAGAATTACTATCAACACTTTAGAACTGCCATCAGGTTACCAGAATGGTTGACTCATCAATGTGAATCCTGTAAAAATCTTTGCTTTCCCTTTTTGTACACAAAACAATTTATCATCATATAAGAAATTCTAAATGAATGGAACTTTCTGTGATGACGGAAATGTTCTTTATTGTTGCCCTCCAATACAGCAGCTAATAGCCATCTGAAGTTTGGCTACTGTGATGGAGAAATTGAATTAAAAATTTATTTAATTTTGGTTCATTTAAATTTAAATAGCTAGTGGCCACTGTATCAGATGGCACAGGTCTAGACCTCTGTGAAAACTTGCAGATAATATAATAAGCAGAGTTTATACTAAGGTTGAAAAATCTCAGCAGATGTAAAGGCACTGAATCAAACTTTATATATGAGTAGCAAAATTTGGAACTTGAGATATAATTGAATCTTAATTACTGTATGTAAAGGAATCAATCATCATTGTTTCAAATAGTAAAAACTAATGAATCATTATCCTATGTTTTATAATCTTGTCTACTTGGATTCTAAGTTTATTAATCAAATATCATAATCCACTCGGTACCTACATAGCCGACTTTTTTTTAAGCACTAGAATACTAATAAAAGATATCTACTGGTAGCTTGCAGTCTACTTTGGGAAAGAAAACAGGCACATGAAATATTTGCACAAATATTAATGCCATACACACACATCATAATTATTCTCCCCAAATGTACTTAATTGTGAGTGGCAGATAATTACAGAAAACAATGATATGTCTTCGTCCTACTACAAACTCTTATCACTAAACTTGTATGAACCTGAGTTGGGCACATAATCTCATTGGTCTTACGGAGGTCTCATCTACAAAATAAGGTAAATAGGCAGAAAATTCTTTACTGTTCTAAGAGCTTTGACATTCTATAATCTATGACGTAATGGTTAGTTATGATGGGGCTTGACTAAGGGTACAGGTCAGTCAAAATTGGTTTGGAATGAGCATGAATAAAGAGTTATAAATAAGCAAAAAGGTCTTGAGAGTTGTGAAAAATTCTGTGTAGGGAACAAAGCATAAGCAAAGGTCAGCACAGGGTGTGGCAGGAACTAGTCGGGCTAAAATACAAGGATATGCAGGGATGGCCCAATCTGACAGCATGCTGACACCTAGAGAGAGGAATTTGATTTTGATATAATAGGCTGTTTTAAGGTCTTCGGAATGGAAATACAAATATCTTTTTATTTAATATGGGTTTCTTACTGGCAGTATGTAGTGTGGTCCTGCTTTTTCATCCATCTGGCAACCTCTTTTAATTGGGGTGTGCTATTAGTATGAATACTTGTCCCCTCCAAAACTCATGTTGAAATTCAATTTCCAATGCAACGTGGCAGCACCAAAAAGTGAAGCCTTAAGAGGTGACTGGGTCATGAGTGCTCTACCCAAAGAGTGGATTAATCCATTTATGGATTAATAGTTTAATGGGTTATCATGCAAGTGGAACTGGTGGCTCTGTAAGAAGAGGGGGAAAGATGTGAGCCAGCACATTCAGCCCCCTCACCATGTGATACCCTGTGCCACCTCAGGACTCTGCAGAGTCCCCACCGCCAAGAAGGCCCTCTCCAAATGTGACCCCTCTACCTTGGACTTCTCAGCCTCCATTACTATAAGAAATAAATTTCAAGCCGGGCGTGGTGGCTCACGCCTGTTATCCCAGCACTTTGGGAGAATGAGGTGGGTGGATCACGAGGTCAGGAGTTCGAGACCAGCCTGGCCAATATGGTGAAACCCCATCTCTACTATAAATACAAAAATTAGCCAGGCGTGGTGGTGCATGCCTGTAGTCCCAGCTACTCGGGAGGCTGAGGCAGGAGAATCGCTTGAACCTGGGAGGCGGAGGTTGCAGTGAGCCGAGATTGCGCCACTGTACTCTAGCCGGGGCAACAGAGTGAGACGCTGTCTCAAAAAAAAAAAAAAAGAGAGAAAAAGAAATAAATTTCTTTTCTTTATAAATTTTCGAGTTTCAGGTATTCTGTTATAAGCAACTGAAAATGGACTAAGGGTGTTCAGACCACTTACATTTGATTACTGTAATTATTGATATAGTTGAGTGTGAATTTGCTGTCTTGCTATTTCTTTGCTTTTAGTCCCATCTGTACTTTACTCCCTTTTCCTTATTTTCCTCCTTGCTTTTGAATTAACCACTTTTTAGGATTCTATTTTATATCTTTTGGTTCTTATTAACGATATTTTTTGTTGTGTTTTTGGTGGTTGCTTTAAAGCTTATAGTATACATCTTTATCACAATGTACCTCCAATTAATACTATACTACTTCATGTATATGAACTTTACAAAACACTACTATATAGCATTTGCTATTTTTGTCACATATTTTACTTCTACATAAATTATAAACTTCATCATAATGTTATTATTCTTGCTTTAAAGAGTCAATTATTTTTCAGAGAGATTAGATAAGTCTTTTTATATGTAATATATAATTACCATTTTTTGTGCTCCTTCATTTGTACTGATCTATATCTACATGTATTATCTGTATCATTTTCCTTCTGCCTGAATAACTTCTTTCAACATTTCCTGTAGTGTAGGTCTGCTGTTGATGAATCCTTTCAACTTTCCTATGTCTGAACTAGTCTCCTTTTCATCTTCATTTGTGAAAGATGTTTTTGCTGGGTAGAGAATCCTAGGTTGGCAGTTTTTTTTTCTTTCAAGTCTTTAAATATGTTTCTTGGATGCAGTAGCATACACCTGCAGTCCCGGCTATTTGGGAGTCTAAGGTGGAAGAACTGCTTGAGCTCAGTTCATGACCAGCCTGGGCAAAATAGTAAGAGCCTGTGTCTCTAAAATAAAAAAATTAAAAAGATGTTTCTCGACTATCACACCTTGCTTGTCTTGTTTCCCATGAAACATTTGATGTGATTGTTATCTTTGTTCCTCTTGGTGTAGTTTTTTCATGCTTCTTTTCCTTAGGTTTCATTGAGATTCTGGAATCTGTAGGTTTAGAGTTTTCAACAAATTTGGAAAATTTCTGGCCATTATTTCTTCAAACATTTATGTGTCCCTATCCTCTTTGGGGACTCTAATTTTATGTATATTAGTCCAAGTGAAGGTGTCCTGTTCCTCATTGCTGTATTTATTTTTTTCACTGTTTCATTTTGAATTGTTTATTGATATGTCTTCAAGTTTGTTAGTCTTTTCTTCAGTATCTATTCTATTTGTGTCTTTTAATCTTTTAAACATATTTTCCATGTCTTTGCTTAATTTGCTCAATCTTTTTTCTAGCTTTTTGAACATATAAAATACAGCCATAATAAGTGTTATAATGTCCTGCCTACTAATTTCAAGTATTATTTCTGGGTTACTCTCAACGGACAGATTTTTCTTCTCAATTGTAGGTTATATTCTGCTGCTCTGCATGCCTGGTCTTTTCTGACTGGATGCCAGACATTGTGAATGTGGTGCTGAATGTTTTTATATTATTTTAAATATTATTGAATTCATTTGGTTAGACGCATGGTGAGAAAAAATTTAAAAAGTAATAAATATTGTTGAGCATTGTCCTGGGAGGTAGTTATCTGGAAACAGCTTGATCTTTCTGGGTCTTGCTTTTAGACAAGATCTGCGTTTAATCTCTAGTTAATTCTGTCCCATTACAGAGGCAAAACCTTTCTGAGTACTCTACCCAATGCCCTATGAATTACGAGGGTTTCTATTCTGTGTGATAAGAATGGGAATTATCCCTAGTCCTGCTTTAGCTCAGAAAACTGTTTCCTGTAATTCTTTTTTTTTTTTAATGGAAGAACAGAAATGATTATTAAACACATGAAAATACACTCACAGTTAGAAATTATAGAAATAATTAAAATGAGGTAACATTTAACATCTTGCAGATCAGTAAGACATTTTCCTTTTTGAGTCTATGCATAAAAAATTTTCTAAATCAAGTATTATTGAGGATGCAGAACACAGAACATTTAGACACTGAGTGGGAGTGTAAACTGGCACAACACTTTGGAAAATGATTTGATATTATCCAATAAAGATGAAGATCCAGCAACTTAGTCTCCAAAGAAATGAGGAGATGTATAATTTTCATATCACCTCTGCTTCAGAAAGTCCCAAACTGAGTATCCTCCTTTCTTTTTTTTTTTTTTTTTTTTTTTGAGACAGAGTCTCGCTCTGTCACCCAGGCTGGAGTATAGTGGTGCTATCTCAGTTCACTGCAATCCGGGCCTTCTGGGTTCATGCCATTCTCCTGCCTCAGCCTCCTGAGTAGCTGGGATTACAAGTGGCCACCACCGTGCCTGGCTAATCTTTGTATTTTTAGTATAGACGGGGTTTCATCATGTTGGTTAGGCTGGTCTCAAACTCTTGACCTCAAGTGATCCACCCACCTCAGCCTCCCAAGTGTTGGGATTACAGGCGTGAGCCACAGCACCTGGCCCCTCCTCTCATTCTTTTTGGTAGTTCTTTCCCCAGCCTAGGGCAGTGAACTCATGAATTAGTATTCAGCTACAGGCTGGAGGGAGACCCTTCCTATATCCTCACAGTCCTTGCTTTCTGTGAAGCTATTTACTTTCTAGTACTCTGTCCTAGCTGCCTTGGCCTTCTTGGGTTTCCAGCTCTATGTCCTCAATTCAGGGAGACCATCAGGCTTTACCTGGATTTTTCTTTCCAGTGCCATGCCTGGCTCTAGGCAATACAATAGGGCAACAGGCTCACCATATTTGTATGATGCTTCTCAGGGATCACCTATACTACTCTGAACCAACTTTTACCATCTTGTTGTTTGTTTCATTAATGAATTAAATGCATTTTGACACATGCTCACCATATGTTTTATGAGATCCATGTTTTTAACTTAAAAAATTTTATTTTAACACGACTTTGAAGACTTTTAGTCCTCTAAAATTCAGCTCAGACAAACCTATTTCAGGATTGTGTATCTGCTCTCAAGATGGCCAATCACTGTATCTTCCTGAACAGCATCTCTGCTTTGGTACTGCTGTACTTAAGCCTCATGGCAAATAATTTTTGTGTCTGTACTACTACAGACCCATGAAGATGGGAGCCTGTGATATACACATCACCAGCACAGTGTCTGGCATAAAGCAGGACTTCATTGAATATTTCCTGAATGAATAAAACAGAGAAAATTCTAACTCTCTGCTTCTCAGGTGTGATACTCGGCTCTGTGACAAGGAGTATACAAAGACTCAGGACAAACATGGCAGATATTCTTGGAAAATACATATCACTGTTACTATATCAATATCAGGAAATATTACAGAACTGCCTAGAATTTTAATGAAAAAGTACACAAATGTTTGGATGTCTCAAGCCACATCCTCTTTAGATTATACCCCTACGCGTCTAGGGTTTCCTTTGCCTCTAAAAGGTACATTCGAGTGAGGAATATTGGCATGAAAAATACGTTTTAGAAGTATAGCCCTAACCCAAGGACTTAATTCAACAAGATGAAAATTTCAGGCACCGTGTCTGGCAGTATAAAGTTAACAAGCAGAGGCAGGAGCTGGTAAAAGGATACAAGGTTAGGGCTGAGTTAGGCCTTCTCTAAGTTTTTGCAACTCTTTCCACTTCAGTTATGCTATTGCTCTTTGTTAAAAATTAATTGTTGATAGTTTTGGCTGGGTGTGGTGGCCCACACCTGTAATCCCAACACTTTGGGAGGCTGAGGCAGGTGGATCACTCAAGGTCAGGAGTTTGTGACCAGTCTGGCCAACATGGCGAAACCCCATCTCTACTAAAAATAGAAAAAAATTAGCCAGGTGTGGTGGCACGTGCCTATAATCCCAGCTACTGGGGAGGCTGAGGCGGGAGAATCTCTTGAACCCGAGAGGCAGAGGCTGCAGTGAGCTGAGATTGCACCAGTGTACTCCAGCCTGGGTGACAGAGTGAGACTCTGTCTCAAAAAAAAAAAAAAAAAAAAGATTGTTGATAGCTTTAATTTTTTAATATTCTAATTTTCCTATGGTGAAAAGAAAATGATTATGTTTTCAATAAGAAAAAACAATTTAAAAATTGCAGTCTTTTGGAAAGTATAGGGTGTAGGAAGCAGAAATCTTTTTCTTAGAGAAGTCAGGTTATTATTCAGACACTTAAAATAACTGGTAGCATCAGTTACAAATAAAACAAGAGTTCTGAATTTATCTGCATTTCCAACAACTGTTTTGAAAGTAAAGATGAATAAAGTTTATTAATTATTATCAGCAAGATTTAGAATTTAGGCAAAGCTAAAACTCAATTTAACCTTTGTTTTCTGTAACACATAACATTTAATCTGTTTTCAATAGCTTACAGATGTATTTGTTTTGAAATAAAACATTTTAATTCAGAATCATGTGTAGTATCACAAATATAAAGTATTTGTAATTCAAGTAAGAATGGCTATTTTCCCATTTATACTCTGGTTTATAAAATTATTCTGCACCCCATTTTCAGCAATAACACAGACATATTTATATTCTTGTAATTATAAATCTAGACAACAGAATTGTGCTTATCTTAGTCTCTATGTATTGCTGTAAAGAAATATGTGAGGCTGGGTAATTTCTAAAGAAAAGAGGTTTATTTGGCTCATCGTTCCACAGGCTGTACACAAAGCACAGTGCCGGCATTTGCAATGGCCTCCAGCTGCTTCCGCTCGTGGTGGAAGGGGAGCCAGTGTGTGAAGATCACACAGTCAGAAAGGGTGGAGGTGGGGGAGATAGACAGATAGGTAGGTAGGTAGATAGAAAGCAGGAGATCCAGGCTCTTTTCAACAACCAGTTCTGTCAGAAACTGAGAGTGAAAACTCACTCATTCCTGGGAGAAAGACACCGGGCCATTCATGAGAGATCCACACCTCTCCCACCTCAAACTGGCCCCCCAACCCTACCCCGCCCCAACTCCCTGACCCAAACAGCTCTCACCACGTCCCATCTCCAATAGTGGGGATCATATTTTGACAAGAGACTTGATGGGGCCAAACGAACCATATCCAAACCATAGCCTTCCACTCCTCGCTTCTCAAATCTAGTGTCCTTCTCACATTCAAAATACAACCATTCTATCCCAATAGTCCCCAAGTCTTAACTTGTTCTAGCACCAACTCAAAAGTCCAAATTCTTATGAGACTCAAGGCAAGTTCCTTGCAGCTATAAGCTTGTGAAGTAAAAAACCAAGTTATTTACTTCCAAGATACACAATGACGGAAAAGTCATTGGATAAATGCTGTTTTCCAAAGGGAGAAATTGGCCAAGAGAAAAGGGTAAGATACTCCATGAGAATCTAAAGCCCATCAGGGCAGACATTAAACCTTCAAGTTCCAAAATCTCCTTTTAGCATGTCCTGCATCCTGGCACAGCAGTATGAGGGGTGGGCTCCCAAGGCTTTGGGCAGTCTCATCCCTATGACTCTGCTGGGTACAGCTCATGTGGCTGCTCTCATGAGTTGGAGTCAAATGCCTGAGGCTTTTCCAGGATGAGGGTGCACACTGCCAGTGGCTGTGCAATTCTGTGGTCCCCATGGCATCCCTGTTCTACTAGGCAATACCCCAGTGGAGACTCTCCATCGGGGCTCCAACACCACATTTCTGCTTGGCAATGTCCTAGCAGAGTCTTTCTGTGACACCTAGGCCTTCTGATACATCCTCTAAAATCTAAAATCTAAAATCTAAAATCTAGGTGGAAGCTGCCAAGCCTCTGCCACTTTTGCATTCTGTGCCCCAAAGTCCTAACAACACATAGAAGCTGCAAAGACATACAGCTTACAGCCTGAGCTGAGTACCTGGAGCCCTTTGAAACAGAACTGGAGCTGGAGCAACCAGGATGCAGGGAGCAGCATTCCAAGGTGGCACAGGACAGTTGCGCCCATGGCTTTGACTGTGGAAACCATTCTTGTCTTCTAGACTTGTGATGAGAGGGACAGCCTAGGAGATTTCTGAAATACCTTGAGGGCCTTTTCCCCATTGTCTTGGCTATTAGCACCTGGCTCCCTTTTATCTGAACTAACTGGATTCTTCTCCTGAAAATGCTCTTTCCTTCTTTAACACAAGGCCAGGCTGCATATTTTCCCATATTTTTATGCTCTGCTTTCCTTTTAAATTCCAACTTTAGGTCATTCCTTTCCTCCCATATTTAATTGTAAGCTGTTAAAAGCAGCCACGCCACTTCTTGAACCCTTTGCTGCTTAGACATTTCTTCTACCAGATACTCTAGGTCATCACTCAAGTTGGGCCTTCCACAAAGCCCTAGGGTATGGAGGCAATGCAGCCAAGTTCTTCGCTACAGTGTAACAAGGGTGATGTTTGCTCCAATTCCCAATAAGATCCTCATTTCCATCTGAGCTCTCCTCAGCATAGCCTTTACTGTCTATATTTCTATCAGCATTTTGGTCACAACCATTTAACCAATCTCTAAGAAGTTCCAAACATTCTTTCATCTTCCTGTTTTCTGAGCCCTTCAAGCTCTTTCAACCTCTGCCCATTACCCAGTTCTAAAGCTGCTTCCGCATTTTCAAGTCTCTTTATATCAACACCCCACTCTCAGTACCAATTTTCTGCCTTAGATGTTTCCACTCATGACAGAAGGGGAGCTGGGATATGCAGATCACATGGTGAAGGAAGGAAGGAGGGAGGGAGGGGAAGTGAGAGAGAAAGAGGGAGTAGGGGAGAGGGAGGGAGACAGATATACAGAGAGATACAGAGAGAAAGCCATTCATGAGGGATCCACCCCCATGATCCAAACACCTCCCACCAGGATTCACCTCTAACACCAGGGATCAAATTTCAACATGAGGCTTGGTGGGGCCAAACCATATCCAAACCACAGCAGTGCTTTTGTTGATTAAGGAGGGAACTCAGAAGAAAGAAATACACAGGGTTAATTTGAGTTTTTACAAACTGTAAATAAGCAGCAACACTGGCTGGGTGCTGTGGCTCATGCCTGTAATCCCAGCACTTTGGGAGGCCAAGGTGGGTGGATTGCTTGAGTCCAGGAGTTCGAGACCAGCATGGGCAACATGGTGAAACCCTGTCTCTACAAAAAAATACAAAAATTAGTGGCACAAGCCTGTAGTCCCAGCTACTTAGGGGCTGAGGTAGGAGGATCGGTTGAACCTGGGAGGTTGAGGCTACAATGAGCTATCGTGCCACTGCACTCCAGTCTGAGTGACAAAGTGAGACTCTGTCTCAAAAAAAAAAAAAAAAGAGTAGCAATACAACCTTGTAAACCTTTCCTTCGAAACCAGAAACTGTAAATGAGACTCTAGGAAAAGACACTCAAAAATGGAATGTAAAAAAAAAAAAAAATTCCAGTTATTACAGTTTCTTATTTCTATATAATCCTCTAGGAAATAAGTATTACTTGGCACTATATTTAAAGTACATTCTAACAAACATAAATCAATATCTACAGAGACATAAAATAGAAAACCTCACTGCTTTCCATTTAAACTCCAAATTGGTTCTCTACCAGATCCTGAGCAATATTCTGTTTCTAGCAAAGAGACAAAAATTGGAATACTTGACAATTGCTATTATTTATTCTGGTAGGTTGTATCACCTGATGTAAAGTTTCCATAAATGATTCCTTAAAACATCATACATAAATTATTTAGGAACCAGCTCTTTCTCCATAATTTTTGGGCGGTGTTCGGGTGTTTGTGTTTTTGGAGGATTCATCCAACTGGTTATTATGACATTGATTACTAAATCGTTTATTCTTTACTTCCTAATTTATTAGACTATTTTGTTTCATTACGAGTTCAGAGCATCAAAGAGCTTTATCCTTGATGACAAAAAAATGGGCAAAGACAGTCATATATACTTAGTCTGACAAAAGAACAGCCCCAGAAAGATTTCAAGAACATATGGAGTGCAAATTTTCACTTTGAAAGTCTGACCTTTCAGTTGACATTGTTAACAGTCAGCTGAGGGCAGGATACGATATCTTAATCATGATTACCTTTATTTGTATCACACACTACAACCTGGTAAATCCTCTCAATATGAACAAGGGGCCAGGAAGATGTGATGGTTAACAGGCTCTCAAGCAGACTGACTGGGGCTAGAATTTTAGCTTGGCCACTTAATTTACTCTGGGACTTGGAAAAAGATGTTTTAATCTTTCTCAGTCACACATTCCTCCTCTTTAAAATGATGTTAAAATAGCATCTACCTTTAAGTGATATTGAGAGAACTAAATGAATGAATACATGGAAAGTGCTTAGAACTGTGCTGGGCAAACAGCTGAAAAAATATAATCTATTATATTAAAAGTATTTAACACTATCTTTCAAGAAGAAAGCCTGACCCTGAAGCTCAAGCCATGTGGCTCCAAGTTAGGTGCTCTTTACATTATGTGGGGGATTGGCTGCTGCTGTGTTGTACAATTCCTCCAAGAGCCGTGAGGTGTGGAGCCCTGACAGCGTCGTCCTGTTACCTCAGGTGCAAGTCATTAAAAAAGGTCAAATACATCTCCTTGGCTTTTCTTTCATTTCCCATGTTAACAGATTTCTCTGAAGGAGGATTATTTTGACATGACCCATTTAGCCTCTGGCATACAGCCTCTCACCTGTCACTTCAAACTTTTACATAATTCTTAATAAGCTGACAATATTCGGTTGGGTAATTATTTTCTTTTTTAAAATTTATTATTATTTTTTGAAATAGGGTCTTGCTCTGGCACCAAGGCTGGTTTCAAACTCCTGGTCTCAGGTGATCCTTCCGGCCTTGGCCTTCCAAAGTGCTGGGATTACAGGGGCACGTCACCACACCTGGCCAGGGTAATTATTTTCATCTTCCTTAATTAATGCAAGGTGTTAACATTTTGTGACAGGTACTTTGTCTTTGACAAAACACAAAAATGGCACTGTGATTTGAGATGAGTTTGTACCCTACTGTAGCCAAAGATATCATAATGACAGGTCCTAAACCTTAACATTTATACTGAATTTCTCCTAGAAAGCATAAAGTTTACAAGGCAACACACAATACTCTGAATAGAGCATATTTGTTATTGCAAAACCGTCGTTTTAATTTTCCTTTCTGATATTTGAAATTGCAGGCACTCTATGGATAGCCCGAATGCAATTCTATATTGAAAAAGGAAACCACTTATTTAATAACTGCTGAAAGAAGTCCAAATTGTATCTATTTGTCAGAAGTCTATTTCAAACCTTCCAAAGCCTATTCTAATTTCTTGCAAGATCCCACCTTTGCCTTTTCATACCACCTTGTTTGTATTCCTTTTATGGCAAATATTAGAATTATTATTTACAAACATGTCTTATCTTCAAAATATATCCAGAATCCAACTGCTTCTAACTAATCATTTTCACCGCTACCGCTTTGGTCCAAACCACTGTCATCTTTTCCTTGCATTACGGTGATATCCTTCTAACTGGTTCTGCTGTTTTCACTCTGGCCCTCCCACTTCCACACCAGACTATTCTTAACAGCAGTTAGCATGATCCCATAGAAACTTAGGCCATACTGTGTCACTCCTCTCCTAAATCCACCTCACCCAGAGTAAAGGCCAAAGTTCTTTTTATTTTTTTAAGATAGAGTCTCACTCTGTTGCCCAGGCTGGAGTGCAGTGGCACAATCTCGGCTCACTGCAACCTCCGCCTCTCGGGTTCAAGCAATTCTCCTGCCTCAGCCTCCCAAGTAGCTGGGATTACAGGTGCACGCCATCACACCTGACTGATTTTTTATATATTTTTGGTAAAGACAGGGTTTCACCATGTTGGCCATGCTAGTCTTGAACTCCTGACCTCAAGTGATCCGCCCACCTCGGCCTCCCAAAAGTTCTGGGATTACAGGAGTGAGCCACTGTGCCCGGCTCCAAAGTTCTTATCAATGGCCTACGAGGCCCTACATGATGTGCTTCCTCTGCGCCCCGCCCGCCCCACCCCCCACCCCCAAACTGCCCAGCTTCTACTTTTTCCTTCACTCACTCTTGATGTTCCCTAAATTCATCAAGCATTCTCCCGTGACAGGGCGTTGCACTTGCTGTTCCCCTTGCATGGAAAACAACTCTTCCAGGTATACATGTGCCTCACTTCCCAGCTTTCTCCAAGTTTCTGCTAAAATGTAATCTTATTAAACAAGAGAATTTCTCTTACCATCTCATATAAAAATGGCAAGTCCCTTCTCTCTTCCCCATCTCCACTCCCTTTACATTGCTTTCGTTTTTCCAACAGCCCTTATCACCACAAAGCATATTATTCACTCATTTATTGTATGTCTCCTCCCTTCAATAAAATGTAAGTTCCAGGAAGGAAGAGATTTATCTGTTCACTGCTGTAATCCCAGTACCTAGAACAGTGCTTGGCACACAGAAGGCAATCAATAAATATTTACTGAATAAATGAACAAACTTCCACTTTATTGAGAGAAAGGGTCTTGCTCTGTGGTTCAGGCTGGAGTGCAGTGGCATGATCATAGCTCGTACGATCCTTTCTGATATTTGAAATTGCAGGCACTCTATGGATAGCGTCAATGCAATTATGCAGCCTCAAAGTCCTGGGCTCAAGCGATCCTTCCGCCTCAGCCTCCACAAGCAGGTACCACCATGCTTCCGTTTTAGAACATAAACTCCTTGAAGGTTCGGCCTGATTCTTGACACTGTTCACATGATCAACTGTGGTGACTTTCATTTAATGGACCTTAACAAATATTTCTGAATGAAGAGCAAGGGAATCTAAGTTACTGAGAATACTTGAGATGAGTCTACAAAGAATGAGGGAAATCAACAATCCAAGCAACTGCATACAAAGTACCCTGGTTCTAAAACGAAAAGGTGGTTGTGGAAAGGGGAACCAGATGTTTCTCCATCTACCAATATTTTGGGCTGTATTTCCAAGGCATTCATGAAAGTTGCCGAGACAGTAAACATTTCACTCCTTAAACTGGTCGTCTTAATTCACTGTGATTAAACAGCTGTATGTTTCAGGACTCTGTTCAGGTTCGTGCCCTACTCATATCATTTAATCTTCCCAACAAATCCATGCACATAAGATTTTAATCCGCTCACACTCGGCAAAGGAGGCAACGTGGGCTCGGGGAGGGCAGTGGCCGCTCAAAGTGGCTGGGCGGCTAATAGGTGTCAGTGCCGGGATTCTAACGAAGGACATCTGGCTTCTGGGCCATAGAACACCCGCACCCAGGCCTTTCGAGGTTGACTTAACTTAACAGCCGGCTCCGCCTCTGCAGGAGTTACCTCCCAAAAGGCAGAAATACGATTGCGCAGACTGCCAGAACAGCCCAAGTTCTTCACCCAGGTTCCGGCGGGGTCAGGAGCCTTTAGCATTTCTCAAGGAATGCAGTTTTGCCCACAGATGCTTCGAAAACCCAAGTTTCCTGATCGTTGCTATGACACACCCAGGATTAAGCGAGCGTATGCGAGAAGCGCTCTGCAAACCGCCAGGCAAACGGCAACGAAGAAGCTGCCTCAGAAACAATACCTGAATGAGGCGGGGGCCGAAGAACTTGCTGACAATGGGCACCGGTCAATGCTCGGGTGCGGGCGGGGATGCTCGAGAAGGGCTCCAGTCCTCCCAGCGGAGACGGCGGAGCCCCAAGTGTGCGTTTCCGGGGCGCCGAGGTCTGAGGGGAGCCGGGAGAGCCAGGCCGGCCAGACCGGCCCCCAGACCCCTCTTAACACGGGCGCGGGGCCCCTGCAGCCTGCCGCCCCTCTCGGCCCAGCCAGCTGCATGGCGTCGCGTCCCCATCCGGAAGGCCTGACGGCCCGCCGGCGCCCCGAGCCCCTAGCCCTTCTCGGGGGCCGCCCCTCGCCCGCAGCCACCCCGGCTGCCGCTCACCTGCGCGCCCGGCGTCCTCTTCTTCCTTCCTCCGGAGGCGACTGGAGCCGACCGGCGGTGCCGCCCCCTCCCTCCCCGCCTTCTTCCGCCCCGCCCCCTCGGAGCCGGAACTGCTCCAGCCCCCGCCCTTCTGCCCGCCTTCCGCGGCCCCAGTGTGGCGTCACTTCCGCCAGCGCCCGGCGGCGCGCCGGGAGTCTGGGTCTCGTGAACGCGCCAGGAGCGTCCCTACAGCCGGGAACGCGCCTCGCGGATGACAACAAATTCGTCGCGCGGCGGCAGTGGCGGTGGCTGCCTCAGCCCCTGCCGCCTCCTCTCGCGCTCTCTTGCACTCTCTCCGAGCCGGTTGGGACCCTCCTCGGAAGTCCCCTGGCCTGGGGCCAGGAGGACCCCTCTGCGTCTTGCCTCCGCCAGGCCCAGCGCGAGCGGTGCGGCGCCGGCGATGGGGTCTCCCTGAGGGACTCCCGGCACCAAATAGGGATGGAGGGGCCGCCCCAGGCTTAGGCCCCGCCGCGGCCTGGAGCCGGAGTCGCTACCCCGAGGCCGGAGCCGTCGCAACCCGCAGCCGCAGTCAGCCCAGCTGCCAGCAGTCACTATGCCTTGGCCGTTTTCGGAGTCCATCAAGAAGAGGGCCTGCCGGTACCTCCTGCAGAGGTACCTGGGCCACTTTCTGCAGGAGAAGCTGAGCCTGGAGCAGCTCAGCCTGGACCTGTACCAAGGCACCGGGTCCCTCGCCCAGGTCCCCTTGGACAAATGGGTAAGAGCTGCCGGCGGCGAGCCGGGCGGGGCTCGCTCCCCTCTTTAGGGCGCTTTGAACCAGTGCCATCCAAGATTGGTGACAGTCAGTCCCTCCTTGGGAATTGTTTGGACCCGAGTGTGACACGGCTCAGAGAAATGTGTTAGAGTGTTGTTTAATCTGTTTCTAACAAGTTTGCTCTCCTAAATCACGTGTTCCGGAAACTTTAACAGATGTAATGGAATCTACACTGTGGGAATAATTGAGTCAGTGCTTCGGGGGTCTGTGAAGCAGGCTCAATAGGTCCGTGGGAGGAGGTGACCAGAACTGTCCCTCGGGATGTGAGGGGCCGCAGGGTTTTGTGGCAAACAAACCCTGCCTTGTGGGATGACATTCTGGAAGGATTAAGGATGAAGAGGACCTTTGGATGTCAGAATCCCTAGTTATTTGTTTTGGGTTGGCTGCTTGCGCACCATGTTTGCCTTGTTTGTCATCGTGCAGCGTTTGCCATCTGGAAGAAAGTTAGGTGAAGGCCTCTTGTGCCGGTTTGCCTGCTTTTGCTTGATTATATGTTTACAAGATAGGTTTGTGTATCCAGCCTGTGAATGGTCGTCTGGCCCTAGTAGTGCTGTTGAGTTATGCCTCTTTGCTCCACGTGACAGATCGTAAAAGCAGGTGTTGCAAAAGCGCTGAAGTTGCAATTTTCAGACATTTTAAAACCTGCCTTCTACTTGTCATCTAGAGGCTGTGAATTCACTCATTGCTATACAGGTGCTTCATCTGAATTTCGACTCACCACATGCAGTCGTACCTGCATTTGTGTGTTCAATGCATAGCATTTTACTTAAAGTATATTCACTTTTGGGTTTGACAGGAATAGAGTGACTTCTACCCTTTGCCCAACCCTTACTTCCTTAGCCACAGAAAATCTTAAATTATGGAAATACCTTATTATGACCCTTAAGCGAATTTGTGCTAGAGACTATAAATCAGTATATAATTTTATCAGTATGTACCTGACATAAACTAGGGAGAGGACACAAGATAGTGGAAAGAGCCCTGGTTTGAGAGCAGTAAGACCCAGTCGCTCACCAGGAGGTGAGAGTCCTACCCCTGGAGAGACTCTCCAGACCGCCACAATTAGCCGAGTGATAATGGACTTAGCAATTCACCTGAGTTCAGTAAACACTAATGGAGCACACACTTCATCTCTGTGTCGTCCGTCTTATGGTATTGTATTCCTGTAATTCTTCCAAAAGATAGGGATTCTGAAGGATATTTTTGAATTCAACAACCCATGATTCTATACTTTTGATACAGTTATGAATAGGTTATCTTGAAAAAAGAGGGTTCAGGATTTATTAATGCCTTTTGTGGGTGGAAGGGCTTTGTATGCATTATCCTTTAATGACTTTAACCCTATAAGGTGGGCATTAATATTTCCATTTTACAGATGGAGTTAAGCAGTTTGCCCCATCACACATCTAGCAAGTATTACATCACATGGCCTAAGATCAAAAGAAAGGCAGTTAATGTTTATTGAGTATGTATTTATGTCAGGCATTGTACTAGGCACTTTCATTTGTGAGGTTTTATTTAGTCCTTATGGGAAATCAGAGGTAGTGATATTTGAATTTTATAGTTTGAGTTCAGAATCATTGGCAAAATGATTTATTACTAAACTTAATCTGAGGATGATGTTTTGTTCTTGATGGGCGGGTTTTGTAAACTAAAATGATAATGTCAAAGCATCCAGTAAACATTTGCTGTTGCTGATTTATTTTCATGTGCTGTGTTGATGGTTAGGATAAATCTTAGTGTGACCCTTAGATACAGCTGTTCAGAGTTCTGATTCCAAATTCAGTTTATTTTCACACTTGATTTTTTTTTTTTTTTTTTTTTGGTAGAGGATTCATTCTCTTGCTTTGTTGCCAAAGCTGGTCTTGAACTCCTGGTTTCAAGTGGTCCTCCCACTTCTGCCTCCCAAGTGCTCAGATTACAGGCATGAGCCATAGGACCCAGCCAGATACTTGATTTTAATGACTTACATGACTGAAAAAAAGGTACCTTCGGAGATTCACAGATCCTAATGGAAAAACTGATGCTAATTGAAGAATTGCTGTACTCCTACTGTTTCAATTCTAAATGATCAATTATGCAAAGAATTTTGTTGAACTCAGCAATGACATTCCTTTCATTCCTGATCTCAATTAGTTTTTCTATTATGGCTAATTGACATTGCATATATACACACAATTAGGTTTAAAATTCAGTTTTTCAAGCTCTTTGTTCAGAAGACTTAGATTGGTTGGAATAGTCTTTTCATGTTTTTAAACATTTTGTAAACTATATAGATAATGACTTAAAAAATAAGCAATGTTTTTAATAGACATTGTTTTCAGCAACAAAATCATGGAACAATGGAAACATTTCCAAATACAGTTTTTCAAATGTTCTCCTCATAGTACAAGTAGTCTTTGAAAAGTGGTTGCTTTCTTACTCATTATTAAAGTGCTATCTTTATTTTGAAAAGACAGATTAAGTATGTTTTGTTTTTTGGAAAATATCTGCTAGGTAGCATGTACTACTGATAGTCATTGTCATAAATACATAAATAGTCAGTGGAGAATTCTTCTCTGTGTAAAAGGAAAATGCTTATCTTTAAATCCAACCCTTAAACACTTGGCCATAGGAGAAACCAGGAAACCAGAAGGTAATTGCCATTCACTTTCTCTTTACAAAGATTCTACTGTTTAAAGGTCTGGTTTTATTCTATAGAATGTATGTGGAAATGTTTCAGTGTGCAGAAGTGGAAGGAACATCCAACTGAGGGCACCACTCTTAATCCTTCTCTGTTGTGGAACTACTAGTTTTCTCTTTGTACCAGTTTGATATGTGGCTTGAAGGAAGGTGCCAGTGCCCATTTGTATATTAAATATAAGTACAACTTTTCAATCTAAATTTGGAAAATTTAATATAGAATGTCTCATTTTCCTCTCACATCCTTATGAATCATCTGATAATACTTTAGGATATATGCATCCAGTTTTGGAGATTACTACCTTAAACGTGGCATGAAGTGGAGGGAGAAATAGAGGCAAGGGGTTTGGGATTGTTCCATCATTGGAATAGACTGTCTAAAAATTTCATAAACTCCTTGTCCCTAGAAGTGGTTGAAATGGCAAAATGTTGAAAGGAGGAAATTCTATTTGGGGTGGGAAGTTGGATTTAATGACTCATTCCTTTTTAACTCTATGACTGTGCCTTTATTTTTGATTTTTAAATGGAATTTCTTTCATTAATCGATTCAGTACATTTATTGAGCTCTTAGCATGTGCCACTGTGAGGGGCTGGGGGATATAGCAGTGAACTAAACAAAGACCCTTTTCTTACAGGAGCTCAAGAAGATACACATTAACAATTTATTACACTGAGGCCTTTTATTTTATTTTTTTTTTGAGACAGGGTCTCACTCTGTCACCCAGACTGGAGTGCAGTGGCGTGATCTAGGCTTACTGCAGCCTCAACCTGCTAGGCTCAAGCGATCCTCCTACCTCTCCTCCCCTCCCTGCAGTAGCTGGGACTACAGGTGCATGCCACCACACCTGGCTACTTTTTGTATTTTTTGTAGAGACGGGATTTCGCCATGTTGCCCAGGCTGGTCTTGAACTCCTGGACTCAAGCAGTCTGCCCATGTCGGCCTCCCAAAGTGCTGGGATTACAGACGTGAGCCACCACGCCTGGCCACTGAGGCCTTTTAACTTCAGTTTAAGAATGTTTCGATTGCTGCTTATATTCTCTTGGTGTTTAATAAAATTATCTTCAGTTCAAGAAACATTGATTACTGATTATTTGTCAAAGGTCACCTGGAGACTAGAGTGTTACCTTCACTTTTTCTGTTTATATGCGTGAAACTCATTGATGATAATTGAAAGCAAAATACCCTTAAACAGAAGAATAAAAAGCTCTAAAGGACTCTATGGTGGGGCATTTATTTGCTGAGTAGTTCAGGTGTCTCCACTTTTAGTTTAAGAGTTATTTTCTCGTTAGCATAGTGGTGACTAAAAAAAAAAAAATACTTGATAGGACTGGTGAGGAAACACTTCATAGGACTGGTGTGGAAAATGTTGCTTGAGCCAAGTAGGTTGAGAATTTTTACTACTCATATACTATAGTAGCCTTGGATTTTCCCAGAATGACTGAATTTCAAGGTACCTTATGCTACAAGATATATGGGATTTTGCTCAAGTGGTTATAAGACTGGGCATAAATATAACCTATTTAAACATCTTATACTTAGGGAAATTATTTTGTAGCTTAGTGGTGCAATGTAAATTCTGGAACTGTTGACTCTCCAAAACTGTTAACATTTATCAGTTTTTTTCTTTTTTTCCTTTTCTTTCTTTAGAGACAGTCTCTGTTACCTAGGCTGGAGTACAGTGGTGTGATCAGCTCACTGCAGCCTCAAACTCATGGGTTCAAGCGATCCTCCAATCCAGCCTCCTGAGTAGGTGGGGACTACTGATGTACACCACCACACCCAGTTAATTTCTTTTAATTTTTGTAGAGACCGGATTTCACTATGTTGCCCAGGCTGATCTTGACCTCCTGGGCTCAAGTGATCCTCCCACCTCAGCCCCCCCCAGTTTCTGGAATTACAGGCATGAGCCACCGTACCAGGCCCCTTTAATATTACTCTTCACTGCTGTAATAAACCTTTTTGTATTTAGAGGTTTAACTTTATTTCAACTTCTCTGCCACAAAATTGGGACGAAAACTTGGTGTTTACTGAGAAGAGAGTTCCATCAAGTCCCGTTTCTCTCATAGTTGTCTAAGGTTGACAGTTTGCAGAAGCTAAGTCATTGCCTCCATATGTTTTAAACACTGTTAGGTTTTTAATAGTTCATTTTTACTATACAATTAATATATGCTCATTACAAAAAATTCAAACAGTAAAGAAATATATGAGGTATGAAGTAATAGAGCTTAATCCCATCTCTTCCAGAGATAACAATATGGTACAAAAGTTTCAAACTTTTAGTTGTGGAAATACTTAATACATGAAGCAAGCAGTTCTACTTACCTTTTGAAGTCTTTTATGATGGGCCATTTTTTTAATGGAATGTGTCAAACATTCTTAAAAAAAAAAAACTATGAAAAAATCTGAAAAACACAAGTAGAGGGAAGAACCTTGATGACCGTAACTTGTGGTACCTAGTTGATGGTGAAATAGGAAATTCTAGAGAAGGAGCAGGTTTTCTCCACTGTCTGGAGTTGGGAGTGGGAGGAGGAGATTGAGATTGGACAGAGAATAAGTTTTACTATATTGATTTTTGAGGGGGCTTTAGAATGTGGGGGCTTTAGATCCAGGTAGAGAAGCTCAGGAGGCACTGGGAATATACGTATAGGAAGATTGCAGTTGTAAAGATATGGGAGTTATCAGAGTATCAATAGTGAATAACAGTGGCAGGAGATGGAACTGCACAAAGTGCGTGGGTAGTAAGTAGATCAGCTTGAGAAACAAAAAAGGCCGAAGATGAAACTTAGATGAACTCCAACATTTTAAATTGTAAAGGATCAGAAAAAAGATTGAGAGAGTGAAGTGTTACAGAAGTCAAGGGAAGTTAGAATTTCAAAAAAGGTGAGTGGTCCTAGGAACTAGGTAGAGATGAGAATTCAATAAAGATGAGGACTAAATATTGTTTATTGCATTTGTCATTTTAATGGTGGTTACAAGCAGTTTCAGAGGAGCTGAGGGTTAGAAGGTCGCTTGTAGTTTGCAGTTTGAGCAGATAACTACCTTGACAGAGAAAATGGGGTTGATGGCTAGGGGGAACATGGAGCAAGGTTAGGGGTTTTAGTTTACTTTTGAAAATAATAATGATCATTTATTAAATACCTTCCATCTCTATATACTGTACTGTGTGGGTGCTTTTACATACATTATTTTACTCTAAATTGGGTACTAACTTTCTGTTTACTGTGAGGTTAAATAACTTACTCAAGCTTAGTATTAAACAGTGCAGCAAGGTTTGAAACCTGTCTTTCTGACTTTATATTTTTTTTTTGTACACCACACTGCCCCAGATTCAAGAAACTTGAGCTTCTCAGACATAACAGCACTGGGTTCACCTGGGAATTTGCTAACATTCAGGCTTCTGGCCCCTTCCATACAGATTTTGGCTCTAGAAATTCAAGAATCTGCATTTTTAATAAACATCCTAGGAGATTCTGATACATGTGATCCTTGACTGCATTTTTAAAAATACTTGCACTAAAGGAATGGAGAGTTTTTCCATTGCGTTTTAAAAGCTTGTTCTATGAGCCAGCCCCCAAACCAGTACTACGTTAAAAAAAATTATGATATGTTAACACATGATTTTGCTTAGCCTCCTGCAAAATCTTCCATGTGAAAATACATTTCTCTTTTTTGTGGGTTTCCGCAGTGATTAATTGAAGACCTTTTGCAAGTTACTTAGTTTTTCTGATCCTCAATTGCCATATTTGTAAAGTAGGCACAAAAATACCTAATTCGGAGGGTTATTATGAAGATTTAATGCAGGTGTAAATGTAGGTATAAAATAGTACACTCTAGTGTCCTGTTTGTAGTAGGTGCTGATGAAATGTTAATCTAAATTAGCTCATGCACTTTTTTTTTTTTTTTTGAGCCGCATTCTTGCTCTGTCACCCAGGTTGGAGTGCAGTGGCGTGATCTCAGCTCACTGCAAGCTCCGCCTCCCGGGTTTATGCCATTCTTCTGCCTCAGCCTCCCGAGTAGCTGGGACTACAGGCTCCCACCCCGACGCCTGGCAAATTTTTTTGTATCTTTAGTAGAGACGGGGTTTCACCATGTTAGCCAGGATGGTCTCCATCCCCTGATCTTGTGTTCCCCCGCCTCTGCCTCTCAAAGTGCTGGGATTACAGGTGTGAGCCACCGCCCTCAGCCAGCTCATGCGCGTTTTTATGCTCTGTCTTATCTCGATTTGAATTCTGATGCCTTGGTTTAAACTAATAAAGATGTATTCTTTGCCTAGTTAATCTATGGAATTACGTATTAAGAAGAAATATATAATTTAATGTTTGCTTTTTTTTCATATTGTCAAGCACACCTTGAGTTCCTTTATAGAGCTCATCATTGTACTAGGTAGGTACTGTGAAAGATAAAGACCAATGGCCCGCATTTAAAAAGTGTTTGCTTAGTACCAGGAACTATTAATATGTTGGTAGTTTTACATATATTACCTCATTAATGGTCACAGTAACTCTGTGGAGTTACTATTTCTATTTTATGGACCAGGAAATTGAGACTTGGAAATTAAGGATTTGTTCAGAGCCACCCAGCTAGCTAGTAAGTAACCTGAACATATGCTGTTTTAAAGGAGTGGGCTTCTCACACCTGCAACTATCTGATCTTTGACAAACCTGACACAAACAAGCAATGCGGAAAGGATTCCCTGATGGTGCTGGGAGAACTGGCTAGCCCTATGCAGAAAATTGAAACTGGACCCCTTCCTTACACCATATACAAAAATCAGCTCAAGATGAATTAAAGACTTAATTATAAAACCCCAAGCTATAAAAACCCTAAAAGAAAATCTAGGCAGTACCATTCAGGACATAGGCATGGGCAAAGATTTCATGATGAAGAAGCAAAAAGCAATTGCAACAAAAGCAAAAACTGAGAAATGGTTATCTAATTAAAGAGCTTCTGCACAGCAAAAGAAACTGTCATCAGAATGAACAGACAGCCTACAGAATGGGAGAAAATTTTTGCAAGCTATCCGTCTGACAAAGGTCTAAAATTCAGCATCTGTAAGGAACTTAACAAATTTACAAGAAAAAAACAACCCCATTAAAAAGTGGGCAAAGGATGTGAACAGACACTTCTGAAAAGACAACATACATGTGACCAACAAATGTGGAAAAAAAAGCTCAACATCACTGTCATTAGAGAAATGCAAATCAAAACCACAATGAGATACCATCTCGCACCACTCAAAATGGCTATTATTAAAAAGTAAAACAACAACAATAACAACAAAAACAAAACACACGGGCTGGTGAGATTGTGGAGAAAAAGGAATGCTTTTACACTGTTGATGGGAGTGTAAATTAGTTTAACCATTATGGAAGACAGTGTGGCGATTCCTCAGAGACCTAGAGGCAGAAATACCATTTGACCTAGCAACCTCATTACTGGGTATATACCCAAAGGAATATAAATTGTTCTATTATAAAGATATATGCACGCTTATGTTCATTGCAGTACTGTTGACAATAGCAAAGACACGGAATCAACCCAAATGCCCATCAGTGATAGACTGGATAAAGAAAGTATACATACACACAGTGGACTACTATGCAGCCATAAAAAGGAATGAGATCATGTCCTTTGCAGGCACGTGGATGGAGCTGGAAGCCGTTATCCTTGGCAGACTGATGCAGGAACAGAAAACCAAATACTGCATGTTCTCAAGTGGGAGCTGAATGATGAGAACACATGGACACATGGTGGGAACAACACCCACTGTGGCCTGTCAGAGGGTGAGGAGTGAGAGCATCAGGAAGAATAGCTAATGGATACTGGGCTTAATACTAAGTGATGGGATGATCTGTGCAGCAAACCACCATGGGACACATTTACGTATGTAACAAACCTGGATGTACTACACATGTATCCCTGAACTTAAAAGTTGGAAAAAATAAATGAAGGAGTGGTCTTTAACCATGTTTGCTCAATTATCTCTGAAATTTTTTTTAAAAAACTACATATTCCTTGTATGTTTAAAATTGACTTACTTTTTATTATAATTTTAAATAGTTGTAGAGAATAACTTGTTTAAATATTGATATTAAAATATAACTTTTTTCATCCAGTGGGATTTAAAAATCGTACACATTATCCGTTAAAAAATGCTTGAACAATCTCTTCATTAAAGTTGGAAATTTAACATCGTGTCTTTTTCCATTGAACTCCTGTGTCCATTTTACTTTGCAAGATTCCATTGTAATTTATATAGTTTATGCTTGTCTTTTATTGATCATGCTGCCATTTCTCTACAATAAAAACATATAAATTGAAATTGTTTATATTAAATTTTTTCTGTTGGCATTAGGCTTTCTTTTGCATTAAGCAAATATTTTCTAGTGTAACATTTTAATTCCTTTAATGATTTATATATATATATATATAAAATATGAAATTTTTTTGAGACAGATTCTCACTGTTTCGCCCTGGCTGGAATGCAGTGGCACAATCTCGGCTCTCTGCAACCTCAGCCTCCCAGGTTCCAGCGATTCTCGTACCTCAGCCTCCCGAGTAGCTGAGACTACAGGCCCATGTCACCATGCCTGGCTAATTTTTTGGGTTTTTAGTAGAGACAGGGTTTTACCATGCTGCCTAGGCTGGTCTTGAACTCCTGAGCTCAGGCAATCTGCCCACCTTGGCCTCTCAAAGTGCTAGGATTACAGGTGGGAGCCACCATGCCCAGCCCAGTATGTATTTTTAAATTGTTTCTTAGTGGTTGCTCTAGGGCTTACTATATTCATTTTATCAGTACAGTCATGTGTTGCTTAACGACAGGGATATGTTCTGAGAAATGGGTCATTAGGCAGTTTTGTTGTGTGAACGTCATAGTGTACTTGCCTAAACCCAGTGGTATAGCCTACTGTATACCTAGGCTATAGGGTACAGCCTATTGCTCCTAGGCTATACACCTGCACAGCATGTTACTGAATACTGTAGGCAACTGTGACACAATGGTATTTGTGTATCTAAACATAGAAAAGGTATGTACAAATATGGCATAAAATATAAAAAATAAAAATTTTAAAAAGATAAAAATTGATATGGCTGTATGGGGCACTTACCATGAATGGAGCTTGCAGGACTAGAAATTCCTCTGAGTGAGTCAGTGAGTGAATGTGAAGGCCTAGGACATCACTGTCCACTACTGTAGACTTTATAAACACTGTACACTTCGGCTAGAATAAACACTGTACACTTCGGCTAGACTATATTAATAAAGACATCTTTTTTTTTTCAATAATAAGTTAACCTGAGGTTACAGTAACTTTATAAACTTTAAAAAAATTTTTGAACTTTTTGTTTCTTTTGTAATAACATTTAGCTTAAACACACATTGTACAGCTATGCAAAAATACTTTTTCTTTATATTCTTATGCTATAAGCATTTTTTTGTATTTTTAATTTTTTTTTTTAATTTTTAAACTTTTTTGTCAAAAACTAAGACGCAAAAAAACACAGCCTAGGCCTACACAGGGTAAGGATCATCAATGTCACCACCTTCTACCTCCACATCTTGTTCCACTGGAAGGTCTTCAGGAACAGTAACATGCATGGAGCTGTCCTTTCCTATGATAACAATGCCTTCTTCTGGGTACCTCCTGAAAGAACTGCCTGAGCCTGTTTTACAGTTAACTTTTTTTTTTTTAAAGTAGGAGTATACTCTAAAATAATGATTAAATTGTATAGTATAGGTATTAAAACAGAAGCCGGTAGCATAGTTGTTTATTATCACCCTCGAGTATTATGTACTGTGTATAACTGTTTGTGCTAGACTTATGACTGGCAGAGCAAGAGGTTTATTTACACCAGCATCACCACAGACATGTGAGTAATGTGTTGTGCTACATTGCCTTATGATGGCTGCGATGTCACTAAGGTGATAGGAATTTTTCAGCTCCATTATAATCTTACAGGACCACTATCCTATACATGGTCTGTCATTGACCAGATGTCCTTCTGTGATGCATAACTTTATTTCCTTCAGATAATCATGGGGCTTTAAGTGTTACTTTTCTTCTGGATTGTGTTGTAATTACAATTATTGTTAAGTGTATAGTTGATCAAAACAGTATAAATTTATGCATTTTGATAAGCATAAAAATTTTTTTTTCTTTTTTTTTTTTTTGAGACAAGGTCTTGCTGTGTCACCCAGGCTTGGGTGCAGTGGGTGATCACAGCTCAACCGCAGCCTTGACCTCCTGGGATCAAGCGATTATCCCCACCTTAGCCCGCCAAGGAGCTGGGACTACAGGCACGGGCTACCATGCCATCTAATTTTTTTTTTTTTTTTTGAGACGGAGTCTTGCTCTGCCGCCCAGGCTGGAGTGCAGTGGCGCGATTTCGGCTCACGGTAACTTCCGCCTCCCGGGTTCAAGTGATTCTCCTACCTCAGCCTCCCGAGTAGCTGGGATTAAAGGCGTGGGCCACCATGCCTGGCTAATTCTTGTACTTTTAGTAGAGACAGGGTTTCACCATGTTGGCCAGGCTGGTCTCAAACTCCTGACCTCAGGCAATCTGCCTGCCTCAGCCTCCCAAAGTGCTGAGATTACAGGCTTGAGCCACTGCGCCTGGCCAATTTTTGTATTTTTTGTAGAGACGAGTTTCACCATGTCTCCCAGGATGGTCTCAAATTCCTGGACTCAAGCAATCCTTCTGCCTCAGTCTCCAAAATTGCTGGGACTACTGGCATGAGCCACTGTACCCAGCAAACATAAAAACTTTTACTGGAAATAAATTTCTTAATGATAGAGGTTGGTTGTGATCCCCTCCTCCCTAATTTGTTAGTGCATCCATAGGTGAATATACTTATAGCTGGAATTCAGCAGGGCTCGGCACACATTTTATTCTAAATTAAAATGTAGATACAAGCTTGAGAAATACTGATGTTATAAATCAGTAGATGAGAATTGAGAGATTTTGCAGGAGCAACATCACTGAGTTCTTTGAATTTCTGAGTGTCATGCCAAAAAAAGTATAAGATGGGAAAAGATAGAAAATGTACTGCTGGCCCTGTCTGGAGGTTTTTATACCTTAGACAGTACATAAGGGAGAATTTCTGAAGAGAGGAAGAATATGGCTATTTTGGCTAAATGGGAGAAGGAAGATTGTACAAGGAACTATGGGACAGGAGACCCAGCATGATGCCACCACTGTCTGTAGTCTTCTCAGTCCATTTTAGGAAAGAATATGTTTGGATGCTTATACCTTAAAACCATCCATGCCCATGTACTACTGGGAAAGTCTTTAGGATTATGCAAATGTCAGCATGAAGAAAGCCTTTTAAAGTAGTGATCTCCAAAAATAAAACGAGCCGATCAAGTCTCACTATTCAACACTAGGGTACAGACAAAGAATTATACTACCCTATGCAATATAGCATGCAGGAAGCACTTTACATATAAGCTGGCGTTTAATAAATATGTTATTTTAATTTGAAAAGTAAATTGTCTTTTAAAAATCGCATTTACGTTCTTTCTGTCTGTCTCCTGTTGTAGTCTGGTTTGCTCCACCATGCCACTGAAATTGCAGTTAATGGGATCACTAGTACTTTAAATATTACTGATTTCAGTAGACATTTAAAAATCTTTGACTTCTTGTTAGCTTTTGTTGAGCTTGACCACTCTTCTCTGTCATGTTGTTCTTCCATGATTTTCTGGGACATGAACCTCTTTCAATTTTCCTTCTATGTCTCTGTTTGCTTTTTTCTAGTTTCTTCTGCAGGCTCCTCTTTCATAACCCTTTTCTTAAATATTGGTGTCTATGAGTTCTGTCTTAAGCCACCTCTCATTTTACACTGTATAAGTTCCCAAACATTTCTCTCCTCGTGCTGTGGCTTCAGTTACCCATTTGTTTATTATTTTATTATTTTTTTGAGACAGGGTCTTACTAAGTTGCTCAGACTGGAGTATAGGGGCACAGTCTTGGCTCACTATAACCTCTGCCTCCCGGGCTTAAGCATTCCTCCCACCTCGGCTTCTCAAGTAGCTGGGATTACGGGTATGTGCCACTACACCTGGTTAATTTTTGAATTTCTTGTAGAGTCAGGGTTTTGATGTGTTGCCCAGGCTGGTCTCAAACTGCTCAGCTCAAGATCCTCCCGCCTTGGCTTCCCAGTGTTGGAGTTAAAGGCGTGAGTCACCATACCTGACCTACCCTCTGTGTTTGTAATGTTAATCTGTATCTCCCACCCAGATGGCTCTCCTGAGCTCTAGCTGGAGGAAGCTCCAGCTTCCTCCTTAGCACCTCTACCTAGATGTCTCCTTAAATGTGTACTTTGGAAGTGAACTTCTCATCTTCCCTCTAACCTGCTTCCCTGTGTTTCTGTATCTCAGTAAATGACACCTCTATCTAAGCAATTGCCCAAGCCAGCCTCCTAAGTGTCATTCATAATTCTTTCTTTCTTTTACCCCTCATGATGCCAATTAATCATTCTACTTCCTAAATATGTTACAAAAATTTATCCACTTGTGACTGTCCTCAGTGTTGCTATCTGTGCCAAACCAGCCTCTCTAGCTTCTATTACTCATAACAGCCTTCCTGCTGGCATCTTCCCTTCATGCTGTACATGGCAACTGAAGGGGCCCACTCAAAGTTTGAATCTCATCATGGCGTCCTTGCTTAAAGCCCTTCAGTGGCTTCACATCACCCTTAAGATAAATTTCAGACGCTTTAACATGCATTACAAGGCTCTTTGGATCCTACTCCTCTTTATCTACATAGCCTTGTCTCTGGGTCTTCGCCCTGGCACACTGAAGCCTAAAGCAACTTTTCTTTTTCAAATACTGCGATGTATCAAATATGCCTGCATGTATTTCTTTGACTTCTGCTTTCTTTGAATCCTTCCACATGCTTTGTTTTTGCCTGGACCATTTTGCCTGATTAACTCCTTCTGGTCTTCTGGTCCCAGCTTAAAATAGCACTCCTTCAAGTGGGCTGCCTTGAATCTGCAGGTTAGGTTCTATTATGTGTTCAAATAGCACAGTGTGTTTCCTCTGTATATAATCATCACACTTTAATTACTTGTCTCTTTCATGGTATACTATCTTGTAAGCTTAGTGAGGACCGAGATCATCTTTATCTTGGTCTCTGCTTTCTTTTTAATTTTTAACTTTTAATTTTTGTGGGTACATAGTAGGTATATATATTAATGGGGTACGTGAGATATTTGACACAGGCATACAATGCCTAATAATTACATCAGGGTAAAAGGGGTATGCATCACCTCAAGCATTTATCCTTTGTGTTACATATAATTCAGTTGTGCTCTTTTAGATATTTAAAAATGTACAATAAATTATTGACTGTAGCCACCTTGTTGTACTATTAATTACTAGATCTTACTCATTTTTTTTTTTTTTTGAGATGGAGTCCCCTGTCGCCCAGGCTGGAGTGCAGTGGCTCACTGCAGCCTCCGCCTCCTGGGTCCAAGTGATTCTTTTGTTTCAGCCTCCCAAGCAGCTGGGATTACAGGCACGTCCTACCACGCCTGGCTAATTTTTGTAATTTTAGTAGAGACGGGATTTCACCATGTTGGCCAGGCTGGTCTCGAACTGCTGACCTCGAGAGATCTGCCCGTCTCAGCCTCCCAAAGTGCCGGGATTATAGGTGTGAGCCACCATGCCTGGCCCTTGGGCTTATTCATTTTAACTATATTTTTGTACCCATTAACCATCCCTGCTACCCTACTACCATTCCCACCCTCTGGTAACCATCCTTCTGCTATCACCATGAGTTCAATTGTTTTAATTTTTAGCTTCCATAGATAAGTGAGAACATGCAAAGTTTGTTTTTCTGTGCCTGGCTTATTTCATATAACATAATGACCTCTAGTTCCATTCATGTTGTTGCAAATGACAGGATCTTATTCATTTTCATGGCTGAATAGTACTCCATTGTGTATATGTACCACATTTTCTTTATCCATTCATCTGTTAATGGACACTTAGGTTGCTTCCAAATCTTGGCTATTGTGAATATTGCTGCAGTAAACATGGGAGCGTGGATATCTCTTCCATAAACTGATTTCCTTTTTTGGGGGCTATACCTAACAGTGGGATTGCCGAATCATATAGTAGTTCTATGTTTAGTTTTTTTGAGGAACCTCCAAATTGTTCTCCATAGTGGGTGTAATAATTTACAATTCCACCAACAGTGTATGAGGGTTGCCTTTGCTCCACATCCTCTCCAGCATTTGTTAATTGCCTGTCTTCTGGATAGAAGCCATTTTAACTGTAGTGAGATGATATCTCATTGTAGTTTTCATTTGTGTTTCTCCGATGGTCAGTGATGTTGAGCACCTTTTCACATGCCTGTTTGCCATTTTATGTCTTCTTTTGAGGAATGTCTATTCAAATCATTTGCCCATTTCTTAGTAGGATTATTAGATTTTTTTCCTGTAGAGTTGTTTGAGCTCCTTATATGTTCTGATTAGTAATCCTGGGTCAGATAGATAGTTTGCAAATATTTTCTGCCATTCTGCGGGTTATCCCTTCACTTTGTTAATTGTGTCCTTTGCTGTGCAGAAGCATTTGTCCACTTTTGCTTTGATTGCCTGTACTTGTGGAAGTCTCTGCTTTCTTTATACCTAGTGCCTAACATGTGTGGGCATATTTGACACCTTTGAATAAGTTCACAACTTTGTGTTCTTGTTCTTGTGATTCATAATGAACCTGTTTTTTCTCCTTAGTGTCTCAATGAGATCTTGGAGTCAGCAGATGCACCCTTAGAAGTCACTGAAGGATTCATTCAGTCAATTTCCCTGTCAGTTCCATGGGGCTCTTTACTGCAGGATAATTGTGCACTGGAAGTGAGAGGATTAGAAATGGTCTTCCGGCCTAGACCTCGCCCAGGTTGGTGTGTTGTATGTTTCTGTTTTATGTGTTTTTATTCTTCAGAGACTGGGAAAGTAACCTGATTACCTTAAATTTAGTATTTTTGCTTTGTATTTGTGAAATTTTCAGTTGATAATACATTACGACTTGGCTCTTTGTAGAATGTGCATGTTTACAAATTTAGAGTTGTTTCTTTCCCCGATTTTTCACAGAAACTTTAGTATACAGATTGTTTGGTTTATTTAATTATTTGTTATCAGTTATCTAAAATGAGACTTGGGTTTTAAAGATTCAAAAAGTATTGTGCCAGAAAGCAAAGAAGAATGCTCAAAGATTGTTGGAAAAATGTTAAAGGGACACAGGATTGAGTGTCAGGGGGCTTCCCTTGGCCATATTTGGGAAAATTTGAGTATTACAAAGAATGATGACAATAATGGTTTATAACACATGAAATAAAAAATCTCTAGGACCATACTGATACAGATAAATCAGTATGTAAGGTGGACAGGGAGAAGGAATGCTCTTCTTTATAGCAGAATAGCTACTTATAAATAGAGAAAAAAATGATAGAATTAGATAGAATTGACAATCTAGGTGACAGGTATGTTGGTATGCAATGACAGAATTATAATCCCAAGTACTGCCCAAAACATGAAAGTTTAAATTATATTTAGTAGAATTAAAGTGAAACTCTGTATTTTGAAAACCGATTATGCATGCATGGAAATCGTCTTTAGTAATCTGGCATTTAATTTACAAGAATATTCTATCTTTTAACTATGATGAGTGGATATAATATTTTTCTATGGGAAGGCAAACTTTCAAATATTTTTCTCTTTAAAGCATTCCATTAGAAAGACTTTTAAATTCCATTTTGGAAGGCAGTAATTCTTGCAATCTCTGTCACTTTGCTTTGAATAATGTAGGGAGGTGTGGGGAGAATTTTCTCATGAGGGAAGATCTGGAAATGATTTTTCACATCTCATATGTTTCCTCCTCCAAGGATGCTCTTTTATTTTATCTACATATATACTAATTTCCAAAGCCTGTATCATCTACTACTTCTGCCACATTTCCTGTTAATTTTCTCAGCTAGAAGGAAATAATTAACTAAAGAAGAATTAACCTCTTCTTTTAGCTTTCATAATGTTTTCTGTTGACATTCAATAGTTGTCTACTAATCGTATCTTATTTCTTTAACTATATAGTAGGTTCTCTGAGGGCAGAATTTACTATTATTTTTTCTACTTTCAACAGCAGGGTTAGTAAACTATAACCTGCAGGCCAAATTGGTCCTGTCGTCTGTTTTTGTTAATAAAGTTTTATTGGAACACAGCCATGCTTATTTGTTTATTTACTTTAATGGCTGTTTTGTGCTATAATATGAGAGTTGAGAAGTTGTGATACAGACCATATGGCCCACAAAATATAAAATATTTACTGTCTGACCCTTTACAGAAAAAAGTATGTCAACCCCTGCTTATAATATTTAGAACAGTTCCATGCATCTGTAGGATATCCATTAAGTATTTGTTGAATGAATACATGAATTGATATTTGGTAAAATATAACATGTTGTGAGAGCACATTCTCTGGACTTTTTTCTGTGATCTTTTTTTCCTTCTTGGTTATTATAAGGTGATTTTAAATCTCAAGAGTACTTTCTAGAATATTGTTTACCTGGGTAACATCATGATGTTAAAAATCTCTTAAAAGATTAAGAATTTGTCTATTTGAAATGTATTATTTTAAGAACTGGCATTGTTGTAACTCTTAAGAAATTATTTAGGATTAATTTATATTTTCCACAGCAACTGGTTCTGAGCCTATGTATTGGTCAAGTTTTATGACCAGCAGTATGCAATTGGCAAAAGAATGTCTTAGCCAGAAACTAACAGATGAACAAGGAGAAGGATCCCAGCCTTTTGAAGGACTTGAAAAGTTTGCTGAAACCATTGAAACAGGTTTGGTGTTACTGAGAATTTTCAAAAATTTAGATTTGATTTAGTAGTTTTGTACCTTCATGTAATAAGCTTTGTATAAGGCAAATCCATTGGAATGGATTTTTAAAAGAATTACTGTTCCCACTTCAGAACTTTAGAATTGAGGTATTTTAAATATTCCATTTAATTGCATGTTGTTTTTTTTTTTGTACCTTAGTTTCTCCATTTATTATGCTTGCATAGTGAATGGATTAGAATATAACAGATAGTGTTAGTCGTTGTCCCAAGCATCTGTTGAGATGTAACATGGTTAAGTGCTCAGTAAGACAAAATATTTATTACAAAACTCAGGATTTAAGGATTTTAATGGAAAGAAATTCAGCTTCTTTATTTTGTAAACAAAAGTTCTTATCAAACTAGTACTTATTTATTTCTTTGGAGGTTTTTATTTAGCATATATGTGGTCTCTTACGTTGACAATTACTTGTTTACTTTAGTACTAAGAAGAGTAAAAGTCACTTTTATAGATACTGTTTTGAGAATTGAACATGTGCCAGAAAATTCCAAAACTGGAACTGCACTTGAAATTCGAATAGAAAGGTAAGAATTCTTATGTCTGAAAATAAATGACCCTATTGTAACTCTGATATTACATTTTCAGGGAGGTTTTGGAGATTAGAGCTAATGATATGAAAATATTGCATAATTTCAGAGTAAAGTGCTGCTCTTCAAGTTATTTGCTAATTTTATTATTCTAATTCCCTTATTGAAAACTTGAAAGTGCCAGTTGGGGTATAATTATATATAATACCATGTTGAATTTAAAGCAAGTTATTCTGTTTTAGTTAATATCAGATCAGAATAATAAGCATTTGAGTGCCACTGAATTTAAGGCTTTCCTGTGGGAAAGTTTCAGTTTTTTCATATTAACAATGCAATATTTAGGCATATTTCATTAACGTGAAAGACATTTTTGTTTTGCTGTGCTTAATCTAAGTGCTGCTTTAGTGAGAAAGGCTAAGGCCACTGTTTTGAGGATCCTCTACGGATTATTTTAAGGTTAATATGTGCAATATTTACTTAAAAAAATATAAGTACGTTGCTTTTAGTTTTTTGCATATGCCCACTTGAAGCTCTTATACATAGCTGTAAAGCAAGGTTAATTTACATACATACACCTAAGCATTGATTTGAGGCAGTAACTGGTCACCCGTGTGTTAATGCTGTATGAACTGCCAACAGAAATGAGCAGGATGAAGCGTGTACACTGCATGAGCACCAGAGACACTTCGTACATGGATCTACTGGGGGTCTCTACTGAATTTTAAGCAGCTGTGTTAAGATTTCTGTCTTTCACAAAACACCTATTAGTAAAACAGTTATTGTTAGCAGATCTTTGGAATAAGGGTCCATTGCCTTAAATAGTAGATTTAAAAAAATCTAAAATTTCATGCATTTAGAACCACCTTATGTGTTTTGTTTAAACTGAAAATTAGTCACATATAGGAATTCAAGAAACGTCATTTGTGACTTGGAGCCAAATGCTGTCACACTGTTACCAAGAGATGTTTTGTGGGGGAGTACAGGAATTGTTTTCCTTAAAACTAACTTAAGGGAGTTATTAATTTTTTTCTCTCAATTTAAGCCTCATAAAGTTACCTTTTTGGAGTTAAGACCTCTTCATGAAAATATTTATGGTAGTAAAGCATGGTGAGACTGACCATATTATAGGCATATTCTAAGAAGTGCTAACACTTGAAAAAACCCCTTAACTTAAAAAAGCTATGTGCGTTTCTTATTGTAAATAGGTTTTCCTAGGAGATTTTATTTATTTATTTATTATTATTATTATACTTTAAGTTTTAGGGTACATGTGCACAATGTGCAGGTTAGTTACATATGTATACATGTGCCATGCTGGTGCGCTGCACCCCTAGGAGCTTTTTGTAAATGCTTTTTAAAAAAATTTCAGAACTGTGTACTGTGATGAAACTGCTGACGAATCCTCAGGAATTAATGTGCATCAACCCACTGCTTTTGCTCACAAGTTACTTCAGCTCTCTGGAGTGTCTCTCTTCTGGGATGAGTTTTCTGCATCAGCCAAATCTTCCCCAGTGTGTTCAACTGCACCAGTGGTAAGAAAAAACAAAAACCCTAAAACCATAATCATAGATTTTTTAAAAGGTTTAAATGGGGGCTATTAAATTTTGCTAGGATGTATAATATGTCTTAATGAATCTCTGTCTTGAGATTTAATGCAAATATTCAGTAATGGTAATATATGTTTCAGAGATTTGAAAATACTAATATTTATATTCCTACCAGTGTGCTGTGTATTAGTTTGAAAGAGAAATGTTGGGTACTGTATCTTGGGGGAAAATGGTGTAGAAGTTGAGTATCTCTTATTCAAAATGCTGGGACTGTGTTTCAGATTTTTGAATATTTTTATAGACATAATGAGGTATCTTGGGGATGAGACCCAAGTGTAAATACAAAACTCATAAAACTCATTTATGTTTGTTTTTTTTTTTTTTTTGGAGAGAGTCTCTTGTCGCCCAGGCTGGTGTGCAGTGGCGCAATCTCGACTCACTGCAACCTCCACCTCGCAGGTTCAAGGGATTCTCCTGCCTCAGCCTCCTGAGTAGCTGGGATTACAGGCACATGCTACCATGCCCGGCTAATTTTTGTATTTTTAGTAGAGACGGGGTTTCGCAACGTTGGCCAGGCTGGTCTCGAACTCCTGACCTCAGGCGATCCACCTGCCTCAGCCTCCCAAAGTGCTGAGATTACAGGCGTGAGCCACCACGTCTGGCCCATTTATGTTTCATATATGCCTTATACACATAGCCTGAAGGTAATTTTATACAATATTTTCAATAATTTTGTGCATGAAACAAATATTTGACTGCAGCCCATCACGTGAGGTCAGGTGTATTTTCCTGACCTTGTGGGAGTGTCATGTTGGCACTCAAAAAAGTTTTGGATTTTGGAGCATTTTGGATTTTGGGTTTTTGGTTTAGAGATGTTTAGCCTATATTAACGTCTAATTTTTTTTTTTTTTACAATCAAAACAGAGGAAATTAAGCAGTGTGCAAATTTACCTTACATAGTGACTGTATTGATGAAATTTTATTCTACAAATCATCTCTTTAAAAAGCTTTATAATTAAGGAACTCTGTTAAATCCCTTCCAAGAGGAGAGTCCTTTTATAAGTCAGTCACTGTATAATTTGCCTTTTTTGTTATTTTACAAATCAGATTTTCTTAATTATACAGTGCCCATTAGGTTTTCTTACTGCTGTAACTTGAACAGATACTGTGCTTTTTTTCATGAAGTCCTTTTTCATGACTTGCTTTTATTACCAGTGGACTGTGCTAACATTTTAGTGGACTGTGTTTCATTTTAGCTATACGATACTGGTTTGTCCATTGTAACATCATACAGTTTTACATGTCAAATATTTTATTCTTCTTAAGTTGACATTTATATTTTACATTTCATTTTATTTATATGAAAGTATTTTAAATAATTATTTTTGTCACTTTATTGTAGGAAACTGAGCCAAAGCTCTCACCTAGCTGGAACCCCAAAATTATTTATGAGCCACACCCACAGCTAACTAGAAATTTACCAGAGATAGCACCTTCTGACCCAGTGCAGATTGGACGGTTAATTGGTAGGTTGGAGTTGAGTCTCACGTTGAAACAGAATGAAGTGCTTCCTGGAGCTAAGGTCAGTGTTTGTTTCACTTTCTGTAGTAAAACCAAAATAAAAGTACAAGTATTCTTTATTCTATGCAGTGATTCACTGATTGATTACTGCAGATTATCCTGTAACTAGTGTACTGCTGTCACCGAGTTAGCATTTTTACTCTCAGTTGATGCTTCTATCCTAGGTCACAAAATTTATGTGAGGACTGCCTTTGCCCTACTGTTGCAGCTCAAGTTTTATAAAGAGTTGCCTTCTACACTCACTCTCCCGTATTCCGACAATTCGAAACTGACAAACCTCTCTTTTTGGTATTAAACATGGTTTCATTAGTTCAGATAACTAGGAATTTATTTAAAAAATTCTTTCTATTTTCATAAAATTAAGTTTAAAGGAAAAGAGATTTGGCAAGCAAGAAATCTGTAGAAGATGTTTTTATAATTATATGTATGTAAAAATATCTACCCATCTATTTTGAACAGAATGACCATTTTTATATAGTTGTATAATATTTGTGAAAAGAGATAGACTTTTTCCATTGTCTCATAGCTTTAAAATTTTTTGACATAAAATAAACCTATATAATATATCATCTTTCATTCTTTTTTTTTTTTTTTTTCGAGATGGGGTCTCCCTCTGTTGCCCAGGCAGGGGTGCAGGGGTGCAGTGACAAGATCTTGGCTCACTGCAGCCTCGACTTCCTGGGCTCAAGCAACCCTCCCGCCTCAGCCTCGCAAGTAGCTGGGGCTACAGGCACATGCCACCATGCCTGGCTAATTTTTGTATTATGTTTTTTGTAGAGACAGGGTCTCACTATGTTGCCCAGGCTGGTCTTGAACTCCTGGGCTGAAGCAGTCCTTCTTGCTCAGCCTCCCAAAGTGTTGGGATTATAGGCATGAGCCACCTCACCAGGACCCTTTACTATTTTTAAGTGTAAGTTAAGTGATAATCAGTATATTTATATTCTTTTTCCCTTCATTTCCCCACTGTTCCCAGCCTCTGGTAACCATCAGTCTACTCTTCGTGAGTAGGGGAATCTTCATGAGATCCCCTTTTTTAGCTCCTGCCTATGAGTGAGAACATGCGTTATCTTTTTGTGCTTGGCTTATGTCACTTAACATAATGGCTTCTAGTTCCATTCATGTTGTTACAAATGACAGGACTTCATTATTTTTTATGGTTGAATAATATTCCATTGTTCATATATACCACATTTTCTTTATCCATTCATCTGTTGATGGATATGTAGGATGAGTCCATATTTTGGTCCATATATGGGTCCATATATAGGATGAGTCCATATATATAAATACACACACACACACACACACACACAAAGATGTGTGTGTGAATATATATACGTGTGTGTGAATATATATCATATATGATATATATATTCATATATATCATATATGATATATATATTCATATATATCATATATTCTATATAGCATATATTCATATATATCATATCACATATAGCATATATTCATATATATCATATATATTCACTATGTGAATAGTGTGCTGTAAACATGGCAGTGCAGCTATCTCTTTGGTATATTGCTTTCCTTTCTTGTGGGTATATACCTTATGTGGAATTGTTGAATCATATGGAAGTTCTATTTTTAGTTTTTGTTGTTGTCCCTTTGTTTTCTTTTTTCAAAAATTTCAGTTGTTTTTGGGATACAGGTGGTTTTTGGTTACGTAGATGAGTTCTTTAGTGGTAAATTCTGAGATTTTAGTGTACTTGTCACCTGAGCAGTGTACGGTATACTCAGTATGTTGTCTTTTATCCTTCACCTCCTTCCTAACCTCCCCTCCTCCTGAGTCCCTACAGTCCATTATATACCTCTGTATGTTTTGCATTCTCATAGCTTAGCTCCCACTTATAAGTGAGAACATATGGTATTTGGTTTTCCATTCCTAAGTTCCTTAACTTAGAATAATGGCCTCCAGTTCCATCCAAGTTGCTGCAAAAGACATTATTTTGTTCCTTTTTATGGCTGAGTGGTATTTCACTGTGTGTAAATATATATACATATATTTGTATATGGTGTATATATATGTGGTGTATATGTGTATGTGGTGTGTATGTATACCACATAAATATACACCATATATATATACACGCACCACATACATATATACACATGTGTGTATATACACCACATACATATATATGTGTGTATATATATGTTTGTGTATATATGTGTATATATGTGTGTGTATATATGTATACACACACACACACACACACACACACACACACACTGTGGAATTGCTGGGTCGAATGGTAGATCTACTTTTAGTTTTTTAAGGAATTTCCATACTGCTTTCCATAATAGTTGTACAAGTTTACATTCCTACCAGCAGTGTAAAAGTGTTCCTTTTTTACGATGTCCATCCCAACATCTATTGTTTTTTGACTTTTTAATTATGGCCATTCTTGCAGGAGTAAGGTGGTATCTCATTGTGTTTTTAATTTGCATTTTCCTGATGATTAGTGATGTTGAACACTTTTTCATGGTTGTTGGCTGTTTAAATATCTTCTTTGAGAAATATATAATCATGTCCCTTGCTCACTTTCTGATGGGATTATTTTTTTCTTGCCGATTTGTTTGAACTCCTTGTAGATTCTGGATATTAGTCCTTTGCTGGATGCATAGTTTACAAATATTTTCTCCTACTCTGTGGGTTGTCCATTTACTCTGCTGGTTATTTCTTTTGCTGAGCAGAAGCTTTTTAATTTAATCAGGTCCCATTTATTTTTGTTTTTGTTGCATTCACTGAGGTCTTAGTCATGAATTCTTTGCCTAAGCCAATGTCCAGAAGAGTTTTTCCAATGTTTTCTTATAGAATTTTTATGGTTTCAAGTCTTATATTTACATCTTTGGTCCATCTTGAGTTGATTCTTGTATAGGGTGAGAGATGAGGATCCAGGTTCTTTCTTCCACATGTGGCTTGCCAGTTTTCCCAGCATCATTTATTGAATAGGGGGTGTTTTAACCAATTTATGGTTTTGCATTTGATGAAATTCAGCATCCCTTTATGATAAAAACTCTCAACAAAATAGGCACAGAAGGGACTTACCTCAAAGTGTAATAAAAGACATATATAACAAACTTACAACCAACATCATACTGAATGGGGAAAAGTTGAAAGCATTCCCCCTGAGAACTGGAACAAGACAAGGATGCCCACTTTCACCACTTCTATTCAACATAGTACTGGAAGTCCTAGCCAGGGCAATCAGGCAAGAGAAAGAAATAAAGGACATCCAAATTGGAAAAGAGGAAGTCTAACTATAGCTGTTCACCTATGCTATGTCATATACCTAGACAACCCTGAAGACTCATCAAAAAGGCTCCTAGATCTGATCAATGAATTCAGTAAACTCCTAGGTTACAAAATCAGCGTACACGAATCAGTAGCAGTGCTATACACCAACAGTGACCAAGCTAAGAATCAAATCAAGAGCTCAATCCCTTTTACAATAGCTGCAAATAAAATAAAATAAAATAAAATACAATACCTAGGCATATACTTAACCAAGGAGCTGAATCTCTCTACAAGTGGAAAACTGCAAAACACTGCTGAAAGAATAGATGGCACAAACAAATGGAAACACATCCCATACTCATGGATGGAAATAATGCATTTTGTGAAAATGACCATACTGCCCACAACAATCCACATATTCAATGCAATTCCCATCAAAATACCGTCATTTTTCACAGAACTAGAAAAAACAACCCTAAAATTCATATGGAACCAGAGAAGAGCCCACCACAGCCAAAACAATACTAAACAAAAAACAGATCTGGGGTTATCACATTACTGGACTTTAAATTATACTACAAGGCTGTAGTTAGCAAAACAGTATGGTACTGGTATAAAAATAGGCACTTAGTCCAATGGAACAGAATAGAGAACCCAGAAATAAAACCAAATGCATACAACTAACTGATCTTTGACAAAGCATACAAAAACATATTTTTTAGTTTTCTGAGGAACCTTCATACTGTTCTCTGTAGTGGTTGTACTAATCTGCATTCCCACCAAAAGCATATGAGGGTTCTCCTTCTCATAGCTTTGACACTGTATAAAGACACTGTATAAATACAACTATATTTGCCTCTTAGGGAATCATATTGATCAGTCTTATGGAGAACCAGGAAACTTGCATTTACTTAGTTAAAAATGTATTTGTCAAGCATTATTTTCACACCTTGAAAACAAATTTTCTACATAATCTCTATAAAACGTAGTTTTAATTAAGAAGATACCCGGATTTATTCATTTGTTTATTTACTGATCTCCCTAGTTGTAGATGTTCAAGTGACTACCACATGCCAGCCACTTACCTGTCCCAGTTTTTCGGACAGATGCAAAGATGAATCAGATACAATCTTTGCCTTGGTAAAAGATACAGTAAGGGGTATGGAAATTGCTGTGGGGACACAGAAGAGGGAGCCACTAAGTACATGTCAATATACATAAAATGATTTTTCAGAGGATTGAAGAATCTCCGGAAATCCCTCCTTGGATTGGAACCTCTGACTAGAGTTGGAGGAGGAGGAAAGTAGAATGAAGACACTCCTATTACTGATTACTCAGGCCCCTTCTGTTTACTGCTCTGTCCTTCTTCAGATGGTGCAAAATCCTTTTACAATGTCAAAAGGCCCTTTACAAGTAACATGTTGGGATTGTTAGCAGAACAGGTAGTCAAAAGATTATGTAAACTCTACAGGGAATCCTCTGCTGTGGTAACATCCTTGGGAAACTATACTAATAATATGTTTATGTCTCTGGGGAATGCATTTGCCATGTCTGTAAGGAGGAAGCATAGCAATAACTTTTATAGTTCTGTTTTGGTTAATTATATGTAGTCCTCAACATTTGTATGCTTTTATATTTATGTAAACCCAAACTTTTGTACATGATGTGTTGATTTGTACAAATGTCTTTTATAATAAAACATTATGTATACATTTGTACAAATGTATAAATATATGTTACTTTTAGAGTTCTGTATATTAGTGACAAATGAACATGTGGAAAAACTGCGTAGTGGCATTGTGTGCCAGCCAATATTTAATATTTAGAAGTACTACCCTTGCCTATAGAGTAATTTTTGTGTAATGACTTGAGTATTTGAGTATAATTTGTTTTTATTTAATGCAAATGATGCTAAATGGAAAAAGACAAGTTCTGGATTTTAGTATTGAGAAACATAGATCTCATAAAATATAGTGTAGATAAAGATGGCATTAATTAGGGGTGCTGAAAATGTCAGATCTTTAATCTCTTTCTGATGTACATTAGCCTTAACTCTTTCAACTGTGGATTCAAAATGTTATGAAAGATTTCATGTTTTTTTTTTTTTTTTAAGTTCTCTGAATAGTATTCCCTTGAGTAGTGTGTAAGTCTGTGTTTCATGTATTCAGTTTTAGCCTATGTTTTTAGGAATGCATTTTATTGAAAATTGGAGACTGCCCGTATTGAATTTAGAGATGTTTTGTTTCAGTTACCATGTTACATTGAGTTGAAATTTGTTTTTTAGTTATGTTCTTTTATATTTTCAAAAGAAAGTAGTAAGTACTTTGTTCTTTTTATGCCAAACTTAGAATGTACAAATAATGAAATATTTCTATGAAAATTTTAATTTCAATGAATTAGAAATGAAACTCTTGATTGGCCATTCTAATGAAAGTCAGAGATTGTGCTTTCAGTACAACAATTGTGAAATTATAAAACAATTTTTAAATTTGGCATGTAGTTAGAAACACATTTTCTCTCTCCTCTCAGCCTTAGGTTGGCTCATGGCTTGGGATGTCAGTAGTCAGGAAGGTGCCCCGTAAAATAAGTTGTCTGTGGGCAGAACAAGGGAGCCATGCCGTGGAAGGAGTGAGGGCTTTTCCTCCAGGTCAGCCTAGGTGAAAATCCAGCTCTGGATCTGCTACATGGGCCTTGTGCAATTCACTGAATCTTTGTGAACTCATTTCTTCACCTATAAAACAGGAACATTAATAAGAATTAGAGGAAATATATATAAAAGCACTTAGCATGGTACCCCAATGCTAAAAATAAAAGTGATAATAATGATTTATTTTACTGGATTTCTTAGGTCATCGAAATTTCTCAATCATTATGTAGTTTATTTGATTTTTTGTTTGTTTTGTTTTAGAATCAGAAGGAATCCCTTTTTCTCCTGGGAAGAAGTCATTTTCTAGATATAAATGTTTTGTTAATTCTATTATTTTTCAGTTGCAAAATGACATAAAAATAATAGGAGTCAGTGTTAAGAGGAGGCGAATGAAAAGTAAGGCAGGGATATTCTGCTTTTTAGAATGTAATATAGAGAATAAAGTAATTGCTTTTGTCAGAGTATTCAGGAATCATCAAGAGAGTGGGATGGAGCTTTTATTTCTAGATGGAAAAGTGGGCAAAGAGTTGGAAAAGAGAAAGGAAGTCCACCTAAGCACCATCTTCTGTCCACGTTTCTGTAGTGGCGTCCCCTTGCATGCAGAGCGGGCTTTGTGGACCACAGTAGGTACTGGGAAGGCACAGTGTTGGAGGAGAAGGTCCTTACATGCTCTGCTAGAGTATGATTGGTAGTGTACTTAAGAAAGCCAACTTTATTTGTTCTTGATGTGAATCAGACTTTAAGGATTATGATTTCAGTCTTTTGAAAGTCAATGAATACTGTGCTATTGCTACCTTAATATTCATCCTTGGAGACTATGTCTTAAGTCCTCCTCAAATACTTTTAAGTACTCAGAAGACTTGAAGAGACAAAAAGTATAACATTGGACTCGTCAGCATGGAATTTCTCAGGAGGGTTTTTCCTTTTAGAACAACAGTTTGGTGGCCTTTAAGTCTTTTCATTTAGATGGTGTGAATTAGTAGAGAGAGTCTCAGATGAAGGACTCCAAGACTAAAGACTCAGTATTCATCTCAGTTCATTAAAATATACTGACGTTTATGGTGATAAGGTTATAAAGAATACTCCTCATGAATAGTTTTTTTTTTTCCCTTAAGTTGGATGTTGATGGACAGATAGACTCTATTCATCTACTCCTGTCACCAAGACAGGTGCACTTGCTTTTGGATATGTTGGCAGCTATTGCTGGACCAGGCAAGTATAATTCTGTTATTATATATACTTGTTACTTTTTTAAATTTTAAAAAACTTTAAAATATGTAATGTATGTACATGTAGGAAAGTCTATTATTTTTGAATATCTGAATTGAAAGAAGCAAATAAGAATGTTAAGTAGTAAAATTTGATTGGGTGTTTTGAATGTGTTACCATGGGACATATTCACTTCAGATTATGTGTGTCACATTCTTAACTTTTCTAAAATTGTTCTGACTTCTTTGGTTGGGGATAGTACTTCATACAATCGAGAAAGTATAATTCTTGAACACAGTAAGTGGTACACATTTTAAAATATTTTCAATGGCTTCTATCTATCAGCGATAAGATTTTGGGATTCCTGGCTAGTTGCTTAAAGCTGTTGCTTAGAGCTCTGACTCACTAAATAGCAGTGGTTTTGCACTGTGGTGTTAAGTTGCCATTGTTGTTCCATAAATGGGTTTTGGGAAAGAAATGCTTAATTAACTCCAAATTTAATTACTGTTTTGGTTTCCTTTTGTATGCTTATAGAAAATTCTAGCAAAATAGGGTTAGCTAATAAAGATAGGAAAAATCGACCCATGCAGCAGGAAGACGAGTATCGAATTCAGATGGAATTAAACCGGTATTATTTGAGAAAAGATTCCCTCTCTGTGGGTGTATCTTCAGAGCAAAGCTTTTATGAGACAGAAACAGCTCGTACACCTTCTAGCCGTGGTAAGCAACTCAAACTGTTGACACCAGAATCATATATTATAATCATAGATAAAATTACACTTAATTTTGGCTGCTGTGAACAGAAGTTTAGGAATGAAAGAACAAAAAGATCCACATTGTAAGAAATCCACAACTTTTAATTTACGATTAATCTAATCACAACATTACAGTAATGCACCAGCACATAGGTGCTATAGTATATTTTTTTGATTTTGATTGTGTAGTTTTGTTTTCTAAATGATTTAGTCTAAGGAAAACCAATTTATAAAAATGTAAATTTATGTGAAAGTTAAATTAGGTAGTTATATATTTTGTCAAATTATTATGTGCTCATGTAATGATTTCTAGATTAAGAAACTACTGAACTACTAAAGTTTAATAAGGAAACTTTCCTTTATTGATCTTTCCATCAGTTATATGTAAATAATGATCTCTACCCAGCTTACTTTACATTTATAGGTGTTTCACAATGTATAAATGCTAATAACATAAATAATATGGATCAATTTAAGTATGGAATGTTGGACAAAATAAGAAATCAAACCCTACTCAAAAAATTTTGGCCATAATAAACTTCATTTGCATGAGAGTAAAACAATTCCGAAAGAAGGAACTGAAATGTAAATGGAATTCCAAATAATGTTTTTGGCTCTGAATAAAAGAAATAACTGTATCCAGATGAAACTAGAGGTTGCAATATATTTATACTATTTTAATATCTGATTTTAATTCCTAAACTGGCATATCACATTAAAAATATACCAGGTAATACTACATTTATATATTTAAAACAAAAGAAAACATGTTCATCAGTAGGGTAGCTTCATTTTTTATTAATTTATATTGAGTTTTTACTATGCCATTAATATTTTGGACTCATAAATTACACCACTGTAAGTAACATAAAATTTGGGGCATCGCTGTATCTCATATAATCTGAAGGAAGAGGATTGTATTAACGTATATTAACTTACTTAAAAGACTTGAATTGGTGGGATTATAATACAAGTGACATAGTTTAATTCTCTCTAGAAGAAGAAGTATTCTTCTCCATGGCTGATATGGACATGTCTCATAGTCTCTCTTCTCTTCCACCCCTTGGGGACCCCCCAAACATGGACCTTGAGTTATCATTAACTAGTACATATACAAATACCCCAGCAGGATCTCCATTAAGTGCTACTGTGGTAAAGTATTACTTAATTTTTCTTCTAGACTGAAAAGTTGCTTCTAAAATTCTACACTTCATTCATGTGCTTAAAAAAAATCTTTTATAGCTTCAGCCCACTTGGGGAGAGTTCCTTGATCATCATAAAGAACAGCCAGTAAGAGGGTCAACATTTCCATCCAACCTAGTTCACCCAACACCTTTACAGAAGACATGTAAGTAAAAATAAGACATTTGTTGTTAGTTTCCGCTGGAATTTTTAAAATGCCATTCTACTGGTGCTTTTCTTTCTTTTTTTTTTTTTTCTGGTCTTGGCCATTTACAAAGTTCAGAAAGCAAAATGAACCATTGTTAAACAATTCACTGTGAAGTGTTTTAGAATAGTTGCTCATTTATTGTATTCTTTGTGTATTTAAATACTTAAATATTTTTAGTTAAAAGTACACTGTAAGTTTCATATTATTATTGCAGTTCAGGACCCTCAGTCAATCATGTGATTTTTGTTTCACTATTTACATTTTCCTTGGAAGAGAACCTCAGGTTTCTTTTCTGCAAAATTTAATTGATATAGACCCAAGGCTTAAAGGAAAATTTGGTGAGCAGTTTTTGGTTAATCTTGAGTTTTCCAGTATGTTTTTATTAATATAAAAGCTTGGTTTGTACATTTACTGTTGTCACGTACTCTTGTACTTTAGTACAAAAATCTTGGATGTAAGATGCAGCAAGATAGCAGTTGATTTTACTTAAATTAATTGTTTAATATCATTCAAACTGTTGTATGATCATCTGTTTTTTAAAGCTAATAAATGAGTAAATGTTTTATAATTTTAATAGTTTTATGTGTCAAATTTTATGTATATAATTTTAATACTTGTATTTTAGCTCTCCCATCTAGATCTGTTTCAGTGGATGAATCAAGGCCTGAACTTATTTTTAGACTAGCTGTGGGAACTTTTTCAATCTCTGTGCTTCACATTGATCCTTTATCTCCACCTGAAACGTCACAGAACCTTAATCCATTGACACCTATGGCAGTAGCTTTCTTTACTTGTATAGAAAAGATTGATCCAGCAAGATTTTCAACAGAAGATTTTAAGTCTTTCCGAGCAGTGTTTGCAGAAGCTTGCTCACACGATCACCTTAGGTAAACTCTCACATATGTATTAATGATCCTTTAAACTTCCACATATGCTAATGATCCTTGAAAAAGAACCACATGTGGACTTTTGTATCTGCCTATCTGCATTTGTTTTTCTAATTCACATTTTATTTGTAAATGAATGGAATGAGTGAAGTTTTCTTGCAGTGCTGCAAAGGTGTTTAGAATCTTTCATTCAGGTTATTTGGCATGCAGAATAACAGATCTAGATAATAGGAGTTTTCAAAGTGATCTCTTTAGTTCCCTGCCCAGCTCTTGTCAAGTTTCTTTAACCACATTTTGCCTTCATCCCTATTGACACCACTGCAGTCGTGAAAACAGTTCTTATTGTCACTGGCATTAGCAGAGATGACAGTGGTGATGAAAAATAAAATAATACTATTGGAACTGATCCATATGCCACTGGCCATGGGGTGGGAAACATTACCAAGGCTGATCCTGAAACTTGGATGCTACGTTTCAACTTCTGCTTAAGAAAAATCAAAGCTATCCAAATAGCCAGTGAGTGATCCTTTCATGGGTTGAGTCTTAACAGATGAGGAGATAATTGAATTTGTAATATAGTTGGTTTTTTTGTTTTGTTTTGTTTTTTGTTTTGAGACAGAGTCTCACTCCATCGTCCAGGCTGGAGTGCAGTGGCGCAATCTTGGCTCACTGCAACCTCTGCCTCTCAGGTTCAAGCTATTCTGCAGCCTCAGCCTCCTGAGTAGCTGAGATTACAGGCATGTGCCACCATGCCCAGCTAGTTTTTGTATCTTTAGTAGAGATGGGGTTTCACCATGTTGGCCAGGCTGGTCTCGAACTCCTGCCCTCCAGTGATCCACCTGCCTCGGTCTCCCAAAGTGCTGGGATTACAGGCGTGAGCCACCACGCCCAGCCTTTAGTATTGTTAACATGCAAACTCTGTTTTACAATTTTAATGTGAAAGTGATCTATAAATTGTTGAATGACATCTTATACGGTGGTTTAAACATATCATATATTAGTATTTTTAGAAAATACTTTGGGCGTTTATTTAATCTTTTTAACTTTTTTAAAGTATGAAAATTGATATGAAAAGTAGTTTTACACCTAATACAAGAAAAACTCTACAGGTTAGGATTATAGTATTTATACTCAAACTGTAAAAACATTTTGTTTTCTTCCACCCCCCTTTTTTTTTCTTGTATTTTTAAGAGAGATGGGGTTTCACCATACTGGCCAGGCTGGTCTCGAAGTCCTGACCTCAGGTGATCCGCCCACCTTGTCCTCCTCAAGTGCTGGGATTACAGGCATGAGCCACTGTGCCTGGACTTTTTTTTTTTTTTTTCCCATTTTTGACAAAGTTTCAAACATCTGCCAGTAGGAAAATAGAACAAAAGCGGCAGAAAATATAGGTAGACCTCATTTGGGCTTCACCGACTAAAGTTTTTGAAATATTGCATAATGTTTTTAGATAATTTTAAGAGACTATTTCATATATTTTACAGATCTGAAAGATTTTGCCTTTGCAATGTAAATTTTTAAATGTGGAAGACGAAGGGCAGTGTTGGGAAATAAACAGATCCTGGAAAATTTCCCATCAACAGAACTGATTTTTTATCTTAAGGAAAGGGAAATTTGAAGCAATCTTTCTGGTTAATTTCCTTAGGAGTATTAATTATTGATAACTTGAACTTGTCAGACTAGGTGGATAATTGTTACATTTTAACACTAATAATCTTAAATGGTGCATTTTTTATAATAGATTTATAGGTACTGGCATTAAAGTATCCTATGAACAAAGACAAAGATCAGCTTCCCGATATTTTAGTACTGATATGTCCATTGGGCAAATGGAATTTTTGGAGTGCCTATTTCCAACTGATTTTCATTCTGTTCCTCCTCACTATACAGAGGTAAATATTGAATACTTTTTCTTTAAGATTATTTTTTAAATCTACCTTGCTTTTTAATGATTGTATGAGGCAATGATTTTCTTTAAAAATGTATAGAAAGCCATAGGAGGAATATTGTCATTTTCTTTTTGCACTTGTGTTCTATAGAAATATATTTAAGAATGTCACTCAACATCGTTATAAGGATCTGTTAGAATTTTAAATTAGAGTTGACTTGTTTAGGAGTGACAGGTGGGTTATGAGAGAAATGACTTCATTTCACTCATGTTCAAAGCACTCTTCATTTCAGAAGAATTTGATTATTGAACAAATAATTATCGAATGCCTGCTGTGTGCTAAGCATTGTTTAAGACAAGTTAAATGTCTTGTGTTCATTCACCATTTTTCTGATATTTTTCCTAATGTAAAAGTGTGACCTAAAGAAACTTTAGAAAACTGTCAAAGTTATGTTCATTGCTGTTACTTTGACCCTTTATAGTGTTTTATTTCAAAAACACTTTCTTGGAAATGAATTTATTTGAATCCTCGCCTACATTTTACAGATGAGATATCACATGAGTTAACTAACTTGTCTAAGGTTCACATTGCTAGTAAGTGACAAAAATGAAACTTAAAACCAGATTTCTGACTTCAGAAAGCCTTTCTCATTATTGTATGGGCACCTCTGTAAATTCTTGTGATTAATACATTTAATTTATCTTCATCTTTACTTTTAAGCTTTTAACGTTCCATTCCAAAGAAGAAACTGGTTCCCATTCCCCTGTGTGTCTTCAGCTTCATTATAAGCATTCTGAGAATAGAGGGCCCCAGGTAAGAGATCTTTTTCTATAATTGCCACCTGTAAATTTTAATCTGATATATATTTTGTCACAATTATAAGGTTTTAACCCAATTATATAGTAGTTTTTAGTGATTGTATTAATGCCTTTTCTTTTTTTTTTTTAAAAGGGTAATCAAGCAAGACTTAGTTCAGTTCCTCACAAGGCAGAATTGCAAATTAAATTAAATCCAGTGTGTTGTGAGCTGGATATCAGTATTGTGGACAGGTTAAATTCCTTGCTTCAACCACAGAAACTTGCCACAGTAGAGATGATGGCATCCCACATGTATACTTCATATAATAAACATATTAGTCTGGTAAGTATTCAAAAGCTGCAAATACTAATCATAATTATGGTTAGCTAATAGGGTTATTGAGATAATTTCTGAACTTAAGTATTTTTAATAGATTAAACAGTATAATTAAAATAGCATTATTTGTAATAATAAAAAAAGGAGACATCTTTTATGTCTTGATAGTAGACTAGCTAAATAAGTTTTTGAGACACACTGAATGAAATGTTATGTGGTCATTTAAAATGATGGTTATGGCCAGGCGTGGCGGCTCACACCTGTAATCCCAACACTTTAGGAGGCTGAGGTGGGAGGATCACTTGAGGCCAGTTCGAGACAAGCCTGGCCAACATGGCGAAACTCTGTCTCTACTAAAAATACAAAAATTAACTGGGCATGGTGGCACACACCTGTAATCTCAGCTACTCAGGAGGCTGAGGCATGAGAATAGCTTGAACCCAGGAGGCGGAGGTTGCAGTTAGATCGCATCACTGCACTTCAGCTTGGGTGACAGAGCGAGACTCTGTCTCAAGAAAAAGAAAAAGAAAATGATGGTTATGAAGATGGTATAACAACATGAAGAAGGCTCATCAAGGATTAAATGAAAAAGTAGAATATATTGCTTTACATAAACTTGTCACACCTGTGTAAATAAAATTGATGTATAGAAAAAGAATGGCGAGAAATATGCCAGTCAGTAGCATTGTTTATATTACAGTGGAATTAGGTTTCCTTTACTTTTCATGTCTATCAGAGTTTTTATAAGCTGTGATTATAACGACTTTATAAAATTTTATCTATTTATACATTTGATAAGTTACTTGAACTACCTAAAACATGAAGCCCAAACAATATGGGATATACTTTTGAAAATAATCTATTGAACATCACATTATATCACTTTTACTTGCATCTGGTGCCTGGGGTCTTTTCTAAGCAAATTAAATCAGTCAAGTTTGCAAGAAGTCTGTTAGGAATTTTGGGGCCAGAGGACCAGGATCAGATGGAGACAACCTTAGTTAAAAAGAAAAGGAAAAAGATATTTTATTTTTCTACTTCTTTGCTTTTCTCTTAGTATTGAGTATTCACATCAAATTAGCATTGTTTATTATTATTATTATTATTATTATTATTATTATTGAGACAGACATCTGTTGCCCAGACCGCAGTGCTGTCATACGGTATCAGCTCACTTCAGTCTTGACCCCCTTGGCTTAAGCGATCCTTCTACCTCAGCCCCCCAAATAGTTGGGGCTACATGCATGTGCCACCACACCCGGTTAAGTTTTTATATTTTGTCTCCCTATGTTTCCCAGGCTGGGCATTCTTTGTTATTGTTATCAATTGCTAGTTATTTTAGTTTCTGTGGGGTAGTCTGTATATTAGCTGTAACTATATATGCAATTGGATGATGGTTTAATCTGTTGGGTTATTTTTGCCTGAGAGTGGTGGTTAAATATTAGCAAATCAAATGGGGAGAGTTAGAATAGATTTGTTAAAAATCCAAGTCTGGATGGGTGTGGTGGCTTGCACCCATAGTCCCAGCAACTCAGGAGGCTGAAGCAGGAGGATTGCTTGAGCCCAGGAGTTTGAGACCAGCCTGGGTGATACAGCAAGACCTGTTTCGAAAAAAACAAACACAAAAATTGTAAGTCTAGCATATGCAGGGAGTTTTCAAATCATGGAGGTTAGAAATTGATTGAAGAAACTGAGGAGTGTTACAACGTAGAGTGGAATAAAGCTTTTTTAGTTTCAATATATTTTAGAGAAAAAATAGAAATAGATTTCTATTTGAATGGGATGTTCTTTGACCCTTTTATTGTAAGATGGCTTTGGGTAAAATGGTGCATATATCTTGGTCTCATAGAACCATTTGATGAGATCATACCCTTGGATTGGATAGGAGCTCAGAGTGCGTCATTTAGTGAATATTTATTTAGAACCTGTGATGTGCCAGCCTCTGGGTTTTATCTTAGAAGTACAAAGTTGAGTCAGCGATTGTATTTGGCATAATTCATCTGATTTCACATTGAGTATTTAAAATCATATATTGGTAGAAAAGTCTTTCAAACTGAATGTTGGACACTACAGTGATTTTTAACCGTATTGAATTTGTTGGTAGGCTAATTTACACCGTATTCTTTATAAATTTATAGTAAGATAAATATTAATATATAGTGCCTTTGTCTTCACTTTGGCTCAGTTTTTAATTTAATTTTTTATTTCAGAGTTTAACTTTTGCCAATAGTTTTCACTTTTGCTAATAGTTGTTGCATTATAAAATTTTTTTACACTAAATTAATATGGTAGTGGTTAATTTGAATTGACTTTTAATGCATTATACCAAATGGGGAGATAGTGATTATACATATTGTAATGTTGAATACTGTGTAATTTATGTTCATTTACTTTAATATTTTGGCATATTTTTGATGTTTTGTGTTTTAGCACAAGGCTTTCACTGAAGTGTTTCTAGATGATTCACATAGTCCTGCAAATTGTCGGATATCAGTACAAGTTGCCACACCAGCATTAAACCTTTCTGTTCGCTTCCCAATACCTGATCTTCGATCTGATCAAGAAAGAGGACCATGGTTTAAGAAGTCACTTCAGAAGGAGATCCTTTATTTAGCCTTCACAGATCTAGAATTTAAGACTGAATTTATAGGAGGATCAACCCCAGAACAAATTAAATTGGAACTTACCTTTAGAGAACTAATTGGTAAGATTGAATGTGCCTGTAAAAGAACCATCCTAGATAACAAACAACTGCTACTGAAACTTAACATCACAAAAGTATCTGACAGCCCTGCAATATAGTACAATTAAAGAACATTATGTTAAAATCAACAGCAACAATGTCTTTCTAGTATTGTATGCAAATATGTGATATAGGTAATTTTTTAAAAACTAAGGATGATGATTCATTCACTTTGTTAAAATTCCTGTTTACTGCAGGAGAGTGTAGTACTTTAGCCTACATTTTTATTACCACCTCTCGTTTATTTATTGTAGGACTGATAATAGAACTTGTTAAGTGCCACTGTATGTTAAATATTATGCTAAGCACTTGATACACATTTTCTTGTTTTTTTAGTCATCATAATCACCATATGTTTATTTTTCCAGTTATTTTTATAATTTAATAGATGAGACCATCTGTGGACCTAGAAGGAAGTATCTACCAAGATCATGTTGTAGTCAATGGCAGAATCAAGATTTGAACCCAAGTCTGACAGTGGAGCTTGAGCTTTCAACCATTACACTAACTAATCGCTAGTGACTTTTATTTGTAAAACTCGTTTTGATTTTTTCTGCATTACTTTGTTTTTGTCAGTTAATGAAGGGAATTTATAAAAACTTTAAAGTGAACCAAGTCTATGAAGACCTGGAAAACCTTTTATCCTGTGGTTCCTAGACCACCTGCCTCTGCCACGACACCCTCTCTCCGCAACCACACTCCCACCCCTCATGAGAATAGTTTGCAAAAGTTCCCCTTCTTTTCTCTCTCGGTTTTACGTATCTTAAGAGGTATTTAAAATTGATTGTTGTCAATTATGACTTCATGAAAGGGCCTTCAGGTGTTGTGAGATCATCCCTTATCTCCAGTGGTGAGAAACTCATTATTCTGGAGGAAAGCCATTTTTCATTTGTAAAATGGATTGAAAAAACACGTATAGAATTTTTGTTGTTGTTGTTTTTGTTTTTCAGACAGAGTCTTGCTTTGTTGCCCAGGCTGGAGTGCAGTGGCATGATCTTGGCTCACTGCAATCTTCATCTCCTGGCTTCAAGCGATTCTCGTGCCTCAGTTGGATGTCACCACACCCAGCTAATTTTTGTATTTTTTAGTAGAGACGGGTTTTTTCCATGTTGGAGAGGCTGGTCTCTTAACTCCTGACCTCAGGTGATCCGCCTGCCTCAGCCTCCCAAATGCTGGGATTACAGGTGTGAGTCACCGCGCCCAGCCCGTGTAGAATTATTTTGAACAGAGGTGTTTCTTACAGTGTTTGGTACAAAATACATATTTAAGAAATGTAGTTATTTTTCTAGTGGTAGATTATATAGACTTTATGAAGAAATAATCACTAATAGCACTTAGTAAGTGGTAAGTGCTTGCTCTATTTACTATGTCATTATGTACTTTATGCAGTGTACCTTGGTACTTAAGAATTTGAGTTTGAACACAAAACAGAATCTTTAATTTATTGGCTCATTCTGTCTACCACACGTGCACATGAAACCAGAACAACTGAAAAATGCTGTAGAACTTAAGGTTGCATTATGTTCCTGATTGAGAGGATCTTTGCTCCTCCATCTCTTCTTTTAGTACTTGAGAAGAAGCACATTTCAGTAAATCAGTCTTTTTTTTTAGGATCGTTCCAGGAAGAGAAAGGAGATCCATCTATTAAGTTTTTCCATGTGTCTAGTGGAGTAGATGGAGATACAACATCGTCAGATGACTTTGACTGGCCACGGTGAGTAAGCAAATGCATAGGTTTAATAGGATTTTCCTTTTAAAAATAAAATATTCTTTTAAACCAACATTTTGTCTATTAAATATAAGCTAAACATGTCCATCCTTGATTCTTTTGTGGTTCATAAGCGTGATGATTGGGTGTTCACATGAATGTGTGAGATGTGTCACCCTCAAACCTTGTTGTGCTATTTTTCTGCCTGCCTTGCTTTACTCCTCCTCTCCACTGTCTATTAGACCGATTAGATTCTTAGGACAGATGTTGCTCATACACACCTGGTAATAAGCATGAGTTTAGAGCACAAGTTTCATAAGGACTGGATCTACTTCGGTTAAATAATTCAGAAGCACAATTTATATTAGGATATGTATCAATTAGGAAAAAAGCCTGTGATCATTTACAAACCAAATAACACCACTACCTAGGGAATAAGAGTTGCAGTTGCAGCACAGCTATTCTCTTTGAGGGTTCCATGCCTCCTTATAACAATGGGTGGATGTGGTAATCAAAGGAGAATGAAAAGTCTGTGCTAGAGATGTTCTGTAGAAGCTTAGGAAAGGGATTACTCTGGAGTAAAAAGCTCATTAGTTTTTGTAGTCATAGGCTGCATTAACTCAGTGATCTTTAGGTTTTGTGGTTATAAAACAGAAACAGCACCAGCCCTTTATTATTGAAATTACTAGATGAAAACATAACTTTGTTGTTAGAGTTTTGAAACTGTTTCCTAATCAGCTTCTCCCTTTTCCCTTTGAACAACTGATATAATATGAGGTTGATATAACATGAGGTTTCTTAGGTAGACAAGTAATTTATTATAGCAGAACAGACTATATGTGAGAAGATTTGGTTTAATGATAACTAGAATCCTTAGGTAAAGTTTGCTGACTTTTAATGAAATTTAAAAATAACCTTTTTGCCCCCTTCAGTTACCCAAGTATAAAATGTTTATGTCTTTCTGTTACTTACTTGTTTCAGTTCCACACTTGTAAGTTTACAACATGTTCATAAGTGGGTTACCTTAGACATAATTAGACTTTGTAGAGAAGTTTAATTCTATCATTAAGATTTAACCAGTGGTGTGTGTATTAATTTGCACAAAAGTTAAAGTTTTGCTGTTTACACTTAGATCTTGGTCTTTTTAAAATTGTCTTTGCTATCAGAATTGTACTGAAAATAAATCCACCAGCCATGCATTCCATTTTGGAGAGAATTGCAGCTGAAGAAGAAGAGGAGAATGATGGTCACTACCAGGAGGAAGAGGAAGGAGGTGCTCATTCCTTGAAAGATGTTTGTGATCTAAGAAGACCAGCCCCATCTCCTTTTTCTTCTCGTAGAGTAATGTTTGAAAATGAACAGGTAAAAGTGTGAGCAAGCTACAAAGGAATAATACTATTATTCTCTGTCATAGAGCAATGCTTTTGATTTTTTATTTTTAAAAAAATGCCTTGTGTACTGTTTTTGCTAGGTCTTAAACTTCAAAATTGAATAATACCTATTTTTTCTTGGTGTATATTTTCTCTAGTTAAATGTTTCATGCTTATTTATTTCTCACATACCAAGTCCTATGGATAGGCTAAGAAGATGCTACTACTATTTTAAACATGGATGCCTTTTTTTTTGCACTGAACTATTATGTTTTAGATGGTGATGCCAGGAGACCCTGTAGAAATGACAGAATTTCAGGATAAAGCAATCAGCAATTCTCACTATGTGCTGGAACTTACGTTACCAAATATTTATGTAACACTACCTAATAAGAGCTTTTATGAGAAGCTTTATAATAGGTGAGTTTATACACATTTAGTTGAATCTTTGGAATCAGATTTTCTAATTGCCTCCCTGATTTTCCTCTTCCCCCTTTCCTTTCCTTGCCTGAATATTATATGCCATCTCTGTGTACTTTGTGTGGTGTTGATGGTGACTATTGCCGTTATGATGTGCTATTGTCATAGCAGAGTTTCCTAACTAGCGTGGTGCCGGGTGTGTGAGATATTTATTTCCTCAGCCCTGAGGTTGGCTGATTGCCCTCTGTCAGCTTACTGCAGGTTACCGATCAAATACAATTTTTTTCTTTATGTGCAGTGACGTGAAGAGTTAAGAGATGCTAATACAGCTAGCCAATGCTGGAGTAGAATCAGAACCCCATTCATTGTACAAGAAGCATCTTTTCTTCAGCATTCAAAAAGATATCTTGTTGGAATTCAAAATTCTGTGAACGTGTACAAAATTTAAATTTATTATATTTAGATACCCCTCAATATTTATGCCAGGCAGGTATTTTGATACTAATGGAATTCTAGGTCATAGACTCTGAAGGCCTTGAGCAGTTTATCTAGCCTCTGTAAGACTCAGCATCCTCTTCTGTAAAATGGAGATGATCCTGGCTCCCACCTATAAGGGTTGTTTGGAGGATTAAATGATATAACACTTGGAGAGTTCTGAGAATAGTGTATGGCATATCGTAAGAACTTAGTGGTTGTCTGTTATAATTCCTACCCACTGAAGGGATTTCTCCGTAGCATACCTGAAAGATTGTCATGTGGGTTTCTAGAAAAAGAAGTCCTTAGTGTTTGTCATCACTAGCTTCCTACATGTAGACAAGTTATTCTAGTTTCCATTAATCTTCAGAAACTTCAGACTGTTGTTTCTGCTGTAGGTTTACTTGGTATCAGATACCACTCGGTATTTATTCCTTAAATGTTAGTAATAAACCCTGGGTTTTCTCACTGGGTGCTATTGACTTTTGCTCTTAGAATCAGAAAATTAAGTTCCAGGATTCTTCTAGGGTTCACATTACTTCAGTGGTCTTGAAAATGAGATTCAGAGAACAGTCCACTCTGGTATAGGAAGAAAATGTTATCACTTACGTTTAACTTTAAAAATAATCTTTTAAAATTTATATTTTTATATTTGTTTTATAATATACATTATAAATAGCACCTAATGTATATTCAATTCACATTAGAGAGGTTTCAAATTGGTTTTAAATGTTGGGGTTTGTTTATATATGATCTACAGTTTCAAAATGACTGATCTCTAGGCTCCTCCTTTTATTTCATAGTTCAGGGGTGTCCGCAAAGAGCTGATGTATGTGCAAGGCTGAGATTGAGGGAAATGAAATGACTCTTTCAAGGCCTAGCCCAGAGATCAAAAACACTTGACCTATTTTTTTCTCATTCTGCATTGACTGAGCAGATTGCTTTTGATTAAATCAGGGCATCAAGAACAGTAATACATACCTTAAACATTCACTTTATAAATGTATATTTATTTACCACTTCATTTCTAAATACAGGACAAGGCCTTTTCTTTGAATATGAGCCACTGATTGGAATTCTATGTTGTCTTTTTTTCCCCCTTTCCTTTTTTTTAATCCTGCATGTGGCATCTGACTATTTTGTCTTTTTTTTGCATAAAGTGTACCCAGAAGGCATTGTCTACCGTTTTTAGTTCCAGTTTCTTTAAAGTGAAGTGAAAAAAATTTTTTCAGAGATATGTAAGAGGAGAATCTTTGTAGGTTTTTAAGATTTTTTTTTACCCCAGTCTGCATTAATTAAAACGGTACAGTTTTTATTTAAACTATACTTAAAAGTAACAAATACAAGCAGATTTGAAGCCAGACACAGTTGGTCTTTGGCGAGTATATGAAATATATAACTCCACTGATAGGAACAGTTCTCAGCTCTACTAGAGAGATGTCCACCAACAGCAGGCAGTTAGCATATTGGGGGCTTCCGTTGTTGTGGCACTTGGGGGTAATTGGGTAGCTGACTGCTTAAGTCAGGGAGTATGTATTAGAATCGTGTATTAGAGTATGTATCTGTTAATCTGGATAGTTGGTTTAATGGATTGCTTAAGAGAGTTTCTATTCTATTAAATACCTTCCACTAACCACTTTTTGGTCTCTCAGGCCCCTAGAATTGCATAAATACTGAAGCGCTCCCTCACTTTCTGGGATCATATAAATCTCATATCTAACTTCCTCAGGGTTTGCATCCTTTGCCCCTTATCCGGCTTTGTATTTTCAAATTAATACTGTTTAAATAATTTTCAAACATTCTCAGAGAAGATTTGCTTTACAGTACGAAGAACTCCCCGTGCCCTAACCATCTGAGAGTAAGTTGCTGACCTGAGTCCCTTCAATGTTTAGTACTTGAATGCATATTTCCCACATACAAGGACATTCTACATTAACTGGTAATTCAGCTCTCAGAAGCAGGAAGCTAAACTGGATACGTACTACCATATAATCCTCATACCCCATTCAAGTTTTACTTAATATGTCAATACTATCCTTTTATTTTTCATTTTTTTTTCTGAGCAGGAGTTATAACCAACTCTGCCTTTATATATTTAAAATGTTGATTTACTCCTTTAGTGCCTTGGTCAACAGGCTGTTTTTAGCAGTATGGTTTTAGGTACAGGAGAATGTTTTCTGTGTCGAAAATTGTTTAAAATAGAATATAAAAAAGAATTCTAATTGCTTTCATTAAATATGTACTGAGCATCTATTTTGTTTCAGCCTCATAGACACAGAGTCATGGTGATATGTCCTTATGTATCTTAAGCATTGTTTTCTTTCTTGATATTTCTTGATACTACAAGCACCATCCAATATTCGATAGTACTAATGGTATCAAGACTGTGTTTAGACCAAAATATAAATAAGGAGAACATAATAGGTGAGTGGATTATAATCTCCTGAGAGTCACAATCCTCAGTCCTGGTGTACACCTTCTAGGACTTCAGAAGCTCAAGAATTGTCCTGGCAGTGGCTTCTCACAGAAGGGGGCAGGGCTGCCTCACCACGCGGCGCCTTGACCGGTATTCACACCAGGCTTTACGATGAGTCTGGGTTTTGGCAGCACTTCCATGTGAATCATTCACTGTCCTCACCAACTGTCCGTGCCTGTTATGTGACAGCCACTGTGCTAGGCACATGTAGAGATGATCGACACAAGTCCCTCTCTTGGGCGGCTTGCAGTCTAAAAAGGGGAAACGAGAAAATTCAGGAGGGTGCTGTAGGTGCTGTGATTTAAGTGGGTCTGTGTGAAGCATATGCTGTGGGTCCAGATCTTACGATGGGTTTACTAGAAGACGTGGTGAAGTTTGAGTTTTCTTGAAAACTTCGAGGATGGATGAGGGGAGGAGGCTAGGACAGGGGCATCTGAGCAGTGACAGGTAGTTCTTTGAAAAAGTAGGATGTGGTGACAGCCTAGGTATGACATATGCCTTCCCATTGGTTGCCAGTATTGATTGGGCTAGTCTCGCTAGTCATAAGGGTTTTTCTCTCCTTATTTTTTGCTCCATATGCATTCTTCATCTCATGAAGTCTTCCCAGTGAAGCTGTGCTTTCTGTTGCTGATGAGAGAAAAATCAGGTATTTCTAGGGAAAGAACTGAATTGATCCCACAGATAAATACTTGCCTTAAAAAAAGAACTGAATTGGGAGCTGGATGTAATCTACATAATCTGGACTTTCATCCCCATTTTTCCACTAATTAGCCATGTGACTTTGGGAAGGTCACATAACCTTTATGAGACAGTTTCTTCAGGTGTAAAGTGAGAATAATGATTCTGCCCTGGACACCCCACAGGACTGAGGGGAGGGTCAGTGAGATGATGCAGGATCAGTTCCAGTTTACAAAGTGCTCTCATATAGGTGAGCCGTCCTCCTTTTCTGTTCTTTGTGGGTTTTTATTTTTCATGAGCTTCTGTTTCTAAGGTATATTTTGAAATGTAATATGAATTTGTAATTTGATGTATATAACATAGGTAAAATTAGGCAAGTATCTATTTAGGTATCTAATTGTGCAGATTCTTTTGTCACTGCCCTGCATTATAGCCATATCAGTTATTTTTTCATTGAAAGAATGCAGTTGTTATTTTTGTTGTTTTTCCAAATTCTTGTAGGATCTAATTTCCATTTTGCCGTTTAAAAAATTATTGTTCATACGATCTTTTAAAAGGATTTTTTTTTAAGTTTGCCTTCTGTTGAACTAGGAGTTAAGTACTTATTTTTCAACTTTTGTCTTTATAGGATCTTTAATGACTTGCTACTGTGGGAACCAACAGCTCCTTCACCAGTGGAGACATTCGAGAATATTTCCTATGGCATTGGGCTTTCAGTAGCCAGTCAGCTCATTAATACTTTCAACAAAGATAGTTTTAGTGCATTTAAATCTGCAGTTCACTATGGTAATATATTTTTAATTTGTTTTGATTTAAAATGCCTAGTTTATCAATTAACAAAGTACTAACCTTTGAATTGTGGATTTAAAAATCTTTATGTTTCATTGTAACTATATTTTGCAATTTCTTTTAGTAATTTATAAGAATATTTCCTTATTTCTATCTGTATATTGAGAATATCATTATCACTTAAATATGTTCTCTTTAGAATGATAGTGTGCACATTGTTTGAAGTTCAAAGCTAAAGAGAAAAACAGTATGTATTTCTGTGTTCACACCATATTCTTTGTAAAACTAAGCAGGTTATATAAAATATTTTCATGATCATTTTTATGTTGCTGTTTTAATATGCTATCAGAATGTAATTGTATGTTTATTTCTCATAGATGAGGAAAGTGGATCTGAGGAGGAGACTTTGCAGTATTTTTCCACTGTTGATCCCAACTATCGTTCTCGCAGGAAAAAAAAATTAGACTCTCAGAACAAGAACTCTCAGAGTTTTCTCTCAGTTCTTCTGAATATTAATCATGGATTAATAGCAGTGTTCACAGATGTGAAGGTGAGGTTTACAAATCCGAAGTGTTTTTTCAAATGTATCTTACTTTAAATAAATCTGCTAGGATACATATCTAGTGATTGAAGTATTTGATATTTTGAAGTTGTTTCAGGGACTGATGAAGACCAGTGTCCTGGGGCAAACCATGATGATAGCAACTTTGGGGATTTAGCTTTCGTTGCAGATCAAACTTTGTGGGGCTCTCCCTTTGGAAAACAGGTGCTAATTCTGCTTCTGGGGTGACAACAAAGTACAGAGATTCATCTGATAGAAGAGGTTCCACATAGCATTTAAGTTATCCAGTTTTATTTTATACCATGATATTGAATAGTTCAAGGATTAGACTGCTTTGCTGCAGTATGGGAGATTTTCCTAAGCTGAATCAACAAAGAGCATCTCAAGGAACATGCTTACTTTTCTGCATTTAAGTAATAACTTCTGTGTTTTTCTGATCTTTTTACTAGCAAGATAATGGAGATCTGTTGGAAAACAAGCATGGTGAATTCTGGTTAGAGTTCAATAGTGGTTCATTATTTTGTGTGACAAAATATGAAGGTTTTGATGACAAGCACTACATTTGCCTTCATTCTAGCAGTTTCAGTCTGTACCATAAAGGTAGGACAAACACGTGTCTTGGTTTCTTCTCTTTAGACATGTTTAAATTTCTTGTTTAACAAAGAAAATCTATTGAGAACAGAACTTTGGTATTAGAAATTATTTTCTGTGGAGGGCTCTCATTCTGCTGTCAAAGTAATATTTACAAATTAGAAGTCAACTTCAGGTTCTTTTTTTGCAATAGCTTTGTTGAGGTATAATTCACACACCATACTCATTTAAAGTGTACCTTTCAGTGGTTTTTAGTATTTCACAAGAGTTATGCAACCGTCACCATAGTCAATTTTAAAACATGTTTATTACCCCATGAAGAAATTTCATACACTTTAGTGATAAACTTTCACCCCTTCCGCTCTCTCCTTCCCGTAAACACACTAACCTACACTCTGTTTCTATGGATTTGCATATTCAGAAGTTTCTTATAAATGGAATCATACAATATTTGGCCTTTTTGACTGGCTTCTTTCATTTGACACGCTTTCAAAGTTCATCCAAGTTGTATCTGTACTTCATTCCTTTTTATTGCCAAATAATATTCCACTGTAAAGATAGATCACATCTTATGTATCCATTCATCAGTCGATGGGACTATATGTTCTTTATTCTTCTTTAAGGAATATTTCCTTTTGGTTCCAGATATAGAACCTACCATTTTTTGAGCAGTTACCTGAGTTTACCTTGTTTCATAGACATGAGATGTTTGTGATAGTTTTCTATTTAATTTTCCTAGCATTTCAGAATCTTTTGTTTCTTTAAGCTGTGTACGGTCAGTCACACTAACATTAGCAAAGAGGAGTGGATTATTAATGCCATGCTGGTTTTTGTCATCATGCCTCCTTAAGTTATATTCAGTGGAAGTACGTGGATTTTTGTTTTGAGTCATGTAAGTTGATTAGCTAATTTCAAGTAATCATTTTGTTACTATTTTTACCTCAATGTGGATCTCTAGGCATAGTGAATGGAGTGATTCTCCCGACAGAAACACGACTTCCCAGCTCAACCCGCCCACACTGGTTGGAACCTACTATTTATTCCTCTGAAGAAGATGGCCTCAGTAAAACTTCTTCAGATGGAGTTGGAGGAGACAGTTTGAATATGCTGTCTGTTGCCGTTAAAATATTGTCTGATAAATCAGAGTCCAATACAAAGGTTTGTGTTTTGTACTTTTATGCCACTGTTGATTTGATTCTAGCTAAAAATAATTACATAAAAGGCAACATATTTATTTTCTTGGAAAAACTTTTGAGTTATAGGATTACATAGGTGGTAAATGTCATTCTTTGTCTTGTTCTGTATAGGAATTTCTCATTGCCGTAGGACTGAAAGGAGCCACTCTCCAGCATAGAATGCTTCCTTCTGGGCTTAGCTGGCATGAGCAGGTAAGAGAGCTGTTATATATGTATTAATTTATTTAAAAATTTGTGTTGACATCTAATACACATACTGAAAAGTTTGTAAGTCATAAATGTTCAGCTCAGTGAATTATCATTAAGTGAATACTACGGTGTCACCACCTTTTAGGTTAAGAAATAGAACAGTATTGGCCGGGCACGGTGGCTCATGCCTGTAATCCCAGCACTTTGGGAAGCCAAGGCAGGTGGATCACCTGAGGTCAGGAGTTCGAGCCCAGCTTGGTCAATCCCGTCTCTACTAAAAATACAAAAATTAGCTGGGCGTGGTGGAATGCACCTGTAATCCCAGCTACTGGAGAGGCTGAGGCAGGAGAATCGCTTGAACCCGGGAGGCGGAGGTTGCAGTGAGCTGAGATCGTGCCACTGCACTCCAGTCTGGCGACAAGAGCGAAGCTCTGTCTCAAAAAACAAAACAAAACAAAACAAAACAAAACAAAACAAAACAAAACAGTATTATCACCTCAGAATGTAATTGGTTTTTTACCTTAAAGTGTGGTCCTCAAAACCTCTCAATGACAGAGTTATCTTATATGTCATTAAAGGAAGGGAAGGGACTCTGTATCCCAGGACTTGTAGAATGTCTGGCGTAGAGGAGCAGTGAATGGTGTGTTGAATTGCTTTTATAATCAGAAGTTCTTTAAGTGCAATATTTCCATATAATTCCCTAGGCCAATAATATGATGTTGCTTTAAAGCATTTTATCAGGATTTCTCTCATTAATTTCCAGTTCAACAACTTTTTATGGTAATAAAATACAATTGGTTATTTTTCAGAGGAGACTTTGAGTAAGAAGTTAGCTTTTCCTTATGTGAGAATGAAAACTAGTGCACTATGATTGCTTCTCATGTTTCTTATAAAGGAGAACTTCTTAATTGTGCTGGGAAAATAATACATTATTTAAAAACTTGAGTGTTTTCAAAATTCTTTTCTCATGAAAGCATTTAGGAAACATGAGAATATCTGTCTGACTTTCTATCTGGTAGGAGTAGAGAAGTGGTTAGGGTGAATAACCAGCTGGAAGGGAGACATTTAGCAGAACCTCCTTATTTGTTTGGATTAGAAATATGAAAGAATAGATGTTGGTGAGAGGGACTGGTTTTTAGACTGAGCTAGGTATACATTAAGGAAAAAGAGCTTCCTTCAACAATGACTTATATGAAAAACCAATCGCCCCTGCACACAATGAGTTATATAAGAAGCCAGATTGATAGTTTTAAGCAGTCTTTAGCAAAATTTATTTTTTCTGAGAATTGTTCCAAGCCAAAAAATATGAAATTATATTATGCATACATTGTTATTAATTTCATAAGGTGTGATTTTCTAAGATTTCTGTAGCATTGGAGTTGTTGGATAGGCTTCTGCATTTCAAATTCTAATTTTGCAAATACTTTTAAAAAATTTATTTTTATTATATATAAGGTGAATAACATGTCTTGATATGCATAGTAAAATGCCTATTGTAGTCAAACGAACACATCCATCAGTATCCATTACCTTCTTTTCTGATGCAAGTACTTTTTGAAACTAATTCCTTCAAAATGATGATTTTTTTCCTTTTACCGTTATGATTTTCCAATTAAATGATTTTTTCTGTGAGATATTCTGGTTTACATTGGTATTAAGGATATTATATGAAACCTTTTTTTTCTTCTAAAGCAGGGCGTTTTAATTTTTTGTGATTATAGATTTTATACTTCTTGAATATTGCTGATGAACCTGTTTTGGGATATAATCCTCCAACTTCATTTACAACTTTTCATGTTCATCTTTGGAGCTGTGCACTTGATTATAGGTAAGTTCACAAATGGAACAAAATAAAGTTTTATTTAAAATGCTACTAAATTTTGAAAAAAATACATAATTCAGTAGAGTTAAGGTTCAAATTGTTGTTGTTGTTGTTGTTTTTAATAGAGTTTCTGGAGCCGTATCAAACTGATGTTCTTTTGTTTCTCTTTGGCATTAGACCCCTTTATTTGCCAATCCGATCTCTTCTTACCGTGGAAACATTCAGTGTTTCCAGTAGCGTTGCATTGGATAAATCTTCCTCTACTCTCAGGTACCTGTGTAAACTTCATTGTATACTAAACAAAGCTGTTCGAAACATACCAATTGATATTTACCTAAACCATTTTATTAAAGTCTCAATTTTTTGTTAAACGTTCTTTTACTAATAGTTATAACCTTTTACCCAAATTACCCAATTTTTCTCAGGTGACATGTTTCATCTACCCATTTATTATTGCATTTCATTTTTAGGGAAGAAATTAATTCTGGAGATTCTTTAAAAAGTTTGCATTTTAAAACATATGGTAAACTTCCCATGCTACCTGATACACTTTATACTTTTTATTTAATTTTTTTATTTTTTAGAGACAGGGTCTTGCTCTGTGTGGCCCAGGCTGGAATGCAGTGGCATGATCACAGCTTATTACAGCTTTCAACTCCTGAGCCCAAGTGATCTTTTGCCCTCACCCTACTGAGTAGCTAGGACTATAGACGTGTGCCTCTATCCCTGGCTGATTAAAAAAAAAGTTTTGTTTTTGTAGAGAAGGGGTCTTGCTGTGTTGCCCAGGCTAGTTGAGAACTCCTGGCCTCAGGTGGTCCTCCTGCCTTGTCCTCCCAAACGGCTGGGATTACAGGTGTGAGCCACTACATCTGGCCCACTCTATCTTTATACTATAGTTTAAACCTTGTGAATTTGGGCATCTCTTTAAAAACTGCCAAAAATTTAGAATTAATTTGAGTAGATGATTTAATCTAATTCTTTACACCATTTAAATATTCCTAGCATTCATAAACAGTTTTTAAAAAATGTTAGATGACAGTTATAAGTTAGAAACTGCTTATGATTTCAACAATGTTCATACCAGAAAGAATGATGCAATTAAGCATATAGTGATTATGGGGTATGATACTCAAAGCTTAGTTTTTCAGATGTTGGTTTTATCTTTCTTGCCTCAGAATAATCTTGGATGAAGCTGCTTTACATCTATCTGACAAATGCAATACTGTCACTATAAATCTGAGTAGAGGTAAGAGTTAAAAAACAAATGGAGTAGATAAATTCTGCTTTATTTTTGTGCGTAAATAATTTTAAAGCATTTTAACTCTGGGATAATGCTAGTGAACTAAGAATCTTATTAAAGATCCTTAAAGATTAAAGGGTCTTTAAGTATATAGTGATCATGTGGTATATATTCACAGCTTCATTTTTCAGATACTGGTTTTTCAGTTTGAAATTGTAATGTTCTTATAATGCTAGTTAAGTACATCAAATTACTATATATACTACAAATTTTTATTTAAGATAATTTTTGTTTCTAACAAAAAATAAAGTGAATTTTAGGACTTCTATGGGATGAAACTATTTTCATTGCATTATAATTATTTGTAGTGCTCTCTGCAATGAATTTTAAAGGAATGCTAGTTGTATTGGGTGTTGGTTGGATACACATTTTTGAAAGCTGTACTGAAGAGATTTTCTTAATTTTAAAAATTTTAGATTATGTTCGTGTGATGGATATGGGGCTTTTGGAGTTAACCATAACTGCAGTGAAGTCTGATTCTGATGGAGAGCAAGTGAGTTATTAAAATAAATGAAAATTTTAAGTTCTATTTTTTAAGAGATTAAAAAAATTGAGTTTAACATTTTTCCGTGTACCTAATTTTGGTCAGAAATAGAGTAAGTATATTAAAAATGGATTTATTTAAATACTTTTTTTATGTAGCGAGACAGATTATCATGAATCTTATTTAATGTAAATCTATGCAAAAAAAGAAACTTTTGTCTCATTTGGAAAACATTTTCATCCCTTTTTCTGTGTCTTGTCCAGACTGAGCCCCGCTTTGAGTTACACTGTTCCAGCGATGTTGTCCATATCAGAACGTGCTCAGACTCTTGTGCTGCGTTAATGAATCTCATTCAGTACATTGCAAGCTATGGTGACTTGCAGACACCTAACAAGGCAGATATGAAGCCTGGAGCCTTTCAAAGAAGGTCTAAGGTACAGTCAGCAATGTGATTCCTCCAGTCCCTGCCATGTCGTGACATGTTTACATTATTGAGGTCTTCATGACAGTCATAAGGTAGAAAAGAAACTTTGAAAGTCATTCATCTGTTCTTTACCTTCAGAATAATGGGGTCTGAAACGGTGGTTTCATGGGCCTTTTTGGAAAACCATTCTGCTGTTTTGATATTCTTTGTTTCCATTAATCTTCCTAGCAAACATCATACTTTTTTTTTTCTAGACTTGTTATTTTCATCTGTCCTAAGGGAAGAAAGAAAACATTTATCATGCAAAAGCTTGTTCTATGCAAGTTGTATGTAAAAATGCTATGAAAAGATAGATGGCAGGTGTTAGTATTGTTACCAGAAGACTTACTTATATCATCATATTTTCCCTATTTTTTTATCTCTAAGACAATCCAGTTTTCAGTGTACTTTGTCATATATGACTTCCTTTTCCTTTCATGATGACCTGGTGAGATAGAGAGGTTAAAAATTAATAAGACCCAGAGAATTTAGATGATTGCTCTAAAGAGTAGCAGAAACAGCAACAAACCCAGATATTTTGGTGTCCAGTTCAATGCACTTTTCTGCCCCAAGTGTCACCTTTCTAACTTCTCTTATGTCCAAATTGAAGAATGTCCAGTTTGTTTAGCATTTTTTCTTTTTCATTGTTATTCTTTGTGGTCTCTCTTATGAACAGAAATCTCAGTCCCCTTAGGTTCTAGAGCCTCTGTTATGTACTCTAGTAAAGGCCTGACTGGCATCGTGTTTGTTGTCTTTTGTTCAGGATTATTTTACACTTTATTTGTGTTAATTTCTGTTTGTGACTCCTTGTTCCTGCTGTATTCTCACGATAAGGTGATTTATGACACCCCGCCTACTATTTATTCCCTTTTAAAAAACATTCTTCTTATTTTAAATTATCCCTTTCAGCTTGGAACTTGCTATTTTAGAGTCATGCTCACATATAAAAAGCACGATCTGGGTTTAATGAATCTACAGTTCACCAACCATTGGTGAAGTATTTGGTTAAGTATTTGGTGCTGGAACTGAGCTCTGAATCACCGTTTAGTATATTTCCCCTGCTGTGTGTGCCCCCTACTGTTGTTAGGTGTCCAAGAAATGAGGCCTCGTCCTACAGGGGCTTTATGTCAAAGGGATGAAAGTCATTGCAACCATCAGAGTTGAGGAGATCAAACTTATTTAGTTATCCCTTCTTTCCCAGCTTTATTGCAGTTTGTTCAACTTCCCTGTTTTCAAATGCATTGCCTCTTCAAGATCCCAGTTCACTGTGCTTGCTTTGAGGTGGTGACACATTTATTGCTCTTTGCCAGTATTTGTTAGGGTGATAATACTAAAAACTTGAAATATAACAGCTGCTGGGCATAGAAAAATGAGTAGGTTTCTATTTCTGATGTTTTTGTACAATGTAATGTATTTTTGGGATAAAATAAATGTAAGTAGTTTGGTTTTTAAGAGCATTTTCAGTTATTTTTAATTAGGTTTTTTGGCTATAGGTAGATTCCAGTGGTCGATCATCCTCACGTGGTCCAGTACTTCCTGAAGCAGATCAACAAATGTTACGAGATCTGATGAGTGATGCTATGGAGGAGATCGACATGCAACAAGGCACCTCGTCAGTAAAACCACAGGCTAATGGTAAGACCAGGACTCTTCTCAGGGAGCACTGATGTTAATGTTGGGGCTTACTTTATTTGTGTTCTCGTAAATTTAATAAGTCACTTATTAAAGACGCATATGAGTTTTTATGGATATCTGTTAATCATTCAGCTTGTGTCTACTCAGTGTCTAGTAAATAGGTAACTCTGGCCAGGCTGGTGTCGGGAATGCAGAGTGAGTAGAAGACAGTGCTTATGTTTTCTGGTAGCTTGTAGCCTAGTAAAACAAATGGGCACAAAACTGGTGCCAGTACTTAGACTGATTGATAAATGATGTAAGAAAATACTTCAACTGTGGTATATCCTCTACTGTTTGGAAAGGATTGGGATAATTTTATTAGACTTTAGTAAAGTAAGATGGCTTGGCTTTTTAAAAGTGGTTGGGATTTAGGTATGTAAAGAGGGAGGAGAAGGTAATCTTGGCAAGGTCATTAACATCAACAGAGCACAGACAAAGGCATGCATGAGCCTCAGTTATTTAGCCATGACATTCGGGTTCTTACTGAAACAAAAGTTCTCTTATTGAAAAGAATTAGATAATAAAGTTGGGTAAGCAAAGAGGGACCCAGGTGATTCAAGATCCTTGAAAGCCAAAGGGAAGCAGGTAAACATTTTAAAGCCTCTATTTCAACAGTATTTTCTTCTAATTGAATGGTCATAGCTATATCTATATATTGGGAAATCTTAATTAAAAATTATTTCATGGAGTTGTAAAAGTCTAGTGTTAACTGTTGCTGTCTTGCTAATTTAGGATAAATTAGAACTAAGGAAGCAAACTGGGGCTTTTAGTGTTCTATGTACTACATTATTTGTAATAAATGTTAGCAGCTAGGCTGGGCACAGTGGCTCATGCCTGTAATCTAGCACTTTGGGAAGCTGAGGCAGGTGGATCACTTGAACTCAGGAGTTTGAGACCAGCCTCGGCAACATGGTGAAACCCCATCTCTCCAATTAAAAAAAAAAAAAAAAAAAGCTAGATGTGGGATGTGTTGGCAGGCGCCTATAGTCCCAGATACTTGGGAGGCTTAGGTGGGGTGGGAGGATCACCTGAGCCCAGGAGACGGAGGTTGCAGTGAGCCAAGATTGTGCCACTGCACTCCAGCCCGGGTAATAGAGCGAGATTCTGTCTCAAAAAAAAAAAAAAAAAAAATATATATATATATATATATATATATGTGTGTATATATATATATATATATATGTATATATATATTTATGTATTTATATATATATGTATATATATATTTATGTATTTATATATATTTATATATGTGTGTGTGTGTATATGTATATATGCAGCTACCTTAATTACATGGGAAAGAATATTTAGTGATTATTTACTGGGTGGCTTCAATATACAAGATTCTGTACTAGGCCCTGGGTACCTGTAAGGATGAGTAATTCTGAGGTACTGCTGTAGAAGAATCTAAAATCTAATCTGTGAGTCTCTTAAAGCCAGTATGTCTCTTGATTCAGCTTAGTGTTCTCAGCCTCATCACAGTGTTTGGTTTTAATGAATGAATGGGAAAAGAATGAGTGACTCTTAATATGTAATGTAAACATATTAAAATATATGTTGACATGCAGATTTTGGTGCACATGTAATCTTTTGCGATAGCTACCTAAGATTAGGTATCCAGTTTGGGTATCCCAGGCCCCAGGAAGAGGTCTTCTTTTCATACTTGAATCACTGCCTCCTCTGCCACCTAATGCTTGCTCAACAGCTATTCTTCCCTCCCCTTCCCCTTCCCTCCCCCTACATTTAGGCTCTGCTAAATGTAACCAGTTTCCCCTCACATTGTAATATTGTCCAAGAAGTTTCTTCCAGAGCTCCGCCTATAGGACAGAATTGTCAAAGGTGAAATTCTGGGTAAAGCAAAACTCCACTCAACACTAACCAGCAACTGCTGAGCTTCCCCAACGCCAACTAACTGGGAGGAAACTGTCTTTGTGACATTGCCATTTCGAATTTATCATTTGTCTTTTTATTAGTTGTTGTTTTTTGTTTGTTTGTTTGTTTTTTTGACAGGTTCTTGGTCTGTCACGCAGGCTGGAGTGCAGTGGTGTGATGTCAGCTCACTGCAACCTCCACCTCCCGGCTTCAAACAATTCTCCTACCTCGGCCTCCCAGGTAGCTGGGACTCAGGTGTGTGCCACCATGCCCAGCTGATTTTTGTATTTTTAGTAGAGACAGGGTTTCATCATGTTGGCCAGGCTGGTCTGTAACTCCTGACCTCAGGTGATCCACCCATCTCGGCCTTCTAAAGTGCTGGGATTACAGGCATGAGCCACCATGCCTGGCCTATTAGTGGTTTTTGATGTATTTCTGACTCTTGCTGAGGTGTTTTGGTGCATGTTACTTAGCTCTCTTTAAGCCTCAGATTCATAGACTTATTTTAGGAAATAAATGAGATATTGCAGGTAAAAGCACACAACATATATCTGACACATGGTTAAAATGCTTGTTGTTGTTGATATTTCAAAGTGTGCCAAAATGTTGTAATCTTTTTATCTAGGTGTTTTGGATGAAAAATCTCAAATTCAGGAGCCATGTTGTTCAGACCTCTTCCTGTTTCCTGACGAGAGTGGGAATGTATCCCAGGAGTCCGGCCCCACCTATGCCTCATTCTCTCACCATTTCATCAGTGATGCAATGACAGGTGTGCCCACTGAGAATGATGACTTTTGCATTCTTTTTGCACCAAAAGCAGCCATGCAGGTAATAAATTAATAACATTATTGAAGCCTTGAATGGTGTTACAAATGAATTGACCAAAGGGTACCTGGAGAAAATTCTGTTGATTTTGTAAATTCTTTATAGTTCAGAGTTACTTTTTTTTTTTTAATATACTATTGACAGTTGGTGAATGGTTACTGTACTATTTCTGTGACACATCTAAAGACTCAGAGAAGAATGCTATTTGCAAAATTTCCAACATAGATTATTGAACTCCAGATTTTTTATATAGTAAGATGACTATTCAAGGATCGTGAAATTAAATGGCAGAAGGATCTGCTGGACAGAATTGCTAGTCCAAGAATCGGGAAAGATAAGATGTGGTTTGTGTGAAGGCTGATGGTTGGGGTGTGTTTGTGTGTATGTATAGATATAAGTGTGTGTGTGTATGTGTATTTGGAAACTTTCCAGGAATTGTCCAGTAGGTGACCGTATTTGTTTACAAAGTTCTGAGAACCTTCTGGTTAAATTTTTAAAAATCCAAACAATCAAACTCAGGATAAACCTATTATTAAAAACATGGTAATATCATCCATATGTTGAAATTTGTTAACTTTTGGTTTGCAGTATTGACTTTAAACAAAAAAAAATACCCACACACTAAATTTGTGCTTTTTTATTATCAAACAAGTAGTGAAAGCCGAATTGTAAACCATAAAAAATCCTTATGGAGTGGTTTACGTAGAACAAAGAGAGTTTATTTTATGGTTAATAAAGCAGAATATCTTTGTGGTGACTAATGTCGGTAACCATCACCTTATTTTATATACTGGAATTATTAAAAAGAATGTAGAAGCAAGAATGCCCCTTGAGATGTGCAGCATAATCAGTTGTTTCTAATTAGAAAAGAGAGTATGTGTTACCTGTTTGTTTATTTTAGGAGAAGGAAGAAGAACCAGTTATAAAAATCATGGTTGATGATGCAATTGTGATAAGAGACAATTATTTCAGTCTGCCCGTTAATAAGACCGATACGAGCAAAGCCCCCTTACACTTTCCCATTCCTGTGATTCGCTATGTGGTGAAGGAGGTCTCTCTTGTCTGGCATCTTTATGGAGGAAAGGATTTTGGAATAGTCCCTCCCACTTCTCCGGCTAAAAGTTATATGTAAGTTAATTTCTATATAAGTTTATTTGGGAGGCCAATATATTCTTTTCTTAGAAAAATAGAATTTTCCATTTCCCCTTTAGAGAGAAAAAAGAAAAATAGGATTTATCATTTTAAGAATTATTAATAAAGTAGTATTAAAAACTGTAATTTAAATGTTACTCTCACAGTTTTCCAATTGTGAACTTATTTGTATTATTTGTATTTTTACTAAAATGTTGACTCTCATCATTTTCATTCAGCAGAAATTTTCAGGTATCTACCATGTACCTATTTCACAAAAATGAGTAGGTCCTGTGAGTCATGTGAGTGACAGAGGGCAGTGAAACGCAGGAAGTGTGTCAGGAGGTGGGGTCGGGCATGCCCTGTCCCCAGCATTCAGCAGGGCACTGAGCAGAGAGCCTGTGGTCATTGAGCGCCTGTGAGACGAGTGCAGTGTGCCGGTCGCTGGGAGAATCAGGTGGACAGAATCCCTGTAGGGGGCAGACTTCCTTATTGAGGTGGGGCATGGCATGGAGGCTGCGTGGAGCAGTAACATTTGACACTATAGTTCAGCAGCTTTTTCTACTTAAAAGCGACTTTAAAACACGTCCAACTTTACTATAATTATTTTGTGTATTAGTTGGGATTCCTAGGACTTGTGTTCTGACTATAAAGGGTTTCCAAAGTAACAAGAAGCTTATAAGGAGGTCTCATTTCTAAGTGTATCCTGTGATACGGATCCCAGCATCATAATTAGCTTTTCCTGTAGTTTTGAGTATTTAGCAAGCAGGTGATTACTCTAATGGCAATAATGAAACGCGTGTTTCAGTGTCTACAGAGTAAAGAAGATACGGTTTTGGTTTCTAGTAATTTGTGGCAGCGTTCTGATAGCTCTGTACTCTTACTTTGTCTTTCATCTTATCATTTTCCTTAATGTCATTCATTGACTTTCTTTGAATATTCCTTTAACAAAAGGGTTTTTTTTTTTTTTGCTCATTTTTAGTAGTCCCCACAGTTCGCCTTCTCACACACCCACGAGACATGGACGTAATACAGTATGTGGGGGAAAAGGAAGGAACCATGACTTTTTAATGGAAATACAGCTAAGCAAGGTAAGATGGCATTTGAAGGAAAAATCCACTTAAGTAGGATATTGGCGGGGGGTTCTTTTGTTATCCCCCACCACGTAGTCTTGAGCCTTAAGTCCCAACCCTTTGGATTGGAAAAGTGCAAGGATCTTGTATAAAACTCTTACCTCTTTTTCATTCTCAAATGTTCTAAGAAGACTGAGGTGTTTTTCTTTTATTTTTGTTTGTCTGGGCTACCGCTAGAGCGGTGGTTCTCACAGTTGAGCAAGCCCAGAATCCCCTGGAGGGCTTATTAAAACACAGGTTTCTGGGCTCCACCCCAGAGTTTCTGATTCAGGAAGTCTGAGGTAGGGTCAGACTGAGGAGATGCTGCCCTAGAGCATCTGTCTGGGAAAGCCTGTGTTTGGACAGTGCATCTGGCAGGTCCTTTGTGAGACTAGAGACCAGTAGGGCCAGACTACTGATGGCATCACACGCATTTAATTCTACCAGCTTGTCTGAGATTGTACCAAGTGTCATATTTTAGGATAGTTAGCATGGCAATATTGTAGTGATGACAATTCCCTGTATTTAATCATATCTGTGCCTCCTTTTGGAACTTGAACCCTGCCTCTGCTGATTCATTTTAAAGCAATTTCATAGGTATGCAAGATAATAATTTTATGTCTTATTCCTATTGAGAATTTTCCTTGGAAATAAGGGATTTTACCAAGGTCAAATAGAAATATTAGTCAAGCTTCTCTGTGTATGGTAGGGTCCACATAGTCCCCCTTATCCACAGACATACATGGTAATAGCCTCAGTGGATGCCTGAAACTGCAAATAGTACTGAACTTTATGTATACTGTGTTTTTCCTATACATACATACCTATGATAAAGTTTAATTTCTAAGTTAGGCATAGTAAGAGATTAACAATAATGAATAATAAAATAGAATAATTATAACACTATACTAAAATAAAAGTTATATGGAAGGTATTTCTCTTGGTTTCAAAATACTGAAATATTTTTGGACCTCAGTTGACCATGGGTAACTGAAACTGTGGAAAGCAAAACCTTGGACAAGCAGGGAGCACTGTAGATTAATAAATGAGTGAACAAGTGAAGGAATGTCATGTTGTTGAGTTTTTTGAAGGTGGAATTGTAAGCTGAGGTAGAATTCAGAGGAAAAATGAGTGATATTTTGCATTTTAAAGAGAAAATACAATTTAATAAAAGGAATGTAAAGAACTGTTCCGCGTTCTTCCTCCTTACCCGTTAAGGTGAAGTTTCAGCATGAAGTCTACCCGCCATGCAAACCTGATTGTGATTCCAGCCTCTCAGAACACCCAGTCTCCCGGCAGGTGTTCATTGTTCAGGATCTTGAGATTCGAGATCGTTTGGCAACATCACAAATGAATAAATTTTTATACCTGTATTGCAGTAAAGAAATGCCTCGAAAAGCTCACTCCAACATGGTAAGAGTTAACCTCATCGTTGTGTTATGTTAGTTTTGGAAACGTGTTTTTATTATATCTAACTTCAGGAGAGTTAAAGTAGGGAAAATTACTAGATATCTTTTCTCATTTTAATGTGAAAAGTCCCTTTTGAATGTATTGCTTAAAGTTTTATGTTTAAAAAATTATTTTGCATGTCACTTCTAGGGTCCATTAACTCTAATTGCTAATAAATTGATATCTGAGGAAAAGTAGAAGTCCCTAGTGATCAGTACAAAATAGGTAGTATTGCTGAAGGTGTTCCAGATTTCTAACACTCTTTACATTTTAGTAAGGTAGAAATGATTCTTTCAGGACTTTGGAGGTCCCTCACAGAATTTGATTTTGGCATATGGACCTATGGTTAGCTTCAGGGTTTCAGTAAACTGTTACTAAGTACAACATTATCCATTTGCAATTTTTCCTCTAAAGAGAGTCTACATCTTTAAGCAGTTTTTTTTTTCCCCCCAACAGTGTCTCACTCTGTGACCCAGGCTGGAGTGCAGATTGTAGTTCACTGCAGCCGTGACCTCCTGCGCTCAAACTAGCCTCCCATTCAACCTCCTGAGTAGCTGGGACTACTGGCAGTGCACCACCGTGCCTGGCTAATTTTTTGTTTTTTGTGGAGTTGGGGTTTTCCTATATTGCACAGGCTGGTCTGGAACTCCTGAACTCAAGTAATCCTCCCACCTTAGCCTCCCAAAGTGTTGAGATTACTGGCATGAGCCACCGTGCCCAGCCTTTAATCAGATTATTGATGGGGGCATGTGACCCAAAAATGTTTGATTCAGACTTTTAAGGAAAGAGGGTAAACAATTCCTCTTTTTCTCATATGGTATAGGAATAGGAATTTTTCTTTTTTTTTCTTATTTTTAAAGAGAAGAAGGTCATCATATTATTGGGGAAAAATGTTATTCTCTTTCTTGCCTTGTAGTTGACAGTGAAAGCCTTACACGTGTGTCCAGAATCTGGCAGGTCCCCACAGGAGTGCTGCTTGAGAGTGTCGCTGATGCCGCTCCGCCTCAATATTGACCAGGTTTGTAGCATGAGCGTGATTCCTGCCGTTACAGTTAGATTAGACTGCATGTTCAGAATAAAGAAATTGTAATGTTTATCATTATTGAACTTTTATGGCGGTTACATATATAAAGCAAACTTCTGATAAAGAATAGGGCAAATTCATTAGATGTTTGGAATCTGAACTATGGCTGAGTCAACATCATTAGATGTTATTCCCCAGTCTCCTACTCATGGTGTGATGTAGACCTTAATACCTGCTTCTTGTTCTCTAATCCTCAAGTACTCTACTCCCAGTTCAGATATGCATACATTTTCAGAGAGTATTAGAGGATTCCCTGATGAATTGAATGCTGCTCTGTCTTCATTGCAGCATCTGGAAGAGAATTCTTTCTGTGCTGGGCAAAATGACAAATGAGTAAATTGGTATACATAAAGAGGTCAGAAACAACAGAGATTTAGACTTTCCCTAAAAAAAACTGGAGTTGGGCACAGTGAAATCCACTTTCCCGTATTCTAGCAGGCATCCCATCAAATTCTTCTGGGCTTTGCTTTGACCCAGCGATCTGTTTAAAACATAGCTGGTGCCTCTTCCAGAAACTTTTTACCAAGATGTATGAAAATAGGATGCGCAGCCAAGGTATAGTAATAGAATGGCGAGAAGCATGGGTTTGGAGTCAGACCTGGGTTCCAGTCTTAGTTCTGTAGCTTTTACTAGTTGTATGGCTTCGGGTAAGTTACTGAACATCTCCAAGCCTTAGTTCCTTCACTGATAAAATGGGAGAAATAGTAATATGTGTATCATAATGCTTTTTAAAATGAAGATTAAATAAATCAGTGTGTGAAAAACATTAACTGGGTGCCTGACACACTAGGTTAGGGATCAGTAATGTTAACTGTTGTTATTTAATAATAACATAACATATGATAATTGCAGAACATAAATGGAGTTTTTAACTAATCTGCTGTGAAATAACAAAACCTTCTTGACAGAAATTGTGTTGATATGAGCTCAGGTTTGGAAGTAGAGTATTTATTTGTGGGGTGGACGTTATTAATTTGCTTAAATAGTACTGGTTGAATAATGTTCATTAGTTGTTTAAATAAAACTTGAATAACTAAAAGCTGGTAACAAATATTTCAAGACTGAGCTTAAATAATATTTATAAACAAAAAATAGGCGCTGTCTTAGAGAAAATGTACTGTGAAGTACAGAAGCTTAGCATAGCTCTACATTAATGCTTATAGCCTCTGACCTAGGTTAGACTTGCCAATCAGTACTTTAAGTTTATGTTTTATCATTATGAAAAGAAGATATTTTGATATCCATACTTTAACTAAATTTATCCATATATTGATTGGCCTAGTGGAAATACAATGAAATATTTGTGGGAAAATTGATCTGTGGCGATCACCAGTGTGAACAAGACTTTGAGTAAGATACATCTTTCTGGCATGACTTTACGAAACTTAGCAAGCCCAATTTTCTTTCTTTTTTTCTTCCCCCGCCACAGTGTCTCACTCTGTCACCCAGGCTGGAGTGTAGATCATGGCTCACTGCAGCCTTGACCTCCTGGGCTCAAACTATCCTCCCGCCTCAGACTCCTGAACAGCTGGGATTATAGGCGCATACCACCATGTCCAGCTAATTTTCTATTTTTATTTTTTTGTAGAGACGTGGTCCCATTATGTTGCCCAGACTGGTCTTGAACTCCTGGGCTCAAGTAATCCTCCCACCTTGGCCTCCCAAAGTGCTGGGATGATAGGCATAAGCCACTGTGCCCACCCTAATTTTCTTTAATAGACTTTTAAATTTAATATTGAACACAATTTCTTATTTAGAACTATAAAGCATTATGATTTTAAAGTGGAGAGTTATTAATCTTAGAACCATCAGGGAAATAAATTTTATGACTACCTTGAGGAAGAATGAGAAATAATTCATTAAGACATAAAAGCTAGGAAAACAAAGCCACACCACAAATATGTAAGCGTTAATGAGGTATATCACCTGACACAAAAATTCTTTTCAGTTCGCCTCTTTTAAGATTGCTATACCATATTTTGGGATAGTAAATGGTCGTCTGAGTAGAAAATCAAATATTTTTGTTTATTTTTTCTTGTGAAAACAAATCAGTTGGTGAATGATAATGCTTTGAGTATTATTTTTCTAACCGAGCACATCCCCACTTATTCTTCTTAATTGAATCATGTTAAGTATGAAAGCAACACATTATTCTTTCATGTTTTTGAAAAAGCTGCATTGCCATTGAAGGTAAGTGCAACTGCTTCCAAAGCTCAGTGTTCCCTTAGGGCAGGCAGTAAGCATTGCAGATGGAATGAGTTCCATCTGGTGGATAAGTGGATGATGGAGGTCATACAGCTAGGCAGTTTGAGATTCAAAATAGGAAGGGGGCCGGATTTCCTGACTCTGCTAGCCTATTATCCATTTTAGTTTTGTACTGCCTGGAACTCTGCCGGGAAAGCGTATCAATTCATTCAAGACCATTTGGTGAATGCCTGCCTTGTCCCAAGTTTTATATTAGGATGCTGGGGATACAAAGATGAATAAGACATCTCTATCTTCAAGGATCTCTTTATAGAAGACTGACATAAAAGAGATAGTTTTAATGTGCTGTGGTGAGTACAAGTGATACAGATAGGCATGGGATGGTATGCCTGACCAGAAGATGGCTCTTAACCTAGACTGGGAGTTTGGAAGGGTGAGGGATGCTCAGGAAAGGCTTTCTGGAGGTGGTGACATTCAAGGTGGGCCTTAAGGAGTGCAGTGGAGCTAGGCAGGTGAAGATTTTTGTAAAGATACCAAAAGCCTTACTCTGATTGTGGACTGGGACTGGGAGACCATTCTGCTAAGGAAGATAAGTAAGTGCTCAACCAGGCTCTATAGGATGAACATGGAGCAGCACCAGTTTGCACAATTGTGTTTTTCATCATTATTGCTTCATTGCTTGAGTATGACATTAAAAGGAATTCTTTTAACACTGTAAGTCATAGTGCAGTATTAATATCCTTTATCATAGGATCTTCAAACTAGACATTTTACAGTCAAAGTTTAGCATAAACAATTTTTTAAAGTTTAAAAACATTGATTGCACTGAGGTATAATTTACATACACTAAAATGCACAGCTTTTAAGTGTTCAATGGAGGTTTCACAGATTTACACACTTGAGTAGCTACTACCCCAGTTGAGATATAGAACATTTTCCTTACCGTGAAGACGTCACTCATGTCCCTTTGTAGTTCATCTTCACCATCCCAAAGTGACTACTGACTGATCTTTTGGTCACCATAGATTAGTTTTTTCCTGTTCTGCAACTTCATGTAAATGGAATTGTACTTGGCTTCCTGTACTTAGCGTTAAGTCTTTGAGATCCATCTATGTTGTAGCATGTATCCACAGTGATGTTTATTGCTGAGTAGGATTTTGCTGTGGATATACCACGGTTTATCTGTTTACCTGCTGGTTCACACTGAGGTTGTTCCATGGTTTTGGCTCTTAGGAATAAAGCTGTTAGGAAATTTATGTAGAAGTCTTTTTATGGGCATACGTTTTCACTTCTCTTGGTTGAATAAATACATATATAAGAGTAGAATTTCTGGGTCATAAGATAAGTATATGTTGAGCTCTCTTAAGAAGCTGCCAAACAATTCTTCACAGTGGCTGTTGCATTGCATATTCCCACCAATAGCCATGAGAGCTGCAGCTGCTTCATAGCCTTGCCAAACTTGGTATTGTCGTTCTTAAAATTTTAGCTGGGATGCTTTGTGTACACTGTGGTTTTAAATTGGATTTCCCTGGTAACAGGTGATGCTGAGCATCTTTTTATGTGCTTATTAGCCATTTGTGTATTTTCTTTTGTGTGTCTGAAGTGTCTGTGTCTTGCTAGTTTTAAAATTGGGTTGTTTGGGTCGGGTGCGGGTTACTCATGCCTGTAATCCTACCACTTTGGGAGGCCAAGGCAGGAGGATTGCTTGAGCCTAGAAGTTCAAGATCAGCCTGGGCAACATAGTGAGATCTTGTTTCTACAAAAAATAGAAAAAAAAATAGCCAGGCATGGTGGTGCCTGCCTATATTCCCAGCTATTCAGGAGGCTGAGGTGGGAGGATCGCTTGAACTCAGGAGGTGGAGGCTGCAGTGAGCCATGATCATGCTACTGTACTCCAGTCTGGGTGACAGAGCGAGACCCCCATCTGTAAAATAAAATAAAATAAAATTGAGTTGTTGGTCTTACTGATTTGTAAAGAGTTTAGCATAAATACCAAAATCAAAAAATTTTGAGAACATTTTAAAAAGCTAGTGATTAGTGGCCGGGTGCGGTGGCTCACGCCTGTAATCTCAGCACTTTGGGAGGCCGAGGCGGGTGGATCACGAGGTCAGGGGTTCGAGACTCAGCCTGACCAACATGATGAAACCCCGTCTCTACTAAAAATACAAAAATTAGCTGGGCTTGGTGGCGGGTGCCTGTAATCCCAGCTACTCAGGAGGCTGAGGCAGGAGAATTGCTTGAACCCGGGAGGCAGAGGTTGCAGTGAGCCGAGATCGTGCCACTGCACTCCAGCCTGGGCAACAGAGCGAGACTCTGTCTCAAAACAAAACAAAACAAAACAAAAAAAGCTGGTGATTAGCATCTCTTTATCTGTTGTTTTGTGCATTTGTGGTGAAAAATGAGTAGAAACCATTGTATCTTTAGTCTCCCTTTTTTTTTTTTAAAGAGGAAATTGATACCTGAAAATTTGCTGTTTTTTTGAAGGTAATCATGGAGTCCCACCATTTATGGCATTAAAATATCACCATCTAGTGGCCAAAGAATAGCATTTTATATGCTGTTAAACTGTAAACATGTAATATTTGGTATAATATGAATTATATATATTAAATGTGTATGATGGAAATAATACATAAAATACATACATGAATATATATGTAAAGCATAACAATATAATGAACAATTCATGAACCCACTACCCCGCTTCAGAATCAGAATATTTCCACTACTGACGAAACCACCTGCTTGTGCTGCAGTCCATTGCTTAGTCTCCCATATGCATGTTACCTAGGATATCCTTCTCATTTGCATCATTTGTACTTCTGAGATATGTGATCAGTAGACAGAGCTTTTGGAATTGTCAAACTGTTTTGGCGTGCCACTAAATATTTTGACCCTTCACATTGCATTTTGGCACAGTATTAATGTTTTATATTAGTTTAGGTTTTTTGTTGTTGGGTTTTTTTTTTTTTTTTGAGACAGTGTCTCGCACTGTCGCCTGGGCTGGAGTGCAATGGCGTGATCTCTGCTCACTGCAGCCTCCGCCTCCCAGGTTCAAGTGATTCTCCTGCCTCAGCCTCCTGAGTAGCTGGGATTATAGGCACCTGCCACCACGCCTGGCTAATTTTTTGTGTTTTTAGTAGAGACGGGATTTCACTGTGTTGGCCAGGCTGGTCTTGAACTCCTGACCTCATGATCTGCCCGCCTCAGCCTCCCAAAGTGTTGGGATTACAGATGTGAGCCACTGCACCCGGCCAGTTTAGGATTATGAAAGGAAAGAATAAGATCAGGCTCAGGCATATATACAAATATATCCTCGAAGATATATTTGTCAGTTTGAGTGAGATAGGCAAAACGAAGCTGCCTATAATGGGCAAATATGGCATGTACGTACAAAGTGAAGACAGAGCCATGCAGTTTTTGTTTGTAATTATGTAATTTCAGGAGAGACCATACTGAATGGATTATTTTCATTATTTTGAATATCATGTTCAATGATGAAATGTATTAAGGCAATATAATGTATGAAAAGCAGAAGTTAAGTCATTTGGAACTTTGAAGACACTTAAAAGTGTCCACATGGTGAAACCCGGTCTCTACTGAAAATACCAAAAATTAGCTGGGCATGGTGGCGGGCGCCTGTAGTCCCAGCCACTTGGGAGGCTGAGGCAGGAGAATGGCGTGAACCCAGGAGGCAGAGCTTGCAGTGAGCCGAGATTGTGCCACTGCACTCCAGCCTGGCGACAGAGCGAGACTCCGTCTCAAAAAAAAAAGTGTCCAGCACATGATTGTTGGTAATATCACCACAATGCAGAATGAGAGCCAGGGCCAAGAGTGAGAGTGCTCCATTTCTAAGAAAACTCAAATGTACTTTGATTTAGTCCTTTTTACTTTTGTAATCTTTAACTTCTGTCTCTCAGTTTTCATACCTATAAATTAATTTCCTCATAAAGTTATGAGAATTAAAAGGGAAGTGTGTATCTGTGTGTGTGTGTGTGTGTGTGTGTGGTGGGGGGAAGAATAGGAATAATGACTAGCATGGAGAAAGAATTCAATAAATTGTAGCTATATTTGAACAATGAGTAAAATATATGAGTTTAAGATACTTTGTTTCATAGTTTTAGAAATAGGTGATTCTTTTCTTCCTTAGTTAAAATTACATCTCTTAATTTTAGGATGCTTTGTTCTTCCTGAAGGATTTCTTCACAAGTCTTTCTGCAGAAGTAGAGCTTCAAATGACTCCAGATCCAGAAGGTATTAAATATGTATAGTTGAAAAGACTATACCAAGTACTTGGATTGATTTTAATTGTTATGAGGCTTTTTTGAGAATGTACTTACAATATTTATTCCCACTTACATAAATGTGTTCTGTGTTTATTTTTGTTGATTCGCGAATACTGTTTATATAAAAGTAATAATTTAAAAGGTGAAAGCAAATTTTCTCTGTAACAAGAATCGTATTTTGATTAAATAAAATGTAGAAAAACAAATTAGATCAAGATTGATTTAAATGTTTGCTAAGAAGAAGCATATCTAATTTTTCAAACATGCACATTACATTTTCAGTTAAAAAGTCTCCTGGAGCTGATGTCACCTGCAGTTTGCCAAGGCATTTGAGTACCTCAAAGGAGCCAAATCTGGTTATTTCTTTCTCTGGGCCAAAACAGCCTTCCCAAAATGATAGTGCCAATTCAGTGGAAGTGGTTAATGGCATGGAAGAGAAGAACTTCTCTGCTGAAGAAGCATCTTTTAGGGATCAGCCTGTGTTTTTTAGGTAACTAATTTAGTTTTAATAACAAATGAAGTTATTTTAGACTTTTGAAGATTGTTCTGTGATGTATGTGTGCTGGTAATCATGAGGTTCCGTCAGCTTTTCTTTGCACTGCCAAATCATCAGCTGGTGTATTTATCTGTTTGTGGTCCCCATCTAATTGCACCCCCCTTATTTGCACATAGTAACCTGGTTCCAAATTCGTCTCTCTTTCAATTCTCTGGCAGGAATTTCCTTTTCTTCTAGCTTCTTCCTTCTTTTTCTCTCCTCTGTCCCCTCTTTCCAGCACTGTTATGGTGTGTTTGTACCAGCCCAGCAGGATATCATCCTTTTGCTTTTTTTCCTTTATGTATCTCAACCTGGCTATGCCTGTCTGTCTTTTCCCTTGTGGGGATTTTCTACCTATTTTCTCTGTCTGCCCTTCCCAGTCGTTATGTGTCTTTCCTGACCCTTCCCTCCCTGCTCAGTGGGCACTGTTAAGAGACCCAGGTCCGCTGTGCTGCTGCCGTCGGCTGTGACTGCTGCCCAACGGCTCGGCCAGCTCGAGCACAGCACACTGCAGTTTCCTCATTTACAGACCTGTTTGTTCTTCTCATCTTCTTTCTTTTCCAAAACTGGATGGTAGGGATGGTGGCTTGGCCCTATGGGAAAGAGAAGGGACTGAAGATCAGTGCCCCCTTGTTATGAGGAGCAGTTACATCTTCCCTGATTTTCTGTGCTGCTTTCTCATATGTCCCGGGTTGCTGATTTCTCTCTTTCTCTCTAGGTTCTGAAGTTAGACTTTAGGCATGGGCCAAAGTCAGCAGTATTACTAATTGGAAGGGTTGTCACGTTTTAAATATTTTGCATAGTGATGAAAATAGGTAGAAAAAATGGAATATGATAATTGGAAAGATCTTGGAATAGATGATTCCTGGTGGTTCTAAATCTTTCCACCGCCAAAGAAGGACCTTTTAAAATTAATTTCCTACATTGATCCTTTTATTTTTACAAAAACATGTATCTTAAGTGATAATATGCATTCTTATTTTATTAGTCACATTTATAAACTGCCAATTTGGTTTTTGTAAACATGGGCCTGAAAGCAAAGAATTTTGCCTTTTTTTTTTAGCCCAGAGGAAGTAGGGTTACCCATTTATTTACGTTTAAAAAGTACACAAGCCCTATACTTACTTAGGTAAATGTTTATTTTTTCCATTAGACTATTTAAAATATTGAGAATAGCTTATAGATTTTCATTTGTACTCTCAAAGGCTCCTAATCAGTGCCATAGTCTAAATTACACACCTTACAAATGAGGAAATGAATGCCCAGAGAGATTAGTTGACTTGCTCAAGACCACAGTTCGTGGCCAAGGCACAACTAGAACACAGATTTTCTTATCTCTAATCCAGAAAATCCAGTACAGTTTTTAGTAATGTCATGAGAGCCCCCTTCCTCCAAACATTTATTCATTTTACAAATATTTACTGAGCACTTAACTGTATGCCAGGTTTTGATCTAGGCACAAATGAACAAAGTAGAGAAAATATTTAATTGAGTTTACAAATTGAGATTACAAATAATTAAAATAAATGGTTTGTCCTATTAATATGTGCCATGGAGAAAAAAAAAGTGAGAAAGGAGAGTATTGGAGGGCACTGGCCCGACAGCCAAGTGGAGCTGAGTATTCAGGGGATGGGCGTGACCTGGGGTCTGAGGCTTCTGGTAGTGATTGGTGTAAATATAGCATCTCCATTTTGTTGTAGGCGCAGTGGACTTTGGTGAGATGGCTTAGGATGTAACCACCAACATTAATTCTGTGGGAAAACTGTGTTTCAAGTTCCAAACATTGTTTGCAGCCAACTTTTGGAAGCCAGATCATTTTGTTAGATGTGTACCATCAGTGTACAACCAGCCCTCTATATCTGGAATTCTACATCTGAGATTCAACCAAAATATTAATTAAAAAAGGCAATAAAAATAATACAAATTAAAAATACAAAAATGATTTGCACAGCATTTACATTGTATTAATACTATAAGTAATCTAGAAATGATTTAGAGTATATGAAAGGATATGTGTGGCATATATGCAAATACTATCCCATTTTATATAAGGGACTTGAACATCAAGGGGTTTGGTATCCATAAAGGCCCTGGAAGCAATCCACTTCAGAAACCAAGGGACAACTGTATAATTATAATTTCATTCTCACACCGTTCCCTATATTTGTTTGTCGATAATTCTGTTTACTTAGAATCATTAGTTTCAAGGATTCTCACAAAATTTAACAATGTAGGTGGCATTTTAACAATTTCTGAAGACTGAGCAGCAGAGAGTTCAAGTGACTTGCCCACAGTTGCATGTCATAGATGAACCTGGGGTTCATGCCAGGATTGCTGGCTCTGTTTTACCAGACAGTCAAAATAATTCCTTAGGCCTTCTCTTTATATTTCTTGGTCATGACTATCTGGTTTAATCTTGAAGGTTGCTTTTATTAATTTATTCTTTGAATGAATTGTGAATATATATAAGAATAAATTTTTGTAAGTGTACATTATTTCATAAACTGAGAAAAGGTTTTTATTACATTTTATGTTAGTATTATTTTTATTTTCCTACACTATATAGACGTAACTAAGAAAAGCTTTCTGTGAGAAATGCAAATATAATAATATATGAGATGATTAACATCTGTTTAATTGTTATATTAGGAAAAGATAGAGCTAAAAGACATTCTCTTTTATTTAGTTCTTAAGATATTTATATGATTTATTTTGTGGTTTTGTTTTTATTCTCCAATTGAACAAATTAATTTATATCTAATTTCACCTATTAGTAATTGTAAATGTAAATAACTCCCTCCTTCCTTTATCTTCAGAGAATTTAGATTCACGTCAGAAGTTCCCATTCGACTTGATTATCATGGCAAACATGTATCAATGGATCAGGTTGGGAAACTCTACAAATATACTCCACAAAATTATCATATGTTTCTCTAATGAGCTCGTTTTTATTTTTAACTTTGCTTTGTCATAGTTTATATATATGTTTGAAATGAAGTGCAAGGTTTTTAAATTTAATTGTTTTTAATGTAAATATTTACTTAAGTACCATGAGTAAAATTTGGTATAAATTGGGTCATATGTATTGTAAGATATATATTTTTACTGTAAATATTTTAAGTGTTTTAGTATCAATAATGACTACTGCTTTGACTTTCAAAATAACAATTATTTTAGATGTTGAGTCTCTTAATTTACAGTAAGGTTAATTTGGCCTTTTTTAATTTTGAAGGGTACGCTAGCTGGGATTTTGATTGGTCTGGCTCAGTTAAACTGCTCTGAACTAAAGCTCAAGAGGCTTTCCTATCGACATGGGTAAGTGAATTTATTATATGAAGCTTTAAGTGAAGTTATCAAAGTTAGTGTACAACAAATTTAAAAACTGAGTTTTCTTAGCATGCATACACAATTTTACAGTATTTTATTTAGAGAGCTCATTTTTAGAGGACTCTTAAGATTTAGGCACTGATTTCTATTCTGAGGGATTAGAAGTAGTTTGAAAAGAGTAGTATTTGGAAAAAACAGTTATAGTTTAGGATATTTTAAATAATTTTCTAAGGTTGTAAATTAGCTTATTCAGTGAAAAGATTGGAAGTTCTTAGTAGCAATTACTGGCAATTTAGAAACTTTGGGTTAATCTTATGCCAAAGCCTTAAGATGTTCAAGAAATAAGAACATTGGAAAAACACACTAATACGTATTACCTGAGTCTTGTAGAAATTATTAACATTAGAATTGGATTTTATATATATGTGTGTGTGTATGTATGTATATGTATATTTAGAGAAATTCAGGTTGTGAGTTAAAAGGATGATTTGTGTTTCTTTTTGATTTGAAAAATGTTACCTGTTTTTGAAGCACCTGTAATATTTGCCCTTATAATTTGTAGAATTTGTTTTAAGTAAAAAAAAACCCTCAAACTAATCTGTGTCTATAAATGTATTTCTCCTTTTGACATACTAATAATCATTTGCTCTAGTTTACTAGGCGTTGACAAATTATTCTCATATGCAATCACTGAGTGGCTTAATGACATTAAGAAGAACCAGCTACCAGGAATCCTGGGAGGTGTTGGACCTATGCATTCACTAGTACAATTAGGTGAGTTTTCTTCTTTTTTAATCAAAAGATAAGTTATTTTTTCAGATGAGTAATTCTTATCCCTTTGAGAACTTATGTGAGGACCATTAGTCTAGAAAACTCACATATGTACTCATATACACAAAACTTTGCCTCCAGTTTTAGGAGTTAAAAACCCCAGGGTTAGAATGATAGAAAAGTCTGAACTGTGGCACTGATGTTGATTTTGTGTTGACTGTTGTAGTACAAGGCCTAAAGGACTTGGTCTGGCTCCCAATAGAGCAGTACCGGAAGGATGGCCGCATTGTCAGAGGGTTTCAGAGAGGCGCTGCTTCCTTTGGTACCTCGACAGCGATGGCTGCTCTAGAACTCACAAACAGAATGGTTCAAACCATACAGGTATCTTTTTAGACTGCCTTAGTCTATCCAAAAAGAGCCATTGTGAAATGGTTGGGTCCTTTTGTTTTTAAAACGATACTGTGAAGATATACAAAATGTTGTGAGTAGATACTTTATTCGTAGTGATTTAATGTCATGCTTGTTTTATTGCTTAAATGTTTAGTGTTAAATAATTAGAATAAAGCAGTGGAATACAGTGTCAGATTTGTTTGCCTATTTCAGGTAAATTGTAAACATTAAGTTAGCAGAGGATTGATTTCACCATATTTGTATGAAAGGATCGTAGCTAAATTTGAAGAAGGCGTTGTAGATTAAACAGAAGTATTAAAGATCATTCTAGTAAGTATTAAGCTCCATAGACTGATGTGGAAATGTTGAGTGTTCTCAGTGAACAGAGGAGGGGCTAAAAATTTAGCTCAATCCAGGTGTTAGTTATTAATTTATACTTTTATGTTCTCGTTATAAAAGTCATCAATTCTTGTGGTAAAGAATTCAGATACGCAGAAGTGTCTTCATTAGGGTTTGTGAGTTCCTCTGCTCTTCCTCACTCCCTGTAGGAAGTGCTCTGCTGGTCCGTAACTCTTCAGACTTTCTTCTAATTCATTTCTTCCTTTTGACAAAATGATCCAGGCAGCTGCAGAGACTGCTTATGATATGGTGTCTCCTGGTACCCTTTCTATCGAGCCCAAGAAGACCAAAAGGTTTCCTCATCACCGGTTAGCCCACCAGCCAGTAGACCTGAGGGAAGGTGTGGCCAAGGCCTACAGTGTTGTGAAAGAGGTAACTGAATACTTGGGTGGACACATCAGAACCCTTCTGTGCGCTTTCCCAACTTTCACCTAAAGAGCATTTAATGGCTTAAATGTATTCTGTAGAAATCCCTGGGAGCAGAATGGCAACTGCCACTAATAACATGTGCCCATATCTGTGTGAGGTGATGGAAAAGGGCCAGTCTGGGACCAATAGGCTGACAGGAATACTAGTGATTGCGTGGGTGGATGGATTCTCTCTCTTCACCTGCAGAAGCACTCAGGGAGTGATAGAAACAAATGCCGTGTGATCGCTGTCTAGGTTTAACACATTTATACTCTGCCCTGCTTACCTCAGATTTGCTTAAGAACTAGAACTTTTCAGATGAATCTCCCACCCTGATCCTATTCCCATGCCTTCACTATGCTGAACGTGGAACATATTTTTTTGTACATGTTTTTATATAGTTTTATTATGTATGTATTTTTATTTAGTATGTATTTATAAGCAAAACATACTAGTGTTAATGTTTTAAAAGTTTCCGTAAATGGTGTTATGTGTCTCATTCTGCAACTTATTTCAAGATAGATCCATGTTAATCTTAATCCATGTAGGTCTAATTTCCACAGTTTTATGGTATTTCACTGTATGAATATATCATAATTTATTTATTTTCCTGTTGGTGGACATTCAGTTTCCATTTTTCCCCTGAAACACCACTATGGGGAGTGCTCATTTAACTCTCTTTTTGTTCATATGTACAAGAAATTCTTTAGGGTCAACTGGGGAGTAACCGTTGGAATCTCGACATGTATTAAGCATTGCTGAATTGCTCTCTGACACGGTTGTGCCAGTGAACCCTGTTTTTTTTTTTTTTTCTGGGTGTTGTCAGCGTCATTCCCTGGCATACTCTTTTTGACATTCTTTTTAATATGACATAAGGGAGTTTGAGGTCATTTGACTTATGATTTGTGTTTTAGGATTTCATGAAAGATATTTTTCTCAGTCATATTCTAACAACAGTCAGACGTGCCTAGGATGGTCTTTTACTTGAGAAAAGTAGCCTCTGTGGTCCCAAACGGCAGGAAGTCCACGAAGGTAGGGCCCCAAGAAATGTATTAGTGGATAAATAAAGGTAAGACCAATGGTCAGCTTTGAAAAAAAGATTTACTGGGGAGAATAAAGAGATAATTACCAGTCAGATTTGCTCCTACAGATGTCAGGATTGAGCCAGCTATCAATAGGCTAAAATTAGATCTGTGAAACAGACACTGGGGTTAGTAAGGGCAGTGGGCAGTAAGATGTAATAGCAGTTTGATTTAACAACTTGTGAAGTGGTTGCCTAATTTAATCTATATTAATTTTAAAATAAATGTGTGCTTACTTTGTGCCAAATATATGGTAATCACCATTAGAGATAGGCGATATTTCTAATTTACAGATGAGGAAACGGGTTCTGCCAGACAGTGGCCTTCCCCAAGTACCACAGAGAAAAGGGAGTGGAGCCAGGATTGGAACTGGGTATTTGGGTTTAAAGTTTAGTTCTCTTTCTCTAAGCTGTCACTAGGAAGAATGAGGGAAGGGAGGGTGAGATTAGTAAGTGTGGATTGAGATGGTAGGATGTGCTTGTTTGGACTTGCTCTGGATTCTCTATTAAAGTTAAAAAAAAAAAAGTTCCTAAGTGGTGCTTGGTATTTCTTTTCCATTTTAGATGTCAGTAAGTCAAAGATGAAGAGAAAATGCCTTGTGTGTGTCATAGATAGGCTCATCTTTTAGATCAGAAGTTGGCAGACTAGGCTGCAGGGTAGACTAGCCATGCCTCTTTTGTATGGGCCTTTGAGCTATTAATAATGGTATTTACAATTTTAAAGGATTGTAAAACAAAACAAAACAAAAAATAAATAACAGAGACCATGGCCCACAAATACCTTCTGTGTGGCCCTTACATAAAAAGTATGTCAACCCCTACTTACATAGTTCTATTTGGTGGTAGTCAGGCACTTACGAGGGTGGTAGTAGGAATTATTTATTGAACACTTACTGTCTTCCAAACTCTGTCAAGCTCTTGAGATGAATTATTTAATTCTAACAATCACCGTAGGAGGAAGGCAGCATTTTAGTTCCCTCTTTAAATGACTTATCTAAGGTCACACAGCTAAATAATAGGGCTGAGACTGGAATTTACTTCTGTTGTCCGCAAACGTAGTGGTGGTCGGCCTCGTACTCTACTCATCTACTCCTGTTTATCGCAGGTGGGATAGGGAGGAGAGCTGGTGGAGAGGGGAGGGAGATGGTGCAGGGAAATGTACAAGTTGTAAACATTGTTGTGCTCATGGTTTCTCTTATTGGCTGTTATCCTCTAGATAGTTTTTAAAGTAGTACTTATTATTTCTTTGAGTTTTTCTGGACACGTTTTTTTTTTTTTTTTTTTTGAGACGGAGTCTCGCTCTGTTGCCCAGGCTGGAGTGCAGTGGCATGATCTCGGCTCTCTGCAAGCTCTGCCTCCTGGTTCACGCCATTCTCCTGCCTCAGCCTCCCAAGTAGCTGGGACTACAGGCGCCTGCCACCACGCCCGGCTAGTTTTGTGTATTTTTAGTAGAGACGGGGTTTCACTGTGTTAGCCAGGATGGTCTTGATCTCCTGACCTCGTGATCCGCCTGCCTCGGCCTCCTAAAGTGCTGAGATTACAGGTGTGAGCCACCGCGCCCGGCCTTCTGGACATCTTTTTTATTGCTCTGTGGTATTACGTTTTTGCCAGATATACTGGGTAGATAGGACGCTCTTGTTAACTTGCCAAAATGATGGCTAGATTCTGGGTTAGTTCAAGGTCCTTGATTTCCCTGGAGAACTCAAAGTTCCTTTATGCTGTCCCCATCACTGAAGCTGTCACAATAATATAATAATATAATAATAATAATGGAATGTTGCTTTGAGTTCCCTAGGGATTTCTGAGTTAGATAAATGGTAAAGATTCAGAAGTCATGTGAAGTTTTACCACATTGGTTTGACCTACATGTTTGTATATTCAGCTTCAAAGCTCAGAAGTCATTACTAGCATAGAGACTGAATAAATGAAAAAGAAAGCTTAGCAATCATCATTATTTTATTATGTTGTGAGAAAGATGGAAAATGCTACTAAAGTTTTGTTGAGAATTATTAAACATGTTCCTGCTTTTTGTTCTCAGAATTCTCTAATCCAATAAAATGTTCTATTGAGCTTTTTATCTTAATTGAATTTTCCATTTTTTTCCTAATACATAGCCAGTAATTTAAAACAAATTAAGTAATTTCCCAGAGCTTAGTAGAATTAGGTTGAATCAAAGGGAACTATCACCATATTTCTTTAGTGAATATATTCAAGAAGCTTTGTTTGCCAAGTTTGATTTAACTGGAGTGATTAATAGTACCAGCAAAGCCCGTATTTCTGTCTTCCCAATGCGAAATTTTAGTTTACCTACATTTTCCACGCACTAGTGTCACAACAAAATACTAAGTCATAATTGCCTCTTTCCCTTATAGTTAGAATTCTGTCATTAAAAATAATAATCCTGGTTTATCTAAAAGCATGGCATTTTTTTTTGTCTGGTTACAAACATAATGTTACCTGCTTTAAAAGTGTGTACTGCAGGATAGCTTAGAGAGTTTTCCGACCAGAGTTTGTTCACTGCCCTCCTCTCTCCTACCTCCCTCCTCTACGCAGGGAATCACAGACACGGCTCAGACCATTTATGAAACTGCGGCTCGAGAACACGAGAGCAGAGGGGTGACTGGTGCCGTGGGCGAGGTTCTGCGCCAGATTCCTCCGGCAGTGGTGAAACCTCTGATTGTTGCCACAGAAGCAACGTCAAACGTGCTGGGTGGCATGAGAAACCAAATTAGGCCAGATGTCCGGCAAGACGAGTCACAGAAATGGCGCCACGGGGATGACTGATGGCTTGGAACTGACAGTGTGAAGATAAGGAGAGTGGAACCAGGAGCTCAGAGTCCTGACAGCAGCTTCAGAGGAAGCTCGTTTAATTTTATTGTGCTCATCTCAGGAACAAAAGCATTTTTTAGTTAAATAATTTAACATCAAAACAACATGCAACCAAAAACTTCTGACATTTATAGTTGATACTTGCCTATAGAAATGTTTGGTGGCTGGTGTCAAAGGTCCTTAAAGCATTTGCTGCCAAGTTAGTGGAAGGCTCACTTTTGTTAAGATGACTGTAATTCTCCTTGTTACCGACGAGAGATCATTGGAAGCTGCCTTCTAACACTTTGTGTAGCTCTGTGGAGTTGGATTTTCTTAAGGTTTAAAAAGAATCACAGCTTCGGAACTTTTAACTGAAAATGAGAGACAGAAGCCACAGGGGAAGCAAAGCAAATAGGATTTTCAATATAAATATCAGTGTGGAAAAATAACCTATTCTGTTGAATTTAGTGTTCATGCACTTGAGAACAACATTATTTCCATTTACTCCGAAAATCCTTCTGTGGGGGTTTGAGAAAGTGAATGTTGCAGACATGTTCTGTTGTGTTGCACTTTATCCTGTGTTTATGTGTATGTGTTTTTAGATTAATTCAAGTTGTGTGCTATATTTCTTGTATAATTTACAAAGTTACACAAAATATAAAGAGCAGTAAACTTGTCTGAAAGTTTTTGGCAAAGGAAGGTAACTTCAATGTAATAGCTTCCTTTAAGAGTACAGGAAAATGCATTCTGTAATGAAGTGGGGCCCATGTAATTGTTTATATTTTCAGTTTTAAGCAGGTATAGTGCAGGCTTGTTAGGAATGTGTGGAAGGGAAGATTGGAAGTGATTTTTCCTCTTTTAAAAGTAAACAAAATTCTTCAAATATGCCCTAGTTAACTATTTCAGCATACCATTTTTACTTGGTTAACAGTGTACATTTTGATAACCTATCAGGAATGAATAAAGTATTTTTATTTAAAGGTGATATTGTTTTATGCTTCCATGAATATTTTGCTTTTCTTAGAGCATATTCATAGATGCAGTACTGTGATTTACCACAAGATAATTGGGAACACTTTCTCAAAATCGATTTTGGTTAATATCAGGTAAATCATTACCTAGGAGTAAGAGGGAAATTGTTGTCAATTCCTGACTTTAGATTGATCCAGCAGAAAGAAAAGGTGGAACTTTGTATATATCCACTGTTGAAAGTTGCATGACCTGACTTCCTGTTTTCTAAAGTTGGGGGAATATTATTGAACTTCAATTTCAGAACTGCATTTCAATTTGGGGCTTGGAAAATGTAGTTAAATCAATTTCGTTCTCTAAATTTTCTAAGCAGGAAAGCAATGTAAACCAAAAATCAAAATGTTTAGAATTTATAAAAATGGGGTTATATAGCTTTTAATTTTAGTTTCCTTTTTACTGCCAAAAAACTTAAAAAGACAACAGCGTAACCACCTGTTTAAGCACCGTGGGACCATCTCTTATTCGGGTAGAGCCTGGTCCTGGCGACACACTAACAGGAAGGCGTGCTGTGTTACCGGGAAGGCGCCTCTGGCTGTGGGGTGCGTTCTGACCACCCCGCTCAGATGCCAGCATTTTCCATTTGCCCTTAAGGAAACTTGCTATGTGTGTTAACCCAGTTATGATTAGTCAAACTGGAAAACACTTGATCAAACTTAAAATTGTAAAATCTGTCTAACTTTTAAATATACTTTCCACAGTTGTACTTAAGTTCAATTAACTACAGTATAGAGAAAAATAATTATTCTCTTCTTTGCACCCGGAGTTGCAAACAAATTAAGTTTACAAATCTCATTTAAACATATATCTTTGTAATGTAATCTCCGCGGTTCTTTCTTTGTTCTACCCTCCTGCACCTGTTGTCGATGTAATCATTTTGGGAACAGAAACGTTGTGTCTCAAAAAGATTCGTTGTCAGTTCAGCCAAGATGTTCTTTACCTGAGATTCTGGAAAGATGTTTATCTATATCGGAACACTTCTACATTATTAAATGTCCTTAAGCTTTTTCTTTTTTACAAGTGTCTTTTCAGACTTTGGTGTTGTGATGACACAGTAGAAAGAGCGTGGCTAGAATCCGTGGTTTGCCACATCTGCAGCTTACCAAACGGATGACTTGTCCAGGACATCTGATCCCTGTAAGCCTCAGCATCCCTCCTGGTAAATGGAGGGTTTTTTACGACAAAGCCCAAAGGGAGGTTTTGGATGATTAGGCTGTGTGTGCGTGTGAGAATGATCACATGTGGCGTCATGCTTTGTACAGAGCCTCAGACCACTGGGCCTCGTCCAGTGAGAGTCCTCTCTGGCGACATCACACGCGGAGCAGCCAGGGGCCACCTTAGATCTCAGATCTCTCAGAGCAATACTTTTCTGAACTGCCACTGTGCCTGGGTGGTTGGGTTGGTGTCATGCTTCTGACTAGAGTAGATCGCGCATGTCCACCAGTGATACGTTGAGTCCTTACAGTTCCCCCCATGGAGTCCCATAAGCAGCTCCATCGAGATCTGTCAGCAAGTTGCAGGACCCCACAATGTTCTGACATGTTAAGACCCCCTTACATGACGAGTAGAGAGGCAGCTGAGGCCACAACCGTGTCTTCCTCTTGAATGGAGCTAACTCGGAACCCCCCGTTTTCTCTTCCTTTCTGCCCACCACTGAACATTGCCTTTTAGATAACTCAGTGTTTCTTCTAGATGTCATAGCAATAGACTTTCACTTTCATGAAGTTTGGGTACGATTTGGATTCTCGCTTAAGTACATATATTTATCAATATTTTTATAAGGCAAAGTTCACTTAAAAAATCTTTCCAAGTAGCAGTGTGCCTAAGATGGCAAAATACTAAAAACTGGTGTTTCCTGCTCCTGTTGTGTGTCACTTTTCAAGCCGATTGAAATATTTCTGGCTTTTAGGGCATTACTTTTTAACTATCTCCTTTAAAAACGATGTTCTGTAGGTTTAGTGTCTTTGTTCATTTCCAAAAGAGTCCAGACAACTGTGTCTGCCCCTGCAGAGGCTGTTTGTCCAAAGGCAGCATGCCGCTTCCACCGGAATGCAGACAGCAGGGGAGCGGAATTCTAAAGCAGCGACTTAAAATGAGGAATCCCCAATTGCACTAAATGGTTTCAGGATTGACTAATCATTGTCTTAACATTAACTCAGATTTTCAATGTGTAAAGAGCTGTGTGACTTGGCGTCTGAGAGATCCCTCTGCTTTGCTTTGCTTCAGAGTCCTCGCACCCGCATCCTCAGAACTGTGGGGCATGGTGGGCTCTAACGAGCACTCCCCTTCTGTTTTCCTTCATTACTTTTGACCTCCTTAAGACTTCAGAGAGAATGTCCGTCAAGTTCTTTTCTCCATCAAGTTCTTTAAGTTCCTTGAAAGGAAGGGACTGTGCAAACACAAAGCAATATTCTTTTGTATCTGCAAATGCATCAGCTGGACATACCAATTGGTATCAAATAGAATAAAATCAAATATAAATGTTTGAGTCTTAGGTTAAAAAGGAAGGTTATTTGTATAGTTTATAGATAATGAAGGAAAAATTTCTTTTTCATTGCAGGAAATCTTGTTTACTGGAAGATAGAGTCACTCTTTTCATATAAGACAAATAGTGCTTTAATGCCAACTTCTTTTTATCTCAACATTTCAGGATCATGCTAGGCACACTGCCCCCTTGAATAGACATTATATGCACAGTTGCAAGTCAGCCAATGTTTTTATTCAGAAGTATTTCCCCCCATTATAGTGCCTGCATATCAGAGATACAAAAAGCATCCAACACACTACCGTAATAGGCTTCTTTGGGGATGAGAAATTTGAGTCTCAACAACTCAGAGTTTGAGATGTCAGCTTTTTTGGTAAACGTAGGTGTTAGAGGTATATTTTGCTTTCCTACAACAATTGTTGGCCCTTGATTTCAAGCATGTTGCTTCATAGGAAGCACCAGAGTGCCATCTGCTGCATTTCAAGAGATTGTAAATGTCATCTCAGCTGGCTCAGTTATATCTCTAATGTCCCGGGTAGCAGCACCTCCCTCTAAAAATATGTTTACTTCACTGTTTCACTTGTATTTTGTGTATACGAAATGGCAGCTTCCGATTTCTAGTTGGATTTGTCTTGCATTGTTTGTATAACTTGCTGGTCACCCAGGGCTATTTGCTTTTTCATTGAGAAATTTGGTAGGGGTGTCTAGTTCAGCTTTTATGTTGATCCATCCTGACTTATTTTAGACATTGAATTTATCTCACCACAAGTAAAAGAACATGTGTATTGACTGTCTTTGCTAAGTTTCCTAATTTTTCCTAATTATGGCAATTATGGATGTGAATAAGAATACTGATGCTGTACAAATATTTTTGTGGAAATGTACCTTGTTAATGTGACTATTTAAATAATATGAAAATAAGAATACTCTTGAAGAAAAAATTAAAATATTTACTCTTTGGATTTTGCTTTAAACACTTGTCTTTCACCAAGAAGTGTTCCCAAAACTTGTGTAAAATACTTATTGGGGTGGGGTGTACATCTGCCTCAGACCTTGTTATTGGGAAATGATGTTCCAGTGCCCCTGATGCTTCTGATAGCAGATCTTGGGTCTGTCTGCTACTGATTGCTGAGCTGTATGGAGTTTTAACAGTTCTTCCCTCCCTGCTTTGGATTTTAGTCCCTCTATTAGTTATCCTATCCCTGCAATAAGGACTTGCAGCAAACACACCTCCTAGTTTGATATCACGAAACTGATAACTATTTGGAGGAGTATTTTTACTTATGAAGGGAATATTTAAAAGACATACTTATTTTTATTTTATTTATTTATTTTTTCAGACGGAGCTTTGCTCTTGTTGCCCAGGCTGGAGTACAATGGAGCAATCTTAGCTCACTGCAGCCTCCACCTCCTGGGTTCAAGCGATTCTCTTGCCTCAGCCTCCTGAGTAGTTGGGATTACAGGCACCTGCCACCACGCCCCACAAATTTTTTGTTTTTTTAGTAGAGACGAGGTTTCACCGTGTTGGCCAGGTTAACCTCAGCCTGGTCTCGAACTCTTGACCTCAGCCTCCAAAAATGCTGGGATTACAGGCATGAGCCACCGTGCCTGGCCAGACATACTTATTTTTAAGGGCAATTTACTTTAAAAGATTTTGTTGTGACAGATGTGACTATATAACATCCACTTTGAACAATTAGGGAAAAAATGACAAGTCACACTTCACCCATGGCTCTTGTTGAAAAAAGGGATGGGGACAATTGTGAGATGCTTACTGTGTGCCAAGTATCCTACTGTCTTTTTATAATTTCACAGCCCCCACTCAGAGGCAGTTACTAGAGTCCCTGTTTTCCAGATGAGGAGACAGGTTCAGAGAGGTCAAGAAACTTGCTCACCGTCACATGGTTTGACTTCCAGACCTCATGCTCTTCCCAGGACTTCATTTAAGAAAAGCTTGGAGCAGTTACCTAACTTAGCAAAAAGTCTTCACTAATTGGGAAACCACAGAATTTTGCTAGAAGATTGAGATTAAAGGCTCTTAGAATATTTGAGCAAGAAAATGTGCTTGATCTCTTCCTGGCGTCTCCAGCCCCTCTCCCCTCTTCTGGCTGTGCTTAGCCACCCCAGCGGTTCAGTTCTGCATGCCCGTGAGTAGGGGTTAGCACCACCTGGAAGATTTCTTTCTATAAATGCTGCACCACAGGCCACAGTCAACACTGATTAAAGCAAAATCTCAGAATGGGGCTAAAGTCGGGTTTCTCCACCTCAGCAGTTGACATTTGGGACCAGCCTGTGCATTGTAGGATGCAGGGGATGTTGCCACCCTCCCACCCCCCGCTGGCCTCTGGCCACTGGATGCCAGTAACAAACTCCCCTCCCCCAGTTGTGACAGCCAAAGACGTCTCCAGACATGGCCAAATATGCCAAATATGACAAAAATCCCCTGTTAAAAATCACTGGGCTAAGAGCTCTCCTGGGGAAAATCATGCACAGCCTGGGGCAAGAACGCGCTATGGCCGCCCCAACTCGGATGCTCTGTCGGGATCTCTGGCTGCTCCTGCTGTCTCAGCCCGGAGGCTCCACTTCAGGCAGCCTGGCCACCCTCCCTTCCTCTCTGTTTCCCACTATAGCATGCTTTCCTTTTTTTTGTTTGTTAAACTTTGCGGCACTCCCCGCATACTGTAGATCCACGTCTGTTTCCCTGTTTGACTTCCTTCAGGAGGGCAAGGGACTTAGGGACCCGGTGCCTAGCACAGTGCCTTGCCCAGAGTCAGGGATCAGCAAATGGTGAATGAGTGAATGAATGAATGAATGAGTGAGTGAACCCGAGTGGTCATCTAGTCCTGTCTGCAGGTGAGGAAATCGAAGCCCGGAGAGGGGAAATTCTTTGCCCAAGATCACATGATTACTACTTACAGATGTCCTTTATTCAATGTAAGCTCACGTTTTCTTGATTTTAGCAATACTTGTAATAATTTTTAAAATATAAATATATATGAAATAAAAGTTCATCATTGATTGACTATTTCCTATGTGGCGACTCCTCTGCTTGGCACTCGACAACACTCTTGGCCACTGTGTCATGGTTCCCAAACTTGTCTGCACATTAGTCCCCTGGGGAGCTTTAAAAATACACCCCAGGGATTGGGATTTAGCTGGTCTTTGGTGTGGGCTGCGCTTTGGCATTTTTGAGAGATCCCCTGGTTCTCATGTGCAGACAAGTTCTGAGACCCAGTGTATTACACTGCCCTGCCTCATTCACCAGGGCAGGGGGACATTCACATTCAGTATCAGCCAGGGTATGTAACATTCACATTCAGTATCAGTATTGACAATGTAACATTCACATTCAGTATCAGCCAGGGTCCCAGCAAGAGATGTGACCACTCCATGTGACAGACAGGTGCTAGGAAGGAAATACTCAGCACATGGTGGGCAGCACAGGGTAAGGGAAGCCCACAGGCACCTCGTGGCTGTCTCTGAGCCAAGTGAAGACTTGGTAGCTCTTCTCTAATCCCCTCTCAGCTCTGGGCCTGCCCTGGCCTCAAAGTCATGTGAGCCAATGGCCATTCCTCACCTTTTGTGGCTCTCCTTGTGGGAATGGGATTAGGATGCCCCTCCTTCTTCATCCATCTCTCAAGAGACTGAACACCAGGCACAGCCACAGTCCTGAAAAGACGAAGGGAGCGATTCCCAAAACTTAATAGCTGAAAGAGGGCTGCCTGACCGGAGCTATGACCCTAGGTGGAGGGAAGCAGCCAGAGGGATAGACCCCCACCCCCACTCTCCTGCCCTCCCATCTCCTGCTGGAACCTCCCATGGGTAGAATGTGGCTCATGCCCAGTCCATAAGGCACAGGGTTCTGGGCAGAGGGCAAGGTGGAGAGGGGCAGAAGAGAGGAGAGTGTATCTATTTTGTCTTGTTCATATTTGTACCATTATTTGTATTTTGCAGATGACAAAACTAAGGCTTAGGTTAAGTAACCTATCCCAAGCCACACCATGTACTTGTTAAGGGACATGAGTCACTAGTGACAGCTAGATCCCCAAACCTCGGCAGCTTAACAAAAAGAGAGGTTTATTTCTCATTTACAGAAAGTCTGGTTGGCAGTCTGGAATATCTGACAGCTCTCCTTCAAGCAGTGATGGAGGAGCCCAGGCTCCTTCCATCTTGTGGCTCTGCATCCCCTGGAACCTCAGAATCCCCAGCTGGGATCTCTGCACAGGAGAGACAGGAGGACCACTTTTGTGGCCAGGACATACATAGCCAGGGAGACAGGAGCAAACATCACTTATGCCCACATTGGTCAGAATTCTGTCACATGGTCACAGCCAACAGGAAACATGGGTAATGGAGTCTACCTGTGTACCCAGGAAGGAAGGAAAGTGAGGTTGGTGAGCACCTGGCCTGACTGGTACCTGCAGATCATAACCAGCCCATTTAGACTCTGAATGCAGGAATATCTGACTGCAGACCCATGTGCTTACATGCTCTATTGGAATTACATTCTGCTGCACTTGAAGATAATATGCTGTTGCCAGAGTTAGGAGTATTTTCCCCTGGGCTTGTTTGTTTATATCCCTGAAAGCAGTTCCACACAGAGCAAATCCCATTCAGCAAACATCTGCTGGTGAATGGGGCAGGGCAGTGTAATGCACTGGGTCTCAGAACTTGTCTGCACATGAGAACCAGGGGATCTCTCAAAAATGCCAAAGCACAGGCCATGCCCAAGACCAGCTAAATCCCAATCCCTGGGGTGTATTTTTAAAGCTCCCCAGGGGACTAATGTGTAGACAAGATTGGGAACCATGACACAGTGGCTAAGAGTGTAGACGTTAGAGTTAGGCTACTTGGGGTCGAACTCAAGCTCCACTACTTCTGATCTGTGTGGCTTTGGGGAAGTTACTTAACCTCTCTGTGCTTCAGTTTCCTTCTGTATAAAATAATAATACAATTGGTAGGAGGATTCAAGTGCTTTGAACAGTGTCTCTGTGGCACACGGTAAGTATAAGACTTAGATATTGTTACCATTTCTTGAATGCCTACTGTGTGCAAATGCCTGCGCTGGAGAGGAAGGATATGGTCCTTGCTCCCAGGGAGCTCAGAATCCAGTGAGAAGACATCAAACTCTCCACACCATAGAAAAGATAAAAGAAAAAAAAAAGATGGCAAATTCTAATATGCAAGAGACCAAACAGTTAATCATCCCAGCCATTTGTTCCTTACAAATGTAAATCAATTTGCTTTGCTCCCCGAGAGATTTGAGTGTCAGTTCACAATGCTGAGGAAAGGAACATATACCACTGAGAGCACTGTTAGAGTTGGAATTCCTGGTTTTGAAGACACCACCTGGTCTTGTCTTGTTTCTGGGTGTCTGGACTTCTGCTTCCCTGGCATTAAACGCAGATCCGGGGTGGCCTCGGGGTAGGTGGGGGAGCCAGCTCCTTTTTAGCCTGATATTTAGGATTGCCTACTTACAAGGAAATTTAATCTTAGAGATACAACAAGGGTCGTATTTAAAAATCAGTTTCAAAAAGGGTGTTGGAGGCCAAGTTTTTTGAGATTTGGAATAACTGAGAAAAATGAACACTAGTGCATCCTTACTGTAAGAATTTCTAAGGCTACCAGAAGAGGACGAACCATTCTTTCAAATTTGGATTCCACTGAAGTATAGGGGAAAACACAACTGCTCAGTGCAAAGTACTCACTTGACTTCCAGAACTCTTAACGTGAACATTTTGTCAGCCCAGATGTGGCCCAGTTATTTTCAGTGATGGAGACTTCAAGGCAATCCCTCCATAAACTGTTTAGCATTTAGTAAAAGACAAGTGAAAAAAATGCCAACATCTATGCTATTTTCAATACAGTATCAATGTTCTAATGCTGTAGACAGAAATCCTCCTTCCATTAATAATAAACACTTCAAAGGCCAAATACAGTTTCCCTCACGCCTCCATTTCAGCTTAAAGTTTTACTCCCCCTCAACTCCCACTCTTTCAGGACATAACTATTTTCTTGACACCAGATTCCGTTTTAATTTCTTCTTAATTGTCCATACCGCGTTCTATTTGGAAAGCAATCTTAACGTGGCCCAGCCTTTATTTCCATTTGCTTTGGTGCCAATGAACTGGAATTTCAGCCAAATCTCCGCCCTAAAGGTTCACTTTGAGCCACTTAACTTTGCTGCTTCTCCATTTCTGATAAGTATATCTGATGGATAAATCACCATAAGGGGTAACACTGTGTCAATATGGGACACCATTTGAAATTTGGGTAGCTATTGTCAACTGCCTTCCCATGGAAGTTGTATCTATTGACATGCCCACAAAACAGGTTTATTTTTAAATTTTTTTGAAGAGATCTTTAAACAACCCCTTTCAAGAGGCCTTGTCCTGTTTCTGTGTTCTGTTTCGCTTTGGAACGGATCTGTAGTGAATCCCATGTAAGGGTTTGCTTTGAGAGAAAGTGGGTGCAGAATCATGTCTGGGGAAAGAGCAGTCTGCCCCTGATGCCAGCAGGGGGCGCCCGCCCTCTTCTCAGTGGAACTTTGGTTTGGAAATCACCCCCTACCAAGCATGGCACCCGAGCCCGTGCAAATTCCGACCCCACGCGCGGTGGGAAGGACTTGGAAACATCCTAACTATCCTAACTCTCTCACGAGGCTTGTCGGTGACAGCTTCCTCTTAGTCAAGGACACTGCGTGGATTAAAAAGAAAAACATCATTTTATTCCATGGTTAATTTCTCGCTGTAAACATGGGGCTGGGGGCCAGCACACCAGGCCCTCTCTCAACATGAAAATTGCCCCTGGTGGCACTTTCACGGCAGACTGATAAAGCCCATGTTTGGGGCATGAGAGAATAGAAATGTGCTTTGTATACAGATAAAGAGCTTCTGTGGCCTTCTCTGAGGATTGTCTACAGATGAGTGTGAAATAGAAGCCTGCAGAAGCTTCTCTGCCAGATCCCTCTGCTGGAAATGCAGCCCCCACCCTCCCACTCAGGGTGGGATTAGGGTGAGGCAAGTGAGGCTCTCAGCTGGGCGCAAAGTCTAAGGTGGGAGCACATCTGTCATCAAACAATAATGCAAAGTTTTAAAAAATAAAAAGTAATGCAAAAACATCCATGATGAACGAAACCTCAAAATTTTAAATAAAGACATGATTTGACATGGCATCTCCATGCTTGATTTACTTCCCTCAAGGTCACCCTGGTCCCACTGGATCCTGATCGTTCTAAGAACGTTGGCATTTTGTTCATGATGGATGAATCCCATTCTTCCTTTCTCACCGCTCCCCAGGCTTACATTTTCCCTGCCACAAGGTTGGCTGTAGGACAGTGAAGGGAAAATCACACTGGAAGAAGCCACAAGGCATTGGCTGGGGGTGTTGTGAAACACCAGGGAAAGACCCCAAAATCAATAATAGCGACTTGTTAGGAGCTGACGCCACGTATTGCACTTACAGAGAGATTCTGCTCTAATGATGTTAGCAAATACTTGTACGTGCAATGCATGCCAGAGATGGTTAGGACTGATTGTGCATGGTTGGCTATGTCATCATTCCAGCTGCAGTTTGTGTGATCCTCCTGCTACCCTGCCATCCCATCAGCGCCTGCCTCCAAGCCTCCCTTTGCTCACTCTTTCCTTCCCAGCACCATGGCCTCCCTCCTTCATTTCATAAAGTCCAATTCTTCAAGGGCTGAAGACCTATTTTTCTAAGAGAAAGAGAGTGAGCTGGATTTTTTAAATTATTATTTTCTTCTTTTTCCCCCTTCCCCCCTGTTCCCCACTTCCTACTTAGCTCTTTAGAAATGCAATTTATAACCTTCCCTTCACCAGACACTCATTACAGGGCAAGCTTATCTAACCATGTACTTGCTTAGAAGCTCCAGAGCCCAGCCCCTCTCCCACCAGGAGACTGCCTCGAGAGACATTAGTCAATTTACAACCTCAAGTATGCCCGCTAGAAAACTCTCTCCCACCTGGACAGTATCTCGAGACAACGGGCCACGTTACAACCTAGTTCTGCTCTGCCAGATGGTTGAGCTGGCACCACTGCAGGCAGAACTAGGAAGAATCATGTAGACCCCCACCTGCCCGCTCCCTCCCCTGCGTGCCATTCATGCCAAGTCCCACTTTAACAGCCCCTGCTTTCTGCCCCGGAAGCAAAGCAGTACCCTTAAGGCAGGAGCTTGTACTTCTTCCCCTAAGTGAAGCTTTGGAAATAAATCACTTTCTTTATACCAGGCCCTGCTCTTGTTAATTGGACTCTGCCAGCGGCGAGTGATTGAACCTGTGATTCAGTTTCAGTCCTACCACCTCCAAGAAGTCTCTCCAGACAACCAGGCTTTCCTTGAGGCTATTGTTGAATAACTTGATCAGATCAGCTAAAATGTGTTTCTCAGCTGGGGAAGGGGGTGATTTTGCCCCGTAGGGGACATCTGTGATATCTTGAGACATGCTGGTTGCCACTACCAGGAGAGGGAGGCTGCTCTGGGCGTCTAACACATAGAGGCCTGGGATGCTGGTAAACATCCTATAATGCACAGGACAGACATCCATGACAAAGAACTATCGAGTCCAAAATATCTATAAGGCTAATACACCTTACATCAGAACTCACCAAGATATTAGTAAGGATTTTGTGAAAAATCTCCCATGAATCAGATGTGTAGTTCACCAACAAGCTTTCTCCAAGGGATAACAGATATTTGAAATTTGCATCCTCTATAGTAAGAGATGGACAGGATCATAGGAGCTGGGGTGTGAAGACACTCCTGTTTTCCCTCATGAGTTCTGCACTAAAGAGGCAGACGGTGGAGTCAGTGCACAGGGCCTGCACTCTCCTCTTTATTACTGATAAGGGCTAGGTTGGAAGGTATCACTCAGGCACACGGCCAGAAAATAGACTTTTTGATACTGAATCCCAGAATCAGGCTGACTCATGCAGGCCCAGGCAATGCTGATGACTTCCCCCACTAGGGCAGAGCCTTTAACTCTATGCTTACCTTATGGGCAAGAGAAGACCAATCTGCAGTCAGGTACTTCCCAAAGAGTGAGAATGGAGTAAGGAACTGGGCTCTACAGGCCAGGCCCAATTCCTTTTTTTTTTTTTTTTTTTTTTTGAAACCGGATAATCAGAGAAGTCACTCCTCTTCCAGGGAGAGGAGTCAGGGGTGGGGAAGAAGCCAAGGGTTTAGGGAGCAATCCCTCTTCATCAAAACCTGATGAGTTAGTCAGGATGAGCTGAGTTCTGCTGCAGTAACAAAACCCTTGACTCTTTGTGGTTTAAAACAACAAATGTTTATTTTCTCCTCACCTACATGTTTGATGTAGGTTGGTAGGAAACTTTGCTTTTCCTAGTCACTCAGAGGTTCAGGCTGATAAAGTCCCCAGATCTTAATGATATCACTATATTAACATAGCTTTTCAGGTTTTTCTACAGCAGAGAAAGAATGGAGGACTATGATCTTGAATTTTCTTCTGCCTAGAAGTGACACACAATTTTGCTTACATTGGCCAAAGCAAGCAAGAAGCCATTCTTAGTCTCTATAGGGTGAGGAAGTTTAGCACCTTCAACCTCCCATTTTTCAGAAGAGGAGAACTGGAATTCTCAGTGAGCAGTAGTAATGTCTCCCACAGAAGAATGAGGAAGAAGAATTTTCTGCCCTTCACCAGCTCCCAACCCCAAATCAACATTGACCAAATGGCACTTCTATTCAAAAGACAAGCTGCTCAGGAACCATTTTCTAGGGAGCACTGTGTTGGGCTACAGTACTCAGAGTAGAAGAGCTGGCACTTGATCCCAGACCTCACACTGACGAAGTTGCTCTGTCTTGGGGCAAAGCATTCTGGGCCTCAGTTTTTCCATCTATAAAATGGGCATGATGAGCTTTTTCACATCCTGTGAACTCACTGAAGGTGGGATTTTATATTTTACTTTTACAATTTTACTTTTACATGCCATGTATTGGTCACTCAGTAAGTGTTGGACACACAAAGCCATGAATGAAGAAGCTGCTCTGATTCTGTCTTAGATTGTGGAGGTCAGGACTGGAGTACTCCCTAGTCTGCCATAATTTCACCTAACCCATCAGTGGGGTTTTTTTTTTGGTTTTTTTTTTTAAGATGGAGTCTCATTCTGTCACCCAGGCTGGAGGGCAGTGGTGCAATCTCGGCTCACTGCAACCTCCATCTCCCAGGTTCAAGCCATTCTCCTGCCTCAGCCTCCCGAGTAGCTGGGACTACAGGCATGCACCACCATGACCAGCTAATTTTTGTATTTTTAGTAGAGATGGGGTTTTACCATGTTGACCAGGCTGGTTTTGAACTCCTGACGTCCTTGGCCTCCCAAAGTGCTGGGATTACAGGTGTGAGCCACCACTCTCGGCCCCATCAGTGGGTTTTAATTCCATCTGATGTTGGCCTTGTGCTTGCTGCAGCCTCCTGCCCATTCTCCAGAAGCAGAGTGATAGCTGCCTGGCTGTTGATCACAGATTCATGAGTAAGCCCAGCCAAGACCAGTAGAAGAACCACCCGGCTAAACCCAGCCCAAATGGCCAATTACAGAATTATGAGTTGAGGTGGTTGTTTTAAACCACTAAGTGTGGGAGTGGTTTTTTATGCAACATAGATAACTGATACACTGTGCAAGCCATCATCCATATTCTAGTGAAAGTGATCTCTCTGAAATGCAGTTCCAAACATGCCACTTCCTTGTTCAGTCTTCACTGACTCACATGGCCCAGAGGACAACAGTCACTCCTTGGGATTGGCATACATCTTCCAGCCCTTGATTTTGTTGGCTGAGAACTCGCGTGAGGGAAAAGTTGCAGGTGGCCAACACTCTCATTGTCCTACTTAACTTTAAGATCCAGCTCAAGGAACCCCCTTTCCTTCTGGAACTCCTTGCAGCAGACTTCGTCACCCCATGACGAGACATCTCACACTGAGGAATGATCTCTTTTCTTTTCTGCCTCCCTTACATGCAGTGAGCTCCTCAAGGGTGAGTGTGCAGTAGATGCTTCCTGGATTCTTGTTGCAGCCTCCTGCCAAGAGATCCTGCAGCTTCGCTGGGCTCCTCCAGAGACCAGGAACCCACGTCATTGAGGGCCATCAGTTCTATCATGGGACAGCTCTGCCTGTCAAAGAGCCCATCCTTAAATTAAGACAGAAAGTGTTTCTCAGGATTTTTTTCTCTTTGGTCCCTTTGGGGTAACACTAAGTGCATTTGTTCCTCTCTCCACATAAGTCTTATCTTCTGTGGTAAGCCCTCTGCCGCCATGTGTCTGGAGGGTGTGCTGTTGCATCCTCTCACCAGTCTGATCCCTGTCTTTGGAATCAGCCAAGAGCTGGACACAATACTCCTAATGGACCCTGTCCAGTGCTAAATTAAGGGAATATGACCTTCCTCATTTTAGAGGCTATACTCCTTTGAATGCAGCTGAGAGCTGGCAGCTATTTTGGCAGCTACAGTACACTGAGCCCCTTGTTGACTGAAGCCCTGAAATGTCTTCCTCTCGTACTTGCTGGGTCCCAACCAATCCTTCCTGATAGTTTTCTGTCCCCTGAAGCTCCTGAAAAGTAGGCTTGGCTTCCTGTTTACTGCCTTAAACACAATCCTGGCCATAGGGAGTCTCTGCAATCATCATGGCCACTCAAATGAGAACCCTGGCACTCAGGCCTCTTCTCTGACCTCAGCCTGAGACTGAGACCTGTCACCAGGGCCCAGCGGGCATCTTGGGTCTGAACAGAGCCCTTCAGCAGGAGCCCTGCTTACTCGGTGACCTTGGACAAGTCTGCTTGTCTCTGGACCTTGGTTTCTTCATCTGTAAGGCAGAGTGGTTGAACTTAATGATGCATTCTTTTTAAGGTTTTTAGTAGATTTGCATACAGTGATAAGAAAGATGCCTTGTACTCATTCTTTTTTTTTTTTTTTTTCTGAGACAGGGTCTCACTTTATTGCCCAGGCTGGAGTGCAATGGCACAATCATGGCTCACTGCAGCCTTGAACCCTGGGCTCTACTGATTTTCCCACCACATTCTCCCAAGTACCTGATACTACAGGTGTGCACCCCCATGCCTGGCTAATTTTTGTATTTTTACTAGAGACAGGGTTTCACCATGTTGCCTGGGCTGGTCTTTGAACTCCTGGGCTCATGTGATCTGCCTGTCTCGGCCTCCCAAAGTGCTGGGATTATAGGCATGAGCACTGTGCCCGGCCCCATTATTCTTTACTCAGTTTCCCCCAATAGTAACATCTTACACAAGGATCGTGCCATATCACAACCAGGAGAGTGACACGGACACCATTTTTGGGATTTTATTCAGACTGTGCTTTGACATGCATTCATTTCAGTCATAGTTAAAGCCTCTTCTGCTCATAGGAGAAAATGGTTGTTGGTGCTTGCTGGGGTGGCGCTGTCCTGGTGTCTCACATACATCTCTGACCTTCCTCTTGTCCTTTCTCGCCTTTCCTTCCCTTTCTTTGCCCATTACCTCTTTCCAAAAAGGGAATAAGGCCGTCCTTTTGGGTCACTTAATTTTCACAACGACACAGTGAGGCACTGCTCTCCTCATTCCCATTTTACAGATGGGATGCCGAGTTTCGGTGGTCGGCCAGGCCCATGCGGTGGTGGAGTGAGGACTGGAACAGTGGCATGTGTGACTCAGAGACCTGGACCTCTGACCGGCTGCACTGTGCACTCTGCAGCCCCGCGGTGAGGCCCTTCTTGGGCAGGGGCCTGAGCTGGGGGTGGTCCGGGGAGGCAAGAGGATGCTGAGAAGGAATCAAGGGGGTCTGGAGAAAGGGGCTGGGCACAGGGAAAGAGAAGGGCAGGAAGGAGCTGAAGGTGCACAGAGGCCAGAGCGGAGCTCAGCCGGAGCCAAGGCTTGGATCAGCCCTGGTTGGATGCCCAGGCTCCTCGGAGCTGTGGTGGGAGCAGGGGTGGGGAGGAACACTTTCCAGGGCTGCTTCCGACCTGCTCCTCATCAAATTTGTGACTCATCTCCGGAGAGCAAGAGCCTGCCTGTGGCCATTGCAACATCAGGGAGTTTCCCCGAGGCTGGGATTTGGAGGGCCTTAGTGCCACCCACTCCCCATGATGGATTGGGGTGATGATGGGGCAGGGTGGGGGCAGTTTTCTTACCTTCCCACTGCAGAGAGCAGTGAAGGCCACATATGGCCCCTGATCACGCGGTTCTGGAGCCCAGGACAGACCCAGAGCTGGGAACGGATTGGAGTGAAACCTTGTTCTCTCTTTCTACTTGGCCCTTCTCAGGGAGAGAGTGGAAGCCCACATGGGTGCTGGAGCTGGGGATGCTGGAAGACTATTTGCTAATTCCTCCCTCCACCCCAGGTGTTAGCACCACAGGTGTGGCCTGGGCCTGGCCCCATATGGAACACGCCAGGTGAACCTATCAACCAGATCCATGGGAACTCAGATATATTACCTTTTCCCACAGCATCGATCCTTTTAGTCAAGGCAGAAATTTCTCCCTCTGTAAATGAATAACTGGCCTTCCCCACAGAAGGGCAACAGAATTCTACTGTACGGGTTTGCCAGTTTCTCTCCCACTGTGGGGCCATTTGCTGGGCTTCGGTAAACGTTACTTATGTGCGTCTCATAAATCAGGTGTCTGAGTTCTCAGGCTGTGGCTGCAGTCTACCATTGAATTACATCCCGTGAGCAATGTTGTCCGATTTCACCGGCCAGCACGTTCTTCTCGAGTGTGGGATTGGTTTTTGCAAGACCTCGAAAGGATTTTGATAAGCCACCTGCTTAAGGCCGGCTGAAAAAGAAGAAAGGAGGGCATATGTGGGTCAGCTCACTCGGAATAGAAGAGGAATCAGGTATTATTTTCCCTTTCCCACTCTCTATTCCTGCCTGTTCCTGCCTACTTTTGCCACTTTGCCACAGAGCCTTTGCCCAATGAATTCCTGCCTGGGGGCTTGGAAATCACATTGGTGTTGGAGTCAGATGAGTTGGGTGAATCCAGCCTCTGCAGTCTGAGCAGGCACTGCCTTCCTTAGCCTCCTCTTCCTCACCTAGAAAGTGGACATCCTGAAACAGACCTCACAAGGGAGTCAGGCGATTAAATGAGATGACTGAGCCTACTCCTGTGTGTGGCTGCTGAGTCGCACTGGGTGTGCTTGGGCAGGTCTTACTGCTCTCTGTTTCCTAGACTGTATGTGAAGGGATGGTCTGGATGAGGGGTTGCAAACTTAACCTCCCATAGCTTCCATGCGTGTGAACCTGATGGGAGGGCGCCCTGTTCACGGGGCCTCTGCTACACAGCACCAAAGAATTGGAGCCCCGGGGGGACCCTGGAAGGTCAACTCCAAGGGCCCAGGGATGTTCCTCTCTTTTGTTCACTGCCATATTTTCAGTGCCCAAAACAGTGTCTGACAAAGTAGATGCTTAATAAATATCTGCTGAATGAATGAAATTGAATCAGTGTTGCTGGATGTTCCAAACTTTCAAAAGAAACTGGAAAGCTGGCTCCCAATGGGGAGTTTCAGTACTGGTAACCAACTCAAGAGCCTGGGGGCTTGGAGTTTTAAAAAATACCATGTGGTTCAAATTAAACACATGTGCAGGCTGGATCTTGCCTGTTGGCTCAGCTCCAGGCCTTCTGACGACACTCTGCTCTCCAGGAAACCTGCAGGGGCTGGAACACTGATCACAGGGTTATCACTGATGAGGTCCTGGTGGCCCAGCCGCTGCCAGCCTCTCAAACCCTGTCTCCAGGCTCCAAGAACATGGCATTCTTTCCATTCCTGGAATGAATGAGTCTTTGCTGCTATTCTGTGAGGACCAGCCCTTCCCGTGCAGCTGTGGGGACTGCCATTCTCCCCATTCCCCCAAGTGTCTTGGAGTCCAGTCACTACACCCTCTCCCCCACTCCATGGAAACTGACCTTGGAATGGCCTCCTGGCCCACGGACTCTCTCCTCCCCAGGGCCTGACAATGTCCCGCCTGCCTGTGAGGGCCCAGGTAGGGCCCACCCACCACCTGACCTCTCCATTCTCTATGTTGTCTCCAACCTCCTTCTTCTTCCCTCTACTTCAGCCACCTGGTGCCAGGGATACACTTGGTCCTTGTCATCTCCTGAGATGGCTCTGCCTCTGGAATGTTCTACTCAAACATTCCTGCTCTGTGGCTATGCCTTCCTCTCTCTCTTTTAATGAGACAGGGTCTCACTCTGTCAGCCAGGCTGGAATGCAGTGGCACAATCTTGGCTCACTGCTTGTAGCCCTGACCTCCTGGGCTCAGATGATCCTCTTGCCTCAGCCTCCCAAGTAGCTGGGACTACAGGTGCGCACTACCACGCCTGGATAATTTTTGTATTTTTTGTAGAGACGGGGTCTTGCTATGTTGCCCAGGCTGGTCTCAAACTCCCGGGCTCAAGCCATCCACCTGTCTCAGCCTCCCAAAGTGCTGGGATTACAGATTGCACCCTTTGTGGAAACCAGGCTCACGGCTGATTCCCTTCACAGTGTACAGAAGATCACGCCTGGCTCTTCTTCTGTTTCTTGCTGTCACCCAGGTTCTCTCACTATATCCATCCTTTAACACACTGATCTCACTTCACTTCCTTCTCTCCCTGTGCTCGTTTCTTCCCTCTCCATCATTCCCCCGAGTCTGACCAGGATCCCCAACTCCCATGACGTATGGCCGTCTATCTGGCTAAACCCTACTCCAGAGCAATCCTTTCCTGGGTCTGTCGAGCATTATCAGAGTAAATTCACACAACACAGCCACGCTTTCCAGCTTCAATGGGGCCCTCAAAGCTGCCTGGAGCCCACCATCCTTCCTGGGTGAACTGTCTTTGCCAGCTGACCATGGTGGACCCAGCCTGTCCATTCTCCTCCAGCCCCAATTCTCTCCATGACCCGCCTCCTCCTCTGCCATCCTTCAACCTCTCCCTCCTAACCTGTAACCCCACCTGCCTCTGGGCCTACTTTGTTCCTTCTGTCTGGAACACTCCTTTCCCCCATTTTGCTTGGCCAGCTTCTCATTTTTTGGGATTCAGTTTATGTGTCTCTTCCTCCAGGAACCCCTCTCTAACCATCCCTCCCAGCCACCCAGACTGGAGCCCTGCTCTGGTTCTCACGGCACCCCTCACCCTGATGGTGGCGGGCATCCTGCTCTATGACAATCCCTTAATTATTGTCCTGGTTGCTGTGAGCCCCTGGAGGGTAGAGACACCGTTAGGCTCACCGTTGGGTCTCTCATAGCAAGACCCGCACCAATGCATTACACGTTCAATAAGAGCATGCACAAGCATTCTTTTGTGAGCAGCTCACCCTTTCCCGCCTCTGCCAGCCCTTCCTCCCTGTCTCCACGTATCCAGATTGCACCCTTTGTGGAAACCAGGCTCACGGCTGACTCCCTTCACAGCGTCTTCTCTGCTAACCTGAGAGGGAACCCATCCCCTTTCTCGCTGAAGGCGCAAGATGCTGGATCCGTGGTGTGTTCATGCAATTTCTCATTTCATTTTTTATATTATAATATTTAGATGTATGTAAGTTCCTTGAATATAGAACTTCTAGCTATACCATCCCTGTATTCCTGGCAGTTAGCCTAGAAAGCTTTGAATAGACAAATGGAAGTGTAATAAGAGAGGCCATTACCCGATACTTGTTATTTGTTTCCTGCTGCTGCTATGACAAATTACCAGAAACTCGGTGGCTTAAAATACAAATGGGGCCAGGCGCAGTGGCCACGCCTATAATCCTAGCACTATGGGAGACCAAAGTGGAGGATCACTTGAGCCCTTGAGTTTGAGACCAGCCTAGGCAATGCAGGAAGACACCATCTCTACAAAAAATAGAAAAGTTAGCCAGGCATGGTGGTGCACACCTGTAGTCTCAGCTACAGGAGGCTGAGGTGGGAGGATCCCTTGAGTCTGGGAAGTTGAGGCTGCAGTGAGCCGTGATTGTGCCAGTGCACTCCAGCCTGGGTGACAGAGCGAGACCCCATCTCAAAAAAGCAAAGCAAAGCAAAGCAAACAAAGCAAAACAAAACACAAATGTATCCTCTAACAGTTCTGGAGGCCAGAAATCCTAAATCTGTTTCCCTGGGCTGAAGACAGGGAGTTGGCAGGACCCATTCCTTCTGGAGGCTCCAGGGGAGAAGCCATTTCCTTGCCCTTTACAGCCTCTAGAGGGTGCCTGCAATCCTTGGCTCGTAGTGGCCGTCCTGAATTCCTCTGGCCTCTGCTTCCATAGTCACATCTCCTGACTCTGAGCCTCCTGCCTCCCTCCTATAAGGACCCTTGTGATTATATAGGGCCCACTTGGATAATTCAGGATCATCTCCCCATCTCAAGACCCTTAATTTGGTAACATTCATCAAGTCCAGGGATTAGGTACCCCCCAATCTACGGGAGTAATCATTTAGCCTATCACAATAGCATTTATTATGTCACAAAGAATTGATAAGAAAGCCAAGCTTCTTGGTTCAATGCTGTTTTAATTCCGCCAGAAAAGTTGGAAGATTTCTTTCCTATGGGATGAAGATATTGGAGCAAGACTTTTAGGGGTGCATTGTTTATAAAGTTCCCAGACCTTGGTCCTGAAGAGCCGGCCCACAAAGACATAAATTACTGGATTCAGGGAGCTGTTAGTGAAGGCAAAGAAGTTGGCCAATTGCAGGCCCAGGTCAATGAAGTCCTCCCAAAAGCAGCCTCGGACTGCTTGCACCTGGAATAAGAATTCCAGGAAGGCAAAGAAGTGGTAAGGGGCCCAGCAGACCAGGAAGGCAACCACGAGCGTGAGGATCAGCGCTGTGGTCTTGCTATCCTTGCGGCCCCCGCACCTTGTCCTGCTGACCTCCTCCCGCGTTCGCAGGGAGGCCAGGATGTGGTAGTTGAAGAAGACGATCGCAGCCAGTGGTAGGAGGAAACCCAGAATATTTAACTCCACAATCCTTGCAAAGTGCCAGGCCTCATGGGGGAGGAGCAGGATGCAGGCGGTGATGTTCAGATCTGGGACGGCTTGGATGGATCGCAGCAGGAATGTGGGGATGCTCAAGAGGCCCCCCACAACCCAGATGAGCACGCAGGTGACCCGGGCCTGCCTCCGCCGCTGCTGCCTCCGGCTGGCCATAGGGTGCACCAGCACGCGGTAGCGGTCCTGGCTGATGGCCACCACCAGGAAGATGCTGATGAACAAATTGGCCTTGATGACCCCGTTGATGACACGGCAGAGGAGGGCTCCGAAAGGCCAGTTAAACTGGTTCCAGATATTCTCTGCCCAGAAGGGCAAGCCCAAGACAAACACCAGATCAGAGGCTGCCAGGTTGGCCAGGTAGATTTCTGCCACGTTCAGTTGCCGCCGGGGCAGGAGGAAGACCAACAGGACAAAAAGGTTCCCTAGGAGGCCGAAGAAACAGATGGAGATGATAAATGTTGGCAGCACTCTGTGCAGCAGGTCCCAGGCTTCTGGAGCATTGTCACAGGCCGTAGCATTTTGAGGGAAGAGCTGGCTCTGGTTGGAGGATTGGAGCTCTAGAGGGGGCCAGGATGATGCCATGCACAGTGACCTGAAATGAACAGAAGGTAGAATAAAACAGGAAGTGGCAGACTACAGCCTATGAGCCAAACCAACCTGTCACCTGTTTTTGGACAATAAAGTTTTATTGGCACAGAGCCACACCCATTCCTGGACGTATTATCTACAGCTGTGTTCATGCTACAAGGGGGAGTCGAGCGCTTGTAACAGAGACTGTCTGGCTTGCAAAGCTGAAGATATTTACCATCTGTTCCTGAGGGGGAAAAGTTTGCTGACCTCTGGTTTAAGGGATGGTGCCTGAGTCCAAATCCCGGTACAATCACTCAGTGTGAGCTACTTAGAACCATTGACTTTTACTTTCCTTTTTAAACATTGGAGAGAATCGTGTCTCTCTTGTGGGATCACGGGAGGGCTGTTGTCAGGATCTACAGGGTGCTTAGCTCCGTGCCTTGCATAGAGGAAAGACTTTGGAAGGTAGTGATTAGTCTTAGTAACAACTGTACCATTATTATTATTACTATTAGGGTTTTAACAGGCATTTAATGAGCCTCTACCTCTTGCCAGCCCCTTGCCAGGCACTGGAGATATGCAGGACAGAGCAGCCCCAGCCTCATGGGGCTGCAGACATGGAGGCAGAGGTCATGGCTTGAGATAGAGCTGAGGGAAGCCCGGGAACAGCAAAGGAAGCTGACCTGTTGGGGCTGGGACCAGTGTGGTGGCCGGGGTGGGGACAGTGCTAGGAGGTTCCTCTTACAGGCTTGAAAAACATGAGTATTGGCCGGGTGTGGTGGTTCACACCTGTAATCTCAGTACTTTGGGAGGCCAAGGCAGATGGATCAGATGAACCCAGGAGTTCAAGACCAGCCTGGGCAACATGGTGAAATCCTGTCTTTACAAAAAATACAAAAATTAGCTGGGCATGGTGGTGCATACCTGTGGTCCCAGCAACTCGAGAGGCTGAGGTGGGAGAATCGTTTAAGCCTGGAAGGTCGAGGCTGCAGCGAGCTATGATTGTGCCACTGCACTTCAGTCTGGGCCGACGGACTGAGACCCTGTCTCAACAACAACAACAACAACAAAAAAAAAAAAAAAAAAAAGGAGAGAGAGAGAGAGAAAAGAAAAAAGAGAAAGGAAAGCATGAGTAATAAATAAGGATAACAACTAACATCTGTTAGATGGTATTAATGGTCTGTGTTCCAGGCGCCATTCTAAGTGTTTCACATTTAAGTATTTTCTCATTTAATCTTCCTGGCAGCCATTCAAGGTAGGGGCCATTGTCATCTCCAGTTGGCCAATTAGAAAATTGAGTGCTGAGACCCGGAGTCGCCTGTCTGAGGTCACACAGCTGGTCAGTAGGGCCTGGATTCAAACCCAGGCAGTCTGATTCAAGAGCCTGATTGAGATCCTGTGCTTCTGTCTGCTCTCTTCTGCTGCACCTGTCCCCACGCGATGAATGACAAAGCCAGGCTCAGAGAAGTTAACCAGCTTGTCGGAGAAGACCTAGGTGGTGGTTACAGTGCTACGCCAGGAACCTTGGTCTGCATGGACCCCAGAGGCCGTGCTCACAGCCATGCAGCTGACTGGCCTCCCACGCTTGCTGGAGGAGCTACAGCTGGTGGGTACAGTGTACACTATGAACCTTGGTCTGCATGCACCCCATAGCTCATGTTCATAGCCACGCAGCTGACCTGCCTCCCATGCTCCCATGCTGAGTTTCACCGGGAGAGGGATAGAAAGCTCTGTCTCTTTCCATAGGGAGGACTGCATCTCCCAGCCCTCTGCGATCCCACAAGGGGTAGATCCCATCCTGTGCTCATGGCTTCGTGGCCTCCTGCTGGCAAAACCGGCCACAGCCAACTCAGGGATCCACAGAATACTATCTGCAGAATGAGCAGCTGCCTACACTGCGGGATTTATGCGGCTCCAGACAATCTTCAGAGCCTAAACATTCTTCCCCAGCTTGGATAGGTTAATATACGCCCGGTGCTTGGCAGGGTTCCTGACTTATTGTAAGCACGTGGCAAACATTAGTTGTCACTGTCATGATTGTTATTAATGGGTGACACCTGAGATTCCTTCAACCCCGCAAAGCCTCACAGATACCAACAAAAGCTATTGTGTAGCAGAGAATTAACCTTGGAAGAGCATATTTGGCTGTGTAACCTCAGGAGAGTCAGTTCATGTCTCTGAGCCTGACTTTCCTCATCTAAGGAAGACATGATGTCCTCAAGAGGCCCTTCTAGCTCTGACATTCTGTCATGTCACTCACATGGAGTTATTCACACCGGGGTATAATTCACTGGTTCCTCCAGTTATTTATTTGCTGAACAAGTATTTACTGAGAATGTACTATGTGCCAGGCACTGTTCTAGGTATTTAGGACAAAGCAGTGAATACAGCAGGCAAAAATCCCTGCTCTCAGTGTGCGTATAAGCCTAGCAGGAGGAAGAAGTTGATAAACAATACACACACTAAATAAACATGCTGGCGGGTGACAGCTGGGGAGAGTAGCAGGGCAGGTGGTGAGAAGTGATCAAGTGATCAAACTCTAGAGGTGTTTTGGAGGTAGTAACACCGTGATTTTCAGTTGGATCTGGGTGGGAGAAAGGAGAAATCGGACAATGCCAAGGTTTTTGGACTGAACACTGGGAAGTATGAAGTTGTCATCAGCTGAAATGAAGGTGACAGAATGAAGATGAAGCAGTTTTTTTTGTGGGGGGTGGGGAAGAACAGGAGTTCAACTTTGGAATTGTTAAGGTTGAGATATAAATTGGACATCACATGGGGACATCCAGCAGGCAATTAGGTAGACAAGTGTGGTATTCAGGGACAAGATCTGGGATGATGAGACCTAACTGGGAGTTGTAACTATAGGAATGGCATTTAAAGCCACAAGGCTGGATGAAATCACCAAGGGAGAGAGTAGATAAAAGAGCAGAAGTTGCACAGCTGCCGGTTGACAGATCAACAGGAGACATGGGAAATTATGATTTGGTGGTTGTGAAATGTCCATGGCACATGGAAGCTGAGCAGTCCCCACCCAGAGCATAATATGGAGGAGGCTGGAGGCTCTTGTTACAATAGTTTGGTCATTTTTTGCAGGGCATAAATCCAAAACTATGTGTATTTTATCATTTGGCAATACTTAAAGAATTTGAAATAAACCCTTTTGGAGTAATGAGCTAAAAAACAAATATTTAATGGAAATTTAAGTACTGCACTTCTGTTGCTCAAGGAAGTTGTTGATGAGCAGATAGCTTGCATAGAACGTTTGTTGACATTTGCATCACTATGGGGTCTGTAGCAATTTCACTGATTGCAAGAAAACCTAAGACACAGAGCTGCTACTTTAGAAATTAGTAATTTTAAGAACATTGCACCAGGCTGGGCGTGGTGGCTCAAGCCTGTAATCCCAGCACTTTGGGAGGCCGAGGCAGGTGGATCATGAGGTCAGGAGTTCAAGACCAGCCTGGCCAAGATGGTGAAACCCTGTATGTACTAAAAATACAAAAACTAGCTGGGTGTGATGGCAGGTGCCTGTAATTCCAGCTACTTGGGAGGCTGAGGCAGAGAATTGCTTGAACCTAGGAGGCAGAGGTTGCAGTGAGCTGAGATCGCACCAGTACACTCCAGCCTGGGTGACAGAGTGAGACTCTGTCTCAAAAAAAAAAAAAAAAATTGCACCCTAAGACACGGTTCTCATCCATGTAGCTGCAAAAGATGCTGATATAAGATCATTCTGAGAGGCATGACTTTTCCCTTAGATCAAATGACTGTTCTTTAAGTTAACTCAGCTCACATTTAATTCCAGCTTTTCTTGTGCACGTGCAACAGTGGAAGTGATGGCTGACTGTGTGTTGGCTCCATAAGAAGAACATCACAGAAAGCAAAATGGTGCCAGCTCAACACCAGTATCCTCGGACTCTTCAGACAGAAAAACCTGTTAATTCCAATCACAATTCATTCTTTCATTCAGCTCATGGAAGCCAAGCAGGGCTTTGGGACATTCATTCTGGCAAAGTGAAACAACTGACTTTTTGTGAATGCTATTTAAGTTGTTTAAATTTTCCACATTGGAAATAAAGTCATTGCATTTTTGTGAGGATAAAACACAAATTGTGGTGGAGTCCAGCGTCATGGTAACAATAATATTCCTACTAAATTAAGACACTAATGAAACAGAAATGTGATTGGAACAGGTCATGGTGCACACACAATTTGTTATTGCATATAAATAAATGTCAATATTCTATAAATTGACATTTATAGACGTACGTGACAAAATTTACAAAATGTTAAAACATATGCACAGATTTACTGAACTACAAACTTGTGATAAAGTTGTTCATGAATTTTTTTAAAAAACTGGACTTTCACATGTGTTTTCTCTTTTATTTTCCCATTATCAATCAATTTTAGTGGACATTGAGTCTCAGCATCCTAAAATGTTATTAAACAGTGTATTAAAACAGATCTATAAATTTTCGTTGAATTTTGTTCCAAATCAGTTGGAAATATTTAGTCAAGTTATTCAATGAATAGAGCAGCAAAACGTCAACTTTCAAAGCTTTTAGTGAATTATAAATATTGAAAACAAAGCTGGTATGCAGAAAAATTATAAAATGTATCAGAAAATGATCAAAATCAAATGCTGTACAAGAGTTAATTTTGAAATTCTAAAATGAGCTCTGGAACATTTCAGCTTGTGGGAAGAATCTTTTTAATTGGATAAATTCATGTTCTGTATGAAATGAGATGAAATTGAGAAAGCCAATGATTTTTTTTTTTTTTGCAGTATCTGAATCTGACAAAACATTCAAAACTTATAAGTAGGTACAACTTATTTGAAAGGTTTAATCTGGTTAAAAAAAAATACGTGTGGGCTGGGCACGGTGTGGCTCATGCCTGTAATCCCAGCACTTTGGGAGGCTGAGGCAGGTGGATCACATGAGGTCAGGAGTTCAAGACCAACCTGGCCAACATGGTGAAACTTTGTCTCTACTGAAAACACAAAAATTAGCCGGGCATGGTGGCAGGCGCCTGTAATCCCAGCTACACAGGAGGCTGAGGCAGGAGAATTGCTTGAACCTGGGAAGCGGAGGTTGTGGCGAGCCAAGATCGCACCACTACATTCCAAACTAAGGCACAAAGACAGCACCTGTGAAAATATCTGGGCTAAAATATTTATGCAATTCCATATGCAAAGAATTGGACTTGAGAACAGCCTCTGCCTGGCAGAATTTGCTGAGAGCTTATCACTCAGAACCTGCACAGGGAACATTTTCTCAATATATTATGGTTCAAGAGAAGAGTCAATTGAAGGTACTAATTTAAATTTGTTAATTGTAAAATTTGTGGAAAAAAGATTTCAGGCAATTATATGGAAAAATTAAAAATAACAAGACCCCACTGAAGAAAATACATTCTTGTGAAAAATGCCAGTGACAGGGTATCAGTCAGGTACAAGAAACTGTAGCATGTGAATATACAACAAGAACAATTATTTTGCTTATCTTATTTTTAAATGTTCAGTTGATTAACATAAACATGTTTTCTTTTGCTTTAATATTCATAGGTGTATGCATATATATTTAAAGACTTTTTTGAAAATAGTTTTTATCTAGAACTACTTTATAACACCATCAATATAATATAACCATTTTGTTGGATTTTTTCCCCTTCCTTCCTTCCTTCCCTTCATTCCCTCCTTCTCTCCTTCCCTCCCTACCCTCCTTCCCTCCTTCCTTCCTTCCTTCCTCCATCCCTCCCTTCCTCCCTCCCTTCTTCCCTCCCTCCCATCCTGCTTTCCTTCCTTCCTTCCTTCCCTTCCTTCTTTCCTTCCTTCCTTCTTTCCTCTCTCTTTCTACCTGTAAATACTAATTTTTGGGGGAAATAATTTTTGACTATTGGGGTGCCCCGGCAGTGTGCACACACATGGCCTGACCATCCCTCTCCTAGCTATCTCTGATGATGGCCAGGAAGCTGAGGTCTATGGTGACAGAGGCTGGCAGGTGGGAATCTGTAGAATTCCCCGGCGATTGGTTGGGATTTCTCAGGGAGAAAGGAGGCGAGGTCCTGACCTGTGGTGGAGGGGCTGGGGCATTGAGAGTTTGAGAAGAGATGGGAGGGTGTTGAGCACTGATATGGTTTGGCTGTGTCCCCACCCAAATCTCATCTTGAGTTGTAGCTCCCATAATTCTCTCGTGTTGTGTGAGGGACTTGGTGGGAGATAATTGAATCATGGGGATGGAGAACAAAGCCAAGCCAATATCTTGACTTTAGCTCAGCGAGACTGAGTTTGAACTCCTGATCTCCAGAACTGTAAGATAATAACTTGCATCGTTTTAAGCCACTCACTTTGTGATAATTAATTATAGCAGCCTTAGGAAACCAGCACGGGGGTGAGGCTGCACCCTGCCCAGGAAGCCAGAGACGACCAGCTACGCAGGGACTTTAGCTCGAACCTGATTAGGTCAGTGGACACCGCCCCCATCCCCAGGACGGGGAGGTGGCTGGGGCCACTGCAGCCACAGCATGTGTCTGCTCACATGGGGCTTATTTTTAAAGGGATTGTCCTCACCTGCTGCTGTCTGTGTTTATAAAGTTGGCTAGAGAGGAGAAATCTTCCTTTGCCAGTTTTCAGCTTTAGCTCTGATATTTGCCTGGAACATAGTAGGTGCTCAATAAACAATATCTCTGGATATTGTTAGTAATATGTGACCCTATTTGAAGAACTCAGAAGGGGCACTGGGCAAGTCTACAAGAGATGGCAATTCTGTAATTCCTGTGTGGTATTTTCTGAATTCTGCACATTTTAACCTAGGCTATGAGACAGTGTGACTTTCTTCAACAAATTAGTTAATTCTTCAAATTAACTCCAATTTCAACAGCATGGTGATGTTAAAGGCATTGGAAATTCAGCCACAGATGTTAAAGACCATCAGCACGGTCACATAGTAAGATGCTACTTTCAAGCCACGAATAACCCAACCAGTTATTGGTCTTATGAAATCTTGTAAGCCATCCCAGAGAGACTAATTTAATTTTTATGATTCAGAATTTGCAGGCTGTAACTGGTCAGTCCATGCGAACTCTGGTGGCTGCATTCAGCCCTGACATGTTTCACCTGACTTTGATATAAGGAGCTACTGGAACCTTCCTACGAGTTCTAAAACCTTTCCCTCCTCCTCCTGTTCTGGAAAAGCAATTAAGACCCAAACTAGGCATGAAATAAAAGTCTCTTAAATTGATTTAGAATTATTTTTAAAAAGTACCCTCACAGAAGTGGAAAATTTTGCCAATAGGTAGGTGTAAAAGGAAGTTTTTTGTTTTTCTAAGAGACACAGATTTCCTCTCATATTGTACTCTCATAAAAGAAAAAAAAAAGGTGGTCATTTACTTACTCAGGCAGAAAATGAAGGCGTTCACAACTGTAGTTGGGTTTTCTGATAGTGAGAGCTGCTTTTGGAGGAGTTTTCTCTTCTGGGAAGTGCTGTGGAGATGTGGTTGCTTTAAATTATATAACCTCCGCTCCAGTGATGTCATTGTGGGGATTGCCGCAAAAGTGAGTCTTTCGGGACTCACTCCAAGTGGATTTGGAAGGAAAAATCCACTCTCATTTCACTTTGCACTTTAGGGATGATAAGAGATTATTCAGCTACCATCTCCCCCTTTACTTTGGTACCATCTGCAGAGGTCTGCAATCCTGCCCAAGACCTGTATGTTGGCAAACACGCCCTAAAAACATGTTTTGACATCGCCAACTTGCCCCAAGGCTCGCAAAGTGTCAGTGAACATTGAGGGATGGCTTTTGGCCCCTTCACTATTGGCTTCTGAATGTCTGGGGCTCTGCAGCAGCTTTTGTGGGAGCCACTTCGAATGGCCTCTTTTGAATTTTGGTCATGAAAGATACATCGCCAAGAATCCATCAGAGTGGACCCATCACACAAACAGAGAGCTAGGAAAACGTTTGACTCATGCAATGTTCAGAGTTGAGTAAGACCAGATACATTTTTTCCTAATCCTCCTTGGCGTCTCTCAAATTATGTCTGCATGGGTCAAGTTGAACTACTCAAGACCTCATGTTTCAGACAGTAAGATATTTTTGGCTTTGAGAATCAGGTGACAAGATTCTCCAACTGAAGGCCCCTTACCTGTCAACTTACAAATTAAGATCTTTCCAGGCCACCCCCTACACGTAGGAGAACTCATTCATGCCAGAATTCAGGACTTCGAGTCTGACTTCTGGAAAGGTGACCCTCCAAATGTTTGGAGCAGAAGGTGTCACCTCTGTCTTTAGAATCTTGCCTTTTGCTTGTGTTCCCTTTTTCTGCTAGTGACATCTCAGCGGGAGCCAACTGCACTTCAAGTTTTCCTGCTGTCTTCTCCTGTTGCTGAAGACCTTAAAACTGTGGAAGTAGGTGGAACAAATAGCATTCTGAGGCTCAGTAGCGGATGTACATTTCAGGGAAGAAGCTGGAATTTGCCTTAGAGGATAGGATGGTCCCCTCCTATCAGGAGAGACCTCCTGGGTGGGATTTTTAATAAAAAAAAATTGTCAACAGGCAAGCATCTTCCATTACTCCCGGGATAGATCTGAACCGGAGGAAGGCTCCAAATCTTAGCCTTTCCTGTTACTTAGTAATGTAGGCGGGGGTCTCTCCAGCCCGTGGCTGGCTTATTCTCCCTTCAGTATGAGTTTAGACTATACTGTTTCTGAGAAGCGTTTGTTCTTAGGAGATGTCTCCCTGTTTATTCACCCAGGAGTGCGTATAAGGCCAGCTCTGCCACAAAGAGCACGTGCAGGTCTCATCTCTGCTTTGCCTCTTGCTGGAAGACAGTCTGTGAAGAGAGCTGGCCTGAGTGAGCTGGACTTCGGAGATGCATCTGGCTGCCTTGCCAAGGTGGTGGAGGGCGGAAAGGAAAGTTCTTTAAGAAGACCCACGTTTCCCCTTGTTGCTCATCTCCACGGGAAATGCGAGACAGGCCCGGGCTCAGGGGAGCAGAGGGTCTCCTACTGTCTCTGGGGCCAAGGGAGTGGGGCTGAGGGCAGGGGGAGGGGACCCCAAATCTGTGAAAGAAAAGCAGGTCCCTATAGTGTGGCAGAAGATAGCAGGGGACTAAGAAGTGGGTAGGCACTGAGGACCCTCTTCTGAGGCTTCGCTTGCCTTTTTTCTTTTTTTTTTGAGACTGAGTTTCGCTCTTGTTGCTCAGGCTGGAGTGCAATGGAGCGATCTCGGCTCACTGCAACCTTCGCCTCCTGGGTTCAAGCGATTCTCCTGCCTCAGCCTCCCGAGTAGCTGGGATTACAGGCACACACCACCACACCCAGCTAATTTTGTATTTTTAGTAGAGACGGGGTTTCTCCATGTTGGTTAGGCTGGTCTCAAACTCCCGACCTCAGGTGATCCACCCACCTTGGCCTCCCAAAGTGCTGGGATTACAGGCGTGAGACACCGTGCCCGGCCAATGCTTGCCTTTTCTGAATTTAGTTGTTTGTAATTCCCACAGCCTCTATAAGGTTTGGTTAAACCTTACAGTCTGATGTGTGCTGTGCTTGATGAAGTCCCCTGGGTACTTGGGTGAAGAGGTGGTCACAGAGGATAAAGGCCTGCCTCTGGAAATAGAGGACAGGCCAACCTTCCCTGGGGTGTCCTAAATACTAGTGAGGGGGCACTCCAGGCAGGCTGGACTCCCTGTAGTATGCGTGGGCTTGGGCCATACTGGATGTGTATTCAAGGGAAGGTGAGCTCTGGAGTTTGCAGCCCCTGGGGACATGCAGTCCCAGTGCCCACTGTGACATCAAGGGCCACTTTTCAGTTCTCTCATCCATCAGTCCTGGAGTTTTTTTCTCCTTTACTTTTCTAGTCATATCCAGCAGGTTCTTCAAAATGAAAGACTCTAGTACATGTCACCCAGCAGACCTCTACAAATAGCACCCAGATGCTGAGCCTCTCCAGGGTTCGTTCTTAGTCCTTACACGACATCTGATGTCTCCAGTATTCTCCCAATTGTAGACGGAGGACAGAAAGCCACAGCTGGGCAGAATTCTTGCCAGGATGAAATGCAGCACCCTCACTGTGGTCCAGCTCGTGTCCTTTCACCCCCGACCAAGGCTGTTGGCGGTCACACCTTTCTTCCCATCACAGGGTTTAGAAACTCATGCAACGTACATACAAGTCTGCAACAAAGGACTGTAAACCAATCTCCTGGCTTTCTGATTCCTTTCCTTCAGTCTATCCTTCTGCTGGATTAATATTCTGGAAACACCTGGATTTTGTCATGCCACAGGACAACGACCCAACCCCTTGGAATTCAAGAGCTCCCCAACGGTCTTGCTGTAACACCCAGAGCCACCCTCCATGCTGAGCGAGTGACTCATGGGCTCTGAATGCATCCTGCTTGTGAGCATTTGCTGAAAATGACCTCCTCCTCCTCGCACTGTTCAGTGTTCATCCATCACTCAAGTCCTGGTGTAATCCTCTGCTTTTCTCTAAGCACGGGGCCTGAGTGCTTTCCCCTTTATTTTAAAAACACATATGGAGCACCCAGCTGGTGCCAGGCAAATGCCACCCTAGAAGAGCATGCGTGTCTAGCACATAGGAAGCGGGGAATGGATGGGGTGAACAGACGGTGTCTAAGTGTAAGGGGGGAGGTAAGCAGAAAATCCCAAATATACATTTAGCAAAGCACAAACACTTGGAGATCTACAGGATGACAGGGTGGACATGAGCACGTCCTGGGCATTCAGGCAGCTCCAGGTGCTGCCATGGCCTGGCAGCCAGCCCAGAAGTGAAGGGTCCTGGGTGCTGGCTCTGGGGTGGGAAGGTGCCCACTTAGCAGATAAAGCTCCACTGGGCCAGGGGTTCCTCCCCGCCCTTGTGTGGCCCTGCTTTGGGAGATGAAAGCCTTCTCGCCCAGGCAGAGCAGGGGATCACGAGACCTTCCTCTTTAGGGAGCCTCGAGAATCCCAGGAGTGCACATGCTCTCAGAAGGGGCTTGTACCAGGAAAATCAGCTGCATTTCTCTGTCTCCTAAAGCCGAAGCCAGGCCGTCTCATGTCTCTTCTCGAACTCCTCTGCTGCTGTCTCAGGCCCAGGAAAACAGAGACCTTACGGCGGCAAGGTTGCACATGCGCAGACCCAGCTGTCCCCCAGAGCACATGCGTAGACCCAGCTGTCTCCCAGAGCACATGCGCAGACCCAGCTGCCTCCCAGAGCACACGCGCAAACCCAGCTGTCTCCCAGGGCACATGCACAGACCCAGCCGCCTCCCAGAGCACTCGTCTCATGGTGCCTGGCTGCCCTGGCTTCCTCGAGCTGTGTTTTTTGTTTTTTGACACAAGGTCTCACTATGTCGCCTAGGCTGGTCTCAAATTCCTGGGGGCCCAAGCCATCCTCCCACCTCGGCCTCCCAAAATGCTGGGATTACAGGCACTCCCCACTATGCCCAGCCTTTCCTCTCTGTTTTGAATGTACCACCTCCTCTCCCACCTCAGGGCCTTTGCACTGTCCGTTCCCCTACATGGAGCACCTTCCCATCGAGAGCCCCATGCTTGCTCCCCCAGGTCCTTCTGGTCCTCACCAATCCTCCCTTGTCAGAGAGACCTTTCCTGAAATAACCTCTCCTCCTCTTGGCCTGCTCCACTGCTCTTCACAGCCCTATTGCCACCTGCTCCACCAGGCAACGGATTTATCTCTTTTGATTAGGTTCATCTTCCCAACTTGTACAACAGGGCTGATAAGTAGCACGTGCTCAAATATTTGCTGAGTGTATTCATAACTATGTATTACAAATAAGTATATAATAGCAATAGCTTGTCTTATGTCAACAAACATGTGCCAAACCCCTTGTGGGGGCCAGGCCCTGTGTGGGCACAGGGGGTGCATAGACGAACACAGCCCACTCCGTGCCCACTTAAGGAGCTCTTGGGATGGCTGAGGACAGGGACAAGCTGACATCCAGTGACAACATGTTGTAGAAAGCAGAGTGGCAATGAAGTTCTGAGGCTGTGTCTGAGTGTGAGGTTTGAAAAAAATGAGTTCTGCTCGAGGTGGAGTGGGATGGGTAATTTATGTGTCATGCTGACTGGGCCATGGGGTGCCCAGATATTTGGTTAAACATGGTTTCTGGGGGGGCCGTGAGCGAGTTTAACCTTCCTAGGTTAATTTGAATGATTAATGTTTGAATTGGTAGACTGAGTAAGGCAGATTGTCTTCCCTGACATGGTGGGTGGCATCCAACCTGTCGGAGGCCTGAATACAACCAAAAGGAGCAGCAAGGGAGAATTGGTTCTCTCCGCCTGGCTGTTTTCAAGCTGGGACATCTGTCTTCTCCCACCTTCTCGCTGGCCATCCTGGGTCTCTGGCCTTCACAATCCCACTGGAACTACATCACTGGTCCTCCTGGGTCTCCAGCTTGCAGACAGCAGATGGTGGGACTTCTCAGCCTCCATAATTGCATAAACCAATTCCTTATAACAAATCTATCTATATTTATCTATTTTCTGTTGGTTATGTTTCTCTAGAGAACCTCGACTATTATGCAGAGTTGGGGAAGAATTCATGGCAGGGGATTATTTAAACTAGGTTTTCAGGGCTGAATAGGAGTTTGGAAGGCAAGCAAGCTGAGAAAACCATCGCAGGTGGGGGGACCAGCATTTGTATTATAACGCACACATGTTCATAAGCCTTTGTGGAAGGCTCACTTGGAACTTGGGGTCAGAAAGCCCAGGTTCAAGCCCCACACCCCACTTACTCACGCTATCCATGAATATCCCATATCCCCTACCCTCCAGCAGGCCCTGTGCAGCTCTTGGTTTGGTTCAGGGAAGAGAATTGAATGATAGTTTTAGCCCAGAGTAAGGGTGTTTTGAGAGAGCAGGTGCATAAAGTTTTGCAGCTCATGGAAGCAATTTCCATTTCCCTGTACTTGGAGTTTTATAGCTCTAACTGCATGATCTATTCTAAAGATAAATGCTCACGGCAGGTGGAGCCCACCTGCAGGGCTTCCAGAAGAGAGCAGGGCCGGTGGTCCTGGAATGCTCTGGTCCTGCCTGCTTCTGAGAGTTGCTGTGAGGATCAAATAACTGTGTGGGAAATGTCAGTATCGTGCTGTATAGATGTTCCCAGGATAAGATGAATATGTACATGTTGATGCATCTTTTCTCAGTATTATGACCTTCTTTCTTAATCTAGCAGCAAGTGCCATATGGAAAAGCTCTTTCATCATTTTTCAATCAGCCTAGATGCCTAATTAAGCCATGTGTACAGCAAAGAATGGGGGTATGGAATAAGATGTTTTCCTTAGAAACCAGTAGTTCCTTTATGATGTTTTAAAGAGATGGAATTGGATTACCATATTATAAAGTTGATGCTGTGAGCATTTATCTTTCATATAAATCATATTGGTCCCCATGATGGGGATGCAAAACTCCGGATCCAGGGAAACTGAAATTGCTTCTGTGAGCTGCAGAACTCTGAGTATAGGGGAACTGAAATTGCTGAAGATAACCATAACTTTTCTTGAAGACTTGGGGTCATTCTTGACTGTCCCAGCCCTCATGGGGGCTACAGACTTGGGATAGAGACAGACTAACAGAGAAACCTGTACAGGATCGTGATTGTGAGTTCTATGAAGAAACAGAACAGGATCCAGTGGTCTTCAAAACAGAAAGGAATGAGGCTCTGTACAGCAGTTCCCCCTTAGGCATGGGGAAAACGTTCCAAGACCCCCAGTGGATGCCTGAAACTGCAGATAGTACCAAACCTTATAACACTATGCTTTTTGCTATACAGTAATGGTGGGTAGCTTATATAGCATGGGTACATTGGACAAAGGGACAACTCATGTCCCAGGTGGGACAAAGCAGGACGGGGCGAGGTTTCATCACACTGCTCAGACTGGTGCATAATTTAAAACGTATTAATTGCTTTTTTCTGGAATTTTCCATTTAATATTTTCAGACCTATATTGGCCACAGGTAATTGAAACCATGGATAAAGGGGGGGACTACTGTACTTAGGGAGGTCAGGAAGACAGTGAGCAAATCTGACTGCAAAAACAAGTCCCGTCCCTGGTCCTTAAGGTCTGATTTGGAAGTCCAGGCAGGCAGGTGTACGGTGTGGAGCTGCCTCAGCAGCGTTGACACCCTAGCTCCGTCACTGCTGAGAAGGTGAATCTGGACCATTTTCTTCTTCCTCTTCTTCTTCTTCTTTTTTTTTTTTGTGAAAGAGACAATTTAATGGGAAATTATGGTAGAAAGCAACACATTTTTTGTGTGCAATTGGAGAATCTGGACCATTTTCAATTCCACCTTCCAGAGCCTCAGTCTGTAAAGTGGAGCATGTTGTAGAATTTGGTAATCACATGGGATAATGTGGTGATGCAACTGGCCTTTAGTAGGCACCCCACAGTAACTGTTCCTGATTTTATCATTTTACTGTTGCACAAGACGATGGTAGTGTCATTATGAGGAGGGCCCACACACACCGTGCTCTGTCTTGGCCAGAACTGAAGAGAGGAAACAGACACTCATTGCTCGCCGGCTGAGTGGACGGCAAAGGGTGACTCAGCATGAAGGGAGGCATCCAGAGAGTCTCAGAACCCCATCTTTGACCATCTTTCAGGGTTGTCTATAAGTAGCCTCCCACCTGGGTGGGGTTGGTGGCTGGGCTGTCTGGAAGCTGGGAGCTGGGCTCTGAGGCCATTTATTTATTTATTTGAATCCTGGTCTGAGACTCTTTGAATTGGCCTGCCTTTTGGTTCTGGGGAAGGAAGAAAGAATCAGCAGATCCCAGGTCCTAGGTCCGCAAGGATGGGCATTTACACTCAGCACCCGGGGCCCATGATTCACGCTCTGGGGGCTTGGGCTGGCCCGCAATATGGGAAAGGCCTCAGTATCTTCCATTTGAAAAAAATCCTCTACAATTTAGTAAGATGGCATTTGGTATTATTTCTTAGGAAATCTGCACGAACAAGTATCTCTAACCCTAAAAAGACCTGAGAAAAACATCCAGTGTGCCCTCTCATTGTTGAGAGAAGGGGCCTGCAGGTACCTTAATGGGCAACTGGATGGTGAGTATGTGCTCAAAAAGACTAAAATACCTGTATCCATTTGCTCAGGGCTCCATACAAAGTATCAAAACCTAAGTGGCCTAAACAATGAACATTTGTCCTCTCACAGTTCTGGAGGCCAGAAGTCCAAAATCAAGGTGCTGGCAGTGTTGGTTCCTCCTGGAGGGTCTGAAGGAGAAGCCACTCCTTGCTTCTTCCTCCCTTCTGGTGATTCTGGGCAATCCTTCACATTTCTTGGCTTGTGGAAGCATCGCTCCAGTCTCTGCCTCCATCTCTCTCTGTGTCTCTGTGTGTTTTTCTCCTCTTCTTATAAGGACACCAGTTATTGGATTTAAGGGTCACCTTAGTCCAGTACAGGTTGGGGATCCCTTATCCAGAAATGCTTGGGACCAGAAGTTTTTGTGTTTTGCATTTTGAATGTTTTTGGATTTTGGAGTATTTGCAGAATACATACTAGCTGACCATCCTTAATCCAGAAATCCAAAATCTAAAATGTTCCAATAACATGTCCTTTGAGCATCATGTCAGTGCTCAAAAAGTTGTGGATTTGGGGGCATTTGTGATTCCAGATTTTTGGATTAGGAATGCTCAACCTGTGTAACCTCATCTTAATTTAACTACTTCTGCAAAGACCCTATTCCCAAATAAGGTCATATTCTGAAGTTCCATGTGGACATGAGTTGGGGTGGAGGGATACTCTTCAACTCATCACAACATCTTTATCTCACTGAATCTTCACAATACTTGGATCTTCATTTAATAGATGAGAAAAGAGACACTCAGAGAAATTCACTGACCTTCTTCAAATTCCCACAGCTGGGAAGTGGCAGAGGTAAGATGTGAACCAGGAACCTGCCTCCAAGCCCCTGTACTGTTGGTGCTGGGGCCTTCGTAAACTATAGAGGACAGCATCAACATCACATAAGGCAGTCCTTCGAGACCACTGATCTACATGCCAGAAACCTGTTAGAGTCATGACTTATTATCTCTCCACTTGACAGACGAGAAAACTAAGGCCAAAGGTGGTGGGAGGGAAGATGAGTAAAGTGGCTTGCTGAGATCACACAAGTGGCATGGTAGGGAACCCATGGACTGGTCCCCAAAATTCTCCCCCAACAATTAAACATTCTAGCTCAGTGTTAGGAGGTAAAAGGAGCTAGACACAAAAGGCATGTGTTATAGGCTCTACAGAGACAGCATCCTACAACATGTGCCTGGCTTCTTTCACAACAGGTAAATCTAGAGACAGAAAGATTAGTGGTTGCCCAAAGCCATGAGGAAGGGAGAATGGGACGTGACTGTTAATGAATATGCGATTTCTTGGGGGATGATGAAAGTGTTCTGGAATTAGACAGTAGTGATGGTTGCATGAATTGGTTATTAAGTAAAAGCTGAAGTGGGTAAACTCTACGGCATGTGAATTACATCCACCAGCTCTGGGAAGGTGATCTGCAGGAAGCAAGTATGCACAAGGCCTATGAGATGCAAAGCTTTTATTGTGGCAGAAATAGCCCAAGCCCTGGGTCATAAGCTCGTCATGCAAGAAGGCACTTCGAGGACTTTTCCTGTGACAGAATTTGTATCCTCGGTTTGTTAAGGCATGAACACCCCAAGAACAGAGAGAATTTCCAGAGCACCCTCCTTAAGAACTGCATGGCCTTGGAAAGTTACTTCCCTCTCTGGGCCCCAGTTTCCATACCATGAACCAGTGATCATGCAAACTCCCAGAGTGGTTGTGAGCGTGAAGTATTTTGATGGGGTCCCTTTGACCTGGGACTATTTTGCCTCAGCCAGCAAAACAAAATAAAAAACTAAAACCAGAATAAAACTCTCATGAACAAACGATTAAACTTTCAGCCATTGCTGTTGCCAAATCATGACCTCTGTTGCTCATCCCTGCTCCCCACCCTCATCCTTGGTGAAGGATCAGAGCTACATAAGGGTCAGGAATTGGGTAACAAGGAGATAATGCAGCACATGGCTGGGATCTACACAATGGAGACACTCCCCCTCTGAGTCATGAAGGCTGTGCTCAAGAGGCTCCAGCACTAGCATGAATTCCCATGAGGTCATCTGGTGTCCAGTTTGCATCTCTGCATCCTATTCTCACCCCTCTGTGGCCAGGGAAGACTCAGGAGCTAGGCCCCTTGCCTGGTCTCCTGAGCCCACCTGGACTTCTTCTCATTGCGCCAGCTTGCTGGAGCCAGAGAGGGTCAGGAGTTGAGGGGCTGCTCCTGTTGCCTCGCTGGGGAGGCTCTCCCAGCATTTTTTTTTTCTTTTTTTGCCTGCTAAGAGCCCTGCTCAGGTTTCCAGGCATGTGGTTTCCCCTGGATTGCAGACTCCCTTGAGTAATGCAGGCATCTGTGAACAAAATTCCCTGGAGGAGTGAGCTCCCTTGGGCACTTGTGGACAACTTCCTCCAAGTTCAGGGCACTTAGTGAGGGGGTGCAGTCTGGGTGGGAAGAGTGGGCACTGGAGGCAGAATGAAATATCTTCTGGGATCTGTCTAGGTTCTTGTGTCCAAATGGCTGGAGGGTAGAGAATGAGCCTGGAGCAGAGAGAGGGAGACATAGAGACAAGACAGGGACCAGATCATGAAGGGTCTTGCAAGCCATGTTACAGCTGTAGAACCTTATCGCAAGAGGGGTGGGACACTATGGAAGGGTTTCCCTTGGAGGATGCCCCCATCACACTCACTGCCAACACCACCACCATCATCATCATCATCATCATCATCATCATCATCAAAGCTAGTACATGTTCAGTGCCAACTATGTACCAGGCACTGTGCTAGATGCTTTCATACATTAATCCTATTAACAATTTTATGAGGTAGATACCATTATTATCCCCATTTTGCAGACAAGGAAATGTTGACTCAGAAAGGATAACTGAGGTACCCAAGACTACACAGCAAATAAGAGCCCAAGGCTGAACCACAAGTGGAATCCAGGTCTACCTAATCCTAAAGTCTTGGCTCCTGAACACAGTTCTCTATGTTTATAGCCTCCCCATGAATGTATTTGCATTCTTAAAAGACCATGTTGGCTGCAGAGTGAAGAATAAGAATTGGGAGATGGTAGTAGTTAGTATTGGAGGCACCCATGACAGACGATGGTTGGACATAGAAGGAAACATAGATTTAGGAAACACTTAGTGAGTAGAATCTAAAAGAGGTGCTGATCCTATTACTGGGTATATACCCAAAGGAATATAAATCATTCTATCATAAATACACATGCACATGAGTGCTCACTGCAGCACTATTCACAATGGCAAAGGCATGGAGTCAATGTAAGTGCCCATCAATTATAGACTGGATAAAGAAAATGCGGTACATATACAACCATGGAACACTATGCAGCCATAAAAAAGAATGAGATCATGTCCTCTGCGGGGACATGGATGGAGCTGGAGGCCATTATTCTTAGCGAACTAACCCAAGAACAGAAAACCAAATACCACATGTTCTCATTTGTAAGTGGGAGCTAAATGGTGAGAACACATGGACACAAAGAAGGGAACAACAGACACTGAGGTCTAGTGGAGGGTGGGGGTTGGGAGGAGGGAGAGGAGCAGGAAAAATAACTAATGGGTAGTAGGCTTAATGCTTGGGTGATGAAATAATCTGTACAACAAACCACCATGACCCAAGTTTATCTATGTAACAAACCTGCACGTGTACCCCTGAACTCAAAATAAAAGTTAGAAAAAAATAAAAGAGGTGCTGACCCACCAGATGGAACAGATGAAGGAGAGGGTACGTTGAGCGATGAGCCCCAGGTTCCTGGCATGGATGGATGGATGCATGGATGGAGGAGGGGCATTTATGGAGACAGACTAGGCAAGTTTTGTTTAATAAATGAGTGAAGGAATGAATACATGAATAATGAAGGGATCCCAAAGTGGCATGGATAATGAATTCCCCATCACTGGGAGTATGAAACAAGTGGCTTTTCATCAGGATATTGTAGAAGATACTCCTGATTTGAAGGGAAGTCAAGTGGTAGGCACTCAGTAAGTCTATATTGCATGAATAAATGATTGAATCGCTGCTGCGCCTATGATTCTAGGCCTCATGAGGGTCTCACATTCATGTAGTGGGAACTTGGTAATGAGTTATCCCTGCAGAAATGTAAGATGGAAGGAAATATTCAAGCACTGTTAATATTTTTTTTTTTTACATCTTCTTTCTTAAATTTCTACTGGTTGATTATATTTTAGAATGTACATCTTCATACAGATTAATAAGTATACATACTGGGTATGCATAATCAATTCTTTTTTTCCTATAGGAATATACAATCACAAAAGCTTGGAGACCACTGATCTACATGCCAGAAGCCTGTTAACAGATTGAGCAGAAATGAATAGCACCCCTTCCCAAAGGCTTCTGAGTGTGCAAGGCGGTACCCCAGGGACCAAACTCGGGGGTTTCGGGAGTTGTAACAAATGCTAGAGCTATGCAAAAACCTCATCCATTTATTATGCTCTACAGAAAAGACACATGTTTACATGATTTTCTCGTTTGGATGTGAAATGCTTCCTGTTTACAACATAACAGCTCATTGAGTCTTTCACAGGACAGATGTTCTTTATCAGGGCATCTACACCATGCATAGGGCCGCTCTTCTCCCGCAGACTCAGTTGCCCCTCAGACCAGGTGTGGATCCCCACATGGCCATTGCGGCAGAGCTCTGCTCCTAAGAGAGTCTCAGACCATCACGTGCTCTGGTGCTGAATGACTGCCCTGTGTGACAAAACACAGCCTCTTTTTTTTTTTTTCATTCACCATGTGTGGCACAGTTTGACTTCATTCTAATACTAATACTAAATGGTTTTTACTTCTTCTTTCACCTGTTTTCTTCCTCCAGATACTTACTGAGGCAGAGGAGAGTGGGTGGTGGGAAAAAAGAGTGGGTTGGGGGTAAGGAGGGAATCTTTTTTTTGACGCTTTTGCTTTAAAATTCAGAGTTGGATTGGTCAGGATTTATGGGCTCTTTGCCATGTAAATTTTTCTCATTCTCCAGGTTCTAGCCCTCCAGGTTCATTCCCTCCAGGTTCTAGCTTGCCAGGTTCTAGCCTGCCGGGTTCTAGCTCTCCATGTTCTAGCTCTACAGGTTCTAGCCCTTCCAGGTTCTAGCCCTCCAGGTTCTGGCTCTCCAGGTTCTAGCCCTTCTAGGTTCTAACCTGCCAGGTTCTAGCCCTCCAGGTTCTAGCCCTTCTAGGTTCTAGCCCTCCAGGTTCTAGCCCTCCAGGTTCTAGCTCTCCAGATTCCAGCCCTCCAGGTTCTAGCCCTTCTAGGTTCTAGCCCTCCAGGTTCTAGCCCTCCAGGTTCTAGCTCTCCAGATTCCAGCCCTCCAGGTTCTAGCCCTTCTAGGTTCTAGCTCTCCAGGTTCTAGCCCTCCAGGTTCTAGCTCTCCAGATTCTAGCCCTCCAGGTTCTAGCTCTCCAGATTCTAGCCCTCCAGGTTCTAGCCCTCCAGGTTCTAGCTCTCCAGATTCCAGCCCTCCAGGTTCTAGTCCTCCAGCTTCTAGCTCAGGTTTTAGCTTCTCTAGGTTCTAGCCCCTCCAGGTTCTAGCCCTTCTTGGTTCTAGCCTCTCCAGTTCTAGCCCTCCAGGTTCTAGTTCTCCAGGTTCTAGCTCTCCAGGTTCTAGCTCTCCAACCAGCTAATAAATATTCATTTATCAAGTGAATGAGTGCTGCCCTGGCACTGCCGATGGTGAACACCATTGCCATTCCTTTTCACACTCTTCTAGGGCTCATACTGGGCCACCTTCCAATAAACCATTGATTGACAGGAACAATCCCTTGGTTGCTGAGACAGGAACAGTCCCTGAGCAGGCCTGCACTCTCCCCCTTCCCAGGTACCGGCTGGTGGTGGGGGGTCTCAGCACTGTGATCCTCTGGGCAAGACCGATTAGAAATATCTTCCTCTGCCTCATCACAAATCAGACTTTGAAGACATGGCCTTCTCTCCAAATGCTCCTGTGTGTGTGGCGGTTGGGGCCTCAGGGTGGTGGGAATGACAGGTGGAAGGGAGCCAATGAGCACCTACTGTGTGCCAGACACTGGTGCTTCACACCGCCACCGGCTCCCAATACTGATTCTGCTCCACGGAGCTATTTCTAGACCTCAGTGTCTTTTCCTTATAGTAAACATATCCCAGTTACGTCTGCGTAATGATGCCTCACATGTACGTAGCACCCTTTGCTTTTCTAAGTACTTTATACCTGTTACTGCCTTTAACCCTCACAACGACTTCATGTTACAGAAGAGGGAACTGAGGCAGGGACAGATGGTTGTGCAATAGTTATTGGTTGAGCTGGAACCTTGGTCTCCCCCTTCTGCTGTCCATATCACCCACAGCACCCTGCTCGACCGTCTCGTCGAACAGCTTTCTGGTGGTGGCAGTGCCCAGTCGTTCCCACTTGAGTCTTTGAGTTCCTTCAAGATGGAGATGGCTCCTTCTCTTTCTTCCCTCTTGCCTACAGTGCTCAATACTGCATATACAGCAAGTGCTCAATATGTGCTTATTGGATTCTTCTTTGGCACAGACCTCCTTGTCCATCAGTGAGGGGAGCCATAAAATCCTGGTCTCCAGGTTGTTATCAGGGACCCCTCAGGGCTTAACCTTTATTAATGCAAGAAATTGTCCTTCAAAGTTCTAGCTGAATAGATTAAAGAAACCCAGGGCAACAACTCACTTGTGCACTCAGCCATTGCACCAAAGCTGGATGGCAGTTCTCCTGGAGATCTAAGTTGTCTTGCTGGGGCAGGGACGGAGAACACACGGGAGGGAAGCTCAGTCACTCCTCTCCCTGCCCCCAGGCCTCCTCCACTCCTGGGAAGGAGCAGGCTGGCTCAGGTGTGGCAGCAAATAAGAACAGTAATGCTGTTGTGATTTTGGAGTCCTTGGCTGTGCGTGAGTTCACCCCATCCTCACAGCCATGCTCCCTGCAAAATTGGGCAGGGCAGGAATTAGTCTCCGGTGTTTTACCGGAGACATCAACTCATTTCCCAAGGTCGTGCATAGATGTCTCCTTGGCATTCCTGGGCCCATGCTGAAAAGCAACTGTCCCTCAATCCTTACACAAATTCACAGCAGCCCTGCTGGCGTTTGCTCACTGTCTGCTCCCTGCCCAGTCCTGCAGTTTGTGAATCTGGCGTTCCACGGAGATGGAGGTCCGCAGTGTGCCCATGGAGTTCTCCATCTGAATGGGTTCTGACCTGCAGCCCCCTTTCTGGCACACTCCCTGGTACACCTCCCAAGACTTCTTTCGGAAGCGCTTGCCCACGATCACGTACACCAGTGGGTTGAGGCAGCTGTTGCTGTAGGCCATGAAGGAGGCGATCTGTGTGATTACATCGATGATGCGCTCGTCCTGGCAGCTGGAGAGGATGCCGAGGCGATGCAGCGTATCCAGGAAGGTGCTGATCTGGAAGGGCAGCCAGCAGATGATGAATAGCAGCAGCACAACCAGGACTAGCACCGTGGCCCTCCTCTCTGTCTGGATCTCCTTGAACTTCTGCATCTCGTTGTTCCGCAGCACCTGCATGATCTGCATCGTGCAGAAGGTGATGACACTCAGGGGCAGCAGGAAGCCCACGACATTCAGGAGCATGTTGGTGAACACTTCCCAGATGAGGGATGGGTAGCTGATGACACAAGCGGTGACGTTGTGGCCCTCATCGCTGTACTCCTTCATGGTCCGGAACACCAGCATGGGTGAGCTCAGGAGCAGCGTACACCCCCAGATCACCAAGCTGTAGAGCTTGGCCCAGCGCACGCCGCGCATCCGGCCCATGGACATGGTTTTCACCAGGGCCAGGTAGCGGTCGATGCTCACCAGCATCAGGAAACAGATGCTGCTGTACAGGTTCATGGAGATAATGGCATTCACCACGCGGCAGAGCGTCTCCCCAAAGAGCCAGTCGAAGTTGTTGGAGATGGTGATGGCCCAGAAGGGCAGCCCGCAGGCCAGGATCAGGTCTGCTGCGGCCAGGTTCCCCAGGTAGATCTCTGCCACCGTGCAGCTGCTCTTGTGCAGGCAGAAGACGCTGAGGACAAAGATGTTCTCTAGGGTGGCCAGCACGAACAGCACCCAGAGGAAGGGGGGCTGGATGGTGTTGAGCCAGCCCAGCCACTCCACTTGGGGGCATTTGCTCTGGGCAAAGGTCCCGTTAAGAGTGGGCCCTTGCAAGGTGACATTGAGCATGTCGGCGCTGAAAGAAAGTGGAAAAGAGGCTGTTACCCCTCAGGGTCACAAGGGAAGGACAAAAACTGGTCCAGAAGGAGACAGGGGTTAAGGACAACCAGCCAGGGCAAGGAGAAGCCGAGGTGGAGCTCAGGCTGTTTTCTGCAGCCCGCGCTCCAGTGCACCTGACTCCCCTGGGTCTTACAGAGCCCCCTCTGATCCTTGGATCTAAACGGGGGCCTCATGTTCTTCATCTCGAGGCTCCACTGGGATATTTCCTTGGCCAGTATCCACCAACAGCACTAACAATCTCAAGTGTTGGACCCTTGACCTCCTTGAAGCTTCCGTGATGGGAGGATTCACATTCCTTCCTTATCAACCGGGGCCCTCCCAAGGGAGTTGGTCACCTTTGAGCCTCTCAAAGCCGTGTGGTGGGTGAGTTAATTTATTAAAAGAGAAAAATGATATCATTCCAGACCTGGAGATTCCAGTCTGGCTTGGAGACCATGGCCAGCCCATCTGCCTAGTTTCTGTCTTCCTGGACAGTCTGTGGCATCGTATTTCCGTACCTTCTATCAGCAAAGCACTGAAGATGATTGGAGGATACAGATGGCGAGGGAGGGTGGGGACTTTGCAGCCAGATAGTCCTACTGGGTTCACATCCTGGCTGCCTTACTTATAAGCCGTGTGACGCTGGGGAAGTTACTTAACGTCCTTGAACCACAATGACCTCACCTGTAAAATGGGAGTTAAAAAAACTACCTCTCAGGGTTGTGATAGGGATCAGAGACAATGTGCAAAATGCCCCAAGCACTGCACTAGGCTCAATAAACATTAGTAATTAACAATTCTTGCAAACCCATTAAAATAACCAGTGGTAAACTCCAACACCACCGTTTGTTGGTGACCTCATCTTTAACCCACTGGCTCCTCTTTCATTCTTAGGCAAGACTCACAGACCATAGGGCAGGCACCTTTCTAGACTTGTTGCTGTAATTCATCTCTACCTTCAGCAGAGGCGTGGGGCTTGGACAGCCATGAGTTCCACTCCTAGCTGTGTGGTCTTGGGCAAAATGCTTGACCTCTCTGAGCTTCTATTTTGCCTTCTTTGGAGTAGGGTATTGCTCTCATCCTGAATCGCTTTGCATTTCTTTTTTCATGGCTGTTGCAACATTCAAGCTGAAGAGTGGATGCGAAGACACACTGAAAAGTCCAAAGCACAACCCAGAGGGCAGGACTCATTGGGCATTTTCCCAGTGCCCTGTGCTGTGGGTGAGAGAAGGAAAAGGGGCTCTTTCTGGAAGGTCCACTGATAGTCAGGCTCATGGAGGAAGAGCTGAACTACGAGTCACGGGAGAGATACTGATCATCACCTCTGGGATTTCCCAGGAAAAGTCCGTTTGCTTCTAGGAGCAGCTGGCTGGCATCCTGGAGCCAGACTGGGGGACCCACAAATCAATGCTTCTATCCTTTAAATGTTTTTTGAGCGTCTGCTCTGTGCTGAGCTCTGCCCTGAGTGCAAGAACACAAAGAAGACACCACCCGGCCCCTGCCCTGCCTGACTCCTGACAACTGTGGCCCAGAGGGTGGAGGGTGCCCTGGAGGGAGCAGGGGGGTTGTGGGACACAGACTTGGAGAGGGGGCTGGTGGGTAAGGGGTTGGAGGTGACTCTAGAGCTGGGTCTTGAAGGATAAGAAGCATTTTGACGGGACAAGAAGGAGGACAAGTGGACCAGGCAGGGGGAACAGCCTGAGCAGAGGCACAGAACTGGGGAAGCTGTTGGTATGTTCTGGAAAGTGACACTAGATGTTGGACAGGAGAGGTGGGAAGTAGCAAGAGGTTGAGTGAGGGAGTAAGCGTGGTCTTCACTGGGTGCTAAGGAAGTGAGGCTTTGCCCCTGAGTCTTAAGGAACTACAGTGATGGTATAAGAAGTATGCTCTAAAAAGATCCCTGTGGTGTGTGGTGGCTTTCATATGCCCCCCGAATTACTTGATATTCTTCATTTCAAAAGGAGGAATCTGCTTCCTCTTCTCCTGGACGTGGGCTGGACTTCTTACTAATGGTGGCAGGGATGGTGTGTGATTTCTGAGGCTAGGTCATAACATGCTTTGCAGCATCTTTCTTGGCCTTTTGCATTGCTTACTTGGAAGGATGTGAGCCGCCATGTGAGGATACTCAAGCAGCCACATGGGGGGAACCAACTTGCCACCTTGAAAGTGGATCCTCTGGCCCCAGTTACGCTTTTGGTGGCTCCTGGTTTCCTAGCCTTTGAATCTTCCAACCAAGGCCCCAGACATCTTGGAACAGAGATAAGCTGTCTCTACTGGGCTCTGAATTCTTGACCCATGAAAACTTGCAGCCTCCTTTCCAGAGTCCTCTGAAGGTAAGACTTCCCCTGGGTAGTCCCCTTGGTCCAACCCTCAACCCCATTTCTGTAGCTACAGAAAACCCATTTCCTGCATACCCCTGGCTTGGAGAGTCTGTCATCTTTCATGAGCTAACTCACTAGAGACCAAAGTATAGCACCAGATGCTGCTTATTAATTTCTCAGCAAGACAGTAGCCAAGGGGATGGATCCTGGCCCATCCCTGGCTCTGAGAAGCCATCGGATCATCAGAAAGATGCCTGCTGAGTGCGGAATTGGAAACTATAGGTCCAGTGCACTGTGGCCCCAGCTGAGATGGCCATCTGCTCATCTTCATCATAGGCAGCACCTGCAGCAGGGTGGAGAGGTTGGAGTGGACCCCTCAGCCTTGTTTCTTGCAAATGCTGTCCCCAAGAACAGATCTCCCTATCCTCTGCTTCTACTCTGGCTCAGGTCCTCCTCCCCCTCCCCTTAAATTCTCTCTTTAGGGTGTTCTGATCTCCCACCAAATGTCAGCCATGTGTTGGAGATATTTTGTCTCCAAGGCAATCTGGCACATTGCTGTCTGATCCACTGGGTATTTACTTTAATGTTTAACTCTCTTCCCTTCACTTCCAAGTTCATCTGGGATAGATCACATATGACAACCAGGAATGTGCCCTTCTTCTCCCTGAGCCCCTCTTCCTCTAGTTCCGCAGAACATTCCCTCTGCTCCCAACAGGCCTACAGGGACTTGGACACCTGAGAGGTTTTGTCTTTGGGCTTAACATCACTGGTTCCTTCAACTGTTGTCCGGGGCATGAGAGTTGAGCTTTCCAGGGAGTTCTCCAGGGTGTCTGCCCACCTCCCCTAACTAGTGAACTGAGGAATCCCTTTGACTCACCTGAAAGAGGCCGTGGTGGGCACGGAGTCCTCACGAACAGACAGAAACATTGATATCTTCCAGGGAGAGAACATTTGGACTCAGAGTGGGATGTGAGTGAGGCCACACCTGGGCTGAACAGAGAAGAAAAGATGGTTAGATGGCACAGGGGCTGGGGATTGCAAAATACACGCATTCTCCAGCAGGGAGGAGAAATGGAGACTGCTGAGTCCCTGACTCAATGGACGTTTGTGAAGTGCTCCCACACAGCGGTGCTAGGGATACAATGGCTAGGAGCTGACAGTCTACTGGAGAAGCCAGACATTGCTCAGTCACTTAATAACTGCAAACTGACCTGAGTACAGTGAAAAATCAAGCAAAAGGTCCTGTGAGAGCATAGAACATGGGGTCCCAAACGCGCCTGTGAGGGCGAGTGGATTATTGATGAGAACACTGAGGGTGAGCAGAACTAAACAGGGTGGAGGGATGATGGTGCAGGAGGATATCTCAGTCAGGAAGGCGCTTGGTGTGAATATGGATTAGGCCCTGGCTGCTGCTCAGGAAGTCAGGACTGCAGTGGGGGTAGAGTGGAAGCAAGGACCAGTTAGCCCATTAGCTTCGACCTGGGATGATGGAGACTGAGAGACTGGATTCCAGAGGAGTTTAGAGGGTAAACCTGACATGCCTAGTGCTTGATTGGACATGGATGGGGTGAGGACAGGGGCGAGGCAGGTGTCATGGCTTCCATCTCCTGCAAAGGCAGAGATGGGGGGCTGATTTAGAGGAGAAAGGTCATGTGTTTAGACTGGAACTGTTAAAGGCTGGAACTGTTAAAGGGGAGGTTCTTTGGAGAATTCCAGGCAGGTGGGGATGGGGATGGCTGTTGGGTCCAGCAGGGTCTGGAGCTCAGAGGAGGGGTCTGGACTGGAGCACTGTGATGGAGACAGGGTCTCGAGGGACTTTGAACCTAATAAGGGAGACAGACACATCTGAGTATTTCCAGTCCCTCCGGCTGGTTACCAATACAAGGTGCTGTCAAGTTCTCAGCCCAGGGCCTCCTCTGTGCCCCTAGTTGAAAGGGCCTTTTTGCCCAAGGGGCTTCCATTGACGACCCTTGTCTCTACCCCTCTTCAAGTTTCACATCACTCCCATCCAGGGAGGGAGGCATGGGCTCTGTGCTTGCCTCACAGAGGAGGAAACAAGGCGCAGATGGGTGGGGGTGACTTGTCTCAGTCCCATGGCTAGAGGTGGGGCTTAATCCCCCCTCTTTCCCTTCCAGACTTCACACTCTCTCCAGGACACCAAGTGACCCCTGTCTAGGAAGGGTGTGGAAAGCTGTGGTCTATGCATGTGCAAGTGTGTGAGTGCAGGTGTGTGTGTGTGTGTGCATGTGTGGGTATGTGGGTGTGTGTGTGTGCATGAATGTAGCCACGGATCTGCCACATCCCAGCTTTCAGCCACTCTGCAACACCCGGCACCTGGGTTTCCAGAAGCCCAGCTCCCCTAATTCAGTTGGGAGGTGGAGATCAGACAACGGTCAGTTCAGGGAATTCAAACACACTAAAACAAAAAGCTGAGTTGGTAAACAGGAAATGAAGTGGGAGGTAATTAACACCTGGAAAAGGTTTGCAGGAACCCCTAAGCACAGCTGGGATCAGGGTTTGGAACTTGCAAAGGATGCAACGAGCAGCACAGTCCTTCTGATCCTTCAAGGCAGGGAGTTTGCAGAGGGAAAGGAAGACCTAGGAGCTTTCCTCTCTGAGAGGCCCTCCTGGGCTCATAGAAAGAAAATTCAACAGTGGTGAGAGATCATGTGTTTGAAGCGTAATTTTTTTTTTTTTTTTTTTTTTTTTTTGAGACGGAGTCTCTCTCTGTCACCCAGGCTGGAGTACAATGGCGTAATCTTGGCTCACTGCAACCTCTGCCTCCCGGGTTCAAGCGATTCTCCTGTCTCAGCCTCCTGAGTAGCTGGGATCACAGGTGCCTGCCACCATGCCTGGCTAATTTTTGTATTTTTGGTAGAGATGAGGTTTTGCCATGTTGGCCAGGTTGGTCTCGAACTCCTGACCTCAAACAATCCACCCGCCTCGGCCTCCCAAAGTGCTGGGATTACAGATGTGAGCCACTGCACCCGGCTTAAAGCATTCATTTTAAAAAGCATTTAACAAATTATTGACGGTCTATCATTTGCTGGTGATTCAGAGGGGAAGAATGAAGACCAGCCTCCCCTGTCCTCTTGGGGCTCACTCGGGCTGAACTGTCCAGCTGAGAAGCCTCAGCCTGCATGTACAGCTTCCATTTCTACACGACAGTGACCGCCGCACAGATAAGTCAGGTCCTCACAGCTCAGTCATGGGGGACGTGTCCAGCGTTTCCTCGCTGGCCTCCATTATGGGTCTGTTGTGCATCTACCTGGCTGGGTGTCCCCAGATCTGGCCACATCAGCCCAGCTGGATCCTAATTGCTTGCTAGTGGCTGTAAACATTGCTCTCATTTTCAAAACAAAGTTGAGGGCTTTCCCTCTCAACTTTCTCCCGAAGTCCAGAGGGCAGGCGGGTTGAGGAACTGGGAGAATTTGGGAGTCTGAAGTCTACTGAGTTGTTTTCTCCATCTGCTCTAGAGGCGTGCCCTGGGTGAGGATCCCTGTCAGGGAGCTGCTGTGTCCTGCTCCAGGTCACCTCCTGGCTTCTCCTCTGTGGCCCCTGCTTGGGAGCCCTGATGGGTACCACGGAGCTCTTTGCCTTCCGGCTTCTCTTTGGGTTTGGCCAGTGGGAGCCCCAGCAGGAGCCTGAGGGAGGGTGAGAGGGAGGATGGGGTGTTGTTGGCTCCTCTCTTGGGGGCCTTTATGCTGGCCAGACCTGGAGCAGAGTTCACTGCTTTTATCAGGGGCCTGATCGCGAGGGGGGAAGGAGGTAGGGAGGGTGCTGAGGCTTTGCCGTACCAGCCCTGAGGCACCCAGGGTGCTGCCTGCTCTTCGCAGAACCCCAATATGCTGCCTACAGCACTGTAAAGAAACGCTTCATTAACATCCTCTTCCTATTACCCAATTGGAATGTGCCCTCTTTTTTTTACTGAGACCCTGATGAATGCATCCTGGGAATATAAAGTCAGGCGGGGAGGGGGTGCTCCAGGTGGGCCGTTGTCTGTGGGATCTCCATCTCTCTGGACCACAGTTTCCTTGTCTACAGAGCTAGGAGGGTGGACTCATGTGCCTCACAGACACAGATCCTCAGAGCTGGGGACAGGTGATGACTCTGCTCCTGGGTTTTTCCCCTGATTTTTTAAACAGATGCCTTAGAGGGAACATCCAACATTCTGATTCACTCATTCTCTCTCTCCCTCAGAATTCTATCCAAGAAGACTTACTGTAAAAACACTTTCTTCATTTACTCGCACAGACACCGTGGGCCTGGGCTGTTAGAAATCAATTCCACTTGAGCCTTGGAGACAGCCTGTTTTGGTTTCCCAGGAATCCACACCTTAGGGCCTTTGAAGCAGTGGCCTCCACGAAATACATAGTGTCACTGTCTCAAGGGCCAACTGTGCCTCATGTGGGGCCCGCGACCTTGTAGCCAATGATTCAGGGCACGCTACCCCAAAATGTGGCAGCTTCGCATGTTGAATATTTTAAGTGGAAAGAATCCAAGAAACAGCAGGCGCAGAAGGACTATGTGATTGTTCCCTGAAGCAGGACACCAGACTCCACAGCCAGAGGAAAGGGGCACCGTCCACTCCGAGCACTGGGGACACTGAGAGGAGCCCCGACAGGCCTTGCTGTTTCTCCAGTTCTCTGTACTTCGCTCGTGCCCCCTGGTCCCACCACAGCCCCATGATTCTCCACTGTTCATGACATCTAATGGAAACACTCAGGCCGGTCACAGTGGTTCATGCCTGTGACCCCAGCACTTTGGGAGGCTGAGGCAGGCGGATCGCTTGAGCCCAGGAGTGGGAGACCAGCCTGGCCAACACAGCCGAGACTGTGTCTACAAAAAGTACCAAAAAATTAGGTGAGCGTGGTGGCACACACCTGTAGTCCTGGTCCTAACTACCTGGGAGGCTGAGGTGGGAGGATCAGCTGAGCCCGGGGTGATCGAGGCTGCAGTGAGCCGTATCGCACCACTGCACTCCAGCCTGGGCTATAGAGCGAGACTCTGTCTCAAAAAAACAAAAAGGCACTCAGGCTTAATCACTTCATTTCCTTATGAAGGTTCCCATGTCACATTAAACTTACATTAAATTAATTTGTTCACTTTTCTCTTGTTCATCTGTTTTTTGTTTCAGGGCCCCCAACCAAGAACTCGGAAGTGGAGAAGGAAAAGATATTTTTCCTTCGGATGTCAACTTGTGTCCCGTATTTTCTGACTGCACGTTAGAGCTGGGAAGCATTTCCCAGCAAGGGAAGTAGTTTGGCCTGGTAAACAACCTTGAATTGAATAATCTAGTCGTTCCTCCTGATTAGGCCAACAAGAACGTCTCAGCGTGGTGTCCGTGCACTTCAACGCCTTTCTATGTGCGTAATCTCCTTTTTCAACAGACTGAGCAGGTTCAGAGCCTTGGCTGGTCCCCGAATCTACCCAGGCTCTAATAGCATTGTTCACATTCTATTGCTTTTATTTTGTACAGTTATCATCTTTTTTATGATAAGTGATACTCATTTTCCATTTAAATTGGTGACATGAAGTTGCAGTTCAAAAGTAAGTCACTACTAAAGAAATGGTTGTACAGGTGACATGGATGTGGCAAAAACTGTGAACGTGAATGTCAATGGCTAAGTGTGGGAAACACAGCCTGAAAGCCTCTAGCTGGAAACGTGCATTACGGACGGGAAGCCAGCCTGGCGGTTAGGCCGATGGGCTCTGGAAGCTGACTGTGAATTGAGTCCTCCTCTCTAGAGCTCGTTATTTAACCTCATTGCACCTCGTTTTTTTCAACTATACAGTGGGGATTGGTATTTTAAACAGCCCCATCTCCTAGGGTGCTGTGTGGAGTAGACGAGTCCGTGTGTGTCAGATGCATGGAGCACGTGGTCAATGTGTTCGAGAACATAAGCTGTTCTTCCTGCACCAGCCCAGGAGGCCCGTCTGCTTTAGCTACACCAGGGGCTGTGGGGTGTCAGGGATTCCCTTCCACCTGGCCAGATCTCCTGCTCACAGGCCAGCTGAGGTTTCCAGTCATTCATTACACAGCCGGATGGAGAGATGGGGGATTTTGCTGGGACGCCACCAGTCTGTCCATCCAGGAGAGCTCTTGAGACAGCTGGGCTCCATCCTTAGTCAGAGGGCGGCTGTTCTCCCTCTCCCTCTGCATCTCCTATCTCCTCTCAGTGGCAGCTGAGCACATGGTGTGCGTGCATGCGTGCATAAAGTGCATGTGCATCTGTCCCACCATATTCGCTGTACTTGGAGAGGAGGACCCTGCCTTGCTCATCTTCCCACCCTGCATCACGCCTGCAGCTGAGTTTTGCACATCCCAAACTCTTGAACAATATTCGCTCTGTAAATAAGTGAAATCCTTCAGACCACCCAGCAAGTCGATGTCAAGGCCAGAGCTAGAAAGAACCAAGATCTCCTGAATCCTTTCCCTGACACCTCCCCAGAATAAATGTTTTCCTCTAAAAGCTGATTGACGTGGTTACTGAGTCTGGATGCTGTTTTTAGGGCAGTCACGAAGGTAAGCCTCAGGCCACAGCAGGCAGGGGGTGGCGGAAGGGGGTGATGGCGCCTCATAAACCATATGAGCCTCAACAACCAGAGCTGCGTGGCCCTCAGCAGGGTTTCCAAGAGTCCCTTTTCTTTTCTTCCCTGAAAAGAAGGCCAAAGCTGTCTGTAGGGGGAAGACGGGGTTCTGGGAAGTGACCTCCATTCTCAGAACTCCCAAAGAGAATTGAGTCAGAAGATTTGATTCAATCCCAGACATATACATGTAAGTCCTTCCAGCATTTGGACACTTTATGGGCCTGGAATGTTCTGGAAACACTTTCAGTGGGGACATGAGGGAGCCTGGAGAAGCAGAGCCCCTCATCCATCCTGCTTTCTGCAAGGGAGGAGGAGGCCTGCCGGCCTGGCTTTGCTCACCCTTGGATACCCCGGAACTTATTTTATTCTTGGCTTTTTTTCCTGTTCACTGTGGTTAGATTATTCTGCTCAGTGTGTTTTGTTTCTTTCCCCAAACTGGGCTTTTCAGTTTTATTAAATAAGCAATTTCATTTGACATCCTAATACCACTCATTCCCCTTAAAAAAAATAACATCTCTCTCTTTAAAAAAAAAATAAATAAATAAATAACTAGGCTGGGTGCTGTGGCTCACGCCTGTAATCCCAGCACTTTGGGAGGCCAAGGCAGGTGGATCACCTGAGGTCAGAAGTTCAAGACAAGCCTGGCCAACATGGTGAAACCTCACTTCTACAAAAATACAAAAATTAGCTGGGCATGATGGTGGGTGCCTATAATCCCAGCTACTTGGGGGGCTGAGGCAGGAGAATCGCTTGAACCGGGAGGCAGAGGTTGCAGTGAGCTGAGATCCCACCGTTGCACTCCAACCTAGGTGACGGAGCGAGACTCCATCTCAAAAAAAAAAAAAAACTACAGCAAAGAGCATTTAAAACTAATATTAAGCCCCGTCTCTACTAAAAATATAAAAATTAGCTGGGTGTGGTGGCGGGCGCCTATAATCCCAGCTACTTGGGGGGCTGAGGCGGGAGAATCACTTGAACCCAGGAGGCAGAGGTTGCAGTGAGCCGAGATCGCACCGTTGCACTCCAGCCTGGGCGACAGAGCGAGACTCCGTCTCAAAAACATAAAAATAAAAGAATAACTACATGAAAGAGCATTTAAAACTAATGGGAAAATCTCCCAGAGTTCCATCCCTGGGCACAGCTGTTTATGTATGCCACATCCAACTATGTTCTGTCACCGTGGTTTTACATGAAACCTCCTGTCATGGGAATTTATCCGTGTTGCTCCATCATGGCTGTAGTAATGACGCCTTCAAAAAAGGCATTGCATTTGTTTATTTTTGTTTACTAAACCATTCCTTTATTCCAATCCTTTTTAATTTTTTTTTTTTGTTGAGACGGAGTCTCGCTCTGTAGCCCAGGCTGGAGTGCAGTGGCATGATCTCGGCTCACTGCAAGCTCTGCCTCCCGGGTTCACGCCATTCTCCTGCCTCAGCCTCCCGAGTAGTTGGTACTACAGGCGCCCGCCACCACACCTGGCTAATTTTTTTTTTTTGTATTTTTAGAAGAGACAGGGTTTCACCGTGTTAGCCAGGATGGTCTTGATCTCCTGACCTCATGATCCACCTGCCTCGGCCTCCCAAAGTGCTGGGATTACAGGCGTGAGCCACCAATCCTTTTTAATTTAATTTTATTTTCAATTTAATTTAATTTAATTTAATAGTGCCACAGCCACGTTGCTGTACTCCCTGATCTCCAAGGACCTCTTCTACAATCTGCCCTAGGAGCCTTTGCTGGGTCTGCCCCCTGCCCGGGTGCCCTGCCTGATTCTGCTCTGTCACTAACCCTCCGTGGCCGCCTCTAGGTGCTCTGCTGCGGTGAGTCTGTGGGTCCACCTGGCTGGATGACAGGCCCCAGTTATTCCATTTCAAGCTAATCTTGGTGTTGGGGTGAAGCAGTTTGTCTGTGTGGTGACAGCCCACAGCCAGCTGGCTTTCACTAAGGAAGCTTGTCCTCAACTCCCTGCATGGGCCTGAGTCAATCAGTTGAAAGGACTTAGAGCAGATCTGAGGTTTCCTGGAAGAAGAAGAAATTCAGCTTGCGGGCAGGAGCTTCGGTCCAAGGCTGAGTGTTCTGGCATTCCCAAGCGACTTCTGACTTGCCTAGTCATCCCTACAATCACATAAGCCAGTTCCTTGCAATACATCTCTTAATCTGTGTCTCCTATTGGTTCTGTTTCTCTGACTGATATCCCCCTGCAAGCAGAAGGTTCTCTTCCACCTCTACCTGCCTCCTGCTTCTATAACATTTATTATAGGGTATAGCTATAAGAGTTGCTTGTGTTGTTATTTCATTTCTCTGTCAAGTGCCTGACACCTAGTAGGTGTTTAATAAATGGTCGTTGACTGACTGATAGAGGGCAGGGTGTGATCCTTATTTCTCCTCTTCTCCCCAGCAGACATAATTGCTGGGTGGAGGCAAAAGGAAATGGAGCTCACAGTGTGCCCCACCTGTTCCAGCCTCAACACTGCACTGAGTGGCTGATGCATTGCTATTCCCATGTTCCAGATGGGAAAGCAGAGTCAGCGAGGCAACCTGAGACAGTTCAGGTCACCCTGCTCATCAGAGGCAGGGCCAGGATTCAAGCCTGGGTCTGCCTGAGGCCAAGTGTCAAGTCCTTTCTCTGGCTCTGGATTGGCTCCCACCCAGTGAGGTTCTTGGTGCAGGTGATATGGACAGGAGGCAGGGAAATACTGGGTAGAGGAGGACAGCTCTCTGGCAAAAGCCCCACCCACAAGCCTGGGCCCACGGCCCTAAATGAGAACTTCACATTCCTGTTTTCCCACCTGAGTGTTGCTTTTGCCAAAACCACCCTGGCCCACCATGCCCCCCATCCTATACCCATAAAAACCCCAAACTCCACTGGCAGAGGAGCAGAGCAGCATGGCAGAGAAGGAGAGAAGAGAAGAAGTGTCTGAATGTGGAAGAGGCAGCTGGACAGTTGGAGAAGAGTTCAGCCATCTGGAAGAGTACCTTCCCACTCCATCCCCTTTCCAGCTCCCCACCCGACTAAGAGCCACCTCCATCACTCAATAAAACCTCTGCATTCACCATCCTTCAAGTCCGTGTGACCTGATTCTTCCTGGATGCCAGACAAGGACCCAGGTACCAAGAGGGCAGGGTGTAAAAGGCTGTCACCCTCACTCTCCACTGAGTTGGTTAACACTTAGCCATCAGTGAATGGCAACTTCTAAAAGAGCATTAATTGTAACACAACCCTAGACGGTACTGTAGGGCCAGAGCCCAAAAGCGCTTGCCCCGGCCCCAGCACCCACTTGCTTGCATGCTTCCCCTCACACAAGGGATTTGAGCAAGTGAGCCACACCCCTGTCACCGCAAGTCCCAAGAAGGGGTCCAGGGAACTCTCCCTTCTCCCAGGGCAGGCCCCAAGGAATAGTGAGGGATTGAGCAGGTTCACAGGACTGGCTGTCTTGGAGGGGATGCTGTGGCTTATAGCCCTCCAGGGAACAAGCCCTGTGCAGGGGGCAGCTTGGACCTGGGCTCAGCTGGCCACAGGAGTCGGGGGCTGCTGGAAAGTCAGCAGCATAGGTCAGCAAAATTGGCAGCCACCCCGTGTCTCTTCTCTCCCCCAGGGCTCTGATGGGTGTTCCGTCCCTGAGACAATTTGATGACGCAGTTTCCCATCTCCAGAAATCTGTCTCGCAATCTTGCTAGTCACCTTTGATTTGGGGCTTGAGCCGAGTGTGGCCAGCAGGCTACAGAGGAGTAGCCACAGTGTGCACGCATGTGTGTGCATTTGTGTGTGTGTGTGCATGTGTGTGTTTGTGTGCACACGTGTGTTTGTGCACATGTGTGTTTGTGTTGGTGTGTGTATATATGTGTGTGTGTTTGTGTGTGCATGCATGTGTTTGTGTGTGCATGCATGTGTTTGTGCACACATGTGTGTGTTTGTGTGTGCACGTGTGTGTACACGTGTGCGTGCATACATGAATGTTGGAAGAGCATGGGTCAAGTGCCTGGAGATGTCCCCAGGGGGTTGGAACTACACAAGTCTTGTGGTTTCATGACTGAGGCCCACTCCCTATCAGAAGCCCAGCTCCCACTCTTTACCTTGGACAAGTGGCTTAACTCCTCAGGGCCTCAGTTTCTTCATGTGTCAAATGGGGATAATAATAGCACCTACTTTGTGGGGTTAATGTGAGCACAAAGTACATTAATGATTGCAAAGCCCTTAAACAATACTTCACATGCTTCAAACACTCCAGAAATGCCAGTGTTTCCTTTCCCTTTGTGTGACATCCGGTTTCCATCACAATTTTATTGGAGGAAAGACTCCTGGTAGTTAAGAAGAAAATGCCCAACCTCCCCCAGCCTGTCTTTTGCAGAAGGGAAAACTGAGGCCTCGAGAGGTGAAACGATGTCTACAGCCACACGGCAAGGCAATGCCAGCCTGGAGCAAGAGCCCGGGCTTTGCCTGTCTCTTGCTGGAGTGGCTTTTAGGGGTTTGACCCAGGTTAGAGGGACTCAGGTTCTGGGGCCAGGGCTGTAGCCCTCTCGGACACTGCCCGAGGGGCTTTCTGACTTGAGCATAGGGTTATTAGACTGGACATATTCCTCCCTCCATCTTTCTTCCGCCGTTGGAATTCTTGCCAAATTAACCTTACAGAATCCTGGAGTATTAGTGTGGGAAGGGCTCTTGGAAATTATTTCATCAGAATCCCTCATGCTACAGAGATGGGCATGGAGGCCCAGAGACAGAGGGTGGGCATTCTACCAGGACACACAGCCAGTTTGGCTGAACCTAGTTCCTAGGATCTTGGTATTCAGCCACTTTGTAATTTTTTTTTTTTTTGAGACCAAGTCTCACTTTTGTTGCCCAGGCTGGAGTGCAATGGCACGATCTCGGCTCACTGCAACCTCTGCCTCCCAGGTTCAAGCAATTCTCCTGCCTCAGCCTCCCAGGTAGCTGGGATTACAGGCATGCACCACTACGCCCAGCTAATTTTGTATTTTTAGTAGAGACGGGGGTTTCTCCATGTTGGTCAGGCTGGTCTCGAACTCCCGACCTCAGGTAATCCGCCCGCCTCAGCCTCCCAAAGTGCTGGGATTACAGGCTTGAGTCACCGCACCTGGCCTGCCACTTTGCTTTTTAAAATCGTCCTACAGTGCTCCATTGCAGGTGGAAGACACAGCAGTGTGCTAACATTGTCTGATTGTCAAAACCAAGACCTCATACCCCAGGCCGAGGCAGAGGGGTAGTGGGGGTGGAGAGTGGGGAGCTTACATCAAACCTTAAGAGCAATGGCCTTTGCATGGTGGTCATGATGTCCTCATTCCACTTTCCTGCATGCCATTCATGTATACCAGGAAAAAATAGAAACCCTCACCAGAGAGCAAAACCAAAAACCACATAGAAAGGAAGGCTGCAGGTCTGGAAGAGGGTGTGTTTCCCAGAAAAGCAATTCCTAAGGAACAGCTCAGGCTGGGAAGTGAGCCGTAGCTGGGTGTGTCCAGGAAGGCTGTTTCTCCCGCAGCCTCTCCAGCCCCCTGGTGGTCTCCGGTGTCCTGGGGATGGCACAGGCCCTGCTAGGGTGGGAGTGGAGGGTGGTGGGCGGGGTCTCTGCCTAACCAGTTACTGGCCCTGCTCCTCCACCACGTGCAAACCTGGGCTGTGACCTTCTTCCCACCCAGCTGGGTATACAAAACAAGGAGGAGGAGACACAGTAAACAGAGAACCCTAACTGGTAGGTCACAGAGAAAAAGGAATCCTGAACTGGTTTGGGCCCTGCCCAGCAAGCAGGCCAGAGGAGCCGGGGAGAGCACTGAGCTGGGACAGGTGGAGTTTTATCCCTATCTGCACAGGGTAGTATCTGGGGTCTAAGGGCTTCCCACAACATATCCTAGGTGCTGAAGGGACCTATACTATTGCCCTTTCAGCTCCTGGGAGTCGCTTTCCTGCCCCTTTCATCCGTTCCTTCCTTCATTTTACTCTGCTTAGTGTGACATGGCAGCACAGGCACACACATGGTGGGCAGGGCCAAAAAAAAAATTAGGATATCAAGCGACATCTTAGTGCCACCCTACAAGGGCCACCTCCAATCTCACCTCCTCTAAGAAGCCTTCCCTGATTTCTCAGCCAGCCAAGATCCCTAGTCTGAGACTCTATAGCAAAGAGGTGGAAGGAATATTGTCTAAGGGTCGTAGGCCCAGGACCAGGTGTGCCCTTGGGTAAATGCCTCGGCATCTCTGAGCTTTAATTTCCTCATTGGGAGAATGAGGGGATGTAACAGATGATTCTGGAGACCTTTGTACAACCGTAATGTCTTTAAAGAGGGGGATGCAGTGAACTCCCCATCCTGAGAGGCATGCAAGCAGAGGCAATGGGATCAGCACACTGAGTCTGCAGAGGTTCAGCTCCTCACCCATTGGCATCCAACGGCTCTTCTGGAGATGGGAGGAACAAATCTGTCTTAGCAAGTTCCCCTTCACTGGGTGTGGCACAAAGGAGGCTGCTCCCTGCCTTGCTCCCTGTGGCTTCTGAAGATCCTGGGTCCTGGCCCTGACCTGTCAGTCCTGCTCACAGTCTCGCCCATCTCAAAGCCTCACCCTAGCCATGTGACCTTTGTCTTCTATCCAATTCCGCTCAGGAGGTGGAGCCCCTTGGAATTGAGGGAGTCAACCTTCAGAATTCCAGAGTTCCTGGTTCTGCCAATGTTACGCCTTTTCTAGAAAGGAGCAGGAGAGAAGCATGTTCCTTAGAGCTGATCTGCAGGGAAACGGGCCCAGAATCTCTCAGGACTGGAGAAGCAGAGAAGACAGGAAATGTTGAGCCCTGAGCCCGAGGCAAGAACATTCAGGTCATGCCTGAACTCAGAAGTCAGATGAACTCGGGACATGTCTTGGCTTTGCCTCCACTGACTGGAAGACCTAGGGCAGGTGACTTAACCTCTTGGTAAATAAGGATAACCTCCCTGGAACAAGGCACTGGGAGCACCGTGACAATGTGCAAAGTGCCTGCAACATATCTTCATTTCATTTATATTGTTTCCATATTTTTAAGCACATTACAGAGAAACCCCTGCAATGTAGGGACTAATATTATCATCCCCATTTTGCAGACGAGCAAACAGAGGCACAGCTAGCAAGACTAGAGTTGAGATTTGAACATAAGCAGTCTGGGCCAGAACCTCAGGTGGAGATGATGGTTCTTTTTTTTGCTTTTTAACTTTTTATTATGGAAAATTTGGAATATACCCACAAGTAGATAGACTAGCATAATGAAACTCCACATACTTCACCCAGCTTCAGTAATTACCAACTCGCAGCCAATCTTTTTCTCTATGCCCAAACCTACCTTACCCCTCCTGTAATATTTGCAGTAAATCCTGCATGTCTGTCATTTCATCTGTAAATATTTCACTATTCTTCTCTAAAAGCTAAGGACTCTTATTTCAGAAAGCATAACTAGACAACCATTATCACATCTCGAAGAAACTGACAATAATTCCTAAATGGCATCAACTATCCAGGAAGTATTACAACTTTCAATCATATGAATTTCACGCTACTTTCTTCACAGCTGGTTTTCTTGAATCAGAATGCAAATGACTTTACACATTGGGTTGTTTGATAGGTCTCTTAAGTTTCTTTTCACCTACAGCCTTCCCTGCTATTTCTTTTTTTTTTTTAGATTATAAAAACTTCCTTGTTAATCAAGGCTTTTAACATGAACAGATTTCTTGAATAAAATGGAAAGTTTCCAGTACGCTGAAACATAAATCCACAAGTGACCTTACATACAACACCAGGCAGGAAAAAACAAAAACAGCAAGTTGACATGATCCCTGTAACAGCCATGGTCTCAAACTCAGATGCTTCCTCCATCTGCCAAGTGTGTTCTGGATACAGAGCACATTGTGCCTCCTAGGGTCACACTCAGCTGAGGCTGTGGGTCCACAGAGCACTCATCTGGCTGGGCTATGGTGGTGGTGGCTCTACTCAAGAAGCAAAGCAGTTACCAGCACATTCAAACAGTGTATTGAACATCTTTTAAATATCAAAGTGAGAAACAAGAAGGCAACATAATAATGTTATCAGAAAGATGTTAGGAAGTAAGGACAGCTGTGTAAAGCTTGAGTCTGAAAAGTAGCTCGCCAGCTTCATTTCTTTGGCTTCTTGGGTGGTGGGCGCCGGAACAGCAAGATGTGAGGTTCTGATTCATGGATCATATTATGGACCCATCCCTGACTCTGCTGAACGCCAAGATTCCTCCATTCAGATTCAGACATCAAATGGGTTTTAGGGACCAGCTTGGCTATGTCCTTGGGCAGCATGACATGTCGATACTCAAACTCCTCGTCGTCGTATCTGTCCGAATAGTGAATTTGTTTGTGTGACATGATCGCTCGGTTTGCTAGCCTTCAGCCCTGTGCCGCCAACCTCCAAGCAACTCCCAACAGCACACCCTTCCTTGCTATTTCTTACTGTCTTTTCTTCCAACTTCCAGTTGTTTGTTCTACAGAATTTTCCATAGCCTAGAGCGGTCGGTGATGTCCAATAGAACTATAAAGTTAGCCACAGAAGTAACTTCAAATTTTCTAGTAGCCACATTAAAAAAAGTAAAAAGACACAGGTGAAATCAATTTTGGTTATATATGAGATATAATCAAATATATCCAAAACATTATTTTAATATGTAATCAATACAAAAAGTCATTGAGTTATTTTATATTATTATTTTTTCCTGCTAACTCTTCAAAATCTAGTGTGTATTTACACTTAGCATACCAGTTTGAAGCAGCCACCTTTCAAGTGCTTGGTGACTGCATGTGGCTGGTCACTGCCATATTGGAGAGTGTGCAGCTCTGGAGTTTGACCATTGATTGCATTCTTCTCACAACCTGTGATATCGTGATATATTAGGAAATACATATTTGGTCTTTGACACCAGTTCCTGACACGGAGCTCCTAACTCCCTTGACATTTCTAGATGATAGGCACATCTTTTGTTCTAATGAGGTGGCTCTTGGTGGTGGCTGGATAGGCTCAGGATGGGGGCTGTCATCAGAATGACCAGGCCATGATACAAAGCTTGGAACTTTCACCCCACATCCTCCAGGAAGGGAAGAGGGGCTGGAGATTGAATTTATTATCCATCATGCCTATATGATGAAGCCTCCATCAAAATCCCTAAAAGACAGGATTGGGAGAGCTTCCGAGTTGGTGAACGCAGGGAAGTGCTGAGCTGGTGGTGCCCCCAGAGACAGCACCGAAGCTCCAGGCCCCTGCCCCACGTGTGGGTCTGTGCCTCTCTTCCACCTGGCTGTGGCTGAGTGGTGTCTTTTATTATAAGTCAGTAATGTAAGTAAATGTTTCCCTGATGCTGTGAGCCATCCTAGCAAATTACTGAACCCGTGGAGGGGGTTGTGGGAACCCTGCCTTACAGCTGGTTGGTCAGAAGTGCAGGCCACTTGAGACTTGCGATGGGTTCTGAAGTGGCGGCAGTCTTGTGGGACTGAGCTCTTATCCTGTGCTGCCTCCGGGCAGATAATGTCAGAACTGAACGGAATTGTAAGACAATTTCTGAGGAAATAAACCCACACATTTAATCACAGTGGCATCGAAAGGATTGAGTGGGAAACTGTTTTCCCTACACAGAGCCCTCAACCCCTATGACCCACTCAATCGTCCTTAATCCTTCCTCTCTCTCCTCTCCAGTGACCTTGGCCCCTTCTTTCTAGAGTCAGGCTTTCTGTCTGTCCCAATGTCCTTTGTCCTTACCCAGCCTCTTCCTTGCTGCTCTAAACACCAGGACGCTCTGGTTCCCCACAAGCCCCCTTGCACCAACCACTCAAGCACCTCTAGCAAATCTTCCTCCTCCAGGAAGCCTTTCCAGACAGCTGACTCTCCCCGGCAACCCCTCCCAAATAAACTCAGAACTCTGTCCTCCGGGTGTCTACTCAACCACACTGGTTCCAAGGTCCCAGTGTAAATACTGTGAATGTCTGTTGACGTCTCCTGAGTCCTCGCATACCCTACTTGAGCGAGGGGCTAGGACTGTGCCCACATTGGTGGTCTACAGCCAGCAGGGCTCCAGACAGGACACCCACCATGAATAGCATCAGGACAATGCTGATGACGACAACGAAGCTGATGAGCTTGCACCAGCATTTACAGAGCATTTCCCTGTTTACATTGCATTCATTCAACAAATTTATGAGTGCTTAGTCTGGGCCAGCAACCAGGGAATAATAATAGCTTCAGTTTTTGGAGGCTTACTATGAATGCCAAGCAATGTTCTAAGCACTTTCCATGAAATAATTCATGTAATCCACACCTATTTTAGATGCAGGCACTGGTACTATCCCAATTTTATAAAAATTGGAGGAATAGAGCAGTGAGGTGACTTGTCCAGAGTCACACAGAGGTGGCTTGTCCAGAGTCACACAGCTGGTGATGGGTGGAGTTGGGATTTGAACCCCGGCACCTCACTGCATTATCTCTCTTTATAGGGGGATATAGTGGTGAAGGACAGATGGTGCCTGCCCTCAGGGGTCTCCCAGGTGGTGGGAAGTGTGCCCAAGTTGGGGACAGGAGGTGTGGGAGGCTTCGTGGGGGAGATGATGACCTGAGGCCATGGCTGTGTCCACGCACTCCAGGTAGCCTCAGTTGCATCCCTCTCATATACGCTCTCAAGTATAGATCTCATCTTGGCTTTTGAGCCAGGATGCCTGGACATGGTCAAAGGTGGGGGGCAGTTGGCAAAATCTGGAAGCAGGAAGCGAGGGGGCTGAGGCACCAGACCAGAGGCACAACGGAGGCCTCAGCCAGGTCTGGGGAGATGGAGGAAAAGGGATGGATTCCAGAGAGGGCCTTAAAGGGGGTGGGGAGGGAGGGGCAGAGGAGGTGGCCCTCGGAGTCTCATGTTGGTACCTCCAGATCTGCAGGATCTCAGCCAATGACCCCAACTCCTTAGAAAACGGACAAAAAGACCTTGATGATCTCATTTGTTCCCAAGCCTCCACTTCTCCCAAAGTAAAGATCTGTCAGCTTCCTTGTATTTTTGCTTTTTGTAATTGATTTAAAACACTTCAGGGTCTATGTGTCATGGTGTGGATAAGCTCGTGCCTAGGAAACCTCCTCCAGCTCCTCCTGAGCTGCTTGAGGGACAAACTCATGCCTCTTTCACCTTTGAGACCCCTGGCATAATGTAGAGTCCTGATAGACACTTTTTAAAATAAATACCCCCGGCATTTCCTCTGACTTGCCCAGGACCACACAACTCTCAGGGGAGGGGTGGGGGCTGGGACCTGGTACTTGGGCTCCTGCTGCTCTGCCCTATGCCCTTGGGGACTTCTGGACAAGGGTGCGCTTCCCTGGGCTGACAGAGGAGACAGAGGTAGTGGGGTGCTGGTAAATGGTTAACAACGGGCTTTCTGGAAAAAAATGCCCTAACCGTAGCATTTGCAAATTTCTATGGTATAAATACTCTCGCAGTGACCAGTTTCAAGTCCAATGTCACAATGGCTCACTGCAATTGGCTCTAGGCTTGGTCGGCCAGAAAGGTCCCTGGACCACCTCCCTCTCCTGCTCCACAAAGGGCAGGAGCTCTTCCAACTCCTTCCAACTCCTACTCATCCTTCAGAACCTGCTTGATGTCACCTTCTCTAGGAGACCCTCCCAGGCACCGTAGAGACACCCCAGCCCCAGTGCTCCTATATGGCTGTCAGCACACTTTATGGAAACAGCACACTTAACTTTCTGTCTTCCCTCCACTGTGTCCCCACCTCTTAGCACTGGGCCTGGCCTACGACAGGGGCTCAGGAAATATTTGTTGAAAGGACAAGTAATGATGCTGATGCTGATAGTGACAGCAAATGCCTATATCATCTGCAATGTGCCAGTTCTAGTCTCTTTTTTTTTTTTGCTACAGTTAGGGCATTTTTTTCCAGAGAGCCAGTTGTTAACCATTTACCAGCACACCATTGCCTCTGTCTCCTCTGTCAGCCCAGAGAAGCCCACCCTTGTCCAGAAGTCCCCAAGGGCATAGGGCAGAGCAGCAGGAGCCAAGTGCCAGGTCCCGGTCCCCACCCCTCCCCTGTGAGCTGTGCAGCCCTGGGCAAGTCAGAGGAAACACCGGAGATATTTATTTTTCTCATAAGAGAAAACCCCATTTCTCTTAAGGGGTTTTTGGTTCTTGTTTTTTGAGGCAGAGTCTCGCTCTGTCACCTAGGCTGGAGTGCAATGGCGCAATCTTGGCTCACTGCATCTTCCGCCTCCTGGGTTCAAGCGATTCTCCTGCCTCAGCCTTCTGAGTAGCTGGGATTACAGCAGCATGCTACCACGCCCTGCTAATTTTTGTATTTTTAGTAGAGACAGGGTCTTGCCATGTTGGTCAGGCTGGTCTTGAACTCCTAGGCTCAAGTGATCCCTGCCTTGGCCTCCCAAAGCGCTGTGATTATAGGCGTGAGCCACCGTGCCCGGCCGTGCCAGCTCTGTTCAAAGCACTTCACAGATATTAACTCATTTAATCCCCACAACACTCTAGATGGGTTTTTATTTGTTTTGGTTCGTTTGTTTGTTTTTTTTGAAATGGGGTCTCGCTCTGTCACCCAGACTGGAGTGCAGTGGCGTGATCTTGGCTCACTGCAACCTCCGTCCCCTGGGTTCAAGCAATTATCCTGCCTCAGCCTTCCTAGTAGCTGGGATTACAGGCATGAGCTACCACACCTGGCTAATATTTTGTATTTTTAGTAGAGATGGGGTTTCACCATGTTGGCCAGGCTGGTCTCGAACTCTTGACCTCAAGTGATCTGCCTGCCCTGGACTCCCAAAGTGCTGGGATTACAGGCATGAGCCACCATGCCCAGCTCTAGATGGGTTTTTATGTCCTTATTTTGCAGATGGGGAAACCCAGCCTCAGCGAGTCAGTGGCAGAGCAGGGCCTGGGATGCAGCTCAGAAAGCTCTCATGTCCTTGGGCTTCCCTTGTCCTGTAAGATGGGTGGGGCCAGTAGCATTGCCCTCACTTTAAAAAAGCAAAACAGGCTCAAATTCCAGCGAGGGGCTTATGGAGGTTTAGGTGAAGAGCCTTGGCTAAGGTCATCCCACTATGAAGTGGATGGGGATGTGGTAGAATTAGCACTTAGGGGTCTCAAGTGCAAAAGCGCTTTGTAAACCATCAAGGACCACAGACATGCTAGAGCCAAAGAAGTTGGAAAAATCTCACCATTTAGATATTTTTAGTCCAAGCTTAACAAGTAAGGAAACTAAACCTCTGAGAGGGAGGTGACCTGTCCAAAGTCATGCACGAGCATCTCAACCCTGCCCGTCTGCACTTTCCACAATCCCAGAGTGGCACTCATTCCTTAGTGGCAGCGGGCACTGCACTCGACAGCTCATGCCATGGTGGGTTTGCACGACAGTCCTTTCCCTGAGCCTCACGATTGTCCTGGAGGAACTTGTTATGCCCATTTACAGGTGAAGGAACTGAGGCTCAGCAAAGGGAAGTGATTTATCCCATCTCACAGGCTCGTAAGTGGGGACCTGGGTGACTCTGCATACAAAACCACCAGAGAGATGAAAAGAACCGAGAAAGAGCCGGGTTGATTGTGGTCAAAAGCGTAAGGCAGACCTGGTTGGAGGAGTCTGGAGCCTGGGGCTCAGAAGGGACTTAGGGATCGCTGCCTGATTTTTGGTCATCCAGCAGTTATAGGGCCGCCTCCTTAGAGCCTGGGGGCTTCCTGGATGCATAGCCTGTCCCTGCCTCGGGGCTCCCAAGACAGGTGCTCTGGCTGGCGCTACTGGGAGAGTGAGGAGGTGACAACAAGGTCTGGGATAGACCCCCAGCCCCCCACTTCACCTCTCTGAACCTGGGCTTCCTCATCTGCAAGATGGGGGACCCAGTTGTTATGGCAGTGAAATGAGGTAGTGCCACCAGACGCCTAGCCCAGGGGCTGGCATGGAGCCAGCGTCCATCTGGGACAGCTGCCCTCAGTGTTGCTATTGCTATGGTTATTTTTATTATTAGACTCAACAATATGCCTTTGAGCAGGTGGCTTTCACTCTTTGGGCCTCAGTTTCCCCATCTCTAGGGCAAAGGAGGATGATAAGATAGATTATTTTGTAAAATCCTTCCAGCTGTGACCGTCTGCGGTGACTAGCTTTCTTAAATCTGTTCATTCTGGTGCCAGGTGGGCCTCACCATTGTAGTGACTTCCTCTGAATACATACTGCAGTGTCAGTGTTTGCACATGCATGCACAGAGACACACATATGCTGTCCTTTTTCTTCACACTATCTCGATTGTCACACACCATCAGTCCCTTGAGCACAGAACAGGGTGTTTGCTTATCTGAATCTCTGGTCCTGGGGAAGCGCAGCTATCACTGAATGTTTGCTGAGCTGAGTTAGTTGCCTTTGGTAGTAGTTAGTTCCCTGTCACTAAAGGTATTCAAGTAAAGTCTAGGCAATGTTTCTGGTGAATTTGGACCAGGATTACTTAAATTCTATAGATTTAAGCCCTAGGGCTATGTATAGCTACCCCACTCAATGCCACAGCCCCTCACTCCTTGGGCTTTCTGGTTCAAGACACACATTTTACATTTGTAGGATGTGCCGATTGTATATCAGATGTGTGGGCCTAATTTTCCCATAATCTTCCAAACAGTGCTGTAGGATCTCCTCCTCCTCCTCCTCCTTCTTCTTCTCCTACTTCCTCCTCCTCCTCCTCCTCCTCCTTCCTCCTCCTCCTCCTCCTTCCTCCTCCTCCTCCTTCCTCCTCCTCCTTCCTCTTCCTCCTCCTTCCTCCTCCTTCCTCCTCCTCCTCCTTCTTCTTCCTCTTCTCCTCCTTCTTTCTTCCTCTTCTCTCTTCTTTTTCTTTTGTTGAAACAGGATCTTGCTCTGTTGCCCAGGCTGGAGTGCAGTGGTACAATTATAACTCACCATAGCCTCTACCCACCGGGTTCAAGCGATCCTCCCACCTCATCCTTCCAAGCAGCTGGGACCACAGCTCCTGCCACCACAGCTCACTAATTTTTAAATTTTTTTTTAAAGATGGGATCTTGCCCAGGCTTGTCTCGAACTCCTGGCCTCAAGTGACCCTCCTACCTTGGTCTACCAAAATGCTTCATTTACAGGCATGAGCTACCATGCCTGGCCTACTTCTTGCGGGGAGGTGGGAGGTACAGAAGAGTTCTGTTCCCTGTTATATAAAGGCCCACCCTCCAGGAACTGTGATTTGTAGCTCAGTTGGTAGGAGGGGTCTTGCAACCTGGCCCGAGGCAGTGACTAAGGCACAGGCTATATGTGGGGCCCTGGGGTTTGTCATCTCTGCTGCTAACAAAGGTGGAAAATTCCTACTTCCTGAGCTGAGATTGAGGATTCTGACATGCATGAGCTTGCCTACTTTCCTTGGTATTTCATTTTTGGAGCCAGAAACAAAATCCTCCCAGATGCTCTGCTTGGCTCCTGTGAGTCTGACCTGCAGGCCTGTGTCTGGCAGAGGGCACGCAACAGTGGCTCACCTCCCACTCGCACTGCGCAGGGGCTGACACAGGGAGAACGGGAGTCATAGCTCTGTGTCTGCGCTTACTGCAGTGCCCTTAACCTCTCTGAGTCTCAGTTTCCTTATCTGTAAGATGGGATAGATTATTGCTACTCAGTTTCCTTATCTGTAAGAAGGGATTGATTATTAGTAGATGCCGAATCAATGTTAGGGATGACTATTAATAAGAAATTGCATCTGATGAGATGCCAGCTCCTCTGTCTCCAAGGACCTGCCTTTTCTTCCTGTTTCTGATTCCTGCAGAAACTCCTGTAGCCAAGACAACATAAAAATAATCTAGTTTGCAAGTATTTAATGAGCCACTTACAGACTGTGAGAGGAAAGCAGATGGCAGCTTCCAATGTCTTCTCTGAATAGGGTCAGACAGGAGGAGAGGGTTTAGTGGCTCCCAAACCTGTCTCTAGATCATTTAATATTTGGATAATTCAGTGAAGAAAACCCAGAACCTTCAACCCCCTCCCTTTTTTTTTTGTTTGGCATTTTTGAAAATAATCAAAAGGACAGGAAAAGCTTTATGCACAGAGATGTTCCTCATCATGCAGAAGAAGGGTCACAGGAAACAACCTAAATGTTTAGGACCAGGCAGTTGGTTAAATACATGATCTTATATCCATTCAACAAATGTCAAGCAGACATGAAAAAAGGATGCTTCTAAGAGTTCACCAAAAATGAGAGAATGTTTCTGATAACATGTTAGGGGAACAAAAAGCTGGGTAACCAAATTGTACATACAACAAAGTTCAAAAGTTGAGAAGGCAAAATACCAAATTATTACTGGCGCTGGTTGTCTTTGAGCATGGGATCATAGGTTGCTTTTGGGTTTTCTTTACTGTTTGTCATGGTATCCAAGTTTTCTGTGAAGAACATATATTCCTTTGGCAATAAAAATATTTAAATAAGCCAAGTGTTTGGAATGAATTATGGGTTTATTTACGTAAAAAAGATAATCAGCCAATTTGTGCTTAAAGGAACTCTCTTAGGTCTACAGCTGCCCCCCTGGCAGCTCTGATGCATTCGCTGCTGCAGAAAAGCCTGAACCCAGCCTGATTTTTCTTGCTTTATGGATTGCCTGTCCCCGCCCCCACCAACTCCCCAACCTCCAGTCAATCTGGATGCTTATAGTATTTTCTTTTTCTCTTTTCCATTCAAAAGTGCTGTCAGATGTATTTAGGGGACACTGTCTCGTCTCACCCCTTTTCATAACCTGTGAGCCGGGCAAGGCACCATTGCATAGGTGAGGGCTTGGAGGCTGGAGAGATGAGGGACTGGGACTCAAACCACATTTCGGGATTTGGGGACATCTCCTGGCTGTGCCCTGAGGCCACCCCGACTCTGGCATGTGAGGCAAACCTGCTGTACAACGAAGGGGTCTGGACGAGGGAGTCTCACCAGGGGTGTTCAAATCCCAGCTCTGCCGGTCACTAAGGGAGGGACTGTAAGTGTGTGGCCTCCTGTCAGAGCCCAGGTCCCCGCTTGTGGGATAAGGAGCATTGTCCCCGGCAGGAGGGCTGTTGTGAGGATCCAGTGTGGTCATCCCTGGCACTCAGGAATCCTTCCTGTTGGTTCCCGTCCTCTCTCAGGAATGACAGTCGCCTCCTCTTTCCCCCAAATCCACAGATTGTTCTGTCAAGTGATGGGCCTGGGTGCCCTCACCTCCACCCCCTCAGCCACAGACACCACAGTCCAAACAGACTCCCGGAAGATATGGCCCAGACCACTTGCAGGGAAAGTCCCTGCGGCTGTACTCATCCTCATGGAAAACATGAGGACTGGCGGGGACTGGAGGGCAGGGAGTGAGGGGACATGCAGGGTGCCCCCGTCACAGGGCAGAGGGCTCTGACTGGGGCTTTTGGATCACCGCCCACCATGGGGAGGCCCAGGCAAGGGACTCATGCTCCTACCCATCTCTCCAGCCCCAGCTCCTCCTTCCCCTCCTGTCCCCTCCCTGCCCCACTGGTCTCCCCTGGCCCTGCCTGAGCATCTTTGGGAGTTCCCACCTCTCGACCTTTGCTTATGTAGGGAGGCAGGATGCGATGGGAAGACCCAGGCCAGGCTCCAGGGCCAGCCCAGTCTCTAGCTAGCTCTGTCTCCCCTCTAGGGACCATTTCCTCAACTGTCAAGTGGAGACACAATGCCTACTTGGCAGGTTTGTCGGGGGGGATACTTGTGATTGTTTTGGGGGGCCAAGGGTGCCCTGGGGCTCAGGCATATGTCAATGGCACTGGGCAGTCTCCCCTACCCTTTCTCTCCACTGTGCACCCTCCCTTACTTAGGGAGACCCTCTACTTTACCTAGGTCTAGGTCCTCCAACTTGAAACCTGCCCACAATGACACATCAAACATTGTAGGTGTGTCATAAGCTGGTGTGAGGACATGCAGGCAGCAAAGAAGCAACTTGTGTGTGTACACGTGTGTGTGTGTGTGTGTGTGTGTGTGTGTGTGTGTGTTTGGGTCGGTCCAGACAGAGGCCCAGGAAGAAGAAGAGTGGAGATCCTGCCACATGGCTCCTGATGCTGGAGGCTTAGGGACAAACCATCAGTGTGACTGTCCCAGTGTCCTCTGGGGATGGGACTTGGGGTTACAGATTCAGAGAGCTGTGTTAGAACCACTTGGGTCTCTGCCTGTCTCTCCCACCAGGCTCTCAGCTCCTTGTGGGGAAAGATCTCTGAGCTGAGGGGAGCCCTGAGCAGTCTCTCAGTAAGTGGTTAGGGGAGGAAGGAATAAACCAGCTTCCTGAGTCTAGGCACAGTCTGGGTACTTTCATACACAGTCCTATTGTGTTGGCACAGCAGTAGTCTTTATCACACAGGTGAGAAAGGAGAGGTTCGGAGAGGTCAGTGACCTGTCCTGGGTTACTCAGCAAGTAATTGGCCTAGTAACCTAACCCAGGACTGTTGAACAATCGGGCCAGTTGGTGCCAATTTCTAAATATTGACTATTAAAAAAATACTGGTGGCGAAATAGCTAGCACATCTGTGAGCCTGTTTGGGTTGTGGGCTCAGACCGAACTCCTATAAAGCATATGAAGCAGAGATGGTAGAATCCCAGGCAGGGGCCATGGAATGGGGGAGGGGGCGTTAACTCCTGCTATCCTACCTTTCTATAGGTGAGGCGCCTGCTGTTCAGAGACACAGGAGCATCAGCAAAACCCATCAAAGAACTGGGGGCCAGGGTAGAAAGGAGACCTTTCTGGGGGTGCTGATGGAAACTCCTACCCAGGCAAATCTTGTTTCCCAGGCATTCCCCCAGTGAAGACTGCACTGCTGTGCCCAACTTTGGCTGCAGGCTACTCTTTACCACCCAAGTGAGCCGCCACCCACTGATCTCTGCCATCAACTTATTCTAATTCTCTGCATAGCACATAGCACTTCCTGGGATTGCCCTTCTCCTGTCTGCTCTTCAAAGAGCCATCCTTAGATGGCCTACTGACATTAATGCTTTTTACCTTTCTAACTTGTCATTTTGTTTTTGTAATTCTTTTCTTTCTTCTACTTTTTTGGATCATTATTATCTAGTTTATTGAATTGAACAGTTTTTTTTTGCAATCTTTTTGGTTTAATAATTTAAAAATTTAAAGGCATGACTCATCCCCTGACTATGGCTTTGGCTGCATCCCATAAGTTTGGTAAGCAGTGTTCTTATAGTTAGTTGTTTCTCAAATATCTATAATTTCAGTTTTGATGATCTGTCTCTTTGATGTAACAGTGTTTTCTAAAATTTTCAAGTAGTTTATTTCTATTCAAGTTTGTTTTGCTTTTTATATTTAAATTTTTGCAAAGAGATATGCATCCTCATGGTAACATTTCAGAGTGCGAAAAAGAATACAGTGAGGGGTAGGTCTCCCTCCAGATTCTGTCCCTGCCTGTTGCCTCAAGAGACAGCCAGGCTCACTGGTGTCTCCTGTTGCTTTCCAGACATCTTCTGAGCTTTCAGGAGCAGATGTGCACATATCCATGTATAAGGACGCCTGCAGAAGCACCCTAAATGCACCGCCGGCTGTGTCCTCACCTCTTTGCATTTAACAATCTGTCGACCCACCTTGCTTTTCAATAGCCTCACAGTATTTCAGAGTAGGACTGCCCTGTAATGCACCGGCCTTCGCAGGGAGTTCCCAGTTTTCGTAGGTAGTTTGCAATTCTACTACTATTTATAGCTGAAGGAACCGAAGGATCCCAGAGACCACATCTCTTGCCCTAGGTCACACAGCAGGGGAGGAATGGGGTGGGATTCAATCCCTGTGCCTGGCTTCCGAAAAAGGAGGAGCGGGAGGAGGAGGGAGAAGGGAAGTGGGTGGAGAGAGGAATCATCTTCACAGAGTCCATCTCCCCAATGTGCTACAGTTCATTTGAGGAGTCCCCCCAGGTTTTCACTACTTTTGGCTATCACAAATGATCAGCACAGATCCCTCATCTGCAGGCCCTGGCCCACGTGTGAGCACACCTGTAGCAGGTGTGCAGACCCTCTCCTGCCTCCCCTGACCTGTTCTTGTGTTCTAGCCATTGCTTTCTGGATCTTTCTGTTCAAAGAAGACCAAGAGGTCCTTCTCTCACCTCTCACTTTGCTAACCGGCCAGTGGGCTCCAGAGTGGGGGTGATGTACCCCAGGTGCAGCAGCGCATGCACAAGGTGCAATCTCCGAGGCTCCGGGAGAACCCCAGAGAGCCTCCCTCTGTGGTCAGGGAGTGACCCCTGCACTCTTAGAGCACAGCAGGTGCCAAGCATGAGTGGGTGCTAGGGGCTGAGGGAAAGGCCCAGTCTTTTCCCTCGAGAGGATTCCTGTTTGGTAGGGATGGCGGGGCACAGCCTGATGCTTCCCGAAATGTTTGGGCCCAAATCTACCTTGAAAGGAGCTGGCTGTGAGCTGTGTGCATTTAACAATCTGTCCATTTAAATTTTTGTGGAGATGGGCAGTTTGCTAATAACTTGGATCGGGGAGGGTTTCTGTCCTTTCCTGAGGCAGCAGGCACATGAGCACAGGTGCCAGAGAGTGAAGAACAGGTTTGGGGTCCCCAAGTTTTTTGGCTGGTGGGACTAGGAGGAAGGGCCTGAGGAGAGTGGCTTTTGGGTCCAGGACAGACCATTTGCTAAGGTAGCTTGTTTCAAAGTGTGGCTGAAATCCCCTGAGATATTAGCAAGTCCTTGAGTACTGTAAAGGAAAACAGAAATCTTGGGACCCCCAAACTCTTTATGCCAAAGGGAAAGTTAAGCCTGGAGACTGAGTCAGCCAACATTGTCATCCTTATTCCTAATGACAGCTGTTACTCCACAACCTTAGACATTAGCCAGACCCCCACAGAAAGGAAAAGGCCTCGGATATCTCCCCATGACTGCCCCCACAAATTGTTCTTTGCTGGGTGAAACCTTTCAAGATGTGGATCTTACCACAAAACAAGGACACATCAATTGTAACTTGAGGTCTGCAATCCAAGCCTAGCTCCTCACACTCAAGTCTGTTAGAGTCACGCTGATGGTGCTGATCTCCCCAGGTACAGCATAAAAGCAAGACAAAGGCAAGATGAGATCAGGCCTCCTTCTGCCTAACCTCCTCTTCCTACATGCTTTCTCCACTTCAAGGACATGTGTAAATACTGTGAAAGAAAAATAAAATTAAAATCCCCAGACCCCAAACGCACTAAGCCAAAGGGAAAAGTCTAGCTGGGAGCTGGGTCATGCAACCCGCCTCCCGTTTTGTGTCTAAATGGATAACTATTTACTTCCCTCACATTTTGCTCACAGTGAAATTCCTTGTGGGCCCCAGGATCTTTGCCTTCAAGCAGCTCTGTTGTATTTCACCCTCATGATATAAATTAACAGCTTAGCTTCACAGGTATGGAACAAAGGATAGAACCCAAAGTCATCCCTCTGCTCACCTGAGACGAGTGCATAGCTGACAGCTTCCTATATGCTATGATGATGATGATGATGATTATTATTATTATTATTATTTTGAGATAGAGTCTTGCTCTGTCACCCAGCCTGGAGTGCAGTGGTGTGATCTCAGCTCCCTGCAACCTCTGCCTCCTGAGTTCAAATGATTCTCCTGCCTCAGCTTCCCAAGTAGCTAGGACTACAGGCATGCACCACCGTGCCTGGCTAGTTTTTGTATTTTTAGTAGAGACAGGGTTTCACCATGTTGGACAGGCTGGTCTCGAACTCTTGACCTCAGGTGATCCACACAACTTGGCCTCCCAAGCTGCTGGGATTACAGTTGTGAGCTACCGTGCCCAGCCCTATGATTATTTTATCTTATATAAAAATGCAGATTGACTGAGCACCAGGTGAATGCGGAATTGATGATTCCTCCACCTGCTTCTTTCACATGAAAAATGTGCATTCAGTGAAGTTAATGAAAAGGCTCAAAGGGGTGCAACTGCTTGCCTCTTTTGGCCACCTTCCCCCGATTTTTCCTTCTTTCCCCTACTGCCTGCTTTTTTCCCTTTGAATAGTGAAGACCCTTCTTTGAAAGAAGCATGGGCCAGAGATGTTTCCTGTGATTTCGTGTCCCTCTTTCCTGGGTGCATCCTTAATCTTGGCAAAATAAACTTCAAAAATAATTGAGACCTGCTTCAGTCAGTTTCTCTTTGATTTACAACACTAAGTCTCATGACTCTTCGGAGAGCATAGGCCACACACATTTTCTGTGGCTCATGTTTTTCCCAGGTGCACCCTCAAACTCTCGATAAATGTCAATTGAAGTTTATCAACTCGATGAACCTTGATTGATTGAGATTTGCCGCAGTCTGTCATTTCAGTGAATAGTACCCAGACTTCAAATCACAGTCCCCAGAGCAGGACCCCCGCACCTGCGTGGGTGACCAGTCTCCAGGTGATTCTAAAGTATGACAAATTTTGGTCTTTCTCCGGCAGACCACCCTGCCACTGGAGTGTGACCACTTAGGAAACCCGCAGGGAAGAGGAGAAGCGACCTCATGACCATGATAAGAACCACAGAAGCGACGGGGCTGTGCTGGAGCCTGGCACTGTACAGGTCACAACACCCCACGGGCGTCCCCTCAGGCACTGCTCATTTCCAGATGTCACTCAGCTGGGCCACTTCTCTGTGCCCCACGACTGCCCTTCACCGGTGGCACAGATCAGAGAGGCTCAGAGGGGTTGGCAGTGAATGGGATGGGACAGGCCGGAGTAAATCTAAAGTTTGAGCCCTGAAGAGAAGCGTGAGAAGGACTCTTGCTGTCAGTGCCCACAGGCTCATTGCCTGGACACAGGAGTGTGTGCATGTCGGACAGGGCTTTTTTCTGGACACCCTTAAGCGGCCATGGCCTTACTGCAAAGCAAATGCAACCTCTGTGACCGCCCCAGGCCCTCACTCCTGCCTCCATAGACAGTCCGTCTGGTACCTGAGCTCCTGCAGTGTGCCTGACATCCCCTTTCACTACATCAGCACAAACAGAGGTAAGCCTCCTAGTGGTCCTCAAAAATAGGAATGATGCTCCCCATTGTACAGGAGAAGAAACTGAGGCTCAGATAACTTTCCTGGCCAGTAAGTGACGGTGAATTCGAACCGAGAGCTGTTTGTTCCACCGTGCTTTCTGCTGTGATGACTTTTTTGGAATGTGTGTGGGGAGGGGGAGGCACATATGTTTCCAGCCTCCAGAATCTTCCAGAACCCACTGTGATGAAAGAGTCAAAGAAATACTTCATGCCTTACGTTTGTTCTAGAAAACAACCCTGGAGTGGGTGTTTTGGGGAAGCAGAGCCTTAGGTCCCCAGGAAAACCAGAGGAGCTCAGAGGAGGAATTGAGGATTTAACACTTTTCAAGGGGGGCAGATTTAGTAGCTGTGGATATTTAGCTCAGAGAGAAGCAATAGGACTAGAATGGTACAAACCCCAAGGAAATGAAAGTGGACCCATTGCTCAGTGGGGGCAGTTGGAGGAAGAGCTTTTAAACAGTAGAACTCTCCTAAGATGGAATGCGCTGCCTCGCAAAGTAGTGAGCTCCCCATTCTTGGAGGCATGCACACTAAGATGGATATTCATGAGGCAGGGGATTCCTGGACCCAATGGATGTCAGAAGTGATGCATTTGGGGTGTCAAGTCTTGGCAGGTCTGATTGTTTGACTCATGACCCTGAGGTACCGTAATTGTCCTAAGTGCCTTCTGAATCCTCAAAACAACATGCAGATCTGCTCTGTGTGCCTTTTTTTTTTTAAAGAGCAGTTTTAGATTCACAGCAAAATTGAGCAGAAAGTACGGAGACTTACCATATATCCCCTGTGCCTACACATACGTAGCCTCCCCCGTTACTGACATCCCCCACAAGAGCAGTCAATTTGTTGTAATTGATGAACCTGCGTTGACACATCATCATCACCCAAAGTCCATAGTTTTCATCAGGGTTCACTCTTGGTGATGGACATTCTGTGGGTTTGCACAAACGCACAATGACATGCCTCTACCATTACAGTGTCATACAGAAGTTTCACTGCCCTAAAAGTCTCTGGGCTCCTCCCATTCTCTCCTCCCTCCCCTAATTCCTGGCAACCACTGATTTTTTTTATTTTTTACTGTCTTCATAGTTTTGCCTTTTTCCAGAATGTCACATATAGTTGAAATCATACAGCATATGCCTTTTCAGAGTAGCTTCATTCACTTAGTGATAGGTTCTGTATGCTTTTTTATTGCCTGCTATATGAGCAATATTTATTTATTCATTTAACCATTCAGCATTTCAGCAAACACTGATCCATCCATGTTGGGCTAGGCATCGTTTTCAGTGCAGAGGAGGCAGCTTGAGCGGATAGACAAGGCCCCTACTTTCATTCTGAAAACCAGAGTCCCCCGGTGCTATGATCCAAATGCCTGTGTCCCTCCAAAATTCACCTGTTGAGACTTAATCTCCAAGCTGGTGATATTAAAAGGTGAGACTTCTGGGGGGAGATTAGATCATGAGGTCCCCCTCCTTGTGAATGGGATTGGTGGTCTTTAAAGGAGGCCTGGGAGAGCGTGTTCACCCTTCCACCATATGAGGATGCATAGAAGGTGCCATCTATGACGACTAGGTCCTCACCAGACACCCAATCTGCCAGTGCCTTGATCTCGGGCTTCCCAGCCTCCAGCACCGAGAGCAATAAATGTCTGTTTTTTGATAAATTACCCAGTCTAAAGTATTTCTTATAGCAGCTCAAACAGGCTATGACACTGGGCAAATCTGCAGGGCTCCCCCCACCGCGCCCAGGTGGGCCCCTCCCTGACCACAAGCAGCACAGGTGAGGAGGCCGCCCTAATGTTACCTCTGGAGCCACCAAACTTGTTACTGAGCCAGTCACTGTGTTAGCAAAAACCACGTGGCACAGCTATTCGGTTGGTGCAAAAGTCATTGCGGTTTTTGGCATTACTTCTAATGGCAAGAACCGAGATGACTTTTGCACCAACCTAATATTTCCAGGTTGGGTCCCACCGGCAGGCAAATACCACTTTCAAAGTCCTCAGATCCATCATGCAGGCCCAACCATGGGAACCTCCCCGTTTGCAAGGGAGGGAATCCCAAAGAGATTGAGGCATTTCCCTGGACACTGAGCGAAGGGCTGGCTGAGGTCATGTTCCCCCTCTGAGACTCAGTTTCCTCATCAGTGCAGTGAGAGGCTTGGAGTGCAGGGTTGCAGGGAGAGCTGGGATGAGGCCTGGGGTGCTGCCTGTGGGGACAGCACGCATGCTTCCTCTTTTTCATCCAAAGACGCCTTCTCTTGGCTGTCCCCTGCTCTCACCCCAAGCAGGGGAAACAGCAAATGCTTCCTCCAAGCTTGTGGGGCTCACAACTGTGGAATGTCTCTTGCTGCTGCCAGGGCCCGAAGGACGCAGCACAGTTTTTTCTCCAGAGAACCTCGGGCAGGGCCTCTTTGCAATGTCCTCTGGGGTTGCTTACCTGTTCCCCCACCACCTAAGCCCTTCTCCAACTCAGAAATGGAATTAGGGGCGGGGTTGGCCAGGGAGGCCCCCATCACCCCACACCCAGGCCAGGGCTCCCACTTCCTGTAGGCTGGGGAGCCACAGGCGGCCTGTGACTCAGTGAGGCACATTCTGACCTGCCTGGAACAGCAACACCTGCTGTTCACCTCCACCCAGGCTGCGGAAACGACCTACTCTCAGCAACTCGAATCACGGCTGCCATTTATTTAGTGCCTATGACATACGTGGTGCTTCACAGGCAAGAGCCTACCTCTATCTTTGCATAAAGAGGAACTTCCAGGTCTTCTTTATAGCTCAGGAGACAGGACAAAATAACTCGCCCAAAAACGTCACCCACAGGGTGAGAGCAGGGCTGGAGCTGCAACCTGGGCCGGATGCAAAGCCGGTGCTTGGAACCCCTGCACCATCCTATCCCCCTGCCCTGGTCAGCCAGGACCGTGGGAAGAGGGTCTCTAAGCCCATCTGAGGTAGTCACTACCACCTGCCTCCTGGAGGCGCATCAGCCAACATTCACAAACCCCCCCACCCCCGCCTGCTTCTGATTTAACCCTGCCACCCCCAGGGAGCCAGCGAGCTGGCTGCTTTGCAGACAGAGAAACTGAGGCTCAGAGAGGTTGAATAGCTTGTCCAGGGTCACACAGGGCCAAGGAGTGGCACAGCTGTGGGTGAAAAGCCAGGTTCTGGAGCCTCCACCCAGCACCCGTCCCTGCTGCACCACACACACCTCGCTGCCTTACTCCAAGGTGTCCACTCAAAGTATGTGAAAATCCAATCACGAAATCCCTCACACACTGGACACACACAAGCCTGTCTGTCACCTTGATTCAGAGAAGAGAAACCTACAACAGACAAACAGGGCGATTCCTCCTGCTGGGAACCCTTCTCCCCATCGCCTGTCAGACCTCCCCTCCGGAAGGAAGGGAACTTTTCCCAACTCCCCACGACCACAGGGAAACTTCTCCCCGCTGCCTGCCCTCCCTCCCTCCCTCTGTGCTGGGACAGTTTGTCCTCCCAGCAGAGGTGAGGCGGCTGGAGCAGCCCCTGCCCGGCACCCACCTTCTCCGGAGCAAGCGGCATGGGCACTTCAGTCGCTCCCTGGTACTGCGGGGCAGCCTGATGTCCCCACCGTCCCCACCGTCCCCACCCCTCCTCGGAGCCCAGAAGCCAGAGCTGGAGTGGCGGCGGGAACAGCTCATCTTTCAAGGGCTGGGTAGTGATGTCATCAGCCTCCTGGGCACTTCCCCCTCCGCCTCCAGCTGAGCTCTGCACTCCTGCCCAGCTGGAGCCAGGCTGGCTGTGGGGCCGGGAAGGCTGCGGCCACCTTCGCTCTCCGCTCTGCCACCCTCTGAGCCCTGGGGGCCAGGGAGGCTCTTGGAAGATTTCCATGTTTGCGTAGCCCGGCTGCCCGTTGGAGTCGTGGGACGGCAAAAACGTCCCTCCCGGCTGACCACAAAGTGGCCTGGGAAGCCCCATGTGAATAAATTTGCCTCGCGTAACATTTATTTCTTATCATTATTTATCTTCTTGAGGTGGTTATTTTGTGTCTGAGTTTTGGATGTAAACAGTGGGCGTTTACGCGGAAGGTGTAAACAGAGGGTGGCCAGGTGGGCAGGCGGAGTCCTGGGATTTCTTTGTATGCCACGTACGGCTCCCAAGGGCGACAGTGGCAGAAGCTGTCCTGTTTCCTGGGTACGGGTGTTTGCGCTCCCCTGAGACACGCGGCCGTTTCTTCGGAGATGTATGGCGGAGGTTTCTCCCATGTCAAGGCTCAGGCTGGCTTTCTCAGTTTTGCTCAAAGACTTACTAACTATCTGCAGCACTTTACACTCCCAGGGCTGAGACGGTAGGAGCTGGAAAGGGCAGGGACTTTCAAAACATTTTTTTTTGAAGCCTTAAAACCCTTCCTTCAGAAGAGAACAGATAAGAGTGGGCCCAGTGGATCTGGGGAAGAGACAGGAGGGCCAGAGGACGTCCCCCCAGCCCATCAGCTCCTCTTCCCTGTGACTTGATTCATAACAAGCCTACAAACCAGCAATCAAGCCTGATCCCATCATCATGGAGACAGGGAAACAGAGTCTCAGATCAGTTTATGGGTGGCCTGGGCGCTAGCCCTGGCTTGGCTGTGAACTGGCTGTAGGCTCTTGAGTGAAGGCCCTCCCTGGCCTGGCTGTGTGGTTGACTCATCTGTGCACCTGGCTGTTCAACCACATTGGGGCTCCTTAATCTGGAGTTTCCTGACTTGCCAGTTGGGGACAGAGGTCTATGGACAGGCTGCCCAGAGTCCACAAGCCCTCTGAAAAGGTGTGTCTGTGCTTTATCCCCTATGGAGCCTCATCTATAGCTTTCACTAAAATATTGAAGAGCTCTGAGATCCACAACATATTGAGACCTGCATGAGCGTCCAGAGACCCTCTGAAGTCTCTTCCAACTTAGATATTGTAGAGCTCTGTATCTATGAGTTGAAAATCCTCAAGGATCTGAATCCAATGTTGATGCTTCTGTAAATATCATTGACAGAAATCTCTAAAAGACATCTGTCCATCTGCACACATCTCCATCCATCTCTGTCATATAGTTTTTTAAAAAGGCTACTTTAAACCAGTTTTGAGGTCCTGGCTGGAGGCCAGCCAGTTCATGAGCAGCTGATTAAGTTCACATTCTGGCCCTTTCTCTTACCAGGTTCTCACACTCTGGGCCACTAGCCACCTGCCCTGATGGCCTTGGAGCCAGGTACCAAACAATAATGGACAGCTCCCATCATCTGGAACTCACAAACTTATTTAAGTTAGCCAATCCATAGGGAGCCAAGGAAACCTCGTTAACACCACCCTACGTGCCACACATAGCTGCCGCCTATAGCTCCAGCTTGCTTGGACCCTGTCCCCAGTTGCACATCCTGTGTGGCCCAGCCTGACAGCCTCTCATTTGGAGCTGTAAGAAACAAAAGTTCTACCTTTCATTTATCTGAGTGTCACTGTGTTGTGTCCTGCCATCAAAAGAATATTTTAATCTTATAAAACAATTACACACTCTTCCATTCATCTACACTGGTATCTACCCACACATCCGCCCACCTGCCTATCCACCTATCCAACCATTCATTTACTTATTCGCCTGTCTGTCTGTCCATCCGTCTATCCATCCAACCATCCATCCATCCATCCATCTGTCCGTCCATCCGTCCATCCATCCATCCGTCTGTCTGTCCATCCATCAGTCCATCCCTCCCTCTCTCACTGCCTCCCTCCCTCCCTCCCTCCATCCATCCACCCACACACTCATTTATCAGATACCCACATAGCCAGGCAGTGCATTGTCAAGCAGAAGTGAATGAATCAGTCATCCCCATGCCTCAGACATCCCCGTGCCTCGGAGGAGTTTACCCTGAGGCCAGTCCCCTGCCTATGGGCAGAGCCAGGCGGAGGATTTCAAAGTGTTCCTTGAGGACTCAGTAGCACCCAGTTTATGTCTGGAGTGGCACACTTTTGTACTGCATTTTTGCTATGAGAAGGTTTGTCTCAACGCCCCTGCAAAGTCCCTGCAGCGGCAGCCTCATCACACTCCTCACCACTCAGTCTCCTTGGCTGGGGTCTGCAGGGGGTGGCTCAGCCCTGTAAAGCCTCCAGGTTCGAGTCAGCCCAACTGCGTTCAGCAAGGACCACAGGAGGGATCCAGTTATTTTGGCAAAACCCTGCCCCACTAAGCAGGGCTCTTTCACATGGCACGATAAGAAGCTGTTCCTCCTGCTGTCTCCTCCCCGGCCACTGCAGCCTCCCCAGCCACGGCCAGCCCTCTGTACTTTAGCCCCACAGACCCCCCTCGCACTCCTGAGTGGGGCAGGATTGCACTTGACCCGGGGCCTTTGATGTGGCAATCTCTGCCTGAAATGCCCTTTCTCGCCCTCGCTTGAATCAAGCCTGCTCTTCTCTTGGGAGGCTGCCTGGGGGCCTTTCCTGAAGCCCCTGGTCTTGTCCGCACCTCTTGCATGCCTGTTTTCTAACACACCCCGGAACTGTTCTTGGTGGTCTGAGAACACCACGAGGCAAGGACCCCGTCTTACTTATTGCTATTTATCACCCGGCACATAGGAGGTGCCCTCTGCAAGGAGTACAAGCAGTCTATAGGGAAAAGTGCCCAGATCCAACCTTACTGGGATGAAGGAAAGACCAGGCCAAACAGAACAGCATAAAAGCGGGCTGTAGACATGTGTGTACATGTTTGTTTATGAAAGTCCACCCTCCACCCCAATGTTCCAGATCTTTCTCTCCACATGTCTGTGTGTAAGGCACAGGTCCTCCCGGGAAGGCCATTATTCTATTCGTCGGCCTCCAGGAGCGGGCTGTGCTTTTGTCCAGAATGCCACAGTGCTGACCAGAAAGGCACTCCCTGGTCCTCTGTGAATCAGCAGCCGCCCTGCAAAAGGCTGACCAGTTACACACAGGTCAGACAGACCAGCAGGGAAACTGGAAAGCAGGGTCAGAGGATAAGTGCTGATTTGGGTTCATGGCAAAACCCATGCAGAGCCTGTAGTTTTGCCTGATTGGCACTAACACTCACAGCTAAGAACTCTAGAGAGCCTCTGCGTCCCCAATGCGCCTCCCAGCCCATGTGCCCATGCGTGCCATCTCTGGCCTGCCTTCTCTGCCTCTGGCCTCCCTTCCCAGAGGCCTCCTGCACAGCCTGTGGGGGCACTGTCCTCTGGCACAGGCATGAGCCCCCCAGCCCTAGCCCCGCATGGCGACTCGCTGCCAAGTGATCTCTGTAGCAGGCCCTACGTAAGCACACGACCCTTCACAACAGCCTGATGAGATGGTTACCAGTCAGTATCCCCATTTTACAGATGGAGAATCAGAGGCTGAGAGGAGTTACTTAACTTGGCCTAAATCCTGCACAGTGGAAACAGCAGAGCCAAGAGCTGAGTCCAAGTCTGACTCCATCGGCATGTCTTCCCCTTCCCCAAATGAAAATGCAGCTTTTTAAAAAAGCTGGTCATGGCTGGGTGCAGTGGCTCGCGCCTGTAATCCCAGCACTTTGGGAGGCCGAGGCAGGCGGATCATCTGAGGTCAGGAGTTCGAGATCAGCCTGGCCAACATAGCAAAACCCCGTCTCTACTAAAAAATACAAAAATGAGCCAGGCATGGTGGCACACATCTGTAATGCCAGTTACTCAGGAGGCTGAGGCAGGAGAATCACTTGAACCTGGGAGGTGGAGGTTGCAGTAAGCCGAAATTGCACCACTGCAGTCTCGCCTGGGCAACAGAGTGAGACTCTGTCTCAAAAAACAAAAAAAACAAAAAAAAACAGCTGATCATATACATAATATGGATGTATTGTTTCTCTATTATTTGAACTTAATGTGTATGATAAAAAGTGAAAATCAACTGAAAAGTGTACAGCTTGGAGATGATTAAGAATTTGATGCCAGCTGGGCGCGGTGGCTCACGCCTGTAGTCCCAGCACTTTGGAAGTCCAGGCGGGTGGATCACTTGAGGTCAGGGGTTTGAGACCAGCCTGGCCAACATGGTAAAACCCTGTCTCTACTAAAAAATACAAAATTAGCCAGGTGTGGTGGCAGGAGCCTGTAATCCCAGCTACTTGGGAGGCTGAGGCAGAAGAATCCCTTGAACCCAGGAGGCGGATGTTGCAGTGAGCCGAGATTGCGCCACTGCACTTCAGCCTGAGTGACAGAATGAAACTGTGTCTCAAATTAAAAAAAAAAAAAAAAAAAGAATTTGATGCCATGTTTCTGTGTGTTTACATATATTCATTATATAGTGTTATATATGTCCGTACTTCAATATATCCCACTTTACATGAACAGGATCATATTATGTATGCTGTTGTTGTAAGCGGAATTCCGCCCCCCCCTTTATTTTTTTTTGAGACGGAGTCTCGCTCTGTCCCCCAGGCTGGAGTGCGGTGACACGATCTCGGCTCACTGCAAGCTCCGCCTCCCGGGTTCAAGCGATTCTCCTGCCTCAGCCTCCCGAGTAGCTGGGACTACAGGTGCCCGCCACCATGCCCAGCTAATTTTTTGTATTTTTAGTAGAGACGGGGTTTCTCCGTGGTAGCCGGGATGGTCTCGATCTCCTGACCTCGTGATCCGCCCTCCTCAGCCTCCCGAAGTGCTGGGATTACAGGCGTGAGCCACTGCGCCCGGCCGAATTTCCCCCTTTTGTATTGCTGTTTCTTCTTGCACAGCTCCGCCTCCAGCCACCATCCTTTCCTTAGCATTCACGGAAACGTATGACAGGCAGGCCAACTACAGAATTTGTGGGACTCCGTACAAAGTGAAAAATGGGCCCATTCCTCAAAAAGCAGGAAAGAAGTGTTGGTAAAGGTATTAAGCCATAAGGCTTTTTCCTTTCTTCTGTGGTCTCTCTTTTGACTTGTCATGACAAGTGTTCTTTTTTGTTGTTGTTGTTGTTTTGTTATTTTGAGACCAAGTCTCACTCTGTTGCTCCCCCAGGCTGGAGGGCAGTGGTGTGGTGTGATCTTGGCTCACTGTAACCTCCACCTCCCGGGTTCAAGCAAATCTCTTGCCTCAGCCTCCCGAGTAGCTGGAATTACAAGTGTGTGCCACCATGCCCAGCTAATTTTTGTATTTTTGGTAGAGATGAGGTTTCACCCTGTTGGCCAGGCTGGTCTCAAACTCCTGACCTCAAGTGATCTCCCTGCCTTCAGCCTCCCAAAATGCTGGGATTGCAGGAGTGAGCCACTGCTCCTGGCCTGTCATGGTGTTTTTAAAATTTGCTGTTTAATGTTGTTCTAAGTATAGAAAAATTAAAACGTTAAATTATTAGCATGCATTTACCATTCACCTTGAGAGTATAGAAAAATTAAAACGTTAAATTATTAGCATGCATTTACCATTCACCTTGATATCACTCAATGCCAGTTATAAGCACAAAAACCAGTGCATTTAGCTCTTATTTAAAACCACCAGAATTGTGCCTATTTCACAGCTTGCAGAAACACTGCAGAAAACAAGCTCATCTGTTTTCCTTTCACTTCTTGGTATGTGCACGTTTCATCAGCACTCTCTACCTTCCTCTCACAGGGAGTGGGGGGACTCAAAGGAGCAGGAACTCTGGGGCCCTGCCCTCCCCTTTTCGGTGGGTGTGGTTGGCCAATGTAGGGAAACAACACCAGTAAGGAAGGATGTGACCGGGTCTCTTGCCTTGGTATCTGTTAGAACGCCGCTGCCTTCTTTCTGCCTTTGAAGCAAGTCCTGGTTTGAATGGAAAGCGTGGCCTCTGGATGGAACGCCTTGGACTCACTTTGAGTGTCTCTGAACCGGGCACCACTGCTTCCAGCAGAGAGACTTGGAGTGACGAGACTCTGGAGAAGTGAGCCCTACCCTCCACCTCTGGGGGTTGCTGGGCAAACAAGGGAGAGAGGGAATGCCCAGTTCCTCACCCAGGGCTTGGCAGGGACTTCCCCAACTCAGAGACTTTTCTCCACTCTAACACTTAAGAAATTGAAGTGGGTAGATTTAATCTGCAATTATTCTTTCCCTTGAAAGCTGGTGTCTTATAAATAGAGGTCCTTAGTGTTAAGAAAATATGCAAAGTCCTCTGAAGGGTTTATGAAATGCGTTTGGAAGAAATAAACGCTTAAAGCAAGCAAAGTCCTGGCTATTCCTGGTGCAAAAACCTCCAGAAGTGAGATGGAGAGGGACCTGAGGTGGGGGCAAGGTGAAGAAGAGGCCAGTCCTTCCTCTGTCCGTCTATCCCTCTGCTGCCCTGGGAGGTGACGGTGGGTTCCCAGGTTTGGCGGGAAGTAGCCCTCAGCCTGGCAGTCGGCCTGGCCACTCTTCCTAATTCTATCCTTGGCAGCGGGGCTGTCGTCTGCAGGTCTGGAGAGGCAGTTACTCACTTCCTGGTGCTGGGACGTCCGCCTGGGGGATTCTGAGGCAGGGGCAGTGGGGCTGGTTCCTCCCCTCGCTTCCTGGAATTCCTCAGACCCCTCTTCTGGGACTGACAGCTGAGCCAGAGTCCCAGGCTGCCCGCTCGGCCTGCCCATAGAATAGCCCTCCCCACCCTTATCTGCCCTCCATATCCCAAGTTCAGGTTCCAGCCTATTGGCCACCAGAGGTGGCACAAGGGGCCTTTGCCTCCGAGAAGACACAGGAGTGGGGGTTGGCACCTGGCAGGAGCCCTCCATGATCTAGCCATGTCCACCTGGTCCGCCTGTCTACCAATCAGCTCCTTCACCTGACCAGGCCTCCAGTCCCCTGGGGCCCTGTTCTTGGCTCACACTGTGCTTGGCGTGTGCTGTTCCTCCCCTGGACTCCCTTCCTCACAGCGCTGCAGACCCAGTCCCATTGCTCTCCAGCCCCGCACGATGTGCCTGCTCCCGAAGCCCGCGTTCCCTCTGAGCCGCTTTGTCACAGCCTCTTACTGTCGGTCTGTGCCTTCCCAAGTGACCCATGACTTGTCTTCCTTCAAGGCCCTGGGCCAGGGACCTCCTGTCCTCTGATCACTTGTCACCAGGGTGGCTGTAACCCCCCGGTCCACCCATGCCCTTTATAACACAGAGACAGCACCTGCTGCACGGCTTGTGAAAATTAGATGAGACGATTGCTACAAGGCAAGCAGCAGAGCGGCAGGCCTGCGGCAAGGACTGCACAAGACAGCCACGGACCTCGCCTTCAAGCCCAGCGCCGCCACTCACAACCCACACAAGCCTGGGCAGGAGCCCCAGGCTCCTCACCAGTAGAATGGAAGTATTAATATGAACAGGTCCATCACAGGGCTACTGGGATGGCCAGGTGGGAATCTGCGTAAAGCCCAGTCCTCACTGGATTACTCCTCTCTTCTTGGCAGTGGCCACAAGCACCCCTTCTTTTCCTCCCTTTTGAAAAAATCAAGGCGAAACTCACATAACATAAAATTCCCCATTTTAAAGTGTATAACTGATTGGCATTTAGTACATTCACAATATGGTACAACTATTCCTTCTATCTAGTTCCAAAGCATTTCATCACCCCCAGAGAGGACCACATTGCCCACTAAGCAGTTGCTCCCAGAACCCCCTCCTACCCCCAGCCCCTGGCCACCACCAGCTGACTTTCTGTTTCTATGGATTTGCCTGTTCTGGACATTTCGTATAAATGAAACCTTACAATATGTGAACTTTTGTGTCTGACTTCTTTCACTTAGCAAAACGCTTTTGAGGCTCATCCGTGATATGGTTTGGATATTTGTCCCCTTCCAATCTCATGTTGAAATGTGACCTCTGGTGTTAGAGGTGGGCTGAGGGGGAGATGACTGGGTCATGGGGGTGGATCCCTCAGGAATGGCTTGGTGCTGTCCTCACAGTAATGAGTTCTTACACGATGAGCTCCCTCAAAAGCTGGTTGTTTAAAAGATCCTGGCACCTCCTCCCTCTCTCTCTTGCTTCCTGTCTTACCACATGACACGCCACCTTCCAGTTGCCTTCCACCACAATCAGAAGCTTCCTGAGCCCTCACCAGAAGCAGATGCCAGCACTGTGCTTCCTGTACAGTCTGCAGAACTGTGAGCCAAGCAAACCTCTTGTCTTTATGAGTTACCCCGTATCAGGTATTTCTTTCTTTTTTTTTTTGAGACGGAGACTTGATCTGTCTCCCAGTTTGGATTCCAGTGGTGCAATCTCAGCTCACTGCAACCTCTGCCTCCCAGGTATAAGCAACTCTTCTGCCTCAGCCTCCTGAGTAGCTGGGACTAGAGGTGCATACCATCACACCTGGCTAATTTTTTTGTATTTTAGTAGAGACAGGGTTTCCCTGTGTTGACCAGGCTGGTCTTGAACTCCTGAGCTCAGGCAATCCACCGGCCTCGGCTTCCCAAAGTGTTAGGATTACAGGCAAGAGCCACCGTGCCCGGCCAGGTATTTATATGCAAACAGACTAACACAATCCATATCGCACCATGCGTAGGTACTTTATTCTTCTTTAAGGCTATCTAAATATACCATGTTTTGTTTATCCATTCACTAGCTGATGTACATTCAGGCTATTCCCATCTCTTGACTATGTGGCTAATGCTGCTAGGGACAATCACGTACAAGTGTTTGCCTGAGTCTGTTTTCCATTCTTTTGGGAAGACCCAGAGAATTGCTGGGTCACGTGGTTAACTCTATGCTTAACTTTTTGAGGAGTGGCTGGACTGTTTACTCAGTGGCTGCTGCACATTCCTACCAGCAATATCCCTTTTGTCTTTTGATCTCCACTCTCAGGTTCAAACACAGCTCACTGAGTCTGGAAGGACACTGACCCAGGGGCAGTGGAGTTTCTACCCACTCAAGGTGCCAAATGTCACCGTGAGCATCACCATCCTGTCCATCCCTGTGTTGGGAGAGTATTTCATAGTGCACCAAGGGACGTTCCCATGTTCTACTCATCTGACCTTATAAACAGGCAGAGGCGAGTGACCTTCCCAGGGCCGCCCAGGTAATGCGTGGCCATGTTGAAGCAGGAATCCAGTCCTTCTGACCCCAGTGCCCTGGTCTGCAGCCTGGAGCTCCAGTCCTGAGCCAACACCTTTCCCTGGGAGCTGCCCGCCCTGCACCTTCCCCCTCCCAAGGCTGGTGCTTCAGCCAGATCCTGATTTGGCCCCCATAAAAATGCTCAGACCTCCCTGGGAGAGAGAAGCCCTCTAAGTACACAACATTCTGGGTCACATTCCTCGGCTTGGGGTGACGTCACTTGATCTGTAGGCCAAGGGCCTCCAGCCAGGTGTCCTTCACTGTTGAACAGTTCCCCTTCAGGTCTGTTTTCTGAAGGTGGCCCCCTCCCTGCTCCGTGGGTGGATGGCTCACCTCCAGGCACCCTGAGGCCAGCCACAGCCACCCTCTGGAAAAAGGTCAATCATCCAGCTCCTAAGGGCTGAGCACCTGCTCCAGCCAGGCCCTGCCAGGCAGGTTATAGGCACCATCCCCAGACCACATGGACAGCTCCTGAGTGGAAATTGCTGCACAGTGTCCCTGATGAGGAAACTGAGGCTCCTCAGAGGCTCCCAGAGGACCTGAGCTCATAGCCCCCTCCCCACGGCCATCACCCACCTCACCCAGACACTCTGACCAGGGGTCTCCTCTGGGACTCTGGCCGGTTTCTCACTTCCCCTCCTTTGCCTCCCACACTTCGGCCACACCTTCATACAGCTGCTGGAAGGGCCTTTTCAATTAAAGAACTTAGAAAACATTGCACAACAGTACAGTTCACTTTCTGTGGTGTTTAGTTACGTGGGTTTTGACAGGTGCAGAACCACGGCTCTGGCCCCCTGGAGCAGTGCGTCACCCTCGTGGCCTGCGTGTCCCATTTGTGGTCAAAGTCCTCCCAACCCCCAACCCCTTGGCAACCACTGTCCAGAGAAATTTTTAAGAAGGTATGCCATCCTCTGGTTTCCACTGCACCCACAATAAAACCCAAACACCCTCTCACCTTGCCGGGTGTGAGCCCCAGGACCCCACATCTCCGACCGTCTCTCACCAGTGCCCCACACCTCCGACCGTCTCTCAGCAATCCCCAGCCCCCATCACCACCCTCTGCAGGCCTCCTCACCTGCCCCGTGCTGCCGCAGGCCACTGGCTATGTCAGGAAAGCTCTCCCCTTGCCCCCCATGTCCAGCGCCTCTCCTCCCCAAGGCACAAGCTCAGTGGCTCCTCCTCAGGGGCCTCCCCTGCCATCCTGACGAAGACGGTGCCTTCTGCCCTCCCTATGCAGCAGCTTAGGGAGGTGCCTTCTGCCCTCCCTGCATGCAGCATACCTCCTCTATGGAGTGGTGAGCTTGTTGATTTGCTGTTCTCCCGTGTCACCATGAACGTGCAGAGGGCAAGGGCTGTGTCTGTGCCATCCACTGATCCGCAGGCAGGCACATGCCAGGTGCTTGATAAACACCCCTTGGCCAGAGAAAGAGAGGCTGCAGCCAGCTGTGAACCCAGTTTCTGGCTGACTCCTCAGTCTATACCCTTCCTATTCCATTTCATGGATCCCCCAGAATTCTCACTCATCTGCCCTTCAAATGGCCATGGAAGCCACCTCTGTCCCCATGTGCCAGCCTAGGACTCCCTGAGCTGGGAAGCTGGTCCCGCTTTCTCCCTGTCAAGATGAACACCCCCAGCCCTCTACCCGCTACACATCGGAGGTGGCAAAGGGTCCCCTGGTCTCCTGGCGAGTCATGAGAGTGGCAGTCCTGGGAGATGTGGCAGTCCTGGGGGAGGGGTGCTGGACGGAGGGAGGAGCCAGCCCCGAGACATCAAGGTGGCCCTGAGCAACACATCCTGTCGCTCCTGCCCCGTAAATAGACACCACCTTCCTAAACGTGGCCCTGGAACGAACCCCAAGGGGTAGAGTTGGAAGCAGAATCCAGAGTCCCCTGTTGCCAGGAATAGCCAGGGCCCCCTGCAGCAGAGCCCATGTGGGTGGAGGCTGTTAGATTGGCCGCCCTTCCGGGCACCGAGCTAGGCTCTTTTCCCAGACCAGATGATTCAGAAAGTGAGAAGGTGACCTTTCCTTTTCTGAAGGTCCCTTTTTTGATTCCAGGGTTTATTTGGGGACATTTTTAGCAATCTAATGGAAGCAAAAGTGAATTACGTTGTTATGGAGGTTGGCACGGTGCCTGGCAAAGGGAAGTGTGTCGTGAATAATTATTGATTGAATCACAAACGCCTTCTTCCCCTGAATACGGAGTGCTTCAAGACAAACAATAGAAACCCAGGCGGTCTGTGCATCTCCTCCACCCGAAAAGGACTCAGCAGTTCTCTGGCTGGTGGGGGTCAGGGGAATTCTAGGGGACAAGCAGCCAGGAATGATGGTGCCCAAACGTCACCTCAGAGCTGCTCCTGCGTAGACACTGCCGCTGCCTCTGTGGTCACAGATCTGGAGTTGCTGCTGCTGCTGAGCCCTGGCCACGCTGGACAGTCTCACGCTGCCCCAATGCATCTGGGAGCTGGCTGCAGCTTCTGCCACCCTCCTTGGACGGGTTCCTAGTGTGCTCACCTCTCCCCATCACTGGCTCCTGGTTCAAAGGCCCATGTGGGAGCATCCTATGAGGGAATCCTGGTTACCACCTGCACCCCAGGTGCAGAAAAGAATGGGAGAGCATTTGCCACCCTCATCAGGTGGAGAATCCCCACACCCAGAAAGGGTGTTCAGAGAGGCAGGAAAGACCCACAAGAACCAATACACTCACAACGACCCCGCTCCAGACCTCCCATATTTGGGCCACATGTCCCTGGCATTCTCTGCCTCTGAGCCTTTGCCTGAACAGCCCCCTGCACTTAGCAAGATCCACGCTGTGTATTTCCCCATCTTTCCATGTTACAAGTCCCACCTTCTAGAACGTCTCAGCGCCAATGTCCCCTCCTCCAGGTGTCCCTCAGCTGGAAGGAATCTTTCGTTCTCTGAACTTGCCTGTCTTGCATCAGTCTCTCCACAGGCTGCCCAGAGCTGCCCCCGGGAGGGGCTCTGCCCAGCCCCAGGTGTCAGATGAGCAAACTTCTGTTCACACTCCGGCCGCTGCTTGCTGTAATGCCTGCCCCAGAGTTGGTCCCCTGAGCTGCTCACCCATACCAGTGCCATGGGTCCTTGGGCAAGAGGACCGCTTCCTACCCCTCCCCACCATCTGAGCCCCTCCTAACGAGCTTCATCCAGTGAGGTCCTGTGACTTAATTCCATCCAGCAGGCCCCATCCCCACTGCATGGTCACTGCACACAGTGGCAGCGCCACCAGGCTCTGAGCCTAGAGCCACCCTCCCTTTCCTCACTGCCTTTGTGTTGTGCCCTTTGGATCCCATGAGGACAGTAAGAGCCCTTCTGATGTCTGTCCCTGCTGCTCTTCCTGCTTGGCAAAACATTGACATCCCCAAGGATGGTGTTTGCATAGTAGAATGATTTATAATACTTTGGGTATATATCCAGTAATGGGATTGCTGAGTCAAATGGTCTAAAGACCTGGGATCAATAGAAAGGAAATGTTCAGGTTAAGATAAAAGTTTGTGGAGACCAGGGTTCTTTTGAAGTCTTATATTGGCTGCCCTTAGAGACAATGGATGACAAATCTTTCCTATTCAGATCTTTAAAATGTGCTAGACTCTTAGTTAATCTCTTCAGGATTGGGAGGGCCTGGAAGAAAAAGATCTAGCTATGTTAATAGAGATTCATTTCAGATGCAAATTTTCCCTCACAAAGGACGGCTTTGCAGGGCCATTTCAAGATACAGCAAAGAAAAATGTTTTGGGGTAAAATATTTTGATTTTCCTCCTTATCTCATAATATTATGCCAGAGTCAGGTTGGAAAGTAAGTCACGATATATAGGGTTAAATAAAACACATCTGATGAGAATGTATGGTTTGTAAGGCATGACTCCCAAGACCCCTTAGATAGGAATTTGGGCAAGATTGAAAAATCAGAGCTTAGTCCTCAGAAAGGCCCCCACCGGCATTCCTAGCTTGCTGCTGGATGTTTCCTCCATGAAGCACTCTTGGCACTGAGGCCAGACCAGCTGTGCAGACCCTGGGCCCAGCTCACTATGCAGTGTAAGCAGGTGGCCAGCAGCACTGGCCATTTGAAGAAACCCACTAAACAAGCAAAGAGGAAAGAGACCAAGAATAAGCAGTGAAGACTATCAAAAAAAATTAAATTATTATTAAAACCTCACAAGGATAAAATATTGCACCCATTAAATAATCATTCTACTATAAAGACACATGCACACGTATGTTTATTGCAGCACTATTTACAATAGCAAAGACATGGAACCAACCCAAATGCCCATCAATGGTAGACTGGATAAAGAAAATGTGGCACATATACACTAGGAATACTAGTCAGCCTTAAAAAGGAATGAATTCATGTCCTTTGCAGGGACATGGATGAAGCCAAAAGTCATCATTCTCAGCAAACTAACAGAGGAACAGAAAACCAAACACCGCATGTTCTCACACATAAGTGGGAGTTGAACAATGAGAACACATGGGCAGAGGGAGGGGGAACAACACACACCAGGGCCTGTCTGTGGGTAGGGGCAAAAGGAGGGAGAGCATTAGGACAAATACCTAAGCATATGGGGCTTAAAACCTAGATGATGGGTTGCTAGGTGCAGCAAACTACTATGGCACATGTATATCTATGTAACAAACCTCCCCCTTCTGCACATGTATCCCAGAACTTAAACTAAAATAAAAAATAAAAATTAAAAAATTAAAAAAGGAGGAATGCCAAAAAAAAGAGAGAAACTCAACCAATTGTCAACCAGAAAATGTTTAAATGTACCTATAGCCTGAAACACCCCTCCCCACCACACACTTTGCGTTGTCCCACCTTTCTGGACCAAATCAATGTATTTCTTAAATGTATTTGATTGAAGTCTCATGCCTCCCTAAAATGTATAAAACCAAGCTGCACCCTGACCACCCTGGCACATGTTCTCAGGATCTCCTGAGGGCTGTGTCATGGGCCGTGGTTGCTCATATTTGGCTCAGAATAAATCTCTTCAAATATTTTACAGAGTTTGACTCTTTTCGTCAGCACTTCCAATGTCAGCTCTGCAGGTGTTCCCTCTAGAGCCCTGCAGTCCCTGCCTGACAAGCATATGCCTGGCATCGGCCTTGTGGGAACAGGACCCAGAAGGAGCCTGGGGTGCCAGAGCTCCACATACAGATTTCCATGGAACCCTAAGCTGTTCAGCCTCATGCCTCACCTCTAATCTCTCCCATTTAATTTTCCCAGAGAGTAAAGCTAGTGTAGGGGCTGGAGGTATTTAGTGGGGGAAGGGAGAAGAAGCTATTGCTGGAGTCAGACCTCTTGGTCTACTCTTTAATGTTTGGGTCAGAGGGAGCGTAACAGAGGCTAGAAGGAGGGGACTGAGAACACAACCATTTTGCAGACAAATTTTTATCCAATCTCCTTTTTCTTGAGTCTCATATCTAACGCCCTCCTTTTGTGACACCTGCCACTTCAAAACACTGAGCACCTAGATTCTGTGGTCAAGTGGCTTGTTGACGGCACCCTTTCCTCATGCCCTTGGGTGGACACCGTCTTCACTCTGCTAGATCCCTGGCTTGCTTTCAGTCAACTAACAGTTTATTGACTCTCAGCTGCTACTGCAGCATCTTCTGTGTGCTGTGTTCTTGTACAGCAACATCTTTTGAAAAATCGCAACACCTTTACTAATATTTTTAAAGGGGTTTTGGGAGAGGGAGCACACTGACGTGTGATGAATCTGCCACTTTTAGCCAATACTGTCATTTAATTTTCTGCCTATAACCCTCCTGCCTTCCAGATAAGTTACTGGACTGCTCACACTGCGTCTGCCTTCCCCCTCACTGGTGCGATGGCCGTCGGCCCCTCCCTGTCCCTCGAGCACTTCCACATTCGCTAGGGCACTGACGATGGGCCTCCCCCAGCTCGGTCCCCTGGCCACTTTGGCTGAAGTGTCACTTCTCCCAGAGAAGCCTGCCTGACTGCCCAATCTGAAGTAGCCCACAACACATACACATACGCACACACACAGAAACACACGTCACACATACCAGCACACACATACCAACACAGACCACACACAACACCACTGCTGACTCAGAATCACCAGCTTTGGCAGCACCCCACGGGCTGCCCAGAGCCTCCCAGGGGTTCCCATCTGCTTGTCCTTCACACCCTGACACCTTCTAGTTCCCCATCATCCCACGCAAATAACCTTTCCTGCTACTTTACAGACAAAACAGAAGTGAGGACTCCCCCAGCTGTTCCCACCCCCAGCACAGAGCTGCCACCCACCTCTCCGGCCTGGATAAGGCTCTGCTTCCTACAAAGTGTCTTCACGGCCACATTTGCCCCTTCCCCTCCTGGCAGCCCAAGGGCCCTTCCAAAAGCGTAAGTCAGCATTTGTCACTTAAAACTCTACCGTGCTTCTGTTGCTCTTAGAGTAAGGACCAAGCCACCGGTGGTGCCTGGCTCCTGCTATCTCTTCTTCCCACTTTCACGCTCTCTCTCCTGTCCCCTGGAGCTTTCTTTCAGTTTCAGAGAGATCTTGGACTCAGGACTTTTACATTTGCTTTCTCCAGGAGTGATGTTTAAAATCTTTACCAATGGCAATATGATGGAACAGCCTCTTGGAGACCTCTTGGTCTACCAGGAGTTTCCTCTTTAACGTTTGGATCATAGGGAGTGTGTCAGTTACCCACGGCTGCCACAACAAAGTACCATAAATGGAGCGGCTTAAACGACAGGAATTGATTGTCTCACAGTGTTGGAGACTAACAGTCTGACATTAAGGTGTGGGCAGGGCCGGGAACCCTGTGAAGGCTCTAGGGGGAATCTGTTCCAGGCCTCTCTGTAGCTTCTGGTAACTCCTTAGCTGTGGCAGCAGAACTCCTGTCTGCACATCGCATTCTCCCTGTGTGTGCGCATCCGTGTCCAAGTTACTCCCTTTTATATAAGAACACATTGGATTAGGGCCACCCCAATGATCTCCTTTCAACTTGATTGTCTGCAAAGACTCTATTTCCAAATAAGGTCATGTCCACAGCTACTGGGGGTTACAACATCAACTCCTTTTTGGGGGACACTATTTACCCCATAAAAGGAGATTCCAGGAGCAGGGGTTGGGGTGAGCTGAGTGTTGGGATGGGATGTGGGAAGGTATCTATTCATACATAAGGAAGTATGTTGGTATTTAATATCCAGTGTGTACTGGCTAAATCTTTCCTCTGCTAGTCCTGGAACTCTCCTCGTTACTTTTTTTTTTTTTTTTTTAAGATGGAGTCTTGCTTAATCACCCAGGCTGGAGTGCAGTGGTGAGATCTTGGCTCACTGCAACCTCCACTTCCTGGGTTCAAGCAATTCTCCTGCCTCAGCCTCCTGAGTAGCTGGGATTACAGGCACCTGCCACCACGCCCGGCTAATTTTTGTATTTTCAGTAGAGACAGGGTTTCACCATGTTGGCCAGGCTGGTCTTAAACTCCTGGCCTCAAGTAATCCACCTGCTTCATCACTCTTCCCTGCATCTGGCAACACCCATTTATCATTCAGGCCCCAGCTTAACCGTCGGTGCCCCACAGAACCTTCTCTGGAAGCTCAGCCTGCAGGGGCTTGTTGCCCTGCCATGTGTATCCACTGCGCCTGTACCTCCCTGTCTTACTTTGTGTCTGCCAAGAGATTACTCCCCTTCCCTGGGCACCTGGAGCTGAGCAGGTGCTCAGTGATTATTTGGATGGATGTCTTTTCTCCCTCCCATGGAGTCCTGGAGGCAGCGATCTCATCTTCTATACATCACTGTCTCCAATCCTGTGGTCACTTGAGAAAGGTGGATGAGTAAAAAAATGATTTTATGTGTGCATGGTTACCCAGTCAGCCAGTATCAGGCATATGAAAACCTTGCTTGGATTTTCACTCTGATGGATGGAATGGAACGCGTAGATAAGCAGGTACAGGACTTTTGTGGTTTTGGTTTTGGAGTTTTGCTGTGCAAAAAACGTCTGGCCTCTTGCACTCCAGAGTGAGAAGAAATGAATGAGCTCCATGCAGATGGGTGACCTTGGGCAGGCCACAGAGGCCTGGAAAGTCCCCCAGGGAATCCGGGCTCTCTAGACAGCTAGTGGATGCCTGAGGGCTGTGCCTGCTGGGCAGGGTCCCTGCAAGAGGCAGTTAAGAACAATGACTTGTTTGGAGAAAGGCCCCACTGGGGCATGGGTTTCCTCCGGGTGTTTGGGAAGCTCCACCAGCACAGCTGTAATCTTGCCAGCAGTTCAAAAGGGTTGGGAAGCTCAGGCCTGGGTTTGCATTCTGCCCTTCTGTGGACCCTGGAAGGGAGGACACCTTTCATGTTCCTTCACCAGGAGCGACCTCACATAAGAGGAGGGCTGATGGGGCACCACATGCCACAGCTGGGAGCCTCCTAATCCTGGGGGCGGCCAGTTCCAACCATCACCCTGATTGTCTCATCTTCCATAGCCGGGTCCCCTGGCCACTTTGGCTCAAGTGACACTTCTCCCAGAGAAGCCTGCCTGACCGCCCAATCGGAAGTAGCCCACAACACATACACATATGCACACACACAGAAACACACGTCGCACATACCAGCGCACACGCACCAACACAGACCACACACAACACACACATACACATCACACAGATAAACCACACACAATGTGCACACCAATGCAAACTCCACCAACATACACATCACACAAACACACGTACACACCCCATGGATGCTACGCACGCAGACACACACATGCACGGAGGCTTTGACCTCTATCTCTTTACCATTGTTTGTCTTCCTCGTAGCCCTACCACTGTCCTGCTTTTGAGGGCCATGGGTTTACTCGCTCACTGGAGGTGCTCCTTCACTAGAACGTAAACTCCAAGACATCAAGGACCTTGCCTATCTCGTTCACCAGTGGACTCTGAGCTTTTAGAGCAGTGTCTGGTGCATAGTAGATGCAGTGGGCTATCTCCTAGAATGAGTATGGACTTTTGGTGGCCCCTGGCCTGCCAGGCATCACCACTATGCTCACTGCTGCCCTAAGCTATCTTACAACAGACAAAGTAGTCCATTCCCAGCTCGGAAATAAAAGCCTTAAATTGCACATGAAGCTTCTGAGAGGTTAAGAAACAGCCTCTTGGGTGTTTGTGGCATTCTCAAATCCACTTGCAGACACAGTGGTGCTAAGATCAGATGTTGTGGAGTCTCAGAGGTGCTGTGTGTCCATCTCATCCAGCCCAGAGGCTGCTAACCCAGGGCATAGCCCGTGTGACCCTGAGGAGGAGCTGACTGAACTTGGATGGGCTCTCTCTGTCCTGGAAGCTTTCTGGGGTCCATGTCAGCCAAACCTCCAGAACTCGGGGTGCTGACACCCAAGCCCTCTGAAGCATGGTGAAGAGAGGTCCCCTGTGGTCCCAGAATGGCAGGCAGGGCAGCAGCCAGGGAGGTGGACTGCCTGGTCCAAATTCTGCCTCTGCCTCTGCTGCAGATCTCAAGGTACTTAGCTTGATTTTTCGTCTGTTCAATGCAGCTGCAACAGAACCTATCTGCTAGGCTTGTGCCAGGATTCAACAAGCTAATGCATGCACAGTGCCTGCATGCATCTCTCAGGAACTATTATTCTGGGTTCTAGGCAATTGATCCATGACCATGGGTAGGAGGAAGCTTCCAGAACTGCCTTCCTGCATCTTTGGAGGAGAATGTGGCATACTTGAGTCAGGTTAGTAAAGGCTGAAAATAGAGGCAGCTACGTGCCCTGTGTAATGTCCAGATCCTGGCACTACAGGGACGTTGCTCCCTTCCCTGCCCCCGCCTCCCCAAGGTCACTCTGGGTCCCACCACATCTCCTTAATATTGTGCTCATTTAGTGCCTCCTCATTACTCATGAGGGCAACAACATCAGGACAGCTCAAGGCTTTTCGTTCTCTGTGGCTCCAGGTCATGGGAGTTCATGCCTGGCCCTGGGGCTTGGCCACTGACTGGGGAGGCTTTTGCCTGGACCGGGACCCACACAAAGATATAGTCTAGGGGCATGTTTTAAAAAACCATGGAGCCAGCCAGGAAGATTTTACCTCCTCACCTGCCTACCAATAATAATACAAGATTATCAGCTATGAGTCAGCCTCTCCTATTCCTTAGAACTTGGCTTAAGTCTTCTTATAATAGTTATTTAATCCTCAAACACAACTGTGAAATAGGTATTACCAGTCCCATCTTATATATGGGGAAACTGAGGCTCAGAGAGGAGCAGTGACTTGCCTCAGGTTACACAACTGAGAGACAGAAGGGTCAGCTCTTGCGGGCAGGTCCCCTATCTCAGCGCCCACCCAGGCTCTTCACATTCCCTCCTCCCCTGACCTGGGACAATACCTGAGTCTCTGGTTATGCTCTGGGCAGATGGCACCGTAAGAAACCAGCCGAGTGAGGGGTCAGAGGGAGACTGGCTCAGTGAATGTGCGCGGGGCCAACACACTGGGCAATGGCTTCCACTGGCAATGACAGACCAGTGGGGGAGAGGATTGAGGCCCGGTTGACATTGTGCCTCTGACTCAGGCATGAAATTCCCCACGAGGTCGGGGAGCTGGAAAAACACCAGTGTTGTGGGAAAAACATTGGGAGGGCCGCGTGCATACAGCCAGATGGTTTCCATCTTGGCAATGATGGAACTTGGGCACCAGGGAGCAGATGGAAATCCTAGGGTTTGATGTGGGTAAATGTGATCATTAACACCAGCCTCCTTGTTTGCTCTCTCACTCTCTCACTCTGTCTCTTTCCCTTTCTGTCTCCGTCTCTATCTCCCTTCCCCTCTGTCCTTGTTGGTGAGAGTTCTCCCTCTGAATCTAAGGTTTACTTTGCAAGCAGATTTCGCATCTGTTTTTTTGTCTATGCTTCTCATTGTTTTTTTCTGTGTCCTTTTCTTTGGCTTCTCATTTTCCCCTCATGGTTCTTACAAAGTTTTTTTTTTCTTTTTTGAGATGGAGTTTCACTCTTGCTGCCCAGGCTGGAGTGCTGTGGCACAGTCTCGGCTGACTGCAACCTCCCCCTCCTGGGTTCAAGTGATTCTCCTGTCTCAGCCTCCCGAGTAGCTGGAATTACAGGTGCCTGCCACCACGCCTGGCTAATTTTTGTAATTTTAGTAGAGACAGGGTTTCACCATGTTGGCCAGGCTTGTCTCGAACTCCTGACCTCAGGTCATCTGCCTGCCTCAGCCTCCTGAAGTACTGGGATTACAGGCATGAGCCACTGCACCTGGCAGTTCTTACAAATTAATCTCTGGTATCCCCAGTGCCCTATCTCCTCAATCTTCGTCAGACTATAATTTAGTCTTAGCGTTTTTTTTTATTGTCCTGCCTTCCAAAATTCTGTCAGTCTTGTGTATCATTCTTTCAGATCCCCTTATCTCGGCTAATGAAATATAGAGAAATGCATTATTCTATTCAGGATTCATGTGCACTTTCTTGGTCAGTGTGCTGGGGTGAAATGCTTTTACCAAAAGGCCAAGGTCCTACAAAATGGCTAGAAGTTGGGTTGGTATCTGTTGACCAGAAGGCTTTTCCTGGTTCCACATCATGGGATGCCTCCTCTAGGTACTGAGATAAAGGCCTTTTTGATTGTAGGTGTATTCATTTACGTGAGGACTGGCTTGCAATCTCTCGCTCTCACGTAACAGTCCTGGAGCGAGCCATTCAGCTTGTCAGGGTGGTGGCACTCCATTATTCTCCAGGTCACCTTGGTCATTTCTGTGATTAGAGTTGGGTCACTGCCATGTCCAGGTTCCAGCTTATGAGAAAAGGAAAAAGAGAGTGAGAAGGAAGCGTGCCCTGAGGCTTAAATTCTAGACCTGCAAATAGCACATATCACATCCAAGATAGCCTGGGGAGTGTTATCTAACTGGGCAGCCCATCACTGGCTACATGCCTGTAACTAAGAAATCAGGGGAATAAGTTTTGGCGGACAGCTAGTAATCCTGATCACACTGAGCAACAGGAGAAACCATTACGTTGGCTTCAACTCATCTCTGCCTTCTTTGTTGGGAAGGGGGTGCTGGGCACACCTTAGGATTCAAGCCATAGGCCAGTCCCATCAGTGGCGTCTTTATATAAAGAAGCCAGGGATTTCTTGGGAAATAACTCCTTCTAGCGGAATAATCCATTTTTGCTAAGTTCAAGACAAAAATGGCCAAAATAGGAGAAAAGAGGTTGTGGGCACAGCCTGCTGTCTGCCATTTAAGCGTTGTTTTGGCTCAGTCCCATGGACACACATCTAAGTCAAAGAGGAGGTATAAAGAAAAGCAAGTCAAAACCAAAAAAAACTCCTCAAACACAGGTGAAAGAAGCATCTTTTGGGGCAAGTCTTCCAAGGGTAACCTACCAGGGGACACTTGCTGTGCCAGCCAGTACTCAGGTCCACATTTCTCATAGTAGTACCCCAATTGCCTTTTGGTGGCCTTCTGGCTCCCCAGTGCACGAAGTTTCATTGAGACTTAAAATCAAGTGGTTGGCGTATGACTGAGTTGGGCCAATCAAGTTCCTGGAAGAGCAGCTTGACCCTTGAGTGCGTGTAGGTGAGGATGGACAAGAGTTAAGGCTTTGCAGACTAAACTGGCTCCTGGGGGTTTCAGACCTGTTGGTGAAGTTCTATTTCTTGACCTGGTTGTTGGATCCATGGAGGCCAGTTTATTTGTATATTTTTGAAATGATACTGATATGTTCTGAATATAATCTCTTATGTGTATGACGTAATTTGATAACAAAAACAAGGATGCAGTGGTGGCTGGTGATCCTGCTTGTCCAGCTCTGAAGAGGTCGCTGGCTGGTTCCTGTTCCTGGATCTCTGACCCGGCTGCTCCTTGTCCTTCCCAAGACCTCGCTGTTCAGGCTCCTGTGATTCTGGGAGACTTTCCAATTTTTCCTCTTTCTCATCCTCTTCTTCATGGTCCTTCTCTGCTTCCTCTCTCCCTCCTCCTTAGATATGCCAGAATTGGTTTCTGTTGCTCATAATGAAAACACCCTGCCTGAAACAAAGAAAATGTGATGTGAATGTGTATGTGTGAGTGTTTGTGTATGTGTATGTGCATATATGAGTGAGTGTGTGGGAGAGACCCATTGAGGACAGCTGAGTCCACTTCTACAATTGCAGTTAAGGAAAGAGGGAGAAGAATCCTGTTTTATATTTGTGATCCTGATTTTACCTCCAGGCTGGCAAGGCTGGCATGGCATGGTGCGGTGGCTTAAGAATCACTTGGGTTGGAACGGCTGAGTAGTGGGTTTTGGCTCTGAGCCACCGGAAGTCCTGGCAGTGTGAGAAGGGGCAGTCAGGCCAAGGTGCAGAAAGACGTAGATGATTGTGGATCGCATAGTCAGGGCCAGGGGGCCTCCGACAACCCTCTGATCCAGTCTCTCACTTTATAGAGGAGGATCCAGAGCCAAAGAGGTTAAGGAATATGACCCAGGCTACACAGAGAATTAGCCTCAGAGCGGAGTCTCCTCTTATTAGAAAGGAAGGAGGGAAGCTGGGGGGAGACCTGGGGGCCTTGGCATCTGAGATCAGGATGTTCGGCTGGATGGTGAGGGTTGGGGAGGGAAAGGCTAGGAGGGGCAGCAGGGACGCTTGGCTACGTGGCTGAATGTCCCGGGTGGGGTTGCTGCCACAGGCAACCTGCTTTAGTCAGTTTCCCATCATGGATTGTGTAATGATGGAGACATTTTTGAGTGTGAGCATTCGTCATGCAGCCAAACAATATGTGATCGGAAATGAGAAGGAACGATCATTGTTGTGTCCAGCTGGAAATACATATTTGGATTATAATAGATATTCATTTATTTAGTCTTTTAAATTGTATGCAGGCCTATGACATGCCCCAACCGCAGGCACTGGGGACTCCATGTGAACAAAGCAGGCTCTGTCGGCTCCTTGATGGAGGACATTGATTTTTGGGAAAGATGAATATTAAGCACAAGGTCAGTCTTTTAATCCTATTTGGGCCTTCAACTGATTGGGTAAGGCCCCTGTACACTGGGGAGGGCAGTCTGCTTTACTCAAAGTCTGCCCCTTTAAATGTTAATCTCCAAAAACATCCTCACAGCAACATCCAGAATAATGTTTGACGACACATCTAGACACAGTGGCTCAGCTGATTTGACACATTACATTAATCATCATGGTGTGTATTTATGGGGTGTGGTACATGATCCAATGGGCGTTTCCCAGGGCGCTCTGCTGTTGTGGGAGATGGACCTGCATATATGTATGTGTTTGGTGTGCACGTGTGTGGCTGGCGTGCATGTGTGTGGTTGGTGTGCATGTGTGTGGTTGGCGTGCATGTGTGTGGTTGGCGTGCATGTGTGTGGTTGGCGGGCATGTGTGTGGAGAGGTACAGAAGGAGCAGCCCAGGGGAGAGATGAAGGTGACTGTTCGAAGATGGTAGGAGGGAGGTGGTGATGCTGATTCTGTTTGGAGAGGTGTTTACTAGCTGGAATTGTAGGACTTCATGAAGGACTGGGCGTGGCTGAGGGAGTTGGAATGTCAGGGGGTCCTCAGGCTTTGTGTTGAAGCTGAACAGACAGAGAGGCCGATTGGAGAGAGGAGCCTAGGTTCTGTGTGAGGCGGGATCAGCTTCTGCTGGGCAGGCCCTGGGAGCTGGGCATGAGTCTCCAGTCGGGTGCTTTCTCACCTTCCTGTAATCATACAGGGCCCCCCCGCCAACCCCCATTCACTGCTCTTCCTGCCTCCTGGAGGTTGGCAAACTCACACTGGTTGAATGAAACATCTCCAAATCTTCTTCTGATCCACAGCCACACACATCCTAGAAATTCCCCTCAACACGCCTTTTACTGCTCGCTGCTGTCCAAAGTGATTTCTCTCTTCCCTGAAGTCCCACAAACCTTACGGTGTGTATTATCCAATTTACTAAATGGCTTATTTATCCTTTAATGTTCTTTAATTTGTAATGGCTCAGATTTGAAGTGCTTTTTATGGGCTACTGATGTCACATATTTCATTTAAATGGCACAGCATGCCTTACGAGGTAAGTAGCTGTCAGATTAAGCTGGGCTGCAGCAACAAATACATCCTGATACCTTTAAGCAGCATGGGTTTATTTCTTGTTCACATCATAGGCCACTTGGCTCCCTCTCCAGGGTCTGACATGGGGACCCAGATCTGTTCCATCCTGGGTCCTGCTGGTGGCTCTTCCATCTCATGGTTTCCTGAATGCCTTAGTGCAACTCAATAGCATGGGGGCCCTGGAGGGTAAGGAGGGAAATTGGAGGACCATTGGTGGGAGATTCTATGAGCCAAGCACAAAAGCGGCATACATCACTTCCTCCTACATCCCATTGGCCAGAAGAGCGTCATGTGGCCTCATCTAGCTGCAAAGGAGGCTGGGAAATATAGTTTAACAATATGTTCACAAAGAGGAGAAAATTGATATTGGCTCCAGTAAGAGTGTGGTTATTTCTGAGATGAGAAATAGGGGCTCAGCAAGGTGAAATGAATGGCCCAAGGTCACAGAGCCAGAAAGTGGGGATGCTGGAACCTGACTTCAGGGGTCAAAACATAGCAAAGTATAAACAGCAAAATATTACCTGAAAATGACAGGATATAAAACAGTATGCAATTTCATCCCACTTACATTACTTTTTACATTCACACACTTGCCTAGCAGACTGGAAGAAAATACACCCAGTGTCATTGGGCTATATCTGGTTGTTTGGACTATATGTGACTAATCTTGTCATCATGTTTTCAAAGTTTTCTACAATGAGAAAACAGGTGTCATTACTTTCTAAAATTGGTTGACTGATTTTCTTAAAGCTAAATTATTTATTTCCATAAAGCCCTGTCACAGGGCCAAAAAAGTTGCCCAGTGGGGCAGGTGATAATCACATTCTTCCTAATAGTAATAATTTCTTTCGTTTATGATTTCAGTTCTTTATAGTGTTCAGTGGACTCTTGCATATTTCATTGGTTCTTTTATTTATTCTATTCTCCATCAGCTCTGATCCCACCTCCTTTCTGCCAAGTGCTGGCAAGGCTCTGGATGGCGCAGAGGGGAGACAGATCCTGGATCATGCATTTGTGTATCCCTGAATTCAGGAATAAAGTCAGGAGTGAATTGATGGAGTGCCTTCCTGGTGGGCCCAGGCTATGAAGGGCTTCGCACATCATGCCGTGGGGTCTGGGTGGCTTCCTGTTGGCCTAGGTGTGCGCTGGAACAGAGTCAGAAGCTCACTGAGGTGAGGGATGGTTGTAGCTGGGTGAACATGAAGTTGAGGGCTCCGGAAGACATCTGGGGAAGGCCGCTGAAGCCCAGGACATGCCAGGGGTCTAGAGACCAAGGTCTGATCTGAGACCAGACTGTGTCCAACCCAGGGCTCTGTCTGGAACTTCATTTCTTAGCCACCAGATGGCCTGGCTGCTGGGACTTTCCCGCTGTGCCATCTTCAAGCACATGGAAGGGCTCTACCTGCACGGGTGGGTCTAGAGCCCTGTGGGTTTCCCCCAGCTGCAACTTTGGAGCAGGCCGGGAACTCTGCAGGCAAACAACTTGCTTGGATTTATCATTTGTGTTGCTCAGCATCTGGGAGCATAAACAAGGCCATGGGTGCCAGCTGTGGTTACCTCTTAGCAAGGATCAGGATGTCTGTGCAAAACCTGTCACCCTGACTCGCTGTGAGTGGGTGTGGGGCATGCACACGTGCACCCATGCACACACATATCACACACAAACACACTCACACTGCTACAGCGCAATTGAATTCCTTGCCCCAAATGCAGAGCTGCTTTGTATGTCTCCCTTCTCTGCATTCCTGGTGTCAGGGAGCTTCCATTTTTTGCTGAAATCAATTTAGGAGCAAGAAAAAAAATGAATGTGGAAAGTGTAGCTGCATTTCCAAACTGCTTTTGTCAGGGGAACAGGGTCTGGCTCTGTCACCCAGGCTGGAGTGCAGTGGAGCGATCATACCTCACTGCAATCTCGACCTCTTTCCTCAGTCTCCTTAGTATCTGGGACTACAGGCAAGAGCCAACATGCCTGGCTAATTTTTTTTTTTTAAATTATTTGTAGAGATGAGGTCTGGCCATGTTACCCAGGCTGGAACATAAACTTTAAAAAATTTTGTAAGCAACCAAAGCCTTTTTCCAACAAAATCTTAGATTGATAAAAACAAAGTTGCTCAGGTTGAAGCCAGGTAGGGCCCAGAGCCCTGGTCACTGGGCAGCCCCCCTCATCCCCCAGTGTTGTTTAAGAAATTCTGGAAAAACACAGATGAGAAAGGACAGGCACTGGCAGAGGAGCTCTCGGAAGGAACGCCCTGGGCTCAAAGATCTGCTCAGGGTCCTGGCTCTGCCGCGATTTGTGTGTGGGTGGAGCAGGGTACGCCCCACCCTCTCAGGACCTGAGCTTCCCCTCCGTGTACTGAACTTGTGATGAAGCCTGGCATGTGAGCGGCCTCAGGAAACCCCCCTCCCCTGCCTGTTTCTCTGTTAAACCCAAGTGCTCTCTGAGTCGGTTTCTAATATTGTGATTTCATGGTGGAAGCCTCATCACTGATAAAATAGGACACTATAAAAAGTTAAGCAATATTTAGGGATAATGTACTGGCCTTCCAGAAGAACTGCAGTGGCTATTTGCACGCTCACCTCCTCCTAAACTCTGCCTTCAAGCTTAAGCCGTTATGCACTTTTGGTCTTCAAAGCTATCTTAGGAAACTTGGGACAAAGCAGAGTAAGAAGGGACTTTTGACTCACATGCATCTGTGTTAACTCTTTCAAGGCCAAGACTGCCATTTTCAAAAATTCAATTGAGATAGAGCTGGAAGGGACCTTTTTTACATTTTACAGATTGGGCAACTGAGGCCCAAGGGGAGGGGGGTCAAGTTAGTGGCAGAGCCAGCAGGTGCTCCGAGGGCTCCTGACTCTGTATGGTGCAGAGAGTTTAAGAGCAAAGGCTTCAAAGTGAAAAAGACCCGCCATGGAATCCTAGCTCAGCCAACTAAAAACCAGGAGATGGTGGGCAAGTTATTTAAACTCATTGAACTTCATTTTTATCCTTTGATCAGTGAGAGTAATTCCCAGTTCGTAAGGCTAATGTTGGAATTAACTAAGATGATGGTTATAAAGTGCTTGGCCTAGTGCCAAGCCCAAGAAAAGTGCTGGAAAATGTCAACTGTGGTATTATCACCCCCATTGTCTAGATTAGGAAATCAAGGCTCAGGAAGGTTCAGCTCCTTGCTGTGGCGTGATCCCGGAGTTTGTACCCCTGACCACGACACCACATTGTTTTCGCAGAGGGACAAAACTGCTTTCCAAATTTCTTTCAATAAGAGCATTGTATGTCTTGGAAATAAATTCCTGGACAGGCACTTGGAATGGAAGCTGAGCCCCCAGGGCCTGCGTGTGGGCAGAAACATCCTCCTTCAGACCACGGGAGATGCTGACTACTCTGATGTGTGTGAGCATGTGTGTGTGTGTGTGTGTGTGTGTGTGCACATGCACTCACGCTGAGGTCAGTGGGGTGAGAAAAAGAGAGGAACGGTGAGCCCCAGCTTGGCAGAGAGCAATGCACGCACACTGCCCCTCTTCCTCCTGCTCCTCTGTGCCTTAAATTGCTCAACTCACAAAATTTGGCAGCTGAAGCAAAGCCTGAGCTTCACGTTCAGAGAGCTGAGGCCAGGAAACAGTCAGTCCCTCCGGGATACAGGAGTGCAGCGCTGGAGATTCAAGCTGTCAAACAGCCAGAAAAATCATTTTGAGGGTTGGAGGGTGGGGTGGGGAGGAATCCTTGGGAGGCTCAGTGCCCACACGTTGGGAGTTTGGGTGAAATTCCTCCAAATCCCCAAGAGGCAGGGAGACCCCAACTAAACCCTTGGTTTTGTGTATGCAAACCAGTTAAATTAGTTTTTCAGGAACCTGGATAAATGGCCTGAGAAAGTTGCTCTTCCCATCCATGATGGCGGACATCCTTCTGCTGAGTCTGTTGCCCTGGGGCACTTGTCAGTATGAGCGCTCAGCCCCAGGACCAAATCCACCAAGAATTAAATGTCCCTTCCCCTCAGCTTCTGGCAGAACCTTAGCCTCCTGAATCATCTGAGACTTTCCACTTCCTACAGATGCTCTGAATATTTCCTAATCTGACCCCATCACCCATCCTTCCTTGCTTATCCACCCCTTCCTGTGAGCCATCCAAAACTCTTGGTTTATCATGAGTTCTGATCATTTCACCCTCTTATACCATCCCAAACTTGGCTGTCTGTTGAAAGTCCTGCTTTCCCCCAAATCTTCTTACGTGGCTAATTCTTTCTATCACACTCCATAATTGCAGGATCTGGAAGTAGTAGGGCCAATACCTTCCTTGCCCTCCAGCCAGTCCCCTACCTGTCTCCTTCCTTTTCAAAGCCCCTTTGACAGGCATGGTCCTTCTTCATGACCCCGACTCCTGCCAGCTGTCATTTCCTGACTGCCCCATCACCCTCCTTGCTCACCGATATTGTTAGTACTGGATTCACTGGCTCTTTCTCCACCACCACCCCCATCATGGTTCTTGGCACATGAAAATTCATAGATCTTAAAGCGGAGCCTGAGGTTGGATTCTTGCTCAGATGATTTACTGGGGAGTACTCCCATGAAAAGGGGGGCAAAGGAAGCAGGATACAGCAGGTGGAAAAAGCTAAGCAGGTGGTCTGGTTGGAGCCCAGCTTCTGCCTCATCCCATGGGGGGCTCTGGCGCACCAATGAGTTAGTGCCTCTATCTCCGGGGCAAACTTTGTGGCAGCCATGAGGCTGGCATTGGCCAAGGTCTGCAGAGTGCACAGAGCACAGCCTCCTGGGGTCTGGAAAGGGCTTGGACAGGGCACCAGCAGCAGCCACTTCGCTGTCTAATCCCAAGCATTTCCAGTTGCCTGATCTCAAGGGACAGCCAGTGATCATCTCTGCCACCCAGCCCAGCCACCCATCGAGTCTCGCTCTGTTGCCCAGGCTGGAGTGCAGTGGCACGATTTTGGCTCACTGCACCCTCTGCCTGCCGGGTTCAATCCATTCTCCTGCCTCAGCCTCCAGAGCAGCTGGGATTACAGGCATGTATAACCATATCTGGCTAATTTTTGTATTTTTTTTAGTAGAGACAGGGTTTTACCATGTTGGCCAGGCTGGTCTTGAACTCCTGACTTCAGGTGATCCACTTGCCTTGGCCTCCCAAAGTGTTGGGATTGCAGGCGTGAGCCACTGCGCCCAACCCCCATTCAGTCTTGATTCCAAGAATCCCTCTTGCTATCGTCTCCTATTTTTCCACCTCATGACCTTCCAAAACATCTCTGCCCCAACTCTGCTCTTCCTCAGCCCTCACCTGGAAGCTGATTATGGCTGGGAAACATCGTACAATGCTGCTAGTTGCTCTCACTTTAAATTTAGGAGCACAGATCTCTAGAGGGCAATGAACACTTTCTCTAAATCCATCACACTTCCCTAGAAATGTACTCTTTCACTTTCCTAGTTCACCACTCCTTCCTCTACATCTTCCACGGTGCTTTCTTCTCTCTCTCTTGGCCAGTGGCCTCCTGTCATGTTTGATAGAGAGAGTCTATGTACTCAGATGAGAAGTGCTCAGCAGGTCCCAGCCTGCCAGCATGTTTGGTCTCCACATGCTCCACGTGGAAGATGGGTCTCTGCTTCTAAGCACATGGCTCAGGATCCCTTTCCCTCTCCCCCTCTCCAGGACTTTGTTTCTCTACTTATTTCCATCTCTTTCCCCTGTCATCAATGACACCTTCCTGCCAGACGTCCCTAAGTAGCCCGCACAGCCCCTTTTGAACACCCCTGGATTGTCCATCTTCTTCTGTTCACCACCTCCTTTTCTGCCTCCTTCACAGCACCTCGAAGAGTCACGTTGGCTGCTGGCTCACGTTCTCACCCTCTCCTAGAGCCTCTCTACCTGGGTTCTTGTCTCCATCATACCCCATGAGATGGTTCTACTGGTAACTGATGCCTTATGTGGCCACAGCGAGTGTTCACTTCTCTGTCCTCGTTTGACTCAATCTCCTATATCATGTGATGTGACCAACCTTGTCTTTCCGGAAGCTCTTCCCTCTCCAGGCTTCCTGCCTCACGAGCCGCTGCCTGTCTGTCTCCTCTGCTGGATCTTCCTTCTCGCCAAGAAGACCCCTGGAAGGTACAGCGCCCTGGGGCCAGCCTCAGCCTTCCTCCCTCTGTCTACAACCTCTAGGGGAGCTCACGCAGCCCCACCGCTCAAATGCCATCTGCCATACGCTGACTCTAAAATTCCCTTCTGAATCCTGGACTCCTCTGAGCCCCAGGCCCTTCTGTCTACCCGGCACTGGGCCTCTTCTCCTAGATGAATAACACACACCTCCCACTAATGTGACAAGGTAGAACAACTGACTCTCAGCGCACCGCCAAGGCTGCTGCTTCTCCAGTCTTCCCTGAGACAGGAGATTGCATCACCACGCGCCTTGTGGCTCAGTCAAAACTCAGACATTACCCTTGATTCCTCTCTTCCTGAGACCCTACTACCAACCCCGCAGTTACTCCTGATGGCTTTACCTCTAAAGCTGATCCTGAGGTGACTGCCCCTCAGCACCTTACCTTTCCCCTGAGCCCAGGCGCCACCAGCTCCCCTGGGCCTGCAGCGGCCGCTGACCCATGTCCCACCTGCCCTCTCCTCACAGAGCTGGGTGGTCTCACTGAGGTGTAAGTCAGATCATGCCACGCCCCGGCTAATGCCCTCCAGTGGGTCCCATCACACTGTCAATGGGATCCCAATCCCTTTATTGGGCCAGCGCCCCTGCCCTGCCTGTCTCGCACCCTCATGTCCCCAGGTCTCCCTCTGAGCTGCAGCTACACAGACCTTATCCTGGCTCCACACCCTGCAAGCCCTCTGTGCTTCTACGCATCTCCTCCTTCCATTTGGATGCCTCTTCCTGAGATCTTGGTGCTGCTGCCTTCTTGACATTCAGGACTCAGACAGACGCCACCTCTACAGAGCTGCCCTGTCACTTTCTCCATGAGCCCTGCTCTTCTTCTCAGACACCCTTGGTTTCTGGCTTTGTCTTACTCATGTGTATCTTACATCTTTACACTCTGCCCCTAGGACATCAGCTCCTTGGGGGCAGAGGTCCATCCATATGGCTGTGTCCCCAGTGCCTAGAAGGTGCCTGCAATAGTGGAGGCTCAGAAAGTGTATCTTGCCTGACAGATTGAGGCCTCCAGGTTCTCAGAGGCAGCTACCAGCCCATGAGATGAGTGGAAGAAGTCATGACTGAAGGGTCTGTTTCAGCGTAGCCAGGCGTGTCCACAGACTGTGGCTGTGCAGGAGAGATGTGCCAGGGCAGACCCCATGCAGCTTCAGTGGGGCTGGCACAGGACAGGGAAGAACAGCAAGAGACACAGGAGCTGGCAATGCCCAGGGGCTGCCAGAGGTCTCTTGACTTTGCCGTGGTTATGTCCCTCATAACCAGAGAGAAAAGAAGGCAGCCACCTGGTGCAGGAGGAAAAGCCTTCTGTGAAATCCAGTCTCCTGGGGTTGTAGGACACTGAAGTCCTTGAGAGATGCTAACCCACCTTTACATTTAGGACTCTACCCATCAACAACCCAGATCATCCATGCGGAGGCCCAGTGCAGACAATATGCTGCTCTTGAGAACAGCAGCAAACAGACTCAAAGAATTCAACATGCATCCATGCCTCTGGTGTGTCTGCTGCTGAGAGGTGAACAACATTGGGGTGGTAGGTTTAAGAGCTGGGCCCAAGGCCGGGCGTGGTGGCTCACACCTGTGATCCCAGCACTTTGGGAGGCCAAGGCGGGCAGATCACGAGGTCAGGAGATCGAGACCATCCTGGCTAACATGGTGAAACCCCATCTGTACTAAAAATACAAAAAATTAGCCAGGTGTGGTGGCAGGCACCTGTAGTCCCAGCTACTTGGGAGGCTGAGGCAGGAGAATGGCGTGAACCTGGGAGGTGGAACTTGCAGTGAGCCGAGATCGCGCCACTGCACTCCAGCCTGGGCGACACAGCGAGACTCCATCTCAAAAAAAAAAAAAAGCTGGACCCAAATCCAGCAGACCCACCTGAGAGATGTACATGTGATCTGGCACCTGGAGTTAGATTTCAGTCTTCCTGGGCCAGGCATCAGCCCTGGCAGGGCTCTCTCAAGAGCAGGGTCAGGAGTGAAATGGGAACCGGCAGGTTGGGATGTCACAGGAGGTGCTCCATCTGGGGTTGGATGGTTAGCGGGGGGCTCTAGGATTTGATGTGCCTGAATTGAATCATGGAGCAAGTTTTGAACGTCTTTGTGCCTCAGTTTTGTCACCTGTAAAGTGGAGTTAGTCACTATTGGATTGTCTAACAGGCAATGAAGCTGGGGGCCTAAGGCACCCACATAGCAGAGGCACCCAAGCAGATGAAGTGGAAGGGGAGAGAATGTGGTACTTTAAATAATGGCTCACGGTGGTCAGCATAGGCAGGTGCTATGATCTGAATGTTTCTGCCCCCCCACCTCCCCAAATTCATATGTCAAAATCCTAACCCCCAAAATGATGGTGTGAGGAAGTGGGGCCTTTGGGAGGTGATTAGGTCATGAGGGTGGAATCACATGGATGGGATTAGTGCCTTCATTAAAAAGGTGAAGGGAAGCTCATTCATCCCTTCTGCCATGTGAGGACTCAGCAAGAAGCTGCCATCTGTGAACCAGGAAGGGCCCTCACCAGACACCGACCATGCTGGGGCTTTGATCTTGGACTTCCCAAGCTCCAGAAAGGTGAGAAACTTCTGTTGTTGATAAGCCACCCAGTATAAGGTACTTTTTTACAGCAGCCCACACAGACAAAGACAGTGGGTGAAGACTTATTTTTCCACTTCCATGTGTTCATTGAAGGCAAACTCCTAACCCTTTGCCTGACACATAACAGATGCGTAATAAACGTTGCCACTTTTCTATCCGTCCTTTCTTCTCAGACAGGAAGTGCAGAATGGCCCCAGAAGGGCTTCACCAACTATACCCTTTGGCGAGGGGTTCTGCTGATACTTTTCTGGAGGATGAAAGCACTCCTGTGTGTTGTGCACAGTTGGCCTGGAGCTACAGTTGTGAACAGACACGGTGCTTGCCCTGGACACAGACGCTAAATGAGTAAGCATGTAGCTAAGCCGTATGTCAGGCAGTGAGCATGGCATGCTGGAAAACGTGACAGCACGAGGGGGAATGTGGAGCATGGGGGTCGGGGGACATGCTATTTCAGATGAAATGACACTTTAGAGGATCTCAAATGATAGGGAAGCGGACAAGGTGTGCCGTTCTCTGGGGGAGCAGCTTTGCAGAAGCAAGCACAACTGGGGAGGTCGTAGGATGGGAAGGAGCCTGGAATATCCTAAGCATCCAAGGAAAGGCGGTGGAGCCGGGTCAGAGTGAGCCTGGAGAGAGGTGAGGGGTCCTGGGCCAGATCTGGGGGGCCTGGGGGCCAGCCAAGTGATTCATGTTGCCTTTTACTCTGCGTGGGATGGGAGGAAGCCCTGGAGGGTTCTGAGCCGAGGAGCAACAGATCTGACTTAACCTTTCAACAGATCATGCTGGCTGCTGTGTTCATAACCGATGGCAGGGAGGCAAGGGTGGGTGGTGGAGAATGGTCATGAGCTTTTTGCAACAATTCAGGAGAGAGATGATGGTGGCTTGAGGCTGGGGGCTCACTGGATCTCTATGGATCACTTGGGATCGTAAAAGGAAGGTGAGCCACTGTTACATGTTCACACCACACTGTGATTACGGTAGTGGGTGTCTACTGAGCACTGATAGGCGGCAGGTGTTTCACTCAACAGCTTACCCAAAGAATTGGACAATAAATACAATGAACATGCATTAAACGCCTGGTAATAAAAACAACTGACAGTGTTAAATGCCTACTATGAGCCAGGCCCTGCCAGCTTAAACAGAACAAGGCTTGGAACCAGAGATGCCAGCAGAGAGACTTCATTTTGCACAGATTACTGAGTGTGACTTTGCTAAACAAATGCCAGGGGTCAGGGAAAGGCCTCAGAACACACATGGCTAATGCGGTTCAGCAGAATTAAGGCATCGGGAAACAGGTGATGACCCAGAGGGCTCCAGGATGAAGCCGCACAGGTGTCAGGGGTGGGGGCGTGGATCCCTTATCTCATCAGTATCTCAGTTCATTTTCCCCATCCCTCCTCCTTCCCAAGGAAGGTGTTCTGTACCAGGCAAGGGGAGCAAAGTGCAATGAACTATAGACCTTGTCCATCAAGGAGTTTCCAACCCAGCCAGGAAGAGATGCTCAGCACTCTCTGGGAAGACTTTTGACCACACCTGAAAGAAAATTCAAAAGCAACGGATTCAAGTGAAAAGGAATTATAGAGTCTAATGTAACTGAAAAGTCTAGAGATATATCCAGGTCAGGAGATGTTTAAGCAGGTTAATGTATCATATGATGTCACCAGAACCTCACGACCCCATGGACCAAGGATGGGGAAGGGGCGGATCCCCAAAAGGCTATTACTGGAAGAAGATCGGTGCTGGGCAGCCTTAGCCATCAGAGACTCTGCAACAACCAGCTGGACTCCATGTCACACTGTACATCCAAGGGGAGCGCTGAGGAGGGAGAGGTGGATTCTGATTGGGGTGCTTAGTAAATGGTTACAGGAAACGTGGCATTTGAGCTGAGACTTAAAGGATAATTTCCAATGAGTAGAATAGGCACGAAGAAAGCCATGTCAAGCACAGGGAGACCGCACAAGCCAAGTTTAGGAGGCCTGGGAGAGAACCCACTGCCCACAGATTGGGAGATAGTGGGGTGGCTGGACATCGGGAGTTCTAGGAGGCAAGGGAAGAATTAGGTTAGGGCTGGAGTGTAAAGGGACGTCAGTGTCAGCTTGAGGAATCTGGATGTCTTTAATAAGCAATGGAGAGGAACTGCGGATTTGAGAACAGGGAAGCCACATGCTCTGTGCTTTGGAAAGATTGATAGTGGCAGGGTGGGAGTGGACAGCAGCCAGTCACCCCACTGTGCCTCGCAGACAGCAGGGTTAGAGGGGGCTGCACTGGGGCATAATCTTGGCAAGAAAAAGAAAAGTGGATTTCAAGAAACTGAGTAGTTAGACTGCATGGGACTCAGAGGCTGGGTAAATGTAGGAAGTGGGTGTGGCAGGCACAGGCAGCTGATTGCTGATCCAATATCCATTCTTCTCTTTCTTCCCAGCAGAAACTCAGCTTTGTTCAGGGAAGCAATGTGATTAGTTACTGCTCACCTTCCTAGGTGCCTTGCAATTAAAGGTGGTCAAGTAGCCCAGTTGTGACGATGCAACGTAAACAGAAATCCACCAGGCAAAGCTGCTGTTTCCTATATAAAAGGGAAAAATTCAGGTGACATAAACCTTTCTTCCTGCTTGGAAAGTTGTTGCAATGTCTGGAGGTAGAGCATCTCTCTTGTGATCATGAGGAAGAGAGTTTTGAGGTAAGGAGGGTGGAACAGGATATAATGAGGAAGCTGAGCTCTTAGTGGCTTTCTCACACAGGTGCAAAGCTCCAGACTGCCTACCTCCAGATATTTTGCCACATAACACAGAGATCCCTCCTTGGTTAAGCCACTGGAGCTGGATTTCTGACGCATGGAGTTCAAGCCAATTCTACCACATACAGTGGGGATGAAGACCATGTGGAGGTTGATGCTATCAGCTAAAATTCGGAACCCTGGAAGGGTAACAGGTTTGGAAGGATCAGAGTGGCAGGAAAAGAGCCTGCCACCTAGAGCCGGGATGGCCTGTGGCCAACTGGGGCCCTAGGAAAATCCTTTACCCTACTTGGTCTCTGCTTCCTGATCTGTGAAATGGAATTTTAAAGCTCAATTTTTGAGAAAACCAGAAACAACAAGTTCATCTGATACATGCTATGGGTCCCCAGCAATTTACGGATTTTTTTTTTTTTTGAGATGGAGTCTTGCTCTGTCACCCAGGCTGGAGCGCAGTGGCATGATCTTGGCTCACTGCAACCTCCGCCTCCTGTTTCAAGCGATTCTCCTGCCTCAGCCTCCTGAGTAGCTGGGACTACAGGTGCGTGCACCACACCTGGCTAATTTTTTGTATTTTTTAGTAGAGACAGGGTTTTACAAGGATGGTCTCGATCTGACCTCATGATCCACCTAGCTCGGTCTCCCAAAGTGCTGGGATTACGAGCATGAGCCACCGTGCCTGGCTGATCTTTTTTTTTTTTTTTTTTTTTTGAGATGGAGTTTCATTCTTGTTGCCCAGGCTGGAGTGCAATGATGCGAACTTGGCTCACTGCAAACTCTGCCTCCTGGTTCAAGTGATTCTCCCATCTCAGCCTCCAGAATAGCTGGGATTACAGGCATGCGCCACCACGCCCAGCTAATTTTGTATTTTTAGTAGAGATGGGGTTTCTCCATGTTAGTCAGGCTGGTCTTGAACTCCTGACCTCAGGTGATCCACCTACCTCGGCCTCCCAAAGTGCTGGGATTATAGGCATGAGCCACCGCCCCCGGCCATGGATTTATTTTTGTAGTGCCAGGAGAGAGGAACCCAGCCTTGCTGAGGGATTGATGGCAGTCGAAGATCAGAGAAAACAGCATGAGACAGGTGCTGAAAACTGTGGCTCCCCGGGGTTCAGCCCAAAGGGTCCTTCAGCTTCCCATGAGATGAGGACACCATTTAGTTGATGGTGAGGCCCATGAGGGCTCCCCTGGTGGGGCTGGCAGTAGCCCGCCCACCTCTTCTTCTTGGCCAGCACAAGGATGTTGAATGTGGAATGACATACAGACCAGACACAAAGATGGCTAAATGTGGGGTGGTCAGATGTTTGTAGCTCATCCTCCATATTACATTCCGTGCAGCTACATAAACTCCAAACAGCAAATAAACAGAGCTGCTGGTAATGTGTTTATAATGGCTATTAAGAAGGGAGGTGACTTCTACTCGGGGATTCCACAGGGTGACTCAGCTCTTGTTTACCTCCCTCTGGTCATGGACTGCTCATTAGCAACTGGAAGACTGTGGAGAGGCAGCTGAATGTTTTGGAGCCAGTGTCTTACAGGACCAAGATCTCAGAAGTCAGGGAATCCAAGGGCCAGAGGGACACTGAAACCATCTAGACCCTCACCCATGGGAGCTTGATCACCCTTCTCAGTTTCCTGCCAAGCTGGGGCCCAGCCCACCTCCCTACCTCCAGGGATGAGGACCTCACTGCCTCTTAGAACACCCATCTCACTGAGCCCTTGAGCACCCTGTGAGCAGGCTGCAGGTCTTAGTCAACTTGTACCCTCAGAGCCTGGCACAATGTCAGACTCCAGAAGTGTCCATCCAGTTCTCTTCCACCCAACGCCAATTTTTGTTGAGGCTTGAGCGAGGTGGTGGGGTGTCTGAGATGATTAGCATGCAGTACCTGGCCTTGAGGATCCCAGAGACTGAACAGGGAGGCAGGGAAGTGAACTGGCCATGATGACATGGTGTGGTGGGTGGCCCAGTGGCAGTCATAGGCACAATGCAAGTGGGCACTCACAGAGGGACTCTGACCTGGCACTAGGGGGTGGCCAGGTGTGTGGGCATGTGTGATAGAGAGACTTTCATGACGTGGGCCTGCAGTCAGCAGAGATTTCCCTGACTCTTGCAACCTACATACGATTGGCTTTTTCCAGGATGTCTTGGGGGTTTAAGTTCCCAAGGATGCCTGTGGCCCCAAGCATCTGCTTCCAATTTAGGGCTTATCTCGCTGCCCCGTGTCTCACCAGTGTTGTGTCAAGCTCAACGTGGAACTCGACTCTCCCATTTCCACAAACAAAAGAAATAGGACAACCCTGCACATTGAGAGTGTGTAGCCCACTCTCTTGAAGGTCTGGGGAGAAGGTGGTGGAGGTGTGCATTGCAGCAATGCCACCAGCCGTGCCCGCCTATAAAACCCTCTGGCCACTTTCCACTGGGTCTCTCCCTGCCAGCCTAGAGTCCTGGCTTCCTGCCATTCTACAAATTCATGACTCTGTCTTTCCCCTTCTCTTCCTCCTTCCCCACCCTCCCTGCAGGTCCTCAGGGCAATCTACCCTTCCCCAGCCCATATTTACCTGTCCAAACCCACCCCGTACTCTGCAGGACAGAAGGGCCTCTCATAGAACACGATCTTTCCCCTTTGGTAGAGAGACATGTTTGCAAGTGGCAGCTCCACCTCTCTGGGGTTCCTATATTCCTATACAGAGCCCACATCAGTCTCCTGTTGGGTTGCATAGAACCACGTGTTCCCTGGCTTCCTGGACAGAGAGGTGTGCCAGCCTGGAAGGGAAGTGACAGCCCAGTGTTTCTTTGTGCTGTCACATTCCATCCTTGGCCATAAGAACATTTGTTCCATATTCATGCTTAAGGATTCCTCTGCCCCAGGCAGGCGATCCAGGCTGCAAAGGTATTTGGCCATGCCACCCCTCTGGTCAGGGTTTTAAGCTCCCCTGTGTCTTGATGTGGTGTTACAGGAACAGTGCGTGTGGCCAGAGAGCAGTGCTTGCGAAGTCCCGTGGTTTGGGCTTCATCTTCCCTGGCTTCTTTATGACAGGCAGTCGCTTACAGCTGGGGAGGGAGCTTGGGGACACCTGAGATGAGGCTCCTGCCACACTGGAATTTTACCCTTGGGCTCTTGAAGGCAAATCAATCAATCAATCCGTCCCCTGACTCTTTTATTCTTGTCATTGCCTCTCCCCCTCCCCCACCCCCACTCATCCCCCATTGTCCTGGCCTCTGGGGATGGGGGAGAAGGTAGGGAGGGAGAGGGGAGGAAGAAGATGGGTGGCACTTCCGTCCCCACCTCCTCTTTCCCTCCCAGCCTTGGCATGCATGTCAGTGTTTTCTGCTTTTCCAGAGGACGGGTTCTGCTGCCCTGGAGGCAGCAGCGTGGCAGCTGGTCCTCACTGGTTCCTTGTTTTTCAAGGGATGAAAGAGCCCACCATTGCCCCTTAACAGAGAGAGCACACACAGGGGTCAGAAGTGGGTTCTAGGCTTGGACATTTTTTCCAACTCCCCTTTCTAGTCCGAAAATGATGTTGGATTAGAGAGCAGGCTTTGGTCTCTAAGTTTCTAACTAACTGTGAAAGCTGTGATTGAGTTCTGTTCTGTGATTCTCTCTGGTTAATTTCTTCCTGTCTTCTTCCCATCTCATTGGTAACTCTCCACCACCAAACCGTGAACTCCTCAGCCACAAAGACTTTGTCAGGTTCATCTCTGAGTCTGTAGCGCCCAGCCCTGGGCCTGCACACCATGAGTGCTCCGAAGACAGGGGAGGTGAGGCAGGGAGTCAGAGAGGTCAGGCTCCAGGCTGGGGTCCCCTGGGGAACCCTGGTGGACTAGACCTCTCTGAGTCTCACCCTTAAGATGGGGGATGAAAATATCTACCCAGCAGGATTAGTGGATTAAGGATGGAAGATTATAGGAGTGCATTTGTTTATTATTGCTGCATAAGAAATTACCCCACATTTAGAAGCAGCTTAAAAGAAAACCCATTTGTCATCTCAAGTTCTGTAGGTCAGAAGTCCAGGCAGGCCAGCTGGGTTCTCAGCTTAGAGTTTTTTTTTTTAGATGTAGTCTTGCTCTGTCATCCAGGCTGGAGTGCAGTGGCACGATCTTTGCTCACTGCAAGCTCCACCTCCCGGGTTCAAGTGATTCTCCTGCCTCAGCCTCCTGAGTAGCTGGGAATCCAGGTGCATGCCACCATGCCTGGCTAATTTTTTTGTAATTTTAGTAGAGGTGGGGTTTCACCATGTTGGCCAGGCTGGTCTGGAACTCCTGACCTCAAGTGATCTGCCCTCCTCGGCCTCCCAAAATGCTGAGATTATAGGCATGAGCCACCAGGCCCAGCCTTTGGCTTAGGTTTTAATAAGGCCAAAATCAAGGTGTTGACCAGGCTGGGCTCTTATCTGGAGACTCTGGAAGAAGAATCTGCTTCCAAACTCACTCACGCTGTAGGCTGAACTCAGTTCCTTGCAGTTGTAGGACCAAGGCCTGCATTTTCTTGCTTGCTGTGAGCCGGGGACCACTCTCAACCTTTAGAGGCCACTGCATTTCTTGGCATGTTCCCCTCCCTCCTCCATCCTCAAAGACAACAATGATGTATAGACCTCGTTCTGTGCTTCTGATAACTCTGACTTCTGCCTCCAACTGGAGAAACTGTTCTGTTTTTTAAACTGACGTATAATATTTGTACATAGTTATGGGATACACATGGTATTTGGATGCATGAATACAATGTGTGATGATCAAATAGTGTATTGAGAATATGCGTCACCTTGAGCCTTTAGCATTTCTTTGTGTGAGTAATATTTCAAATCTTCTAGTTATTTTGAAATACACACTATGTTGTTAACTGAAGTGACTCTACTGTGCTATTGAACACTGGAATGTGTTCCTTCTATTGAACTGTATTTTGCACCCCTAAACCAACCTCTCTCCATCTCCCTCGGCCCTGCAATATCCTTCCCAGCCTCTGGCAACTGTCAGTCTACTCTCCACCTCCATGAGATCCACATTTTAGCTTCTACACATGAGTGAGAACATGCAATATTTGTCTTTCTGTGCCTGGCTTATTTTACTGAACATAATGACCTCCAGTTCCATCCATGTTGCTGCAAATGACAAGATTTCATTGTTTTATGGCTGTGTATTCCACTGTGTATATATACAACATTTTCTTGATCCATTCATCCATTGGTGGATACTTAGGTTGTTCTCATATCTTTGCTGATACAAATGGTGCTGCAATGAGCATGTGAGTGCAGGTATCCTTTTCATATACTGATTTCCTTTCGTTTGTTTAAATACCTCGTAGTGGGATTGCTGGGTCATATGATAGTTCTGTGTTTAGATTTTTGAGAAACATCCACACTGTCTTCCATAATGACTGTACCAATGTACGTCCCGACCAACAGTGTATAGAGGTTTTCTTCTCTCTGTGTCCTCACCAGCATTTGCTATTTTTTGTCTTTTTGCTAATGGCCATTCTAACTGGGGTGAGATGATATCTCATTGGGGTTTTGATTCGCATTTCCCTGATGTTGAGCATTTTTTTCACATACCTGTGGGCCATTTGTCTGTCTTCTTTTGGGAAATGTCTATTCAGATCTTTTGCTCACTTTTTAATGATATTATTTCTTTTTTGGCTTTGAGTTATTTGAGTTCCCTTTATATTCTGGATGTCAGTCCCTTGTTGCATAAATAGTTTGTAAATATTTTCTCCCATTCTGTAGGGGGTCTCTTCACTCTGCTGGTTGTTTCTTTAGGGGGTGAAGAAGCTAAAAATGTGCTGTTTTTAAAGAGCTCACCTGATCACATCAGGCCCACTTGACAAGGTCCCTTCACAGCAGTACCTAGGTTAGTGTTTGCTTGAAGAACTAGCGGATGGGAATTGAGGGCATCTTTAGGATTCTTCCCACCACAATGAGCTGAGGTCAAGTGTGTGGTAGAGCCACTGACACATAGAAGGGGCTCAGCTCCAGGAGGCCAGCGGAGTTCTCTTGGTACTCACTGGGCCCATGCAAGTCATGAAAGTGCCCTTGGGCATGGTTCAAGGCATGAGATCACTGGAAACTGGAAAGCCACAGATCTCAACCATTTCCTGCCTGGATGAGGCCGCCTTCTTGTGACCATGAGGAAAAGGCCAAGAATTTCATAGAAATGCAGACCCTGACATCACCCAGGGCCTGGACCTGTACCAGCATCACTGGGAAATCACTGGGGGCAGGGGCGATGTAAGCAGTGGTGTGACGATCTGCTAGGTCCTCTAAAAGGATCACTGTGTCTGCTGTGCAAAGGATGGATTTTAGGGGGCAAGAGTAGAACCTGAGAGACCAAGTATGTGGTTATGGCTGTAGTCTTGGTCACCTTCACCAGAGTGGGTAGCCGGGGAGGTGAGGGAAGTGGTAGACTGCAGATACACTGCGTAGGAAGAGGGTGCGGTTTGCTGATGAATTGGATGTGGAGTATGCAGGAAAGAGAGGAACCAAGGCAGACTTGGGGAAGCCTGTGGGAGGTGAGGCTGGATGCGGGTAGAGGGTGGCCTGGAAGACTTGGAGGTTCTGATTAGAACACTTCTAGTTGGAGACACCTAAGGAAAATAAGAGCAAAGGAGTCAAGCAGACTGACTTGTGCGCAGGTCAGGAGCCTGAGAGGAGCTCAGACCACAGACTAAGATTTGTTATGAATCATCTTTTCTGAGACTCAGCTGGGCAGAGTGTTTAAAATGGACAATCTAGAGAGAGCGAGGGGCTGCAAGTTTGTAACAAGTGCCACAGATGACTTCTTCCTCCCTCCCCAAGTCTGAAAGCCTTGGCTCCAATTCAGCCCTAGTCCTTAAGGCACAGAGAGGACCATGATTTGTCCAGCATCATTTAAATGCCGCCCTCTGTGATCCATGGATGGCTTGCCTGCCATACCTGGCTGCCTCCCCTGGGTGGCTGTTCCCCATCTCACTGCCACATCATTTGCCTTTTCTTAGAAGGGTTAAATGTTGCCTTGCTAACAAATCAGAAGCTTACCTCTAACCCATAGGAAAGTAGAGAAGGAGAGTTCTGGAATCTTTATGCCATGCCTGAGAGACAGCATCCCAGGAATCATGAGCCTGGCATCAGCTCTGCTGTGACATTCTCCAGTTGTGTTGATACACTCTTTCCCTCCCCAGAAGACATGTGCTCTGTGGAGGAGCAATTAAGAGTGGAAATGGCTCAAAAGTCCAGGTTGCTTAGATAGACGGTGTTCATTGCAGCTCTGGTACTAAAATGCTTGGCAAAGGAGTCCAGATGTGCACTCACTTATGGAGTGAAGAAAGCTCAATAAGTCTATAAACCCAGTCCCTGTCATTGAGGTAATGTGGACTGGTGAGAAGAGCCCACACCTGGAAGGCAGGACGCCTGGTTCTAGTCCTGGCTCCACCACTGACTAGTTGTGTGGCTTCAGGCAAGCTACCTGCCCTCTCTGAGGCATGCTTTTCCAGCTTTGAAGCAAAGACAATTATACCTACCGCACTGGGCTAGGATTAAGCGAGGTAGTATGTATAAAAGCAATTAGCAAAGTGCCAGAAAGTCTGGTTCCTCTCTTTCCTACATTTTGGCAGGCGCTCAGAATGTTTATTTCCTTCCTTCTCTCCTTCCCATCTTGGACAATGGTTGAGGCAACTACACTGATGGTCTCAGAGTCTCCCCAGAATCAGACACCCCCAAAACAGTGCCGTGTAACCCATCTCAGTGGATATCCAGGTGTGTTGGGAGGACAGGCACCTTGCTTTGCGCTTAGGCCACCCCACCCCTTAGATGCAAGGATGCAGTTGAACTGACCAATGGCAGAGCCTCTGTCCTTGAACCTGGGTGACCCAAAGGTGACTCAAGCCTCAAGTGGACAACTGACCCACTCCCTAGTGAGAGACTCATACAACCTGACTCGCCCCCAACAGTGGTCGAGACAGATGATCTGAGGAATTTGAGGCCCACACATGAGGCCTGGCCTTCATTGTTCCCCAGGTAAGTTGGTCCCCTGCGTGGGCCAGGTTGGTTCCTGCCTCTGCTCCTTTGCACCATGAGGATCTTCTCCTAGGACCCCATTGCCACCTTTATTCAGCTAGAGGGCTCTTAGAAGCCCTCCCAACTCAGCCTGGATGTTGTCTCCTCATCTCTCAACTAAAGATCAGGCCATTCAATCTCTGGGCTCCAGGTGGTATTCTGAGCTGTCTGTCTTCTCACTACCTGGTTTTAAAGTTATCTGGTTTGTGCAACTGTTCCGTGGGCTCTTCCAGGACAGAGACTGGCTCTAACTCGGCTCCACTCTCCATGCCTGGACCAGAGTATGGCACAAAATCGCTGGCTTGGAAAAGTTTGCAGACCTGAACCCAACTGAACTTGGCCTGCTGGGGGTGATGTGGATGAAGACAGGGCTCAGGGAAGTCATCACCCTAGCGCTTTAGAAAGCTGAAAACCAAGTTTATTCTTTCATGATTATAAAATTATAGACAATTTGCAAAGTTCAGAAAAGTATAAGGAAATGAAGATTGAGCAACATTCTCTCCACCTAGAGACAGTTCCTGTTACTATCTGGTTTGTTTACTTTCAGAGTTAATTTTTAAGGCATTGCTCTGTTCTGTATTCTTTGTCAGAGTTGTAATCAAGTTGGTAGACAGATCTTCAGACTCTTTCTCCCCAGTTGACATTGTATCATATGCACTTCTCTCAAGTTACTCTTTGTAAATATCTTCTTTAAACAGTTACATAATCTTCCACTAAGTGGATTTGCCATAATTTACTTGATCTCTGTTACAGAAATTAAGGTTGTTTCCACATTGCCAGTGTTATAAATAACAGTGGGACGACACACGTTGTACCTAGTTGGCCATATATTTGGAGATGCTGGGCCTGTTCCGTGCAGCATGAGAGCTGCTATGCCGAGCCTCAGTCAAGCATAAACAACTTCAGATTTATGATGTTTGGCTCACACAGTGTTGATTTACTCTTTTTAAAATGGGAAAGTCTGGAGAATTCACATACAAATTTGATGTTATAGCTTCTGTTGAAGAATCCCGAGCAGTCGGGTTTACAGGCCTATGCCACCATGCCCGGCTAATTTTTGTATTTTTAGTAGACACAGGTGACCCTAGGCCCACAGTCCTACATGTCGCCAGCTGCTGAAGCCCTTTAGATGGGCCATGAGCTCTCCGTTTTGCCCCAGTCCCCACCACTCTCTATTGTCTCCTTCACATGGAGGCCACGTGGCTCTAACAATTTGCCGTTGCACCTACGCTGAATTTTTTTTCCTTAAAGACAAACGTGAGATATTTCTCCTACCTATACTTTTTTTCAAAAATAGAAAATGAACACTGAGAGAGCTTTAGGTTTTACAAAACATGGGTGAGAACATTTTTCTTGGTGGAATGGAAGCATATTCCTAATACTTAATATGCAAATCAAGTGTGTCTTTGCAGAAAAAACACCATCAAAACTGACATTTTGTAAATGTTTGAAACAAACGTGATAGGTTCCTACACACTAGCCTGCCTTACTCATTAGGATTCTCTGTGAGGCTCCTGTCCACATTTCCATGTGCAACTTCTTCTGCAGGATGTTGTACCAGCCAAGAGGCTTTTGCAGCAAAGAAAAGACATCTGATTAAAAAGGGGCTAAACAGGGTGCAGTAGCTCACGCCTGTAATTCCAGGAGTTTGGGAGGCTGATGCGGGTGGATCATGAGGTCAGGAGTTCAAGACCAGCCTGGCCAAGATGGCGAAACCCCTGTCTCTACTAAAAATACAAAAATTAGCCTGGTATGGTGGCAGGCACCTGTAATCCCAGCTACTCAAGAGGCTGAGGCAGGAGAATCGCTTGAACCCGGGAGGCAGAGGCTGCAGTGAGCTGAGATCGCACCACTGCACTCTAGCGTGGGCAACAGAGCAAGACTCTGTCTCAAAAAAAGGGGGGCTAAACAATAAAGAAATGCATCTCACATAGCTCGCAGTGCAGAGCCAGGGGGGCCTTCAGGTACAGGACACCCTGTGGTTTGATGCTGGCATCAGGGAACACGTCCTTTCCAGTCTCTTGCTCTTCCATTCTCAGCACTGACGTCACCCTGAGGCTGGTCCATCTCGTGGTTGTGGGGTGGCAGCCAGTGACCACAAGGTCAATATGCTTCCTTATTCACCTCCCAGGTTCAGGCGATCCTCTCACCTCAGCCTCCCGAGTAGTTGGGTTTACAGTCTTGTGCCACCATACCCGACTAATTTTGTATTTTTAGTAGAGACAGGGTTTGGCCATGTTGGTCAGGCTGGTCTTGAACTCCAGGCCTCAAGTGATCCGCCCGCCTTGGCCTCCCAAAGGCCTTATCCACACCCACAAGGAGAAGATGGAGAAACCTCTTTTCTAAGTCTTGTCAAGTTTTTCTTGAATCTGACTGGGCCAATTTAGGGGACGTGTGCACCCCTTAGCAGATCATCGTCACCAGGGGAATGCCATGTGCTAATGGTCAGGTTCATCACTGGGATGAAATGATGGGCTACCAACCTCAGGGTCTACCAGACGCCTTCCAGAGCCCTTCTACCTCTGTTCATCCTCATCCTTGGCTGTGCTTTATGTTTGGAAAGACTCCAACTCCCTTCTTCTTGAGTCAAATTCCATGTCAAAGCCCAGCAGAAACCAATTCTCCCCAAACTGGGCCACAAGCCTTTTTCTCTGTCACCTATGGCCCTCCTGCTGGACAGGCTGCTCCCATCTCAAAACCGAGCTTCATTTAACTCTTCGGTGTGGGACTTGAAATAGTTTTCTCAACAATGCCATATTTCAAAATGTAGTTTTTTAAAGCCTCCGTGTACCCCTAGGAGACTGGATGATTAGGGCAGTACTAAGATTGTTTGTGCAACCGTAAATATTTAAGTGAATGGCCAGGCGCGGTGGCTGACGCCTGTAATCCCAGCACTTTGGGAGGCTGAGGTGGGCAGATCATGAGGTCAGGAGTTCAAGACTAGTCTGGCCAACATAGTGAAACCCCGTCTCTACTAAAAATACGACAAATTAGCCGAGTGTGGTGGTGTGCACCTGTAATCCCAGCTATTCGGGAGGCTGAGGCAGGAGAAATGCATGAACTTGGGAGGCGGTGGTTGCAGTAAGCCAAGGTCACGCCATTGCACTCCAGCCAGGGCGACAGTGAGAGACTGCATCTCAAACAGAACAAAACAAAACAAAACAAAACAAATATATATGTGTATATATATATGTATATATGAACAGTGAACAGGAATAGAGTTAGTTTTTTCCATCAAACTCCTGGTTTCTTCTTGGGATCCACTCTTTGTGCTAATACAACTCATTTCTGCATGAACCAGCTATTACCTACCCAGGAAAGGGGTTGTGGTGTGCTGCAGGTGGCTGGCTTCCCTCATTCCCAGGTTTCAGGCCTTGCACAATTGATTAGTTGGGGTGGGGAGGTTTTCCAGCTAATGAACCTGCCACATAGTTCTCAGCTATCTGACCTGCATCCTGGGCCACTGCCCACTGCAATCCAGGAAGTATAAGTCCCAAAAGTGATTAGCCCTGCAAAGGATAGGATTCTGCAGCTGCCTTTCGGAGGCTAAGGTCATTATGTCTCTGCTATCATTGCCTCCAGACAGGCAGCTGTTCTCCAGGGATCTGTCTGTATGCACATTAAGCCCACTGCCAGGGCTGCCTTCTCATCTACGTGGACTCCTCAAGAAAATGCTCTTTTACACTTAGCAGAAGGTGAAATCACAGAATTTTGAAACTGGGAGGGGCAACTTGGGAATCTGCAAGTCTGACTTAGAGTAACTACCCTAGGGTCACCTGTGATGCTGGTCCAAAAGATGGCTCTTGGGCCTCAATGCCACACTCCCTCCAAGGACGAAATTAGAGCCAATAACCTAGAAGCTCCAGCACCCATTTTTTTCCCCAGCCACAGACCTCCCACAGGCACAAGGTTGCTGATGTAGGGATGACAAAAATGAGCTGAGAGATGGAACATACCTACCTGGGGACATGCAGGGAGTTTATGGCAATGCCATAAAAAGAGCCCAGGTCTCCACATTCCCATCCTAGTGCTCTAACCAGCCTAGGAACTGGGCTTTTCATATACTAGTTTGTGCATCCTTGTCCTTCCACTTGAGGAGGGAGCTGGGCACAAGTGCTTTGTAGAATCGTGCAGGTGGCGCCCTGCCCAAGGGTGTCTAGCCAGGAACGAATTAAGCTAAAATCAAGCTCGCTTTCAATCCTCCAAGCCATGCTCTGCAGCATGGGCCCATATGCCTGGGAGAAGCTATGCCTTTCTAATATTTATTTTCTTTACTTTTTCTGCTTAACCGTTCAATTATTTTATTCTCTGTATAAATTTCCTTTCTCATTTTTATATTTATTTATATATGCAATTCTTTTTAAATTGAGGTAAAATTTTCATCCCACAAAATGCACAGATCCTAAATGTACAATCTGGTGGATCTTAACAAATATGTATATATATAAAACCAACTTCCAATCAAGAGAACGCATACTTTCATTTCCACAAATTTCCCTCATGGCCGCTTTTAGTCAACCTTCACCTCTCAAAGGCAATCATTTTTCTTTCTTTCTTTCTTTCTTTCTTTCCTTTCTTTCCTTCCTTCTTCCTTCCTTCCTTCCTTTTTCTTTCCTTCCTTCCTTCCTTCTTTTTCTTCCTTCCTTTCTTTCTTTTTCTTTCTTTCTTTCTTTCTTTCTTTCTTTCTTTCTTTCTTTCTTTCTTTCTTTCTTTCTTTCTTTCTTTATCTTTCTTTCTCCTTCCTTCCTTTCTTCCTTCCTTCTTCTCCCTCTCTCTCTCTTTCTCTCTTTCTCTTTCTTTCTTTCTGACAGAGTTTTGTCGTCACCCAGGCTGGAGTGCAGTGGCATGATCTCAGCTTATTGCATCCTCTGCCTCCTGGATTCAAGTGATTCTCCTGTCTCAGCCTCCAAGTAGCTGGGATTACAGGTGGTTGCCACCACAGCCACACTCAGCTTTTTGTTTGTTTGTTTGTTTGTTTAGTAGAGATAGGGTTTTGCCATGTTAGCCAGGCTGGTCTTGAACTGACCTCAGGTGATCCGCCCGCCTCAACCTCCCAAAGTGCTGGGATTACAGGCGTGAGCCACCGCACCCAGCTTCTCAAAGGCAACCACTTTCTGATTTATACTACCATAGATTAGTTTGGCCTGTCCTCAAACTTCATGTAAAATGAATCAGGCATTGTGTGGTCTTTTGTGTGTGGCTTCTTTTGTTCAATATGTCTACGAGAATTTTCCACAGTGTTGTGTATATTGGTTATTTCTACTGCTGAGCAATATCCCATTGTAATAAAATACTACACTTATTTATCTATTTGCCTGTTGATGTTCATTTGGGTTGTTTCTAGTTTGGGGATATTTTATATTTTATTTTATTTTGAGACAGGGTCTCGTTCTGTCACCCAGGCTGGAGTGCAGTGGCACAAACTTGGCTCACTGCAAACTCTGCCTCCCAAGTCCAAGCGATCCTCTCGCCTCAGCCTCTCAAGTAGCTGGGTTTACAGGCGTGTGCCACCACGCCTGGCTAATTCTTGTATTTTTAGTACAGACAGGGTTTCTCCATGTTGGCCATGCTGGTCTCAAACTCCAGGTGTCAAGTGATCTGCCCGCCTCGGCCTCCCAGAGTGGTGGGATTACAGGCATAAGCCACTGCACCCGGCCTTAGTTTGCGGATATTTTAAGTAAAACTACAGAAAACATTCTTACGCAGAAGTTTTGTGATATATGCTTTCATTTTTTTCCTGGGTAAATACCTAGGAGCAGAAATCCCAATTATAAGGTAAGCATATGCTGCACTTCATAAGAAGTTGCATGTGCGAATACAGTAATAGTTTATAGAGTGTGAATGTATACTGCTTAAGTATACAAGAATCCTGGATGTTCCATGTTTGCCAACATTTGGTATTGTCAGACTTGTAAATTTTAGCTCCTTGAGGACTATGAATGGTATGTAATTGTGGTTTTAATTCACATTTTACTGATGACAAATAATGTTGAATACTTTGTCATATGCTTATCAGCCATTTGTATATCTTCTTTTGTGAAATGTCTTTGTTTAAATCTTTTGCTAAATTTTTGTGGTATTGTCTTTTTGTTATTGAGGTATAGAAGTTTTAAAATATATCCTGGGTTCCAGTGCTTCATCAGATATATGTTGTAAAAATATTTTCTTCCAGGCTTTGGCTGGGTTATTCTTTTTTTTTTTTCTTTTTTTTCTTTTTCTTTTTTTTATTTTTTTGAGACAGAGTCTTGCTCTGTCACCTAGGCTGGAGTGCAGTGGCACAATCTCGGCTCACTGCAACCTCCGCTTCCCAGGTTCAAATGGTTCTCCTGCCTCAGCCTCCTGAGTAGCTGGGATTACAGGTGCCCGCCTCCACACCTGGCTAATTTTTGTATTTTTAATAGAGACGGGGTTTCACCATGTTGGTCAGGCTGGTCTCGAACTCCTGACCTCGTGATCCACCCGCCTTGGCCTCCCAAAGTGCTGGGATTACAGGAGTGAGCCACTGTGCCTGGCCAGTTATTTATTTTTAGTCAATGTCTTCTGGTGCACAGAGGCTTTGATTTTGATAAATTCTGATTTTTCAATTAAAAAAAAGTTTATGCTTGTCGCTGTGTCCTGTGTAGAAAATTCATGCCTACCCTAAATCATGAGGATATTTTCCTATTTTCTTTTAGAGTTTTATTTTAGCCTTTATGCTTACCATTTATCTTAAATTAGCTTTGCTTATTGGTATGGAGCAGAGGTCTAGGTTCATTTTGTCCTCCATATCACTATCCGATTGTTCCACAATTCATTGAAAAGACTTTTCTTTCCCCATTGGATTATATCGGCACTTTATCAAAAATCAAATAGCCATGTAAGTGTGGATTTATTTCTGGGCTGTCTATTCTGTTTTCTTGATCTGTTTGTCAAGCCTTGGGTCAGTATCACATTCTCTTAATGAATATAGCTTTAGAGTAAATCTTGAAGTCTGAAGTCAGATAGTGTAAGTCCTCCAACTTTGTTCTCTCTTCTTAAGATTGCTTTAGATATTCTAGGTTCTTGGTCTTTCAATTCAATTTCAGAACTACATGGTCAAATTTCTGTAAAAAAAAAAAGTCTGCTTGTAACTGATTTTATTGGGATTGCATTAGATCCATACATCACTTAAAAGAAAACTGACATCTACAAAACTTGAGTCTTGACATTCATGAACAATCGTCTAGCTCTGTCTCTAAGTCTTCTCTCGTTTACAGCAACGCTTTTTAGCCTTCAGTGTATAGATCTCGCCCATTTTTTTAAAGAAACATTTATTTATAAATATTTGTGGTTTTGATATTGTGATAAATAACATTACTTTTTAAATTTAAATTTCAAATTGTTTGCTGCTAATATATAAAAATTTGAGGCCGGGCCTGGTGGCTCATATCTGTAATCCCAGCGCTTTGGGAGGCCAAGGCAGGCGGATCATCTGAGGTCAGGAGTTCAAGACCAGCCTGGCCAACATGGTGAAACACCGTCTCTACTAAAAATACAAAAATTAGCTGGGCATGGTAATGCATGCCTGTAATCTCAGCTAGTTGAGGGCTGAGGTGGGAGAATTGCCTGAACCCAGGACGGGGAGGTTACAGTGAGCCGAGATCATGCCACTGCACTCCAGGCTGGGCAACAGAGCAAAACTCCATCTCAAGAAAAAAAAAAAATTGATTGATTTTTTAAGGTATATTTGCCCTGTATTTTGTGACCTTGCTAGATTCATTTTATAATTCTAGTAGTTGTTTTGTAGCTTAACATTTTCTATGTAAACAATGATGTCATCTGCAAAAATGCTGTATTTATTTCCTTCCTACCTTTGTGTCTTTTGATTGTTACTTGCTTATTATATGGTTACAACCTCCAGTGCAGGATTCAGTAGAAGAGATGATAGCATATATGTTGCCTTACTCCTGGTCTTTAGATAAAAATATTAACTACTTCACCATTAAGTATGATTTGGCCGTAGTATTTTATTTATTTTTTTTTTTTTTTGAGGCAGAGTTTTGCTCTTGTCGCCCAGGCTGGAACGCAGTGGTGCCATCTCGGCCCACTGCAACCTCTGCCTCCCAGATTCAAGTGATTCTCCTGCCTCAGCCTCCCCAGTAGCTAGGATTACAGGCACCCGAAACCATGCCCAGTTAACTTTTGTGTTTTTAGTAGAGGTGGGGTTTCACCATGTTGGCCAGGCTGGTCTCAAATTCCTGACCTCAGGTGATCTGCCCACCTCGGCCTCCCAAAGTGCTGGGATTACAGGCATGAGCAACCTCACCCGTCCGGCTGTAGTATTTTTAATAAATGTCCTTTCCTCAAACTTTTCTGATAATTTTATTATGAATGTGCATTTAATTTTGTCAAATGCTTTTTTGGTATCTTTTTTGTATTTATTAAAATTATCATGTGTTTTTCTCTTTTATCTTATTAATATGGCAATATATACGATTTGATTTTTAAAGGTTAAATCAATTTTGTACTTCTGTAATAAAACCAACTTAGTCACGATGCATTATACTTTTGATACAGTACTGGATTTGGTATGTTGTCATTTTATTAAGATTTTTGTGCCTATATTCATATGGCATATTTATCTGTAATTTCTTTTTGTGTAATATCTTTGTTAGGTTTGATATTAGAGTTACACTGTCTGGTTATGTCTGCAGAAAAACCCTTCTTTTATTTCTGCTACTGGTAGTTTGTATTTATTTTTTTCTTTGGTCAGTCTAGTTAGGTGTTTATTATTTTTTTCTTGTATCTTTTCACAGAATAAACTTTTGGATTTGTTATTTTTCTTTGTAGTATTTCTGTTTCTATTTTATTATTTCTGCTGTTATCTTTATTACCTTCTTTCTTCTATTTCCTTTGATTTTACTTTGCTTTTCTGTTTCTAATTTCTTACTGTAGAAACTTAGACTATTAACTTTAGACCTTCCTTCTTTTCTAGTGTAAGTACTTAAAGCTATACATTATCTCCAAGCGCTGTATTAGCTTTATTGCACAGATTTTTCTCTCTGCTTTAAATATTTTCCAATTTCCTTTGTGATTTCTGCTTTGACCTCTGGGTTATTTAGAAGTTTGTTGCTTAATGTGCAAATACTTGTTGAATTTCTAGATACAGTTTTATCATTGATTTTTAATTTATTTCCATTTACTTCCACTCTGCATGATTTAAATCTTTGTAAACTTACTGAGACTTAGTTTATGACCCAGCATCAGGTAAACAGACATTGTCCACTGAAAGATAGAGCCTTCAGCTGTTGAGCATGGTGATTGATACTGTTAGCTCATCTACATCTTACTCAACTTTGTTTCAAAGTCGTTAATGTTGTTGTCAAGTTGTTTCATCAGTTGTGGAGAGAGGGATGTTAAAGCTTCTTTAGACTACAGCCAGAGTTCTCTTCCTGAAACATACTTTGGATCATAATACCCTTCTCTTCAAAAACGGGCAACGGCTGCCCATCGTCTGCAGGGCAAGGCCAAACTCCACAGCGCGGCTTTCCGGGCCCTCCGGGATCCACTCCTGCCTGCTTCCCCAGCTTCACCTTCACCAAGCAGCATGATCTAAGTGTCCACGAAGGCTCCCTTGCCAAGCGACACGTGGTGGACAAGGGGGGAGGCCAGTGAGCAGGGCGTTTTCTCTCAGCCTGCCCCCAAGCAAGGCAAGCCACATCTTAGTGTCCCCAAGCGTCTTTGCTGGCACTTTGAAAGTGCTACATTTTGAGCCTGTTATCTGGCAGCTTTCACGAGGCAAAAGCACTCTCCTGATGTGTCAGCCTCTGGTGTCTGGTAATGTTTCAAATAAAAATGGGCAGTGAAAGAGAAGCAGTGTAACACCATCGAGGCCATCACATACAATATGGTATTCTCCAATTTCTCACTCTGTTACCAAGCTGGAGTGCAGTGGTGCGATCTCGGCTCACTGCAACCTCCGACTTCCTGGTTCAAGTGATTCTCCTGCCTCAGCCTTCCGAGTAGCTGGGATTATAGGTATGCACGGCCACACCCAGCTAATTTTTGTATTTTTAGTAGAGATGGGGTTTCACCATGTTGGCCAGGCTGGTCTCGAACTCCTGACCTCGTGATCCACCTGCCTCAACATCTCAAAGTGCTGGGATTACAGACGTGAGCCACCGTGCCTGGCTGGTACTTTCCAATTACTAAAGAGGAATTTGAGATTATGTTTTGACGAGTTGTAGGAGTTACATAACAAGTGAGAACATGCAGGAGAGGCCTCCTTTGAAGACCAATAATCAAGTAGCCATTGAGTGTTAAATAAAATTGATTTATTGTAGCACTGGTCAAACTTTTGGGTTACTCTTGCAGGGCACCCGAGGCTCCAGCCCCCAGCAGCTTCTACCGTGTAAGATGCCATTACCCTTCTTCCTCACCTTTTGGAATTCAACTCATCATTCAAAGCTCTGCCTCAGTGCCTCCTCCTCCATAAAGCCTTCCTTGATTTCTTTCTCGGAATTGCTCTGCCCGTCACCGCCCCATGGGAGTCTGCTCATATCCCATTTTAATGTAAAATAATAGAAATAATAGAAATAATTAGAAATTATTAGAAATAATAGAAATTAGAAATAATTAGAAATAATAGAAATATAAATAATAGAAATAATAATGTAAAAAAAAAGAAACTCTGGAGGCAGACTCAAGTTTTATACTGGGTCTGGCACATGCTGGCTTTAAGATGTTGGGGCAATTACTTAGTCTCTGTTTTCTCATCTGTAAACTGGAATCAATAATGGGAACTTCCTCATAAGTCATTGTGGGAATTAAATGAGGTGATACATGTAGAGTACTCTAGCACCAGAGTAACAGGCTCTCCATCAATGCTAGCAGATGTGATGATGATGGAGTGATGATGGTTACTTGGTTAACTTTGTTTGAAATTCAGTGGTTATTTTTACCTATCTCTCTTTCTGAACTAAAATTTCCTAGAAGAAAGAAATTGCCTCTGATTTTTGTACCTGAACCGTCTGTGTTGTACTATGTACCTGGCATATAGTAACCACTCAGTTAATGATGTTTAAGGATAGAAATGGTGGATAGGAGACAGGGCTAACATGCAGCTCCCACATGGATGAACAGAACAGTGTGTGGAGACTCACACCATGATCTTTTGCTCCAAGAACCATTGTAGGAACGTACCAGGAAAACCAAAAGAATCCACAGATCCTTTGAAAGAAGCGGCACCCTGATGCAAATTCCATGAAACAGGTGAAAAACTGTGAGTTCCCAAAGTGTGAGAGGGGGAAAATCCACCTCTGAACACACATCCCCACTGGAGAATCTGAAAATCCAGATCACAGGAGAAGGATTTAACCTTACCTAGAAATGAAACAGATTTAGGGAGGTGCAAGAAATATAAAAGTACAGTTAGCTTCAAGGGAAGAGCCTTAATGCACTCTCAGTCTCCAGCTCGAGCCCTGGGAAGCCATTGCTTTTATATCTCACAGGGGCCCTTGGGGAAGGCAGCCAGTGGAACTGGGGAGGGGTTGTGGGACAAAGGAAACTCCCAACTGAAATTGGTTGTGGTTTCGACTGGGCACACATTTTCTTGAGTGGAGTCCAGGGGATGAGCAAGAGCTGGATATGAGTGAGTGAGGGAGCACAGAAGCACAGGAGCTGCCACTGTCAGAGTGGGCAGATGGGAGGGGCGAGGGGCAAGGTCTGAGAGCTGTGCTTGCTTTCTCAGTGGGGTAGCTCATGGCCTGGGGCAAGGTCTGAGTGGGGCACTGCAAGAGCAAGACTAGTCTTTCCAACTACGTGGGAGCTGGGTGAGGCCTCTCGCTACCAACTATCCCCCACTTCCCTGGCAAACTACATGACATGGCAGAGGCAGTCATAATCCCCTCTGGACCTAACCCCATTGGCCTGAGAGACACTCCCCTATTCCCCACAGTGGCCATGGTAAGCCCTCCACAAGAAGAGTGTGAGCCTAGACCTGCCTAACCCTGCCTGGACCTGATGGTATTTCCCTACTTGCCCTCGTAGCCAAACACAAAACCCAGAAACTCTTGGAAGCTTTAAGGCCCTATCCATTGCCTGATAAATCAAAATACTTACCCTGGCCATCTTTGGGCAAGCCTAGAGAGCTTAGAGCCTCCTACTACTACAGCAGCTGTTGCTCTCCTGAAAGCAGCACCTCCTGGCTGGAGGCCAACCAACTCAGGTCATTACAACAACTCAGGACAGAATGACCTTGATCCCAGGAAGGAGAATACAACACCTAATTTTGCTGCCTGCAATATCTTGGCTAACCAGAGGTCCTGCGGGTGTCCACATGAAACCTCATCACTAGCATAACCGGCATTCAAGAAAGTCAGCACACTAAACATATCTACAACCAAAGACTCTCACAGAGTGGGCACTGGTATCCACGGCTGGAAGACCTGAAGACAGGTCACATCATAGGACTCTGCAGACATCTTCCAGCACAAGCTCAGAGCCTGGTATCCCCACTGGGTGGCTAGACCCAGAAGAGCAATAATAATGAGAAGGAATCAGAAAAGTAATTCTAGTACTATGACGAAACAGGGTTCTATAATATTCCCAAAAGATCACATCAGCTCTTCAGCAATGGATCCAAACCAAGAAGAAATCTCTGAATGGCCAGATAAAGAATTCAGAAGGTTGATTATTAAAGCTACTCAAGGAGATACCAGAGAAAGGTGAAAACCAACTTAAGGAACTTTAAAAAAAAATACAGGATATGGATGAAAAATTCTCCAGAGAAATAGATGTAAAGAAAAAAACAATCACAACTTGTGGAAATGAAAGACACACTTAGAGAAATACAAAATGCAGTGGAAAGTTTCAGCAATAGACTAGAGCAAGTAGAAGAACTTTACAGCTTGAAGACAAGGCTTTCAAATTAACCCAATCAGAAAAAGACAAAGAAAAAAAGAATTTAAAAACGAACAAAGCTTCTAAGAAATTTGGGATGTTCAATGGCCAAATCTAAGAATACTTGGCGTTCCTGAGGAAGAATCAAAATCTAAAAGTTTGGAAAACTTACTTGAAGGAATAATTGAGGAAAACTTCCCTGGCCTTGCTAGAGATTTAGACCTCCAAATACAAGAAGCTCAAAGAACACCTGGAAAATTCATCATAGAAAGATAATCACCTAGGCACATAGTCATCAGGTTATCTAAAGTCAAGATGAAGGAAAGAATCTTAAGAGCTTTGAGACAAAAGCATCAGATAATCTATAGGAAAACATATCAGATTAACAACAGACTTCTCAGCAGAAACCTTATAAGCCAGAAGGGATGGAGGTCCCATCTTCAACCTCCTGAAACAAAATAATTGTGTGTCAAGGATTTTGTATCCAGTGAAACTAAGCTTTATAAATGAAGGAGAGATAGTCTTTTTCAGACAAACAAATGCTGAGAGAATTTGCCCAACTAAGCCAGCACTATAAGAAATGCTAAAAGGAGTTCTAAATCTTGAAACAAAACCTTGACATACACCAAAATAGAACCTACTTAAAGCATAAATCTCACAGGGCCTATAAAACAATAATACAATGGAAATAACCACAAGGTATTAAGGCAACAACTAACATAATGGATAGAACAGTACCTCACATCTCAATACTAACATTGAATGTAAATGGCCTAAATGCTCCACTTAAAAGGTATGGAATGGCTGAAGGGATAAAAATCCACCAACCAAGTATCTGCTGTCTTCAAGATACTCACCCAACACATAAGGACTCACATAAGCTTAAGGGGTGACAAAAGATATTCCACGCAAATAGAAGCCAAAAGAGAGTAGAAGTAGCTATTCCTATATCAGACAAAACTGACTTTTAAGCAGCAACAGTGAAAAAAGACAAAGAAGGACATTGTATAATGATAAAAGGAATAGTCCAACAGGAAAATATCACAGGCATATATATATATATATATATATATATATATATACATATATATATACACACACATACACATATATGTATATGTAGCTATACACATATACATATATATTTTGTAGCTATACGTGTGTGTGTGTGTGTGTGTGTGTGTGTGTGTGTGTATATGTAAAACACCAGAACTCCCAAATTCATAAAACAATTACTACTGGACCTAAGAAATGAGATAGATGGCAACATAATAATGTGGGAGACTTCAATACTTCACTGACAGCACTAGACAGGTCATTAAGACAGAAAGTCAACAAAGTAAATGTTTAAAATGCAAAACGAAATTACCTAGATGGTAAAACTGGCCTGAAGGCACATTTCTTTCTCAACATTGTAAAGGGCTCACATGTTCTGGGGTCACCGGGAAGGGTAAGCATTCTCTCAAATATATTTTTTCAGATTTAGTGGATGTGTTTGCTTGAGTTGCTGCATGCTGGGGGACATGTGAGGTCAGACTTAACTCTTACTTGCGTCTTTGAGTTCTTGGTGGTGTTTTGCCCTTGTTGAGTTCCTGTAGTTGTACACCACAGGATGCAGGGTAGGGGTGGCCTGGGAGTTTTTACCTCTGTTTTGGAAGTTAATTCTACCCTGTTTGTTAAACACTTTCCACTTCCACACACTGAGTGACTGGGCGGGGAAGGTCTTGAGGAATGAGCTAAGACCAATTTCATCCACCGCCAATTCATGCCCTGCTCCAGAGGGAGCTGGCTGGCTGTGCTTTCTCATTCTTGGCAGGGGAACACAGTCATGTTTGTCCTGCAATGCCAGGGGAGCCCCAGGCCTAGAACAATGGTGAGTGATTTATTTGGTAAAGTGTATTTGAGTTCCAGAGTGTTGCTAAGCATGTTAAATAGCTGTTATCTTTGCTCAGTCCCAGCCAGTAGTTTCTGGATGCATCCAGGAGGAATTCCACATAGTTTACATGACTTTTCAAGGAGCTAGTTTAGCTTTCCTTTCAGTCTTCCTAACTCTGGGATGATGGTCACTGTGCTTCCCAACCTTTTAGCTGTGGGCAATCAATGTTATGTAAACTAAAAGATTACATTTAACGATTCAAAAGATCAAAAATTTAAAAGATTAATCACAGATGAGCCCTAACCCCCTCAATATCAGAATCATATTTCTGTATGTTCTAATACAACATGTGGATGTCATATCTAAACATCTAAATTGGTGAGATGTCCTATCTGAATGTACCACAGGGCATGGGGCCGCCTTTAGGGAGGACTCTTTTATTCTCTGTGGCAAAATATTACTCCAAATCCCAGCACCCACTTTCTAGTCCATACCATGGCTATGAAAATAATCACGAACTAAACAAATTCTTCCCTTGGAGAATGAGGTTTCAGTAAATTCCAAAGAGTCAGGAAGCATTTGTTTCTCCAACATGAATCATACACAGGCCAGAAGTTGATTTTATACCCTGTCAAACTCGGGAATAAATTTTGTGTGTTTCTTGTAAAACGAAACTGTGCTCGTAATTCATATGTTATTTTGTAGCTTTCTGTTTGCAATTACAGTATGTCATAAGCATTTTCATATCTCACTAAATATCATTTTTAATGGTTGCAGAGTAATCCTTTGAATTTGGTACCATAATTGATTTATCCAAAGCATTATTATTGGATGTTTGGAATAACTATGTCTTAATACAACTTATTAATTCATTTTCTCAACATTCAAGAAGCATCCACCATGTGCCAGGTCTTCAGGGATAAGTAAGATAGCCCTGTCCCTTAAGGAGCTCTCAGTCCAGGGGGAGGTCCTTGTGATCCACTGTGTTAGAGTGAGTAGAACCCACAGGCCAGACTTATTTAATAAGGGGCTACTCTCCCTAAAACCTGCCGCCCTCTCTCTAACCCCAAAGTGCTCAGAATCTGAGCTGTACCTGTGGGAGCAGGGGGTCTCATGTTTGGCCAGAGGCTAGTAGTTTCCTCTTCTTTGCTACCTTCTTCTAGGGTAGTGATTCTCAGCTCCTCTCCATGCTGGTAGCAGCTGATAGATTTAAAAAATACCAATGCCATGGCTGATCAATTATCACCAAGAATGGAGTCTGAGCAGTGCTGTGCTGGTAAATATTTAATAATCAGTAATCCACAAAAAGTATGCGTAATTATACATGTACATAAGTTTGTTATATATCTAGCGATACAAAGAATGTGTAGGACACAATTGACAAATAATTAAAAATATGCAGGACTCTAATGTAAATTCCGTAATAATAATAGATTCTTTTATGTTGTTATTTATTTATTTTAACTTTTATTTTAGGTTCGGGGTACATGTACAGGTTTGTTATATGGTAAATTGCATGTCATGGGAGGTTGGGGTACAGGTTATTTTATCACCCAGATAATTAACATAGTACCTGGCAGGTAGTTTTTCCTCTTCCTCCTCTCACCTCCACCCTCAAGTAAGCCCTAATGTTTGTTACTTCTTTCTCTGTGTCCATGTGAACTCAATGTTTAGCTCCCACTTGTATGTGAGAACATGCGATATTTGGTTTTCTGTTCCTGCCTTAGTTTGCTTAGGATAATGGCCTCCAGCTCCATCCATGTTGTTGCAAAGTACATGATGTCATTCTTTTTTATGACTGCATAGTATTCTGTGGTATATGTGTACTACATTTTCTTTATCCAGTATACTGTCGAGGGGCACTTAGGTTGATTTCATGTGTTTGCTATTGTGAAAAGTGCTGCAACGAGCATAAACGTGCATGGGTCTTTATGGCAGAATGATTTCTATTCTTTTGGATATATACCCAATAATGGGATAGCTGGGTCAAAAGGTAATTCTGTTTTAAGTTTTTTTGAAAAGTGACCACACTGCTTTCCACAAGGGCTGAACTAATTTACATTCCCACCAGCAGTGTAAAAGCATTCCTTTTTCTCTGAAACCTCACCAGCATCTGTTGTTTTTTGACTTTTTTAAATAATAGCCATTCTGACTGGTGGGAGATGGTATCTCATTGTGGTTTTGAATTGAATTTCTCTAATGATCAGCGACATTGAGCATTTTTTCATATGCTTGTTGGTCATGCATATGTCTTCTTTTGAAAACTGTCTGTTCATGTCCTTTGCCCGCTTTTTAATGGGGTTGTTTTTCACTTGTTAATTTATTTAAGTGCCTTATAAATCCTGAATGTTAGACTTTGTTGGATGCATAGTTTGCAAATATTTTCTCCCTTTCTGTAGGTTGGTTGTTTATTCTGTTGATAGTTCCTTTTGCCGTGCAGAAGCTCTTTAGTTTAATTATGTCACATTTTCCAATTTTTGTTTTTGTTGCAATTGCTTTTGGCATCTTTATTATGAAATATTTGCCGGGGCTTATGTCTAGAATGGTATTTCCTAAGTTATTTTCCAGGGTTTATATAGTTTTATGTTTTACATTTAAATCTTAAATCCACTTTGAGTTGATTTTTGTGTATGGTATAAGGAAAGGGTCCAGATTTAATCTTCTGCACATGGCTAGCCAGTTATCCCAGCACCATTTATTAAATAGGGAGTCCTTTTTCCATTGCTTGCTTTTGCTGGCTTTTTTGAAGATCAGATGGTTGTAGGTGTGTGGCTTTTTTTTCTGGGTTCATGTGTCTGTTTTTGTATTAGTACCATGCTGTTTTGTTTACTGTAGGCTTGTGGTATAGTTTGAAGTCAGATAACCTGATGCCTCCAGCTTTATAACAATAGATTCTTACAGAAAGCTTTTTTCAGGCCATAGTCAATCTACAGTTGTGAATGACAAAGGAATACAGTCCTGCCATGAACAATAGTTATTTTCATTTCTGTTAATGAGTAAGATGAAAGTGAAACAAGGAAGACACGTGCCAGAACTTCACTCGTTTATCAATGGCATAAATTACTTTTTTGCTGGATTATAAAATGGGTTTTGAATATTGGAGGAATATTTTCTCTTTTTCTTTTTTGTACAATTCACAATATAACAAGTACAGACACAGCACTCTTTTAAGTTGAATCTGCATCGTTAACACTTACCCATTATTTTTAATAGTAGACAATCAACAAAATAACAAATCAAGCTTTTATTTGTAGTATTTGCTGATTCCTGTGGTGTAAATTCTCCTATGGCCAATTACTGATGGACATTCCTGAATGCAGAGCTGGGAAATGTACATATCATTACAAAGAATTTTTGCCATGTAAATACAATAAAAATATGCCACAATGTCACAGGTGACTCAGGCTGGCCGGGCAGGGAGGGCCAGAATCCCTGAACACTGAGCGCACCCAGTCTGCCCCCAGCTGCTGCTCCCACCAGTGAGACCCACCTGCCTGGGTGGCCAGTGGAGACCTAATCCCCTGTGACACCATGTGGCAGTTTCTATCCACTTTGGCAAATCTCCGTCTTCAACCAAGGACTCAGATGGGGGCTGGCTGAAAGACGACACTCTTTCAAACAACTTGACTTTTATTCTCCGAAATGGGGATTTTTTTTATGATTTTATGTAAACAACATATTTTATTTGTAAAAATTCAAATAGAATGATAAATAAAAACAGGAAAGTTTTCTGCCCTTCAGTCATTTCCCACTCCTCACAAAGAATCACCTCTAATCATTTGTTATCTATCCTTCCAGACAATATTCCATGTGAGCGTGTGTGTATACATTTAAACGGGATGATATGACATTTTAGATTCTGTAACCTGTCCTTTTTACTCAATAACAAAGCATATATGGCATTTGTGATTGCATTTCCTCAACTATTTATACTGCCTAACCTCCCACATATGGATGGTTTCATAATTTACTTAATAAATCTCTGTTGACAAGCATCTAGGTTGTTTCTGGTGTTTGCCATGACAAGCAATACTGTCAATTTTAACAAGGGGAAACATTATGGAGATAAATACAAACCTTCCACGTGAGATATCCCTCACCCAGAATCATAGTGGCAGTTACCATTTCTCTAGTGCCCGCTGCGTGTCAGACACCATGCCTAGGACTCACCCACTGCAGTGGGATAGCAGTGTTACTACTACACAGTAGACAAAGCTGATCCTCACAGAGATTCAGTAGCTTCCTGCGGTCACGCCAACCGATGAGAGAAGAGCCAGTATTCGAACCCCAGTCTGCCTGAGTCCAGAAGCCTCAGATCAGCCTGGCTTCTGCCAGGATGAGTGCATTAATCTTGCTTGTTATTTTCTGTATTTTATGATGCGTTGATGTCTTGGGGCCTTGCAGATCTGGGAGAGTCTGCCCCTTCCAGGTTTAGCTAATTCCTGGAGATAACAGACAACTTGCCTGCCAGCACACCTTTGATATACAAACAACCAGTCCAGAGCCCACAACCCAACCATCTCTTTTACCAGACCCTTACATACCAAGCCAATATTCCCGGTACCCTAAATCATCTCAGGGCCAGATACTAGACAACTGGGGATCACACCCGTAGATCAGAGCCCACTGAAATTATTCCAACCATTCAGTCCTCAGCTTACTTAGAATATTTACCATGTTTGGACCATTCCTTTCCACAAAAGCCACGATTCAGGGTCTGGTCATGCTTGCCCCTCGCTCCTCCTGCCTCCTGACCAGCACTGGTGCTTCCTGACATGGCCCTGCATGGTGTGGCGGATCCCTTCCTCTTAGGAAATAGAAATAGAAATATTGAACTCTCCTTGCAAGGCCGTCATCTCCACATCTGTCAACTAACCATCATTATAACAAGATCCCAGGCACATTTTAAAATAGCAAGGAGTCCATCTGGGCTCTGGCTAGGGACGTGGACTTCCCACCTTGGTTATTCCCCCTCCACCCTCTTGTCTGTCTCACCCTCCCCAGGACATCCGCCTTCCTCCACTAGTCTGTCCTCTATCCTCTGCTCAGGCTTGGTCAGTTTCCCTAAGCCTGCCTAAGTCTAGACGATGATGCTCTAATTTGTTTAGACTGTTGTTTCCAAAACTCTGCTTGCGGATGTCCTGGGATGCTCACCCTGTGGGCACTCACTTCCACTCCTGAGAGTTTTACATAAAATTGCAGATAAGGAGAACAATGACAATCCTCTCCAAGATGACAAGGGCATGAGTGGATGACGTTGTCTGAAAAGAGACTGTGGGGGAAGCAACCATCCTTAGGGAAGCTGACTTATTCCAAGGTCCAACAAGTCTTCCCACAATAGAGTTTTCAGAGGTCTAGAATATCAGACAGTGAAGGGTTTCCTAAATGAAATATCAAAGGGCTTCCAGTAAGCTTTATCTTGAAGTCAATAACCTCTTCATTTCCTTATAAGAATTTCTACAAGAGAAATTCTTTTCATAAAGCTTAGAGGGAAAAGAAAAAGCGGCAGGAAAAAAACAGAACATGAAAACTCAAGATACAAAATGATTCAGGATTTTTCCTCAAGTAGGAAACTGGACTGTGCCTTCAAGGTGAGCTTCATCATCCTTCTGTTAGGTCTCAGAAGGAGATAAGCATTCTTGGGAGCTGCTGGGATGCAGAAGAATCTGCCCAGGTTGTGAGTGGTGGGTTGGGTGCTGGCTGGCTTCCCCCAACTCCACCCACTTGTCGAGATCTGTTGCACAGCTAAGATGGGACATTCAGGAACATGACCCAGAAAATGGACTCACAGACTCTTGCAGTCAAAGAGCACATGACACTCATAGGAGGCCCCTGCAGACATCTCACAAAGTCTGGGTTTCTTTCAGTGTTCCACCAGCAGGTCCTGGGGGTTCTTCCTTGAGCCTGAAACCAGATGGCACTAAGAGTGACCAGAGGTTCAGAGGAAGGACCTAGGGCAATGAGGATAGAGGGTAAAGAGAAGGGAGATGGGGCTCATTCAATGTCTGCAGTGGGTGGCCTGGTGAAGTTGTCCCCAGTAGCAATATGAGGAGGCTTGTGTAAATTAAGGAGCTAGAGGGAGGTGAGTTGAATAGGGTGAAAAAGCTACTCCTAAATCCCAACCCCATGTTCCTGTGGGGTCGGGGAATTTTGTGGGTCAGATGATATGATTCACACAGTGGTGAAGCACAGTCAGCTTCGTACATTCTTCTGGAGTGCATCTGTGTGTGATGTGTGTGCTCTTGACTGCCCTGATACTAGGATGTCTAATAATGTATGCCTCCTCAACCTCCCACAAATGAAGGCTTGGTGATGGTGGTCTAGGTAGAGCCTTAGCCACCCCCACTGAGTTTTAGGCAGCTGGCAATATAAAAGGAGTCAGGTGGGGGGTCGCTGGGATACAGGAGGTCTCATCTAGGGCAGACTATGAGAGGGGTTGAGGAATAGGTCTGTATTTCTAAGCCCCATATACACAAGCCCTGGGCCAGAGCTGTAGAGTTGAACTAGGCTTGGTGGGGGTGGGGGACAGGTTGACGGTAGGCTTCAAATTCTGTGTGCACGTCATGGACCAGATGGCTAACACGGGACGAGGCAGAGCAGCAACAACTAGAGAGGCAAAAACATGTTAACAGTTCAGAATGGGTTTGGGGATCGTTCTATGTCTTTTTCCAGAAGTTTCATATACTTCCAGAGTGGACAGTGGTGGGCTGGAGGTGGCTCTTATGGGCTTACAATGGCAGATCATGTCTCTCTTTCCAACTCTCTGATCAAGGACATCAGGTTGGTAGTTTGCAAGTGGCCATGGTGGGAATATTTACACCATGGCAATCAGCAAGTGCTACAGACCAGGACTTCTTTTTCCCCAGAGAGCTGGTTGTTAAACATTTACCAGCACATAATGGGCAATAGGTAGAGTGGTAGTCAGGCACGTAGGAATCAGTGAGAGCTAACAGACAGCTCCTAATTCCTGCCTGAAAGAGGGAGGGTTTTATCTGGAAACTAGCCCTGTAGAGTGGGAAAAGCATGGGCTTAAGAGTCAAACAGATCCACCTGGGTTTGAATCTAAGCTCTCCTATGGATCAGCTAATAACCTTGGGTACATTGAGTAAGAAGCGGGGACAGCAGTGTATCTGCCTTTTCATGGGGTGCATCTGGTGAGGCAGACACATTCTAGACACTGTCTCTAATACTCACATGCCTTGAATGCATGCAGAAAAACATACACTTGATCAATAAGGCTCTCTTGGGCACCTACTTAGTACAGTGTGGTGGATAATGTGATGTCCAACAGGCCACCAGTCTATGGGAGGAGTAGAGGAACAAGCTGCCATTCATGCAGGATAGAAGTATGACTTTGTGGTGTGACGTGGCAGCCCACACACGGCCTCCAGTGACCCCCACCTTCTGGTGCTCACAGCTGTGTAATCCCCTATCTGTATTGTTCCAGGAGTGTTCTCTGTGACCAATAGCACATGGTAGAAGTGTGTGTTGTGTTTTCCTCTGTTAGGTCTTGAGGTCCCTCTCATGAGAGTGGCTGTAAACTCTACCCCTGCTGTGATGTGGCTTCAGGGATCTGGCCATGGATATTTATAGTGTGCCTTCCATGGGATATGTCTCTATTCTGGCAGACAACCTAATGCCTAAGTGCTAGACCCATGACCAGGTGTCCCTCTCCCTGAAAATTTGTTTACACTGGCAGACACCCTTGTGGCTCTTGTCTGACCTCTGTCCAGTTTATTCCTACCAAGACATCCATTCTCTGGAAGATCCCTGATGGAAAGAAGCTGGGTTTGGGTGTGTTAGTTGGATGAGACTTAGAGGAGATGACATAGCAAAACACATGAAATGACAGAAGCAGTTTATTACTCACAGATCCCAGAGAGAAGAAGGCAGCATGCCTCGCAGGGCCAATGGGAAGCAGGAAGCCATCCAGAATAATGCTTTCAAACAGTGGGTGGGGAGTAAGAGAGAGCTATAAGGCTCCCCACCCACCCACTTGGGTCTGTGGGCCCTAGCTATTATTGGATCCAGGGCATTACCCAAGCAGGTTTCCTCCTGGGAAGTTCTAATTGGTGGGTTTAGAGGAAACAGGCAGTTTTCATGGAGTTATACTGTGATTGAGAGGGTAGTCACTGCAGCATATCTGTGCTCTCCATGTGGGGTATGGGAATCAGTGGGGTGCATCAAGTAGGTTGTATCCGGCTGTCCATGGGGAGGTGTTCACCAGGAGGTGGTTGGTAAGGCAGGTATCTGGAATGACCACATTGAGGAACTGGAGGGTAGAGAACTGGAAAGTGTGTTGAGGGTGACCAAACCCTACTTCTGGTATAAGAAATTTCAGTGGCACCTGTAGTCCCAGCTACTTGGGAGGCTGAGGCAGGCGAATGGTGTGAACCCAGGAGGCGGAGCTTGCAGCGAGCCAAGATTGAGCTACTGCACTCCATCCAGCCTGGGCGACAGAGCAAGACTCCGTCTCAAAAAAAAAAAAAAAAAGAAAGTTCAGCTTATATTCAAAATGGATGCTGTTGCAACATAGCAGTAGCAGTAACAATAACTCACTATCTGCTGGGATGTGACTTCCAAGATTAGGTTATAGAAGACTTCAGCTTTGGTCTTGGGCTCTCTCTCAAGCCATTCACTTTGAGGGAAGCCAGCTGCCACGCTGTGAGCAGCTCTAAGGAGATACCCCATGACAAGGAACTGAGGACTTCTGCCAGTATGTGGTGAGCTTGAAAATGGACTCTCCAGCCCCAGTTGAGCCTTCAAATGACTGCAGCCCCAGCCAAGAGCTTGACAGCACCCTCGTGAGAGACCCTGAGCAGAACCACCGAGCTCAGCCTCCCCTCAATTCCCAATGCTTGAGACTGTATGAGACAACCGATGCTTGTTTTAAGCTGCTAAATTTGGGGGTCATTTGTTATGTGGCTCTAGATAACAAATCTAAGAATTGTGGCTAGAAAACTACCAGGTAATCTTACAGAGGAGGAAGCATAAGTTGAAATAAAGAGAAGCAAATTACCTATAGAGTCCTCAGGAGGAATAAAGTCTTAGAAATCATCTACTTCATGTCATTAAAAGAGATAGGAAAGATATTTATTATTTATTATTAAACAGTTTTATCATGCCAAAAATACTGTACCCATAATGCTATTCCTCCAGTGCATCAACTGTTTACATTTCTCCACAGCTCCTTGCACTCTTTAGCTATAAGCTGGATAGTTAATATCTTAGTGTACATGTAGTTTTGTGGCCAACTTTTAAAAACTTGACATTTACATGCTTTCATCTTTCTACAGTTATCACATTGATCATTGTAAATGTATATTAGTTTGGCGCAAAAGTAATTGCAGTTTTCACCATTACTTTCCATGGCAAAACCACAATTACTTTTACACTAACCTAACAGTATTTCATGGCATCAACAAGCCATATTTCCTGGGCTTCTTAGTAGACATTTCTGTTGTGCATGATAAATAACCTTTTAAGAAACAGCTACAGATGCTCCTCTAATTGTGATGGGGTTATGCCTTGACAAATCCATCATAAAGTCAAAACATCCTAAGTCAAACAATCCTATGTCAGGGAGTATCTGTATATATGTGATTTTTTCATTTCTTCCCCAGTAATTTCCTTTGGATACATTCCCAGAAGTAAAGTGAACAGGAAAGCTGTGGTATTTTTTTTTTTTTTTTTTTTTTTTTTTTTTTTTTGGCTCTTGGTGTGTACAGAAGGGTTGCTAGGGAAGGTGGCTAAATGTTGTTCATCCTACATTTCTGATATGCCTAAGGGGGTGGCCCCTCCAGGGATGTGACTCATCACGGTCTGACTGGCGTCTAGGACAAATTCACCTTGAGAGAAGGTGAAGGGCTGAGCCAGGAAAATAACGCACACTATTCTATTTAAAATTGACTATGTTCTAGTCAGGTCACATGCATTATTCTCATATCCACAACCTTAATAAGTGTGTGGGTGTGTTTGTGTGATGTGTGTATATATGTATGTATATATATATGTGTGTGTATGTATATATATGTGTGTCCCATTTTGTAGATAGAGCAAGTAAGGTAGTAAAAGGCGTGCAAGTGTTTTATCTTTAACAGATAAAACCAGTGGTTCAAGCCCAGACCTACCAGACTTTCACACTTGCACGCCTTTTACTACATGATATTGTCTTGAAATCCTCTTTTACGCCTCATGAGTGTTACGGTCTGTGACTACGCTGATCCCTGGCCCCCTTCAGTTCATAAGACCTGCAGCAGGTCCCTTCACACGGCCTACTGCAGTTTCAGCATCAACAGAACTGCGTGACTGCTTCTGTTTAACCACAAACTCATCTGCACTGGCATTTAACATTTTCTTCCTTTTCTCTAGTTTAACCCAACCAGGTCGACTTAAATTTGAAGTGAAGGGACTTGTTGAAGGTCACCCACTGAATTAGCCATACCATTTCTGCTTAGCCCTCTCCCCATCTCCCCCATTTCCAGTTTATTCTTTTTTATTCCTCCACCACTTTCCCTGCCTTCCAGCCTAACGTTTGTACTCCAAAAGGAAGCTGAAAATAGCACCTTCTGGTCATGAACCAATTTGCTCAAGGGTCCCCTCTGTTTGATAAGAAGCGAGGGTGTGACTGATTCCCATATCCATGTCCGTGCAGCTACACCAAGCTGGGACATCAACTTCCCCGCCACTTCTCAGACCACAGGAAACCTGGATGGCTGCCTTGGCCAACATTTAAAGTGTCCATTTCCTCAAAGCTCTGTGGTCTCACCTCTCACCTCTGGCCATGGAATGCCTTCGCCCACGAATGTCTCCCTATATGGTGGTTGTTTGTCTACAATCTGGGCTAATTCCCAAAATAGGTGCTCCGGAAGTGTCTCCGTTCCACTCACTTAGGGAAGGGCGTCTTCCAAAAAAGGTTAAAGATATCCTGAGATGGAAATGGGGAAAGGGAAGGCAGAGAGACCTTTGGACTTGGTTATTAAGGAAGGAATGTGATATCTGGTGTTGTGAACTCCAAACCCATTAATCAGATGTGAGAGAGGGAGAGGTGGCCTGGAGTGGCCAGGCTACTTCCAAAACAGGGACTTGAAGGAGTTGCATAGGTTTTGTTTTGTCATGAAGAGATTCTAGAATAGCTTCTTTTTCTTTAAAAAAAAAAAAAAAATTGTCTGGGCTTGGTGGCTCACACCTGTAATCCCAGCACTTTGGGAGGCTGAGGCAGGCACATCTCTTGAGGTCAGGGGTTCAAGACCAGCCTGGCCAACATGGTGAAACCCTGTCTCTACTAAAAATACAAAAACTAGCCGGGCATGATGCCATGTCCCTATAATCCCAGCTACTCAGGAGGCTGAGGCAGGAGAATCACTTGAACCTGGGAGGTGGAGGTTGCAGTGAGCCGAGAAGGCGCAACTGCACTCCAGCCTGGGCGACAGAGCCAGACTCTGTCTCAAAAAAAAAAAAAAATTTAAGGCAAAATTCACATTAACATAAAATTAATCATTTTAAAGCCCACAATTTAGTGGAACTTAGTATATTCACATTATTGTGCAACCACGACCCTTATCCAATTCCAAAACATTTTCATCACCCGAAAAGAAAACTCCGTGTCCAGTAAGTTACTCCCTGTTCCTTTTTCTCCCCAGCCCCTTTCAGCTACCAACCTGCTTTCTGTCTCTATGGATTTAACCATTCTGGATATTTTATATAAATGCAGCCATATAATTACTGTGCACTATGGCACATGCCTGTAATCCTAGCTATTCAGGAGGCTAAGGCAGGAGGATGGTTTGAGCCCAGGAGTTTGAGGCCAACCTGGGCAATATAGTGAGACCCTGTCTCAAACAAGCAAACAACAAACAAAAGGCAACTAAATGGAGCCATATAATTTGTGACCTGACTTCCTTTACTTAGCACAATGTTTTTGAGGTTCATCCATATTGTAGCATATATGGGTGCTTCATTTCTTTTTTACGACTGAATACTGTTCCATTGTATGGATGTACTGCATTTTGTTTATTCGTTCATCAGTGGACATTTGGCCAGTTTTCACCCATTGGTTATTGTGAATAGTGTTGCTGTGACTATTTGGGCACAAGTATTTATTAATTGAATTTATTTCAGTTCTTTTGGGTATATATCTAGAAGTAAAATTGCTGGGCCATATGGTAATTCTATGTTTAACTTTCTGGGGAGTCACTCAACTGCTTTCCACACTGGCTGTACCATTTTACATTTCTACCATCAATATACAAGGGTTCCCGTTTCTTCACATCCTTGTCAGCACTTGCTATTTTTCATTTCTTTGATACCCATCCTAGTGGGTGTGAAGTAGTATTTCATTGAAGTGTTGATTTGCATTTCTCTAATGACTAACATGTTGAACATCTTTTCATATGCTTGTTGGCCTTTTGTATATCTTCTTTGGAGAAATGTCTATTTAAGTCCTTTGATCAGTTTTTAAGTGGGTTAGAATAGTTTTTAACCTCAGAGCTGAAAAGGGCTTTGGGGATCATCTATTGCCTGCCCAAATTTCTCCCATTTTACAAATGAGGAAACAGAAACCTAGGAAGGTGCACAGGTATCCTTAAGATCACACAGCAATGACTCAACAAGAAATCAGAGCTCTTGACTGAATTCCGGACACCCCACATAGCCTATTCTTCACAGATTTGACCCAAGGGCAGATCACAAGTCTAGACAGCTGGACTTTGGCTCTAAGGAAACCTCTAGAGCAGTAGATCCATGGTCCCATTGATCTGGCTTGCTGATCGCCCAGCTAATGGAGGTAGGGACTCCATTAGCAAGTTAATGACCACAGAGAGTGAAGCCAGCAGCACTCACACCTTAGTTAGCCTCACTCATCCTTCCAGTCTTTAACCCCTCCAGGTCTGTGTCCTTCCTGCTGCTTAGTTTCACCATATTTTCATTCATATGCAAATAGATGGACGGGTGGATGGATGGGTGGGTTGGTGGTGAGGGGGTAGATGGATGGGTGGGTGCATAGATGGATAGATGAATAGATGGATGGATCAATGGATGGATGAATTGATGGGTGGCTGAGGAGGTGGATGGATGGATAGATAGATGGACAGATAGATGGATGGATCGATCTATCTGTCTGCTCTTCTTTGTGCTCAGTTTTCTCGCTGAGAATGTCTGTTTCATAGTTGGCACTCACTGATGATGCAGGCTGAGTGGTTTTGTCGTTGTCCCTTTAGTTGACCTATTCTTCAGATTGCGGAATTTAAGACATTCACAAAGGCACAGTTCATGGAGGGAGCAGAGAATGGTTCATTCTTGCCGTTAATGTCTTCCTTCTCTGGATCTCAGCCTCTTCAATGCTTCCTCCCTCTCCTGTGTCTTCAGCCTGCCCCATTCTATCTCCTTATTAGTTCCCATCAGCAAAAAACATGCCTAGCTCTCTTATCTCTGCAAATGTCTCCCTTGAAATCATGCCCCACCCATTAGGGCTTTTTTTTTTTTTTTGTCACCCCACACCAGCCATTGACAGGCAACTTCTTGAACAAATTACCTGCTCTCTGTAACTCCTATTACCCATTCTTGCTCATTCTTTAACCAATCTTCTGGCTTTTGCCCCCAGCCCCCTCACTGAAGTTGGTCCTTGCCATGGTGACCTGCATCTCTCTAAATGTGGCCTGTGCTTTGGAGACTTTATCTTGTACACCTCTCCACAGCATTTATACTACTGACTGTTCCTCCTTAAAACCCACTCCCTGGCATCCTCTGACAGTCACCTCTCCTGGGTCCCCTCTGCCCTGATCTGTTCTTCCTCAGACTCCTCTGCCAGCTCCTCCTCTTGTATCCAGCCCTCAAATGCTATAGGGTCTCATAGTTCTGTTCTAGGCACTCTCCATGCCAATACTTTCCATGCAGCAGATAATGACCATGAACCAGTTTATGATCCCCTGATTTCTATAGAAAACCAAGATCTCTCTAAACACTCAGACTACAAAGTCAACCTCTCATGGGCACACATTTCCCTTGAATGCCTCACTGGTACCTCAAACTAGTCATATGCAGGGCTGAATCCTTAGTCTTTCTCTCCGAATTTGCTTCTCTTCTCAGCTTCCCTTCTACAACATGCTTAAGTGTATCATTTGGGAATCTAAGTCTCAATTCTGGCCATGACATTTTATCAGCTCTTGTTCTAAGGGTTGCCCAATTTGCATATCAGGAAATCCCACAGCCAAATGGATGGGGGTAGCTGAGTCAATGTGCACACGCACAGTATATAAGATCAACCCTGAGGGTTTGCAAGTTTGCATGTAACCGATCATAAGGGCATGAGCAGCAATGTCACTAGGGGACCAATCCCAGAAGGAAATGTCCCACTTGGAGCAGAACTCTGAGCTTTCATAGCCCAGGCACCCTTGTTGCCACCACGGAGCTGCATGCTGTGTCTCCTGTCCCAGTGCGAGAGGGTGAGCCTCTGGCTGGAAGCTCCTTGCTCTGAGAGAGCCCTTATAGCAAATGCAGTCCGCAGTGAGAAGCGACAGCATCCATAGCTATTGGGCCACCAATAGGCTCTTGAGATACTCACCTGAGGGTGAGGTACTGTGGCTGTCTACCCCATCCTAAAAAAGTGTTTGTGTGGGGGCAGGGGGGTGCATCACTAGGAAGCTTTTGTTTAGAAAGACTGAAAAATTCTAGATAAGATATTGTTTTATATTGGATAATTCTACAATAAACATGAGTAATTTGAGAAAGCTATCTTTCAGTTTCCACTTATTACACTGAAGCCAGTGGGGCAGCCTGAGCAACATACTGAGACCAGTCTCTACAAAAAATAAAAAATTTAGCCGGGCATGGAGTATGCGCTGGGCTTGGCGGCATGTGCCTGTAGTCCAGCTACTTTGGAGGCTGAGGCGGGAGGATCCTTGAGCCCAGGAGTTTGAGGCTGCAGTGAGCTATGATTGTGCCACTATACTGCAGCCTGGGTGACAGAGCAAGACCCTATCTCAAAAAATAAAAGGAGCCAGCAGAGTGATTGCACTGCCACTCACTGAAGGTCTGAGATCCCCTTTTCCTCCCTCCCCTCCCCCTACTTTGACACCCTCTCAGGTCAAGAGTCCCACTATCTTCCCAGTTGCTCAAGCCTGAATGCCAGGATCCCTTCTGGCCCTCCCAGTTTACACCCCTCAGCCAATCCATCGCCAAGTCTGCCAACTCTACCTCTACAGTGTCTTGAGAATTAGTCACTGGAATGAGACTGCCAGAGTGTGAAACCTGGCCCTGCCTCTTCACTACTACTTGTTAGCAAATGATGTTGTTTCTCAACCTTTCTGTGCCTGAGTTTCCTCATCTGTAAAATGAGAACTGTGCACAGAAACCGTTGTACTGATGTAATTAATAATACTCCCTTTCTCTCTTGAAAGTGTCCTAGTTTGGATAAATTATATGGTCAACCTAACTGATATGAATATTATGAAACCTAATCAAGGTTCCCTCTTCAGGCAATACGCCCATCCCCCTGCTGGGAATATCACTTTTATCTCACTCATTAATGCAAATAAAAGTCTCGATCATCATTCATGTCAGAGCTGCCTTCCTTTGTCCATTGTAAGCGCACAGGGACTGTGGCCCGACCTCCCCCTGGTGCCCCCAGCCCTGCCCTGAGTCCTTCACTGGGAACCATCCTGTGTCTCACCCGCTGTTATACTGTCTCCCAGGGGCAGCCCATGGCTGATGACTGGCTGATTAGGGATATGAAGATCCAGCCCATTTACCGTAATTTGGGGCAACTCTGAAGGGCCTCCCCAGCTCCAGAGTTTCACATGGGATTGTCTGAGGTCTCAGTTGTACCACAGTGTGGGTCCCTTCTCTCTTCCCAATTCTATCTTCCTCTCTTCCTACTGGTGAATCCTTCGAGAGCAATACCCAGTAACCATTCTGAATCTGGTTCCCCATATTACAGTTCCTTTCCAGAGAACTGAATCTTAGACACTAATAACAATCTTGGTCAACATTTCTTTCCAGCGTGGCTGTGAGCAACTTGAGGTCAGGGCCCATGTTTTCTTTGCCTTCCCGGTCTTGGCAAATGGCACATAGATCGTGCTCATCTTAGGTTGGTTGAAGTGCCTGAAATGCAACTGGAAGGGCGAGGTGGTTACTACCCTGGGAACAAAAGAGGTAGATAAGTTAGAGACCTGGGTTAGGCACTTACCTCAACCTTCCTCTCCACCAGGAAGGCGGTCTAAGTCAGGTTGCTGAACACACACCTCCCAGAATAGGGGATGCAACATCAAGGCTGGCACAGCTCCTGCAAATGTGGGGTTGTGTCTGTGTTATGGGATTTGATGCTATTGCCTGCGCTAATAGAAGAGCCAACCAAAAGTAGATTAAACTTTAAAGGCATTTATCATCTCAGATAGTAAGAACTCTTGAGGCAAGGCAGCTAAAGGGTTGTTTAGTCCTGTGGTTCAATAATGAGGATCCAACTCCTGTCTGCTCTGCCTTTTTTGACATGTTATCTTTAGTCCTTAGGCTTATCTCCTCATGGTCGTAAAATGGCAGCCATATTTCCAGACATTACATTTTCACCTGTTAAGGCCAACACAGAAAGCCATTTCAGCCACTGACAACTGCACACATGAACTTCCCCCACTCAGGACCCTCAGGTGACTTAGATACGGGCTCCCTCAGGGGCCCTAAAGTTAGGTAGTCCAAATGTAGAAAGGACAGGAACAACCCACTTCTATAGACCCCACAGGCCCAGCTTCCTGGGTGAGTGGCCTGGGCAGCCCCACAGGACCCCTTGCTCAGTAAGGCCTAGTGCTTGGATTAAGGCTGTGCTGTGGCTGTCTTGAAATTCTTAACACTTTTATCTTTGAATCTGTTTGTAAGTGAAGTCTGATGGGACACTGGAGCATGACTGTGACCCGAGGAGGGAAGTGCAACGTGTGTGTCTCTGTCCCTTGCTGCTCCTTGACACAGTGTTCAAGATGCTCTATGAACCCACGATGCGTCAGTGATCGGTAAGACTCAAAGTGAGCACAAGGTAAGTGTGTTACAGCTACGACTGAATAGGGGGCTCTGCCACCCCCAAGGGGTCACATTTTCTTTTCATATCAGAACTTGCTTTGAAAGCACAAAGTAGGCAGTGGTGTTCTAAGAAACAGGAACAATCAAGGCATCTTGTCATATCCATTCTCATTCATGTTGTTTCCCTGTATTGACCAACCATATAGGGTGACGATGATGGCATAGAAAGACAAGGAAAGATGGTCCCTTTCCTTTCGGTCCTGCTTTACTCCTCAGGAAGATGAAGGTAGAGTTTGGGTAGAATGTGCCCATAGCAAGACATGAAGGGGCTGGGCATGGTGGCTCATGTCTCTAATTCCAGCACTTTGGGAGGCCGAGGTGGGAGGAACACTTGAGGCCAGGAGTTTGAGACCAGCCTAGGCAACACAGCAAGACCCTGTCTCTACACACACACACACACACACACACACACACACACACACAATTGAATTAAAATAGTTCAGCTAATTTGGTATTCTGTCTTAGCTGTACTGGTAAGAACAAATACATATGTATATATAAGCTACAAAATACAAATTGCATAATATCAGTGATTCCGCATGTAAGTTAAATGTCTCTATTTGCATTTAAAACTGGAAATGCACAATGTCAAGATGAACAGAATTTATGCTAATCATTTAACATTTTAATTTTTCTTTGCTTACAAAGTTAAATAGCAAGTAAAAAAAAAATTCCATGACAGAGAGGGAGAGAGAGAGAGAGAGAGAGAGGAGAACAGCTTTATATTTTAGTACCTTTAATGGCATTTTTCTCCGTGTTTTTATTTTGCAGTGGTGCAGATGCTGGAAGTCCTTTGAAGAAGTGATCCACAATGGAATGAGTGTCTGGGACTTAGGCAGTAAGGTCCTTGGTTCTGGAAGATTTCAAACAGCAATTAGAAGATGTCTATAAGAGATGCGGTAGAAGATTCCTGACATGCGTACAGTGATCCTCAAGACTCCCTTTAAAGCTAATAATTCCATAACTTTTAGTGGGGGAGTGACAGGTCCACATTCCCTTCTCTGATACCACTGGGACCAGATTATTCCAGAATTCAGGACTTTCATATCTTATAATGTATGCATATAACTTGCATTATGTAACACCCCTAGGGGAGTTTGGAAAGCACCCCAAAGCCCAACACACTAGTATCTCTGGAGAAAACCATAAGCAGGTGACAAACACAAACCATGAAAAGCCTCATGTTAGGTTTAGCTGGGAAACAAACTCAGGGAGGTCAGATTGTCCCACCAAATATGGGAAGTCTTTTGGAATTTGAAGCTTTTGGACTTTCAGATAAGGGATTATGGATCTGTTTGTGAACTCTTAAGTCATTTCACAGATTGGAAAAAAACAAAACAAAAATCCCAAACAATGTATACATGGAGGCACCTGAGATGTCTTTAAATTTCATGATGGGAAGAAAGAAACCAACACTTGTACACTGGTTTAGACCTGATGAAAGTGCTTGGGGCTCCACTGTCTATTAGACACTCACCGTGACCTTATGAACGAAGACGCATCATCTCCATCCTTTGGGGACAGGGAAACTGAAGCTTCCACAGAGCCGGCATCACATAGTACATGCTAGTGCCTGTGTGAGAACACACAGATTTGGGACTCCAAATATCAGGCTTTTTCTATAACCTCAAAAACCTCCTAAATGGTGCCCAGTGAATGTATTTCAGGCAGTGCTGCCATTCAGAGGGATGCCCCCATCTAGCTGTACTGAATGTTGGAGTTCTTCCTTTTAGGTGATATATCACCAAGGCCCTAAGTCTGTGGAGGCCTCTAGCCTTATCCTGCTGCCCCAGAGTGCCCCAGACTCTCCCAAAGTGTAGTAACTGTGCAAAGGGCAGACGCCTGGCAGAACAGGGACCCCAGGGGCTGGAGACTGTACCCTATTGTAGCTACATATTTGGAACATCACACCTACTAGAATTGTGCTAAGATACTGACCAGTCCTTGAGTATGTTGCCTTCCACCAAGAAGAGAGCACTCCCCTCCCCCAGAGATGTTCTATGTGTGTTTAGCTGGGAAGCTCTGCACAGCTGCACGCTGGTATATCCATGCTTGCCTGAGAATCACAGCTGCCTGGAGCTCTTGGGAAACACAGACTCCTGGGCCCCATCCTGACCTATTACAGAATCAGAATCTCCTGACACAGGCGCAGGTGTTTTGTGCACAAACGTTCCAGCTGAGTGCCGCCTAGAGTTGGGCAAGTTTGGAGATCACCGTGGCACTCCATTTACTTTGGTAAGAAGGATCTAATCAACCCATTCAAATTTGCAGAGGCAACAGTAAACAACTCTGTCTAGCTCTTCCACATAAGCACATTTAGAGACAAAATTTTCAGCTCTAATGGTTTCCACATTTCTTTCCTTGTCACTTCCTCCTTTTGTCAATGTCAATGTATATGTGTGTATTTCCAAGGATGCCATGCCTTGCCCCATGTCCTGTAGCAACCGGGCTGTGCCCACCCCACCCAGGCTGACCGGGTGCTCAGTGAGCACATTCTCCACTGTGCTTCACCCCACCCCATTGTGGAGATCTCAGAAACAGTGGGTTCCCCAGGTGACATTCAACCTCAGATGTGCATTTGTCACGCTCAGTTCTAAATTGGCTTGTTTTGGCAACCACCTGATGTTTCTAAATATGTGTTCTCCACATGTCCTCTTGCCTGAATCTTGAGAAATCTACACAGGAACTGGTAGCCTAGCTACGGAGAGAAGGTTTTTTCCCCTTCCTTTTCCCTTTGAAGCTGCCTGTGGTTGCACCCAAACGCTGCAGATGCAACCATGGATGTGTGCGCTGTATCCTCAGCCAGCTCTGGGTCAAGAGCCTGCTTGGCGTTTTTATGTTTCCCTTCTTATGAAGGATAAGGAAATGTGGGGGCAAATGGAATCTCTGCTGGGGACATTTTCAGCCGCCGATGCCACCAAAAGGAAGTGAATTTCTTTTCTGTTTATATCTCAGGAAATAATCTGTCACATTTGAAATCATTTCAGAAATATCTACTGCTCATAAACTTTCTGTTCCTTCATCCCCTGATCTGTTGATTCTGTAACATTATAGAGGGAAGGAAGAATGGATTAAGCAGCATAAAATACCATAAGTTCCTTAAAATGAGGATCCACATTTTCTTGTAGAAATGAGCTGGAATCAAAGCCCAGCAGCTCATTGTAATTCATTGGCTGTGTGACCTTATAAAAGTTACTTAACTTCTCTGAATCTTGGTTTTTCTTTACATAAAATGGAGATAATAATTGTAGTCAATTGTAAAAATGGTCACAATCTTCCACTCCTCCCCAAATGCTCACCACTGGCAGTGGGCTTTGCAGTTCCTCCTATCAAGAAGTGATGTCCATTTCCCATTCCTTTTTAATTTGCTTTGGTCAATGGAATGATAGGTGCTGGTTCTGAGTCTAGGTTCTAGGAGACGCATTGCACATGTCTGTCTTGGAACTCTGCCCAGTTGCCATGCGAGAAATCTGGCCTGGCTTGCTGGAGGATGAGAGACACGTGGAACTGAAAGGAACCATTCCAAGGAAGGCCATTCTAAATCAGCCAGCCTCCAGTCAACCCAGCACTGGGTACAAAGGCAAAGGTGAACCCAGGTAAGGCTAGAAGTATCTCCTAGCTGAGCCCAATACAAACTGTCTACCTGCCAAATGGTAAGCTATATAAGTGGTTGTTTATTTAAAGTCACTAGTTTTGGAGTAGCTTATTATGCAGGAAATGCTAATATAATGTGCTTGTCTTTCAGTGCTGTTGTGTAAACAAAATTAGGTATCACACATGAAACACCTGAATCCATACATACCGATGAACAGAACTTGTTTGGATGGATTGCTAACCCAGCTGCATATCCATAAATTGCATACTTCCTGTGTGGAAGATGTAAGCATCAGTGTCCATAGCGTATATTGAAAAATAAATGCATTTCCCTATGAAGATATAATGACACCGTAGATAGAATGTTTAAAAGGAACCCATAAAATTTGCCTGTTATCCTACTGCCTCTACCATAAGGTTCAAATATCTTAGTAGGACTGACAAAATCCTTCAAAGTCATATTCCAGCCTCATCTGTCTTTTTAAACTGTTTCTACTCCTTGTTACCTCCATTCATAATAAATGACATCTGAGACATTCATTATGTAAAATTTCCTTTTAGTTTTGGTCCTTCCTATGGTTTGGCTGTATCCCCACCTAAAAAATCTCATCTAGAATTGTATCTCTCATAATCCCCATGTGTTGTGGGAGGGACCAGGTGGAAAGTAATTAAATCACAGGGGCATGTTTTTCCCATGCTGTTCTTGTGTTAATGAGAAAGTCTCACGACATCTGATGGTTTTATAAAGGGCAGTTTCTCTGCACATGCTCTCTTGTCTGCCACCATGTAAGACGTGCCTTTGTTTCTCCTTCCCCTTCGGCCATGATTGTGATGCCTCCCCAGCCATGTGGAACTGTAAGTCCATTAAATCTTTTTCTTGGCCAGGTATGGTGGCTCATGCCTGTAATCCCAGCACTTTGGGAGGCCAAGGCAGGCAGATCACCTGAGGTCAGGAGTTCAAGACCAGCCTGGCCAACACGGTGAAACCCCATCTCTACTAAAAATACAAAAAATTAGCCAGGCGTGGTGACACACCCCTGTAATAGCTACTCAGGAGACTGAGGCACAAGAATCTCTTGAACCTGGGAGGCGGAGGCTGCAGCAAGCCGAGATTGCACCACTGAACTGCAGCCTGGATAACAGCCTGAAACTCCATCTCAAAAACAAAACAAAACAGAATAAAACAAAACCTCTTTTCCTTTATGAATTACCCAGTCTCAGGTATTTCTTCATAGCAGTATGAGAATGGACTAATACAGTCCTTAAAGAAACAAAAAACTCAGAGGTGAAATGTGTTTTTTAATTAACGTTATGAGGTATGATTTACATGTGTATAAATTATAGTGTACAGACTGATGAGCTTAGATAAATGAATTTACCATATAACCACCATCTCAATCAAGATAAAAGCATTTCTGGCACCCCAAACATTTCCCTTGCACACTTTCCCAGTCAATTCCACTCCCATCAACAATCCCAGGCTACCATTGATCTGATTTCCATCACTACAGATGGATTGAGTCTGTTTTAGAACTTCTTAGGAATGCAGCCACATACCCTTTCCTGATTGGCTTCTTTCACTCAGGGTAATGTGTTTTTGAGATTGATCTATGTTGTGTGTATCAGTAATTCATTCCTTTTTATTACTGAGTCTTCCAGTGGAGGGCTATACTACAATTTGTTTATCTATTCACCTGTTGATGGACTTGGGGTTGTTTTCAGTTTCGGGGTTTTATGAATAAAGCTGGTAGAAACATTTTTGTGTGAGCATTTTTTTTTTTGGTGTGTGTGTATGCATGTTTTCATTTTGTGGGGGACTAAATACTTAGAAGTATAAAGGCTGGGTTATATGGTAAGTATATATTTAACTTTGTAAGAACTGCTAAATTGTTTTCCAAACGTCTGTACCATTTTACACTCTTGCCATTAGGGCATGAGTGTTCTATTAGGTTGGTGCAAACTTAATTTTGTTTTTGCCATTAAAAGTAATTTTTGCACCAAGAATAGTAATAGCCTTGCCAGCCCTCGGTATTAACTTTTTAATTTTAGCCACTCTTCTAGGTGTGAAGTGGTATCTCATTGTGGTTTCAATTTGCATTTCCTTGATGACTAATTATGCTGAACAGTTTTTCATGGACTTTTTGGCCATTTGTATATTTTCTTTGGTGAAGTCTCTTTGGTAGTCTTTTGCCATTCCCCTTTTAAATTGGGTTGTTGGTCTTCTTATTACTGCGTTTTGAGGGTTCTTGGTATATTTTGGACACAAACTGTCAGATATATCTTCTTGTTTTCTTACTTTGTTACTGGTGTCTTTTGAAGAAATTTTGAATTTTTATAATTCTAATTCATCATTTTTTTCTTTTATGGTCAGTGCTTTTTGTGTCTTAAATCTTTGCCTACAAGGTCATAAAAACTTTTTCTTCTGTTATTTTCTGGAAGTTTTATAGATTTAGCTTTTAGGCCTATGGTTTATTTCACATAAATGTTGTGTATGCTCTGGGGGTAGAGGCTGAGGTTTGTTTTGTTTCATTTGGATATCTAGGTGTTCCAGTGATGTTGCTTGAAAAGATTATTATTTTCTCATTCAATTACACTGCATCTTTGTTGAAAATCAATTGGACTTATATATGTGTGGTTCTAATTTGGTTCTCTATTGAATTAGCTTCCCGCAACAAATTGCTACAAAGTTGGTGGTTGTAAACAACAGAAACTTATTGTCTCAGTTTTCTGAAGGCCAGAAGCCCCAAATCAAAGTGCTGGGAGGGGCATGCTGTCTCCAAAGGCTCCGGGGGAGAATCTTCCCTTGTTGTTCCAGCTTTTTCCCCAGCCCCTTCTGTGAATCATGTGCTACATCTCATCCTGACCTAGGTCAAAACTCAGGCCTTCTCCCCTGAGGCAGTTTGCACAACCCGGCCAATGCTAATTCAGCCTTGCAGTGCCCTTTTGCTCTGATGTGGAATGACTTGGAACTCAACGAATGTTTATTGCGGTCTGCAATGTTTGGTTGGAGGGATTCAGGATTGAAATACAACAACAAAACATTCTTAAGGCATGTTAATTGTTCCTAATAAGGGAAGGTAACCGTCCCGTGATTAATCTTTCCAAAATGCAACTCTGAAATCTTGGGTGGTCTTCAGAAAACCTACTGCCTCTTAGTGCTTTACAATCCCATCACAACCTACCTGTTCAGGCTTCTTTCCCTTTACGGAGTTCCCCCCGTATCTGAGGTTCTGCTTTCCCTGGTTTTAGTTACCTGGGGCAACAGTGGTCCAAAAATATTAAATGGAAAATTCCAGAAATAAACAATTAAGTTTTAAATTGCATACCCTTCTGAGTAGTGTAATGAAATCTTTTGCCATCCCACTCTGTACTGCCCGGGAAGTGAATCACCCCCTTGTCCAGAGTTTCCACACTATATACTCTACCCACACTATATACTCTGCTAAGTTAGTCACTTACCAGCCATTCCAGCTATCAGATTGACTGTTGCAGTGAGGCAGTGCTTGTTTTCAAGTCGACCTTATTTTACTGAATAATGGCCCCAAAGTACAAGAGCAGTGGTACTGGCATTTTGTTATAAGTGTTCTATTTTATTATTAGTTATTGTTGTTGCCTAATATATACATTATTATCTATCATAGGCATGTATGTGTAGGAAAAAAACCTTGTATACATAGGGTTCCATACCAGCCTCAGTTTCAAGCATCCACTGGGAGGCCTAGAAATATATCCCTCCTGGATAGGGGGCACTACTGTACTCTCTAATCTAGCCACACCTATATCCTCCCTCCATAGTCAATTCCTGCCTTTGCAGCTCTGCTTAGCCCTGTGAAATTTTTGCTTGCAGCTGTAATGGAGGCTGTGGGACATTCAGGTCTGGAGTTTAGCACAGCACTGTGGACTGGGGACTTGGATCTGGGATTTTCAGCACAGAGACGTATATTAATTTTCTAGGGCTGCCATAACAAAGTACCACAGACTAGGTGGCTTAGAGGCATTTATTTGCTCGCCTTTCTGGAGACTGGAAGTCCGTGATCAAGGTGTCAGCAGCGTTGGTTTCCTCTGAGGCCTCTCTCGTTGGCTTACAGACGGCCACCCTCTTGCCATTTTCACATAGTCGTTCCTCTATGCACATGTGTCCCAGTGTCTCTGTGTATCCTAATCTCTCCTTATAATGACATCAGTCAAGCCTGGGCAACATAGAGAGACACCCTCTCTACAAGAAAGAAAAATAAAAACAAAATTTGCCATGCTTTTACTCCTAGTTACTTGGGAGTCCAAGGCAGGAGGATCACTTGAGCCCAGGAGTTTAATCCACTTATGCCTAGTACGCTAAGCTTGTGGGAGTTATTTATATCCTACTGCTCAAGGTCATTACCAAGGTCTGATATTTCACACAAAAAATTTGCAACCTCCGGCATAAATGATAAGGCTGAAGTGAGCGATGATCTCTCCACTGCACTCTAGTCTGGGGGACAGAACGAGATCTTGTCTCTAAAGATAAAAAGATTGGGTTAGACTAGAGCCTCCATTAAAGCCTTCATTTAACTTAATCATCTGTTTAAAGGTCCTATCTTTAAATACAGACACATTTTGAGGTACTAGGGGCTTAGAGTTTCAATATAAATTTGGGAGGAACACAATTCAGTTTATACCCAAGAAGGTATCTAAGTTATGGGAATGGATGATTTTACCGAGAACGATAAAAAAGGGGTTGCAAACTCTATGTAATAGAGATTAATGAGCAAAGGGGGCTGGTAGTAACATAATGGCATCTCGAGTCATATTCTTTTGGCACAGATACACTTTATTTTACTATTATTCTCATTTTTAAAAATGTCAAAACAAAGAAACGTTCTTCCTGATTTTCTTAAAACAAGCTTCCCTTCCAGGATATCCCTTGGTTTCAGATTTTTGATGGTAACCTTGGCACTTAGAACTAGTTCTCCATCCAAAGAAAAACAACACTGCAGATCCCTGGGAGATATGAGTGATGCTCAGCCTCAGCCTGGGGGGCTACAGGAGTGCATGGCAGTGATGACTGACAACCAAGAGTGCACACTGTTATAGGGTGTCAGCCACGAGTCAATGCTGCTGGATTTTCGGTATTTCAAAGGAAGCTGAAAATGCATATTTAAAAATGTACATTATCATGGGCCCCTTTAGAAAATTGTCTCAGCTGTTTAAAAAAAATACTGTGAAGTTGAAACAAAACACATCACCAGACTGTATTTGGAGTGTGAGCCATCCATTTCTAACCGTAGACATAAAGTGAGACATAAAGAAGAGTAACTAGAGGTCTGAGCACTAGACAGAGCTCAGAGGAATCCTGTCTTAAATGAAAGCTGAAATTTTTCTATCTTTTATGAATGAGCTAACAAACATGGCTGGATGATGAAAGTTCCAGTGGAGGATGAAAAGTTAAAGAGGGACCTTATATGGAGTGACCTTAACTCACAAGCTGGGACAACAGTCATTATGTACTCCCGGTCTGATGCAATAGGAAGTATCCAGTACCAGCTATGAGCTTTTTTTTTGCCCAGATCACTCAACCCAAATCTAATCAAGCCTGTAGACCTAATTTCCAGCTTATAGGAAATTAAAAGGTTAGACGAACCCAGTAAAGGACACTATAAGGATATGCTCAATCACATCCACTATGTAGGGAATTCTACAAGGCAAATGGCCAGGTTTTCTTCCAGAGGTAAAAAGGGGAGAGGGACTATTATAGATTTTAAAAAGATTTAAGACACACATCAGCCAGGTGCAAAGCATAGGTCACATGTGGATCATGATTTGAACAGTTATTTGTAAAACACACTTTGAGATGGTTGGAGAAATGTGGACTCTGGCAGACATTAGCAGACATTAATAAATCACTTGTAATTTTATTATATGTGATAACTATTTTGCAGCTATGCATTTTCAAAAGCTCTCTCTGTCAGAGATACAAACTGAAGTATTTTTGGGTGAAATGATAGGACATCTGGGATTGGCTTTAAAATACTTCAGGAAAAGTTAAACAGGGAAGAGGCAGAATGGATAAAATAAGATTAGCAAAATGTCAATAATGATTTATAAATATGATTAATACATGGAAGGTGTTATTGTATTATTCTTTCTACTTTTATATATATTTTTAGATTCCTAAATTAAAGGAAAAAAATAGCACAAAGCTCCGGTAGAGCAGGTGACCTTTGCAGAGAGGTAGGAGAAGGCCCAGGCATCATCCTTTCCAGGCTGCCACTTCTCAGAACTGTGCCTGGACACTATCCTTTGAACCGCACCCATGAACCTCCTTGTTCTACCTTTTTATTCTTTCTTTTGGCAAACACTGAAAGCACCTGTTATGTGGTTAGGGCTGGGCAAAGGGCTGAGTTAAAAAAATCATTTTAACAAAGAAATGTTCTTTTTCCTAATTTTCTTGATATAAACTTCTCTTGTTTCTCTGAGTTCTGGAGGCCTATGTGCTGGATCCTCCCAACCAGTGAGGGAGCCCCTGGAAGGCAGGAGGCTTGCCTTATTCCTGTAAACTCTGTTGCTCCAAAACACCATTGCCATTTACTAGCTTGCTGTGTGCCAGGCATGGTGCTACATACTTATTATGGAATTTAAAATTTTGATGTTTTGCATGGTTTATTTTGCATTAATTTGGCATTTGTAAAACATTACATTAGAATAGTATTTACCTTCATTACCTCAGCTGTTTTTTGGCACCCTTTAAATTTCGTGAGGAGGTTAGTACCTAACTCGCCTCACCTAATCCTGGCCCCGCATGGAGGTCTCAATACTTGCCTCAAAACTATGTGAATATCTGTTATTCTACTGGTGAATGTTCTGGAACGTTCCTCGGCATCTTGCAGGCATCAGTAGTCAAAGCAGGACAGAGAGAATTAATTACAGAACACTGGGTGGCATTCGGGAACAATAGGTCTCACCAAAGCCTGATTCTCAGCATCTTACTTAAACTACAAATCAACAGCTGGGAAGACAGGGAAGAAGGAGGACACTAGGTTCTCTTTCTTCAAGTCAAAAGTTTCCACTGCTCTGAATGGGCCACTTCATTCATGGCCCCTTCAATTGGCTGTTGTTTGTTCTCAAGGAACCAGGATTCCTCTGGGCTTGTGCCTTCTGGAGCTCTCTTCTTGTTAGAGTAGGTAGTTATGCAGACATGAGCAGGGCAGGAGAGGACCCCCCACCACCACAACTGACACCCAGGAAAGTCAGGCGACCATCAGGTAATGGTCAGGCAGTTGTTAAACTTTCTCTCTAAAATAATAATTGGTTGCAGCTGGTGCCAGGGAAAGGCAGTCTCCCAACAGATAGAAAATAACCGAAGCTGATGATCAGCAGCTTCCTGATAAGATCTCAGGAGTTGGGCAAGTGGGCTCAAGCGTGTGCACTAAGACGCAAAACGGCAGAGTTTAACTGGTATGTGATCTTCCTCTAGGAAAACTCGAGTAGCAAGGGGAAAACACCTAAAATGAGTATGCACATAACTTCAGTAAATACATTGTGCATGCAGCCCCTCCCAAGTGCTGGCGCATGAGGACAGCTCACCCCAAGGGAAGAATCAGAGGAGGAGAGATGCAGATGCTGGAATCATGCTAATGTATAAAATCCCAGGTCAAGGACTAAATGGCACTTGAATCTGTCAAGTCACCTACTTGGCCTTCTTTCAAGTGTACTTTACTTCCTTTCATTCCTGCTCTAAAACTTTTTAATAAACTTTCATTCCTGCTCTAAAACTTGCCTTGGTTTCTCACTGTGCCTTATGTCCCTCAGATGAATTTTTTCTCCTGAAGAGGCAAGAATCAAGTTGCTGCAGACCCATATGGATTTGCTGCTGCTAACATACTTTGGTGTCGTGACTCAGATACGTCCCCAGTGGTAAGATACTGCTAAGCCTTGCCTTCTTTGGCTGGGGTTGTTTAACCCCCGTGTGTGGTTTTCGTCTCCCCTTTCACACTCCTGCTTACTAACCAACCCCTGGAACAATCCCTCTCGGTCACAGTGGCTCTGTTACCCCAGGCTGATCTCTCAGCTCACCCTGACAGGTGGCTCATGGGAGTAGGAAGGACCTTGGCATCTGCAACAAGCAGACCTGAGGCACTGATAGCTCTCCTGGACAAGAGGCTCATGAGAGTGGTAGGGCTAAGGCCTGAGACCATGGAATGTCTGGGGTTTCCTCTGCTATTTTAACTAAAATCTTTTCTTTCTCAAAAAACCTGCACATCCTGTTCTCCTGTTTTCTCTAAGTGTGTTTTGAAATAGCCTTGTGCACCCACTGCACTGTCTGCCTCAGGGGCAGGTCTGCCTCTTCTCTGGTTTCACCTTGCATGCTGTCTGACTTCCTTCTCTGCCTTAAAACACACACTCCCTGTGATTTGTGCACCCGCGGCTCTTGCTGTATTTGTGCAGCAGCAAAGACATGGGCTCCCTGCAAATGTCTGTTGGCTCATTGCCAGGACAGACACTAATTGCAACCACACTCTGCCAGCTCCTTGTAAATTACCATACACTTTTCATCCCTGTTACACTCAAGGGCCAAGATTTTTTGGTGGCTTTTGAAACAGCTTGTCACCTGCATAGGGCCTCACTCTCACTCCTTTAAGGATCCCACTTACTTGCTTTTTTTGAGTTGGCATCCCTTTGGGAGGACAGAAAATTCCTCCTTTGACATTTGAAGCCCTTATCCTAAGCCCCAAGTCCTCTAGAAGTTCCTTCTTTATGTCAAGAGGGTAAATAAATGTTGCGCTCTGAAATCCAAGGGTTGCTGTTTTTGCGAGCATATGAAGGCTTTCCATGAGTGTCATTCTCACCTCTTCCCACTTCCTCATGTAGCAGGATTGTCCTGTCTGCTTAAGCATTTTTTCTGCGTGTTGCCCTGGGAGGATGAGGAACCCCAAATACAAATTTTCTTTCATTTCTCTAATCACTCCCATGCCCTTCTCAATATGCATCAAGACCTTCAAGGTCACATTCAAAGGGAGGAAAGTCCAGCCCCTTGTGGCAGTTGGCAAAAAAGCAGGCTTCTCATCTACTTAAAGAACATGGGAAATGGGAATCTGAGAAAAGAGATAATCATTTTGTTTCTCCCAGTGAGAGTCGCTATAAGGTCATGGAGACAAGGATATAGGCCAGCCCAAGGCCACAGGTGCAAGAGACAAAAGTACCCATAAGGGTCAGGTGCGGTGGCTCCCTGTAATCCCAGCACTTTGGGAGGCCGACGTGGGTGGATCACGAGGTCAGGCGTTCAAGACCAGCCTGGCCAACATGGTGAAACCCTGTCTCTAGGCCGGGTGTGGTGGCCCATGCCTGTAATCCCAGCACTTTGGGAAGCTGAGGTGGGCAGATCACCTGAGGTCGGGAATTTGAGACCAACATGGAGAAACCCCATCTCTACTAAAAATACAAAATTAGGCGGGCATGGTGGCACATGCCTGTAATTCCAGCTACTCAGGAGGCTGAGGCAGGAGAATCACTTGAACCTGGGAGGCAGAGGTTGCAGTGAGCCAAGATCGCACCATTGTACTCCAGCCTGGGCAACAAGAGTGAAACTCTGTCTGGAAAAAAAAAAAAAAAAAGGAAACCCTGTGTCTACTAAACATTTAAAAATTAGTTGGGCACAGTGGCAGGTGCATGTAATCCCAGCTACTTAGGAGGCTGAGGCAGGAGAATTGCTTTAAACCGGGAGGTGGAGGTTGCAGTGAGCCAAGATCGTGCTGCAATAAGCCGAGATCACGCTGCGGTGAGCCGAGATCGCGCCACTGCACTCCAGCCTGGGTGACAGAGCAAGACTCCATCTCAAAAAAAAAAAAAAAGTACCCACAGGACAGAGTTGAAGACAGATCCCAGGCTACAGGAACAGAACAGATTATCATTAGAACAGAGATGAAGGCAAGGTTGGGGTACTGGGCACGACCAATTCTTCCAAAACCCCAAGGATGAACAAGCTGTCCCCTGTTGACTCCAATATCTCCTCTGTTCTCAAGTGGATAATCGGGACCGAGGTTAAGGGTACCTAGTAAGATTGGCTCATTCTGGAACCCTAAGGATGAATGGGGGATGCCATGTTCAGAAAAGGATAACAGAGGGGACACCTTCTTTTTCCTTTTCCTCCTCTGTTCTCTCTTTGCAGATGAGGAATTGTGTCTCCATACCACAGGACACCCCCCTTGGATGCATCCCTAAGAACTGGGAAAAGTTTGATCTCCCAAACCTTAAAACAAAAAACTAGTTTTCCTCAGTAATACTGTTTGGCCTAAAAATGAACTGGGAAAAAAATCACAAAAGTCAGCCTTAGAATCCAGTGCACCTATGCAAGAAATCCTCAAATTAGCCTCTTCAGTCTTTTATAACCAAGATCAGGACAAGGAGGACAGGGCTAAGAAAAAGGAGAAACTCAAGGACAAGAGGCTGCTCACATATTGGCTGCTTTACAAGCCCCCAGCCCCTCCAGACTGCCCTAAGGCCACTCCTCCAGGTAACTGCCATTGGTGTGGGAAGCCAGGCTGCTGGAAGGCAAACTGGTCCAAGGGGATAAATGGGAAAAAGCCTCTCACAGTTTGACCCCTCTGCCACAAGCTCATCCACTAGAAATGGGACTGCTGGGACAGAATCCCAGCCCCTGAATGCTGTGAGCTGAAGGGGCTCTCTACTCAACTGGCTTCCAAATCAGACATCATCATCAATAGGACAAAGCCAAGGACAACTCCTGGAGGTGTCAAGTAAAATTATACATTTTCCTTTTGGATTCAAGAGCTGCCTACTCTGTGCTAATCTCCTTCTCTGAGCAACTCTCTTCCCAATCATATTGGATAGTGGGGACAAATTGCACCCCCTCCCTCCAAAAGAAAAGATTCACTCCCCTTTGGGGCAAAAATATACTTTCCAAGATGGGTGCCTCCTTAATATTTACCCAACCTCTAAATTCATCTTTCCCTCTAATAGCCCTGTTTCTCCTGGGAAAGCTACCTAAATCTTTAACCAATAACTTTAACCTGCACAGTCCTACTTCAGGGGTTTAAAAATAGCCCACACTTATTCAGACAAGCCCTAGCAAGAAATCTAACTGAGCAATCTCTTGAGCGGGGGATAACTTCTACAGTATGTAGATAACCTCCTTATCTGCTCCCCTTCACAGGACTTGCACAGCAACATGTAGTGCAAGCAGCAACTTTCTAATAGAAGGAAAATGACTTTTGCCTAATTCAAAGGTTATAAAGGTACAGAGGTATTTTTGGTAAGGAACATTATAAAGAAATGAGATTTTATATGAGAAAGGATCTTGTATGGTAAATTCTTGCCATACAGTAAAATGACTGGTTGTTTTAAAAGATGGATATTTAGGACAAGTCAGAAAGTCCAAGCATGTCATAGCTGGTCTGTGTAATTTGTGAAAAGATTTGTGAAAGGGAATTTATAAAAATTGTACAGTTTCAAAGGTCATTAGGTATACTACATGCTTTAAGGTCATAAACTGCTACTATAACTCTTAATAACTGTACAATTTGCCTGCTTTAAAGCCATTAAATTCTAAGTAAAGCTTAGGAAAATATGGAGTTAGCTATGACCCCTAGCTAAAGAGTCAGACTTTTTTTTTTTTTTTTGAGATGGAGTCTCACTCTGTCACCCAGGCTGGAGTGCAGTGGTGCGATCTTGGCTTACTGCAACCTCTGCTTCCTAGGTTCAAGTGATTCTTCTGCTTCAGCCTCCTGAGTAGCTGGGACTACAGGTATGCGCCACCACCCCCCCAGCTAATTTTTGTATTTTTAGTAGAGACGGGGTTTCACCATATTGGTCAGGCTGGTCTTGAACTCCTGACCTTGTGATCCACCTGCCTCAGCCTCTCAAAGTGCTGGGATTACAGGCATGAGCCACTGTGCCAGGCTCAGACTCTATTTCATTTCAACATCTCTACTTGTCTTAAAACTCAAGGAGTCTTCTATGTTTGTGGCCAATCAGTTCACCAATGCCTTCCCACTAAGTGGACTGAAACTTATACCATAGACTATGTATCCCTGAACATCTTTGTAGCCCTTGGCAATCTCTTTCTTCCAGTACCAATACACTGGCATTCCATCTTGCTCAGGGTGAAGAGGGCTATCCAATTAATTCCTTTTCTCACAGGACTTGGCATCATAGCCAGTACAGGAGCTGGAATTGCTGGAATCACAAAAGTCTCCTTAACCTACAGCCAACTCTCAAAGGAAATCAACAACATTGAGGCCATGGCCAAAACCTTAACAATCTTGCAAGAACAAATCAACTCTTTAGCAGCTGTAATCCTCCAAAACAATCAAGGACTAGAGATGTTAATGGCCAGTACAATTTGTTTAGCCTTAGATAAAAAATGATGCTTTTGTGTAAATCAACTGGGAAAAGTATAAGACAACATCAGACAACTCCTAAATTGAGCCTCCAATTTACAGGAACAAGGCTCCCAGAGTTGGCAAAATTGGAAAGGAACCTGGAAATAATTATCCTGGATTCTTCTCTTTTTGGTTCCCCTCATTAGTCTGATTTTTGCTCCTTTTTGGTCCATGTCCTCTAAATCTAATAACTCCATTTATCTCCTCTTGCCTTCAGGTCATCAAGCTCCAGATGATCCTCAGTGAGGGATGCCATCCTCTCAATATTCAAGTCACCCTTCTACAGCGGACCCCTAGACTGCCCAGCAGAGGGACACGACAGAGATAAAATCCTGCCCATTTCCCTTGGACCTGGCTGAATACCACTTTCACCAACCCATGGAGCCACCCTGCCCTGACAGCTAGCAAGAGTCCAAGACCCACAGAACAACCACCACCACCCCTCTGTCAGCAGGAAGCAGTTAGAGAAGACTGACCTTCATCCCGTTTCCCAAAGAATTGGGTCTTGGACTCTTGAGTGGGAAAATGTTAGAGTAGGGCAGGAGAGCACTGCCTTCCCAACCCCCTTCTCTGACACCGAGGAATGTCAGACAACCATTAGGTGCTGGTCAGGCAGTTGTTAAACTGTCTTGCTAAGATAATAGCTGGTTACAGCTGGCACTAGGGAACAGCAAAAACAACTGAAAACAATGGAAGCTGGTGATCAGCAGCTTCCCAATAAGATCTTGGGAGTTGGGTGAGTGGGCTCAAGCATGCGCACTAAGAGGTAAAATGGTGGAGTTTAACTGGTAGACGACCTTCCTCTGGGAACACTGGACTGATTAGGGAAAAACCCTTCAAGTGAGTGTGCATGCAACTTCACTAAACGTATTGTGCATGCAGCCCCTCCCAAGTGCTGGCAGGCCACTGCTCATGAGGACAGCCTGCCCAAAGGGAAGAATGGAGGAGGAGAAATGGGGATCCAGGAAAAATGCCAGTGTAAAAAGACCCCAAGTCAAGGACTAAATGGGAGCTGAATCTCTCAAGTCGCCTGCTTGGCCCTCTTCCAAGAGTACTTTGTTTTGTTCCTGCTCTAAGACTTTTTTTTTTTTTTTTTTTGAGATGGAGTTTCACTCTTGTTGCCCAGGCTGGAGTACAATGGCACAGTCTCAGCTCACGGCAACCTCCACCTTCCAGGTTCAAATGATTCTCCTGCCTCAGCCTCCCGAGTAGCTGGGATTACAGGTGCCCACCACTACACCAGGCAAATTTTTGTATTTTTAGTAGAGACACGGTTTCACCATGTTGGCCAGGCTGGTCTCGAACTCCCGAACTCAGCTGATCCACCTGCCTTGGCCTCCCAAAGTGCTGGGATTACAGATGTGAGCCACTGCACCCAGTCTCTAAAACTTTTTAATAAACTCGCTCCTGTTCTAAAACTTGCCTTGGTCTCTTACTCTGCCTTATGCCCCTCAGATGAATATTTTCCCCAGAGGAGGCAAGAATTGAGTTGCTGCAGACCCCTGTGGATGCACCACTGCTAACATTCTCTCCTCTGTCCTAGGAACTCCCTTCCTCTTGCTTTCACATGTCAACACGTCAGGACCTCAAATTTTGGCTGGTAATTTCTATGGGAGCAGCGGGGGTGGGGGGGGCACGCACTACATGGGAGCTACTATGGTTACCCTGAGCTTGTGTCCTCAGCTCCTACCAGCAACTTCCCCTTCTGGAGCTCCATGGCAGGTCCTTGATGGAGCTATTCCTGGGAGCCACCTGCAAACTCTGAACTGATTGGCGTTTCTATCCTCTGCCTTTCTTTCCTTTTCTTTTTAAGTTCTGAAAAAAGAACAATTCATGGTACTTCTCAATAATTTATATTGCCAACTCCCCAGTTCTCATCTGTATACTGAGGCTACAGGTCAACCATGTGACTTGTTCCAAAGGGAAACCCATGTCTGTGTGATTCAAGCCAGAATCCACTTCCATAGCTACAGAAATGGAGGCCAAGTTGATGTGGGGCTTATTTATCTAAAAGCTTTAAAGAGAAGCAGATGACCACATGGCATATGAGAGGGAGAGATTTTTCTGCACAAACCAGCATCCCAGACTGCAAGTGATTTCTCCAAGATGTTCTTGAATTAATAATGGCAATAGGTCTCCTGAGAGGAAAGTGGTTGCTTTCTTAAAAGGGTCTCCGATATGCTTCTTGGGCTCCCACATAAGGAGCCAGTGCCCATGATGCAGGGGATGTGCCTGTAGATTTCCAGAACTGTAGCCTCTGCTCTGTCTGAGATGAAGTGAAAACAAGTAAGACTTGGATGCTAAGCTCTTGATCCTGTGCCCAGCACGTAGTAGGCACTCAGTGAATATTTGCTGAATGGATGGATGAACTGGCTCTTAGCTATCATGTATGTGGTCTGACGTTCAGAGATTTTTGTAGAGGATCCATTCCCCCACTTCCCATATTTTCCATGGCTTTTCCTGGGATGTCTGGAATTGCCCCATGAAGGCTTGTGGCTGAACACTTTGCTCCTTCTGAAATGTCATTAACACTCAGGATGAAAGAAGGCTCTGGAGAACCAGTAGGAGACAAGAGTGGCTTTTCCATGCTTGCTGTGTTTCTTGCTGTTTGCACTTGGAACTGTGGTGTCCTTCAGGGCATGGACTGGGCATCTCATCTGTGTGTCCTCTGGGCCTTGCACTGTGCTCAGTGCATGCAGGCACTCAGGAATGTGCTCTGAACAAGTGACAGAGAGGACACTTTTGTCTTTTTAGTGTTGAGCGCTGGTCTTGGCACACAGTAGGTGCTCAATAAAGGCTTATTCAATGGAAGGCCAAGTATGATTTCTCAGGAACACTGGGAAGTGAGAAACATTCTGATCTCTGGAAAAGGCCACATCCAGGCTGGATAAAGAGGCTTTCAAATATCTTTCAATGAATGAGACCCACGGCTGACACACTTGCTTCCAAAATGTTCGTTTCCCCTCCTTTGACTCAGCCCCTGGCCATTGCCAGTGCAGATTAAGATGTTTCCCAGTGAGTTTCTGGAGGAGTTCCTACTGAGGAATCCCAGGGCCTGCACCCAGGTTCTTGGGAGAGAACAAAAGCACTGTGAAATGCTGGGCCCAGGCAGCCGGAGGCAGTGGGACATGTGGCCTCTTCCCCCATCTTTTGAGTCCAACCAGGAAGGACAGTGACCTCTGTCCAACATTTACTCAGTGCCAAGCATTTACCAACTGAATCTGCACACGATCCTAGAGAGCAGGTGTCATCCCCACTTTACAGATGGTAGAGCTAATTCTCAGGGGTGTTAACCAACTGGCCCAAGTTCCTGTGGGGGAAGTAGCAGAGGTGGCATCCACACAGGCTGCAGAACTGTACCTGCACTCTAGAGCTGCCTCCCACAAGATGGCTGCAGGGTGTCAACACACAATGATGCCAGTACTCACTTGTGCGCCCATCAGTCCCGGTGCACTATGTGCACACAGATGGGGACCTGTCGTACCTCCATTTTACGGAGGAAGGAAGATGCTTGAGCCACCCAGCTCAGAAGGGGACTTGAGTCTGTAAGCAGGCCCTGAAGCCCAAGGCCTGGCTCTACTGGCCTCTTCCACACCTGTCCCACAGTGGCCATGATATTCCTGGCATAGACCACCCAATGGTCTTCCTGCCCCACCCCAAAACTTGTCTCTCTTCAGTTTTTCCCACCCCAGCACCCCCACACCTCATCTGTCTGCATTTCTTTCTAAATCTCCGATCTGTCACGCCAGTGCCCATAAAGGCCCTCCGGTGGCCCCTTCTGGGACACGTGGTGTTTTCCAAGAATAGACACAATCAAAAAAGCCATTTATCTTGGAAACACTTCACACAAATACTTTCTTAATTAAATTCCATCTCTATCTCAGCACCTACTAATTTAAGCCCCTACTAATACAATTCCGTCTCTATTTCAGTAGGTGTATTAAGCACCTACTATGTGCCAAAACCTGTGGGAAGTGTTGGTGGGTGCCGTGGGCGCACCCAGGAGGTCTGCTAACCTCATAGGTGTGGTGTTTCAAGCTGAGAAAGAGGGATCCGCATTCACCCTTGAATCCTCGATTTACCCTGTGCGTCGGTGCAAGGCCAGGGGATTACATGTGTCAGTACGTTTAATCAGCCCATTTACCCTTGAGAGATGGAGGCTCAAAAGGGCTGAGCGGCTTACCTCAATGATAGGTGGTGGGAACTGAATCAGCCCAGGTCTCTGTTTTTCTCACAGTGAACACCATGGCAGGACATGAATGAAGGCAAGTGCACAGGTGTCGCTGAATTCGGGCTGAGACTGGTTCTCAATGGGGGCACAGTGGCAGCTGACGCTGAACAACCTCCAGGATTCCTCTCTCCTCATTCACAGTGTGCCTACAAGATCCCAGGAAACCAGAAACATGAGTAGGAGACTGAGTCTCAGTTCACAAGCTGTGTCACAAGCTGTGTCACCTGGGACAAGTACTTAAGTTTCTTAGCCTCATTGTCCCACCTAGGAACATGGACAGTGTAGCTGTGAAGAGGAAGGAGTGGACTGGGTAAAGCCCATGCCCGTGCTCTGTTCCCATGCACAGGGGGTTCCCTGTAAACACCGTGGGGAGGGGAGGGAGGGGAGGTCTGGGCTGGACTCTGCGTGTGGGCAGCACTGAGGTCCCTGCCCCCCAGCCCTTTCCTCCAGGGAACACTGTGGGTACCACAGTGGACACGCATTAGTTCTTCCTGGGGGTCAGAGACTGCCCTAAGAACTTGATGGGTGATAGCTTATTTAATGCTGACAGCAACCCTAGGAGAAAGTGCCATTGCTGTCTCTCTTTGACAGGTGGGGAAACTGAGGGCTGGAGAGGTTGAGAGATGTCCCCACCCAGGTGATATGGCTGATGGTGAGAGAAGAGGTCTGAGCATCAGTGCCTCTGCCCTTGACTGCATGAGAGGAGCTGGGGGCTCCAGCAGTGGAGGCAGGTGGGGACAGGGGCACCTGCACTGCCAGGTGGAGCTCTGTTCCCTCTCCATTCCCATCATGCATGAAATATTCACAGCTGACACCCACCGACAGCCAAGGTGTGTCAGAACTATTTCTCTTCCAGTTTCCCTTAGACCTAAGAAACACCCTTTGGATCCTAGCAGTCATTGCTAAGCCTGTGTCTTCCAAGTAGAGAAGTAAAAAGGAGAAACAGCAGAGAAAAATTGGGGCTGAGATGGGTTCTAAACAGAAATCTACTGTCCTGGGAACATTTTGGAGTCTGTCTTCATGGGAAGGGGAGTGGTGAAGTGAACAACAGGTGCACCTGAGGGACTGGGGAACGCTTGACCATGGATCAAGGGGCGCTGCATTTTAAAAGAGGACAGAGAGGGGAGGGAGGAGGCTTAGTCTGCTGTGGCTGCTGTGACAAAATACCATGGGCTGGGCAGCTGAAACAGCAGAAATGTATTCCTTGCAGTCCTGGAGGCTGGAAGTCTGAGATCAAAGGGCTGGCCAGTTTGGTTTTTGATAAGGGCTCACTTTTTGGCTTGCAAACAGCTGCCTCTCTGTCCTTAAATGATGAAGACGGGCAGCAGGGTGCAGGGGAGTGTGGAGAGAGAGAGAGAGCGCTCCACCTCTGGCGTCTCTTCCTGCAAGGACACTCATCCTTTTGGATCAGGGCTCCACCCTCACAACCTCATTTAATCTTAATTACTTCCTTACTCCACATACAGCCACACTTGGGGTTAGGGCTTCAACATATGAATTTGGGGGAGCACAATCTAGTTCATAGCATGAGGGAGTTGGGAAGGTGACATTTGAGGCATCCTTAGGGGAGAGTTTGTGGGTGGGGAGAAGCCTTCCTGGAGTCCATCGGAGAGATTCCCTTCTCTGACACCCACAGTGTGCCTCAGTTTCTTCATCTATAAAGTGAAATTATACAACTTCCTCATAGGGCTCCTATGAGATGATAATGAGAAAATCTATCTTGAATGCTCAGCACAGGGTCTAGCACACAGGAGGTATTTCTCTTCTTAGTTAGCAGGGTGGGGTGGGGTCTATTGCCCACCACTTGGCAACAGCTGGGCTTGCGACTTACTTCGAGCAATGGAATGTGTGGAAGGGACACTGAATTTCAGAGCTGGGGCCCCCAGGTGCCTCGCAGCCCCCCACCCGTCACCTCTCTTGGTATCCTGTGAATAAGCATGAGCTAGCCTGTTGGGTCATGAGAGTGAGGCAGAGGAGAGTGAGGAGACATAGGAGTTGGAATATTCTAGACCATCCAGGTGCCACCTGGTCACCGACTTTTGGGGGAGCCCAGCAAATATCAGCAAATATCCTGGCCCAGACTAGGAACATCACCCAGCTGACCAACGGAATTATGAGCTAAAAAAATGATTGTGGCTATAAGTGACTACATTTTGGAGTGTTTTGTTTTTAAGCCCAGCAAAAGCTAAGTGGTAGCTGTATTATCTGTCCATCTGGCTGTTGTGTGTCTATATTGTAAATGGCAAAGATCTTGGCAGACATGAGGGATTTTGTCTTTCTTGTTAAACTGGAAGATGACCTCTGAGTTGCTGTTGAGGGGTACAACATCAGAACTGCCCTACGGCCTTGTTTTTTCTTTTCCTTTCAATATTTAATTATGTGAATGAAAAAATTATACAGATAACCTGTGTACATGTTCTCTGTGCAAAAACCCGAGTCAAGGCTCTTTTGACCATGTCCACCTCCCAGTCCTCTCCCCAGGGTAATCCTGGGTCCCACTTTCTCCCTGTGCATTTCTATCTGTGGACGCACAGACACTGCAAAGCAGAGTTTTCCATCTTCTAAATGGCATTACGTCAATATTTTTCAACCATTTGCACTTTTGCCCAGTGATTACATTTTGGAGAACCTTTATCTAGATGAGGGCAGCCTCTCCGCTGATGTGTGTCAGCTCTCCCGCCCTAGGCCTGGCACACAGCACACTCTCAATGAGTTGTTGCTGAGGGAACGCCTGAAAGAAAGAACGCACGTGGGCAGTGACATTGTCATCCCGCCCAGCTTGCAGCCTGCTCTGGCACAGCCTCCTTACGGTCTCCACACCCATGACTCCGAGGTGAGTCCTGGTGGCCCCGCCTAGAGCTCCAGGGAGGACTACCCCGCACATGGCCCTGGCATCTCACAGGAGGATGGGAAGAGGAACTTTGAAGGCCATGGTCATTGCCATGGACACGAAGCTTACTCTGCTTGCACAGAGTAAGCGGGGGGGCGGGGGGATAGGCTTCAGTAATTTGGGGGAGGGGTGTCTGAGGTGGGGGCAGCTCCCTTTTGGAGGATCAAAGTGCATGCGCTCCAGCCTCCTCCTCTGTGCTCCAGAGCCTTGCCCAGGTCTCAGAGGGGAGGGCGGGTTTCTCAGCTGCTCTGGTTTATATCCACACACAGATGGGGCCTTGTGTGAAGTCTCAGTACAGACGGTTTCTGGGGCAAGGCTCTGTCTAAGAGATCTGAAAAACGGGAGCCTGAAGTCCCAGGAGCTCCCGGTGCGTCCCCGCTGCTCGTTGCTCTCCAGCCCATTAGACTCACCTACCAGCCAGATCAGGCCATTCCTCACCGCACAGCTAAATGCCAAGCAGCCTGTCTTCTGCCTGGAGCGCATTTTCTGTAACATCAGTCACATTGTGGGCTAGGAGTCCGAAGGACACAGGTGACTTGGGGATTCTCCTCCTGCCTTTCTTTCTTTCTTCCTTCCTCCCCTCCATCCTCCAAACATGATATTTTGAGGTGCAGTGATAAGCCAGGCAGTGTGGCAGGCACTGAGGATTTCAGGGACCTGAGTCAAGTAGAAGGGTCCCTGCCCTCCTGGAGCTTACGATCTAGTTGGGGACAAATATGTAGCTGGAAGGTAGTGAAGGCCTATGAGAAAGACACAGGAGCAGTGACCCCAACAAAGTGGGTTGGTCCGGGCCCCAGGGCAGGGCGAGCCATGGCAAACCAGAGGAAGAAGATGCTGGGTGGGGGGTCAGCATGGGGCGGGCCCTGAGACCAGGCAGAATCTAAAGAGAACAAGGCCGTCCTGTACTGGGGAGCAGGATCAAGTACCATGGGGCAGGCTCTCTCCACACTGACAGCTGAGTAGGGTGACCAACCCTCTCAGATTGCCCAGGACCTAAGGGCTTCCCTGGACACGGGGCTTTCAGTGCTAAAACCAGGAAAGTCCTGGGCAAACAGGGATGAGTTGGTCACCCTGGGGCTGGGTCACTGGGCGAAGCCTCCCAGAGGAGAGACGAGCTGTAGCTGGGCCCGGAATGTGGTGCGGGCTGAAGCAGCCCAGGGAAAGGCTGTGGGCGGGGTGACTGCATCCCTGCCTGGTTTATTACTGCAGGGAATGATCTGGCCAGCTGGCCACCCACTACCAGCCCGAGATGAACTTTTGCTTTCACCGCTGGCTGCACTCGAAACCAATGACGCAAGCCGAGGCATGTAAATAATGACTTCACGGCCACCTGGCCTGCCTCCCGTGGTTGGGCAAGTCTGGAAGGGGCCGAGGATGCAATGACTGTAATCTCCACCATATGGTCTCCTTCCCTTCCTCACGTGGTCAGAGGTCACTCCTCGTTTCCCCCAGGAGGTTCCTGGGGCCGGAAAGAGGCAGGAGGTGGATAGGGGCAGAGGTTCGGAAGCCCCAGTATTGACCGAGTGGCAGTGGCTCCCACTTACTGAGCTCCAAGCTGTGCCCCAGGGACCGGATGCTTAGAGGCCTCATCTCAGTTCATCCCTACAGTGATCCTCTAGGGGAGGTGCTTGTGGTAGAGTTTCCTACATCTGCTGTCACCAATGACTGCAAATTTAGTGCTTAAAACAACATCAATTTAGTACCTTATAGTTCTGATACTAGAAGTCCAAAATTAGTCTCACTAGGCTAAAGTCAAGGTGTTGGTGGGGCTGGGTCTTTCTGGAGGCTCCAGGGGAAAATCTGTTTCCTTGCCTTTTCTGGCTTGGAAAGGCAGCCTACACCCCCGGGCTTGTGGCCCCTTCCTTGCGTTACTCCAACCTCTGGCTTCCTTTGTCACATTCTGAGAGCTCACTCTGACCCCCTGCTCCCTCTCATGGGGACCCTTGTGATGACATTGGGCCCACCTGGATAATGCAGGATGGTCTCCCATCTCAAGATCCTGACTTAGTCACATCTTCAGAGTCCCTTTTGCCATCTAAGGAAACATATTCATGGGTTCAAGGGGTATCTTTGGAGGGCCTTCATCAGCCTAGCACAGTGCTACTCTTGCTCCCATTTTACTGATGAGGAAACTGAGGCTCAGATAATGTGTGTCTCTTGCCCAAGGTCAGAGCCAGGATGGATATCCAGCCCAGCCCCTGGAGGGCAACCACATTAGCTCATATGCCTCATGGGTTCTTTTATGAAAACTAAGAGGAGGTGTTTGTCCTCTGGGCACAGGTGGCCCACACTGGGTACACAGCTTGGTGAGTGGCACAATCTGCACGTCAGCCCCTGGATGCCCCTGGGCCAGATGCCTCTGTGTAGTGACAACCTGTCACTGTGCAGCCATATGTGGCTTCCAAGGCTGCTTCCGTCTGTCTCTGTTAACCCAAGGGCTAATGATAAGTGACCTACTTGGGGTAAAGATGGGATGATAGGACAAATGATTGTGGGGCTGCCTTCTCTGTGCCAGCTGTGTACCGAACTGCTTCCTCCTAAGCTCCGTAGGGGCAGCTGCCCCCAAAGATGACAAAAGGGAAGGTGAAGAAGTGAGACTTTCCTGCTGGACTAGCCAGGTGACCTTGCCTGGTCTTTAGGAAGGGCTAATTCTCAGAATTACCTTCTCTGGTGAGGTTGGCAAACGTTTTCTATAGAGGGCCAGACAGTAATTATTTTTTACTTTGCTGGCTATATGGCCTCTGTTGCAACGACTCAGCTCCTATTGCAGTACTTAAACAGCTATGGACAAGGACTAAACTCATGGGTGTAGCTGTGTTTCCAATAAAACTTTATTTATAAAAACAGGCAGTGGGCCAGACTTGGCCTCTCCTTAGTGCACTTTCCTCTCTCTTGCCTCCTCCCAAATACTAAACAAGGAGAAAGGTGCTCCCTAAAGAACTCTAAGGCAGATGAGGCCCTGCCCAACTCTTCCAACCATGAGGGAATGGGTGTTAGTGGGAGGTGGGCTGCTCTGTTGAGCAGTGAGCCCCCACAGTGGCAATCATTGCTAGGGTCTGTGAGCACACACTGTGAGTAAGGCCTGCTGCTGACATCATCTCCTTAAATCCATAGGATGTTCCTCCATTGTACTCCCAGGAAACAGAATCGTAATCCCTCACCTCCCATCCCCCACCACCATAGCCAATACAAAGGTGGGGGCAGGGTGACTTTGATGGGATTTCATAAATATTCACAGAACTAGAACCAGTCTGAAATTAATAGCCTGGCTAATAATTTCATCCCCTCTATCCCTCTCCCAACTGTTATTCTTTAAGTCTAGGGTTGCAAACACAACACCTACAGGGCCAGACAGGCAAGATGAAGCTAAAGCCAGCTGCTATAGAACAACCTGGAGTTTCAGGGAGGCTTCCATTAACTCATGCTGGTCCAGGGCTACTGCACAAATGCAGGACAACATGCCATTTGTCGAAACGTTTTAAAGATATGATTCAGCTAATGAATTGTGAGCAAAATATGCTCTCTCCTTTTACCTGGACAGATGCACCTTTGCACCCTAGAAGGAAGGCTGGGTTTGAATATAGCCTTCTGGGAATCTGTGATGGTGACTTTTATGTCAACTTGGCTAAGCTATGGTGGCCCAGTTATTTGGTCAAACCCAGCCTAGCTGGTGCTGTGCAAGTATATTTTAGATGTGATTGACATTTAAGTTACTAGACTTTGAGTTAAGTAGATGACCTTCCATCATGTGGCTGGGCCTCATCTAATCTGTTGAAGGCCTCAGGGGATAGACTTTCCCCCAGGAGGAAGGAATTCTCAAGACTGAAGCACAAAAACTTTGCCTGAGATTCCAGGCAATTGCCCTGTGGAATGTGGACCTAAGACAGCAATATCTGGCCTACCAGCCTGCCCTACAAATTTCAGCCAGCCCTACTTGCCAGGACCCATAATTGCACAAACTAATTCCTTATTCCTTAAAATAAATCTCTCTCTCTCCCCCAACCCCACGCATACACACACACACACACACACACACACACACACACACACACACACACACACACTATATTGGTCTGTTTCTCTTGTGAACTCTAGTAGTGGCTTTTTAGGGTGCTGTGCTGGGGTGTGGAGCCCAGGACAGTGGGCCTGGCCCCAGGTCTGCCCCCCTTGTCTTCCCATCCACAGCTTGAACATCACTTATTTACTTATTTATTTACAGACGGAGTTTCATTCTTGTTGCCCAGGCTGGAGTGCAATGGCGCAATCTTGGCTCACTGCAACCTCCACCTCCCGGGTTCAAGCGATTCTCCTGCCTCAGCTTCCTGAGTAGCTGGGATTACAGGCATGTGCCACCACCATGTGCTGGCTAATTTGTATTTTTAGTAGAGACGGGGTTTCTCCATGTTGGCCAGGCTGGTCTCAAATTCCCGACCTCAGATGATCCACCCACCTCGGCCTCCCAAAGTGCTGGGATTACAGGTGTGAGCCACCGCGCCCGGCCAGCTGGAACATCTTGGACATGCCCTTTCCTCATGTCACAGACAGCTGCTCCTGAACCATGGCAGTCAGCTCTCAAAAATACAAACACAGACAGAATTCTGGGGTCCTGAGTACAGAAGTGTGATCTAGAAGGGGGAGGACAGAGCCAGGTGGACATGTCTTCTGGCCTTTGGAGTCCTTGCCTTGTGGGGAAGGACCATGTAAGAGGAGGACAGGGAGGGCCTTTAAAACAGAGGGCACAGGGCAGGCTCCCCTCTTCCCTGGGCTAGGGGGCCGGGCATGAACTGCTGTTCCAAGCACGGGCAGGCAGCCGCTGTGTGAATCTTTCCATTTTCTCCAGAAAAAACAGAAATCCAAATTTTCTGTTACTGTTATTGTTGGCAACCAATTTAAGTGAGTTTCACAACAAGGTGCAGGCTGAAGACGTTTCTGAGAATGTTCCGCTTGTTGGCCCCATTTCTGGATTTATGGAGTATGAGGACGTCGTCAAAATTTGTTGAACGGTATACACAGTTTTCTTTCTGTATGTTGTACTTCAATGCAAAGCTTTATTCAAACAAATCAGAGCCATGCCCAGTTCCATCAGAGGAGGTCTGAGGACCGGGTTCGGCCTGTTCACCTGTCTGGCTTCTGGCTTAGAAGGTTTGCTTGGCATTTATTTTGGGGGTGGGGCAGGGTGATCCCAGGGAGTTATCAGTTAATTTCCTCTCTGGGACCTCGTGGTTTGTGGGTTATTTCTCGTATGGGAACATGAGTTCCTGAAAGGTACTGGGGGGAATCTCAGAGCTTCTTCTGTTTTTCTTTGCAGCCACCAGCGGGCGACAACCCACTGACCCCAGAGGCTGCCGGGGTCTGTTCCCATCCCTAATACCACACTGACCCCTGCTGGTCCTGGCTCACTGCATTTTTCCATCCGACTGATTTTCTAGGCCCAGTAACTCGTAATTGCCCCGGAGGCAAATTTTGGGAATAAATTAAATGTTTTGGAGTTTCTTGGGCAAGGCAGGATTTTGAATGTTCCTCCAGGGAGTCAAAAATTGAGCGTCAGCACAGGTGCAGACAAACAATACTCCTTGAAGGAGGAGAGTCCAGGTAGGGAGGAGGGGAGCATAGGGAGGGAGGAGGGAGGTAGGGAGGAGGGAGGTAGGGAGGAGGGTAGTGTAGGTAAGGGAGAAGGGAGGGCATCTCGGCCGTGCCACGAGCTCCTCTGAAGGCAGCCCCAGCTCACACGACCCCCTGATGCTGCAGGCCTATGCGTGTAAGGGAGCCCGGGTGCTCACGGCTCTGAGCGGCCCACCAAGGATTCCGCCTCTGATCCAGCTTCTAGCAGCACTTGGAGCCAGCCAGTAGGAGTCACATGGGGCCATCACACAGCCACGTGCCTGTGACTGACTGGTCATCCGTCACATGGTGTTTTCATGTTCACATTTGCCCAGTAGTGTTCTTGTCCCCTCCCCCAAACAAAAGGAACCCTAAGCACACTGCAAGGTGGGGAAACCTTGAATGGATATAAGAAAACCTTCGTCAGTGGCTTCATAACAAGTACCTTTTTCTTTTTTTTTTTCTTTTTTTGCAAATTTGACTCTACAAAAGCACATTATCACAATATTGACATTTTGTATAAGTATTGCCCACGTACGTACGAACATTGAAACTTCCTCAGTAAATGGAGAGATGTCCTTTTTGTACATCTGCACGTATGAAGAATGAAATTTCTCGGGATCTCGGCTCTTTGGTCACCATCATGGTGACCCATCACAGTTTTCGACAGAAAGTCTCAAAATACTTAGTTTGTTCATTGCAGTATCTCAGACGACTGCAGTTAGTGAGCCAGCCATTGTAGTATGTGTTTATACATTTCCCTTTTTCACCAGTTTCATTTCTTTCCTTTTTTTTATTTTTTTAAAATTACACTTTAAGTTCTAGGGTACATGTGCCCAATGTGCAGGTTTGTTACATATGTACACATGTGCCATGCCGGTGTGCTGCACCCGTTAACTCGTCATTTACATTAGGTATATCTCCTAATGCTATCCCTCCCCCCTTCCCCCAACAAGTATCTTTTTCACAGGGTAGAAACAGTCACAGTTGGGTTCAGACCCTGCAGCAACTGGGGCTCTGTGTTTCTCCTCTTCAGGGCTATCTGGATGGACATGAAGGGTTCCATCCTGGGATCCACATGGTTGGCTTACAGAGCAAGAAAAAGGATGGACAAGGCTCGGGAGAGAGGGCAGATGAGACTCAGGGCTGTGGCTGCTGTGGCCAGTGTTTACGATGACTCTGGGCTGCAGAGAGCTCTCTAAGGCTCTGGTGTTAATGTCCAGCTTCTGAAGTCTTGATTGCTAATTGCAATCCCAGGCATCTAATTAATCAATGGAGGATGGAGTGCCTTGGGTTGTGGGGTCTAGAAGAACTGAGTTTGAAGCCTACCCTGTCACTCACTGGCTGTGTGATATTAGACAGGTTGCTTAACCTCTCTGAGCATTAGCTTCCTGATCTGTAAAATGTAGAAGAACATATCTAGCTCTCATGGGAGTTAGGGCCATTTCTTTCAATGTGTTCCCCAGAAACAGACCTGAGATAAGGGTTCAATGCAAGTGATTTATTAAGGAAGTGCTTCTGGGAAACAGGGATGTTTGCAGGAAGCAAAGCCAGGGTAGCAGTTTCAGGCAATGTCCTGCTGGGGGCAGCCTCAGCTTGGTCCTGCAGGGAGCTCCGGGGTGTAAGTTGTTAGAGCCCATTGGAGGCAAAGGAGCTGGGACACCTGTCATCAGTGCCACCATGTGGGAGGAGGAAGGGAGCAAACTGCCTGGCCTTCCTGGCTGCTCCTGTGTGGGCAAAGCTGCTGGACCCATAGCCAGAGGGCAGGCTGCAGGGGTTGCAGTTGGAGACAAAGGCACACTGCTGCTGGGAGGGGGGCACACCAAAATGCACCAGCCCTCCCAGGGCATCTGGGCAGTGCACTGCAGGGCTCCTGTGTGATCAAATTAGAAAATGTATGTGAGATGTCTTAGCTTGGAGAAACAACAGAGATTTATTTCTTGCAGCTTTAGAGGCTGGAAGTGCAAGAGCAAAGTGCCAGCAAGGTTGAGTTCTTCCGGGTTGCAGAGGGCCGTCTTATTACATCCTCACCTGGCAGAATGGGGGCGAGAGAGCTCTCTGGGGTCCCTTTGATGAGAGAACTTTCCATTCATGTGGCTCCACCCTCATGATCTAATCGCCCCCCAAAGACCTCCCCACCTCCCAATACCATCACATTAGGGGTTAGGATTTCAACATAGGAATTTTTTTGCGGGGGGTGACACAAATATTCAGTCCACTGCATGAAAGATTTCTGCAAACTACGAAGTGGGATGCATAATGTTGGTGATGTTAGGCTTCCCAGAGCAGCAGTAATGACAGAGGGCTGTACCGGGGCAGCCCCCCGCCCCACTCTACTGGCATGAAACAAAAATGAGGAGGGAGTTTGTTTGACAAATTGTAATTCTTTGGAGGCAGGATCAGGCTAATTCTGGGGTCAGGTCCGAGGTGTTGAGCCTCATTGGTGGACAGTATCTGAGGCCATCAGAAACCAGCAGATAAGGCCAAAACCAAGGACAATGTGTCGAGCCAGAAAAGCTGAACCTGTGGCTGGACTCAAAGTTCAAGCTTCGAGGGACAAAGGGAACTGGGTGACAGCAGGGATAGAGTGAGGCAGCAGCCAGGCAGGAGAGCCCAGGATGGCCGAGGATGAATAGGACGGCCCCCTAGAGCTCCTCAACCTGGGGGTGGCCATCCCCATGTGGGGTGAAGGCCAGAGTGCACTGAAGGAGTATCGCCAACATCCCTTCTATGACAAGGGGCAGAAACCCAACTCAAACCGGTTCAAGTAGACGGGGAATTGATCAGCTTACATAAGGAGAATCAGATGTGGTTTGATCCACAGGGGTCCGGTTAGACCCAGCAGGAGCCAGTCTCTTTCTTCCCATCTCTGGGCTCTACTTGCTGCACCTCCACTCTCAGCAGCTTCTCTCACAGCGGTGAGATGGCAGCTGCCAAGACAGGCGCACATCCTCCTGGCTTTCCTTCCAGCAGAGAGACAGGGTCCCCCGTGCAGACTGCTTCCCAGTGCTCGCTTACAAGTCAGGACATCTGTGCTGCCTGCATCTGTCTGGTTGTGTAATCACTCCTGGCCCAGCCACTGGGATCAGGGGGTTGCAAGGTCACCACTGCCCAGGCCAGAGCCAGGCACACACCCTGCACATATCATTGTGACCATGGGGCATTCAGGCTACCAAGCCCAGGAGGGATCGAGTACACAGACTGCGGATTGTGGCTCCCCAAGAGGAAATAGCATGCTTTACCGAAAGGAGTGACAACAGATGCTGAGAGTCCAAGACCAGCATGCACCTGCCCCAGCAGCCATGTCTGACTTCTTGAGATAGGTGCTAGGGTGCTAGGCCCCAGCAGCACCTGCAGGAGCCACACAGGGAGGTGCCTTTCCCACTCAGAAGGCTCCAACGAGGTATAAGGCACCACCTGAGCATTCCCTGTGGGCGGCACTCTCCAGCCAGTGTCACCCTCATGCAGACTTTGGCTGGTTAACCAGGTGTCTTCTGAGACTTAATCTCAGGGGAGAACTGGGTCCTGCTGCCCCAACCATGATCATGACACAGGGACTTCGAGCCTGGACCATGAGTACCGTGGGGGCAGGAGCCAGGGTGTATCCTTGCCTGTCCAGCTCAGAGTAGAGACTCAGTGAAGGAATGGATGAATGAATGAATGAATGAATGAATGATGCTATTTCCAAAAGCACTTCTGGGACAAGACAATACTCTGTAAGAACTGAGTACAAAACTCTCTCTATCCAGAAGCTTGGGGTGGCCAGGCACGTTGTCAGGTCACCTCTCTGAACTGTCACCCTGTCCTGAGACACTGGCACCACCTCTCCCCTGGGGATAGGAGTGCCTTGATCATCCTCTCCAAAACCTCATGCCCCTCCCGCTCCAGCCCCACACTTACTTTCTGTTTCCCCCAACATTTGTCTCCATTCCATAGCGCATTCTTTCACTGTTTCTTTCTTTTGGTTTTTCAGAAAGTAAGGCTTGATCTTTATTTCTTTATTGGCTTCTTGTCTACCTTCCCTTTGCCATCAGCAGGGTGGGGCTTTGTTTTGTTCACTATACACCCTGAGTGTCTAGAACAGTGCCTGGCTCATAGCAGGTGCTCAGTCATTGCTTATTGAATGAACAAGTCGATGAACTTCAGTTTTGTTTTCTAAAAACTGGAGGCTTGTCTCCCTGGCGTTCTGGCCTGGAGTGCTAGGCTGGTTAGGAGGCGCCCCTCAGCCCCGGCGCATTTCAGCTTCTCACTATCATGCAGTTACAACCCATTGTCTTCATCTGATCCTTTGCCTCCCCCCACCCCCCACCACACAAGACAGAGAGTAGGTGCCCTGCCTGGTTGTGCTTGGGGCATGGGAGGGGCCGACACAGATCACCTGTTCAGAGGATGGAAAGCTGGAATGGAAAGTGCTTGCAAACCCTAAGGGCAGTGCGGCTCAGAGGCCGGTTGCTGTGGTAGTTAATATTATTTGTCTTGCTTGCGAAAGAGGCCTCAGCAGCTGGCGTGTATCAATATTAATCGTGGGGCCATCTCTGCTGCCTGGTAAGGCCAGCACCCTGCGGGAGCCTGAGTCACTGGAAGCCAGATGGAAAATCCCCAGCGAGGGCAGGCTTTGGAGACCATGGGTAGCAGGCAGCTAAATAAACAGGCAGCCCCACCAGAATCACTAAGGGGCCCATCTCAGCCCTAGAAACCCATCCCTCCCCTTCCTCTCCCCCTCCTCCAACCCTAAAGGCTCAGGCAGCTCTGGGGAGCGGATGCAGAGCTTGGCCATTCCAGCAGGCACCGAAGGGAGGCTGCGGTGTTCATCCCTGTCCCCCTCATTAGTTCATTTATGGAAAGCCTGACACTGTTATCCCTGGGCTGGGCACTGGGGAGGACAAAGGGGTGAGCCAGAGGAGGCATTACCCCTCCAAGAGTACACAGCTAATGGGGGACCGGCTCATCCCTAGGGGAGAGGAGCACCCCACTACCCACAGCATAACCAACTCCTGGACAGAGTGAAGAGCTGTGGTTGTTTGAACCTTTATTTCTTTACAGGCCCCACATTACAGATGGACATTCTGCTCCAGGAAAGCTGCCCATACCCTTACAATACCAGGGTTGACTAGGAATAGGCACATTGCATGAGGATGAATGTGTTTACAATCCTGATTGGTAAAACCAAAAATTCAATTAAATCAATTAAATGTTAGCAAGGAGGGTGGGGCAGGAAGTGAGGGACACGCTGTGGCCTGGGCTGGACTGGCTGTAGCTTCTTGAGACACATTCAGCAGCATTGGACCAGGGATGCCTCCTTTTCTTGAAAAACCTTGCTGCTAGCCATTTTTGCTATTTCAGAATGATGCTTATCAGTCTTGAGAACGCAGTCCTTTGGGCCATGTGAAAGCCTCTGCCATCTTTGCAAGGCACACGATTGGGAGGGAGACCCCACCTTATCAGCCACACTGGTGCAGGGCGGAGGTGCCATCCAGCGAGCGAGGGAAGATGCCAGAGGAGCAGGTTCGAGGGGCAAAATCAAGAGCCCCTTCCCAGTTCTCTTGCTGCCTCCCTGCTCCAGAAACTGCAGGCCTCTCTACTTGAGAACCAGCCCTGCTTCCCTATGGCCAACAGTGGCCCATGGCCCACCATGGTGCCCACCCTGACATTCAAGGCCCCTTTCAGCTGGCTGTATCCCTTCATCCTCAGCAGCCTCAGATCCACTGCTGCCTTGACCTTTATCCAGCCTGGTCTTCTAGCCCGAACCCCATGCAACCTCTGCTGTGCACCTGTTTCTGCAGATTCCATGCCAAGTTAAGTATTGCCTCCTCCAGGCAGTCCTCAGTGAGCTCTTTAGTTGCTGCCTACAAAGTCCATGCAGCTCTTGACATTATGGAACACCTTCTTGTTCTAACCCCTCCCTTGGCTCTCTTATCTGTTGGACTGTTGGCAGGCTAGGAATGGCCAGGCTCTGGTCTCTCCTCATCCAGCAGGCTAGCCTTGCTTGCATCCTCAGGGTTCCAAAGACAGAACAAAAAAAAGGCTTCTTGAGGCCTAAGCCCAGGACTGACCCAGAATCAGGTTTTCAGTCCTGGTTCACCAGTTACATGGCCTTGGGCAAGAAACCTCTGCATGCCTCAGACTCCTCATTTGTAAAACGAAGATTAAGTGAGTTAACATGTGTGGAAAGAGCTCAGAGCTGCGCCAAACACCTCATAAGTGCTATACGAATGTTTGTTACTATCAGTGAACTAATAAGGAAAATGATATGGTCCATGTTCCTCATAGTGTTGAAATGTACCGGGCTGGTCATTTAGGTATCATTCACTCATTCACAGAATATCGGATGTTTGCTAGGAGCCAGGCACTGTGCTGGGTGGTGGGGATAACACATTGAATAAGATAAGTTTGCTCTTAGATGGCTCAGATAGTTGGGAAAACTGAATGTAGCTTCCGTGATTTGATTTGCTACAGGTGTGATGATAGAGTGGTATCAGGAGGGGATAGGGAGGAGGGGACCTGTCCTGCCTCGGTGGGGCAGGAAAAGCATCAGAATGGAGGTGACGCTGGGGCTGAGCCATTTAAAGCTGAGTAGATCATCTCCTTTGCATAAAGCACAGATGAGAACCAGACACAGAGGAGTTCATGTTTTCTTCTTTTCTCTTTTCAGTTATCATAATAGAAAATGACAACAGCAGCAACGCTAACAAAGTGAGATTTCACAGATACATTTTTACGTCTTTTAAGGTTAGATATTTTTAATCAAAAGAGCACAGCGAAATCCTTTATTAAGAAAGAGTCTTCACTGTAGAGAAGTCAGTGATCGCATGGTGAAACCAGGTGCTTGGGTAGCAAAGGACTCCAAGAATAGTTAAAATACCTTTTATGAAGTCAACTGCTTACATTTACAAGTTGATCATGAAAACATCAGTAAGACACAAAAACATTTCCGATGCTCTCGGCATGAAGAATTGGTATCTGGAGAGTAGCAAGTTATAATAGTAAGGTTTCTGCAAAAGATTAAATAGTATAAAGAATATTAGTATGCCTTCAACTGGCAGAAATAGGACTGGGCACGTGGAAAAAGGTCAGAAATAAGAGAAGATGCAGATTTGCTCAAAGGCTGCTACCCAGCACTCCCATGCCCACCCCATTCCTAAGCTCTTCCCCAAGCATACTCTTCATATGCATTGGTGAGGGGCCAGGTCCCTGGAGGTCCCAGAGACACAAAGTTAAGGGTAGGGAAAAGTTCAGCCCCACACTCCCATCCACTTTGTAGGGCTTTCTCCCTCCAGTCTGGGGGTCCCCACAAATGCCCAAGATGGTGGAAACAGTCACATGGATTTCTAAGAGACCACATGACATGCTGGGAGTTGCAGATCACTGTCCTCAGCTCGCATTATTTGAACGCAGGGCAGTGACCATGATCACTGCTGCTGCTCAGAAGAGCTTTAATTTACTCAATGACTCACAAATGGGGAAAAGTGGAAAGCATGCATAGTTTCAGAATCAGAGATAGGATGGCCAGCACAGGGTCCCCTGACCTCGGCACTATTGGCATTTTGGGGCTGGATAATTCTTATTTGTGGGGGGCTGCCCTGTGCATTGTAGGATGTTCGGTGGCATCCCTGGCCTCCACCCATGAGATACCAATAGCAGTCCCCACCAAGCTGTGAGAATCAAAAATGTCTCCAGACATTGCTGATGGCCCCCAGCCCTTCCTTGAGAACGACTGGCCTCATGAAAGCCACCACTAAGTCTCCTAGTGAAAACTCGATAGTTAGGTGTCCTGGGCTCAAGACCCCTGTCTCCTGAAAAGCTCCACCTGGCAACACTCTCAAGCCTCTCAGAGATTCATTTTCCTCAAGTTAAAAGGTTGGAAGCTCCCTTCTGCCAGCATATAGAGCCCTTGTCAGAACCATCTGCATTGTTGGGACAACGCTTCGAACGGCAAACGCAGTAATGGTGTGGTTCTTTAAGAAACTGGGAGAAAGACAGCCAGTGAGACAGATACAGGGGACACAGGGGTGTTGCTCAGCCACGTGGATGGGGCTCGGTGTGGAATGGGCTCTGATTCCCCCAATAATCGAGGCCTGCAAATTCCCTGCAAATATGCTGTGCACATCTGTCAGGATTTATTTCCAAGGCAGAATGGGGCTCAAACCTCCTCTTGGGGAGGCAGGAAATCAGCTTGAAAAAGGACCCAAGAGCAGATGACAGCCTTGCCAAATGTCTGGATGGAGCCATCCGGGCAGGCGCGAGGCTGCCGCCACGGTCAAAAGACCAGCATCCAGAATCCCCCGGGGACCGCACCACCTACGCAGCCTCTCCGAGGACCAATGTCCACGTCATTCTCTGCTCTTTTCTATCTTGATAATAAATGCATGACTTCTACAGTGACTCAGAACACATCATACACTTTTATTTCAGAATTTATGGCGTCCATTTTGTGTACTTTTTGGCTCTTCCATTCTGCTTCTGGCAGTAACTGTTTTCTCGCTCCAGGGAGTCTTTGATCGTCTTCAGTCATGAAGATTTGCATTGTTTTGTCCTTTGTCACTTTCCCTCTTCCTCAAAAAGAAACCCAGTAAATGCTCAAGGTCTGAGCTCAGAAGGACGCGCTGGGAATGAGAAGGTGCTGTGATAATTCTGGTTATCCAGATTTTTCAGAGAGGTCCCTTTTCCTGCTTGGAAGCTGTGGGCTCTGTCCTCTGGGTTCTCAGTACTCAGTTCAACCACCTTCTCCTCCATCCCTCTCCGTGAGTGACCATGGTCAGGGGCCTGTGGAGTGGGCCAGGGTGGGTGGGGCTGGGGCAGGTGAACATAGAACATTCAGGATCTGGCTGTTCCCTTTGGCTCCCTGAGCAGAACTCCCTGGGCCTCCCTGTCATAGCAGCTCAGCCCAACCCTGGCACTTGCTCGGGGACAATCACTGGGCATCTGCCAGGACGAAGCAAAGCGGGCCGATGGCAGCTGCAGGGAGCACAACCCACCTCGGGGCTGGGGCAGGTAATCCCGGGCAAGCCCTTTGCTTCCCACTGAACGCACAACGTGCTGGACCACGGACCCCTGGGCCAGGAGCCCAGACACTTGTCAGCTCTCCACTAATTTTCCACACGGCCTCAGCTGCTCTCCCCGAAAAATTAAAGGTCTCGATTAGATGCTCTCTAAAGCCTCTTATCACTGTGAGGTTCTGGAACTGATAAATCCCTGTGCACTGCCGCCTGCCCCTTTCCTGGACTTACACTTGAATGTGGCAATCTGGCTATAAGCTCTTCAGGACCAAATCTCAACCCCAGCCTCCGAGGCCTCATATCCCGAGATGGTCCATCCCAGGGGGATCACCCTGGTGGGCATGATGCAGGGTGCCTCTAGAGCTGACAGAACTGGGTCTGAATCACAGCTCCTTAGCTGTGAGCGTTCAGCCCTGGCCTCAGTTTTCTCCACAGAAAAATGCGACAGTAATTAACGTGCATCTCTCTGCATCCTCATTCCTGCCCCCAGGGGCAATTTGAGAAGTAAATGAGACACAAATAGAGCAACAAAAAGATGTGCAAAACTGGCACCGGTAAGAATAATAACTGGGAATAATATTACTGCTAATAATGAAGGCAGATGATGCTTCTGAAGAAGGAAAGTGCCATTTGTCTTGCAGGGATCAGGCAGCAGTGCTGACAACAGACAGACTCCACTGAGCCTCTTCGGTCTCCAGGGACCCACTTCAGGAGACGCCAGAGTGGTCTGGCCAGCCTCCAAGCCTTCCAGCTGAACCGGGGCTGGAAAAGCATCTGCTGCCTTTCCAGCGAAATGCTGCTGCCCCTCCTCCCATCCTTTCTCCCTCAGATCCTGGGGGATCTGAAAGGAGCGAGAATCATTTCTCTCTGGGGGGTAGAGTGGAGCAGGGAGTCTTATTTGCCTCTTGACCTTGATTTCATGGGAAAGGGGAAGGACAGCATTGGCTTGGAGTAGGAAGAGCTGCGCCATCATCCTGCCTGGGTCCCTGGAAGCACAAGTCCTCTTAAGACAGGCCTGGCTACAGCGGCGTCTGGCCTCTTCTCAAAGACCTTCAGTGGTGGCCACTCACAACCTCACAAAGCAGTAAGTTGCTCTTTTTTTTTTTCTTTTCTTTTTTTTTTTTTTTGAGACAGAGTCTCGTTCTGTTGCCCAGGCTGGAGTGCAGTGGCACAATCTCAGCTCACTGCAGCCTCCGCCTCCTGGTTCAAGCAATTCTCCTGTGTCAGCCTCCTGAGTAGCTGGGATTACAGGCACATGCCACAATGTCTGGTTAATTTTTGTATTTTTTGTAGAGACAGGGTTTCACCATGTTGGCCAGGCTGGTCTTGAACTCCTGTCCCTGCCCGCCTCGGCCTCCCAAAGTGCCGGGATTACGGGTGTGAGTCACTGCACCCAGCCTAAGTTGCTCTTTTGAATCACCTAATTGCTTGTAGAGGAGCAATGGAGGGGCACACAGAGGGGTAAGCACAGAGAACATTCCAGAAAATGCAGGACCCTTTCTCTGAGGCACAGCTATGTAACAGGCAACCCCACCCAGGGAGAAGCCAGTACAGAGGCCCCAGCTAGAGTCTGAATGAGGACGATCCCTCTCCCCTGTCCTGGGGAGCCTGGGGTCACCTTGCAGAACAAGATGGTCCCAGGACTCTGACTCTGCACTTCTGGCTGTAGTGAGCCTCTTTCTACGTGTGGGTGCTTCTGCTGGGCTCCTGGGTGTTGGCCAGGGAGGGTCCCCTTCTGCCTGCATCCCAAGAAAACCAGTCTCTGGGAGCTTCACCGGGGCCTTCCAAGGAGACTTGAGTTCAGTCTTAAAGAAGGGGGCAGGCCTTGGGGACCGGCACCCCTGAAATCTGGGCAGAGAGAGAGCAGTGGGCGGGAGGTTGAGCATGTTCCACTCTGAGGACAGTCAGGGACCTGTGGAAGCCAGAGCTGGCCCAGGCCACACCATGACGGGCATCTTGAGAAACAGCCTCTGCAGATTCAGGGCCTTGTGTAAATGTGCCCTGGAGGTGCCACCCAGTCACAGAAGGCAGTACAGTGTGGCAGAAGGCAGTACAGTCTGGCTCTAGAGCCCAACTTCCCAGATTCAAATCCTAGCTCATCACTTTCATGCTGTGTGACCTCAGGAAGGCAACTTCACTCCTCTGAGCCTCTGGTTCCTCATCTGTGCACTGGGGCGATGATGCTGTGTGGTGATTGTAAGGAGTTAGTGTGCATGCAAGTCTAGTGGCACCTGGACACAAAACTTAAGCAGTGAGGACCGGCATCTTTTTCCCCTTTCCAAACTGCTAAGACGGACCCCGGCTGAGGCAGGAGGGAGAGTGCAGCTCGCTGTGGCCAGAAATCCAGCCTTTGCTCCTTAATCAGACACTAATGGGCATATCTATCTTCATTGTTATTTGAGAGATGCTGGTAAAAAAAAAGCTGATGAAGAAACCACAGGAGACCAAGATGGGGCAACCCCGAGGAAGTCACTGTAATCTGCAATGCAGAGTGGTCGAGGCCTCCAATGCCCTGGACCATCTACTGCTCTGACACTGAAAAGGGAGAGAGGCTTGAAAACTGAATTTAACCGACATTTATGTTAGGGCTGGAGGCTGAGGGGCCTCCATAGGGAAAACTGCAGCCAGAAGCACCCGGTGCCTGGGATGCTGGAGTCCTCTTCAGGGCTAGAAGCCATCCTTTTTCCTCCTGCCTTCTCCTCCCTTCACCGCAGCAAACACAGAACCCTGTCTCCCGACTGCCATCTCCATGGGCCATTTGGAGGCCAGGGAGCTGCCTCCTGTATCTTTACAGGGGTCAGGCCCTCCTAGGGATGTGGGGCCAGAGGGAAGATTTGAGCATGTGGGGCAGAGTGACTCCATGAGGACGTCAAGCAACCCCGCCATGGCTCTGGGCTTCTCGCCTTGGGTTTTCTCATGGAGACATCCATCTGTTAAAGATCTTGCTTATGGGGCAGACCTGGGGTTTGATGGAGAGAGACTTGCTGGAGACAGAGCCATTCACGCACACCGCGGCTAACTCCCCAGCCCAGCCTCCACCCTGCCAGTGATTCCAGGAATTCCAGACAGGTGGTCCATGTCCCTTCTCCCTCATTGTCAAGGGTCAGGTTCTTTTGCACTCGTGACCTCCCCTTAAGCTGATGCACTGGCAGATGATATACGGTGGCAGTGACAGATGTGATCGGTAAGAACTGGCAGCCATGAGCAGGCACTGTCTGGAGCCAGGCTAGTAATCCTATTAACATGGCGGCTTCCAGGGAAGAGTGCCGCTTCTGGACAACTAAGATGTCCCTTTGCCTGTCATCAAGAACACTCATTTCTCCTGAGACCACAGCGGCAAGTCCAGCTTTCTTGTAATTGTCTCTAAATATACACGAGAGCTTCCTAACCAGCTTTTTAAGTTTCTCCACTACAGAGGGTGTTATTGACACAATTCTTCTGTTTTTGCAGTGTATAAAGTGAGGAGAAAGCCTCTCTGGGCCTAGAGGTGAGTGAGCCCCCTTCTGGGACCTTTCCCACTCTATCTGCACTGGGATGCTGCCTTGGGAAGGTGTGGGGGGTGGGGGTGGGGGTGGTTCCTGTGCAATAAGATTTCCTAATGAAGAAAGAAAAGTGTGCCCTTCTCTCTGGTTTTTACTTGGAAGCTTCCTTGCTTGCCAGGACCCCAGATGCTGATATTTCAGAATTTAAGGAAGTGGCTTGGGCAGAAGCACTTTCACAGCTTCAGGAGAATGCACGGTATCCACACTGAATGTAAAGGACGGGTATCTGAGCAGCCTGCCAATCTCGCACCCACCTTCAAGATGCCTGGACATTCTCCTGAGGGCAGCTTCTCAGCAACCTCCTCAGGGAAGTGCTTAGTTGGGGCAGAGAGCTCAGTGAGCTGAGAGTGAGGACACATCTTTCTGTTCCGACTCCTCCACAAACCTGCCTGGTGACCACAGGCAAATCACCCCCCTTTCTGACCCATCCGTTGAATAATTCAGTGGATGTGAATCTTGTTCATCTTTAAAATTCCACGATTCCTCAGAGAAGAAACAGCATTCTCACGTGGGTGGCCTGAAGAGTCCACTGCCTGGCACATCTAGCTCTTAAAGACATCCTCTCCTCTTCTTAAAAAGAAGAGAAAGTCCGACCAGGAGATAAAAACCACCAACAACACCCCCAGAAACCCCACCTATTACCAGTAACCCCCCATCCCTGGGTCTCCCAATGCACTTGGGTCTTGGAAGGGACCAGGTGTCTGGTGGCAAAGGTGCCATTTCAAAGTCAAACTAGGAACATCCAATGGCCCTACTAGATGGCCAAGGGACTGAATGTGAAACCAGAATTGGGTCAGGAACACTGAAGTTCTGAGGGCTGCTCTTGCCCCAGCACCCCACGCCCTAGGTTCGATAAGTTTGCATAAAAACAAGACACACGAGTGATTATTTACCACCAGCAAGCGATCATCAAATCATGTCTATGTTTTAAACTTAACTAGCTGTCTCATCTGGTCCCATGTTCCTGGAATGTAGTTTCAAGGATCCCCAATCTGCCCTCTGAAGGCCTTGCCCCGTCATGCCTCTAGGGGCAGGAGGCCCATACTTCCATGTCTTCTGACTCAGCTTGACCACAACATGGGATATTTGAAATCAGGGCTGCTGGGGAGAAATTCCAGAAGGACGGCCGCCGCCCCTGGTCAAAACTCCTGGTTCTAGAACACAGGAGAAGCCAAAGGCCGACAGCAAGTCAGAGCTACGTGCCAAGCCTCACCCCATGGTGGTGCAGGGTGTGCCGTCCTCAGAAGGTGAAGGCATACACCACGCCCACCACCACGATGTTCCCCAGCGTAGCTATGATGGCAATCCATAGCAAGACGGCGTCGTTGGAGGACCGAGGAGGATCTTCCGGCTGGCCCTGGCCATTGGCAGCCGCGTGGACATTGGCAGAGGAGTTAAACAGGGAGTACTCGGTGCTGAAGTCCTCGTTGGGCGAGTCCATGAAAGCTCCCCCCATCATGGGCAGCTGCAAAGAAGGAGAGAGAGAATTATCCAGGGCCATGGGGGCTTGGGCAGATGTACCCTGCAAAAGGGAAGTGGTCTGGTCAAACAACCCCACATGAAGCTACGATCTCTACTGCACCTGCAAAATGGGGCTTTGCTTTTGTGGTTTTATCATTGATGGTAATTTATAAAAATCAGTGTTCACAGCAGCCTTTTGAGGCAGACATTCTCATGCCCACGCTACTATGAAAGCATCAAGGAACTCACCCAACAGCTAGCTGGTGACTCACCAGGACTCACAGCAACCCCTCCAGCCATTCCCCTCCCCCCATGCCAGGCTCCTCCATAACGATATGGGTTGTAAAATGCCTTCATTCCTCTTCTAATTTTAAAAATAATATATGCTTAGCATAGAACCCTAAGAAAATATAAAACAGGATAAAAAATGAGAATCATGATCCCACCACATAATCAGTGCTAACATTTTGATGGTTTTTCTTTCCAATCTTTTTTTCCTCTGTGTGTGTGTGTGTGTGTGTGTGTGACAGAGAGAGAGAGAGACAGAGTGAGAGAGAGAGACAGAGACAGAGAGAAAACACATTTAAACGTGTTTTTTAATCCCTGTTTCAAAATGGCCATCAAAATTCCATTTTAACAATTGTGTATTATTCTATCATGAACATAAGCCACAGTTTAACCACTCCCCTAGTGTTGGAGATTTAGCAATTTCCACTTTTCCTATGATAAATGATGCACTGATCAACATCCTTGTACATCCATTAGCATGTACATGCATCATGGTACACACATTGTTATCTATTAGGGCAGACTCCCCGACACACAATTTCTGAGTCAATGAGTATGAACACTGTATACCTTCCGGTGGATAGGAACAAATACGCTAGAAGAGGTTCCCTAATTCCCACCGCCCACGCCGCACATCACTGCACACGGGATGCCAGAATGTTTGCATTCATGAATCAGAACTTCCTATTTCTGTTTTTAAAGGTTCTCTGCTGCTCAGACTTCAGGTGGGAGGTGGGGTGCTCCAAGGGAGGGGGTGATCCCGGACACAGCAGTGAAGAGGAGGCCCCTTCCTGCCCCAGCCCAGGAGGCCCATGTCCAGGCTTCCCAGGCCCTCTCCAGAGGCAGAATATGCATGTGCATTCCTGGGCTGGCACTGACACCTATTTGGCCCATAATCAATGTTTCTTTTGAAGGGAACCTGAATGAATGAACATGACACAGTGAGGCCTGCATCGGATGCACAGTTACCGAGCACCGCATGAGACAGTATTCTGTGTGGAGCTCCTGCTATGGTCAGGGGCTGTGCTAGAGACATTAAAATACTCTCAATCACTCAACAATCCTGGTGGAGGCTAATACTGCAACCCCATTTTACAGGTGGATAAGCAGAGGTCAAGGCCATAGCACTAATCTGTGGTGGTGTCAGGGTTGAGTGCCACGAGTGTCTGACTGTGAGCCCAGGCACTCCCGGCTCTGCATGCAGCCCCATGGGCTTCAGGGTCAGGCTCCTGGAACATGAGAGGCACACACGTGCCTGGGCAGCTGCTGCTCAGAAGCTCTCTGGCCTGCCTTGAGTCTCAGTGGCCTCCTCTTAAAGGATGACCATTACCAGGTCACCAGGTGGCCCTTGAGCATCTGCTTCTGATGGACTCCTGCCAGGAGGCACTCGGCACCTATATTCCTAACATGGTGCTGTCCTTGAGGGGATGGAATAGGGCAGTTATTGACCTAGAGAGTGCAGTGACTGGAAAGGACTGCTATGGGGCTCAGGGCAGGCCAGGTGCAATTTCTGAGTGGGGGCTGCAGGTTACCATGCTGTGTTCACCCCTCGTGGGGTACATTTTTATATGAGTACTTCTTATATGTATAACATATTCTATTACTATATTTCAATTAAATATAATGACCAATGCAAACAAGAATATTACAACAGTTTTTTATGCTAAAAATACAATTATAAGTGTAAATAAAAGAATTGCAGGTCAGATGGGGTGTGGGTGCATCAGACACATGCCAGCCTAATGGGAGGCTTCCCCTTCCCCAGGCGACATCATCGGTGCCTTTGCCCAACCTGTCCACAACAGAAGGCCTCCAGGCTAAGGTAAAGCCACCAACATTTGCTGGTGGCCTCTTGGAAAGCAGGCTCAGTGTGAGAAGCTGTGCTTTTTTCCTCTTGGGCATGACGGGGGCTGCAGGGGATTGTTCTGCCCCCACATCCCCCCGCGACCCCTGCCAGATTCCCAGGAATTAACCAGCGTTCCTGTCCCTTCCCACTCATTGCTTCTTGTCTCTTCTCTCTCACCAGGCCCATGCTGCTGGCTGCTCAGACAGATGTCTCCCTGGACTCCACGAATGGGATCTGAGCCACTCTCCCACCCTATGGAGCTCTCTGGGCATATGTCCTGTCTCTCTCTTCTCTTTAGGGCAAATGTGAATGAGATGAGTATTTTCATCCAAATCACTGGGGAAAGAGGAAGGGAACCTGGACAGAGCCTTTTGTAGGGCTCCCGCCAACCAGGCCATCAGGTGGCCCTTGAGCACCTGCTTCTGATGGGTTCCTGCCAGGAGGCACTCGGCACCTGTATTCCTAACATTCCTGCCAAACGGGTCAGGGTGATGCCCTCCAGCCTCTGCACCCCTCCCTTCTCTGCCTCCCGGCAGGTATTTATTTAATAGCTTTGCAGGTCAGTTTCCTGTCGCTGCTGTGACTAATTCCCACAAGCACAGTAGCTGAAAACAACACTAATGTATCATACAGTTTCAGAGGTCTCACTAGACTAAAATCGAAGTGTTGGCAGAGCTGCACTCCTTCTGGAGGCTCTAGGGGACAATCTGTTTTCTCGCCTTTCCCAGCTTCTAGAGGCCGCTCACATTCCTGGGCTCATGGCTGGGCTCATGGCCCCTTCCTCCATCTTCAAAGCCAGTAGTGTAATATCTTCCAATCTCTCTCTCTCATCTTCCAGCCTCGCTCTTATAAGGGCCCTTGTGATGACATTGAGCTCCCCTGGCTAATCCAGGCTACTCCTACCATCTCAAAATCCTTAACTTAATCACACCTGCAAAGTCCTTTTGGCCATGAACGGTAATCCATCCACAGGTTCTAGGGGTTAGGACGTGGACATCCTTGGTGGGGGCATCACTCTGCTGACCATACCCCAGACTTCCGTTCCAGAAAGGAGTCAGGATGGTGTGCATAACTGGATGTCCACCTCCCATTAGACAGAGAACTCTTGAAGGCAAGGATATGGTCTACTCATCACAAACCCCCTCAGCCCCATCCTTAACATACAAAAAAAGTGACAAGTAAAAGCATGCAGAATTAATGAACTTGAAATCAGCAGAAGGGCTCCCCACAGGCGGTACTTCATAAACCCCAATCCTGGAGCTCCCAGCCGTGGGACAGGCCTCATGGGGAGTCCCCTTTGCCCTGCACCTGTAGTGGGAGCTCAGAACTGCCAAAGAGGATGGTCAGTGTGGGACGGATTCTGCTGTCTCAGAGCGTGGGAAATGAGGGTGGGTTCTGGTGTCAGAAAGGCTTGGGGCTGAATCCTGCTTTGCCACATATGGTGGAGCTTGGGTGAGTTACTTACCCACTTGCCTCAATTTCCCTTCTATAAGTAATGAAGAGAATGCAGTCCAACCAGCGAGATTGTTGCAAGCAGTGAATAAGATCATGTATAAGAAAGCATGGCCCAAGACAGTTACGCAATGATTACCAATATTCCTTCCCTCTGTCGTCCTTGTAGGACAGTATCACATGCATCTCTTATCCAGCTGCTTAAGCTAAAGTGAGGAAATCAGGAACACGGCATTTCTGGTCATGTGCTTTTTGTGTGATCGATAACCAGGTACTCATTTTCAGTTGTCAGCAGATGGCCACCCGTGCCCCCTAGTGTATGCTGAGACAGGCGGCTGAGAGGTGCTCCAAAGCTGGTCAGCCCTGTTGCTCCATCCATCTGTCTCAGGTTTGTTGGTTTTATTTTGTTTTGATATTTTTTTTCTTTGTAAAATAGGTTCTAAATGGAAAGTGCTGAGTTAGACATAACAATAACTTCCAACAGCAGAATTCCATGACTCAAAAACAAAAAGTCAGTCTCAATTCCATCATTTGGAAGTTACAAAAATTTGATCAGGAGCTGGCTTGTGGTCAGAATGAGGGGTGTTGGCTGAGGTCATCCTGGAAGCAGGTGATGAGAGAATGTCACTCTCAAAGCCCACCCGACCAGCTCCAGTCTACTTTTAGCCACTTTTAAAGATGCCCTTCTGGTGGCACGCCACTGCTGGAAATGAGCAACAGGGTTTTCTCACGCCAGTGGGCAAGGGTGGCCACTGGCCTTCAGAGAATGGGATTCTTGGATGAGGTTTTGACTCAGAGCAGATTTGGGGGCGTGAGCCTAACCTTAAACCCTAGAAAAGCTACTGTGCAGAAGACAGAGTGGCTTAAGAGGGCAGAACAAGAAAACTAGTCTCTTCTTGCTGAGTTAGACACTGGCAACCAGGACAACACAGGGTGACCTGGGGGGCGAGGGGGGCTTGTTTCCCTATCGGAGGAGATATTCACATCAAGATTAAAAAAAGAAACAACAACAACAAAAAAACATTTGTTGGCCGGGTGCGGTGACTCATGCCTGTAATCCCAGCACTTTGGGAGGCCAAGATGGGAGGATTGCTTGAGGCTACGAGTTCAAGATCAGTCCGGGTAACATAGTGAGACTCCATCTCTACAAAATATAAAAAAAATTAGCGGAGTGTGGTGGTGCACACTTGTGGTCCCAGCTACTAGGGAGGTTGATGTGGGAGGATCGCCTGAGCCCAGGAAATCATGGCTGCAGTGAGGTCTGATGGCACCACTGCTTTCCAGTCTGCGTGCCAGCGAGACCCTGTCTCAAAAAAAGAAAACAAAAACACTTGTTGGCTTGTTGAAGACAGAAGGCTGTATTTTCTGCCTACGCTTTTCCGAAGGCAGGGCTCTTCCACAGTATCACAGTATCCCCAATGCCTAGACCAGAGCAGACACTCAAAAAATATTTGGTAAATGAATGAATCCTAGGACCATCAGTCAAGAATCCTGAGGGCGTGATGAGATTTAGCCCCAGGGCCAACATTGCCTCGTGGTGTGATCTAGGCCCACTTCTTAATCTCTCTGAGGCAGAGGTTTCTCAGTTAAAAACAGAGGAAATAATAAAGACAGCCGTATAGAAGGGGGCTGCTGGGAGGTTCTTAACACTGGATGAAAAATGCTTTCTAGGGGAAAAGGCAAGTCACAAAATAAACTCCGATAGCATTCTTGAAATCAAAAACATGCATGCATAATATGACCATGTACTATGCATGGATTTATACAAATGTTAGTAAAAGTACCAACTTGGATTGTGAAGCCAGATTCATGATCGTGGCTGCCTCTGGGAAAGGGGGAGATGGGACAAAGCAGACTGATTTCATCTGCAGTCGTTTCTTATAAGGAAAGACAAGGCAAACATGATGAAATATTATAAATGGCCTATTCTGGTCAGTGGGTATACGAGTGTCTGTTATTTTTTGGTATTTTTGAACTTCCTAAAATTAAGAGCAGTGCTTTGAGCATTGGAGTGCACCAAACGCGTGATGGTTATAATCAGTTGTGGCCGTGGGATTAAGTGCTCTCTGAATTCAGAAGGGTGCCCCAGGCTTGGGGTCCCTGCCCCGCAGTGTCGGGGCACCATGTAGCATGGGGTGGCTGAGTGCGATGTGGGGTGTTCCAGGTGGTCCGGGCCATTGTGGAAAATGGGACAGCATCCTCCAGGGGCCTCAGAGGGCCCTGCCTTCCCAACAGTCTCCATGCTGCTCCAAGGAGTGGGGTGGCCTTTAGGCCTCCACCTGTTCCTACTAAGGAGGTGACCGTTATATAAATCTCCCCTAAGCTCCACCTCTACAGAGAAAGGAACGGAAAACGGTTTCAGAAGGAAATCTTCAAAGCGTGGTTATCAGAGGTGACCCCAGCAGGCCTTTCAGAGGATGGGTAAACACAAAACAATAGAAGGGTGATTGTGATGGCTTGTGATACGGGGGCCACCAGACCCTCCTCCATTAGATGCAGTCTCAGTGCCTGTCTTGGCTGAGCCCGTTCTGCAGCAACCTGGCCTCGAACAGTTAGAATCTGATGCTCCTGGGCTATGAATTTTAAAGTTAAATTTGTGTGGGGGTAAAGACAACCATGTCCCCAGTGGGCTGTGCTGCTCCCACACTGCTCTGGGCCTGGAGACCTGAGATCTGGCCCTGCTCCAGCCCTGCCCTGTCTTGGATCCTTACACACTAGGGAGTGGCTTGGATGGGGTGACATCTAAGGTCAGAAGTCCCTGCCCAATACTAAGAAGGCTGAAGTCAGTTATAGACGGGCCTAAAGTGAGAGTCTGTGTGGCAAATATTGCCATATAAACCCTTCAATAAAATTCTCAAACAAAATTTAAGATGCCTACTTAAATTCGAATTTCAAATAAACAACACAATTTTTAGCATAAGTATATCCCACATATTAGCATAAGTATATCCCACATATCACACAGCCTATACTTATCCTAAATAATTATTTGTTGTTTATCTGACAATGAAATTTAACTGTGCATCTTTTATTTGCTACATCTGACAACTCAATATGTGGCTAATCTAAAAACTAGCAGCAATTTCAGAATTTGTACAAGGGACCACGCCTTCAGTTTTGTCTCTTCAGAACACACCATCTGTGGCCCAGGCTCTCTGGGGGACCTAGCACATCAGAAAATTCCAGAGAAGACTCCACTTAGTGTACAAACATTCTAAAGATAATTTCTCTCATCACTAAATTCTCGCAGGGTCTCTGTGGTCTAAACATAAAGGCTGGACAGATTTGAATACCATCCATCCATCCTTTCATTATTCATTCAACAAATACCAAAGGCCCACTTGCACCAGGAAGACCAGGAAGTGATAGACAGACATTAGGCACACCAAGGGTTACTCATGACTTCGGAAGGGCTCAACATTTAAAAAGAATATAGACTGAAACACACACAGTCATAAAATGGTGTCATGTGCACTTTCACAGAGAGAGGAAAAAGGTGATGGGATTTCGACGGGGTGAAGACATTTCGGCTAGAAAGAGGCAACACAGGTTGGGATTCATTATAAGAGCTGCAGAATCAGGCATGAGACTGAGCTCCTGCGTGGTTCCTTTTTAGCTGTATGATGAGGGCAAGTGACTAACCATCCAATGCCTCAGCTTCCTTATCTGTAAAATGAAGATAAGAGCAGGAACCACCTCCTAAGGTGCTATGGCGTGACAGAAACTCACAGCACTCGGCTGTACGTGTTCCATGCTCGTGAACTGTCATTGTAAGTTTCATCCTTGCTGCCTGGCCCCATGACTCCCAAGGCAGAGAGCTGGACCTGCTGTCTCAAGGTGTCTCCAGAGTGGGGTCTCTTTTGATTTTCTCCATTTTCCACTTTTGGGTCTGGTTTATTTTATGTGGATTACACTGGGAACGTAAGAAAGGAAATGGAAGGTGCATGGCTAGGTACACGCTGATCCCCTCATAAATGTCCTCTGACGGGGAGGGCTGAAGCCCCACAGAGCAGGAGGGTCAGCAAAGGGTGGAAAGCACCTGAGTTTTCATTTCCCATTTGTGGACTCTTACAAATCAGCAGGAACTGCTGGGAGGCTGGGCTCTTAATGGCACAGCGGCCTCCTGAGCTGGGGCGGGCAGGACTGCAGGACCGTGAACAGGCAGGCAGGTCCTCCTGAAGGGATGGGTGGTACCTGAAGGGGTCCCAAAGGGAGATGTAAGATCTTGGTGCCAGCCCAGTCTGCCTGCTGGACTGGGCCACTTCTTTTGCTGGATCTGTTCCCTGTCTCAACATGAGAACTCCTGCCTGGGACCCACAGGACCATTATGAAACTAGGAGAGTATGAAAAAATGCTTGCGGTGCCGGCACAGATAGAGTAAGCCCAGGCAAGCTCCAACAAGCAATGGCCGAGGCCCCTGGCAAGAAGGCGGCAACAGCTGGCTCGGGGAAGGAAGATAAACCTGGAGAAAGACAGGCATCATGAGCTTACTGGGGTTTTTGCCTTTTTTATCTCCCAGGACTGAGCACAAAAGCTCTAGAAGAAACCCCCTCTCTCTAGACAGAAGACTGAGAAGCCAGGCTCCTGTGAGCTGGCAGTTTGAGGGGAATCCCCGATTTTTACTTGTTTTCTCTTTTTTCTCTCCTGGTCCTGCCTCTCAAAGCAGTGTCAGTTGCTGAGCTGTGTTGCCACGGTTGCGATGGCAGCAGTGACAGTTCCGCTGGCCAGAGGAAGCCAGGGAAGGGCCCCATGGTCTGAAGAGTGTGGGGGCTCCCTTGATCTCTTCCATTTTCTCTCACTGCTTTGCCTGCAGGGTGCCCTGGCAGTGCAGACCTCTGCAGCAGCACATGAGGATGCAGCGGGCAGAAACGCAGGCTTTGCAGCCAGAGGGTTACACAGAAAGGCCCATGGGAGCTAGACAGTGTCAGGGGAACCCAGAGGGAGGAAGCTGGAGAAGGGAACCCCCTAAGTTTGTGGTGTGAACCTGTACATATTTTGGGCTCACCCCAAACTGCATGCACAAAAGAGATTCAAAGGAGCACAGTAAAGGCTCTGATAACTGAACTATGGTGCAAACCCCTGCCATGTCGAGACTAACCCCTGAGGGGTGCACCTGCAAGACACACCCAAACGACATGCAACCACTGCTTATAGAAGGTGACAGAGAATTTTCAGACCAGACCCAAACTGCCAAAACAAAGCGATGCTCTAAAAGTTTTAACAAGACACAGTGTACTAGTTAGCTCTGGCTGCCATACAAAGTACCCCAGACTGGGTGGCTTAAACAGCAGAGATTTACATCCTCACAGTCCTGGAGGGTGGACGTCCAAGATCAAGGTGTCGGTAAGGCTGTTTTCTTCTGAGGCCTCTCTCGTTGGCTTGCAGGTGGCCACCTTCTCCCTGTGTCTTCACATGGTCTTCCCTCTGTGCATGTCCGTGTCCTAATTTCCTATTCTTATAAGGATGCCAATCATACTGAACTAGGGCATATCCTAGTGACCTCATTTTAACTTAATCACCCCCTTTAAAGACCCTATCTCCAAATACACTCATGTCTAAGGTATTGGGAGTTAGGGTTTCAACATAGGAATGGTGGGGTTGAGGGAGGGGGCAACAACTCAGCCCATAGCCCCCAGCATCTCACAACATAATATTCAAAACACCCAGAATCCAGTCCAAAATTATCACACCTCAGCACTTCTCTCTTGGTATAGAAAGAAATAGGAAATCAACAAGGACACAGAAGACCTGAATGTCACCATCAACCAACAAGATCTAACTGACGTGTACTGAACCTTCCACCTGACAACAGAATGCACGTTCTTCTCATGGGCACGTGAAATAGTCACCAGGACAGACCATATCCTGGGTCATAAAGCAAACCTTCACAAGCTTAAAGGAATCAAAATCCTATGAAATATGTCTTCTGATCATAATGGAATTAAACTAGGAGTCAATAACAGAAAGACATTGGGGAAATCTCCCAAAACTTGGAAGCTAAATCACACACTCCTAAATAATCCATGGATCAAGAGGGAAGTCTCAAGGGAAACTAGCAAATATTCTGAACTGAGTAAAAGTGAAAATACAAGTTATCAGCACGCATTGATGCAACTAAAGCAGTGCTTAGAGAAAAATTTATAGTACTAATTGTTTATATGAGAAAAGAAGAAAGGTCTCAATTTAATAATCTAAACCAACCTTGTCCAACCCACAACCCACGGGCTGCATGCATCCCAGGACAGAATGTGGCCCAACACAAATCCATAAGCTTTCTTAAAACATTACTAGATTTTCCTGCATTTTTTTTTTCTCATCAGCTATCATTAGTGTTAGTGTATTTCATGTGTGGACCAAGGCAATTCTTCTTCTTCCAATGTGGCCCAGGGAAGCAAAAATGTTGGACACCCCTGATCTAAACTATACCTTAAGAAATTAGGAAGAGGGGAAGATTAAATTAAACCCAAAGCATACAGAAGGAAGGAAATAATAGAGATAAGAACAAAACTCAATAAAATTGAAAACAGAAACAATAGAGAAAAATCAGTGACTCTACAAACTGGTTCTTTTAAAAGATCAATAACAATGATAAACCTCTCGCCAGGCTGAGCAAGAAGGGAGAAAACACAAATTACCAATATCAGAAATGGAAAAGGGATATTGCCACAGATATTACTGACAGCAAAAGGGCAGACAATAAGGAATTACTGAGATAATTAAAAACAACTGCATACCCATAGGTTTGACAATGTAGGTGAAATGAATCAATACCTTAAAAAACACAAACTACCAAAACTTACTCAAGAAAAAAAGATAAACCACACAGTCCTTATAGCTATTAAATAAGTTAAATTTTTGGTTAAAAATCTTCTGGGAAAAAATCACCAAATGATTTTATTGAAGAATTTACCAAAAATATAAAGAAGAAAAATACAAGTTGTAGACATTCTGTTCCAAAAAATAAGAGGAGAGAACATTTTCCAACTCATTTTATGGAACACTTCCCAAATCATCTTAATGAGGCAGCATTACTCTGCTAACAAAATCAAAGACATTACAAGAGCAGAAAACTGTGGATCAATATCTCAATTGAACAAGACAAAAAGTAGTCAACGAGATATTGGTAAATTAAATCCAGCAATATATAGAGAAGATAATGCAAAGCATTCAAATATTCAACATCCAAAAAAAATCAATCCTTACAATTCATGCCACACTGACAGAACTATGAAGAAACAAAACAATCATATCAGTAGATGCAGAAAAAGCATTTGACAAAAGTAAACATCCACTCATGATTTAAAACTCTTAGTAAACTAGAAATAGAAGGGAACTTCCTGGATCTGATAAAGAACATCTAGAAAACAAAACCAAACAACCTATAGCTAACATTATACCTAATGGTGAAAGAGTGAATGCTTCCCTCTACGATCTAGGAATACGAGAGGATGTCTAACCTCACCACTCCCATTCAAAATCACACTGAAAGTTTTTGCCAGTACAATAAAGCAAGAAAAAGAAATAAAAGTCATATATATATAGAGATGCCTTATATATAAAGAAGACATAAAACTATCTCTAATTGCAGAAGAAATGATTGTCTATACAGAAAATCTCAAGGAATTTCCAAAACATCATATAACTAATAACTGAATTTTGAAAGGTCATAGAACACAAGGTCAATATTAAAAGATCAATTGTGTTTCCACACTCAAGCAACAAACAATATGAACTTTAGCCAAAAAGCACCATTTACAACAACACCAAAAAATAAAATACTTAGCCTAGATCTAACAAAATACGTGCAGGATCTGAATGCTGAAAACAACATACTGATGAAATAGCAAAGAAGATCTAAATAAATGGAGAGAAATACTATGGTCATGAAATCAAAGACTCAATATTGTTAAGATGTGAATTCTCCCCAGATTGATGTAAAACCTCAATGCCATCCCAATGAAGATCCCAGCAGGAATGTTTGTCAATGCCAACAAGCTGATTCAAACATTTATTTGCAAAGGCAAAGGACTAAGCATAATCAAAACAATTTTGAAAAAGAAAACAAATTTGGTGAACTCATGCTACTGTATTTCAAGACTTACGATAAAGCTACAGTTATCAAGACAGTGTAGTGTTAGCAAAAGGATGGATGCATACATTAAATAGAGGGTCCAGAAATGAGATGCACATAATATGGCCAATTAATTTTTGAAAAAATTGCAAAGGCAATTCAATGGAAAAAGGATAGTCTTTTCAACAAATGATGCTGGAACAAGTGGACGTCAATATGCAACAATATATAGAGAGACAGAATATGTGAACTTGGAACCCAATCTCTTACACAAAAATTACAAAACAGCTGCAGCAAAAAAAAAAAAAACTCATGCCTTATACAAAAAACTCAAAATGGATCTTAGACCTAAATGAAATCATAAAACTATAACACGTTTAGAAAAATATGTTAAGAGAAAAATGTCTGTAATCTTATGGTAGGCAGAGTTATTAGATCCAACATCAAAAGCATAATCCATACAAGAAAACACTGCAAACTGGATTTTATTAAAATTAAAAACATTTTCTCCATGAAAAACACCATTAAGAGAATGAAAAGACAAGCCACAGGCTGAAAGAAACTATTTACAAATCATCTATCTGACAAAGAACTTATAAGTAGAATATATAAAGAACACTGAAAACTCAACAATAAGAAAACAACCCACTTTGTTTTTTCCTTCAACTTCTATTTCAAGTTCTGGGGTCCATGTGCAGAAGGTGCAGGTTTGTTGTTACGTAGGTTAACAAGTGCCATGTGGTGTGCTGCACAGATCAACCCATCACCTAGGTATTAAGCCCGGCCTCCATTAGCTATTCTTTCTGATGCTCTCCCTCTTCCCACCCTTCCCAACAGGCCCCAGTGTCCCCCATGTGTCCACGTGTTTTCATAGTTCAGCTCCCACTTGTAAGTGATAACATTCAGTGCTTGGTTTTCTGTTTCTGTGTTAGTTTGCTGAGGATAACAGCTTCCAGCTCCATCCATGTCCCTGCAAAGGACATGATCTCATTCCTTTTTATGGCTGTGTAGTATTCCATGGCATATATGTACCACATTTTTTTATCCAGTCTATCATCGATGGGCATTTGGGTTGATTGCATGTCTTTGCTCTTGTGAATAGTGCTGCAATGAACATACACATGCATGTATCTTTTTAATAGAATAATTTATTATATATTCCTTTGGGTATAGCCCCAATAATGGGATTGCTGGGTCAAATGGTATTTCTGCTTCTAGATCTTTGAGGAACTGCCACACAGTCTTCCAAAACGGTTGAGCTAATTTACACTCCCACCAACAGTATAAAAGCATTCTTTTTCTTTACAAACTTTCCAGCATCTGTTGTTTCTTGACTTTTTAATAATCACCATTCTGACTGGCGTGAGATGGTATCTCACTGTGGTTTTGATTTGCATTCTCTAATGATCAGTGAGGTTGAACTTTTTTTCATAGGTTTCTTGGCCACATGAATGTCTTCTTTTGAGAAGTGTCTGTTCATGTCCTTTGCCCACTTTTTAATGAGGCTGGAAAACAACCCAGTTTTAAAAATAGGTAAAAGATCTGAACAGCTAAATAGGAGATATGTCACTGAACAAGAGATATATATACAGAGGGCAAATAAACACTTGAAAAGGTGTTCATCATCATTAATTAGGGAAATGTAAATTAAAACTACTATGAGATAACACTACACATCTATCACAATGGCTAAACTTAAAAAAAAAACCTGATGTTCCTAATTTCTGATGAGAAATTGGAGCAACCAGAACTCTTGTACCTTGCTGTGGGAAGCAATTATGCAGCCATTTAAAGAAAGCAGTTTAGCCAGTTCTTACAAAGTTAAACATATGTTTATCATATGACCCAGAAATCCCACTCCTACGTATTTACCCAAGAGGAATAAAAACTGGTGTTCACCAAAAACCTGTGTGCAAATGTTTACAATAGCTTTATTCATAGCTGCCCTACACTGGAAACAACGCGAATGACTTTCAACTGGTAAATGGGCAAACTGTCTACATTCACCCAATATAATCCCACTTGGCGATAAAAATGAACAGGTTATTGATGTCCGCAATGACACGGGTGAATCTCAAATGCATTAGGTTACACTGAATGAAGCTATGTGGAAAAGGCCATTTAGATGGTATTCTGGATGATGCAAAAAACAATGGGGTGGACAACAGCAGAGACAGGGATGTGTCAGGTAGTGGGTGGTTGACCGCAAGAGGCAGCAAGAGGAGATATTTTGGAGTGATGGAAAGTTCTAAATTTTTATTGTGGTCATGGTCACAGGGTTCTGTGCATTTGTTACAAGTTAGAGAACCGTATCATCCCCTCCACCAAAACAATTTTCTGGTATGCATATTAGCAAGTAAATCAAAAGCACACCTGGGAAGGAGACTGCAGCATTTGCTCTGAGCCAGGCACTGTGGCAAGCCCGGCGTTCACCATTCCATGCAGTCCTCAGGGCCCCTGGGAGGTGGTGGTGGCCTTCCCACTGCACAGACTCAGCTGAGGCCCAAGCACCCAGGGTCAGGCTGGACCCCAAACCACATCTGCCTCCACGTCCCAAGCTCTTTCTACAGCGCCAAGATTTTACTGCATATATGACAAAGGTGCTTGGCAAATCGAGACTCAGTGGACCTCAGCCCATAGCAGAGATCACTGTGGTGTTTCGACAGGCCTGCAGAACATGCGACAACTCTCCTGAGGAAGTGCTCGGAAGGATTCTCCAACAGCGTGGGCACGGCTCCCTGAGTCCCAGGCCTTTCCATTCATATCCCCCACCTTAACCCTGATGGCCATTCCGACTTGGAGGATCTCTTGAGCCCTGCATGACCATTGTGGAGTCTGAGTAAGAGGCAACTCCAAAAAGAGCTTCTCCCTTCACACCAGGTCTCCCTTCACCTCTCTGTGAGGCCACATTCACATGGCTCTCCCAGGCATGCCCCAGAACTGTGCTGAAGCTCAAGCTGATTGATTTCAGCAAAAGTCCTTTGTGACGAAGGCCCAGGGCTGGACAGGCACAAGGCGATGTCCACCAGCCCTGGCAGGGCACCCTGTGTGCCCCACCTCCCTGCAGCTGTCTACACTCCCCCTGGGGCTGGTCTTCTGCTGAGACATCTGGGGCTTTCACTCACCACAGAAGGGGGCCCAGCTTCCCGAGGTTGAGTGGCACCATCCCTCAGGGTGGCAACAGGCTAGGTCCACAGGCTGCCATCTGAACCCCTTCAGGAGAGAGGGCTGGGACTGTGGCAAGCTGGCCAAAGACTGGGGATCCCCAGGGGGCAGTGTGTGTTCACGGCTTAATTGGGGTGACAGTAGTAGCAATGATGGCAATCAGAACACTTGAGTTTATGCCACCAAATCCAGGGAAAGTGGAGAAGAGACTGGCTTGCTTGCATTTCACTATAGGAGAAAGACTCCTGGTGATGAAGGCTTGAAGGGAGACATGGGCAACAGAGGAAGAGTGAAATGGTTTGGCTGTGTCCCCACCCAAATCTCATCTTGAATTGTAGCTCCCCAAATCCCCATGTGTTGTGGGAGGGACCTGGTGGGGGGTAATTGGATCACGGGGGCAGTTACCCCCATGCTGCTGTTCTCGTGATAGTGAGTGAGTTCTCACACAATCTCATGGCTTTATAAAGGAGCTTTCCCCTCTTTTGCTCAGCACGTCTCCTTCCTGCCATCATGTGAAGAAAAACGTGTTTGCTTCCCCTTTCGCCATGATTGTAAGTTTCCTGAGGCCTCCCCAGCCATGTGGAACTGTAAGTCAATTAAATCTCTTTCCTTTATAAATTACCCAGTCTCAGGTATGTCCTTATTAGCATCATGATAATGGACTAATACAAACCTCATTGGATGTTGCTTCCCCTTCTCAGCACATCACCAAAGGCTCAGAGTGAGCTCAGCGGTCTCTGCAAACTGCATACAATGATCGATGACCTTTACAGTGTGGCAGTCATTAACTCACAGTGGTTTAGCTGCCTTTCAGAGACCCTACTACCCTAGGGATGGAGAAACTAAGGTGATGCAGGTGCACCCCATGAGGACACAGGGCATGCAGCTACTCCCCTGCACACCTTCCATTGGAATCTTCAGAACTGCCAATGACTCTGGTGGGGTAATTTCTATCCGTGCCTTTAACAAAAGGGGATGCAGAAACTGCCTCTAGAAAGGGTTAAGCGATTTGCCTAAGGTTAGTCCCTCAGCTAGCAAGGAGTAGAAGGGGTCAGTGCAGTGTGTGTGTGTGTGTGTGTGTGTGTGTGTGTGTGTGAGAGAGAGAGAGAGACTTCATCTACCCTGGCAAATGAACCTTTGCAATCCAGTTCAAATCAGAATCTGGGTTTCCTGGGACATGCTTCAAGTGTCTCCTCCTCCCTAAGGACTTGCATTTCTACAAACCTGGCTCCAGTTTTATCTGCCATGGGCTTCCTCAAGGAGAGAACTTTAGACGGTGCAGAAGGAGAAGAATGAGGCGGTGATAGGTAACCGTCTCCAGAAAGGGAAGGCTGGGCTGAGGTCAGCTCCAGTGATCCAAGGGAAGGATGGCTACCTGGCTCATGAGACACTGAGGTGGGCAATCAATTATTTAAAAAGTAAACAACGAGGTAAAGAACGTAGGACTCTAGGCACCTAGATTTAATTACCAAGAAAAAGGGACAATTCCAAGGGGCACAACCTGAGTGCCCTCCACAGCGGAAAACCCTCATTTGTCCACAAGGCTCCTACTTCATAGGCTCTTGGTTTAGCCTTGGCTACAAGTGGAGGTGAGGTCTGGGGATGCATTTCAGTAAATCTACCTGGCTTAGTACAAAAGTCGGCCCCTCTTCCTGGGGCAGGGCTCTCCGATGTGGAATATTAAGTGGAAGCAGGACAACAGCATGCTCTGTGAATTTCCTCCACGGGGTCTTGGAAGGCCCTGGAAGAAATGCTAATGAGCACAGGTTTGAAGACTTCTCCTTAGGGAGATGTCTGTGCCAAGAGCATCAAAATAAACTTCCAGGCTGTAAAAATAAAGGTTGGTTGGTGTTTGCTGGGAAGAAGGGATCTCAAAGTAGAAAGCCATCCTCTCCAAAATAATACATGTTGAGGTCCTTTAAAACTTAACAAAAAAGCAGGATTTTGTGGCATGCATTTCCACATCATCAAGGCCCTCAACTCCATTACATAAGTAACTCATGGAGGTCCCTGGTCAGATGTCAGCCTCTGAGTCCTGGGCCTTTGAAGCCAGTGCAGGAGGCTGAAGCCTTCAAAAGCCTCCTGCCTGCCCAGGCTGACTGCGCCAGCTCCAAACTGGGCTGCCAGTTGTCCAGCTTCATGCACATCCCATGCCTGCCCTGGCTAATCATGGTGTGCCTCACAGGGAGGTGGAGGTGGTGTCTTCCCACCACACAGGTATTATAACTGAGGCTTTGATAGTTTAAATATTTCCAAAGAACCAGAAACTAAATTCAAATTGCCTGAGTATCACGGTATACTTTGCAATATTCCAGGATTATAGAAATCAATAGTCTCTACCAAATCTGTGTTAGTCCGGGTTCTCCAGAGAAACAGAACCAATAACATATATATATATATATATATATATATATATATATATATATATATATATATGAACATAAACAGAACCAATAACATATATATGTGAACATAAACAGAACCAATAACATATATACATATATATATATATACATATATATATGAAGAGATTTATTATGAGGAAGTGGCTTACACAATTATGGAGGCTGAGAAACCCCACCATCTGTCACCGGCAAGCTGGAGACTCAGGGAAGCTGGTGGCATAATTCAGTCCTAAGTCCAAAGGCCTGAGAACCAGAGGAGCTGAGGGGGTAAAACCCAATCCGAGAGCAGAAGACCAATGTCTCAGCTGAAGCAGGCAGGCAGGAGATAAAAGTGGAGAATTCCTTTTTCCTTCTCCCTCAGTGGACTGGTTGATGCCACTCACATTGGAGAGGATCATCTGCTTTACTGGGTCCATAGATTGAAATGCTAACCTCATCCAGAAACACTGTCATGGACACACCCAATCTGGGCATCCCAGGGTGCAGCCAAGTCGACACTTTAAATGAACCATCACGGTCCTCTGGTGCTCAGCACAGCCCCTGGAGCACAGCACATGCTAAAGGTGACAAGAGCTAATGGGCGGAACTTTGCACAGAAGCCAGGTGCATCGGCTTTTGCTGATGAATGTGGCCAAGCTTTCCTCCCAGGGGTAGTAAGCGGCTGCTGCTCCCTACATGGTCCGTGTGCTCATCCTGAGGGAGGCAGAAATAGAGAGCTCCAAAGAGTCCCAGCTTTGGTCTCATCTGGAAGTGAGAAATCCTTTTCTACTCCCTGTAGAGGGTATCAGTGGGTGGGGTCTGCCTCTTTCTACAGACAGGGAGGCTGAAGGCTGGAATCAGCGCCCACGAATCTGCAGTGAGTGCCCGCTGGACGGGCACGGAGCACCCCGCCTAAGATCACTCACATCACACACCTGGGAATGGCATCCAGGCCTTCTCCAATCCCCAAACCCCAAAGGCTTTCTCATTAACTTGCCCAGCCCTGCAACACGTTGAGGTGACATCCTGCAGAGAACTGGCCTCCAAATCTGGCCGTTTTGCTGAAAAAACATAATCTGCTCTTTCATTAAGCTTTCCAACACACAGGGAGCTACCGAGCCTTTCTGTGCTGTTCGCCCACGCAGGGTGCAGTTAAGGGAAAGATTTGCTACTGGGTATCAGTACTTGCCACTCTCCTTGACTAATGTTTCCATGCTGGAGAGTCTTCAATTTACAATGAGGTGGATGAAATAAAAATGAAAGCTAATATTTATTGAGAGCCCGCTATATGCCAGATATGGGCTGAGCACGTTACAGGCATGATTGGGTTTTATTATCGCAACCCTATGAGGTGGGTACTATCGTCACCCTTGTTTGACAGGCGAGGACACAGGCACACATAGTAAAGAAGACATAACTCTCTCTGGAACCCCTATAAGTGGCCACCTGCATATGCTAACATTGAGCAGGACAAAGAGGGCTGCTTTCTTCCCTCAAAGAGCACCTAAGCTGGTGGAAGGTAGAGGGCACGCCTACAGCACTCCAAGTGTGACCAGGCACAATGACACTGGGACCTACACTGAGTGCATGCTAATTTTTTTTTTTTTTTTAGGCGGAGTTTCACTCTTGCTGCCCAGACTGGAGTGCAATGGCCTGATCTCCGCTCACAGCAACCTCTGCCTCCTGGGTTCAAGCGATTCTCCTGCCTCAGCCTCCCGAGTAGCTGGGATTATAGGTGCCCACCACCACGCCCAGCTAATTTTGTATTTTTGGTAGAGATGGGGTTTCTCCATGTTGGTCAGGCTGGTCTCAAACTCCCGACCTGAGGTGATCTGCTCCCCTTGGCCTCCCAGAGTGCACACTAATTTTTAGAGCAATGTTCATGTTTGTTGCAGTGCCTCCCTTGTAAGCAGTTTACCACTGTGCTATCTTTCTGGTTCAGTGGAAGCTTTCAAAAGGGGTCCCACCCAGAGCCCAAGGATGGCAATGGGTTCAGGTCCAGTCCCCTGCAGTGGCCACACTGGCTTTCCTATCTCCCTGTGAACTGATGTGCCAGGTGTGCTCACGCGGCCACCTTGCTGCTGGCGCGACTGCCTTTGACAGAAGTGCTGGCACGCTGCTGCCTGCAGGTCCCTCTATCTATGCTCACTTCCTCTCCTGAGCCCCTTCTGGGCACCCCAGCACCTGGGCAAGGAAGAGCAGTATCTTTTGAGTAACAGCTGCTCTGAGACTGGCTGCTGTAACTTCATGGTGTCCCCTCATTTTCACAACAGCTCAGCATGAGATAGAGGTTTGGAGCTCAGAGAGGGATGTTCATTTCCCTGAGCTGGCACAGCCCATACGTAATTGATCAGAAATCAAACTCTAGATCTACCAACTCCTAACCCTCCTCACTCCAGGTTGAATTAACAGCTTTCTCTATTGGGGTCTTACACTAATTTATTCCTAGAACTGACAAAATATTTATTACATTACATTATATTTACTACATTACATGTATTATAGTACATTCTATTATATTACATTACAATATATTATGTTATGTTACATTATCTTATAGTTAGATGTGTACTCACATTACATTATAGTTAACTGTGTACTTGTCTATTTTTCTTAGGGACTGTGAGCACTTGTAGGATACGGGTTGAGTCTAACTTCTCTTTGAATCCCGGTGCCTAGCACATCTACTGACATAGAGCAGATGCTAAAAATATTTTTTATTAAAAAAAAAAGTTTACCCAAACAATTGCTGTGCACTGAGCTACTTGATGTAATATATACATGGTGGAGGAGCTGGCTCTATTTTCTGTGTGTCCGACATGCCTCAACCCACAGTTGGACCCAGGGAAATAAGGATATTTTTGGAAAGCCTGAGAGCATTTCAGAATTAAGAGGAAAAAGCAAATTCACCGCTTCTGAAAGTGTTGCCATAGTAACTCAGCACAACGCAGGGGGAGAAAACGCTGTCTCATCAGAGCACAGCATCTTAGATTAGCAATAATGGAAGAAGCACTTGCCCTGCGGGGACAGAAAGGCTCAGATGGTGTGGTCCAGGGCCCTGGGGACCTTGTCCTCCACGCGCATCCCATGGTCCATGGTGAGAATTCAGGGGACTGGGACAAGCCCCAGAGCCACAGCTTGCATTCAGAGGAGGCTGGCTAAGAACCTTAAGAAGAAACAGCCAAGGCCTGTTTGAGATGCCCCACCTCCCTGGCTGTACCTGAGGAGCTCCTCCACGTGGCTGTGGCTTCCTGAGGTGGGGATAAGGGGGAGGAGGCTGTGCCTCTGTTGGCTCAGCTATGGGAAGTTCAGGCCACTTTCACTGGATCTCAGCGGTCAAGCAAAGCAAGAGGATGGGGAGTTTAAAAATTTTCCCTTGGGGAAGAGCTGGCAAAGGTTGCCATAAATTAGTATTTATTCTACCCCAATTAACTCGATAGCATCTTTGAAGTGATTCAGCAGTGTCATTGGAACCAAATGGGCGTCCCCTGTGTGGGTCAGCAGCCTCCTAATCAGATTAAATTCCTTGCCACTGAGCAGAATAAAGTCTCAGGGCCTTAGGAGGATGGGTGGGGAATGTGTTTGTTCAATTGTTATCTCGTTCATTGGCTGAACAGACCTTTTACTGAGCACCTACTACATGCTGGGGGTGGAGGGGGTCAGGCTAGAAGCCAGAGGTACCAAGAAAAAAACTATGTAATCCCTATTTTGGAGGAAGAGAGAGAGAAGGGGAAAGTGGTGGGGGGTGATGAAGGCTAAGAGGAGAGGACAAAAGGAATAAAAGTGAAACTGAGCATCATTCTCCATCAGCGAGCACACGCATACTGGAGTGAAGCGGCGGCCGGGGCAACGGCAAGCCCAGGATGTTTACCTCCCTAAGTGGATCCTTTTGGTTTATTTTTAAACATCCTCTCCTCTATATGGCAAAATTGTCTTCAGTAGTAATCATGGCATGAAACAACAGCAACAAAAGGCCAGATTCTCCACTGGAGATGCACATCGGAATCTCCAGGAGGACGTTCTAAAATGCTATAGTCTCCTCCAACCAATGTAGCTCTCAGGGGAACACACTGCACCCTCCTCCCCAGGGGCACCTGTATGAGCAGAAGAGGAAGGCACAGAGGTGGCCATCCTGTGCCAACACAATCCGGCTCAGAACCCTGCAGCCTCACAGTTATTTCAGTACACCCAGCTGGGTCAGAAGCCAGAGAAAACTCCCCCGACCGCTACACATGATGTCCAGGAAGTCACGTCAAAACCCCCTACCTATGTATGGGAGGAAGACAGCACACTGGGTTAGGAAGAAAACAGGGCCAGAGAAGCTAAGGGAGGTGGCACCATGTGTGTGCACAATCCCTGCCAACCAGCAAAGCCTGTTCAACAGAGCTGGCCAGAGCGGAATCCCAGCATGGAAAATGCAAAATGCCAGGAGAGCAAATTAAGATGAGGACGTGACTTTTTTATTTTTTAATTTTTTTAATTTTATTTTTCCATGAGTTATTGGGGTACAGGTGGTTTGTGGTTGCATGAGTAAGTTCTTTAGTGGTGATTTGTGAGATTTTGGTGCACTCATCACCCGAGCAGTAGACACTGCACCGTATTTGTAGTCTTTTATGCCCCCTCTTCCACTCTTCCCCCAAGTTCTCAAAGTCCATTGTATCATTCTTGTGCCTTTGCATCCCCACAGCTTAGCTCCCACATACCAGTGAGAACATATGATGTTTGGGTTTCCATTCCTGAGTCACTTCACTTAGAATAAGAGTCTCCAATCTCATCCAGGTCACTGCAAATGCTATTAATTCATTCCTTTTTATGGCTGCCTAGTAGTCCATCATATATATATATACATACATATACACATATATATACACATATATATGTGTATATATGTGTATATATATACATATATGTATATGTGTGTGTGTGTGTGTGTGTGTGTGTGTGTATATATGCACCCTAGTTTCTTTATCCACTCGATGATTGATGGGCATTTGGGTCAGTTCCACGATTTTGCAGTTGTGGATTGTGCTGCTATAAACATGCCTGTGCAAATATCTTTTTCACATAATGACTTCTTTTCCTCTGGGTAGATACACAGTACTGGGATTGCTGGATCAAATGGTAGTTCTACTTTTATTTCTTTAAGGAATCTCCACACTGTTTTCCATAGTGGCTGTACTAGTTTACATTCCCACCAGCTGTGTAGAAGTGTTTCCTGCTCACCACATCCCTGCCAACATCTACTGTTTTTTGATTATGGCCATTCTTGCAGGAATAAGGTGGTATCGCATTGTGGTTTCGATTTGCATTTCCCTGATGATTAGTGATGTTGAGCATTTTTTCATATGTTTGTTGGCCATTTGCATATCTTCTTTTGAAAATTGTCTATTCATGTCCTTAGCTCACTTTTTGATGGGATTGTTTATTTTTTTTATTACTGATTTGTTTGATTTTGTTGTAGATTCTGGATATTAGTCCTTTGTCAGATGTATAGATAGTGAAGATTTTCTCCCACTCTGTGGGTTGTCTGTTTACTCTGCTGACTGTTCCTTTTGCCGTGCAAAAGCTCTTTAGAATAATTAGGTCCCAGCTATTTATCTTTGTTTTTATTGCATTTGCTTTTGGGTTCTTGGTCACCAAATCCTTGCCTAAGCCAATGTAGGGACGTAACTTTTGTTGTTCCTCAAAAGGATGCCACATGGCTGGGTGTGGTGGCTCACCCCTGCAATCCCAGCATTTTGGGAGGCTGAGGCAGGTGGATCACCTGAGGTCAGGAGTTTGAGACCAGCCTGGCCAACATGGTGAAACCCCGTCTCTACTAAAAATACAAAAATTAGCCCGACGTGGTGGCGTTTGCCTGTAGTCTCAACTACTGGGGAGGCTGAGGCAGGAGAATCACTTGAAACCAGGAGACAGACGTTACAGTGAGCCAAGATTGTACCACTACACTCCAGCCTGGGTGACAGAGCGAGACTCTGTCTCAAAAAACAAACAAACAAACAAAAGGATACCACAGTCCTGTTCCTTGGGTGGACAGTACTTTTCAAGAGGTCAGTTCTTATACGGAACCTCCATCCTATTCACCCTCTGTTCCTGAGGGGATGGCAGCTTGGACAAGAGCAAGGAGGCCTGAGACCCGCCCCAGCTGCAAGTCAACGGCTGCTTCACAGCTCCCTGGCCTCTGCTTACCCAGCTATCAAACAGATATGACGATCCCTGCCTCATCCACCTTCCAAACTCTTTAAAAGCATCAGATGAAAAAATTTTTTTCTGTGATAAAAGTACTGACATCCACTCTTTTTGTGACTCTGGGCAGAGAGGGTCTGTGGTGTGTCTTTGATCCTCAGTGTTTTGCACATAGCAGGCACTCAATAAATGCTCAGTGGCTTGTTTGGGCAAAATCAAGTCTATATTATGCTCCATAAGTAACCTGTTTGTTGGAAAGAAAATCATCTCAGAAACAAGACTGGATTCATCCTGAGAGTATGTAAGGGCACTCCGAAGGCCAAGGAAGAATGTACCTGGCAGCCCAGGAGTGAAGACAGCGCTTTAATCCTCTGTTGAGAAACCTGGGTTCCAGTTGCTGAAATGTTTGGCAAAGGGATCTGGACCACTCCCTAGCGGTTCTGACACGGATGCAGCTCAGAGTGGTGGAATTGCGAGGATGTGAACCTTAGCAGCCGTGAGCAGGGAGCTGGGCAGGAGGACTTTTTCCTAAGAGGCAGGAAATGCCTCCTTTCCAATTGAAACAGGCAGTGCTGGTGTTTCAAATTATTACCATAAAGACACATGTGGAGGGCTGCAATCTCCATGTCAGCTTTTGCAAAAGGCAGGGGAGAGAGAAAGTAGATTGACGAAAGGAAAACACGAAGATCCATTGGTCCTTTTTGTTTTCTTTCTTGATTAATGGGGAGCATTTGGAGCTGGTGATGCTCATCTCATGGTTGAGGGTGAAAGAGGACTAGGGGTTCAGGCCAGGGTGCAGTCAGGCTCTCTCTCTGGTAGCATAGCCACACATCCAGTCCTTCACTCCAAGCCCATTTTCTTTACCTGACCTGTGGTTCAACACCCTAGTGGGCAGACTGTGGAAGGTTCAGAGAAGACATATGCACATGGCAGGGACTCGATCCATGGAGCGACTTGCTGGAGAAAAGCCATGAGCAGACAAGAAAAGCTGCCTGCAAGGGCTTTTGACTTCAACATGAGCCAAAGGACCGGACCAGCTGGATAGAGGGTTTATCCTCAGAAAGTTTGACTAACTCCTCGTTAAGGGGGAATGTGGTGACTGAGATAGAAGACAAAATATTAGAATAATTGTTCTGTTGAGCATTTGTAAGAAAGCTGTGGAATTATGTTGAGATGTTTGTTTATTTATTTATTTATCTATTTATTTATTTTTAGAGAGAGGGTCTTACTCTGCCACCCAGGCTGAATGCAGTTGTGTGATCTTGGCTCACTGTAGCCTCAAACTCTTGGGCTCAAGCAATCCTCCTGCCTCAGCCTCTCAAGTAGCTGAAGCTACAGGCATGCACCACCACACCCAGCTAACTTTTTATTTTTTGTAGAGACCCGCCCTGTCTGGTCTCCAGCTCCTGGCCTCAAGCCATCCTTCTGCCTCAGCCTCCCAAAGTGCTGAGATTACAGGTGTGAGCCACTGCACCTGTCCTGAGATGTTTATTTCTTTAAATATTGCCCACCCAAAGGCACATGATGGCAAATTAGTGCTACTTAAAAGAAAATACAATAAGTTAAACCCACAGAGAATCAGAACCCCAGTGAATCATATCTGCCACTGCAGACGTTCATCACACACAGCTCTAGCTCTGGTGGTGGGCTCTCCAGGCAGCCACGTTTGCTGTTTGTCACACACACAGTTAGCTCCTTAAATGAACCTATGAACTAAAATAAGGGGTGCGAATACATGCCCAATGGCAGTAGATAACACCAACCCCAGCTACTCCAACAGGGAGAAGGTGCAGGAACAAAGAGCTGGGCCATCTGCACCCCATGTCTGACTTGGCTACTAAGGAGCTGTGTGACTGTGAACTAATCCCTCACCCTCTCTGGGCCTTATCGTTCTTATCTCTAAATGTGGGTAATGAAAATATTTCCCTCCCTGAGGTGCTGTGAGGACTTCTTGAGCTGACAGAAGAAAAGCCCTGAGAATGAGGCCCAGTGCATGGTTTTAGGCACAGAGCCCAGCACCAGGGAAATGGTAATTTAATAAGCTGCCATTGTGTTTAGTTTTAGTAGCATTAGTAGTAGGTGATGGTCGTGGCATTGTCTTTGTTTTTACTATTTAAAGATGGTGCATGTTCTGGGAAGGACTTTTTCAAACTTGAGAATTATGAGCTTACTGTTTTCCTTCCTATTCAAAGGTCTATGGCAAATACACAATGGGCTATGGAAATGGGCAGGGATGTGTCTCAGGGCTCAGGGAACCCTTTACCCAGACCCTTCCCATCTCAGCTCCTTGGATGTTTGGCACGGGAGATGTGGGATTTATTCCTCTTTAGACAGATGTGTTTGCTGGATTTGCTGATGCTGGGCTGAGTCCCTGGCACTGGGCACGGGTGGGAGAGAAGAGGCCTCTGGCCAAAGCATAGAGGTGAAGTTCCTGCCTCTTTCAGGCATGCAGCATGGGAATTGGGGGTGGCTGAGGAGGAAATCAAGTGAATGGGTGAGGCAAAGGAGAAAGACAGAGTGGGGAAGGACACTACTCTGTCAGGGAGCTGAGCCCTGAGTCCCCAGATGGTAGCACGAGAATGAGGGTGCAGAGGATAAAAAATCTGCTGAATAAACTCAATATTCTGTTTAGCCACTCAAGCAATGAACATGCACGGCACTGGAACTCTACACATCATAAAGCACATCGCAGCTCACTTGGCTGGTCAGTGGTCACCGTGCCAATAGAACAGCTGTCATTCCATTTTTACTGTTGCAGAGATGGTAGCTGTAGGGGGTCACCTTTGCAAAGATCACACAGCCAGTGTGGGGGCCAGCAGAGACCTGGGCCTGTGACACCAATCCCACCTCCTTCATTTTCTGTGCAGAATCAACTTCATACCAGCCCTGTGTCCTGTGCTGGGGAGCCACACAAGAACCAGCCGATCAGCTCCACAAATGACAATCTAGCCGATAGGGAGGGAGAAGTCCTCAGGAATGCTACAAAAGGGCACTGGCCACTCAGAAGAAAGGACAGTGTCTTAGCATGTGGGATCCAGGCACCTGGCTTTGTGGGAAGGGGATTCTGAATCCAGCACTGAAGGAGGGGAGGGGGGCATCCCAGGGACAAGGCACTGAAAATTTGGGGCACCACTATGGGGAGCTGCATGTGTCTCAGCCTGACTGGTGTGGGCACCAAGAAGATGCATTTCGGGCCCAGGCCTAGAGATGGGGTCTGCTCATGGGAACAACAGTTGGCCCAAGGACCTGGCACTGTATCCCATGGATGGAGGAAGCCACAGAAGACCCTCAGCAGGAGAAAGCTCCCTCTGGCAAGAGTGAAGAAAGGAAACAGATCAGGAAGCAACTGGAGACACCCCCCAGGTGAGAAGCACCTGCAGTCGTCCAGGGAGGAGGAAAGGCGGGACCAAGGGCTGAAGCAGTGGCATGGGAGTTTGGATGGATGTTACTGGGTCAAGAAATACCCAACCCAGCTAGGGCCCCCCCAGCAGACACTACTGCCAGGTTAAAGAATATCCTATGAGCTATGCTGCCATGTGACAAGTGAGCACAGCACAGTGGCTGACAGCAAGGATGCCCAAACATGACCTGCAAATCCCCCTCTGCCACTTGCTCCCTGTGTGGCTTGGTGACATAACCCTGGGGCTTCAGTTTCCTCATCTGTAGAATGGGAATGATGAGAAGTGCTGAGAGCAGTGCCTGGCCCTTCATGAGTGCTCAATACATGTCAAGCTGTGTCATTACTATCTGTTATATTTGCAAAGCTGTTTGCACAAATTACCACATCCAGTGTTCAAAATAAACCCATGGGGCAGGTTTTTCATTTTGTTTTGTTTTTTTGACAGTGTCTCATTCTGTCGCCTAGGCTGGAGGGCAGTGCTGCAATCATGGCTCCCTGCAGCTTCGACCTCCTGGGCTCAAGCAATCCTTCCACCTCAGCCTCCTGAGTAGCTGGGACTACAGATGTGCACCTGGCTAGGCTAATTTTTTAACACCACACTTGGCTAACTTTTTTGTAGTTTTTGTAGAGACAGAGTCTCACTATGTTGCACAGGCTGGTCTTGAACTCCTGAGCTCAAGCAATCTGCCCGCCTCAGCCTCCTAAAGTGCTGGGATTATAGGCATGAGCCACTGCGCCCAGCCTGGGGAAGGTAATCTTGAGCCCCTCTTCAAATATGCAAACAGGCTCAGTCATGACTTTCTCGGGATATGCAACCAGGCTCTGGCAGAGCCAAGACTGGGGAATCAAAGCCCCTTGGGCAACCTGTGGCTACCCTGCACAGGAGATAGCCCCCGAGCTGTTCCCAGCCCTGCCAGTGGCAGCCCTACTGCTGCAATGCTGTAGGAGGCACCTGGGAGAGCTGGGCCAGGCAGGGAAATCTATGGATCCTTCCCATTCTCTGTTTGAGATGCATCCTGTCTGATCCATGAGCCCAGGTGGCTGCTGCTTTCTGCTTGAGGGCACAGACTCGTGGATGCATTTTCCAACATCACTTTTAATCTTCCCAACATGCCTGAGTGTCTGGCTGTGTGGGAAAAGCCACAATGTTAACTTCAATTAAAAACTGTTCTCATGCCTCTTGCTTTGCTTGAGATGTTCTCAGCATGGGTGAAGGATTGGAGTCTTTCAAGATGTCTCCAGCAAGAAGGTAGATGATTAAAACCTTCCCCGGGAGGCCTGAGATGGTGCATAAGTATAAATAAGCCAATGTTCACAAGATTCTTAAAAGAAGGGGGAGGTGAGTTGAGGTGGGAGTTAGGGAAGAGGGGAGGTAGAAATGGCATCATTAAGGATCTTTATTCCAATGGAATAAAATAGCATCAGGTCACAGAAGGCAGTTACTTCCAGGAGCCACAAGTTGTGTTTGTGAGTAAGTTGGACACAGACAGAGGTGTACAGTGACCGAGTGAGGAGGATGTGCCTCACGAAGTGCGGGCAGGGAGGAGAGTGGAGACCCTGAGCTGAGGAAGTGAGCCATGAGACACAGCACGTGGGAGCCAGGTGGCTGGTTCAAATCTGAGCCTCAGTTGCTTCACCTGAAAATTGGGCTTAATTGTAATCTCGACTTCAGAGCATGGTGGTGAGGCTTAGCTGTGCTGCTCTGTGTAACACGTTCAACGGAGAGCCCAGCACACAGCAAGGCAGGCGTTAGCATGGTCAGTATGGTCAGTTATGGTTATGGTGACTCAAGGGACCAATGGCACCTAAGGTTAACTTCTCCAACCTCCGCGACAGGAACCAAGAGACGTGAAGGAATTTCAGTGCCTCCACATGGTTCTCCACAAAGGATCCAGGGGTGGAGTTGAGCTTCCTTCCAGGTACAATGCAGGAGGCCTGCAGGATTCTCTCCCAGGATGTCTACTAGCACCACGTGATTTTCCTGACCAAAAGTATAAAAAATGGACTCTACTTCCAAGGACCAATAGACATCATTCATCAGCAGGAGGCCAAACAGATTCCACTTTTGCAGAAGACATCACTCCTGCATTGTTTGGCAAAAAGGAGTCTGCTGCTGGGCCGGTTCACCCTGTGTGCCACTGGGGTTCAATGAGCTCCTTCAGCCTGAACCATTCCAGTAGATGCCCTGAGGTCTAATCCTCAGCATCAGAACAGAGTGACAGGCAGCTCCAGCCATTGGAACCGGTCTTCGTTTAGCTTGTTTGTGCTGCTATAACAAAATCCCACAGACTAGGCAATTTATACACAATAGAATTTTATTTCTCCTAGTTCTGGAGGTTAGGAAGTCCAAGATCAAGGTGCAGGCAGCTCTGGTGTCTGCTGAAGGCTTCTCTGCTCTCTGCTTTTGTGCCTTGCTGCTGCACCCTCTGGAGTGAGGAAGGCTGTGTCCTCACAAAGTGCAAGGGACAGAAGGAGTGCATTCACCGCCTCAAGGCCTTTTAGATGGCATTAATCCATTCATGAGGGGGTTAAGCCCTCACGGTCTAATCACTTCCTAAAAGCCCATTTGTTTCCTGACTGGGATAATACCATTGCATTGGGGATTAAGTTTCAACATGAGTTTTGCAGGAGACAAACATTCAAACCACAGCAAAACCCTGTAGGTGTGCCTGTGAGCCCCATTAAGTGTCTGATGCTTGAGTTACCTTCATACTGGCTATAGCCCTGATTAGATGGAGCATACTTTGAGGCCAGCGGCCCTGGTCATTGACAACCCTGGAGCTTGAGAGGGACCTTGAGCACCTACCAAAGTCCTCTGTCAGGTATGGTGACCAGTGTTTTTGCCATACATCACAGAAGGAGGCGTGGGGAGCTGGCACCATCTACAGGTGAGGTGCAGATAAATTGTGTGAGGCTATAAAGAATTTGGACCGGGGTTTTCTGACTGCAACTCCAGGAGTTTTTCCATCTCCCCATGAAATAAGAGATCTTAGGGTCTACCCACTCAACCTGCATTTTGCAGACCAAAAAAAACAGAAAATAGTGCAACGTCATCATAGGCACCATTTCCTGGCCAGCCTCTGCACACACATGGCCTTACCTAATCCTTACACCTCCACGAGCCAGGAGAGGTCATTATCCCCACTTTACAGTAGAGGAAACTGAGCTCAGGAAGATGGGTGATGTGCTCAAGTCACCCAGCTGGTTTCAAACTCGGGATTCAAACCTAAGTCAGTCTGATTTCCTCTGAAACCCTTGACCACTATGCAGTGCTGAGTTCCTCAGCGGAGCCCAGCGAGAAGGAGGAGGTTCCTCACCACTCTCCTCTCCCTAAGGTCGCACAATGTGAGAGCAGTATTGTCAAGGCCAAAAAGGCCCAGCTGACCACCCTGACCCCCTTGCAGGCCGCCCTGGGCAGTTCTGTATTCCCCAAGCCAGAAGCTCACAGAGGGCCATGTCACGTGAATGCTGAATGTACAGCCAATTGCTGCTGCATGCCACCAGCATGCTGAGTGAGCTGCAAGAGGCTTGCAAATTGTCTTGCTTTTTCTAATAAGTTCCCTCTGGGGAGCAGCTAGAATGGCCTACACCGCATTCTGAGAGGCTCAAGCTATCCAAATTGCATCATAAAGTCTTTACTGAGCACCTGTCCCTTGCAGGAACATTCCAAACATTTCATGTTTTTTATCTCCTTTAATTATTTCTTAAATCCCAGGGGGTGGGTTCCTTGTAACAAAGGACACTGAGGCTAAGCTTAGAAAGTACCACCCAGTCCCAGAGCCTAGGTGCGACCCGGGCTCTGAGATCTCTGCTCCAAGCCTTGCAACACCAGCTACCCAGGTGATTCTGCCCCACTTGGCAGGGAAGAAACAGGAGCCAGAGGACTAAGTCGGGGAGGGATAGTGAAGGAAAGAGATTTAAGTGGTCAGAAGGATGGGCTCTAAATCACAGTGATCTTGGCCCTGCTGCCTCCTCTCCATGGTCTATTCTGTACCAGGCACGGTGAGGAGGCTTCATGAACACTACTTCAGAGAGTCCCTTACAGAACTTCTGGAAGATAGGAATTATACCTCCTCTTACAGGCTGCGGAAAACGGAGGATCAGAGAGGTTCAGGAGTTTGCCCAAGGTGATACAGCTCAGCAGTGGCCAAGCTGAGATGCAGGCCCAGATGTACGCAGCGGCATTTGTGAAGGATACGTATAAATGCATAGTTGGAAGGCAATTCTCCATAGAATCCTGTTCTGTGTGCCTTTTGAATAGAGGATTTGATAGTCTCTGTTCTGGACTATCTTTTCAAGATGTGGGTAAAGTAAACAGCCTTGAAAAAAGACAGTGTCCCCTCTGGGGCAGAGGGCACATCTGTTTCCTGACCAGGATAATTATATCTCTCACTCTGAGGCAAAGGCTGGGCAGGTTTGTCAGCAGTCTCCCTGAAAAGAGTGGGATTTTCTAAGCTTGGGTTCCTCAGCTGTCACACAAACCCATGGCATGCGCGGAACCCACCCGGGCTGCTCCACATTGCCCCATGGGACCTGCAGAGCAGGGAGCACTGATGTGAGCATGAAGCTCAAGTCGCTTGCTGCGGTGTGAGTAATAATGCCCTTTGACTCCGGGAGTCTCATGTCTTCTGTCTGCATCTTTGAAATTTTGGAAGACTAACTTGAAGGCAAAGTAAAATTGCAAACCCCTCACAGTTCTTGACATATCTGTGCTAAGCTTCAAAAAAATCAGTTGTAAAAATCCTGGAGGAGAGACGTGGCTGAACAGCAGTGTTTAGGAAAGAGAGATCTCCTCTCAGAATGAGTCAAAGGTTTTGCATTAGACAAGGCAAGATTTGGCCCTCACTGGCCACATTAGTGAATGCATTAGGGCTAGATCCAAGGAGGTAATAGATTTTCCTGAATTATTATGTCCTGTTCTGAAAAAACTGTTCTATAAGAACACTAACAGACCAGAGCCTGACCTAGTGAAGATTTTTAGAGAGAATGTGCATTTGGGAAAACAGTTGAGGAAAATGGCTACATTTAGCCCAAAAAAAGGGATGATGCGGAGGGGGATATACAGTTTTGGTTCAAACATAATAATTCCTGGTGTCCATGCTGCCCTGCACAGTTTGTTCTTTCTCATTCACCATCTCATTTGATTCTCCCACCCATACTATGAGCTATTACTACTGTTCCCATTTAACAGAAAGGGAAACTGAGGCTCCAAGAAATTAAGCATCTTGTTCCAAGTCAAACAGCCCCAAATCATGAGTGGTGGAGGCAGGCCGGGAACTCAAGCCTCCTGCCTCCCCATCTCAGGTGCCACATTACCATATTTAAGCGGCAAAATCCCAAGGCTTGTGGCAACGTATCATAACTACCATCAGTGCACTGCACAAATGAGAATGCCGTGGCTGGGGACCATGACGTGATTTCCCCGGCAGCGCAGTGGCAGGGCCATGCTGTAGCCCAGGGAGACCTGACTCCCATGGAAGTCTCTGTTTGGTGAGGTGGTGAGCCTCCTGTTGCTAAAGATACAGACACAACGGGTGACTCACCCTGCATAAGGGATGATGGGGAGGGATTCTGGCACATTACAGTCTGTGCTTCTACATGGGCGGTTTGGTCAGCATCCCAGAATAGCGCAAACAGACGAGTCAGAACTTCCACCACCCTCCCCAACTGAGGGGTCATTATGCTCACTGCGGGCATTTATTAAGGCCTTCCACCAGCCAGGCCCTAGAGAGCTGTAAAGAGAGGCACAGCTTACTGCATTAGCCCTGAGGGTCTCCTATGCAGAGGAGAGGCAGACAGATGGGTAAAGAGAGAGATGCGACAGACGCTTTAGTGTTCTGCTGGGGGCTATGGCTTGACTCCCTGGAGTGCTCCCTCCCCAAGGCCTCATGACTGTGGGTGGGACCACATCCCTCCTTTTTTTGGTACCTCCTCCCACAGTGGGCTGCTGGAGACTGACAGGGTGAGCCGTGTGACCTGGCTAACAGTGTTCTGTAACACTGGGAGGCTTCTGGGTGACAGGTGGCCATTGGAGACTGAACAGGCAAAGGCCATCATGGGGGTGGGGCTCTGCTCCTCCTACAAGACCACCAGCTGCTGTTGGGGCTCAGCCTGGGATTTCTAGGACCACAGAAGAGGAGGGGGCCTGCCTGCTCCTTGCTGAGTCTGGCCAGCCCAGGGAGAGTCCCATTCTGGGGGCCAGGGGTCTGCCCAGGCTCTGCTTATCTTCTGCTGCCTTCCTGATGGATTCATCAAAGTCAACATGTACTGGGCACCTCTCTGCATGGCTGCCGGGACACAGAAGTGAGCAGACAGCAGGGACTGTGTGGTGCCCTCGCTCCTTGGTCACCTTTCATAAGAGGTGAGCAGCTGTCAGGACAAGGTGCCCTTAGCGAGAGCAGGGAATTTAGTGCTTGTTCCCCAGCGTCCCCAGTGCCTAGAACGGTGTCTGGCTCATCCTCAGTGCCTGTTAACACTTGAGAATTAAATGGGCCGGGGAAAGGTGTGGATTCTGGACATGGTTTCAACCATCCCCACTCATTTTTAAAAAGCAAGAATGTTAGTCAAATACAGTGAGATCCAAAAAGCCTCTGGGCTTTTAAATGGCCTCTGGGTAGGGTGACCAGCCATCCCAGTTGGCCTGGGGCTGTCCTGGTTTCAGCACTGGAAGTGGAAGTCTCCTGTCTTGAAAGCCCCTCAGCCCTGCAGAAACCGGGGTGGTTGGTCACCTTACCTCTGAGTCACCATTTTGACAGAGAAGTCCAGAGGTTTAAAGGGGTCAGCCCTCTCCAAATACAAGCCCCATTGAAAGACCTTGAGCCGGCGTCTTACCCTGTCTGGCCTCCACTCTCCTCCTGAGTCAACTGAGTCATCCCAGGTTCACACCATGGAATCGTTCAGAGGAAGAAGAGGGTACTGCGCAGAATGCCTGTGCTGCTGGGCCCAGCATGCAGCAGACAGTTTGCAGGGGGACAAGAGAGGGGCGCTGGGGACTGGGGAGTTTGAGGACGTGGGGCAAGGGTGGGGGACTTGGTGCTGTCCGGATCACTGGCCTTGGGGAAAGTCATAATCCAGACTCAAAGAGGAGGTGCCCCGCAAGCTGATGCAAGCCATAATTTTCTGTCCAGTTTCTTTCTTGTGCCTTTATTAATTCCCTGCTCTTCCTTGATTGGTTTATGAAATATTTACTGGTTCTAGCCCTGGGCTGGGCAGCAGCAATCCTGACATAAATGAGATGAGAACCTTGGCCCTCAAGGGAACCTCGGAAGGGAGGGATGCCCTGATGGTGAGCTGCTTGGAGCTGCAGGGGCAGAGGAGAGGTATAGCCTCTCCCGGGGGGAGCAAGCTTCCTGTCCTCCAACGCCCCTCTCAATTCTTTCAGCCTCCTGTGGGGTCCCCACCCCCACCTCTGGCACCAGCCTGTCTGAGTCGTGGGACACCTGGCTTCAGCCACAATCCACTCTGCCCAGACAGGCTGCAGAGACGGCCAGGCTGGAAGGAGTTGTGACATAGAACCACACTCTCTGGGGCTCACATCTGCCTCCATCTCACCCCAACACTCTACAATCCATCAGCTGTGACTCAGATCTAGCCTTGACCCCAGCTTAGCCTCTTCTCACCTGGATGACTTTGGGCAAGGCCCCAAAGCTCTCTGAGCCTCGGTATCCTCTTCTCTAAAATGGGCATGCTGAATGTGTTGCCTTCATAGGCTGCCCACGCAGCACAGAACTCTTAGCAGGTGCTCAAGATTCACCTACGACAGCTATCCTCTTCTTCCACCAGAGGGCGGGGCTCCTGCCTCACAGGTCTTCGTGCCTAGGAATGATGGTCTGTATGCAATGTGTGCTCTCATGCTGTTGGCAAGGATGACAAAGACGATGAAGGCTGGCAATCACTTCTTTCTGGCTTTCCACATTCCCCAACACAGCCTGCCTGCACGGCTGGCCCTGCCTAATTGATTTGATTATTGGGATACGCAGCAGGACCCGGGTGGAACCTCCATAGGAAGAGAAGAAGGATTGGCAGGAGGTCAGAGAGAAGGCAGGAGATGCAGGAAGGGCTGCTAAGACTCAATGCAGAGAGACGGTTTCAGGGTGCCTGGGAGAGCACATTAGTCAGCCCCCCTCAGGTGTCCCTCAAAGCTGCTGGAAACCAAGTCTTAATATATTTCTAATCAGCTTCCAGAGCTTCATGCTGAGGAGATGGATGAGGGGTCCTCACGAGGGCTGGAAGAAATCAGCAGTGTTCCAGCTCTTGGCTAAATGGAAGGCTGGCAAACTGCGTGGGCCTCAGGCTGGAGCAACCTGCTCCCGGCATTTCCCCTCACTTTCATCCTTCTGGGGAACAAGGCTTCCTAGGACCCAGGGATTTGGGATGGAGGCCTAAAGAACCCATCTCTGCTCACTGAACTGCCCAACTCTGGGTCCTGGTCTGCAGACCCCACACCTGAATCAAAGACTGGCTCCCTCAATGTCTCATGGAACATCCTGTCACAGGATACCTGGAAGAACTCCAAGTGGCAACGGCAGACTGGAAAGGAGTTAGGCTGGTCCATGCATGATTTGGCATCCTCACTTGTTATTCCCCAGGCTCACTTGACCTGTAGAGTATGTATGTATGTTACTCACATTTTGTGGCATTTGGGAGACAGGGAGAAAGAGAAATGCTGGCTGGATCAGGGGCCCATAGCTGGGAGGTAGGGGTAATGGTCTAGATTTAGATTCAAGTGTCAACATTCCTTTTCCCACAACGGGAGAAAAGGAGGAACGGTGGAAATATAGCTGTTAAAAGCACAGCCTTATGAAAATTCCACATCCAGCCAAAATGGAGTAATAGGGAATAGATTTACCCTCCCAACTGAAACAACTGAAAAACCAGATAAAATACATGAAAATGATTTTCAAGACACCGGACATCAGACAATGAAGGACAGTGACCCTCGAGAGATGGGAAATTGGCAAGATGAGCCATACAGGTGCTCCGGTTTACTGCCTATGGAAAGTTTCCAGGCCATGGAGCAGTAAACTCAGGCAGGGCTCAATGGACTCTCTGAGTTGAAGAATGGAAGTGAGAGTCTGAGGAGAGTGAGGCAGCTGGAGACCACATGGCAGAGTATGGAGAGAAGACAGCCGCCCACAGAGAGAACCCTGGGGTTTGAGAGAGGGACCACTCAAACATTCAACAAAGGACAGATGAATGCATGTTTGTACAGAAACTGCCTGAGGCAGGGAAAGAATCACCCAAAAAATTATAGAAAATAGTGCCTGGAACCCATATAGGGCCAGAAATAGTGCCTGTTTCCATCACCCATCTTGAAAATCTCATCATTTATGAGACACTGAGCAGGTAGAATACTCAGAACAGCATTGCCTTTGTGATGGGGAATAATTACTCTTAGATTAAATTTGGCTTGATCCTGCCTAACAAATCTTAAAAACAGTACTTGCAAAAATCAAACTGTTCTCAAGCATCTGAACTGCATCCCAGAACAAAGCACAAGAATATTTATGGGAATACAAAAATATCTAGCATACACCACAGTTAAATTCACAATGTTTGGCATCCAACCAAGAATTATCAGGCATGTAAAGCAGCAGGAAAATATGAACCATATGAGGAGAAAAGGCAATCAATCAAAACCAATCCAGAATTGACATATTTAGAATTAATAAGTGAGGACATTAAAACAGTTGTTATAACTGTATTCCATATGTCCAAAAAGCTACAGGTAACAATGAACATGTTAAGAAGAGAATGGAAGAGATATGTTTTTATATAAAAGATCCAAATTAGCTTCTAGAGATGAAAACTATAATATCTAGTATCAAAAGTACATTGGGTGGGGCTATTATTAATAGCAGATTAGATATTGCAGAAGAAAACCTTGTTAACTTGAAGACATATCAATAATAACTATCCAAATAAAACACAAACAGAAACAAAGACCAAAAAAAAAAAAAATGAAGAGACTATCAGTGAGCTCTAAGACAACTTCAGGTGACCTAATATATGTGTATTAGTCCCAAAAGAAGAGGAGAGAGAAGACAGAACTCTCTCTCTCTCTCTCTCTATATATATATATACGTATATATGTATATATATACGTATATATGTATATATATACGTATATATGTATATATATACGTATATATGTATATATACGTATATATGTATATATATACGTATGTATATATGTGTATATATATACGTATATACGTATATATACGTATATATATGCATATATATACACATATATATATATAGCTGAGGCAGGAGAATGGTGTGAACTCAGGAGGCAGAGCTTGCAGTGAGCCGAGATCAAGCCACTGCACTCCAGCCTGGGCGACAGAGCGAGACTCTGTCTCAAAAAAATAAATAAATAAAATAAAATAAAAGCTTCAACACTCCATTTAAAAAGCAGAGATTGTTAGATTGGATTTTAAAATAGGCTCTTAAAAATTTATGTCCACAGAAAAACCTGAACACAGATGTTTATAGCAGCTTTATTAATAATTGCCAAAACTTCAGGTGATCTGCCTGCCTTGGCCTCCCAAAGTGCTGGGATTAGAGGCATGAGCCACCACACCTGGCCCAACATGGCAAAACCCTGTCTCTACTATAAATACAAAAAATTAGCTGGATACAGTGGTGGGCACCTGAAATCCCAGCTACTCGGGATGCCGAGGCAGGAGAATTGCTTGAACCCAGGAGGTGGAGGTTGCAGTGAGCTGAGATCATACCACTACACTCAAGCCTGGATGACAGAGCGAGACTCCATCTCAAAAAGAAAAGCAAAAACTTGGAAGCAAACAAGAAGTTCTTCAATAGGTGAATGGACAAACAAGCTGTGGTACATCCAGACAATGGAATATTATTCAGCACTAAAATGGAAAAAGCAGGCTGGGCGTGGTGGCTCACACCTGTAATCCCAGCACTTTGGGAGGCCGAGGCAGGCAGACCACCTGAGGTCAGGAGTTAGAGACCAGCCTGGCCAACATGGTAAAACCCCATCTCCACTAAAAACACAAAAATTAGCTGGGTATGGTGGCATGCACCTGTAATCCCGTCTATTCGGGAGGCTGAGGCAGGTGAATCACTTGAACCCGGGGGGGCAGAGATTGCAATGAGCTGAGATCACGCCACTGCACTCCAGCCAGGGCAACAGAGTGAAACTCCATCTCAAAAATATAAAAAATAAATAAAAATAAAAAATAAAATAGAAAAAGCTATCAAGCCTTAGGTGCATATTACTAAGTGAAAGCAGCCAATCTGAAAAGCTACATACTGAATAATTCCAACTATGATACCCTGGAAAAGGTAAAACTGTGAAGATAGTAGAAAGATCAGTGATTGCTAGGAGTTAAGGGGAGGGAGAGGCAAATACATGCAGCCCAGAGGACTTTTAGGCCAGTGAAAATACTGTCTATAACGTGGATCCACGTCATTATACTTTTGTCCAAGCCCACAGAATGTACAACACCAAGAGAGAACCCTAATGTAAACTATGGACTTTGGAGTGTTTTGTTTTTGTTTTTTGAGATGGAGTTTCACTCTGTCACCCAGGCTGGAGTGCAATGGCTCGATCTCAGCTCAATGCAACCTCTGCCTCCCAGGTTCAAGCGATTCTCCTGCCTCAGCCTCCTGAGTAGCTGGGATTACAGGCGCCCACCACCACACCCAGCTAATTTTTGTATTTTTAGTAGAGACAGGGTTTCATCATGTTGGTCAGGCTGGTCTCAAACTCCTGACATCAGGTGATCCACCTGCCTCGGCCTCCCAAAGTTCTGGGATTACAGGCATGAGCCACCGGGCTCAGCGACTTTGGAGGATTCTGATGTGTCGACGTAGGTTAGTCAGTTGTGGCAAATGCACAGCTCCGGTGGGGATGCTGATGGTGGAAGAGGCTGTGCATGAACAGGGGCAGAGGGGCATCTGAGAAATCTCTATGCCCTCCTCTCGATTTTTCTGTGAACTTAAAACATCTCTTTAAAAAAGTTCTTAAAAATAATAGGCTGACGTGATGCAGAGACCTGTGTTTGATCCCCAGCTGTGTGCCCTCTAAGCCTCAGTTTCCTCACCTATAAAATGGATCTGAATGTGCCTATTCCAAGGGGCCATTGCAAGGATTCAGTGAGATTGTGTGTGTTGCTCAGCACAGGGTTTGTCTGCTACCTCAAAGGCATCTGTTGAATGGTAGCTGTGATGGGAAGGTACAGGGATGTCTTGAGGGGACACAGTGAGGAGGGAGTGAACACAGATGGGTCTCCATCACCTCAGTGTAGAAAGAGCTGGGGTGCAGGACCTGAGCAGGACAGAGCACACAGCAAGTGCTCCCTAAACACTCAAGCATTTCATTGGAGACTGGCCATCCACCTGCAGATGTCCCAGTTCTCTTAGCTTTGTGAGATTCCATTGTTTCAAGTCATATGTCTGAAATCTTAAAACACTAGAAATTTGGTCTACAAAAATCACTGGAATGTTTACTTCTTGAACTGCTCATTACACCTCTGCATAAAATGTGGCCTTATACCCTCTCCTGAAGCAGGTCTAATTAGAAGGATAAAATATTTAAATCTTTGCAATGGAAACCTGAAGTACAACCAGACAAGCCCTAAGATAACAGACAATTTGTATTTTAATGATAATTCTTGCTTGAAGAAAAAGAAGCACTCATTGGCTGAAGAAAATATTCTCTAAGAAGCAGACTGCCAGACTCCCTAGAATTCTATTTTTCTGGGCAGCGATATGTTCCTCTGGGGACCGACAACTTCTGCTAGTTTCTTGCATATCTGTCAGAATGAGGCCCTTCCCCATAGCTAAGACAGTTTCAAGAGATAACAAAATCACCTCTCCAATAGGAAGAGATGTCTTTTGTGTCTTTTTTCCCCTCTGTGAAAAATGATTAAAATGCAAATTAACTGTGAGTCTCTCAAGGTCCTGGGGGACCTTCTCTTTAGAAGGGGAATTAGCAGGGGATATGCCAGCATCTCAGCTGTGATTAGATACACATGTAGTATCTCCCAGAAGGACAGGCCCAGTGTTAATATGATGTTAATATGTAGGTGAGACTGAATCTTCCCACCTGGCAAGGGCCAGATTCCAAGAGACAGGCGAAAGAGCGAGGTGGGGGAATTCCCAGCTCCTCAAGCACAGGAAACCTACTTGGATCTCCCCAATATGTAGCTGAACCAAATAAAATGGTCATTTGATAGGTCAAAAATGGTCAAATGTCAGCAATTTCACATGGTTCAGCCTAATAAAGCCATGGCCTACCTCCTTAGTAATAAGTGACTTTTCTACTGGGCTTGGCAGTATTTTAAGGTTTTGCCAAGCTCTACACACCCTTGTTTAGTCTAGAGATAATACACTGGCAGCCCCGGGATGAATCCAGCCCACACACCTGTTTTGTTTGGTTCAAGTAGTAGCCAGTCCCCAAGGACAATGACCATCCATTCTGTCCCTTGCTCCTAGACACACACACTACATCAAGAGCTGGAATCCGACTCCCCTCCCTTTAAATCTGGGCTGGCCTGGAGACTTTCTTGACTAAAAGAATGTAGTGTTAATGACATTCTGGGACTTCTAGGCAGGTCCTACGAAGCCTGCAGCTTCTACCTGGAACTGCTGGAACACTCTTTCTTGGGGGAGCCAGCACCATGCAAGAAGAGCAACAACCTTGGGACCTCCATACTGGGAGGAAGCCCAAGTCACCTGAAGAAGCCCTTGCAGGATGAAATCCCAAGAGGAGAGTGGCCAAGTTGCCTAGAGGCACCAGACAAGTTCAGAGGAAACTACACGCTGGAAGCCTAGACTCCAGTCTCTGCTGTTCCAGCTGATGCCACTCGGGCAAAAACAAACTGTCTAGCCAAGCCCTTCCTCAATTCTGGTCCCACAAAATCGTCAGCACAATAAATGATTGCTTTAAGCCATTAAGTAACTGAAGTCATAAGCAGTAAGTAACAGAAACAGTCCACACCATGGTTGGTAGGTCTGGTAAAAATTTCTAACATTTAATTGTTAATTTAATTGTTAACATTAAAACAACCAGAGTGCATGAGAAAATCAAAGTTTCAGCTTTCTTTTAAACACAGAAGCACCTGCGGCCCCAGGCCTGTGTTTCTGCATGGCATGAGCAAGGGGCTAGAGCTCCAAAGCCCCATCCAGGCCAGGCTGGCCAAGCTCTCCAGGGCATCACAGCCCCCACTCCATCCAACTCCACTCCATGAGGTCACCTGGCTGGTTTCGGGCTCCCTGGACTTATACACCCACCCCCTCACCACCTGACCCCTCTGCTCCAATGGCCACTAGCAACTCACACTCCCAACAGGAGATACTGTTTCAAGCCTTCTTGCCTTTGTGCACACAGTTCCCTCTGCCCAAAACACCCACACTCCTATGTCTGCATAACCGCCATGCATCTCTCAAACTCAGTTCAAGTCAAAAACCCCTGAAGGCTTGCCTGATCTCTGGGCTCCTGGAGCCCCTGTGTTTACCCCCATCTTGTTATCTATCACTTGGAAGGCTCTGAGGCACATCCCTTAACCTAAAGCATTCCATGTAGGGAGGGCCTGGCACACAGGAAACATTTTCTAAGACACTAAATGAACAGTTCCGTGAGGACACAGTTTTGTCCCCATTTCACAGATAATGAAACTGAGGTTTAAATAAGCGATCTGTTCACTGCTGCCCCAAGATCAACAGCTGCTAATATGAGGGCCAAGATGCTTATCCTTTACGGGTCTTCAGAACCTGTTGTGGTTTGAATTGTGTCCCCTCGATAGGTAGAATGAAGTTCTAATCCTGGGTCCTCTGAATATGTCCTTATTTAGAAACAGAGTCTCTGCAGATGTAATCAAGTTAAGATAATGTCATTAGGGTGGGCCCTAAGCCAATATGGCTGGTGTCCTCATAAGATGAGAAGAGACTCAGAGAGACACACTGGGAGAATGCCACATGACGATGCAGGCAGAGACTACAGCAATGTGTCCACAAGCCAAGGAATGCCAAGGACTGCAGGTAACACTGTGATGCCAAGAGAGTGGCCTGGAACAGATTCCACCCCCACCCCCAGCACCTTCAGAGAGACTACTTTGGCCCTGCTGACACCTGGATTGTGGACTTCCAGCCTCCAGAACCATGACAGAATGAATTTCTGTTGTTTTAAACCACCCAGTTTGTAGTAATTTATCACAGCCTTAGGAAACTAATAGAGATTGGTTCAAGAATTTGTTTAAAAATGTACACAGCTGGGTACAATGGCTCATGCCTGTAATCCCAGCACTTCAGGAGGCCAAGGCAGGAGGATCGCTTGAGCCCAGGAGCTCTAGACCTGCCTGGGCAATATAATGAGACCTCATTTCTACTAAAGATAATTTTTAAAAGACTAGCCAGCCATGGTGGCATGTGCCTGTAGCCCCAGAGACTCAGGCAGTTGAGGTGGGCAGATTGCTTCAGCCTGGGAGATTAAGGCTGCAGTGAACCATGATCGCACCACTGCACTCCATCCTGGGCAACAGAACAAGACCGTGTCTCAAAATAAAAAAGAATAATGATAATAAAATAAAAATGTACACAAACACAACCGCCTGGATGGATCAGAGGATGAAGCTGATCCACAGAGGGTCCCTGGCCCCCCCAGCTCTTGCAGGGGTACTGCGGTGACATGGAAGGATGGTCCTGCATCAGTGGATGTGGCTCCGCTCCTGGCCCTCTGTTTGCCGGCTGAGCCTCCCTGGCTATTCATTCCAAATCTCCCTTTCTTGATGATGGGAATAATAAAGGCACCCACCTCAACTACAGGTTTCCCACCTCTGGCAGGTGTGGCCTGGAGAGAGGGAGAAGCTCAGTTTTGGAGCAAGTTCCAAGGCTATGTCACTCTGGGCCCAAACATTTTAAGTTGCTGAATCGATACTGTGTTAGGTGACTTCCAGTGACCACATGAGTTTTTAATGGCCTAAGGGTGACCAGAGAGCCAGGGATCTGTTTCATCCAGGGAGGGAGAAGTGGGAGGGTGGATGTATCCTATAGGGTGGGCTTACACTCTGAGTCTCACCCTTCATTGACCACTGGGATCAGCTGGGGAATGCAAGGAAAGTGCTGGTGCCTGGCTCCCACCCCTAGAATCTGATGGGAGTATCGGAGGTGAGACCTGGGCAGCAGGACTCTTGAAAGCTCCCAGGTGATTCTAATGGCAACAACATTTGAGAACCACTGGCTTGAAACCACTCACTGCAGGGACGGGACAGTGCAAGACAAAAAGAAGGTTGAGCTTTTAGACCCGAGGCATGCTTTAACAGGAGAGTTACGCCATAAGAACAAGTGAAGGAGCCCTCCTGTCTCTGTTGTCCATCCCATTCCCCCATAATGAGTGCTGGCTTAGCATGCAGAACGTTCCTGAAATGTTCGCTCCCTTCCCCCAGCATGTGCCTCTGTGTCACTGCACTTCTTGGATGATGTGGGCTTCCCCTGGAGCAAGTGAGCATCCCAACGGGCCCAAGTGGAAGCTAAGGCTTTTTAGGACTTGGCCACAGAATGTCACCAATACTGCATTCTCTTCACCAAGAAAGCCACTAGACTTTCTCTTCACCAAGGACAGTCCCAGATTTAAGGGGAGAAGAATCAGATTCCAGCTCTTGAAGTGGTGGGCAGCAAGCATGTCCAGGAGGGAGACAGGGAATGCATGGCGGCTGTCTTTGAACATGCGTGATCCTGCCAATGAAACAGGGATTTTGGACTCAGTCCTAAAAGACTGTGATTCTCGCCTTGTCCCCAGCCCACTGGACATCCAGGTGGCCCTGTCCTCTTGGCCACTCCTGGCCTAAGAGAAATGAATGGCCTTTTTCACTGTTCACATCCTCCAGAGTCACCAGAGACTCAGGCACTGTGTGGAGTGGGGCTGGGGTGTTTCCAGGGTAGGGGAGAGGGCAACTGGGAGCCTCCAGGGCTCAGAAGTAAGATGGGGTCCACGAGCACACTCTCAGTGCCTGCAGCCTCTCTTACACTGTCATACAGCCACGTGTACTGCACCAGGGAGGGCACCTCTGTCTAAGAGGATTTGCCAGATAACTGGTGTCTACTCTGTACACCCAAAGAGGATATCTATTTAATGCTTAGCTTTTGAGTGGAAAATCTTTCTAAAATGGCTTATGTGTTCTGGGTCTTCTTAAGCCAAAAACAGGAATCACATTTAACAACATGGGGAAGAAGAAACGTGGGCTTGGAGTCACGTGGATCTGGTTTCACTGACTTAGTTAATCACACAAGCATGCATGCCCAGCCCCAGGAATCCCTCCAGCTTCTATCCTCTACAGGGGCTGAGGTTTTCCCAAGGGACTGCTTCAACTATATGCCATTCTCCTGCTCAATAACTTGCAATGGCTCCCACTGCCTTACTGATTAGATGCAAACTTCTCACCCCAGCAATCAGCACCTTCTATAATCTGGCCCTGGCCTCTGTCTCCCAGCCCTCCTGCACCCCATCCTCTAGCTTTCTGAAGAACTCTGTGAATATTTTCTGGACTTCGCTATCTCGATATCTCTCCACCTAGAACAGTCTTAACTCCCAGGCCCACCAGGAGATATATGCCTACAGTTCTAATCCATCTTCAGCCCCCATTCTCAAAGTCCTGATGATGACAGCTGTTCAGTGGCATTGGCATTTGACACTTTGAATTCACCATCTTCTCCTGTTAATGTCTTTTCATGAACATACATCTTGTCCTCATCCAATCCTCTAATAAATACTTGAGGACCTACTACGTGCTGGGCACCTTCTTCAACCCAGCCCAGCCCTTTAGCCATTCCCCTCTGTGTCTTAGCCGGGCCCATCATTTCTTGAAGCTTTTATAAACATGCAGAAAGAAAATCTACGTCCTATTCAAGTTTGTCCCACAGGATCCCTGTCCCAGTGCCTGATACGGAGCTTGTCACAAGGCAGGTACTAGACATTTGCTGAGCAAGTGGATGGATGCACCAACATTTCGCTGCAAACTGCCCCCTGCTGAGGGAAAGACTGCACAGAGAGACAGTGACTGTCACACACACCTGGTGGCCACAGGACACACCAGGAGCAGGGTCTGAGCACTTGCTCCAGCCAAGCACTGCGAAGTATTGCAGGTAGGGAAGTAACAGTTCCCATCCTTATGGGGATAATGGGATGAATCAACAGCAGAAAGCAATCTACTAGAAAGGCACAATAGTAAGCCCACTTCCCAGAGGGAAGAGAAGAGAGAAATCATTCTGAAATAGATCTGTCCTGTACCTTACATCGTATCTTTCTCAGGATGAAGCAATAAGGTGGAAAACCCTTTGCAGATACTCAGGCCCAGATGTGAAATCCAGTTCTCCTCCTTGCAAATGGCATGCTCTTGGGCAAATTATTTAATCTCGTTTAGTGTCCTGACCTGTAAAATGGGGCCTCCGTCATGGACTTGTAAGGATTTGCTGTGATAAAATATGCCAAGCACCCAGCGTCTGGCACATAGTAGGTGCTCAACAAACCTTAGCGTCTGTTCTCATATGTGTGGTACTTCATGTTTCTGTTCCTTGCAGCTAGCACAGTACTGCGCATGTAACCAGTGTCAAAAATGTGTCAAGGAGAATACATTGACCGAGTGGAATGTGAATTGTAAACAAAAAAGGAAAAATAGGAACCTGGTCTCTGGGCAGATTCTGCCTGAAGACGTTAAAAAGCCCTGTATTTATTTCGTCAAGTTGCCATGGCAGCAACTGATGCTCCAGCCAGCTCCAGGGTTAGCAGGGATCAGTTTATCTTGTTAACCATGGAAATTCCGGAGGTTCAGTGGGATCCAGAGGGGAAGGCAGACACAGTTCTTCTCCAGTCTAGAAATAAATCCTGGAAAGCCTCCTTAGTTTTCATGTAGCTAAAACCATCATTATCTAAAATGATGTTTACATGACAATTTTTATAAGTATGGATTTAGGCACAGGAGATGTAAAATCAGGCAAAAAAAAAAGGGCCAGCGATACTCAGAAGGGCAATTAGCATCATGGAAAACTTAAGGGGCTGCCGGAGAGCCAGGATCTAGACCCCCAGAACTAACTTGGGGCTTCCGCATCTTTTAAGCCTCCATTTGCAGACTCGCTGTCCACACACAGTCTGGATTTTGCTGTCACTTTTTAAACAGGCTTCCACTACAGGTGAAGCTTGGGGAAAAAGCAAGTGTCCCCTCAAACTTCGTTCCCTGTAAAAGAAAACAGCAGCAGATGGGGTCCCTGCCACACACCCTGGAGACAGAAGGGAGCCTGGGTGGCCTCCCGACCTCTCTGCTCCCACCATAACCAACCAACACAACCAGAGAAGGTGCAAGATGTGGCTTTGGTAGATTGGGACTTACTCTCCCAGGCCAAACGCAGCCCTTCCCTGGAGCCAGCTCTGGGTCTTCTCTAGGGTCACAGACTGATGGAGAAATCCGGGATTTGTCTTTGTTCTGGCTCAAGAGAGTTAAGGCACAGAAATAGAATCATCACCCAAGCTCAGAACTCCAGGGCATTCTGCCGGAGGAAAATTCAAGCTGTGAGAGATTTGTTTTTCCGGCCACTGGGAGCCTGTTTGTGTCGGGGAGGGGGGTGGGGGGGTTCTGGCCGCGCTGGGCACTGGTGGCTCCATCAGACTCTACACAAAGCAAAACAGGACAAACGACCGCGGCGCGTCGACGCTTGGCGGGTCACGGTCACAAAGCGGGTCTCAGAGCCTTCCTCAGGCGGCGGCAAAGGGGGCGCCCGAGGTCACCGGCAAGAGACAGATTACTGGCGCCTCGGGAAAACAGAGTGGGGAAGGGCGAGACTGTGTGCCCATCCACGTTCGCGCGGGTCTGAGCTGGCCCGGCCTTGGAGGGCTCCGGGACCCCAGAAGGGGGACAGCAGTGGGGGATGGGCAGAAGGGGGCGACTCGGGCTGCCCAGGCTCCTCGCAGCCTTCCTGCCAACGAGAGGGGCCCGGGCGGGAACAGCTCGAGCCGCGGGGGTGCGGGGCGCGCAGCCCGCCCCACCCCGGGAGAGCCGCGATCGCCGCCCCCGACGCGTGCACCAAGTGGGGGTGTCCGGCTCGGGACAAAGGACCGGGACGCGGATCGCGGGCGGGCGCCACTGCCCAGCCCCAGCGTGGAGGGCGAGACCGTGGCCCCGAACCTCCCCAAACTTGGCGGCCCGGGGCGCGTGGGGGGGACGCCCCGTTACCTGCGCGGCCATAAAGGAGAGATCCATGGTGTCGCTGCAGCCAGCGCTCGAGTCCTCGCTGCTGCCGCTGCCGCTGCGGGTCAGCCGCCTGCACAGTTGGCGGGGATCGGGCTGAGCAGCGAGCGTCCGGAGACCGCACGGCGCACTCGGCTGTCTCTGGGCTTCTGGCTCCAGATCTCTACTAGGCGGAGGGCCCCGAGCGCGGGGGCGGGCGGGGCGGGGTGGGGCGGGGCTCGGCGGACGGGGCGCCCCTCCACGTGACCACTCCCCGCCCCACCCCCGGGGCGGGGTCCGTCAGAAACCCCAAGCGCTCGCAATCGCCTCCCTTCGTGGGCGGGATGGGGAAACTGAGGCCCGAGGCCGCCCCGCTGGTTGGTGCAAGAACCAGCCTGCAACCCAAGTCCTGAGCTGTTGGCGCCCCGCCCCGTGCAGTTGAACCCAACCCACCCGGGGCTGTGGGCAGCGCTCTCTTGGGGCTGACACGTTATCCCGAGCCTGAGGACCAAGATCGGAGTGACCTGGCTTTCCACGCCAACGCTCCTCCCAGAGTCCGGTGTACTCCCGGCTCGGCATCTGGGCAGAACGAGGTTTAATCCTAGCCCTGCTTTGTTGTGCAGCTTGAGCAAGATAGTGTCTTTGAGCCTAGATTTCCTCATCTGTGAAAAGAGAATACAGAACCGAATAATTAAATGAGATAGGGAATATAGCACGCGGTGTCCTCAATAAATGAGAGCCCTAACATGGCTAATCATCCAATAGAGACGAGGCTGTGAGTGGTGTCTTCGAGGACCGCACGGTGCTCAGGTTGCACAGCGGGTACTCCATGGCTCTCAGCTCAAACCAGTATCGAAAATCATGCAGGTGCCACAGTTCAAGTAAGGGGAACAGAAGAGACGCCCACAGGGGCCCATTGCTCTGTATGTGTGTGTGTGTGTGTGTGTGTGTGTGGTGGACACCACAGACTTGGTGACACGTGGAGGCTTTGCCCTCCGGGGGCTCACTGGGAGGGAACCAGCTGTACTCTAAGGAGTCTCAGTGAGTACGACTGGTCCCTTTGGGTGATGTCTCTTCCAGGTACTTTACACTCATGGTCATCACGAGCCTCTGTGAGGGGCAGCCTGGGACTCCCAGACTTTGTCACAGGCAAGGAAGCTGTGGCACAGGGAGATGGAGGGGTTTGTTCAAGGTCCCCCGGCAGCTGGGGGCCCAGTAGGGACTGTGGCTATGGGAATGGGACCAGAACCTCACTGACCTACAGAAGGCTTTCAGTGTTATCTTTCCTGTAACTTTCCTTTCTTTTCTTTTCCTTCCCTTCCTTTCTCCCTCCTTTTCTTCCTCCTCTTCCTTCTCTCCTTCTCTCCCCTTCCCCCCACTTTTTTCTTTCTTTTCTCTTTTCACTTTTCCTGTCATGCTTGCCTCCTCCCTTCCTCCTCTGGTCTCTAAACCCTCCAGTTCCCTGGCCCTCCCTTCCCTCCCTGTTTTTAGCCAGTACTGCACTCACCACACCCATCATTCCTGCCACCTCCCAGCCTAGTCCACACGGGGCCTGCCCAAACAGTCCATGCCAAGAGCCGCCCACCTCCTCCCACCCTTCCTGTGGCCAATAGCAAAGCAGCCTGCCCAGAACTGCCCAGGGCTCCCCGTCTGCTGTAAGAAATATTATGTACACGGCATACTTCACAATAAAAGGGCGTATAGGTTGTGTGTGTGCAATTTGAAAAATAATATAGCCTTGCATAGGTTAAAAAGTGGAACAATAAAAAACAGTCGTGAAGTCCTACTGTGTATCTCTCCAAAGGCATCTCCTACCTGCCCCCTTTCCAGGGTCACCTCCATCCTATTTAGTATTCACTCTTGTCAATTCTCTTGCTTTTCTTTATAGTTTTACCTTTATAGATTACCTGCTTTAACCCTTTGTAGAAAAATTAAATTGCTCTAAATTTGCTCTTCCATGTCTTCTTTGTTGTTTTCTCAGCATTATTTGTGTAGTTGACGTATATTGTTTTTCAGTGCTACACAATATTCCATTTGTATGTCCTTATCACAGTTTTTATTGATGCACTAGCCCTTTGATGGATACTTTGGTCATCTCCAGGTTTTCTGATAACGCCAAAAAAAAATGCTGCTGTGAATACTCTCGATCTTGTCTTTGGATGCACAGGTGCAAGGGGTCCTCAGGGAATACGCTAGGAATGGAACAGTTGGGTATTGTGGTCAGCTCATCTGTGCTTTTACTAATTGATGCCCATTGCTTTCCAGTTTCTGATTTCCAAGGAGGCTTCATCCATTTTATTATCCTACCTATAGTAGGCATGGGTTTTTATTGCTCCACAATTGACCAACACTTTGTATTGTTAGGATTTTTTTTTAAGTTTTGCAAATATGATATGATGAAGTAGTGTTTCATTTGGATTTGATCCTCATTTCTCTGATTACTAATGACATTAAGCATCTTTTATACATCTATTGATCAGTTTCATTTCCTTTGATGAGAAATGCCTTTCACCAGGTCTTTTGTGCTTGTTTTAAAATTTTGCTTATTTTTTTATTGACTCAGGAAAAGTATATGTTTTAGATATTAATCTTGCTAGTTATAGGTTTTTAAATATCATCTTTCATTTTACATTTCTTGTCACTCTATTATACCTTTTCATGAACAGAAGTAAATAATTTTAATTTGGTCAAAATTTATTAATATTTTCTTTTATAGTTAGCCCTTGTTTAATAAATTCTTTGCCAACTTGAGACCATAAAGATAAAGATATTGTCCTGTAGTATTTTAGTAAAAATTTAAATACTTTTCTCATATTTCAGCCTCGTATAACTGATATATTGTGTGTGAGGCGGGAGTAAGGAAGCAATTTTATTTTTCTCATATTAATGTTCAATTATTCCAACCCCATATTGACTAGATCAGCTCTTTCCTATTGATCTGCAACACCAAATTTGTCAGGTGTCCATTTAGCCATCAGTCTGTTTCTAGGTTGTTCTGTTCCATTGGTTGTTCATCTGTCTAATACTAATGCTATTCTGATTTAGTTACTCTAATTTCATGCTAATTCATGTATGGGAGAGCAAGTTTCCTCAATGCGTTCTTTGTTTCCTTACTACCTTTCACTCTTTGCTCTCTGAATACATTTTAGGGTGACCTTGTCAGCTCCCCCAAATAACCTGGACTTGAAGAAAATTCTATTAACTTTTTTGGGGATAATTGACATCTTACAGATAACAAATATTTTCTTCAAGAACATGCCATATCTCCTTATATGCTTAACTTTTCTTTAGTATTTCTATATAAAGATCTTGCAAATCTCTTGCTGAAATCATTTCATGGTGCCTTTCTTAAAGATTTTATTTTGAGATGATTATAGGCTCATGTGCAGTTGTAGGAAATAATATAGAGATCTCATGTACCCTTTACCCAGTTTCTCCCAATGATAACATCTTGCAAAATTAGAGTACAATATCGGCCCAAGGATGCTGACATTGATATGGTGAAGCATTTCTCACTTTGCTCTTTTACAGCGAGACCTACTTCCTCCCTGCCCCACCCACTCTTTAACCAGGGGCAACCACTCATCTGCCCTCCCTTTCTATAATTTTGTGATTGCAAGGATGTTATAAAAGAATCATACAGTTTATACTCTTTTGAGATCAGCAGTTTTCACACAGCATAGTTCCCTGGAGGTCCATCCAGATTGTTGCCTGTATCAATAGTTTGTTCCTTTGCATTGCTGGGTGTTATTCTATGTTATGGATATATCATAGTTTGTTTAACCATTCACCTGTCAAAGGACATCCTGGTTGTTTCTAGCTTTTGGCTGTTGTGAATAACACTGCTATAGACATGGTGTATGGCTTTTTGTATAAACATGTCTTCACTTCTCTGGGATAAAGGCCCAGGATCATATGGTAGTTACAGTTTTCATTTCAAAGAAACTGTCAAACTGTTTTTCACAGTGGCTGTAACATTTTACATTCCTACCAGCAACGTAGGAGTGGTTTTTCCTTATCCTTGCCAGTATTTGGTGTTGTGATAGTTAATTTTATGAATCAGTTTCTATCGGGTGCCCAGATAAAACATTATTTATGGGTGTGTCCCTGAAGGTGTTTCTGGATAAGGTAAGCATTTGAATCAGTGGACTCAGTACAGTAAATTGGCCTCCCCAAGGAGGGTGGGTATCTGTATTAGTCTGTTCTCACGCTGCTAATAAAGACATACCTGAGACTGGGTAATTTACAAAGGAAAGAGGTTTAATGAACTCACAGTTCCACATGACTGAGGAGGCCTCACAATCATGGCAGAAGGCAAAGGAGAAGCAAAGTCACGTCTTACAAGGCGGCAGGCAAGAGAGCTTGTGCAGGGGAACTTCCCATTTGGAAAATCATCAGATCACGTGAGACTTAATCACTACCATGAGAACAGTATGGGGGAACCACCCCCATGATTCAATTATCTCCATATAGCCCTGCCCTTGACACTGGAGATTATTACAATTCAAGGTGAGATTTGGGTTGGGACACAGCCAAAGCATATCAGTGTCATTCAGTTATTGAGGGCCTGTATAGAACAAAAATCTGGAAGAGGGCAGCATTCTCTTTTTCTTTTTTTTTTCTTACCTCACTGCCTGAGCTGGGACATCTCATCTTGTCTTGTCCTGCTCTCAGACTGGGATTTAGATATGCACCATGGCCTCCTCTGATTGTCAGGCCTTCTGATTTGGACTGAATTACACCACCAGCTCTCCTGGGTCTCCAGCTTGCAGATGGTAGATTCTGGGACTTCTTGGCCAACTCTTCATAATAAACCTCCTCTTATATATCTCTAGGAATGTCCTACTAGTTCTGTTTCTCTGGAGAACTTTGACTAATATGGGCATTGTCCTTTTTTTTTTATTTTAGCCATTATGGTAGGTGTGACATGATATCTCATTGTGGTTTTACTTTGTATTTTCCTAAGAAAAGGCTAACAATGTTGAACATCTTTTCAGATCCTTATTTGCCATTGGTATATCCTTTTTTGTAGAATGTCTATAGATGCAATAGTACAACTGCACTCTTTTCTTCGTCTGACTTTTTTGTTCAGCATGATATTTTTGAGAATCACCCACATTGTTGCCTGTATCAGTAGTTCCATTTTTACTGCTGAATAGTTTTCTGATGTGTGCATATAACACAGCTCATTTATTAATTCTCCTGTGGATGGGCATTTTGGTTGTTTCCAAGTATTTGGCTATTATGAACAAAGCACCGATGAACATTTGTGTGTCAGAATTTATATGGATATTTTGTTTGCTTAGTTGTTTGTTTATAAGAAACTGCCAAACAGTTTCACAAAGTGTTTGTACATTTTACATTCCCACCAGCCGTGTATGAGAATTCCAGTTGCCCCACATTCTCTGCCACACTTGGTATTTTCATTGCTTTCAATTTAGCCATTCTAATGGGTGTAAACCAGTATTTTATTTTGGCTTACATTTGCATTTCTCTGATGACAGATGATGCTGAGCATCGAATCATGTGCTTATTGGCCATTCTTTTATTTTCTTATCTTTCACCTATTTTTTAAAAGTTGGATCACTTGTCTTTTTATTATGTTTTTTATTATTGAGTTGTAAGAGTGCAAGTCCTATGTCAAATACATACACTGCAATATTTTCTCTCAATCCATGGTATTTTTTCATTTAAAATTTTTTTTATTTATTAATTTCATTGTTTCTGGCTTCTTAACTGTATACATTTGAGTGTACGACATGCTGTTTTGATATATTTATCTTCATATACACATATATAGTGAAACGATTACTGCAGTCAAGCAAATTCACACTCATCATCCCATAGAGTTACCTTTTCTTTTCTTTCTTTCTGTTGTGCTTTCTTTATGGTAAAAGTAACTAAAATCTACTCTTTTGGCAAATGTCCAGCATACAATATGATATGATGAGCCACAGTCCTCTTGCCGTCAGATCTCTAGACTTCCTCATGCTGCATAAGTGTAACTTTGCACCCTTTGATCTACAGGTTCCCATTTCCAAGCTCTGTGCCTGGTAATCCTTGTTCTACTAGGTTTCTACGTGCTCATTTAAAAGTTTACGTATGTAAGAGAGATCATACAGTATTTTTCTTTCTGTGTCTGGCTTATTTCACTTAGCATAATGTCTTTTAGTTTTGTCCATGCTGTCGCAAATAGTAGGGTTTCTTTCTTTTTTAAAGCGGAATAATATTCCATTATATATGTGCGCGCACACACACACGATGTCTTTATCCATTTATTTGTAGTTTGTTTCCATATCTTGGCTATATAAATGGTGCTGTAATGAATGTGGGCGTGTAGGTATCTTTGCGATGTGGTGATTTCATTTCCTTTCTATATATACCTAGAAGAGAGATTGCTGGGTTATGAGGCAGTTCTATTTTTAATTTTTAAAAGAATCTATATTTTTTCCATAATGGCTGCACCAGTCAACATTCCCACTAACAGTGTGCAAGGGTTTCTTTTTCATCACTTCCTCATCAACATTTAGCTACGTCAGTCCGTGTCTTTTTTCTTCATTTTCTTAGCAGTGTTTTTCAAAGTTCTTAGTTTTGATAAAAATCCTATTGATTTTTTTTTTTTATCTTTCATGGTCCATGCTTTTTGTGTCCTATTTAAGGAATCTTTGCCTGCCTCAAGGCCACGAAGATGCTTCTCCTTTTTTCCCTAAAAGTGTTATAGTTATAGCATTTATGCCTAGGGTTCTAATCTATTTTTGTTTTTATGTATGGTCTGAATGAAAGGTTAAGGTTCTTTTTTTCCCTAAAGGGATATGCAATTATACCAGCACTATTGTTGTAAGCACCATCCTATCTGTTCAGTTACCCAGGACTGGGGCTAGACTTAAGGAGACACAAAATTTAAGGTTCCACTCACTCTCAGGCACAAACCCTACATTGGCGGGAGCCTGACAGTGAGTGCCTCCTTAAATATTGATTCCTTGGCTCCTTGCTGGCATCACCCACTATCTGGTAAGCACCTCCCAGGCAGATATACACATTAGAAAGATCACCCTACATGCTCTGAGTGAGTGACCTCATCCAGGCATATAAAAAGACCCACTAAGGACACCCAGACCTCTGTTGTGAGCTTCAGGGGCACATTCCACTGTCTCCTCAGCACCGTTTCCTGAGTGGCTGATGGCATCTCACATTTAGCCTGGCCAGAACTGAGCTGATTTCCCCACCCACCTGGCTCCATCACAGGCAGGTAATGAATGGAACTACCCAAGTCTTCCATGTATGATTCTGAAAGTTGTGCACTGCACAAGGGCACCTGGTGGAGAAGTAGGGAGGGCCTAAAATTCATGCTGCCCTCATGGAAGCTATGCCCAGATAAGGGGATGTGTCTGCCCAGAGGAAGGGATGCTTTGCTAATTCCCCCAGAAGGGTCTTTGGGGGAATTAGCAAAGTCATCCTCATCTCTTCTCTTCCTTATACCCATTCTCAGCCCACCAACCCTCGAGTTCACTGTACTCCAGCATAGGAGGCTTCTTTCTGTCCCAGGAGCACACCATGCAAAGTGTCTTTCTCCCTAGGGAATTAGTCTTTTCTATTCCTTTTGCTTGGGATTCTCTCTAGATCCTTCTTCTGATGGCTCAGATCTCATTTCAAAAGCCACCTCCTCCAGGAGGCCCTCCCTGATCACCCTAGCTTAAGTAATTGACCACTTTCTATCATAGCACAATATTTTGTGTTTTTCATAGCATTTCTCCACTTTAAAATTATTTACTTGTTGGGAGAAGCCACCTGAGATGGGCCCTGATCATCCCCTGTAGGGTGTTACAGGTGATGGCAAGAAGGCAAGGTTCTAGTGACTCTTTTCCTGGGCTACTTTTCAGGATTGCTTTTTTTTTTCTTGAAATTTTATTTTAGATACAGGGGTACACATGCGGGTTTGTTACATGGGAACATTGCACAATGCTGAGGTTTGGAGTATGAATCCCATCCCCAGGTAGTGACCACAGTACTGGAGAGGTAGCTTTTTTGGTTTTGCTTTTTGTTTTTTTCAGATAGAGTCTCACTCTGTTGCTCAGGCTGGAGTACAGTGGCACAATCTCGGCTGACTGCAACCTCCACCTCCCAGGTTCAAGTGATTCTCCTGCCTCAGCCTCCTGAGTAGCTGGAATTACAGGTGCCTGCCACCAGGCCCAGCTAATTTTTGTATTTTAATAGAGGGAGGGTTTCACCATGTTGGCCAGGCTGGTGTCGAACTCCTGGCCTTAGGTGATTCCCCCGTCTTGGCCTCCCAAAGTGCTGGGATTACAGGTGTGAGCCACCAGGCCCAGCCTGGAGAGGTGTTTTTTTTTAAAACCATCCCCACTCAACCCACTAGTAGGTCTGTTGTTCCCATATTTATGTCTATGTGTACTCAATGTTTAGCTCCCACTTATAAGTAAGGATTCTGTTTTTAATGAGCACCTGGAGAGAGTGGGGTCACATCTCCCCGTGGACACAGAGCAGACTCGCTCACTGCTCACCTTCAAAGCGCTGAATCCTTGAGGCTCTGTGTTGCCCTCCTGTAACACAGCCCACTGCGTGACAGACACTCATCATGGGACAAGTGTCCACTCCCTGGGGATACGGAGGTGTCGGGAGAACTGTCAAGAGTAACAGGGAAAACAGCACCAGCTTCTGTGTTGGCAGCTCTTGATCTGCACGAGGAGCTGAACCGGCAGCCTCCTCCATATCCTCTTCTCCCATGCTCACAGCAGTCAGGCAAGGACACCTAATTATCCCGCTCTGAGACCAGGAGCAGCGAGGTGACTTAACTCAGCCACACAGAGCTGGTGAGGGCTGGAGGTGAGAGGAGGGGGACCTGGAGCTGAGTCTCGGGCCGGGCCACCTGCATGCTCTTGGGCAGTGTGGTGCGGGGATGGAGTCGGGGACTGCACCTTTGGGATCCTGGAACAGTTTCCAGAGTGCTGTTACGCCAAGTGCTAGATACATAATTCATGTGTGCAGAGAACTTGGGATCTGTGAGAAGGAACATTCCGTTCCTTAAAAGGCTCTTAGCCTTAAGGCCATAGCAGGGGGGCAGGACCTTGTCACTATGCCTCATCTGGGGCCCAGATGAAGAAGGCAGGGGTCCACAGAGGCCTTGGGGTGGACGACTGGCCTCCCTGGGAAGCCCTTAAAAGGGTTTAAGAATTCATGAGCTTCTCGCTGAGTGATCTCATACATTATTGAAGGCACATCACAGGGGGTGGACATGGCCCATGGCCCACCCTTTTCTAACAGGCAGAAGCAGTTGAGGCCAGCAGGGATGGCAACATGCACAGGAAATCCTGCTGTCCTTCGAGGCCTGGCCCCAACACTCCCTTCTGTGTCCACTCACTCAGTAAGACACATTTTTTTTCCCTGACCACTCTCTACAGGGTGTCCCACCCACCTGCACTTTGGAAAAGGTGATCCCTGGACCCTAGTATCTGAATATCTGGATCACCAGGGGACCTTGTTAAAACACAGATTTCTCCTGAACCAGGTTCTCCGGAAGGGGGGCTGTGTAATATGGATCTTACAGGTTTTCCAGGTGAGTCTGATGCCCACTCATCTTTCTCCCAATCCAAATTAAGCCTTCTCTTTTCTAGGGCTCCCTAGGACTCTGCTATGAAATTGCAATTCAACTCAATTTGATTCAATTTAAATCAATTCAAATTTAATAAGAATTTACTGAGCATATCACACTATGCCACACACAAGATGGACAGTAAACTACAAAAAATGGAGGTTCAGAAAGGTTAACTTGCTCGGGTCACTGAGCAAATATGGGCAAATCCAGGATTTGAATCCAGACCCAGATGAGTCTAAAGTCCCAATGTCTTCTATGCTATTGTATCTATATTTTAGTCAGACCAATGCAAAAACAGAAAGAATTATAAAGTGAGGAAGAATTAATCTATTCCTTCACCTATTCATTCTTTTATTCAGCAGGTATTCCATTCATCTATCCAATATGTGTTTCCTGAACACCTACGATGTGCTGAACACTGTGTGCCTGGAAGGGGTGGCCAGAGTGGCAGAGTTTCAACAGCAGTGACAAGCAGCTGAAGTATGGCCAAAAGTTGCCTATTTGGGAGGCTGAAGAATCAGGTTTGCATCTTGGCTCTGACCCTGGTAGCTGATGACATCAGGCAAGCGACTTAGCCTTTCTGAGCCAAGCTTTTTCATCTGTAAAAGTGGAGGGCTGAATGAAATGGTGGTAAGAGTGCCCAGCGCCATACCTGGCACAGAGTAGGCACTCTATCAGTAGAAGTATAGAAGGAAGGTTATGTGTGCAGGAATTGCTCATGTGCTTATGTTTGTTCTAGTTTTAACAAATATTCTGCTAGAACAAGTGCACCAGAGGATTACAGAGAAAGAGGCAGGATGGCTTTTTCTTTATCCACGAAACATGCCAGCACCTGGAGACGCTGGGCTTAAATGGAGTGCTCTGAGAATGCTTCACCAATGAATAAACTAATGAGCTCATAAGCATCTATGGCTGGGTAAGTGGATGGATGAAAGTAGGCAGAAGAATGCAGAAAATAAACATCTCCCTCTGCCCACCTCAATGGCCCCACTTGCTTTCCTTTGTCCATGCACACCCATCAGGGCTGAGAGTTATAATGAGTGATTTTCAGATGGACAGAAGCTCACCTGTTGGCCCCAGTTTCCTCACTGTTGCCGGGTTTCTGCAGCTTGGGAAAGAAAAGGGCACTAGGAGCAGGATGCCCTGGCCATTGCTACACTTGGAGAATTAAATGTCCACATTTTCTAGCATGATTTCTTAATGTGAGAGCAGAGGAACCCTCACATGCAATCATTCATTTACTCCAAAGCAATTACTAAGCTCCTACCAAGAGCCAGGCATTGTGCCGGGGTCCCCGGGGGTGAATATACCTTCCTGGACCACAGTTCCACAGGAGGAAAATGAACCAAGTTGATAAATGGAAACAAGGCCACACCCAGCATTAAAACAAAGTGCAGACTGCAGTGTCCAATATGGTGGCCATCAGCCACATGCGGCTACTCAGCCCTTGAGACACGGCAAGTCCAAGCTGAGATGTAAGTGTAAAATACACGACTTCTAAGACCTAGTCTAAAAAAATTAATGATTTTTAATATTAATTACATGTTGACATGACAATACTTTGGATATAATGGGCTAAAGGGAATATAATTAAAATTAATTTCACCCATTTCTTTTCAATGTTTTTAAAGTGGCAACTAGAACATTTTACATTGTACAGATGGCTTGCATTCTGTTTCTGTTGACAAGCACTGGCATAGTCCATTCACAGCACAGCTCATCTTTGAGGCTGAGCTAGGGTGCAGGAGAGCTGGAGGGGGCTAGGCTGGCTTTGTGGTCCTCGAGGATGACTGGTTTGGGACACGTAAGCAGAGGGAACAGACAAAGTGCTCCAGCAAGGGAGCCAGCACAGGCAATTCTAACAGAATAAAGCCCTCGTTTCCCAAGCAGACAAAAGAGAGCCATTTCAAATGCAGCCATGCTCGTTTTGCTCTCTAAGGAAGATGACAGCCCCCTCTACCCTGGCATCCCAGGCCTGGACCCAACACCTTTACTGGGAGCTGGGATGTGAATGCTCACCCTCAGGAATCCCACATCCCCCTCAGAAATCCCAATCCCAACCCCTGCTGCATGCCTGCCAGCTTCTCCCACATGCCAAGAGGAAAGTGTCTCCTCCCCAAAGCCCCAGCTAAAACCTTCCATGCCACCCACACTTGCTTTTCTTCACAGGAAACTTGCAAATCTTCAGGCGCCATCCCCAGAAGGCAATTGCTGTTTTTGTTTCCTTTGTTGGCTGCACCTTCAAAGAGTCTGGTGAACTCGTTTTAATTAAAGTGCCTGATGCACTGGGAGGAAATAATGGGGGAACATGCAGCTCTGCTGGGGAGGGTGGCAGGGTGGTGATGCAGGAAGCAAATTGTAAGATACTTCTTCCTGCAGCTCTGCCTGCCCAGGGCAGCCACATCCCATCATCTTGCAGAACAACAACAATAATGACGACAGTGATCACGTGGTCTCCAGCCTGCTCCTGTCTCCCTGCATGTTGATTTTCCCAGCCCCTTAGCACCCATCACATAGTTTACTTCCCAGAGCAGCCCTGCAAGGCAGCCCAGGCCAGGGGAAGGTGTCTGCATTCGGAGAGGAGGAGCAACTTTCCTAATGTCACCTAGCTCATGATTGGAAGGGCAGGCCTTGAACTCAGCATCTGGGCTGGCGATTGCCACTGCCTCATGTCCCACTGCTTCCTGGAGTAAGTTGAGTCCCTTGGGAACCTTGCAGGGCGAGAGCTCGGCCCAGATCCTGCCTCTGCCCAGACCTAGCAACTTAATCTCAGGAGCCTCTGTTTCTTTCTACATTGCATAAAATGGAGCTAATACCACTGACCTCACAGGACAGCCAGGACTGGACTGTAATCTCAGTGCCTCTGTTTGAGCCCCTCACTTGCCCTGTGATGCTCCTCACATCACCTAGGACATGATATCCTGACATCTTGATGTCTGAGCTCCTCAGCATGGCTGCCCCAACCCTTCCAGTTCTGCCCTCCCTCCGGCCTCTTAACTCCTCTTTTTCATTTCTCTCTTTGCCATCTCTTTGAACTAATTTGTCCTCTCTAAACAAGCCATGTTCCCTCTGCACCCTCAGCCTTTGCCCATGGCGTCCCTTCCTCCTAGAGCATATTTCTCCCATCTCCTTCTCCTTCTGCTGCATCCTCCTCCTCCTTCATGGCTCCGTGAAGACATCCCTTCCTTCAGAACCTGCTGGGGCTCAGTGGGTACTCGGTTTCTGTGCCCACCCTCCTTGGAGCACTCATTGCTTACCATACCAGATACATCTCCCTACACCCTGAAAGTCCCTGGAAGATAGGCTCCTGGCTTCCTCACCACTGGGACCCAGTAGCTGTCTCTTGGACTGGGGCTAGAGGTGAGCAAGGATTTGGAACCAGTCTGGCCTAGGTGCTGTTATGCATGTCCCAAAACGATACGTTGAAGTCCAAACCCCTAGAACCTGTTGAATGTGACTTTATTGGAAGTAGGATCTTGCAGAGGTTACCAAGTTAACATAGATCATTAAGGTGAGCCCTAATCTCATATGATTAATGACTTATAAGAAGAGGAGAAGAGACACAGAGACTCACAGGAAGAACAACGCATGCTGATGAAAGCAGAGAGGGAACCGATGCCACTGTAAGCCAAGGAATGCCAAGGCCAGCCGGCCACCACCGAAAGCAGGGAAGAGGCAAGGAAGGGTTCCACTCAGATTCTTGGGGAAGCACAGCCCTGCTGACATCATGATTGGGGGCTTCAGGCCTTCAGAAGTGTGGAGAACAAATTTCTATTGTTTTCAGCCACCCAGTTTGTGATACTTGGTTGCAGTAGCCCCAGGAAATGAAAAGAGATATTAAACTCTACAACTCATGGTGTCTAATCTTGAACAATTTGCTTATGCTCTGTGCTTCAGTTTTCTGTAAAATTAGGATGATAATTATAGTTCTCACTTTGTGGATTTGTGAGAATTAAATGAATTAATAGTGTAAAGCCAAGTAAACAAAAAGGATATATATGAATTAGCTGTTACTATTATTTGTAATAATAGGTGCTAAAAATTTTATGTTGAAAAAATAAGCAGAAGAAAGACACATAGTAGATGTTCCAAAAGTGTTCATTCCCTCCCTTTTTGTGCTCTCCAAGTACAGCTACCATGTAAGCCTGGCACCTTATAGTGGGCATGTGTTGTTTGTGCCTGTCCAGTCTTCATTCTCCCTCCTCTGGTTACTGTGCTCCAGTTTTCCCTGTCAACGACTCTCTGTCCAAGGGGTTTAGCTGGGGCTAATCCTATTCTCCATCACCATGGATGATTTTACTCAGGGGAGGACACATGATCCCAAGGTGGTCCAATGAGAGTGAGCCTTGGAGTTTTGACTGGAAAGAGAAACGGTCTGCCTGAGAAGTTGCTGACCTGATAGGCTATAAATGGGAAACTGCTAGCAGCCGTCTTCCTACCAAAGCCAACCTGTAGGGAAGCAGAGCTGAGAGATGAAGAGAGAGTTTCCAATAACAGCATTTGAGCATCTGGATCCTTTGGGGCCTGAAGGCGTATCTACCCCTGGACTTTTCAGTTACCAGAAAAAATAAATTAGAGTTTTTGTCTCCTGCAACCAAAAGCTCTTACTCAGTGTTAAAGTTGGTAGCAGAAGTGGGGTGTTGCAAGTGATAGAACCTGGAATGAAGGATCAGCTGAATGGGACTAGTGCGAGAGTGACGAGGATTTCTCTAACTGCAGGTGAGAAGTTGGCCTTCCCTGTTATGCAGGAGCAAATTAGCTGGCTGAGAGTTGCTTGCGTGTCCTGGGGCCCCGTGCTGGGGCCCCGTGCTGACTGGTATTGAACTTTAAGAGATATGGCAGGAAAAAGGATCTTGGAGCATGCTGGCTGCTTCTTACAGACTTCAGTAAATCCTTACAAGAAAGAGATGAGCTTTGATGGGAGCTGGCACATCCAAGTGGTGAGAAAGAATAAAATCTGGCTTTCCTACAAGAGGCTTTATTTGGTCTCTGGCCAATAATCGAAGTTGACCAACAGTCAGATAATCTTTCTCCTTACAGAATTAGAAAAACCAGCTCTATTCCTTAATCAGGTTAATTTGGGGGAAAGAAACAGAGCAAGACATGTAGGATCCTGGAAAAGCATGACATCCACTTCACACTCCAACCCCTCCAAGTATCAATCTCATGTCCCATGTGTGCCAACCACCAGGGTAAGATTTGCTCCAGAAAAAGACATCACTGGGATTTAGCCTGGGCACAGAGCAGGTGAGAAAGTTCACCTCTCTACACTTTGTTTGTTAGGTTGCCTAAACAAGGTGGTGGCCACATTGTTGAGGGATGATTGGGGTTGAGAGGGAACAGAGGGAGGCCTGCTTCTAATCTGTAGAATTTCCCAAGCTGTGCACAACCTGCAGGCAAAGACTAGACTTCAAACAGACTTCTAGCTTTGGGTGCTGGTCCATGGAGTTGTCCAGACATAATAGACCAGAATCTTAATGAGTTTGCAATTTACTGGACTTCTAGAGAAATCCCAATCATGGGAATTAAAAGCCTGATTTACTCAACCCCCAAGACAATGATGAAGTTTTGAGCCTACACCAACAAGAATTGGATTGCCAAAGACATGTAACTGTCAAAGGAGCAACCTTCATGATCCAGCAGTAAAGGTCAGCAGCTGAGGGGGATCTCCCCAGAGAGCAGAAACAGGGGCAACCAAACATGGCTAAGCAAGGAACTCATCCATTGCCAGGAGGAACTCCTAGAGGCTATGCATAAGCTAAATAATGTGAAGTGACAGTCTTATGTTGTTTCCTCTTTTCCCAAAGGGATTTTTCTTGCAATTTTTCTTTTTTATTCTCTCTCCACTGTTGTACAAGAGATAGGCTGAGTGGGGGAGGAGTTCAGTTGTAGGTTGCTGAACCTCGAGAAACTACATTCAGATCTAATGGAGATTAGTGAAATTTGCCCATTTTGTGGAATTGGATATGGATATGAACATGACTTTAGGTTGTCTCTCTTTGGGGTAGGAGAGAGGGCAGTGTTTGGTTGAACATGATTTGTTGCATTCTGTTAGGTGCAGGCATTTTTGAGGGTGTCGGAAGACTGGTATATGGAAGTTGGACAGTCAGAGGGCAGGATGTAGTTGACATCTATTGTTTTTGCCTGCCTCACACCCACCCTGGCCTTTTTTTGCTCTAAAAACTCTGCTTTTCTTCTGAAAACCTTGCCAACAGTCACACAGAGTGGTTAGGTCAGGTTGACAACTTCTCCATCTCCCAGCTTCTCAACCTTGGAGGTTACTTTAGAACTATCAGTGATTACATCTCACAATCTACCAGGGATGGACATATTCCAAGAAGAGTCTAGAAATACTCTCTCTGGACCAAGGGAGAAAAAAAAGGTTTCCTTTCCTATCTGTATGAACTCTTGGATTCTTATTTTATTCAATGAACTACAGTCTTACTATTGTCTTAGTCTGCTAGCAATGCCATAATACAATACCATAGACTGGGTGGCTTAAACATCAGAAATTAATTTTCTCCCAGTTCTAGAGACTGAAAGTTCAGTATCAAGGCGCCAGCATGGTTGGGTTGCAGGTGACACCATCCACTGTGTCTTGATGTGGTGGAGAAAGAGGTAGCAAGCTCTCTGGTGTGTCTGTTCTTCAAGGGCACTAACCCCATCACGATGGCCCTACCCTCATGACCTCATCTAAACCAAATCACCTCCCAAAGGCCCCGTCTCCAAATGCTATCATCTTGGGGATTAGGGCTTCAACATAAGTATTTGGGGACACAATTGAGATCGCAACAAGAATCATTATTCTAATGCTCACATTGTCAAATCTGGCCATTCAAATCGATTCAAGTTGGGTTCTGTGTCCTTTTTATATGCTCCCATCATTTTTCTTTTTGAGCACTTACTTACTTCTCAGACACAATTAGATGTTATAGGCCCATGTCATACTTTTTCTGTCTCCACCTAGGGACCAGTCATTCTTCCAAGGAGCCTTGGTTTCTTTTAGTGGGATTGACCTTTAGAAACCAGTATCTAGTAATTGTTGGGTTTTTGAGCCTAGAATCTGGCAACACTTGGGACTGATGAGCTTCTCTGGTAGCTCAGAGACCTTGGGAGTAATTCTTCATCTCTGACTCTCATCTGTAAGATGCAAACAGTGGGCCCCAGTTTCAACCATTCTATTTTTTGCTACAATATACTTTGTTCAAAGAAGTTCGGTGGGTAATACAGATGTGACTGAAGGAGTGTTTGAGAAATTAATTGATGTCTGGCTTCTTCGACTGCTGAGGACTCTTCAGGAAAAGTGAAAAGGAATTTGTCCATCCTTACACCAATAGGATGGGCAGCCAGGCTTTCAGTTCCAAGTTGGAGGCTCTCTTGCCTCAAAGAGATTTAATAACTTTGTGTTTTTCATGACTAAGCTGATTCTTCTCATAAAAGAAATAGCCTATTTCTGAGCTTTGAGAAGGGGCATGGAGTGGTCTTGAGCTTGGAAAGGGGCTGATTTAGGGTGTCCTGGAGTGGAGGATGGCTGGACTCTGTTCCCACAAACAGCCACTGAGGATGAGAATAGTGAACACAGGTACCACAGAGGAGAGTGCAGATCTCTCTCCCAATTTTAGGGTCTGAGTAAGCTTTGGGGTTTCTGGTTTAACTGAAGGAGGTGGGAGGGAATCCTCCAGTGTTAGATATTAGGCTTTTCAGAAACTTTTATGAGAGCAACTCAGAGCCGGATCTGATTTGACGTTTTAAAATTTTATTTTCTAAGTGTGATATTTTGTGCTGATATCTGCATGTGGGAGGCGGGGGTGGTATTTATACCTGGCATATAGATTTTTTAAAAAAGAGTTCTCTGGTTGAAGAAGGATGTCCAAAGGCATATGGAATTTTCCACATTTTATGAACACACAGTGCTGAGATTTGACATGTGGCATGGCCATGCCTGCTCCCAGGTGTTAAAGAGGAAACATCTCAGGACCTGGACTTCAAAGAGTTTCCTCATTTGTAAAGTGAGCTCAGTGATGGTACTTCATAGGGTTGTCATGAAATTAAATAAAAGTGCCTGTTTCAGTACCTGCACATAGCCATGCTCAAAAAAGGCTATTATTATTCTTAGTTTAATAGTTAATTGACTTACTTTTTTTATTTGTTCATGAGCTCCAAGTCCTAGATCTTTTCAGTGACCTTAAGGCATACAGCCTGCCTGACCCACTTCCCAGTCTTTGGCTCAGGGTGTCCTAAAGACAGATGCCCCAAGTAAATATCCAGGCCACCACAAATCATCACTGTCCTCAGCTCCTCCACAGGGAGCTCTTTGTCTTACATTCCATACATGTAAACCAATCTTGCCATCACCTGGTTGAGAAGGGTGAGCATGAGCATGAGTGTTTGAGCCATTGGCATTGCCAGAGGGGCTCCACCTTGCATTGCCTTGGGAGGGGTACCCTGCCACTTAATGGGGCACAGGCAGGTTTCATGGGTATCCTGCCTTCTCTCCAAAGAGAGGCCTGGCAGCAGGAGACAGAATCCCAGGGCGATGACCTTGATTTCCAGTGATGGATTACTATGCTAATTAGCTAATTGTTTCCCAAGCTGAATATCATCACTTTGGGGAATCTACTGATGCATTCATTCCAAGTGAGCCTGTGTTATCATCATGAATACCCTCTTGGACCTGCCGACTGGGGCAGCACATCTGTTCATTCCACACTCTGGAGAACTTGGTTTGCTGAGCTGTACTCTGCAAAGTTGCTGGAGTGCAGGCTTCCTCTGTCTAATTATTCCCCCATCCCTCAGTGTTGCCCTCAACCACTTGATCCAAGAGGCTGAGTTGAGGGTTGCCCTCAACCACAGATCCACCACGTCTGCGCATGAGCCAGTGGGCAGCAGAAGTGGACACCTTTCAGTCTCAGAGACTCCCTATGCCTGATATCCATGAGCCTCCTACTGCCATTTCAGTAAGTCCATTTGTATTTGAGCTCACTTGAGTAGTTTTCTATGCCTTGCAGTTACATATCTCTAGCATATCCTAATTCTTAGGAAAAAAAAAGTCAGTGAATTAAATTTTATCAAGTTTAAATTTTTCTTCCATGATTGAAGACAGAATAAGAAATGGACCTGCTATTGTGATGACTGTCATCAGAACTGAATATCTTAGCCCAGGCATCAGGCTTCCCTGTCCATTATGTGTGTGTGGAGCTCATGCTATTATTATTAATTTTAGCCATTGCACTTTTATTCACATTTTGTATTTTGGCATTTTCCAGAGAAGGACAAACAGGAGACAGGGTGGCAGAAAGACTGAGGTAGAAAGGCAAGGGGAGTCCCCATTTTCCTCATATCCTTCCATATTAGTCCATGTTTACACTGCTATAAAGAACTTCCTGAGACGGGGTAATTTATAAAGAAAGGAGGTTTAATTGACTCAGAGTTCAACATGGCTGGAGAGGCCTCAGGAAACTTACAATCATGGCAGAAGGGGAAGCAGGCATGTCTTACATGGTGGCAGGAGAGAGAGAGCGAGCGAAGGGGGAAGAGCCCCTTATAAAGCCATCAGACCTGGTGATAACTCACTCACTATCACGAGAACAGCATGGGGAAAACCACCCCCATGATCCAATCACCTCCCACCAGGTCCCTCCCCTGACACATGGGGATTACAATTCAGATTACAATTTAAGATGAGATTTGGGTGGGGACACAGCCAAACCATATCACCCCCTCCTTGTACAACCACACAGAGGGCAAACACAAAGCAGGAGGGAAGGCACAGATTCTCCCTCCCCTGGAAGAGGATGCACGACGCTACACCCATGCATGCACACAAACAAGATCCCTTCCCTCCATGCCAGGGGGCTAGGCAGGGTGATGGAGAGAAGCAGAGCACTATGGATTCCGGGGGCAGGGGAAGCAAGAAAGTCTCCTTATGGATCAGTGGTTGGTCCCTCCTGTCCCCTTCCTGCTCCATCCCCAGAGTCTATTGACTGCTCCTCTGCTTTGCCTGGTCATTCTCTCATGGCCTGCAGCTTCTTCCTGCTGCTGGGGACAAAAGGAAAAAGGCTACAGAGTAGGGGGGCTGAAGTCCATCCCTCAGTTCCTCTCCTTCATGCTAGGTGGTCTTCCCTTGCCCTCAGGCTACATAGGGGTAAGGGCAGGCTCTTAGCTGGCCACTCTCTGGTAGAAGTAGATGTATTCCAGGTCCTTGGGTGGCTTCTCAGAGGCACCCACTTTCTGGTGGTTGTGGATCACCCATCTGCCCTCCTTCTTGATGTGGCAGATGTAGTGACCACAGATGGTAGAGGTGCCCATATGACTAATGAAGGCAAAGACCCGATATTTTCCAGGTCCTTCTGAGACTTTAGTCCCACTGGCCCAGACTCAGAGATGGAGTTGGCAGCTGAACGGCCCTCTGAGATATCCATGGCAGCTTCAGCGTTCAGGTTCTCAGTGTAGTTAACATTATTTATTCTTCTGCTCCAAAATAGGATGTGAGGAGAACATTTTGAAGTATTGACACATATATTTTTTGATTCTAGATAATTACTTTTTACCCACAATCATTCTAACACTAAAAGTGTACTAGGTGACAGAGGCTTACAGCCTCAGGGGAATGGCCAACCTTTGAGAAAACGAAGTTGTCAATTGTGTTCCTGTGTACATTATTTTTATACTCTTAGCCAACACAACAGTTGTGAAAGACAAAGTTTCAATCAATTGTAAAAGCAAGTGTTTTGTTGAAGTTACAAAATTTTGCCGTTGAACATTAAGGGTCAAAACCTGAAGGACTCAATACACAAAAAGTATCACATAAACAACAAAATTTAGAAGAATGCAGGGTGATGTAAGAGCTAGTTTCTGGACAAAAGCAGATAAAATTGATAGGCTAGGGAAAGAGGGGTCAGAGGGTACATAACAATAGGTTGATTGAAGCTGAGGAAGGAGAGTTTTGATATCTCAGAGAAGTTTTGGAGGATTCGGAACCAAGAGACTGGCTTCCCAAGGGTAACCTGGGCTGACGGCACCCCTTGGAGAGAAAGCCCTGGAGGGTGGAGCAGCAAAGGTGCTGGGTTATGTACCATATAGAATTGCCTTATTCAATCCTATGGTTGTATTATTATTATTCTCATTTACAGAAAAGATTTTGATTCACAAAGGCTAATCACTTCTTTCAGACTCTGTATCAATCAGGATAGGTTGGGTTACGCTGTAAGCAACAGCAAAGTCTCAATTGCTTAAAATATCAAACGGTATTTCTCATTCATGTTGTATATTCACAGCAAATTGGAAGCGGAGTTCTGCTTATTGTACTCAAGGAGGAAAAGGAGGAGAAAGAGAAGGAGGAGAGGGCAGAATTCCAAGACCCAGGCTGATGGGAGCAACCACCATCTCGAGTGTTGTCAGTTGCCATGTAAGAGAGAAAGAAACATTAGAAGACCTCAGACTTCTCTGGGACAAAAGTGATATAGATCGTTTCTCACAACTCTTGACAATAAATAGCTACATGGCCCCATCTACCATATGGAGGCAGGAAGTGTGGTCTACCAGATAGCCAGAGGAAGGAGAAAGCTCTGTATCCATGGGTAGCACCAAAGATCATCACATTCCAAAGATTAAGTGGCCAATCAGAGATTCAAATCCCAGATCTGCCAAGCATCCATTAATCTATCCATCTACCCATCCACCCATCCATCTGCCCACCCATCCATCCATCCATCTGCCCATCCATCCATCCATCCATCCATCCATCCATCAATCCGCTCACCCACCTATCCATCCATCCATCCATCAATCCACTCACCCACCTATCCATCCATCCATCCATCCATCCATCCATCCATCCATCCATCTATCCATCCATCTATCCATCCATTTATCCATCCGCCCACTCATCCATCCACCCATCCATCCTGCATTCAACAAATATTTTGAGCACCTTTTTCTCCCCATTCTCCTTCTCTCTCTCTCCTCCTTCTCTTCCCTCTTCTCCACTACTGTCCTTTTCTCCCTCTTTTTCCTTGTCCTCCTTTTTCAATTACTACCTTATTATTACTTACACTGAGAGAAATTGTAGTCACTTCTGGAGGCCAAATGACTAAGAACACATTTATGCCCTCTTTCCTTACAGAGCTCATGATCACCATGTGGAAGAACCAAATGACTAAATAGGTGATCAAAATATGTTGTGAAAAGAGCTAGAATGTGCCAGACATTACAGAGGCACAGAGGGCAGGCAAATAACCCAACTTAGGGGGTAGCAAAGGTTTATGGGAGAAAGAAATACCTAATTGAGACTGGAAAGATTATTAGGTGAAGGTGAAGGAGAGGAAGGACAGGGGTGTGGAGTGAGACTGGAGAGGTAGACAAGGGACAGGTCATGGCAGACTGGGAAGCCACATGGAGTCAGGACTTTATTCCAAGGATGGTGTTGTGGGTTAATCAGGCTTATTTCAAAAGATAACACTCCTGCTAATAGGAGAATGACATTAAGGAAGGCACCAGTTAAGAGATCAGCTGGGAAAAGCTTATAGTCATTCTCGGGCACAGTCTGGATGTGGCTGTGATCATGGGATGGATAGCAGTCAGCAATTTCCTGAGACATTTATGAGAGAAAATTAAGAAGCCTACTCACTAGGACTGGGGATTGATTAGATATGGGAGGTGACATAGAAGGAAAATGCCCAGGTTTCTGGTTTGGCCAAGCAAGTGGGCAGTTTTGCCCACTCTTTCCCAAGGTGAGGATGCTGGAGGAGGAGCAGAGTGGGAAAGGCATGTCCAGTTTTAAGCACATGGTAGTTGAGGTGTACATGGACCATCCCGGTGGAGAGGTCTGGTAGGCAACAGACATGCAGCTCTAGGGCTCGGAAGAGAATGCTGGGGTGGAGAAAGAGCTGTGGGAGCTGTCGTGTCTAATTACAAAGCCTGGGAGGATAAATGCTGTAATGAACAGGCAGCCTGGCCCAGACTGAGTGCCTGGAGGGATTGTTTATTCAACACTTAAGGCATACTTACTCCATGCCGGGAACTGCTAGCCATTGAGAATTCCACAGTGAATATCTTATCTGTGGTTCCTTCCCTTTGAGTCTAGTGGATCCCTCCTAGTTTCAAGAGTCCATAGGTAACAATATATTTTTAAAATACAGTATTTACATTACTGTGGGAAACCACTGCTTCTCTTTCCTGGGGATTTTCAATTAGACACAGACACACACACACACTCACACACACACATGCACACACACTGCAGCAATCATCCATGCAAAGTAAAGCAGGCCATTGATTATGGTAACTAAGGTTGTCCAGCATTGCTTTAAAAATATTAATATTTCTGCCAAAGAAATCCTGCGTAGCTTCAGAATCACATCTATCGGCTACCTCCTGAAAGGGAGGGTTGTTGGCAATCAAGATAAATGAGCCACGGAAGGGGTATATATCAGCCAGTTCAATCCACCAAACAGAGAAATAATGCTGGAGACAAGTCTCTGAGACCAAAAAGCAACTAACTTACAAAACGAAAACCTGAGCACTAGTACTCAGCATTCAGCCCCATACTGCACTGTACAGGAAGGCTCCAGGCTGCCACTTGGCAGAAAAATCTCCAGGAGTTGTCCGTATTCTGCAAAACTCGACCTAGGAATTTCATTTTACGTGTGTCTTAGTGAAATAAAAACACATGGCATAGGAAAGCAAGTACAGGAATATTTACTGAAGCAATGCTATAACAGCAAGAAAAGGAAAGAAAATGAACAAAAGAATCAACCTCAGTGACCATCAATTAAGGACTAGATAAACAGATTAGAATATATTTATAGTGTGAAACTATGCAGTACTCAAATTACTCCCTGTACTAACATATAAGGATTCTAAGGCATTAAGGAAAAAACAACCCATCTTAAAATTAAGATATAATGCACAGAAAGCAAAATTTATCCTTTTTAGTGTACAATGTTGTGAGTTTTGGCAAATGTAGGCGGTTGTGTAATCATCACCAAAACTATGAATAGAAGAGTTCCATCACCCACCCCCAGAGTGTACCCCATGTTCCTTTGTAGTCAGCCACTACAACCATCCCAGCTACAAGCAACCACTGATCTGTAATCTATCCCCATAATTTTGTCTTTCCGAGAGTGTCATAGAATGAAATTATACAGTATGTAGTCTTTTGAGTCTGGCTATTTCACTTCGTGTAATGAGTTTGATATACACCGATGTCATTGTGTTTCAGTAGTTCATTCTTTTTTATATTGCTGAAGGGTATTCCATTGTATGAATGTGTAAGTTTGTTTATCCATTCCCCATTTAAGGAACTTGAAGTTGTTCTCCTGCTCTTTTCTTCCCTTGCCCCTCCTCTTCCTTACTTGGCTTATAAAAAAATGAACCCACTATAAGCACTCACACATAGTTTTAAAAAATTGAGCTATAACTCACGTGCCTTTAAATACATCATTTTAAAGTGTACAGTTCAGTAATTTTTTCTGTATTCAGAGAATTGTGCAACCATTATCATTGTCTAATCCCAGAACACTTTTTTCACACCAGTAAGAACCCCATATCCATTAGCACTTACTCCCAATTTGCTTCTGCTGCCAGCCTATGGCAACCACTAATCTATTTTCTGTCACTATTGATTTTCCCCTTTCAGTATATAAATGCACTCACAAAATATATGGCATCTTGTGTCTGGCTTTTGTCACTTAGCTTGTCTCAAGTTTCATCACTGTTGGAGATGTATCACTACTTTGTTTCTTTTTATAGCGGGAATATTACATTGTATAGGCACACCACATTTTGTTTATTCATTCATTAGTTGACGGATATTTAGGTTGTTTACTTATAGCTATTATGAATAATTCTGCTGTGAACACTCATGTACAATTTTGTATGAACACGTTTTCAATTCACTTTGAGTGGAATTGATAGCTCTCAGGATAATTCCATATTTAACTTGTTGGAACTGCCCATTTTTTTTTCTAGTGTGGCTGTACCGATTTATATTTCCACCAGCAATGTATGAGGGTTCCAATTTCTGCACATCTGAGTTATTCAATACTTGTTATTGTCTGTTTTGTTGATTATAGTGTCTAAGTAAAATGAACAATAGAGATGAATCTTTACATTTAAAATGTTTTATTTGGAAAGCAAGAATTGCGATTCAGGGCACACACACAGACCAAGTGGTCCTCAGCATGTCCCAAAGAGAATGTTGGAAATTTTATTAGAAAGAGACATATTCTGTATTGTTTTGAAAGAAGTTCATTTGCACTAGAGAAGCTTTTGGGAGATAGCAAGCTTCTTGCTAGCTCTGATTAGTGAGTGATGGTGGTAAGTAAAACCAGTGTTAGGGTCCCAGCAGGTTGTTTCAGCAGCTGCTAGGTAAAGCTGTTCTTGGAGTTACAGCAGGCCATTTAGGCACCTGGGCCTGTGGAAGATTTAATTCTTGGAGCAGGTGCTACGAGCTCCCAGGGCTTTTTCCCCGTAGCCCCCTTGACTGATTTATTTGGGTATGACAAGAATGACCCAATTTGAATAATTAACTTTCACACTAGCAATCCTAGTGGATGTGAAATGTTGTCTCACTATTTGAATTTCAGTAATGGTTAAATTATGTTAAGCATTTTTATGTGCTCATTGGCCATTTGCATATCTTAATTGGAGAAATGTGTATTCAAATTTTTGCCAATTTTTAAATTGCGGAATTTGTCATTTTATTGTTGAATACTAAGAGTTCTTTATGCATTCTAGACACAAGTCCCTTATCATATTTATGATTTGCAAATATATTCTCCCCTTTTGTAGATTTTGTGAGCTGTATTTTCACTTTCTTGATGGTATCATTTGTAGCACAAGTGTTCTTAATTTGGATGTAGCCCAATTTACGTATTGTTTCTTTTGTTGCTTGTGCTTTGGAGATTATATCTAAGAGAACATTGCCTAATCTAGGGACACATTGCCAGATCTAGGGACTTAAATCTATTTCCATTTCATCTAGATTATCTAATTTGTTGGCATACAATTGTTCACAGTATTCCTTTAAAATCCTTTTTATTTTTCAGAAGTCAGCAATAATGTCTCCTCTTTTCATTTCTGATTTTATTTAGTAATTTGAGTCTTCTCTTTTTTTTCCATCAGTTTAGCCAAAGATTTTGTCAATATTGTTAATCTTTTCAAAGAACAAACTTCTGGTTTCACTGACTCTCTCTGTTTTAAAAATTCTCGATTTCATTAACTTCTACTCCAATATTTATTATTTCTTTCTGCTGGCTTTGGGTCTGGCTTTGGGATTGCTATGACTTAGGGTGGAGGCTAGTTTATTGATTTGGGGATCTCCTTTTTTAATATACGCATTTACAGCTATAAAGTTTCCTCTTTCCACTGTTTTATCTGCATTTCATAAATTTTGGTATGATGTGTTTTCATTGTCATTCATCTCAAAATATTTTCTAATTTCTCCTATAATTTCTTCTTTGATCTATTAATTACTTAGGAGTGTTTTGTTTAATTTCCACATATTTGTGAATTTGCCAAATTTCTTTCTGTTGTTGATTTTTAATTTTATTCCATCATGGTCAGAGGAAACGTAGCAGGACGAGCTGCAGACAAAACCTCTCAGACACCGAGTTGTAGAAGGAAGGGCTTTATTCAGCTGGGAGCATCGGCAAGCTACTGCCTTAAAATCTGAGCTCCCCGTGTGCACAATTTCTGTCCCTTTTAAGGGCTCACAACACTAAAGATTTCACATGAAAGGGTCATGATTGATTTGAGCAAGCAAGGGGTACGTGGCAGGGGCTGCATGCACTGGTGGTCAGAGAGAAATAGAACAGGGCAGGGAGTTTCACAGTGTTCTTCTATACAATGTCTGGAATCTATGGATAACATTGGTTGCTAAGTCATGAGTTGATTTTTAACTACTAGGTTTAGGCCAGGCAAGCCCAGGCCTGGTTTTGGGCCTGGCACCAGGCTGCCTGTCTTTGGTTTCACTTCCTTGTTTTTTCTTAAAACAGGTACTGAGTATAAAACAATATAAAACAATATGAGAGGGTCTCTCTCTTCCCTCAGAAATACTTAGTATGATTTCAGCCAGCCCTTTTTAATTTATTGAGAATTATTTTATGGCCTAACTTGTGGTTTATCCTGGAGAATGTTCCACATACATTTAAGAAGACTTCATTTTTTTAGTGCTGAGTGGAATGTTCTATAGATGCTTGTCTTCCTCAGTGACAGACATAGCTGCTTTACAGTATTGTTCAAGTCTTGTATTTCTTTGTCTTTTGTCTATTTGCTTTGTTATTAAAAATGGGGTGGAAATTTATCACATAAAGTCCTTACTGCACCATTCCTTGTGGTGGTATCATTCATACACAGCTTTTATGTGAATATAGTTTTAATTTCACTTGGATTAATACCTTGGAGTGGGATTGTTATGCCATATGTTAAGTATGTATTTAACTTTGTGAGTGATATAGTTTGCATATTTGTCCCAGCTCAAATCTCATGCTGAATTGTGATCTTTAATGTTGGAGGTGGGGCCTGGTGGTAGGTGTTTGAATCATGGGGGCAGGTCCCTCATGAATGGCTTGGGCCAACATCTTGGTGATAAGTGAGCTCTCACTCTGAGTTTACACGAGATCTGGTCATTTTAAAGTATGTGGCACCTCCTGCTGCCCACTCTTTCTCTCTCCTTTGCTCTGGTTTTCACCGTGTGATATGCCTCCTTCCCGTTTGCCTTCTGTCATGATTGTAAGCTTCCTGAGGCCTCCCTGGAAGCTGAGGAGATGCCAGCACCATTCTTCTTGTAAAATATGTAGAACCATGAGCCAAGTAAATCTCTTTTCTTTATAAATTATCTAGGCTCAGGTATTTCTTTATAGCAATGCAAGAATGGCCTAACACGGGAAATTGGTGCCAAGGAGTGGGGCATTGATATAAAAATATCTGAAAATGTGGAAGCAGCTTTGGAACTGGTTAACAGGCAGAGGTTGGAAGTGTTTGGAGGGCTCAGGAAAAGAAAGGAAGATGAGGAAACATTTGGAATTTCTCAGAAGCTGGTTCAGTGATTGTGACCAAAATGCTGACAGTGATATGGACAGTGAAGTCCAGCAGCTGAGGTGGAAATGAGGAACTTATTGGGAACTGGAGCAAAGGTCATGTGTGTTATGCAAAGAGCTTGGCTGCATTTTGTTCATGCCTTAGGGATCTGTTGAAAGTTAGAACTAAAGAGTGACAACCTAGAGGAGCTGGTGGAGGAGATTTCTAAACAGCAGTGCTCAAGATATAGCCTGGCTGCTTCTAACAGCCTATGTTCAGATGTGCAAAGAAAGAAATGACTTAAAAGTTGGAATTTTGGAACAGTTGGAAACAGGAAGCAGAGGATAAAAGTTTGGAAAATTTTCAGCCTAGCCATGTGGCAAAGAAAGAAAAAGCTTTTTCAGTAGAGGAATTCAAACAGACTGTGGATCAATCATGTGTTAGAGATATTTGCATAATTGAAAGGGAGCCAAGTGCTAATATCCAAGACAATGAGGAAAAGGCCTCAAAGACATTTTAGAGATCTAAGAGGCAGCCCCTCCCATCACAGGCCTTGAGGCCTAGAAGGACTAAATGGTTTTAAGGGCCAGGCCCAGGGCCTCTATGCCCTGTGCAGTCTTGTGACACTCCTCCCCACATCTGGACTGCTCCAGCTCCAGCCTTGGCTCAAAGGGACCCAGATACAGCTCAGCCTGCTGCCTTGGCATCCTCTATGTCGTGTTTAGCCTTCAGGTGTGCAGAGTGCAAGAGTGAAGAATACTTGGCAGCTTCTGCCTAGATTTCAGAGGCTGTATGAGAAAGCCTGCATACCCAGGCAGAAGTCTGCTGCAGGGGTGGAGCCCCCAGAGAGACCTCTGCTAGGGCATTGCCAAGGGGAAATGTGGGGTTGGAGTCCCCACACAGAGTCCCCAATGGGGTACCACCCAGTGGAGCTGTGGGAAGGGTGCCGCAGCTCTCCAGAAGTGGAAATGGTAGAACCACCAGTAACTTGCAATCTCAGCATGGAAAAGCAGCAGGTACAGAGCTTCCTAAGAGCCCACTCCTTGCTCCAGTGTGCCTGGATGCAGGATATGGAGTCAAAGGAGATTATTCTGGAGCTTTAAGATTTAATGACTGCCCTGTTGGGTTTTGAACTTGCGTGGGGCCTGTAGCCCCTTTCTTTGGCTGATTTCTCCCTTTTGGAATGAGAATGTTTACCAAATGCCTATACCCCCATTATATCTTGGGAGGAAATAACTTGTTTTGATTTTACAGGCTCATAGGTGGAAGGGACTTGCCTTGTCTCAGATGAGACTTTGGACTTTTGAGTTTACGCCAGAATGAGTTAGGACTTTGGGGGATTATTGGGAAGGTATAATTGTGTTGTTCAATGTGAGAAGGACATGAGATTTTATGGGCCAGGGATAGAATGATAGTTTGAGTATCCATCCTCACTGAAATCTCATATTGAAATGTAATCCCCAATGTTGGAGGTGGGGCCTTGTGGGAAATATTTGGATAATGGGGGCAGATCCTTCATGAATGGCTTCAGCCATCCCTTTGATGATAAGTGAGCTCTTGCTCTGAGTTCACATGAGATCTGGTCGTTTAAAAGTGTGTGGCACCTCCCCCTCTCCATTCTCTCTTTCTTGCTGTTTCTTTCACCATGTGACATGCCTGATTACCCTTTGCCTTCTGCCATGATTGTAAGTTTCCGGAAGCCTCCCTAGAAGCTGAGCAGATGCCAGCACTATGCTTTCTGTAAAGCCTGCAGAACCGTGAACCAATTAAACCTCTTATCTTTATAAATTACCCAGTCTCAGGTATTTCTTTATAGCAATGCAAGAATGGCCTCATACAGTGAGAAAATGCCAAAGTATAAGTGTCTGTACCATTTGCATTCCCAACAGCAAGGTATGAGAGTTCCAGTTGCACCTCATCCTTACCTAAGCTTCCTGTCATCAGGTTTGCTTTTTATAAAGTTATGTTAATTGGTATGTAGCTTTATCTCATTTTGGTCCAAAATTCTATTTTCCTCATGACTAAGGACATTGAGCATCTTTTCATATACTTATTTGTTATCTGTATATCTTCTTTGATAAAAGTTCCCATTTAAATATCTTGTCTATTTTAAAAGTTGTTTGTTTATTGAGTTTTAAAAGTTCTTTATACATTAGAAACAAGTCTTTTACCTGACATGTAATGTCAAACATTTCCTCCCAGTCTGTGGCTGGTCTTTCCATTTTTTAAAGTGTCTTTCAAAGGGCAGAAGTTCTTAATTTTGATTAGGCCCTATTTATCATATTTTCTTTTATGGGTCATGTTTTTGGTGTTGTATTTAAGAAAGCTTTACCTAATTAAGGCTATAAAGATTTTCTCCTATTTTTTTTTCCCAAAAGTATTGTGGTTTTAGGCTTTACATTTAGGCCTGAGATCTATTTTGAGTTAATATTTCTATAGTGGGTAATGCATGCCTTGAGGCATATCCATTTATTTGCCTAGGGATATTCAATTGTCCAAGAACAATTTGTTGAGAAAAACTATCATTTCTCCATTAAGTTGCCTTTGGGACTTTGTCAAAAACCAAATGACCACATGTGTATTGGTCTATTCTAGTCTGTTCCACTAATCTAGATGTTAATCCTTTTCTAATAGCAGATTCTCTTGACTGCCAGCTTTATAGTAAGCCTGAAAATCTGGTAGTGTGAGTCTTCCAATTTTGCTACTTTTCTTACAATTTGTTTTGCCATTCTAGTTATTTTTTAAAATTTCCATAAAAATTTTAGAATTACTTTGCCAATTTCTACAAAAAAGTCCTGCCAGGATTTTTAAATTTATTTTTATTTTTATTTTTTGAGACAGGATCTCATTCTCTCACCCAGGCTGGAGAGCAGTGGTATGATCATGGCTCACTGCAGCCTCGACTTCCCAGGCTCAGGTGATCCTTCCACCTCAGCCTCCTGAGTAGCTGGTACTACAGGTGAACACAATTACACCCAGCTAATTTTTGTATTTTTTGTAGACATGGGGTTTCACCGTGTTGCCCAGGCTGGTCTCAAACTCCTGAGCTCAAGCAATCCTCCTGCCTCAGCCTCCCAAAGTGCTGGGATTAAAGGCATGTGCCACCACTCCTGGCCTGAGATTTTGATTGGAATCGCACTAAATCTATATATCAGTTTGGTGATAATTGCCATCTTAATAATAGTGAATCTTCCATTCATGAACAATATATGCCTCTTCATTTATTTAGGCCTTCTTTCATTGCTTTCATTAGTGTTTTGCAGCTATCAGAGTATAGATATTGCACATATTTTATAATATTTATGCCCAAGTATTTTATATTTTTGGTAGTATTTAAAATGTACTGTTATTTTTATTTCAAGTTCTAATTTTTCATTGGTAGTATAAAGAAATATGATTTTTTCTTTACAATTTTGGCAATCCCTTTCTCTGTTTTTTTTTTTTAATTTGATTTTATTTTAAGTTTTGGGATACATGAGCAGAACATGCAGGTTTGTTATGTAGTTAAACGTGCGGTGGTGGTTTGCCGCACAGATCAACCCATCATCTAGGTATTAAGCTCACATGCATTAGCTATTTACCCTGATGCTCTCCCTTCCCCTGCCCTCCGCAACAGGTCCCACAGGGAGGGGAACAACAGGTCCCAGTGTGTGTTGTTACCCTCCCTGTGTCCATATGTTCTCATTGTTCAGCTCCCACTTATGAGTGAGAACATGCAGTGTTTGGTTTTCTGTTCCTGTGTCAGTTTACTGAGGATGATGGTTTCCACCTCCATCCATGTCTCTGCAAAGGACATGATCTCATTCCTTTTTATGGCTGCATAATATTCCATGGTGTATATGTATCACATTTTCTTTGTCCAGTCTATCATTGATGGGCATTTGGGTTGGTTCCATGTCTTTACTATTGTGAATACTGCTGCAATGAACATACATGTGCACGTGTCTTTATAATAGAATGATATATATTCCTGTGGGTATATACACAGTAATGAAATTGGTGGCTCAAATGGTATTTCTGATTATAGATCCTTGAGGAATTGCCACACTGTCTTCCACAATGGTTGAACTAATTTACATTCCCACCAATAGTGTAAATCATTCCTATTTCTCCACAGCCTTGCCAGCATCTGTTGCTTCTTGACTTTTTGATAATCACCATTCTGACTGGAGTGAGATGGTATCTCATTGTGGTTTTGATTTGCATTTCTTTAATGGTCAGTGATGTTGAGCTTTTTTTCTCATATGGTTGTTGGCCAAATGTATGTCTTCATTTGAGAAGTGTCTGTTCATGTCCTTTGCCTATTTTTTGATGGGGTTATTCATTTTTTTCTTGTAAATTTGTTTAAGTTTCTTGTCAATTCTGGATATTAGACCTTTATCAAATGGGTAGATTGCAAAAGTTTTTCCCATTCTGTAGGTTGCCTGTTTGCTCTGATGATAGTTTCTTTTGCTGGGCAGAAGCTGTTTACTTTAATTAGATCCCATGTGTCAATTTTTGCTTTTGCTGCAATTGCTTTTGGCGATTTCATCATAAAATTTTCATCCATGCCTATGTCCTGAATGGTATTGCATAGATTTTCTTCTAGGGTTTTATAGTTTTGGGTTTTATTGGGTTTTGTTTTTTTTTGTTTTGTTTGTTTGTTTGTTTTGAGACAGAGTCTCACTGTCTCCCAGGCTGGAGTGCAGTGGTGCGATCTCAGCTCACTGCAAGCTCCACCTCCCAGGTTCATGCCATTATCCTGCCTCAGCCTCCCGAGTAGCTGGGACTACAGGCGCCCGCCACCACATCAGGCTAATTTTTTTGTATTTTCAGTAGAGATGGGGTTTCACCGTGTTTGCCAGGATGGTCTCGATCTCCTGACCTCGTGATCCACCTGCCTCAGCCTCCCAAAGTGCAGGGATTACAGGCGTGAGCCACTGCATCTGGCTATAGTTTTGGGTTTTACATTTAAGTCTTTAATCCATCTTGAGTTAATTTTTGTATAAGGTGTAACAAAGGGGTCCAGCTTCAGTTTTCTGCATATGGCTAGCCAGTTTTCCAAGCAATATTTATTAAATAGAAAATTCTTTCTCAGTTGTTTGTGTCAGGTTCACCAAAGATCAGATGGTTGTAGATGTGTGGTCTTATTTCTGAGATCTCTATTTTGTTGCATTGGTCTATGTGTCTGTTTTGGTACCAGTACAATGTTTTGGTTACTGTAGCCTGTAGTGTAGTTTGAAATCAGGTAGCATGATGCCTCCAGCTTTGTTCTTTTTGTTTAGGATTGTCTTGGCTATATGGGCTCTTTTTTTGGTTCCATGTGAATTTTAAAATAGTTCTTTCTAATTCTGTGAAGAATGTCAATGATAGTTTGATGGAAATAGCATTGAGTCTATAAATTACTTTGGGCAGTATGACCATATTCAGGATATTGATTCTTCCTATCCACGAGAATGGAATGTTGTTCCATTTGTTTGTATCCTCTCTTATTTCCTTGAGCAATGGTTTGTAGTTCTCCTTGAAGAGGTCCTTCACATTCCTTTTTAGCTGAATTCCTAGATATTTTATTATCTTTGTAGCAATTGTGAATGAGAGTTCATTCATGATTTGTCTCTCCACTTGTCTATTGTTGGTGTATAGGAATGTTTGTAATTTTTCCACATTGATTTTGTATCTTGAGACTTTGCTGAAGTTGCTTATTGGCTTAAAGAGCTTTTGGGCTGAGACAATGGGGTTTTCTAGTTATAGGATTATGTCATCTGCAAACAGAGACAATTTGACTTCCTCTCTTCCGATTTGAATACCTTTTATTTCTACCTTTTGCCTGATTGCCCTGGCCAGAACTTCCAATACTAGGTTGAATAGGTTGAGAGAGGGGGCGTCCTTGTCTTCTGCCGATTTCCAGAGGAAATTCTTCCAGCTTTTGCTCATTTGGTATGATATTGGTTGTGGTTTTGTCATAAGTGGCTCTTATTATTTTGAAATATGATCCATCAATGCCTAGTTTATTGAGAGTTTTTAACATAAAGGGATGTTGAATTTCATCGAAGATCTTTTCTGCATCTATTGAGATGATCATGTGATTTTTGTCATTAGTTCTGTTTATGCGATGAATTACATTTATTGATTTGTGTATGTTGAATGAGGCTTGCATCCCAGGGATGAAGCTGACTTGATTGTGGTGAATAAGCTTTTTGATGTGCTGCTGGACTCAGTTTGCCAGTGTTTTATTGAGGATTTTTGCATCAATGTTTATCAGGGATATTGACCTGAAGTTTTCTTCTTTTGCTGTGTCTCTGCCAGGTTTGGGGATCAGGATGACGCTGGCCTTATAAAATGAATTAGGGAGAAGTCCCTCCTTTTCAATTGCTTAGAATAGTTTCAAAAGGAATGGTACCAGCTCTTCTTTGTACCTCTGGTAGAATTCAGCTGTGAATCCATCTGGTCCCGGGCTTTTTTTAGTTGGTAGGCTATTTATTACTGCCTCAACTTGAGGACTGGTTATTGGTCTATTCAAGGATTCAACTTATTTCTGATTTAGTCTTGGGAAGGTGTATGCATCCAGGAATTTATCCATTTCTTCTAGATTTTCTAGTTTATTTGGGTAGAGGTGTTTATAGTATTCTTGGATGGTAGTTTGTATTTCTGCAGGGTCAATGGTGATATCCCCTTTATCATTTTTTATTGTGTCTATTTGATTCTTCTCTCTTTTCTTCTTTATTAGTCTAGCTAGCCATCTATTTTATTATTTTTTTCAAAAAACAAGCTCCTGGATTCATTGAGTTTTTGAATGATTTTTCCTGTCTCTATCTCCTTCAGTTCTGCTCTGATCTTAGTTATTTCTTGTCTCCTGCTAGCTTTGGGATTTGTTTGCTCTTGCTTCTCTAGTTGTTTTAGTTGTGATGTTAGGGTGTCGATCTGAGATCTTTCTAGCTTTCTGATGTGGGCATTTAGTGCTATAAATTTCCCTCTTAACACTGGTTTAGCTGCTTCCCAGATACTCTGGTACATTTTCTCTTTGTTCTCATTGGTTTCAAAGAACTTCTTGAAGTCTGCTTTAATCTCATTATTTACCCAGGAGTCATTCAGGAGCAGGTTGTTCAATTTCCATGTAGTTGTGTGGTTTTGAGTGGGTTTCATAATCTTGAGTTCTAATTTGATTGCACTGTGTTCTGTGATACTGTTTATTATGATTTTTGTTCTTTTGCATTTGCTGAGGAGTGTTTTACTTTGAATTATGTGATCGATTTTACAGTAAGTGCCATGTAGCAGTGAGAAGAATGTATATTCTGTTGTTTTGGGGTGGAGAGTTCTGTAGATATCTATCAGGTTCACTTATCCAAAGCTGAGTTCAAGTCATGAATATCCTTAATTTTCTCTCTCAATGATCTGTCTAATATATCGACAGTGAGGTGTTAAAGTCTCCCACTATTATTGTGTGGGAGTTTAAGTCTCTTTGTAGGTCTCTAAGAACTTGTTTTATCAATCTGGATACTCCTGTATTAGGTTCATATATATTTAGGATAGTTGGTTCTTCATGTTGAATTGATCTCTTTTCCATTATGTAATGCCCTTTTTGTCTTTTTTGATCCTTGTTTGTTTAAAGTCTGTTTTGTCAGAAACTAGGATTGCAACCTCTGCTTTTTTCTGCTTTCCATTTACTTGGTAAATTTTCCTCCATCCCTTTATTTTGAGCCTATGAGTGTCTTTGCACATGAGATGGGTCTCTTGAATACAGCACACCAATTGGTCTTGACTCTTTATCCAATTTGCCAATCTGTGTCTTTCAGTTGGGGCATTTAGCCCATTTACATTTAAGGTTAATATTGTTATGTGTGAATTTGATCCTGTCATCATGATGCTAGCTGGTTATTTTGCACACTAGTGGATGCAGTTTCTTCATAGTGTCATTGGTCTTAGTATTTCAGTGTGTTTTTGCAGTGGCTGGTACCAGTTCTTCCTTTCCATATTTATTGCTTCCTTCAGGAGCTCTTGCAAGACAGGCCTTATGGTGACAAGTTCCCTCAGCATTTGCTTGTCTGAAAAGTATTTTATTTCTCCTTTGCTTATGAAGCTTAGTTTGGCTGGATATGAAATTCTGGGTTGAAAATTATTTTCTTTAAGAATTTTGAATATTGACCCCACTCTTTTCTGGTTTGTAGGGTTTCTGCTGAGAGGTCCACCGCTTCCTTTTGTAGGTGATCCAGCCTTTCTCTCTGGCTGCCCTTAACATTTTTTTCCTGCATTTCAACCTTGGAGAATCTGATAATTTTGTGTCTTGGAGTTAATCTTCTCATGGAGTATCTTACTGGGGTTCTCTATATTTCCTGAATTTGAATATTGGCCTGTCTTGCTAGGTTGGGGAAGTTCTCCTGGATGATATCCTGAAGTGTGTTTCCAACTTGGTTGCATTATCCCCATCTCTTTCAGGTACTCCAATCAGTCGTAGGTTTAGTCTTTTTACATAGTCCCATTGTTTTGGGAAGTTTTGTTCATTTCTTTTCATTCTTTTTTCTCTAATTTTTCCTGCCTCCCTTAATTCAGCAGCATAGTCTTCAAGCTCTGATATTCTTTGTTTGACTTGATTGATTCAGCTACTGATACTTATATTTGGATCATAAATTTCTTGTGCTGTGTTTTTCAACTCCATCAGGTCATTTATGTTCCTCTCTAAGCTGGTTATTCTAGTTAACAGCTCCTGTAACCTCTTGTCATGGGTCTTAGCTTCTTTGCATTGGGTTAGAATATGCTCCTTTATCTCAGTGAATTTTGTTACTACCCACCTTCTGAAGGCTACTTCTGTCAATTTGTCCATCTCATTCCCCGTCCAGTTCTGTGCCCCTGCTGGAGAGCTGTTGCAATCATTTGGAGAAGAGGCACCCTGGCCTTTTGAGTTTTCAGCATTTTATTGTTGATTCTTCCTCATCTTCATGAGATTGTCTAGCTTCAATCTTTGAGGCTGCTGACCTTTGGACGAGTTTTCTGTGGGGACTTTTTTGTTGAAGCTCTTGTTGTTGTTTTCTGCTTGCTTGTTTTTATTTCAACAGTCAGATCCCTCTTCTGTAGGGCTGCTGCAGTTTGCTGAGGCCTTATTCATCTGGGTCCTTCCCCCACCTGGAGATGTCACTGGAGGAAGCTGGAGAACAGCAAAGATGGGTGCCTGCTCCTTCTACTGGGATCTCTGACTTCAAGGGGCACTGACCTGATGGCAGTAGGAGTGCTCCTGTATAGGGTGTCTGGCGACCCCTGTTGGGAGCTCTCACCCAACTGGGGGGCATGGGAATCAGGACCCATTTAATGAAGCACTTTGGCTGTCTCTTGGTGGAGGGGGTGTGCTGCACTAAGGGGAAACCCACTAATCTGGGCTGCCCAGATTCCTCAGAGCTAGCAAGCAGAGAGACTAAGTCTGCGGGTCAACAGAGACCATGGCCACCCCTCCCCATAGGGGCTCAGGTCCAGGGAGATCAGAGTTTTGCCCCTAAGCCCCTGGCTGGAGTTACTGGAGTTCCTACAGGGAGGCCCCACCCAGTGAGGTGGGATGAGTCAGGGTCCAGCCTAAAGAGGCAGTCTGGCCATAGTCTGTCATAGCTGGTGTGCTATGCTGTGGGGAATACCTCTCGGGACCAAGCCATGCAGTCTCCCTGGCTCTAGCAGGGGAGAAATGCAGCCTGGAGCTATAGTGATGGCTGCTGCCGTCCCCCCTCCCCAGGAGTTCAGTGTCTTAGGCAGCTAGCAGCCGGAGTGATGTCTGCCGTCTCTTCCCTGGGGAGCTCAACTTTCTTAGCCAGCTGGCAGCCACAGTGATGATGGCTGCCCCTTTCTCAGGAATCTCAGTTGTCTTAGGCAGCTGGCAGCTGGTAACCACAGTGATGGTTGCTGCCCCTCCCCTAGGGAGCTCAGATGACTTAGACAACAGGCAGGCACAGTGATGATGGCTGCCCCTCCTGCTGGGAACTCTGTAGTCTTAAGCAGATTTCAGCTGAGAGGCTGTTGAGAATCTGTGTGGCTCTGTGGTTGGGACCCAAGGCCCTGGTGGCGTAGGCTCATGAGTGGAAACTTCTGATCTGTGGGTTGCACAGATCTGTGGAAAAAGCACAATTTCTCAGGCTGGGTAGCACACTCACTCACCGCCTCCTTTGGCTGGGCATGGGGGTGCTCCCCTTGTCCCGTGTGGCTCTCAGGTAGGCTGATGCACCATCCTGCTTCTCTTTGCTCTCCGTGGGTCATGCCAACCACCTAGTTAGTCCTGATGATAGAACCTGAATATCTTGGTTGCAGGTGTAGGATTTGCATGCTGTTTTGTTTCTTCTCGGTGGGAGCCTCCGACCATTGCTGCTTCTAGTCAGCCATCTTGACCCCACCCCCTGATTGATTTTTAAATGTTGACCTTTAATCCTATGACCTTGTGAAAATTAGTAGTTCTGGTAGCTTTTTGGGTAGATTCTTTGGGATTTTCTACATAGAAACTCACATTGTCTGCAAGTAGAGACATTTATTTATTACATTATTAAACTAGCTAGGAACTCCAGTATGATGTTAAATAAGCATGGTGAGGAGGGGCATCCCAGCCTTGTTGTTGATCTTTGGGGAAAATATTTAGCCTTCTATTTTAAGTATGATATTAACTGTGGCTTTTTTTTTTTTTTGGTACGTATCCTTTCTTGAGTTAAGAAAGTTTCTTTCTATTCAATATTTTTTAAGACTTGTTGAATTGTATTAAATTATTTTTTTCTGCATCTATAGAGAGGGTTACATGGTTTTTCATTTTTAGTCTGTTGATGTGATTAATTACATTGATTGATTTTTGGATGTTGAAATGGCCTGAACTTCCTGCAAAAGATCCCACTTAGTAATAATGTATTACCATATACGTACATATATATGGCACAATTTGCTAATATTTTTGCTGAAGAATTTTTTGTATCTGTATCCGTGAGTGATATTCTTCTCTAGGTGTGTGTGTGTGTGTGTGTGTGTGTGTGTGTGTGTGTGTGTGTGTGTTGAATTTCTTTGGATGGTTTTGGTACCTGTGTAATGCTGGCCTCAGAAAATGAGCTGGGAAGTCTTTCCTCCTCTTCTACATTCTGGAAGAGTTTGTGTGTAATTCATATTTCTTCCTTGAATGTTTGGTAGAATTCACCAATGAAGTCATATCTAGCATATGGGCTGCTCTTAAAGAGTGGTTTTTTTAGTCAATATCTGCTTCACCCTTGACTTTAAGTTTTCCTTTGTGCCATGCCTGGAGAGACAGAGAGAGAAAGAGAGAAAGAGTCTCTCTTCATGCTCTTGTCTCTTTCCCAGCTGGAAACTGCTGTTATTTGTTACTTGACGCTGTTGTAGCCTGTTGACAGGATGTGCTACAGAGTTTGCAGGTGAAAAATAAAAATGAAGGGCTCCTTGCTCAGAAAGTATTAAAACTGTCAGGATGGCAATAGTAGAGTATTAAACCAAATGCAGGACCCTTCTAAGCATGGGCTGTGTGATCACACAAGTCATTGGCCATGAAGTCATTTCTGCCTCTAAAGAGAGGCAGAGCTGGGGCATCCTCTCCTGTTCTGGCTAAGCCTCAGTTTTAGAGGCAAGAACTGTGTCCCTGGGTCTTGGAGATGGGGCCTTCTCAGCAGTATCGCACACTTCCAACTGTGGGTCTGGTCAGGGGACAGTGATCTTGCACCTTCTGCAAAGGTAGAATGTATTTTTATGTTCCTTCTCCCAGCTAGAATGGGTTTCCATCAATGTGCTAAGTGTGACAGAGTGTGTATTGTCTTTCCCCAGGGGTATAAGCCATTTGTTCTGTAGGAGACATAGAAAAAAGGATCCAGGTAGGGTTTAATGTTTTTCTCACAGTGACTACTGTGCCTTTCTCCTGGGTCAGCACCATCAGTGATGCCTCTCAGCACTCATGCTCTGACCCCATCTTTCTTGTAATCATCTAGCTTGGAGAACAGCTAGCTAGCAGCTACATATTCCCCTTGTGCTTGTGATTCCCAGTAGTTCTATATCCTCTCACCTGTCTGTATTTGTCCTTTAGCAATTTGTTAGCATTTTTAGCTGATTTTTCTTACCAGTGTCTGGTGAGATTTACCACAGGTAAGCAAGGGCTCACCTCCCCTTTCTTCTTGGGGGATCCTGTATTTCCTTAGATTTCACATTAGTTGGTTGCCCTGTGACCTCAGTTCTTTAACAGGTGCAAGATTTACAGGTTGTCCAGCATATTTGTTGTTGTAAAGATGGAAGCGATTTTTTTTTCCATTTGCCTATCTCCTAAGTGGAGAATGGAAGTCTATGAGTATTTTTTAAAACTGTATTATGGCAGATTGCAGTATAATGAACCCCATCACCCAGCTACAACAATAATCAATCAAAGACCTCATTAGTTTCATCCACTCTAATGGATTATTTTGCAAAAACAAATTCTGCTCATCATGAAATTTTAAACATAGTATGTAATTATAAGATATATTTTAAGACAATAAGTATATCACAACAGTGAAATAATGATTCTATGTGAACTCATTTTTGTTTAAATAAATATCTACATGTTTGCAAGTGCATGGACAAACATCTGGAAAGAGATACACCAAACTGAGAGAAACATTTGTATATGTGGGCATGTGGTGGGATTAGGTGAGGGTCAGGGTGACATGTGTTTATCTGCAATGTCTTTATTAATGATGAGAATGTATTTTTGTATTATTGGTGTGATTTTAAAAGTGTGAAAAAGAAAAAGTAAAAAAAGTAAAAGAAATGAAAGAAATGCAGTTAGACTTTGGAATCTGACATGAATTTGAACGCCAGCTCCACTTTGGGCCACATGTGTGACAATGGACAAGTCACATCACGGTGGGGGAGGAAAGGAAGTGGAGAGAATTTGGAAAGGAGATGGGGAGGACAGATAAGAATCCCTTACAGGATTACTTGTGCTAAAGGATTAACCAACTCTCTCCATGTAAACTTTCTGGCATACAGTAGGCACTCAATAAATGTGAGGATCCTCATTTCTTTTGGCATCTCCACTCAATGTAGAATTATGAGCAGGCACGCACTCATGGAGGAATATTAAATCCTAATGATAATGAGCTTCTTCTGCCCCTGTGTGGTGTGTTCAAGTTATTGCTAGGATTTCTCTCACTCATAGAAAAACCAAAATGAATATTATTTATTTTCCCCTTAAGTTGGAATTCACCTTTTTTACCTCTTGACCCCCAAATCTGATTCTGCAGTATCTTGTCTAGGTTTCTATTACTGTCCAGTGCTTACAATATCTCTGTCTCCCTCATCAGCTTGTAAACCTTTTGAGGGCAGGGACCTGTTTTACTCTCTGTCTCCTTTCTCTCTCTCTCTGTCTCTTTCTCTCTCATAACAATTTCAAGCCTTCAGGGCTGGTGTGAGGATTAAATTGCGTCAAGTCTGCGAAAACATTTTGTAAACTACAAAATGCTTTCCAGATCTACTCATTTGTTTATTCACAAACTTTTGTTACAATGCCTATTGGCTGCACATTGCACAATGTGAAGGGCTCACCTCACTCTCTTGTGGCCACATAGGACGTTGGAGAGAGCAATTGTCAAAATCTACAGAAAGACTATGGTTGGCACTGGACAAAGTGCTGTAGGAGCCTAGAGAAGGAAGGGTTAGCTTTTGCTAGGGACAGGGGCAAGCAAACAGTTGACATGGAAAGAAGATTTGAGCTACAGGTTGGGATCTCAGTAGCAGCTCCTGATGTGGAGAAGGGGGATGCTAGAAGGACTCTCATCAACAAGGCGGCATGTGAGAGGCAGACAACACATTCTGGGACCACCCCAGGGTCCTGTGTGGCTGCACTTTAAGCATCATTGTAGATGTGACTGGAGGAAAGTATCGAACCTTAGGTTGAACAAGAACACAAAGGACTTTGAATGCTCTACTGAAGAAGCTACACATAAATCACTCAAGCTTAGCCCAGTGCCTTCCAGAGGGCAGACATTCAACAATTACCTGGGACATTGAGTTAAATGGATGCAATAGATAGAATCTTTATTGCTTCTATTTTGAATTGTCTATTTTCTTTTACTTAAAGGGAGGTGATTTCAAAGTCTCAGCCTCACCAAGTCTATTTTAACAACAGCATTTCTCCAAACACTTTCACTATGCCAACATGTGACATTTATATTCATTATGAAGAAAAGTCTCCTATCTTGACAACTAATGATTTTTCTTGGAAGGTGATCCTTAAAAATATATGGCATTTTCTCAGGATGTAAAAATCAATGTTCTAAAATCACTAGCATTCCTATACACCAACAACAGTCAAACTTAGAGCCAAATCAGGAAAAAACTCTCATTCAAAATTGCCACACAAAAATAAAATACCTAGGAATACAGCTAACCAGAGTGGTGAAAGATATCTACAAGGAGACCTATAAAACACTGCTCAAAGAAATCAGAGATGACACTAACAAATGGAAAAAATATTCCATGCTCATGGATAGAAAGAATCAATATCGTTAAAATGGCCATACCGCCCAGAGAAATTTATAGATTCAATGCTATTCCTATTAAACTACCATTGACATTCGTCACAGAACTAGAAAAAAAAACTGTTTTAAAATTCATATAGAACTAAAAAGGAGCCCAAAAAGTCAAGGCAATCCTAAGCAGAAAGAACAAAGCTGGAGGCATCATAGTACCCAACTTCAAATTATATTACAGGGTTACAGTAATTAAAACAGCATAGTACTGGTACAAAAACAGATGCATAGACCAGTGGAACAGAATAGAGATCCAGAAATAAGACCACACACTCACAACTATCTGATCTTCAACAAACCTGACAAAAACAAGCAATGGGGAAAGGATTCCCTATTCAATAAATGGTGCTGGGAGAACTGGCTAGCCATATGCAGAAGATTGAAACTAAACACCTTCCTTACACCATATACAAAAATCAACTCGAGATGGATTAAAGACTTAAATGTAAAACCCAAAACCATAAAAACTCTGGAAGACAACCTAGGCAATACCATTCTGGACATAGGAGCAGGCAAAGAGTTCATGACAAAGACCCAGAAGCAATTGCAACAGAAGCAAAAATTGACACATGGGATGTAATTAAACTGAAGAGCTTCTCCACAGAAAAGGAAACTATCAACAGAGTAAAAAGACAGTCTACAGAATGGGAGAAAAATTTTGCAAACTATGCATCTGACAAAGGTCTAATATCTAGCATCTATAAGGAACTTAAACAAATTTACAAGAAAAAAAAAACCCCATTAAAAAGTGGGCCAAGGACATGAACAGAACAGACCCTTTTCAAAAGAAGACATACATGTGGCCAACAGTCATATGGAAAAAAATCAATATTACTGTTCATTAGAGAAATGCAAATCAACACCACAATGAGATACCATCTCACACCAGCCAGAATGGCTACTATTAAAAAATTAAAAAATAGCAGATGCTGGTGAGTTTGCAGAGAAAAAGGAATACTTATACACTGTTGGTGGGAGTGTAAGTTAGTTCAACAATTGTGTAATACAGGCTATTCCTCAAAGACCTAGAAATAGAAATACCATTTGACTCAGCAATCCCATTACTGGGTATATACCCAAAGGAATATAAATCATTCTATTATAAAGATACATACACACATATGCTCATTGCAGCACCATGAAATCAACTCAAATGCCCATCAATGATACACTAGATAAAGAAAATGTGCTACATATACACCACGGAATACTATGCAGCCATAAAAAGGAATTAGATCATGTCCTTTACAGGGGCATGGATAGAGCTGGAAGCCATTATCTTCAGCAAACTAACACAGGAACAGAAAACCAAACAGTGCATGTTCTCACTTATAAGTGGGAGCTAAATGATGAGAACACATGAACGCATAGAGGGGAACAACACACACTTGGGACTATTGGAGGAAGGAGGTAGGAGGAGAGAGAGGATCAGGAGAAATAACTAATGGGTATTAGGCTTAATAGCTGGGTGATTAAATAATCTGTTAAAAAAAAAAACCATGGCAAAAGTTTACCTATGTAACAAACCTGCATGTGTAGCCCTGAACTTAAAATAAAAGTTAAATAAAGAATAATTTTAAAAGAGTATATGGCTTTTTTAGAGGCTTGCCCATGTACACGTTTGGGGATACAAAAGATTCAGTAACCATATCTAGATTTCAGAACATCTACAAGTGGAGCTAAATGATTTTTTGCTAGAAGATAAATTTTTCTTGAAAGAACTTGACTGTCATTTCAGCAGTTGACAGCTAGCATTCATTAAAGATGCTACCTTCAGGCTTTTAAGGAAAAGGAAGAAAATGAAATCTAACTGGTTGGAATGGAGGGTAAACATAAATTAGAGTATAAAGTTTTAAAGTTCTTAAGAATACACTTAGAGAAACTAAAATTAGTAGAAAAGGAAACAAGGAATTTGACTAGGCAAGCTACAAAATATGGGATAAAATCAGTAAATATATTAACAAAAAGGTACTTCAACAAATTAAGACTATATTATTTTATTTTTACCCTGGCAAGTATTTAAACATATCAATTGTAAGTGTTGCCAAGGGTAGGATAAAATGCGCATGGGCATAGTCAAGCATGGGTGTAGTGGATGCTGTAGTGTGCCACCCAGATTCCCAGTGAAGGATAGAGGCACCTATTTCCCCAGCTGCCAGGAGTGCTGCCTGCTCATGGCTCAAGCAGAGTCCTTCCCTAGGAATTGTCCTTGCCTAAGGAAGCTGCCTCCCTAGTGGATCTCACATCCAATGATTGGGCCATTAGGACACACAAAGCTCTGAGCCCTTGACTTTAATTCAGGACAGCTGAAGGGGCCATCCTCAGCCCTGTTGCTATTGCATTGCCGTTCAATGTGTCCCTCCACCTGTCCTACTCATTCTCTTGCAGGTGCCATTCCAATAGCCTTTCCCAATAAACCTCCTGCACACAAGTCTCCATCCTAGGTCTGTTTCAGTCTAAGATGACTGCTATGAAGAAATAAACGTCTTTTCCCTTGCCAAATCTATTTATATTTTCATTTATAAAATCTTACTTTGGTTCTACATTTATAAGGTATTTTCCATTATGAATCAAATTAATATGGATCCATATTTATTTTCTCCTGGTTCTTTTAGTATTCTATATTTTAATATGTAACTCTTTAATTCATCTGGGAATTCATCTCAGTGTCCTGAGTGAAATAGGACTCTAATGGACTCTAATTAACTCCCTCCACCTCCTAAATAGTTGACCCCTGGAACTCATTATGGGATAAGCCACACGATTCTCAACAGATTTTGAAGGTGTGTGATTTGATTCCACCAGCAGAAAGTCCGGATATCCTAAATTGGGAGTGCTCCAACTTAGAGGGTCCTTCTGCAGGACTATCAATACTTCTATTTAGCCAGCAGGGGGCTCTGGTGCATAAGAAATGCTTTTAGCTAAATTCTGCTAATTGGCTAAATTGTCCCCACAATAAATGATTTGCCTTCTCAGAACACAATGAACTCTGCAATTGCAGAGCTCCTCTCTCCCTAGCTCCTGATGGGACCCACGGGGGAGAGACCTCTTTCCGCTGTGGATACTACACAGACCTGTGGCTGAAGAGCCTGGCAAAAAGGAATTTGAACTGCACTCAGGGGCATCCCCAAACAGAACAATCTGTCTTCAGGACTAGTGAGTTTCCTGTTGCTGGAAGGGCTCAGACAGGGACTCCAAAAACATTTCAATTAGCTTTCCATAGACCCAAAGTCTGACCATTAATGCCACTCCAGGGTGGCTTTATATATGCTATTGCACTTAAAGGCCCTTTATTAAATGCAAAGTACTTAATGATATTCTTTGTTGGAATTTTCTCAGTGATGACTGAATGACTCTTTTGTGCTCTGATTAGAGGCTTGGGAGAAAGACCTGATCTGCCAGTAACTCTCTCCTGTCACAGCACCTGAGTTGTCTTCACTACAGACTCATCCCACTGGCTCCCCAGAGCACTCTATTCAGTTAACATGCCCTACAGGCAGAACAGCAGGGACTCTAGCAGCTGACCCATCCTGGGCCCTGACAGGCTGGTGGAGAGCCAGGGATGACTTTTCTGCGACAGTCATGGCTGTGGCTGTGGCACTGTGGAGCGGGGTGATGGCGAGGCTTCTAATCCCAGCTCTGCCACTGACAGATACAGGCTGCAGCTGCCGTTGAGCTCCTCCTGTCTCAGAGCCTCGTCTGTGAGTCTGTGAGTGGGAGCACAGAATGGGCAGAGCCCTTATTCTCACAGAAATCCTGAATCCTGATTTTAGGAGATGATGGTTTTGTCAGAGGCGTTTGAACCAGAGCAACTCCATCTTGAGTAAGGGTTGGGTAAAATGAGGCTGAGACCTACTGGGCTGCATTCCCAGACAGTTAAGGCATTCTAAGTCACAGGATGGGATACGAGGTCAGCACCAGATACAGGTCATGAAGACGTTGCTGATAAAACAGGTTGCAGTAAAGAAGCCAAGCGAAACCTACCAAAACCAAGGTGGCAACGAGAGTGACCTCTGGTCGTCCTCACAGCTACACTTTCACCAGCAACATGACAGTTTACAAATGCCATGGGAACGTCAGGAAGTTACCTTATATGGTCTAAAAAGGGAAGGCCTGAATAATCCACCCCTTGTTTAGCATGTCATCAAGAAATAACCATAAAAATGGGCAAACAGCTGCCCTCGGGGCTGCTCTGTCTATGGAGTTGCCATTCTATTATTTCTTTACTTTCTTAATAAGGTTGCTTTCACTTTACTCTACAGGCTCGCCCTTAGTTGTTTCTTGCGCGAGATCCAAGAACCCTCTCTTGGGGTCAGGATCTGGACTCCTTTCCTGTAACAGCGTGAACTCTACCAAAGGTGATTGGCTTTTGATTTTGTCAGCTAGGGTGGGGTTGCGTCAAGGTGATGTCCACAGGCTCTACCTCTCCCATAACATGCAGGGCTCCCAGGACCACGGCACTGGGGTCACCTGGCCATCTATCACACATACAGACTCCTTGCCTGCTACCTGCCTTACTGAACCAGAGCTGCTGATGGGAGCCCAGCAATCTGCCTGTAATAGACCCTTGGGTGATTCTGATGCACTGTGAAGTCTGAGACTCCTGTCCACAGGGAAAAGTCCAGCCTCTCTCTCACATGTCTCACAAGCCCTGCAGAATCTGGCCCCTGCCTACTCCTTCCTGTCCTGTGTACTTCTTTCCCCAACAGCACATAAATGTGCACACACACACACACCATACATTTTGTTAAAAGATAAACTGAGGCACATTAAAATATTAGAGCTTATTTGAGCATTCAACAATCCATGAACTGGGCAGCTCCAGAATTCAAATGGTTCAGGGCTTGCCAAAGAGGTTTGAAGGAAAGGCTTTTGTAGAACAAATGTGGAAGCAGAGCAAAAAAATTATTTGATTAGTTAACGTTTGAGCAATTGCCTTGAAATAGCCTTTGCAAAAATTATAACAGTGGGAAAATTGCAACAGTGAAAGAGATCCAACCTAACCAACTCCATTTTGCCTTTAACCTCCAAAGAGCCCTGGTCACTTCTAGGTGTTGGCCAAGCTAAGGTTGGGAGAAATTTTATAGTTTAAATGATAATAGATCTTCCCCAAAACTAAAGCCCCTATGTAAAACTAATGAAAAGTCACCAAGTTAGAAGGATGAGAGAGGTCTGAATTTATAGTTAAATGATTACCAGCCATTATTCCAGAGGTCATAAAATTTGCAACTTCCCCAATTACTCCTGTAAATCACATTACTATTGTAGAATTAAGACTGGCCTTTTAAGATGTCTTTTCAGACTTTTGCATTTCTCATGAGCAGATGACCCCACCCAGACCCGTGACTCTCCACACAACCAATCCTATGGTCCCAACCCAAAGCAGACTCAGAGAATGAGGACCATTTTCCACACCCCTGTGATTACATACTCAACCAATCAGCAGCATCCATTCTCTAGCCCCCTGCACCCCAATCTTTGAGAAATCCTACCTTCCAAATTTTAGGGGAGGCCAATCTGAGTAATAATAAAACTCTGTTGTCCTGGTTAGTTGACTCTATGTGTGTTAAACTCTTTCTCTGTTGCAATTCCCCTGTTTCGATAAATTGGCTCTATCTGGGCAGTGGGCATGGTGAACTCATTGGGTGGTCATAGCCTCATTTGAACTATCCTAATAGGAAGTTTAAGACAAGATAACGAATGCCCAGTTGGCTGCCTATGATTAGTTGAGCTTAAGTTTTGTTTTCTTTTAATTCCTGAGTTAGGTTTCAGTTGGCTTATACAGGAACCCAGGGTGTCAGAGCCACCTCAAACTAGTGACCTCCCATTTCATTATTTTAACAATTATGACTGGACTTTCCCTTACCATCTAGAATGTGGAGAATTCCCATGGATAATTTATACTACTGTGATTTTGCTCATGCTATTTCCTTCTGCTGAATGTTGTATTGGAGCTCAGAAACTGATACTCCAAAATATGGCATTTTGACATGCTGAACAGAAGAAGGCTCAGGTCTCCCTGACCTCCCCCTTCTTCCACCATTTCTCCCAAAGAAGCTGAAGTTTCTTTATCTACCTAAAATCCAGACCCACCAAGGAGAACAACTGTTCTTTCTTCCTCTCCCTATTATCTCATTATCTATTGCAGAAAAGAAGACCAAGATGTGACTACACCTGAACAGACTCTTTTACAAGCATAGTGACTGTCCAAGGATCATCTGCATTCCAAAGAAAACTATTTACTATTTACAAGGTAAGCTCTGTTCCCCATCCAATCACTCTTCATAGCACTCACTTATTGCCCTTCAATAGAATTCCTCATCTCCCCCTTCCAATAACCTGTTTTACCAGAATCCAAGCCCCCATTTTTTCTGTAATTTCAAAATGATATATAAGTTCCTGTAGCTCGTTGGGAAGTTGGATCTTCATTCTGAATAAAAATTAAATATAATTTTATGCCTTTTCCCCAGTTAATCCATCAGTCTCATTCCAGTGATTTTTCAGTGAACCTTTAGGAGGCCAATGGCCATGGTCCTGAGAGATGTTTTCTACACAAACCCCCAGCTGACCCCTTCTCCTGGAAACCCAAGAACAACTGCTCATGCCTTTTGCTTAATCTCCTCCCCAAAGCCTCTCTGGAATCATTTGTCCTCAGAATGCATTGACTCTACATTCCTTTATGTTGTTGCATGTCCTGACTCCTGCCATCTTACCTGCCATGCTATGGGGCACTGTGTGTCCACCTTGCCCCTTTGAGCCTTCACTCCTTGAAGGCAGTATCACTGTCTCATTTTTCATCGTACCCCACGGTCTACTCCAGGGTGACCACCACCTAGAAGGGACTTCTTAAGTGTTTGTTGGGTGAATGAGTTGTCTACAGAGCTTCAAAGAAGAAAACAAATGTTTTGTGGTCAGTTGAGTTCTGGGTAAATAGACAGTGGATTGGCCAGCTTTGATGAGGGTGTGCAGCTCCTTACTGGAGGATGGTGGAGAATTCTGCAGGGTACCTTGAGGACACTGGTGCCTGAGAACAGCTCAGGGAAAGTTGCTCAACAGGGAAAGTGTAAAACTGAAATGGGAAGGGGACATTGACCATCTGGGCCTTTGTCTCATGTTGGGCTGAGATCAGTCTTAGCCATTTGGATGGTGCACATTTTAGAAGGCTGGCCCTCTAAAATGTTGCCGTTTACTGCATACACCTTACTCATTTCAGACCATCAGTGGTTAGCACAGTGCCTGGTACATGTAGGCAGTGAATCAGTGTTGGCCGAATCGGTGGGAAACTTGGAATGGTGCAGGGGTGACTTCTAACAGGGAAGAGCAGATAGCAGGTGGTCAGCAACACTAGCTATAATAGGTGAGATCCCTGGGAAGATGACTACCCTGCCTGTGTGGGATATGAGGGAGAAATATGGGAGCCTCCTCACTTCAGGTGTCACTGCTCAGCATATATCCAGGCTTTGTTTTCATATTGGTCTTGCAAAGAGCCTTTTGGGAACAGTTTTCTTATTGAAACATACTCAGTGTTTAAACCTGCAGGTGTGGGGTGGTGGCAGTCCACATGGCATCCTTTGCTCTGTCCCTGTTCTCCTGTCTCTGGCTATTCAGGTTCCCGTGAGGATACTGTCACCCTTGAATAATGGAGCTTGCATAAGACCAAGCCCCTGTTTTTGGAGTCCTTGTGCTGAGGCCACAAGAACTTCCAAAAAGTTCACTGAACATCTAGGAGGAACAACAGAGGGTAATTGGAGCATAAATTTAGTTGGCTCAGCACATTCAGATGTCTGATCTTGGTGGAGTTAGTGTCCTCTGGGGCCTGTCCTATTCCATGAGGAATTCCAAAGAGAGAGCTCATCTAGGGATTTCTCCTTTCTTAGTTCTTGGATTTATTTCCTCACCGTTCTCCCTGGGTTTCCTTACTTTCAAGAGCAACACTCAAGTCCTGAAAGCAGAGAGATGCAGCGAAGGGGTGGTTGGTTGTCCTGTTTTGAGGACCAGCATAGTCAGAGCTCCCCACCTCCCATGGTCTCAGCATAGCAGGAGCCTTCAATTCCCAAGGACTCCTCCTCCCAAAGCCAAAGTCACACAAGCCAAGACCAGTGGATAACTCAAAATGAGATGTGCTGGTGCAGGGGAAACAGAGACCACAGAACACAGATATTGGCTCCAGGACCCCACAGTTGAGAAGGGAAGGGAAGACAGAGGGTGTATTAGTCAAGACTTTTCAGAGAAACAGAACCAATAAGATATATAGGTGTGTGTGTGTGTGTGTGTGTATATATATATATATATATATATATATATATATATATATATACACACACACAGAAAGAAAGAGCAAGAGAGAGATCTAAAAGGAGATTTATTATGGCAATTGGCTTATGTGATTTTGGAGTCTGAGAAGTTCCATGATTTGCCATCTGCAAGCTGGAGACCGAGGAAAGCTGGTGATGTAATTCAATCTGAGTCCAAAGGCCTGAGAACAGAGGGGCTGCTGGTGTAAGTCCTGGAGTCTGAGGGCCCAAGAACAAGGAGTCAATGTCAAAGGTCAGGAAAAGATGGAAGTTCCAGCTGAAGAAGAAAGAGAATTTGCCCCTCTTCTGTCATTTTTTTCTATCTGGGCCCTCAACAGATTGGATGTCACCCACCCACATTCTCTACTCAGTCCATTCATTCAAATGCTAATCTCTTCTGGAAACACCCTCACAGATGCACCCAGAAATCATGTTTTACCAGCTATCTGGGCATCTCTTAGCTCAGTCAAGTTGACACATGGAATTAATTATCACAGAAGGGAAATGTCTACAGGGCCTTCCTGTGATGAGTTTGGGGTACTGGAGGCACCACAGGTTCACCAAGGAGGGGGTGGTCTAGTCAGCCCAGGAGCACAGAGAGAGCCCAATTTGAGAAAATGAACGGGTGAGTTTGGGGTATGGAGAAGGTGGTGGGGAGAGAGGATGTTCCAGACAGAAGAAGGAGTGCAGACAAAGCATGAAGGAATGAAACAACCTAGTCCCATGGGGGACCTCAAACCTGAATATAACTTAATGTAGGATTGGGGAGTATAGAGGAAAGTCCAGTGAGTGTGTCCTCTAGCATAATACTATTTATAAATGCAGTTGTATATTATTTATATATAAATACATAGTATTTCAGTAAATTAAAGAATATAAAATAATGTAAGTTCCCCCCAAACCTAGCCCACACAGTTTACTGAAGGGCTAGAGTGAGAAAGAGGAGAGAGAGCTATCAGTGAGTCTTCCAGCTCCTCCCTCACGCTCAGAAATAAAAGCAGAAAAAATAAGTGCAATCAAACTTGTAGACTGGTTCAGAAGAGGTTCTAGAAGTCCAGGGACCAGGAGCATCAGAATTTTATTAAAATTTGGAAACTTCATAACTACCTAAACATGCTATTTTGTTATTCAATATCTGTTCCTACTCAGTGACTTGAAGAAAAGTAGCACATAGTCAGAATATTGGTCAGGACAGGCTAGGGTCTGCTGCAGAAACTAACTAACCCAGGAATCTCTATGACTTCATGGAATAAAGGTTTATGTTTTTCCTTGTGTAAAGTTCAATGTGCTCAGGGGGGTCTCTTCTACTTTTTAGTATGTCACTTGATATATACTGCCTCTGCAAGAGAGAAAGACACATGCCACTTGCATTCACAGGCCATAATTATTCACAGTCTCAATCCAGCTGCAAGGGAGGCTGAGAAGTGCAAAGAAGCACATGGAATACTTGGTGTATGCCATCTCTGCTGAGCGTGCCCTTCTCATCACTGTCTTCTCATTTCTTTCTGCCCCCACATAGAGCTCACTCAACCCCTCCTCTAAAATCTCCCCCAGTCACCACATCCAGTTCAAACTCAGATCTCTGGGTGATGTCTGGCCTTCTTCCCAGCAAGTTCGCATGTGGCTCCTTTTGGTCCAAGGATACCAAAACTGGAAAAAAAAAAAAAGTCACCTGCCAACCCTGCTTCCAATATATAATGATGAAACTGAGATAATATGGCCTCAATAGGCACCTCCCACTTGGAAAAGGGAAGGATGGGAAGTACATAGAGTCACTGTCCATAGCAATTCTGAAATCCCACTGGGCAGACGTCATGAAAGCCCATATCCTCGGCATCCATGATTAGGCTCTAGTTTTGCTCTCTGAGAGATGCTGCTTTGTTCACTTTTCTCCATGAGCCTGGTTCTACCCATGAGGTTATTTCTTTTTTTGTAAGCTTCCTTGGTAGCACATGAATCAGGCATTGAGAAATAAGCCCTCCTTATGGACTGCTGTTCTAAAAGTTTGGTACAAGCCTTAAGGCTTGAAGACTGAAGGTCTTATTCAGTCTGTCTGTATGGTTCTTTGGTAACATGACCCTCAAAAATGTAGCACAAGTATAAACTTCATTTTATTGCACTTCACTTTTTTGCACTTCACAGATATTCCATCTATTACAAATTAAAGGGTTATAGCAACTCTGTGTTCAGCAAGTCTTATTTTTCTAACAGCATGTGCTCACTTTGTGTCTCTGTTTCACATTTTGGTAATCTCAAAATACTTCAGACTTTTTCATTATTATATCTGTTATGGTGATCTGTGATCAATGATCTCTGATGTCACTACTGCAATTGTCTTGGGGTGCCATAAACAGTGAACTTAGTTGATAAATGCATGTGTTCTGACTGCTTCATTGATTAGCTGATCTATCATCTCTCCCCCTCTCCTCAAGCCTCCCTATTTCCTGAGACATAACAATATTGCCATTAGGCCAGTTAATAACCCTACAATGGGCCTTGAAGCATTCAGGTGAAAAGAAAAGTCACACGTCTGTCACTTTAAATTAAAAGCTAGAAATGATTAAGCTTAGTGAGGAAGGCATGTCAAAAAAAGTGAGACAGACCAAAAGCTAGGCCTCTTGGGCCAGTTAGCCAAGTTGTGAATGTAAAGGAAAAATTCTTGAAGGAAATTAAAAGTGCTGCTCCAGTAAACACACAAAAGATAAGAAGGCTAAGCAGCCTTATTGCTGATATGGAGAAAGTTTTAGTGATAAGAATAGAAGATCAAGTCAGCCACATTTTCTTAAGCCAAAGCCTAACCCAGAACAAGGCCCCAACTCTCTTCAGTTCTGTGAAGGTTGAGAGAAGTGAAGAAGCTGCAGAAGAAAAGCTGGAAGCTAGCAAAGGTTGGTTCATGAGGTTTAAGGAAAGAAGCTGTCTCCATAACATGTAAGAGCAAGGGAAAGCAGCAAGTGCTGATGTAGAAGTTGCAGCAAGTTATCCAGAAGACCACTGATGAAGGTGGCTTCAGTGTAGATGAAACAGCCTTCTACTAGAAGAAAAGGCCATCTAGGACTTCCATAGCTGAAGAGGAGAAATTAATGAAATTGATTACTGAATAAATTACTGAGTATCTTAAGTCCCCTGTTGAGACTTACTGCTCATAAGAAAAGATTCCTTTCAAAATATTACTGCTCATTGACAACGAGCCTAGTCACCCAAGAGCTCTGATGGAGCTGTACAAGGAGACGAATATTGTTTCGATGCTTGCTAGCACAACATCCATTCTGCAGCCCAAGGATCAAGAGGTAATTTTGACTTTCAAGTCTTATTATTTAAGAAATACATTTTATAAGGCTATAGCTGCCATAGATAGTGAATCCTCTGATGGATCTGGACAAAGTAAATTGAATACTTTCTGGAAAACACTCACCATTCTAAATGTCATTAAGAACATTCCTTATCCATAGGAGGAAGTCAAAATATCAATATGAACAGGAATTTGAAAGACATTGATTTCAACCCTCATGAATGACTTCCAGGGGTTCAAGACTTTGCAGAGGAAGTAACTACTGATGTAGTGGAAACAGCAAGAGAACTAGAATTAGAAGGGAAACTTGAAGATATCAGTGAATTGCTAAAATCTCTTGAGATGAAGTCAACTCCCAGTGAAGATGCTTTGAATATTATTGAAATGACAGCAAAGGATTTAGAATATTACATACAATGAGTTGATAAAGCAGTGATAGGGTTTGAGAGGACTGACTTCAATTTTGAAAGAAGTTCTACTGTGGGTAAAATGCTATCTAAGAGCATACAATACTACAGAGAATATTTTGTGAAGAAAAGAGTTAATCGATATGGGAAACTTCATGTTTGTCTATTTTAATAAATTGTCACAGCCACACCAACCATCAGCAACCGTCACCCTGATCAGTCAGCAGCTTTCAGCATCAAGGCAAGACCCTACACCAATGAAAAGATTACAATTCATTGAAGGCTTAGATGATTTGTTAGCAGTTTTCAGCAATAAAGTATTTTAAAATTATGGTATGTACATTTTTAGACATAATGCTATTGCACACCTAATAGCTTACAGCATGTGTAAACATAACTTTATATGCACTGGGAAACCAAAATATTCATGTATCTCACTTGATTTTGGTTTTCACTTTATCGCGGTGGTCTGAAATCAAACCCACAGTATCTTTGAGGTATGCTATACACTCGTGATTTATTTGCTCCCAGCCAAATCCATGCATCAGTAACTGCACCCAAAAAACTATTTTAAAACTGGTTCTCAATCTGCATTATTTCTTCACTCCCTTGCCCTGTGCCCCACCCAACTCAATGGACGCGCCACTGAAGTCATCTGGAGTAGTAGGTAGGAAAATCCTGCCCTTACTCTGATCTTTGCCATGAATTGATCTTTACAGGGAAATTTGGTTGAGCTTTTATACCTTAAAGACTTTTTTGCTCCATGTCTTCCTGTTTGGGATCCAGAAGCACTTGGCTTTTCATGGTCTAATCTTCACATTTCTGGATTCTCTCTATTCCTCCCTCTCTGCTCCCCTCCTCCCAACTTTTTTTTCACTGTAAGCTCATCTCTTCTTATAATACCTTATGAATGCAGCCAATAGCAACCAACACATAGCACTGAAGACATGTTTTCCAAGTCCAACCCTAGAGTTGTCAATTTAGTAAGCACATGGTCTGCTTCCGAAATAACCATAGGCAGGTTTCACCACACATGGTAGTGTTTTAGGACAACATGAATTGACATATTTGCTTCCTAAGTTATAATTTTCCTCAATGCCTGTCACCCCACAATGAAGCAAGTATCACGTATTTTAGGTTTGTTGCCATAACAGAGCTTTACTTCCAGCCTCAATTTCTGTTTTCATCAAGATAATCAGTGCAGTTGCCATAGCAAATACATACTCTGAAATTGTATGGCTTATGTGATCATTGTAAGAGCTTGGGCAGCAAAGATCAGTGTCTAGGGGTTCCCTGGAAACAGCTCTGAGAAGGACAGTTGTATATAGAAGGTTTACTGAAAAGTGTCTTGGGGATGCAGCTGTAAGGAAAGGAGGAAGGAGGACTGGGTGGAAGGAGATGCTGACTCGCAGTGTGGTTGCTGCAAAGCCTCAGCCAGTCTTACGGGGAGCTCTGGAGCTGGGATGGTCTTCAGTGTTGTCTCAAACCAGAAAAAGAGAGCTGGGCCTTTGTATCTAGGCACTGGCCAGCCACTGGCTACTGGCCGTTCTTTTGGAAAGGATGTAAGCTTGGGCAAGGCCAAACCCCACGGGGAGGGCAATGTCCAGTGAGGGATACAACTGTGACCCATCAGCCCCCTGAAGAGAGGATATGAGAGGAACACCACATCATCCATCCGAGGTAGTATAAAGGCTTGGGTTTTACAGCAAAGGCACCGTCGGTGATCCCAGCTGCCCACATCCCTGGAGCAGGAAGACTGCAGTGGACACCAAGAAGCAAAGGGCATTTGGTACTGACGATCCCAGCTGCCTATCCTCAGATTCCTTTGAATAGGAACAGCTTCTTCTCTTTTTCCTGCCATGTGTCAAGCAAGGGCTTCTCATTTGTAGAAATGAAGCAGAAACCTCATTTAAAGATGCCTCTGGGAAATTTGGTTGTGATGCAGCAAAGAAGGGGATGGGAATGCAGGGATGTTGTCGAGTTGAATGCAGACCGGCTGACAGTATAGAGGTGCTCCATAAAAGGTCAAAGAAATGAACGACCCCCAAACTGGGAAAACCCTTATGCCCAACGATATTAATCCCAGAATCATTTACCAAAGGGGATATCTGAACAAACCCCAAACATCCAATAATAAGGACTATTTAAGCTAGCGTGGGCATGAAATCTTGAAGCCAGGCTGCAAGCTCCTTGGAAACCGAGACGGACCTAGCACAGAGCCCAGCTCCAACACTGAGTGGGTGATGGATAATCCAATCAGCACACTTACTGGGGCATAAAAATGAGAACATTCTGCAACTGCATACAATGTGGAGGCCATGATGTTAAGACTAAAAGCTGGATTCAAAATTGTAGGCTCGCTGTAAAATAAGTAAAGTGTACATGCCGGTGAAATAAGGCAGGAATAGAAATGAGAAGGGAAAGAAAGCAGCTATAAAGGGCTCTAGGCAGTATCTTTGGAAGCTGAGAGGCTGGGGAAAGCCGAAGAAGGAGAAGGAGCTAGGGGCAGGGTCCGGGGAAAAGAGACGTAAGCCCAGACACAAGCCATCAGCAGGCGAGTGTGGGAACAGGGCAGCCATTTCGGCTCCAGCCGGTCAAGCCAGCTTATCTCAGGGAAGAGAGTTCTCCAAGTATGGGTGGGTGCACTTACCTTCTTCAGTTAGAAGTAGAATCTGACTATCCCTTGGTTCTTGGGCTGGATATTGTCTAAATCTCTGGGATGAATCCAGCTCAGGTGAGTTAAGCTACTTGTAATGAACAGAGGGTACTGGGATGAGAAGTCAGATTTGATCACATCCTCTTTATATACTTTTCACTGCACACCTTTGTTCCGTCCAAACTGGGTGTTGTTTGAACAGCATCTAGGGTATGTGCACACTTCGTCATGTCGTCACTGCCATTGCCACCATTGTCATCATCAATCACATGTATTGATTCGTCCACTGACAAACATCCATGCACAAGGCACTCTTCTAGACGCTGGGGTAAAGTAATTAACAAAACAGTCAAAGCACCTGCCTTCACGGATTCACGGTGGGAGGAGCCAGGGAAAATAAACAAGTTGCACGTAGCAATTGAATAAAACTAAGCAGGGAAGAGGTATAGAGGTGCAGGGTGCGGGTGATGAGGAGGGACCAACCAAGGGGAGGGGAGGGGAGCAGCCAGGGAAGCAGGAGGAATGATGGGGTCATGTATTGGACTCGGGACATCAAAGCAAGGGAGTGTTTCCAGGAGTGAGGGAACCGCCAGGGCAGCACTGCTGCTGATGGCTCAGCTGACCTTGACCACAGCAACTTTGGGGGAGGGGCAGAGGTGTCAGCCTGATTGAAGGGGGTTTTAGAGAGAACAAGAGGAGAGTAATTGGCTCCTCAGGCTGTGGGTATTGGGGTTTTGAGTACAGATTTTCTGAGCACTTTTGATGTGCCTGTTACTCTGCTAAGGAGCTCACAAATACCATTTCCTTTAACCCTTCATGGTCTTTGAGGTGGGGACCATTTATCCCCCCTCGCCCCACCTTTGAGACTCTTTCTATCTATCACCCAGGCTGGAGTGCAACGGTGCGATCTTGGCTCACTGCAACCTCCACCTCTGGGGTTCAAGCGATTCTTCTGCCTCAGCCTCCCAAGTAGCTGGGATTACAGGCGCCCATCACCATGTCTGGCTAATTTGTATTTTCAGTAGGAGTTTCACCATGTTGACCAGGCTGGTCTCGAACTCCTGACCTCAGGTGATCCACCGGCCTCAGCCTCCCAAAGTGCTGGGATTACAGGCATGAGCCACCACACCTGGCCCCATTTATCCCCCTTTTGACAGGTGAGAAGACCAGGTTTTAGTCCTAAGAGCTCCTAGGTGCTGTGTGGCAGAGCTGGGGTGGGGACCAGGCTCCCTTCTCCGGAGCCTGCACTGGGCTTAGTGGATTGGGAAGTGTGAGAAACGATGGAGGCTTCAACAGACCCATTCCAGGGGCATCCCCTGCTTCTTCTAGTATCGCTGGGGCCCAGAGGATCAGTGAGTCTCTGCTCCTTCTCAGCTGGAAGGGACTTTGGAGACCACCTGGTTCGATGTTAGCCTCGTGAGTCAGCTTGACTGGGCTCTAGTACTCAGTTATTTAATCAACTACAATCCAGGTGTTGGCTCCTGTGAAGATATTCTGTAGATAAGGTTGACAGTCATAATCAGTTGACTTTAACTAAAAAAGATTATCCTTCATAATATAGATTGGCCTCATTTAATCAGTCAAAGGTCTGGAGAGTAAAAACTGAAGTTCTCTGGAGAAGAAATTCTACCTGAAGACTACAGCTTCGACCTGAGCCTGTGTGTTCAGTCCACTGGCTTGCCCTACAGATACCAGACCTGCCAGCCCCCATAACAGCTCCCACCCATTCCTTCACATAAATCTCTCTCTATATGTGTACATATAAATTATAAATATATGAAAATATAGGAATGTATAATGTATAAAATATATATGGAGGTATGTATACACATGTGTATATATAAATAAAATTTGTATTGTACATACTGTGAACCCTGAATATCTGGGACAGTCTCAGTTAACTTAGAAAGTTTATTTTGCCAAGGTTGAGGATGCACACGCGTGACACAGCCTCAGGAAGTCCTGATGACATGCATCCAAGGTGGTCGGGGCACAGCTGGATTTTATACATTTTAGGGAGACATGAGACATCAATCAATATATGTAAGAAATACGTTGGTTCTCGAAGCAGGGAGGGAGTTTCCAGGTTACAGGTAGTTGAGAGACAAATGGTTGCATTCTTTTGAGTTTCTGATTAGCCTTCCCAAAGGAGGCAATCAGGTATGCATCTGTCTCAGCGAGCAGAAGGATGACTTTGAATAGAACGGGAGGTAAGTTTGCCCTGAGCAGTTCCCAGCTTGACTTTTCCTTGTGGCTTAGTAATTTGGGGGCCCCAAGATTTTCCTTTCACAATACATACATAAAATATATAATTTATGCATATATAGATACCTATATATCTACATAGATATGGATATATAAGTATATAAAGATATGCATAAAGAATGTGTGTCTAAAGGTAAGATAGCTCTTATTGGCTCAGTTTCTCTGGACAGCCCGGACTGTAACACCTGGTCTAATGCCTTCATGGGACCCAAGAGGAGAGGCTAAGAGCCATCCAGAGGAAGTGAGACACCCAAGGTTACACTCTGAGTTGGTAGCTAGATCCCAAGCTGTTTCCTGTCCCCCAAATGATGCCTTTTCAGAAATCTGTAACGGGGAGAGAACAGAGCCAAAGAGGACCCACCTTACCTTCTTTTATCTCCTTGCAAATGCAGCCTTTTCTTCATTCCCAGAAGCATCCGTGGGGTTTGTGTTAAAATGGATTGGTTTTCATGTCTCAAAACTTTAGCCCCAAAGGGAAGGATGGTGGCATGGAGTGACAGACATTTTCCCTGATTCTCATTTCCTTGAGATTTTGCATAATTTTTCGTCATTAACTTTGGGGAGCATTGTCAGACCATTCAGTCCTCTGGGGGGCAGTAATGACGTCTGCACACAGTTCCAGGTAGAAAACCCCAGGCAAAGAGGGTGTTCAGCACTGGGAGCTGACCCAGTTTTTCAAAGAGCCCAAAAGGATTTGTTATGCTTAAAGCCCCGCATTCCATTGTTCTTTGTCAGGGAAATTTCTCCTCCTTGTCACTTCTGCCGTTTTTGCCCTGGAAAGCACGTCATGTTCCAGGGTTTATATGGCATAGCACTGTAAAGCACTGTATGGTTTATACTGCACAATGCTGCCATTGTCATATGGTTTGACAAGTCACCTCTTCAAGAGATGCAGGGTTGCATGGCAGTAGAGAGCTCAGCACGACACTTATTACCCCTGGACCTTTGGCTTATAACTAAGCCTCAATCTCCTTATCTGTAAAATGGGCATATCACAGGTAAAACCTTAAAAGGCTCTTATGAGAATTAAACAAGGGCATATACTGGTGACTAGTAAAAAGCCAATAAATGTGAACTTTTATCATGATCATCATTACGGTGTCTCTCTCACTTGACCTAAACTGGGGCCAGTTAAGCAGGGACTCCCTGTCTGTATGTTTACCTTTGGAATTTAGCCTGGCACAGAATGGATCTTCAAAAAGTGCTGAATGAATGATTAATTAAATGCAATGCCCATTCATGAATGATAATATGCCTTAATGAACAAAAGGGAGCTGGATAGGAATCTGCTTAGGTCTAATTCTGACCTCTGAGTTTCAAATATATGTTCAGCAGTGCCACTTTTTGGTGAAACAACACTGTCTGCCAAGGTCTAACATCTAAGAGACAAAAGCAAAGCTCTGGCTGGAGGGGAGCTGGGTGGCTGACCCTCCTAGCTCAGCCTCTCACTCTGTGAGTACCTCGCGCCATCTCTGGGTTTCTTCAAGAGTCCCACAAAGATGAAATTTCAGTTCAACCTCTCCCATCCATCCACCCACCAATCCAGCCTCCAAAACAGTAGAACCCCTCTCCACGAAAATGTTCCCTGTGCTGTTATGTATGGTGGCAAATCTTTGCAAACAATTAAAAAGATACAGTTTCATGCGCGTCCGTGTGAAGAGACCACCAAACAGGCTTTGTGTGAGCAATAAACCTTTTAATCACCTGGGTGCAGGTGGGCTGAGTCCGAAAAGAGAGTCAGCAAAGGGAGATAGGGGTGGGGCCGTTTTATAGGATTTGGGTAGGTAAAGGAAAAGAGGAGTTGTTCTCTGGCGGGCAGGAGTAGGGGTCACAAGGTGCTCAGTAGGGGAGCTTTTGAGCCAGGATGAGCCAGGAAAAGGAATTTCACAAGATAATGTCATCAGTTAAGGCAGGAACAGGCCATTTTCACTTCTTTTGTGGTGGAATGTCATCAGTTAAGGCAGGAACCGGCCATCTGGATGTGTACGTGCAGGTCACAGGGGATATGATGGCTTAGCTTGGGCTCAGAGGTCTGATATTCCTGTCTTCTTATATTAATAAGAGAAAGAAAATGAAATAGTGGTAAAGTGTTGGGACGGTGAAAATTTTTGGGGGGTGGTATGAAGAGATAATAGACAATGTTTCTCAGGGCTGCTTCGAGCGGGATTAGGGGCGGCGTGGGAACCTAGAGTGGGAGAGATTAAGCTGAAGAAAGATTTTGTGGTAAGGGGTGATATTGTGAGGTTGTTAGAAGAAACATTTGTCATTTAGAATTATTGGTGATGGCCTGGATACAGTTTTGTATGCATTAAAAAACTAAACGGAATAAGAGAAGGAGAAAAACAGGTATTTAAGGACTAAGAATTGGGAGGACCTAGGACATCTAATTAGAGAGTGCCTAAGGAGGTTCGCATAGCCTTGCCAGCAAAGATTATTTATTTACTTTAAGAGTTAAGAGTGGCGGTTTGGGGATAGCACCAGGAGATATCAGCTGTGATGTCTTGGAGAAACAGTGTAAACTGGCAGCGTAAACAAGAGCAGGGCATGTATGAGTAGTTGAGAATGGTGAATAGGAGTATGACTAGACAGAAGATAGTAGGGTTGACAAGTTTTTTGGGGCACAGTCCAAGTTGGTCTGGTGTCTGGAATGAGACTGGGGCCTAATAAAAAGGAGCATCTATACAGGAGCTCATATGGGCTGTACCTTGTAGCACTCCAAGGACAGGCCTGAATTCTGAGAAGGGAAAGAGGTAAACGTATTGCCTAGTCCTTTTTCAGTTGTTGGCTGAGCTTGATGAGGTGTGTTTTTAAAAGACCATTAGTCTGTTCTACCTTTCCTGAACACTGAGGACTGTAAGCGATATAAAGTTTTCACCGAATACTAAGAGCCTGAAAAAATGCTTGGGTGATTTGACTAATAAAGGCTGGTCTGTTATCGGACTGTATAGAGGTGGGAAGGCCAAACCAAGGAATTATGTCTGACAGAAGGGAAGAAATGACCATGGTGGCCTTCTTAGAACCTGTGGGAAAGGCCTCTACCTATCCAGTGAAAGTGTCTACCTAGACCAAGAGGTATTTTAGTTTCCTGACTCAGGGCATGTTGAGTAAAGCTAATTTGCCAGTCCTGGGTGGGGGCAAATCCCTGAGCTTGATGTGTAGGGAAGGGAGGGAGCCTGAATAATCCCTGAGGAGTAGTAGAATAGCAGATGGAACACTGAGAAGTTATTTCCTTGAGGATAGATTTCCATAATGGAAAGGAAATGAGAGGTTCTAAGAGGCGGGCTGGTGGCTTGTACTATAGCATAGCCTGCCTTTGCTGGTGTGTGGTGATTAGGCCTGGTGGAACTGCCATCAATAAACCAAGTGTGAGCAGGGTGAGAAACAGGAAAGAAGGAAATGTGGGGAAATGGGGTGAACGTCAGGTGGATCAGAGAGATGCAGTTATGAGGGTCAGGTGTGGTATCAGGAATAATGTGGGAGGCCGGATTGAAATCTGGGCCAGGAACAATGGTAATTGTGGTAGACTCAACAAAGAGTGAGTACAGCTGAAGGAGCCGGGGAGCATAAAGTATATGCATCAGGTGTGAGGAAGAAAATAGATTTTGGAAATTATGAGAGCTGTAGAGAGTGAGTTGAGCATAGTTTGTGATTTTAAGGGCCTCTAAAAGTATTAGAGTGGCAGCTGCAGCTGCATGGAGACATGATGGCCAGCCTAAAACAGTAAGGTCAAGTTGTTTGGACAAAAAGGTTACAGGGCGCGTTCCCAGTCCTTGTGTAAGAATTCCAACTGCACAGCCCTGCACTTCGGCTGTGCGTAATGAAAAGGGTTGGGATGAGTCAGAGAGAGGTAGGGTGGGGGCAGTCTCTAAAGCTGTCTTAAAGGAATGGAAAGAGGAGTGGGGAAAGGATTTAGGATCTATGGGGTCAGCTAGGTTTCCTTTTGTCAGTTTATATAATGGTTTCATTAGGATAGCAAAACCAGGTATCCAAAGGTGAAAGTATCCAACCATGCCTAGGAAGGAAAGGAGTTTTTGTTTTGTAGAAGGGATTGGGGTTTGGAAGATTAGCTGACACGATCAGCAGGGAGAGCACATGTGTTTTTATGAGAATTATGCCGAAATAGGTAACAGATGAGGAAGAAATTTGGGCTTGACTGAAGTAATGGGGGCTGTCTGTGAAGCTTTGCAGCAGTACAGCCTAGGTAATTGGCTGAGCTTGATGGGTGTCAGGGTCAGTCCAGGTGAAAGCAAAGACAGGCTGGGATGCAGGGTACAAAGAAATAGTAAGGAAAGCATGTTTGAGATCCAGAACAGAATAATGGATTGTGGAGGGAGGTGTTGAGGATAGGAGAGTATATGGGTTTGGCACCATGGGGTGGATAGCCAAAACAATTTGGTTGATAAGGCATAGATCCTGAACTAATTCGTGAGGCTTGTCTGGTTTTAGGACAGGTAAAATGGGGGAATTGTAAGGAGAGTTTATAGGCTTTAAAAGGCCATGCCATAGCAGGCAAGTGATAACAGGCTTTAATCCTTTTAAAGCATGCTGTGGGATGGGATATTGGCATTGAATGGGGTAAGGGTGATTAGGTTTTAATGAGATGGTAAGGGGTGCATGATCGGTCACCAAGGAGGGAGCAGAGGTATCTTATACTTGTGGGTTAAGGTGAGGGGATACAAGAGGAGGATGCAAAGGAGGCTTTGGATTGGGAAGAAGGGCGGCAATGAGATGTAGCTGTAGTCCAGGAATAGTCAGGGAAGCAGATAATTTAGTTAAAGTGTCTCAGCCTAATAAGGGAACTGGGCAGGTGGGGATAACTAAAAAGGAGTGCTTAAAAGAGTATTGTCTAAGTTGGCACCAGAGTTGGGGAGTTTTAAGAGGTTTAGAAGCCTGGCTGTCAACACCCACAACAGTTACAGAGGCAAGGGAAACAGGCCCTTGAAAAGAAGGTAATGTGGAGTCGGTAGCCTCCGTATTGATTAAGAAGGGGAGGGACTTACCCTCCACTGTGAGAGTTACTTGAAGCTCGGCATCCATGATGGTCTACAGGGCTTCTGAGGTGATCAGGCAGTGTCAGTCTTCAGCTGCTAAGCCGAGAAGATCTGGGAAGGAGTCAGTCAGAGAGCCTTGGGCCAGAGTTCCAGGGGCTCTGGGAGTGGCTGCCAGGTGAGTTGAACAGTCCAATTTCCAGTGGGGTCCCACACAGATGGGACACAGCTTAGGAGGAATCCCGGGCTGTGGGCATTCCTTGGCCTGGTGGCCAGATTTCTGACACTTGTAGCAAGCTCCTGGGGGAGGCGGTTCTGGAGGAACACCTGGCCACTGCGGTTTAGGCGTTTGGAAGTTCTTGTGTGCTGGAGATGTGGCTGGGGTTTGTCTCACAGTGGAGGCAAGGAATTGCAACTCAGAAATATGTTGATACTTGGCTGCCTCGACTCTATTATTGTACACCTTGAAGGTGAGGTTAATTAAGTCCTGTTGTGGGGTTTGAGGGCCGGAATTTAATTTTTGGAGTTTTATTTAATGTTGGGAGCAGATTGGGTAATAAAATGTATGTTGAGAATAAGACGGCCTTTTGACCTTTTAGGGTCTAGGGCTGTAAAGCATCTCAGGGTTGCTGCCAAACGAGCCATGAACTGGGCTGGATTTTTATATTTGATGAAAAAGAGCCTAAACGCTATCTAATTTGGGATAAAGAAAAAGGAGCATTAACCTTGACTATGCCTTTAGCTCCAGCCACCTTTTTAAGAGTAAATTGCTGGGCAGGTGGGGGAGGGCTAGTCATGGAACGAAACTGTAAGCCGGACCAGGTGTGAGGAGGGGAGGTGATAAAAGGATTATAGGGTGGAGGAGCGGAGGCTGAGGAAGAATTGGGACCTAGCTTGGCCTGGCGAGGAGGGGAGAGGTCTGTAGAAAAGGAAGATCAGAAAGACTCAGTGATGCTTGGGGTTGGGACTGAGGGGACAGGTGGGAGGGAAAGAAGGAAGATTTGGGATGAGTTGCATTGGGAACAGAGACTAGGGAGGGACCAATGTGTAAAAGAATGCCTGAATGTCAGGCACCTCAGATCGTTTGCCTATTTTATGACAAAAATTATTTAGATCTTGTAGGATGGAAAAATTGAAAGGGCCATTTTCCGGGTATTTGGAACTACTGTTGAGTTTGTATTGGGGTCAAGTGGCATTGCAGAAGAAAATAAGATGCTTAGATTTTAGGTCAGGTGAGAGTTGAAGAGGTTTTAAGTTCTTAAGAACACAGGCTAAGGGAGAAAAGGAGGAATGGAAGGCGGAAGCTTTCCCATAGTGGAGGAGGCAAGCCCAGAGAAAAGAGAGTCAAGACATAGAGAAGGGGTGAGGGGTTCTTGCCCTCCAGAAAAGCAGAGAAGGGGGTGGGGCGCAGAAATAAGGGGTTGGGGCACAGAGATAAGAGGTCGGGGTGCAGAAATAAGAGATTGGGGCACAGAGATAAGATGTCAGGGTTCCTGCCCCTCCCCCAGAGAAGAAGGATTTGCCGCTAAGGTTGAAGGAGGAGGAGTTGAGGGGTTCTTGCCCCTCCCCCAGAAAAGCGGGACTTGCCGCTAAGGGTGCAGGAGAAGGGCTTGAGGGGTTCTTGCCTCTCCCCCAGAAAAGTGGGACTTGCCACTAAGGGTGAAGGAGAAGGGGTTGAGGGGTTCATGCCCCTCCCCCAGAAAAGCAGAGAAGGGGTAGAGACACGGAGAGAAGGGATGGGGTTCTTGCCGGTGACCGGCGCCGGAGTTTTGGGTCCATGGATAAAACGTGTCTCTTTTGTCTCTGCCAGAGAATGAAAGGAATTGAAATTAAGAGAAGGGAGAGATTGAAGTGTGGTGCCAAGATTGAAAGGAGAAAGTGGTTGAGGGATAGTGAGGGAGGTTGGAGAAGAGAGTAAAATGAGGCCGCTTACCAGATTTGAAATTGGTGAGATGTTTCTTGGGCTGGTTGGTCTGAGGACCTGAGGTTGTAGGTGGATCTTTCTCACGGAGCAAAGAACAGGAGGACAGGGGATTGATCTCCCAAGGGAGGTCCCCCGATCCTAGTCACGGCACCAAATTTCATGTGCGTCCATGTGAAGAGACCACCAAACAGGCTTTGTGTGAGCAATAAACCTTTTAATCACCTGGGTGCACGTGGGCTGAGTCCGAAAAGAGAGTCAGCAAGGGGAGATAGGGGTGGTGCCATTTTATAGGATTTGGGTAGGTAAAGGAAAAGGGGAGTTGTTCTCTGGCGGGCAGGAGTTGGGGGTCACAAGGTGCTCAGTAGGGGAGCTTTTGAGCCAGTATGAGCCAGGAGAAGGAATTTCACAAGATAATGTCATCAGTTAAGGCAGGAACAGGCCATTTTCACTTCTTTTGTGGTGGAATGTCATCAGTTAAGGCAGAAACCAGCCATCTGGATGCGTATGTGCAGGTCACGGGGGATATGATGGCTTAGCTTGGGCTCAGAGTCCTGACATACAGCAGTGGAGATATTTACCCAACAAAGTAAACTAAGACATCTCCACTTGATGGAACAAATTTTGGCTGATAACAATAGTTCTGAAGGTAATGTTGTAACACAGGAAAAGACAAGTGGAAAAACATTGGAGCTTTGTAAAATATGCCTTCATCTGACAAAGGGATGAGGAGAGATGTGGAAAAATTAAAACAAAGTGTTGGACTGGACTAGAGGGATTCTGGGTGAATGTTTCCCATCTTTCTCATTTGCTTGATTGCTAGCATAAAGCTACTTGTGCAACATACAAGAGCCAAGAGTTAAAAACAGTTTTTAAAAAATACAAAGTCATTAACTGGGAAGTTCTTATTCTTTGCTCGTATGCTAAAGCTGTTTGACTTGAGTCCAGCAAACATTCAAGTTGAAGATAGTATTAAATTGTACATTGTTTGTGTGTCTGTGTGCATGTATATGTATATGTGTGGTATGCGTGTGCATGTGTGGTGTGTGTGCATGTATCCATGTGTATGTCTATGTGTTTGGTGCATGTATGTATGTGGGGATGTGTGTGCATGTGTGTGCCTACATGTGATGTGTGCACATGTGTGGTATGAATAAGTGTGTGCTGTTTGTGTGTATGTGTGGCATATGTATGTGTGTATGTGTGTGCATCTGTGGTGTGTGTGCATGCATGCATATGTATGTTTATGCACAGTGAGTTTGTGTGTGGGGTGTGTGCATGTGTGTGTTGTATGTGTGTGTGTTATTTGTGTGTATGTGTATCATGGTTATGTGTGCATGTGTATGTATGTATGTGGTGTATGTGTGGCATGTCTGGTGTGGATGTGCATGTGTGTATGTTTCTGGTGTGTGTGTGTACATGATGTGTACATGTCATGTGTGTATATGCATGTGTCTTAGTCCATTTTCCGTTGCTATTACTGAATACCACAGATTGGGTAATTTATAAAGAATAGTGGTTTATTTATCCTATAGTTCTGGAGGCTGGGAAATCCAAAAGCATAACATCAGCATCTGCTGAGGGCCTTCCTGCTACCTCATGACATGGCGGGAAGCATCACATGACAAGACAGAAGGAGTGTACTAATTTAGTTCTCTCTTCCCCTTCTTATAAAGCCGCCAGTCCCCCCGTGGGGGCCCCGCCCTGATGACCTTATCTAATCCTATTTATCTCCCAAAGGCCCTACCACCTAATGCCATCAATATATGAATTTGGGTACTAAGTTTCCAACACATAAAATCTGGTGACACATTCAAACCATAGCAGCCTATGTGTGCATGTGAGGGTGCATGTGTGTCTAGCACATCTGAGAGGCAAGTTCTGGTGATCCCAGCCCTGCCACAGCCATCTCTCTGCCTTCCTTCATTAGCCAAGGGGATGCTTCACCAGGCTGGCACTCCTGATGCAGGGCTTTATTAAATACACAGGTTGTCCCTGGCCTATTCTTAGTTCTGGCAGATTCTTACAGGAGGAAAATGAATTCTTCCCCTGCTCAGAAACAGCATGTTCATTCCAAGTAGTGTCACCACTGGGAGATGTGACTGTTACAAGGCCTTGTAAAATAACCAGACACTACTAGGCAGAGTGGTTTGTTTGTTTTTTAAGAAAAATATTTGAGGGCCGGGCGCAGTGGCTCACACCTGTAGTCCCAGCACTTTGGGAGGCCAAGGTGGGCAGATCATGAGGTCAGGAGATCAAGACCGTCCTGGCTAACATGGTGAAACCCCATCTCTACTAAAAATACAAAAAATTAGCCGGGCGTGGTGGTGGGTGGCTGTAGTCCCAGCTACTCAGGAGGCCGAGGCAGAAGAATGGCATGAACCCGGGAGGCGGAGGTGGCAGTGAGCAGAGATCATGCCACTGCACTCCAGCCTGGGCAACAGAGTAAGACTCCGTCTCAAAAAAAAAATATATATATATATATATATACATTTGAAAGTACCTGTGCTCAGTACGGTGCAGTAAAAGGTCATGATCTTGGAATAGGGAAGACCTTATTCCAATTTCAATTTTATCTCTGCCACTTCTTCTACCCATTAGACTTTGAACTTTTCGACTAATCTTCCTGAGTCTCTCATCTGTAGCTGTTTTCTCATCTATAATTGAGGATCAACATATCTAACTTTAGGATTGATAAGAGAATGAGATGTGATAATGTACAAAAGTATCAATGTCTATCTGGCACATAGTAGATGCTTAATAAATATTAGTCTCAAATTCCTAAGCATCTTGATTTGTGAAATACTCCGCTCTTTTTTGTCCCATTTTTTTTTCCTGTGTCATCCTCCCTCCTTCTAACGTTTAATGCTAATGATGTTAATGAGGGGGAATCTGGAAGTCTGCTAACTGGCTGAGCCCTTGTCTCCCTTCTCCATTCTGTTTGCCTTGTCTACGGATCCCAGAGGGAGCTAATCTCCAGAGCGTGGTTGGGGGGTGGTGGTGGTCCTGGCTTTGTGGTAATTACAGGTATGAATCATTATCCCCTGTGGGGTTGAGCAAGGGCCCAGACATCACCTTCCTGGAGTTCCAGGGTAAACACTAGGCATTTTAAGATACCCAGTGAGAAGCACTTGAGCCTCAGAGACCTGAGGACTTCAGAGGGAGTGGAGGAAAGGCCACCACTTACCCACAGGATGGGCCTGGTCCCTTGGACATCAACTGCTGAAGAATACAATGAAATAGTGGGTTAAGTTCTGCCTTCCTTTGATGCTGGGTCAGCACAGCAAGCCTTGAGAGCAGAGAGGCTCTGCTAGCCAGGAGCCTCAGCAGTGGGGCCAGGGGCTAAGCCCTGGTCTACACCAGCTCTACCTTTTTACCTGCATAAACTTCTGCTGAGGACATGTTAATAATCAAACTAAACCAGCACCCTAAAGAGGTGAAAAAAAACAAAAACCCATAACCTATCTAGAGGGTCCAAAGGTAGAGAGAGAGAGGGAAGCCAAGATAGACAGAACAGGTACTCAGTGAAACAGAGGGCCTGGGGGAAGCAGATGACTTGAATTTTAAAACATAAGAGTAATATAAAGATGTTCAGGTGATAGTAAGAAAAAGACTCCCTGGGACTAGTCTCTGAGCTAAACAAAGGAATAGGAGGTGTCAGTCATAGTTGAGGCCTAAGTCAGTGGCTCAGAGGGCCAAGTGCATGAACTATCTGAAATCTCAGAACAACATGACTTTGAAATCAGGAGAGACAAGATAAGAGACTAGGAGGAGAGAGGAGGGAAACTTAATACACGAACTACAGGAATTTCAGAAAATGAGAAAGGGATACATAGAGAAAGGACAATTAAAGAACAGAAGACATAACAGAAGACCACTTTCTTGAGACAAAGAAAAAAACAGAGTCTGTGGATGGAAAAGTTGTACTAAGTTCTAGGCCTGGATTAATAAGAAAAGGCATAGATGTAGGCATATCCTAGTAAATCCCTGAATTCTAAGCATAAATAGAAGGTTTTATGAGCTTCCTGGCAGAAATAAATTACCTAAAAGGATAAATAATTAGACTCACATCAGACTTCTCTGCATTAACTAGAAGATTGAAGATGGTGGAATTGCATCTACAGACAGCTGAGTGAAAAGGATGGAGAAACCAAATCCATACTCAGTCAAGGCCATCCTTCACTAGAAGAATACACTCACATGATCCATCTGAAAAGGGACTTGATAATAATGTTCATTAAATGATAAATGAACCCAAAGATAGACTAAAGATGGGGAGATGAAGGGCAGGGTACATGGCATTCAGCGATATGTAGTTAAACATAATATTGTATATATGTGTGTGCATAATTAGACGCAGATGAACATGATGAAGCTGTCTGGGAGTAGCATAATATGCTTGTTAAATTCTCCTCAAACAGAAGGAAGAGACTATCACACAGAGTTCAAAACTATGAAACCATCACAGCAAAACCTAGGAGTTCGGAGTGGTGCGGTAAGGGGGCAAATTGACATCAACTTCAAAGTCTCATTGCAGGGGCCAGAGGGAGGGGGTGGTGGGCGAAAAGGAGGACCAAGCTGAAGGAGGAAAGTGAAAATATCTCCAGGACCCATCTCTCTGGGCCAAGAGAGAGTAAAAGCAATGCTGAGAATCTTGGTGGGAGCAAAGGCATCTTTGGTGGGAAAGAGAATAGTTCACATCTGCAGGGCTTGGTGGCTTACCCCTATAATCCCAGCTATTCTGGAGGCTGAGGCAGGAGGATTGCTTGAGGCTGGGAGTTTAAGACCAGCTTGGGCAACATCGTGAGACCTTGTCTTTACGAGAGAGAGAGAGAGAGAGACAGACAGACAGACAGACAGACAGACAGACAGACAGACAGAGACAGAGAGATGAAGAGAGAAAATAGCTGGGCATGGTGGTTGAGGACGGAGGATTACTTGAGCCTATCACACGCGTACATGTGAAGAGACCACCAAACATGCTTTGTGTGAGCAACAAGTCTGTTTATTTCACCTGGGTGCAGGCGGGCTGAGTCCAGAAAGAGAGTCAGCCAAGGGAGATAGGGGTGGGGCCGTTTTATAGGATTTGGGTAGGTAGTGGAAAATTTACAGTCAAAGGGGGTTTTTCTCTTACGGGCAGGGGCAGGGGTCACAAGGTGCTCAGTCGGGGAGCTTCTGAGCCAGGAGAAGGAATTTCACAAGGTTAATCGCTCAGTTAAGGTGGGGCAGGAATAAATCACAATGGTGGAAAGTCATCAGTTAAGGCAGGAACCGGCCATTTTCACTTCTTTTGTGATTCTTCACTTGCTTCAGGCCATCTGGATGTATACGTGCAGGCTTGGGCTCAGAGGCCTGACAGAGCCCAGGAATTCAAAGCTGCAGTGAGCTATGATTGTGCAACTGCATTCTAGCCTGGGTGACAGAGTAAGACCTGATCTCTTAAAAAAAAATTTAAAAGAAGGTATCTATCTATCTATCTATCTATCTATCTATCTATCTATCTATCTATAGATATAGTAAATATATATCTTTAGAGAGAGAGAGAATAGTTAACATCTTACTTCCAGATATTTGTAGCAAAATGTAGAGTCAAAGAAGAGAGCCAGCAAAGGAAAAGTCAATGCTAATGGAATGGGAGTGGACAGAAGAGCTCCAAATTCACAATGGGAAGAAATAAAATGAATACGAACATCTTGGTCATTTGACCTAAACTAAGACAATAAAAGTCAAAAAAGGAGAACCAAATACTAAACATAAAACAAATTGTAAAAAATAGAACAAGGTCTACCAGCAGTTACTCTGTATGTTGAATGGCTGGATTTTTCCCACCTAAAGACAGGGACTTTCATATTGGGTTAAAAGATGAAATGTAACCATATGCTGTGTTTGAAAAAACTATGCTTAAGACAGTAATAAGTGCTTAAAATAAAGGGAATGGCAAAAAGAATTTAGTAAGGTGGAATGGTTATAAGATAAAACACAAAAATCAATAGCCTTTCTCTCTTCCAGTAAATAAGCATCTAGAAATGAAAAGGAGGAGAAATATTTTATTTGCAGTAGTGATAAACACTCTAAAGTATTTATAAATGAATATAATTTTAAAAGACAGGACCTATATGGAGAATATTAGAAGATCTCAAGGAAGGATATAGAACTAATATAGAGCTGATCAAAGGAAAGGACATAGTGAGTTGTAAAATAATATGTCTTATAAAAATGTCAGTTCACCTCAAAATAAATATGTAAATGAAATAAAATTTTGATTGGAATTTCAAATGCAATATTTTTCTGAAGTGAGTTATTGAATAAATTAATATATAAATCTATATGGAAAAATAAATGCCTCATAATTGTCCCCACACACATCAAACATGTGTGGGCCTGAAAGTAGGCCATGTCCTTGATGTATCAAAGGTATAAATGAAGAATGAATGACTCATCTTACTTGACACTGGAATTTTGGAAAAAGTCAGAGTAACCCAACCAATCTGGCACTGGTATCGGACTAAACAGATCAGTGGAATAGAATAGAGCGTGCAGAAATTGGTCCTGCTTAACAAGGATTTTCATGTAATAAAAATGGTGGCTAAATTTGGTTGGGAAAATGGATACTTGAACACATGGTGCTGGAACAACTGGTTCTCCTTTTGGAAGGAAATAAAATTGAATCACTATTTTATATCATCCAAAAAAATTTAGGTGGATTACAGACTTGTGTTAAAAGGATTAAAAATTTGCAAGATAAACAATATGTATAACCAAAGGGTGGAAAAAACCTTCTGAACCAAGACAAGAAACCCAGATGTTAACAAAGAAAAGGTAGGCATATTTGGGTCCATAAAATTTTAAAATATACATGGAAAAAACACTCATGAATGAAATAAGAAGACAAATGGTAGACTGGGTGTGGTGGCTCATGCCTGTAATCCCAGCACTTTGGGAGGCCAAGGTGGGTGGATCACCTGAAGTCAGGAGTTCCAGACCAGCCTGGCCAATATTGTGAAACCCTGTCCCTACTAAAAATACAAAAATTAGCCAGCCGTGGTGGTGCATGCCTGCAGTCCCAGCTACTTGCGAGGCTGAGGCAGAAGAATCGCTTGAACCCGGGAGGAGGAGGTTGCAGTTAGCTGAGATTGTGCCACTGCACTCCAGTCTGGGCAACAGAGTGAGAATCTGTCTCAAAAAAAAAAAAAAAAAGACAAATGGTGAGTTTGGAAAGAATGCTGGCAGCACAGATGACTCTATGTATGTGTGTGTGTATATATATGTACATATATATGTACATATACATGTATATGTATATACATGTATTGTATATGTGTACATATATGTATGATGTATTCAGTGCTTTAAAATATGTATATGTATATGTGTACATATATGTGTATGATGTATTCAGTGCTTTAAAATTTGATGAAAACAAGCAACACAAGAGAAAAAAAGGGCAGGCTATTATGAAGAAGCAATGTATACAACAGCAAATTCAAATGGCCAAGAATTATATTAAAATTCTCTAGCAGTTAAGAAAAGAGCTTAAATACTACATAAGCATTATAGTCGCAATGGTGTATCACTTTCTACCCTAGAGCCTGACAAAAATCTAAGAGAGTGATAAATATTGCCAGAGGCCATGTAGGCCAAAAAGCTCTCTCCTGCACTGTGAATGGAAGTGTGAATGGTTAGAATCTTTCAGGAAAGTAATCTGCTAACAACTGTTAACATTAAAAATTCAAATCAACCTTGACCTAGCAATCCCATTCCTGGGATATATTCCATAGAAATGAAACTGCTGGCATGTACTCTCATATTGTAATTGTCCAACATGTTCTTCCTGCCTGCTGCACAGACAAAAACAGTTCACTTGGATCATGGTATCGCAGTAAAGAAAGAGTTTAACTGATGCTACACCAGCCATGCAGAAGATGGAGTTATTACTCAAATCATTCTCCCCCTAGGTTTGGAGGTTAGGGTTTTTCCAGGACAGTTTGGTGGGCAAGGGACTAGGGAATGGGTGCTACTGATTGGTTGGGGACACAATCATAGGGGTGTGGAAGACGGTCCTCATGTGCTGAGCCTGCCTATTGGTGGAGCCACAGGACCAACTGAGTCATGAGTCACGAGTCCAGGTGGGGTCAGTCGGATGCCAGAATTCAGAAGTCTGAAAAACATCTCCAAAGGCCAATCTTAGATTCTACAATAGTGATGTTATTTATAGGAGCAATTGGGGCAGCCACAAATCTTGTGACCTCTGGCTACATGACTCCAGAGCAGTAAGGGATTACAGAAAGTATGCCTACATTTTAGCAGAATTCAGGCCCCTCCCATAATCATAATCTTGTGGCCTTTCTTTAGTCTTACAAAAGCAGTTTCAGGCCCCAAACAAGCAGGGGATCAGTTTTAGAGAGGGACTATGATCATGCTTGTTTCAAAGCTAAACCATAAACTAAATTCCTCCTACAGTTAGCTTGGCTTATGCCCAGGAATGAGCGAGGACAGCCAGCCTGTGAGGCTAGAAGCAAGATAGAGTCAGCTGTGCTAGACTCCCTTGCTGTCATAATCTTTGCTAAGGCAGTTTCCGTATGGACAAAGATGTCTGTTGCAGCATCATTCACAGAGGCCCAAGACAACTACAATTAAGCAGGTGCCTGTTTTCTCCTTATAATCAGCTTCAAGATCTTAAAGCTCATAACATTTCATAACACTTTGCATTTGTATTAGGGCCAGCTGTGGTCAGTGATCCCTTCCTATAGTATTTGCATTTTTAACAGAACACTTCAAAGACCAGTGGAAATTCAACTGTCTTTGGGGCCTGAGGGTAGCCTGAGAGCCTCCTGAGGTGAAGCTGCAGGAGTGGGGTACTGTTTCCCAGGTAGGAGCACCTTGCTTGGCAGGCTAAGGGTCAGACACTGCTTTGCAGGCAGAGGGGTACTTTAAGACCATACGATCCACGTGATGAAAGCTGCATTCATGGAAGGAGGGGCTGAACTTGGGGAAACCACTTGCCCTGGCTTTTTGTTCTTTGCTTTCTGAGGCAGAGCCCTACCTGGGGGCATACAGACTGTGAATGGTTTTAGAAGATTCATAACTGCCTTAGCATTGGATGCAACATCTCGGGTGTATATGGACATGTGTGTCTTCCTGGGAAGAGGGTTACTATTTTCGTCAGGGTCTCAGAAGAGACTGTACCCCACGAAAGGTTAAGAATCACTATTCTAGGGAGATTTTTTTCTGATAAATTATTCCATAGTCATGAGTTCATGCCCTATCCTGCATTGTTCTAGGGATCTGTCTGTTTAAACAGGGAACCCATGGGTCCACGCCATGCACACTCCAGTTTTCAGAGGCTGGGCTCGCCCAGGGAAAAAAAACATGGCTGCTTTATGTTGAGTACATAAAATCACATGAATAGAAGACACTATAAGGGAACTGGTTGGAAAAGGGTGGGGCAGGTCAAGTCAAGTCAGGATGAGGTCTGAATCCACCACAGGTAATTATTGATCAATTTAATATGGAACCAGGTAGATGGCATTTCATCTTCGCTACTTATTGGCTGTGTGGCCTTTGGCAAGTTACTCAGCTTCTCCGCTGTCAATGTCTTCACATGTGAAATGACGGTAATAACCATCTCTCCATCATGGAGTGTGGGTGTGAGGATGAAACGAGCTAATGTATTTAAAGCACTTCTAATACTGGCTGGAACCTAATAAGCACTGCAGAACATTCATTTTTAATTATGATTATTGTTGTTGCTCTTACATAGCAGCCCTTCTGGCTTAATGAAGGCAATATGGTATCGTGCACTGGTTCTCAAAGTGTGGTCCCAGGACCGGCAGCATCAGCATCATCTGGGAACTTGTTAGAAATGCAAATTCCCTGACCCTACCCAGACTACTGAGTCAGGAGCTCTAGGGGGGTGGGGCCAGCAATCCATGTTTCCACAAGACCCCCAGGCAATTCTGAGACCCCCTCAAGAGAACCACTGGTGTGGTCATTAAGAACACAGGCTTTGAATTCGGGCTTCACCATCTGCCCTCTGTATAAACTGGAGAGAGTTATTTAGCCTTTCTGTACCTTGGGGTACTCATCCGCAAAATGGGGATGGCTCCAGAATGAAATGCCAGGCAATGCCATAGTGCATGGGAAACGCGTCAGTGCCCAGCACAATGAGTACTCCATAAATAACAGCTGTAATTATTAGTATTAGGAGTGGAAAGCTATTGTTTGAAGAAACCGTTACAATAGAAGCAGCTAGAATGGGCAGCTTTAGTGTGGACGTTGATGAATCAACTCTAATGGCTGTGTGTATGTGCCTGTGTGTGGGTGTCTGTATGTGTGTGTGCATGCTCACATGCCCTTTGCCCTGAGGGGAAGGCAAATGCTTTGTGATAAGAGCTTGTGCTTGAAAGCTTTCTCTCCTAGCATAAAGCCTCTTTAAGTTCTGGGGGCCACATCTTGAAAGAGAAAAGTGTTTGTAAGGGAAACACTTCAGACTGTCCCTTCACAAGTTTACAGGGTCAAAATTATCACAGTTCCTTTTACTTCTCTGTGAAAGTTGCTTCTTAAGCTTCGTCCTCTCACTGTAGAGCTGCCATATCAAACTCATCAGCTCCCAGAGGCGCAGGGGATACCAAGGATCTAGTGGAAATGGGAGGGCTCCAGGATCTCTTTCCTGTCTGCAGGTGAGTAACAGTGAGCCCCAGAGATGCTCCTTGAGGCTGGGCTGCAGGAAGGCAGGTGAAGAGCCCCCCTAGGCTTACCCAGGACCTTCCTGGCTTTGGCACTGAAACTCCTGCATCCCAGGAACCCCCTCAGTCTCGAGCAGACCAGGATGGACAGTCACCCTCTCTGCTAGTCCTCCACTCAACTTTTCTTCAATAGCTGTCACCCTGGTGGAGGCCAACCGTGGGGTCAAATAGCCCATTTCCTGGTGTGTGGCTTGCCTGCCCTGTCAAGGCAGCAGTGCCGAATAGAAGCAGTAGCCAGAAGCTGTCTTCCCTTTTTCTGAGGATTCTCCTGCCAGGTCCTGAAACTTCAGCACGCACAGGGTATCCTGGGGGCTGTTCGATATGCCAGCACCCAGGTCCCACCCACAGAGAGTCTGAGTCAGAAGGCCAGGGCCAGTGCTTGAATTTGTGCCTCCTGGCCGGTGTCAGGAGGTTCTGATGCAGAGGGTCTACAGACCAGGTTTTGGGAAACACTGTCCCAAAGTGTAGGAGCCCATGCTAAAGGCTGCTTGTTCCGGATGGCTTTGTCATGTCGGGCTAGTTTCAAAGTTCCCATGAGGAGCTTGTAATAATGAACAAGCAATTCACAGCTAACACACTGGCATTCAGAAGTGTTTAACGCAGCATACTATTTAATCCTCAGAAAGTGTTCATCCATTCCACAAACCCTGGATGAGAAGCTACATTAAGTAAGGAGTGAACAATGAGACCCTGGGTTTGCTAGCCTCACAAAGCTTAGACAGCAGGGGGGACATGGGCATGGGGCAGACAGCCTGTGGGCTGGATGCTGGTCTGGTGACATGACAGCCACCCCCCTCTAATGTCTGCATCACAGAAAGGAAGCCAGGAGCAAGGATCTCTTCCCTGTAGCGCTCTGGATGGATCTGCCCATGAGGGCCACCCATGTCCAGTCCTCAGTCATAGTGAGCTGTGCTGAGGAAGGGACTTGGCTATGCCCCATCTCCCATCACTTCTCCCCTTGATTCCTGATGCAATGGACTTTAATTTTTAGCAACACCAAGCAGCCTGCAGCTCCCTCAGATACCTTATTTTGGCTCTTATTATCTCTGCCTGGAATTCTCTTCCTGCCCAGGCATCACCTCCTCTTAGAAGCCATCTTGGGCTCTCTGGGTTGGGCCAAGCCCCAGGGCTCTTGCTCTGTCTGCCACTCTTGCATCTGACTCACACTCCTAATTTGAGCACTCTTTGTGGTCAGGCCCTTGCTTTGGTTAGCTGGAATTACCAGCTTCTGGCACAAAGGACAGGAGGTGGTCACAACTGTTTGCTGAGTAGAAACTTGTATTGGTCTCCTAATTCACAAACTGAATGGCCTCAAACAACAGAAACATATTCTTTACAGTCAGGAGGGTGGAAACTCAAAATCAAGGAGTCAGCAGGGCTGGTTCCTCCTGGCAGCCTGGAGGGAGTGGACCCCCATTCCTCTTCCAGCTTCTGGTGGCCATGGGCAGTCCCTGGCCTTCCGTGGCTTGCAGGATCCAATTTCCATCTCTTTCTTTTCTTTTCTTTTTTGAGACAGACTGTCACTCGTCACCCAGGCTGGAGTGCCATGGTGCTATCTCTGCTCACTGCAACCTCCTCTTCCCGGGTTCAAGCAATTCTCCTGCCTCAGCCTCTCGAGTAGTCAGGATTACAGGCACCTGCCACCACGCGCAGCTAATTTTTATATTTTTAGTAGAGACGGGGTTTCACTATGTTGTCCAGGCTGGTCTCAAATTCCTGACCTCGTGATCCACCCACCCGGGCCTCCCAAAGGGCTGGGATTACAGGTGTGAGCCACCGCACCCAGCCTCCATCTCTTTCTTTACATGGCTTTCCCCTCAGTGCCACTCCTCTCCTCTGCGCCTTCTCTTCTAGGGACACTTATCATTGGATTTAGGTACCAACCTAATCCTGGATGATCACATCTCAAGATCCTTAATTACATCTTCAAAGATCTTTTTCCGATAAAGTCACATTCACATGTTGCAAGTGGACATACCATTTTTTGGGGAGGGCACCACTCAACCCAACAACCCACATTTCCTCTCCAGGCCTCAGCTTCCATCAGCTGTGCTGTGGGGGATGGACCAGGTGCTGTCTGTGCTGTCAGGACACTGTGGAGCCAGGGCCAGGGCTGTGCTTTGCCTTGAAGGGGAGGGAACAGGCTGCATTATGAACAGAGTGTTTCTCATGGTGGTCGGGCCCCCTGGGTACGTGCAGCACAAAACCCTCCAGAGAGTCTCTTTCAATCAGTCCCATTTTCCCCTGAGCTCTCCATTCTCCACCAGACCTGCTGGGGGAGACATAAAATATGAAAAAATGAGTTTTCATCTTTTTGTAAAGTAGCAAGCAGAGTGTTATTTATTTATTTCAGTTATTATTATTATTATTATTATTATTATTATACTTTAAGTTCTGGGATACAGGTTTGTTACATAGGTATACACGTGCTATGGTGGTTTGCTGCACCCATCAACCCATCATCTACATTAGGTATTTCTCCTAATGTTATACCTCCCCTAGCCCCCCATGCCCCAACAGGCCCCAGTGTGTGATGTTCCCCTCCCTGTGTCCATGTGTTCTCATTGTTCAACTCCTACTTATGAGTGAGAACATTTGGTGTTTGGTTTTCTGTTCCTGTGTTAGTTTGCTGAGAATGATGGTTTCCAGCTTCATCCATGTCCCTGCAAAGGACATGAATTCATCCTTTTTTATGGCTGCATAGTATTCCATGGTGTATATGTGCCACATTTTCTTTATCCAGTCTATCATTGACGGACATTTAGGTTGGTTCCAAGTCTTTGCTATTGTGAACAGTGCTGCAATAAACATACGTGTGCATGTGTCTTTATAGTAGAGGTATTCTCGGTACTTTTACCCATGTTTGGTTATTGAACAAGAGTCGCAATAGTTGCATAGAATTTTAAGTGTTTGTTGAATTGTCCAATTACCAAACGTAGATAAAAGTACCAAGAATACCTGATGCAACACCCAAGCACAGGAGGCAGATTTAGAGATGCCTCTTGCAGAGGGCACTCACCATGGGATGTGGAAGGCAGGGGCCTGGAGATACTGATGTTGTATCTAGTCCTTATCTCGCAGTTCAGAAAGACCGATCTGGTGTCTGCAGTAGTTCTCTGCACCTGACAGGTTAATTCTCAGAAGCCCTGGTGTATTAGGCCATTTTTACATTGCTGTAAAGAAATACCTGAGGCTGGGTAATTTATAAAGAAAAGAGGTTTAATTGGCTGATGGTTCTTCAGGCTGTATGGGAAGAATGGTGCTGGCATGGGGAGGCCTCAGGAAGCTCACAATCATGGTGGAAGTTGAAGTGAAGCCAGTATGTCACGTGGCCAGAGCAAGAGCAAGAGAGAGATGGGGGAGGTGCCATATGCTTTTAAACACCCTGATCTCTCACAAGAACTCACTCACAATGGCAAGGTCAGCACCAAGCCATTCAGAAGGGATCCTGCCCCATGACCCAAACACCTGCCACCAGGCCCCACTTCCAACACTGGGGATCACATTTCAACATGAGATTTGGAGGGGACAGACATCCAAACTAAATTACCTGAGAAGCTGAGTTCTTAGGGTTTTATTTCATTTTATTTCAATTTCATTCTCTCTATCCTTATTCCCAATCAATTGTCCTCTCCTTCCATTCACCTCCATTCTCACGTACTGTGTGTCCTGCCAAACATTGATTTACTCACATGTCTCAAGAAAATTACACAATTTGAGGAACATATATACACACATATATATTTAATATATATGTAATTATTTTGGATATATACGCATATTGTTTATGTAAGGTCAGCCAAGAGAAAGGAAGAGAGAGAGAGAGAGACCCAAGTTCAGGCAACTAAGTTTATTGAACCTGCCAGCTGCTCCATTACAGAGGAGGCAGCCTTGAGCTTACAAAATGAGGAGTTTTATATGGGGGAGAGAGACCCTGGGGTCGTTTGTTTGTTAACTCTGCCACATATCACCTGGTGATGTTTATGATAGCAGGAACTTACAGGAGGGTAAAGTTTGTTTATGCTTCCTACGACCTCCCCCTCTCCGTTTGGTCCAGATGGTTTGTAATTGGGGTTTGCTTTATCGCAGTAAGGCCTGATAGGTAAAGTCTGCAGGCTTCACCATGGCGCCTAGATAAGGGCTTAGAAATGTAAAAAGGCTTGGGGGAAGGGGAGGGGTGTTGGCAGTGCCAAGAAGCTTTTTTGGGTGGGTTTTTCCCTAACAGTTTACAATATGGATAATGTAAACCCCCAAAATTTGAGACAGTCTCAGTTAATTTAGAAAGTTTATTTTGCCAAGGTCGCGGATGAGTGCCCATGACATGGCCTCAGGCCTAAGCTGCGTCCAAGATGGTCGGGGCACAGCTTAGTTTTATACGTTTTAGGGTGACATGAGACATCAATCAATATATGTAAGAAGTACATTGGCTTAGTCTGGAAATGCAGGACAACTTGAAGGCAGGAAGACTAGAAGAAGGGAGGGGGCTTCCAGGTCACAGGTAGGTGAGGGACAAAAGGTTGAATACTTCTGAGTTTCTCATTAGCCTTTCCAAAGGAGGCCATCAGATATGCATCTATCTCAGTGAGCAGGGGGTGATTTTGAAAAGAATGGGAGGCACATTTGCCCTGAGCAGTTCCCAGCTTGAAGGAGCCCAAGATATTTTCCTTTCACAATAATAATTCTATTTTCTTCACAGTTTTCACTCCTCATTCTGGTTTTGAAATCAAGCTGACAGCTATGTAGATGTGTATTGTACCTTTTCTTTTCCATTCCCCTAGTCGGGGAAGCCTAGATTATGTCACTTTCAGTCCTCTGCTACTGTAAACAACAGAGTGATGAACATCTTTGAATATGCCTCCTTGGGTAGCCCTGGAGAGTTTCTCTGGAATTGGAACGTGAAGGTGATAGTGCTGGGTCGTTGAACACGAATACTTCCAGTATAAACACAACCTGGATGCCCTTCAGAAAGGCGGTTCCAAGTTCACACGCATCAGCATTGCAGGAGAGCTCCGCTTTGCTCATATCCAAGCCCACACTTAGTGTCACTCAACTTTCTCATTTTGCCAATCTGGTGAATGCAAAGTGGTATCTTAATTTGATTTGCATTTCTTTGCATACTAAACACTAGCTGTCCAATCCACAAGTACTTACTTATCCTTTTTGTGCCTCAGATTTCTCATCTTAGGAGGCTGTGAAGATTCCCTGAGTTAACTCATGGAAAGTGCTTACAACCACGCTTGGCATAGAGTAAATGCTCAATTAATGTCAGCTAACAACAGGCAGTCAGTGTTTGTGTAGCAGGACGAGCCACAGATAAAACCTCTCAGACACCGACCTATAGAAGGAAGGGCTTTATTCAGCTGTGAGCATCGGCAAGCTACTGCCTTAAAATCCAAGCTTCCCAAGTGCACAATTTCTGTCCCTTTTAAGGGCTCACAACACTAACGATTTCACATGAAAGGGTCGTGACTGATTTGAGCAAGCAGGCGGTACATGACAGGGGCTGCACGCACTGGTGGTCAGAGAGAAACAGAACAGGGCAGGGAGTTTCACAGTGTTCTTCTATACAATGTCTGGAATCTATGAATAACATCGGTTTCTAAGTCATCAGTTGATTTTTAACTACTAGGTTTAGGCCAGGCAGGCCCAGGTCCAGTTTTGGGCCTGGCACCAGGCTGCCTGTTTTTGATTTCACTTCCTTGTTTTTTTTCTTTAAACAGGTACTGAGTATAAAACAATATGAAAGGGTCTCTCTCTTCCCTCATTTGTTGACTTGAGTACACCTAGGAACAGGGAGCACAAAAGGTGTGGGGCATGACTTGCCCAAAATCAGAGAGTGGTGGGTGGTGGACTCAGATTCAAATACAGGAGGCCTGCCTTTAAAGGGAAATTTGCACTGAAGGGAATTTTAAAATTTATAAAGTGTTTTTCTGTGATGTATTAATAATAGAAGTGCCAGAGTGGAGGAGGTGCATGTGGCTTCCCTCCCCCAGAACCCCTTTGTCTGAAAGCTGCTCACCTTTAGTCCTGGCCAAAGAGACAGAAGTCAGTGTGTAGGTTATGGCACATGACACCCTTCCCCCAGCCCCCACTGGCCACAGACATGCACAGTCCTCTGAGAATTTCAGCCCTGGGTTGGTTGGTGATGGGCCCTGGACCAGCAGGTCAGTGGGGATTTGAGGTCTGGTGGTTGTGGAGATTCATCTGGAGACAGAGAGACACAAAGAGACAGAGACACAGAGACAGAGACAGGGTGACACAGAAAAACTGTAGAGATGGTTCTTAGCAGTTCCCTGAGGCCTGGCTGTTTTGTGGTTCCCAGATATTTTGCTCTGTCCCTACTGAACTCCTGGCTCATGGCAGCTTGAGTGAGTTTCAGTCCCTTGCAAACTAATGCACCCTGATTGAAACTGATGAGTGGTGGTGACCCGGGATCCCTACTTTGCATTCTACCCACTGGCTGTTAACATCTGAAGGGCAGTCACTGTTTACCAGTATGCTGTATTACTCCAATGACTATTCCAGCGAAAGCAGATACAGTCCTCAGGCCCAACCACTGGAGACTGCAAAATCAAGCTATTAGTATGATGGAATGGGGTACAGATGTTTAAAATGATAAATATGATGATTACGCAGACAAGGTCCTTTGCTACTTTGCTACCTGTCAATGAAAGAGTTAACTAAAAAAACGTAGGAAGCAGGAATATATATGGATTACAAAGACAGCAAAACAATGTTGACACATTGATAATGATCAGCAGAGGCCCTGGAGAGATATGACTGGTTGCTGGGTTAAGATAAAAGAATTTATATTTTTATGTGATGCTGATGTAAAAAGAAAGAATATAAAATAATATTGTTTGACCAGTATTTAAATGCACCTTTAAAGCATTTTCTGATAAAATATCTTGAATATGGAATACACAATACATCCAGTAATGCCTTCTTTGGGTCTGAGGTCACCAGGCAGGACAGATGGTAGAGATAAGCCAGGCACTGGAGCCACAGAGACCTAGGGTGGGTGCTGGCTCCACTGTGGAATCTGCATAGGTGGTTGTCATTACCTGCCCTTGATGCATCCCAATCTGGTGGTTGATGGTCTCACTGCCCTCAGCAAGCTTCTTTCCTCCTCCTCATTGATTCTTTTCCTAACCAGCAACAGGAATTGAGCACCCAATGCTGACACTCTCGTATTTGAGCATCTACTCTTTCTCACATGCTTCTGAGCACTGACACACAAAGGTGACTGAGACCAACTATATCAGTTCTGGAGTTTCAACTATGAGTGACAGGTAACTCAGTCCTGACTGGCTGACGCTGGAAATGCACTTCTTAGCAGTGTCAGAAACTCAGAGGGCAAATGAAGGACCCAGAGGCTCTATGGTGCCAACAAGGATGCAGGTTCTCCCATCCTGTCCTCTGGCATCCACAATGCTGGACACACACTGGGGCTGGATTCCCTCATGGTCAAGGAGCCATTGGGCCAATGTGGAGAGAAGAGAGTTCCTCATTCGTGGCCAGTTGAGAAAAAAGAGTTCTTCCTCACTAACTCTACAGAAAAAGCCCAATCTTCCTTCTGACTGGAGCAGCTCTTGTGCCTGTATTGCCCCTGACCAACAGCATCTCCAGGGCACCACCACACACTGACTGGCTTAGCCCTGGGCTCAAGACCAGTCACTGCCCAAGGGGATGAGGTTGCCACAATAGCTTGGACTAACACGTCCCAATCCCCAGACTGGAGTCTGTTTCTCAGGTCTCATTCTGCTGTATAGCGGGAGGCATGGGGAATCGCAGTGGGTATTTGGCAGTCAGCCAGTGTCCACCACACAGACTCTGTCCTCAAAGGTACACAGTGTGGTGGTGGGAGTAAAAAAGTCACTGTAATACAGGAGCTGATGGAGAGCCACAGAGGGCCTGCCTCTGGGGCACAGAGGAATGACAGCTTGCTCAGCCTGGGGTCCTAAAAATGCCTGGGAGTCCCCAGCTAATTGCAGAACTAGGGAGGGGAGGGTAGAAAGGCATTCCTAGGAGGGACGAGTCCCCCTAGAGGGCCACCTTGTGTGTGACTAGCTGAGCAGTGGGTGGTGCTAGAGCAAAGGGCGGGGTAGAAGCAAAGACCACATTCATGGAATGACCCCAACCTTGGTGCCCTGCTATTCAGGTTAAGCAGCTTTTGTGAGCAAAGTAGAGCCATGGTGGTCTTCAATAGTAACCAAATACAGTCAGATTAGCGTGTTACAAAACCACACTTCCTATCTGGAGTCTGAAGATCCTTATTTGACCATCTAGGAAGGAGTCTCTTCAACATAGCTGAAGGATCCTCTCTTCTGACTCTATCATCCTTCAGTTTGTCAACCCTTGCCCGTTTCCACCAAGTAGCTGGTTTGTGCGGAAGGCCCAGGGGCCTTGTCTGTGATTCACTCACCTGATTCTGCAAATCTGATATAAGCTTTCTGCTGTGAAGCCTTACTGAGCAGCATGCTCCCCCGCCATGGGGAAGTGACAGACAGTGGCTGATGTGTGCATGCAAAGGTGTTGCCCAGAGTGTAGGCTGGAGGGAAGATGAATAGAATCCACGTTTGTTTTGTGTTTGAGGGTAGGAAAGCTCATTTTAAACCAACAATGAGTCATAATATTTATTTTCTCTTCTGGATCGAACTAAAGGAAGCAAGTCTGAAATCTCACTGGTGATCCCTACTTGCTTAAATGGGTCCTCTTGGGCTTTGGGGGCCACTGAACAATAGTTGTGACACAGTGATGCATAGTGTTCTTCTTGTTTCTTTAAAAATGTCTCTGCCTCTCTAAGTCTCTGTCCCTCTAACTATCTCCTCCTCTTCTCTCTCTCTCTCTCTCTCTCTATTGGGACAGTATTTCATGCAGGTATCCTACAAATATCTATGCCAGGCATTATTAAAGATTCAGAGAATATGAATTAGTAATTCTCAGGTTTATTGAGGAGACAATTTATTATAGTTGGGAAGAAAGCAGCAATAACACACAGAAGGTTTGCTCATGTGAAATGGTGATACCAGCTCTAAGCTGCAGGCACTTTCTCCACCATTGACAAGGTGGTCTTCCCAGGGGAGGTGTTCCTTGGCCTGGGCCTATGGGGATGTGCCTGGGAGGATTTGGATTTACAGATAAGTTAAACCCGTGTACGCTAAGCATCTCCTCTGTGCTTGGCCCTGGACTGGGTTGTGGGGACACAGATGAGTTATGTCCAGCCCCTTCCTCCAAGGAGCCCAGAGTCCAGGCAGCGTGGCAGCATCCCAGGTGCAGCACGCAGTGTGAATCATGAGATCCTGCCTGCCTGAGTACCTGGGCTTAGCTTGGTGCTGGAAAATACCCTCTGATCTCTGGGCCTGTGTCCTCACCTGTAAGGGGACAGGCTAGACTTCACCACCTCTCAGGCCCTCCTGGATCTCATACCTTTGAATCTTTGTATTGTGTTTTCTGGAACCAGAAGCAATAGTCGCTGTCCTTGGTACTGACTGGTAAAGGAGTGCTGAAATCAGGATGGGGGTTTCTGGGAATTTGGAAGCCCCAACATCTATCTCGATGCTCCCTGATACTCCCCACCCCAATCAGCTGATCTCTTCTTAGCCAAGCATCCTAATGGCTGGGATGGGCAAGAGGTGGGCGCTGGAGGGTGAGTGAGAGGTGGTGGCTCTCCCCTTGCCCATCAGAAGAGGACGGCAGGTCCAGGACTTGTTTCTCCTGTTTGTGCAGAGAAGCCTGGGGGCCTGAGGCTGAGGAGGCTGGGGTTGGATCAGAGCATTCAGCTTAGGAAGACCCATGATGGCTCAATCTGATTCTCTGTGCCTCAGATTATTTTCCTGCACACGAAGTGGCAACAGTAGGTTTAGAACTTCAGTCTCCTGATGGCACTGAGGTTAACTCCTTGCCTAACCCCAATCTCACCTCTTAATCACCCCCTCCATATCCTGCTGTGAAACAATACTGCTCCACAGCTCTGCGTGAGCTACAATTCAGGTGTCTACAAATTGGAGCAATGTACAAGATCGGAGGCTTGGATTATCAGGTCCCATACATGATGCCTTCTGGAGCTTCTCAGCCCACCCCCCAGACCTTGCTGTGTTTGTACTTTAGAAATTTCAGTTTTGTTTCCATATTATGCAAGTATTACCTGGGGGAGCAGGGAGACGTTACATGTAATTATGGTGAATCATTTAGCAAACAATTAGGGGACAGAGAACAAACAAGTCACTGTTTCCAAAACCCCTCTTTAATCACTTTGCACATCCTCAGAACCCAGAGCAAATATTAAGATAATTAATCACTGCCAACCTGTCACTCATAAGGACCTCACTTCCAATTAATTATGTGCTGTTGGTCTTCAGTCCAGGAGCAGACTGAAATTTTGTTCAAGGTCATACTCTGAATTCTGGATCCCCTCTCTGTGGGCAGAGATTCAAGTCAGTTCTGATGCTTTCCCTAGGATTATCTGTCCCCAGCCTGGCTGCCATCAACAATGAATTCTGCACAATCTCTCTGTTTCATCCAAGTTCTTCTGCACGACCTTTATGTAACCTTCCATTCTTGGAGAAGGAGGGAGGGACTTTCCAACAATTTCACAAAGATTGGGTTACAGATAGGCTGCTTGAACGTTTAGGTGAGGCTGGGAGATTTACCAGCATTTGGAAGTAGGGTGAGGTGATGCCAGATCATAGAAAGCAGATGGCTTCTGGGTGGGGCAGTTTCGGAGAGCCAAGGATACAGGGGAGACCCCGGGGCTGGTTGCATGTGCTGAGGACTCACCAGCATTTTCCTGGGGTCTGGCACATGGTGAGAGCAGCTAAGTGTTAGTTTGGGTAGATGGACAATGAATTATTAAAACTTTATGCTTCTGTTCTCAGCACAGAACAGGTGTAAAATGAATCAAACTCCTACTCTGCCTTCACAGCTCAGTTCATGTGCTCATATGTTACCTCCTTGAGGAGCTTTTGGAGATACCCTTTGCTGCACTGGGGGCCCTCCCTGAACTTCCACATGCCCCTCCACCTCTACCACAGCTCAGATCCTCATGTTTAATTTCATTTATAATAGTACAATTTAAGTAAAGTAATGCATATTAAACTTTAGTTGAGGCTTTTTGAAGATGAAAGATTGAACACATGTTTTTAGCTTTACTCCTTCCTGAAACCCCATCCAAATGACAACAAAGGAATTTTTAAGAAGGCTTAGACCCTTAAGGCCAAAGAGAGAAGGAGAGGAGGGAGCAGCAGATGTGGAATCTGCAATTGCAGGCTGGAAAGCAGATGGATGCGTGGTAACTGACTGAGCAGATTGGAGGCATTAAATCCTAAGTCAAAATGGGGATGAGAAGCAATGGATGAGCATCACCGAACGCCTTACAGGCTCTGGACCTGGTGGCACGGTAGTTTTGGAAGTGGAAGTGATTTGGGGCTAGAAACAGAAGGATTGGTTGAAAGTTCAAAAAGCAGTTAGACTTCCAGCTTCCTCAGCCACTTCATGCTACTGGGCATGCCCCTTTCCCACTCCAGCAGAGGGGTGGGAACCTTATTCCCGGGAGAAGATAAAGAGAGAGGCTCTGGGCTTGGGGTACCAAGGGCACAATGCTGGAAAACGCTACATCCTGGAGGCCCGAGAAGTACCAAGGGCAGTCAGTGGAAGGGTCTGTCTTGGGTGGAGGTAGCAAAGTCACATTTTGTCTGTAGAGAACTTCCCAAAAATTATACAACTGGTGAAAAGTCAGTGTGTCGCTTCACACTCACTAGGCTGGCTATTATTTAAAAAAAAAAAAAAAATACAGAAGCTGGGCGCGGTGGCTCACGCCTGTAATCCCAGCACTTTGGGAGGCTGAGGCGGGCGGATCATGAGGTCAGGAGATCGAGACCATCCTGGCTAACATGGTGAAACCCCATCTCTAATAAAAATACAAAAAATTAGCCGGGCGTGGTGGCGGATGCCTATAGTCCCAGCTACTCGGGAGGCTGAGGCAGGAGAATGACATGAACCCGGAAGGCAGAGCTTGCAGTGTGCCGAGATTGTTGCCACTGCACTCCAGCCTGGGTGACAGAGCGAGACTCCGTCTCAAAAAAAAAAAAAAAAAATACAGAAAATAACAAGTGTTAGCAAGGACATGGAGAAATCAGAATCCTTGTGCATTGCTGGTGGGAATGTAAAATGCTGCAACTGCTGTGGAAAAGAACATGGTGACTCCTCAAACAATTAAACATAGGATTACTATATAGTACAGAAATTCTACTTTTGGGTATATACCCGAAAGACGTGGAAGCAGGGATTCACAGAGATATTTGTATACCTATGTGCATAGTAGTGGTTACTCACAATAGCCAGGAATGGGAGCAACCCAAGAGCCCATAAATAAAATGTGGTGTACACATACAAGTGGTGTACACATAAAACGGGTTATTATTCAGCCTTAAAAAGGAAGGATATTCTGACACATGCTGCGACATGGATGAACCTTGAAGAATTACGCTAAGTGAAACAAGCCAGTCACAAAAGGACAGATAGTGTAGGATTCCACTTATGTGAGATACCTAGAGTAGTCAAAATTGTAGAGACAGAAAGTAGAGAGGAGGTTATCAGGAACTAGGGAGAGATGAAAAGGGGGAGTTAGTGTATTAATGGGTACAGGGTTTTGTTTGCAATGAAGAAAAAGTTCTGGAGATCGATGGTGGTGATTCACCGCAGTATGAATGTACTTAGAGCCACTGAACTGTACACTTAAAAATGGTGAAAATGCCCGTAATCCCAGCACTTTGGGAAGCAGAGATGGGAGGATAACTAGGCGCCAGGGGTTTGAGACCAGCCAAAGCAACAAAGTAAGATCCTGTCTCTACAAAAAATAAAAATATTGGCCAGGTGCGGTGGCTCATGTCTGTAATCCCAGCATTTTGGGAGCCCCAGGCAGGCAGACCATGAGGTCAGGAGTTCGAGACCAGCCTGGCCAACATGGTGTGAAACCCTGTCTCTACTAAAAATACAAAAAAAAAAAGAAAAAAAAAATTAGCCAGGCATGGTGGCGTGCGCCTGTAATCCCAGCTACACAGAAGGCTGAGGCAGGAGAATTGCTTGAACCCAGGAGGCAGAGGTTGCAGTGAGCCAAGATTGTGCCACTGCACTCCAGCCTGGGCAATGGAGTGAGACTTTGTCAAAAAAAATAAAAATAAAAAACAAAAAATAAATTAGCTGAAAGTGGTGGCATATGCCTGTAGTCCCAGCTACTCAGGGGGGTGAGGCAGGAAGATCACTTGTGCCCAGGAATTTGGAGTTGCAGTGAGCTATGATTGCACCACTGAACTCGAGTCTGAAGAACAGAACAAAACTTCATCTCCAGAAACAGAAATGGTTATAATGATAAATTTTATGTTATGTACATTTTACAACAATAAAAAGCCAAGTTTTTTTATTATCACCATGTGCTGGTAATTCTGAACAATATTGTGATAAAGTATTCCTCCCTGAAAAATATCTTGTTGGTCTATATTCTAAATAACTGTGTGGTTACTCTTGAGTTTCAATAATACAGATGTCAGCTGGGCACACTCACACCTGTAATGCCACCACTTTGAGAGGCTAAGGTGGGAGGATTGCTTGAGCCCAGGAGTTCAAGACTAGCTTGGTCAACATAGCGAGACCCCTATCTTTACAAAATAAATAAATAAATAAAATAAAATAGCTGGGCTTGGTGGCACATGTCTGTAGTCCCAGCTGCTCAGGCGGCTGAGGTGGGAGGATGACTAGAAATCAGGAGTTTGAGGCTGCAGTGAGCCATGATTGGGCTACTGCACTCCAGCCTGAGTGACACAGCAAAACCCTTTTTCAAAAAATAAAAAAGTATGTATAGATGTACGCTTCAAAACAGCACATTTTATTACTGACCCTTTAATAAGCATTTTATTCTACATGGAAGTTATTTGCAAGAACCCCAGCATATGAGGACTCAGCACATGCATTTGGTTGAGAGGAGATGGCTAACACTTCAGATCTTGTGCAGCTTCCTTGGTTGTGACCTGGGTCCAATCCCTGGGGTGCGGCAAATTCCTGCATTTGTAAAGAAGATTGCAACAATGAGAGATTGTGAATGCAAAGACAAAGAAGTAGAATTTGCATTATTTCACGCTTGGCATTCCATGTGACTGCTTGGAATTTCATGAATGCTTAAAATTTAAATCAGTAAATCAGAGTGTGAACTGAGTGCAGTACTTTGGTTTGGCAAATGCAGATTTTAGTTCTTACATAAAATACTTTACTGAATCTGCATAATATAATTAAAATGAAAATTTATCCATCTGTTATGTTAACAGTTTGTTTTAAAACTAAAGAAGAAATAAAGAAGTGATTAATGCTGATTCTTACATGATTATTACTGGGAATAATTTTTTCGTATAGAGGAGGGGGTTGTAAATAGGGTCTGCTCTGGAAGAGCGCTGGACTCTGCTAAAAGTTGAAAATGCTGATCATGGACAATGAATTCTGCACAGTCTATTGACATCCAGAAAGAGATTAGGAGTCTTTTGTAGGAAATTTCACTAACTAAAAAGAAAAGTGTCAAAGATACCAAGATCTGGAATTGCCTAAGGAAATAGTCAGTCAGATCACCCAACATAACTACAGATAACAAGCTCCCCCAGCCACCTTGCCCAGATAGCTAGTTACCTTCTCAATAACTAGTTGTAAATACTACTGAACAGCTAAGACATGTTGGGAATGCACTTAACACAAAAGCTATCAAAACAAACAAAAAGCTACTTGACTGTAATCCCAGCACTGTGGGAGGCCGAGATGGGCAGATTATTTGAGGTTAGGAGTTCAAGACCAGCCTGACCAACATGGTGAAACCCGTCTCTAGTAAAACTACAAAAAAATTAGCCAGCGTGGTGGCACATGCCTGTAGATTGCACCACTGCACTCCAGCCTGGGCAACAGAGCAAGACTCTGTCTCAAAAAAAAAAAAAAAAAAAAAAAAGCGACTTGAAAGAAGCAGAAGCTATTCCGGTAGACTGAACTTCACGTACATTATTCTTACTATTCTTAACAATTAATATTATTAATATATTCTTTTATAGAGAAGAATGCTTCAAAAAAAAAGAATATGCTATAAAAAGGACTATTCCAAGACCAAAAAAAATCTTGAAAATTAAAAAAAAGATAGCAGAAATTTAAAAAATCAATTAAAAGGTAGCAAGATAGACCAGAAACAGTGGCTTTTGCCTGTAATCCCAGCACTATGAGAGGTTAAGGTGGGCAGATCACTTGAGCCCAGAAGTTTAAGACCAGCCTGAGCAACATAGCAAGACCCTGTCTCTGCAAAAAAAAAAAAAAAAAAAAATTAGCCAGGCGTGGTGGTGTATGCCTGTAGTCCCAGGTACTTGGGAGGTTGAAGTAGGAGAATCACCTGAGCTTGGGAGATTGAGGCTGCAGTGAGCAGTGAGCATTGATTGTGCCACCACACTCTAGCCCAGGTGGCAAAGTGAGACCCTGTCTCAAAAAAAGAAAAAAAAAGAAAAGTAGCCAGATAAAGTTGAAAAATCTCATGGAAAGTACAGTGAGAGACAAAGAGATGAGAAAATGGGAGCTAAATGATGAGAAGATGTGAGGACCAGATTAGGACATTCAATATCCAAGTAAAAGCAGCTGCAAAGAAGGAGAAGAGAAGAAAGAGAAAGGAAGAATTCACCCATAAAGAATTCAAGTTGCTTTCCTGGAACTGAAGGAGCCAAGTTGCTGGTCTGGAAAGACTCACTGAGCACAGAGCAAGGGAGGACAACAGACCCACCCACAGGAGGCACATGGCCATGAGCTTTCAGGATGCGGGGGGGAAGGAGGAATTCCATTTTCTTTCCAAAGGGAGAAAAGGCTTGTGAACTCCAGCACTGCATGACACAAAAGACAGGGGAGCAGAGCCTTCCAGACTCTGAAGGAAAATGATTCCATCTAGAATTTTGTGTCCAGCCAGACTCTTGCTAAAGTGTGAGGATAGATGAAAGACAGGTTTAGAATTTCCATCTTACTTTCAGATTTATTCTTTTTTTTTTTTTTTTGTAGAGACAAGGTCTTGCTATGTTTCCCAGGCTGGTTTTGAACTCCTGGGTTCAAGCAATCTACCCACTTCAGCCTCTCAAAGTGCTGGGATTACAGGCGTAATCCCACCCTTCAGTGGGAAACTACTGGAGGATGTGCTACAGCAAGATGAGGGTGAGTCAAAGGAGATCCAGGCATGAAAAACAGGAAAGAGGGGGTGCAACAGAGGAAGACCCCCAGATGATAGTAAGGAAAATCCCAAGAGGTCAGCTGCACAGCAGGTGGAGAGAGCCCAGCCCAGATTGGAAAAGGTCAGAAGGAGCCAGGAGAAGTTTCTGTAAGATGCAGTGCAATTGTGAGACTGCCTAGTGTGTCTGCACACATTGGGAGAAGATTTACATACCAGGAGAGTTCAGAATAGAATAGTGATAAGCACATAAAAAACGAAACAAACAACCTGAGAGTGGGATATGTAGATTTTTATCTTGAACCAATTTTTAAAGCTTTATTAAGGTATAATTTACATGTTATAAACTGCACATATTTGACATACACAATTGGACAAATTCTGACATACAGATGAAGCTGTGAAACCATGTCCTTTTATAATCCCTCTCCTCATCCTTCCCAGGCGTCCAGGTAACCATTTATTTATTTTGCCCTATAATATATATGTTTACCTTTTCTGGAATTTTATATGATTGGATCATAAAGTGTTTACTCCTCTTATTTTCTGGTTTTATTTGTCTTGTGTAATTACTTTGAGATTTATTAATAATGTATGAGTAGTTCAGCCTTTTCTTTTTCTGAGTACTCTTCTGATGTTTGAATATGCCACTATTAATTTATCCATTCATTTGTTTATTTTCAGCTTTTAGCTATCATACATAAAGCCCATGAACAAACAGACAAATAAAAAACTAAATAAACAGGGTATGAGAGAGGGACAATGATTGACTCCAGATATATGAGTACAGGTTTGATAAGAATGACACTAAGATGGGATTAGATGTTGGAGAGATTGATTGGGGGAAACACCTTTGAAGGATCTAGTGGGAAAGCCCAGACACAGGCAGCGGCACTTGTAGAAGTCAGTGCAGGGCTGGCCCCTGTGCAGGAGGGAGGGAAGGGAGGAAGATGAGGTGGGGACAGCCCAGGCTGCAATGCAATTTCCAGAAAGGAGCAGCCAGGACAACAGGGGAGTCTCCAACCCAAGAGGCCAATTGGAGAAGTTGCATGTCTTGCAGGAATGGACCTGTGCTCAGTCACTGGGCCACAGGGATGTGGCCTTGTTGTGAAGGTAATGATGGGCCCAGAGGGGCAGCAGCTGAGCTGTTAGTCTATTATACTCCCTTCAGAAAGACACTGGAGGGGTGCATTTTGTGGCCACCACACCACACTACATGGCTTATCTAGGTAGAATATTCACATAGTCATGATCATGCAAAGCTGCTGATCTAAATAAAATGACCACATGACCCTGTTGGAAGGATGAAGGCAGGAAGTGTCTGTGGTGGATATAGGAGCTAAGGAAAGAGGGTTAAATTCCATAGTAGGAAGTCAATAGAGAAAGCCTCCAAGTCAGTCACCCTAATAAATAGATTATCTATAGATATGGTGAATCTGAAACGGACCAACAAAAAGAATAAAAAAGGATTACCTGTGGGGAGCAGAAAGTGAGAGAAGGGAGCAGAGGGTGGAGATGGAAGAAAGTATAATGGATGTATAAATGAAAACTAGATTTAGCGAGTGTGGTCAAGCACCTGACACATAGTAAGTACTGTGTACATGTCGTCATGATGAAGACGATGGAGTGCTGACCCATAGTTGGTCTTCGTGCAGTCTTTGTCATATTCTCTCTTTTAAGGGTGAGCTATTAGCAATGGGTGCTTATTTTAAGTGTTCCTTATTTAGTAACTAGAGCCTTTTAGCATCTATCTGCCTCTCAAACCAGCCACCTTATGGGAGCCAGGACTGCTGTTTTATTCCACATTAATTTATTTCTACAGTGTGTGGACTCCCTCCCTCCATCCCTCCCTTTTCCGAGTCTGGGCTGCCGAGCAAATGTTTTAATGGTGCAGGAGCGGAGATGGCATGTGTGTTTTAATAAGCAGAAAATGCCAGGGTGGGGGTGGGGGGAATAGTGGTGGCTCAGGTGACGTCAGCTTGCAGATGGAGCTGGCAGGTTAAGTGGAGCAAAGCTAGCTGTAGCCACACTCTCTCCAGCTCTGCCCATGGTAAGGAGCAAGGCAGGGTGGGAGAAGCAGGAGCTTCCATGCACTCCTGGAAGTCTGCTGCAGCGGATAGGGCCATGGTCGGGGAAGATCTGCCTTAGCTGTGCTAAAAGGACATTCATAAAGAGGTCTGGGCCCTAACCCCCCAGCTGCACCAGAGGAAAGAGGAATCTTGGGAAAACTGGCCAGCTCTGCCCATGGCTCCACAGTTTCATGGCACTTGCAGATGGAAAGCTTGGGGCCCACATGAGGCTGGTCATTGGCAAAGGCTAATGACAACAAACAAAAGCTCAGCACTCACCTGGGCATGAGGACATGGGGCTCTGAGACAGGCTCTCCTCCTTCCATCTCTGGGCCTCAGTTTCTCCAGGATAAAATGATTGGTTCTCTTCATGCATTTTGGCACTGACAAATTTCTATCTGGCACAGTGCCTGCACACAGGAGGTCTGCTTAAACATCTGTGGAGTTAATGCCATGGGGCACCTGCTTGATATGGTCCTTTCTCACTCTCAAGTGTAAGAGGCAGAGAAAGCAGGGAGGATGGGGAGCTGCGGAGAAATTTAAGAATAGATTGGGGAACTCTAAACGTAGCTTTCAGGGGGCAGGGAAAAGGCCAGCCACACACTCAGCTTTCAGTGGAGAAGGCACAGCCGAAAGAGGCAGGCAAATGGCTTTAGGTTACCATGACAACGGCAGTGGATAGGAAAGGCATCCAGAGGATGCCAAGAGTGGCATTTTTCCTCCTGCCTTTTTTTTTTAAATGACTGGCTTTCTTTCTGTAAGGGAAAGAGAGGAGGAGGTAGAGGGGAAAGAAGGGCCCAACAGAAGGGAGTCTTGGAGAGCAAAACTCACCTTTAAAACTGTAAGGAAATCCATCCCTTTGTCAGAAAACTGGCTGAGCCTGCTTTATGACTGGCAAGGGCCAGTCAGTTTCCACAATGGCAGTAGCTGCTGAGTAGCTTCTATGAGGCAGGCCCCTTGCTCAGCCCTTTCCACACTGGGAAGTTTGATCCTCCCCAAGGATGCCATTGACATAGAGAATTAGGCCCACTATACAAATGGGGAAACTGAACCTCAGATAGGGTAAAAGCCTGTGTCTAAAGGCAGCATGGTGAGTTAGGATTGATGCTCAGGTGCCTCTGGCTGCAAAGCAGTGGCACTGAAGCTCTCTGCCAAGTAGCCATGGCAAAACCTGGCAGATGTGGGTGGAAAGCCATGATGATCACACTTCTTTTTTATTTAGGTGACACTTTCAGGAAGGGATTCCCTAAACCTGTGTCATTGTATTAGTCTTTTTTTACACTGCTATAAAGAACTGCCTTAGACTGAGCAATTTATAAAGGAAAGAGATTTAATTGACTCACAGTTCCACATGGCTGGGGAGACCTCAGGAAATTAACAATCATGGCAGAAGGTGAAGGGGAAGCAAAACACATTCTTCAGAAGGCTGCAGGAAGGAGAATGAACACAGGAGGAACTACCAAACACTTATAAAACCATCAGATCTCATGATAACTCACTCACTATCACAAGAATAGCATGGGGGAAACTGCCCTCATGATCCATTTACCTCCAACCGGTCTCTCCCTTGACATGTGGGAATTATGGGAATTATAATTCAAGATGAGATTTGGGTGGGATCACAAAGCCTAACCATATTTTTCTGTCCCTGGCCCCTCCCAAGTCTCATGTCACTTTCACATTTCAAAACCAATCATGCCTTCCCCACAGTCCCCCAAAGTCTTAATTCAATGCAGCATTAACCCAAAGTCCAAGTCCAAAGTCTCATCTGAGACAGGGCAAGTTCCTTCTTCCTAGGAGCCTGTAAAATCAAAAGCAAGTTAGTTACTTCCAAGATACAACAGTGGTACAGGCATTGGGTAAATGTTCCATTCTAAATGGGAGAAATTAGCCAAAACAAAGGGGCTACAGGTGCTATGCCAGTCCGAAACCCAGCTGGGCAGTCATTAATTTTTATAGCTCCAAAATGATCTCCTTTGACTTCATGTCTTGCATCCAGATCATGCTGATGCAAGAGGTGCACTCCCATGGCCTTGGGCAGCTCCAACCCTGTGGCTTTGCAGGGTATAGCTCCTCTTCCAGCTGCATTCACAGGATGGCATTGAATGTCTGTGGCTTTTCCAGGAGCATGGTGCAAACTGTCAATGGATCTACCATTCTGGGGTCCTAGCAGAGGGGAACATAGCAGAGGTTCCCCATAAGGACTCCACCCCTGCAGCAAACTTCTGCCTGGACATCCAGGCATTTCCATATACCCTCTGAAATCTAGGTGGATGTTCCCAAACCCCAATTCTTGGTTTCTGTGCACCTGCAGGCCCAACACCATGTGTAAGCTGCCAAGGCTTTGAGCTTGCACTCTCTGAAGCAATTGCCTGAGATGTACATTGGCCTCTTTTAGCCATGGCTAGGATGCAGAGCACCAGGTCCCAAGACTGCACAAAGTAGCAAGACAGTGGGTCCAGCCCAGGAAACCATTTTTTCCTCCTAGGCCTCGGGCCTGTGATGGGAGGGGCTGTTGTGAAGACCTCTGACATGCCCTGGAGACATTTTCCCCATTGTCTTGGTGATTAACATTTAACTCCTCATTATTTATGCAATTTTCTGTAGCTGGCTTGAATTTCTCCCTAGAAAATGGGTTTTTCTTTTCAATCACGTCATCAGGCTGCAAATTTTCTGAACTTTCATGCTCTGCTTCCCTTTTAAACATAAGTCCCAATTCCAAACCATCCTTTTGTGAATCCATAAAACTGAATGCTTTTAAGAGCACCCAGATTGCCTCTTGAATGCTTTGCTGCTTAGAAATTTCTTCCGCCAAATGCTCTAAACCATCTCTCTCAAGTTCAAAGTTCCACAGATGTCTAGGGCAGAAGCAAAATGTCACCAGCCTCTTTGCTAAAGCATAGCAAGAATCACCTTTATTCCAGTTCCCAAAAAGCAGCTCCTCATCTCCATCTGAGACCACCTCAGCCTGGACTTCACTGTTTATATCACTATAAGCATTTTGGTCAAATCAATTAAACCAGTCTCCAGGAAGTTCCAAATTTTCTCACATCTTCCTGTCTTCTGAGCCCTCCAAACTGTTCCAATCTCTGCCTGTTACCCAGTTCCAAAGTCACTCCCAAATTTTTGGGTATCTTTATAGCAGTATCCCACTCTCTGCAGTGCCAATTTACTGTATTAGTTCATCTTCACACTGCTAAAAAGAACTATCTGAGACTGGGTAATTTATTAAGGAAGCAGGTTTAATTGACTCACAGTTCAGCATGGCTGGGGAAGCCTCAGAAAACTTACAATCATGGCAGAAGGTGAAGAAGAAGCAAGGTACCTTTTTCAGAAGGTGGCAGGAAGGAGAATGAATGCAGGAGGAACTACCAGCAGTTACAAAACCATCAGATCTTGTGAGAACTCAGTCACTATCATGAGAATGGCATATGGGAAACTGCCCCCATGATCCAATGACCTCTACCTGGTCTCTCCCTTGACACATGGGGATTATGGGGATTATAATTCAAGATGAGATTTGGGTGAGGGACACAAAGCCTAACCATATCAGTCATGCAAAAGTGTTTATTTCCAGTGACTGGAGTCAACAGAACGCTCTCTCCTCTTGGAGTCTTCAGTTGCCTATGATGGGTGTGTAGGGGGGTGTAGCCATGGGGTATTGGATATATGCAGACCCCTAAGTTAGCACTTAGCAGTTGTGTGACCTGGAGCTGTGCCTCAGTTTCCTCTCATGTCAATGGGGATGGCCATGAGATCTTTTCACAGGGCTACAGAGATGACTGAATGTGCAAATGCACATGGAGCCCAGTGAAGCATCTGGCTCATACCGCATGCTCAATGGACATCAGCTATGTTACTGAGATGAAAAGAAAGCTGACAGGAGGAGGAGGGTTGTTCCCCAAAATCTTGCAGCAGCAAGTCAGGGCAGGGCAGTGGCCTGGACTCAGCCTCCTGGTTCTCATGGTGTGTGCATCCCTCTGACTGACATTTTGGTGGATGCAGACCCTCACCCATAAGTAGCCCAGCTTCTGGTCACAGACATCATAAGGACACAAATGATACCATGCCAGCTCTCTGGGACCTCCTAACTCTGTGTGTGTGTGTGTGTGTGTGTGTGTGTGTGTGTCACAGAGAGAGAAAGATATATATATATAAATTGGAATTACAGGCTCCATGAGTCCTGTGGATGGGGGCCCACAGCACTACCTCCTTCGGGTTAATGTTTTGTCAGTGAACAGTCTCGTAATTCATTATTTACATCATGCATGCTGCCATAATTGACTAATTAGCTTGAACTATCTGCTTAGCTCATTGGACAGGTCACTGCTCTGACTACAGGCAGGGTGAGGATCCTGGAAGTTTAGTCCTGGAAGGAGCCTTGAAGGCACCAGGAGACAGGTCTGAAGGCGGGACCACATATGCGGAGGGGTGGACACTCACATGGGAGCACCCCCTAAAAAGAGAGTGGGTTCCAGATACTAAGAAGACGTTGAAGAAATAAAGGCAAGCTACATTTACTGAGCACGTGCTAAGTGCCCAACACCAGGCTAGGGGCTTCTACACACGTTCACTGGCTAATTCTTTGTGTTGGATATTTTTAACTCTGATTTGCGAGATAGAAAAACTGAGGCTCAGAAAGAGACATAGGAGCTTGTCCATGGTCAAAAATCATTCAAAGGAGTTAGTCTTTTGCATCTGGAGCCATGGACTCTCACGTTCCTTGTCAAGCGCTCAGAAACAGGAAAGCTAAGTGAAACATGGTCCAGCCACCAGATGGATATGGCGGGTGGAGTGTGTGTAGTCTGTGCTCTCTCGTTAGTGTGGGAATGGAGATGTCAGTCTTTGTGATATGTCTGTGAAAGGCTGGGAGTTGGGTTCACCAGAGACAGAGACTGCTGTATTTATAGTGCATGGGTTTCCTAGGGTGAAAGATAAAGTTGCCTGGAGCCTGTGTGGAGAGCATCCCTGGATACGCTGGAAGTGAGTGGCTCATCATGTACAGGCTGGCCGAGGCTGGCCTTCAAGGCCGAGCCATCTGTCTTCTGAGGGTGGATGAGTCAGTGGGCAGCTGCCTGCCACAGGTCAGTGGCATGTCTTTGGGGAGAGATTGCTGTATTATTAGAAGGTGTTGACGTGGTGCTCTGTTTGCAAAACACTTCTTGGTCACTTTAAGTTTGGGAAATATTTGGTGCAAGTTTACTAATGCCTGAAAATCAAATTTTCTTGGGCAAGCTGTTTTTCGGTGAGTCCTACAAATGGGACAACACCAAATGGGGAATTATTGCTACCGTAACCAGAAGTACTTTAAAGAGTCATCAGATGTGACATCTTTCTAGGGACAAGAAATGGAGTAGGAAGAACCCCTAGACACAACCTAGCTCAACCCACTATTTAAAAAGTGTGGAGACTAAGGCCCAAGAATGGCATTCTCAAGGTCATTCAGCCAATTAGCCAATAAAGCAAGAGTGAGACTCAGCTTCCCTGTCTCCAAGCCCTCGACAGGGAGCATGAGAGTTCACGGCACCAGACGCAGAAGGCTGACTCATTTGAGCCTCAGGGGTGCTTGTCAGGTCATCATCAATTGTCCAGGCAGTTGCTTGGTCCCAGTTGGTTAGTGATGGAGCTAAGATATGAACCTGCATCTTCAGCTTTTTAGTTTGGTGACCCAACCACTTACTACCCCTAAAATTGGTGCTCCCCAACCCTCTGTCAGCTTGTCCAAAAGTTTTCCAGCTAAATCAAAGTACTGAATAGATGGTATAATGAACACTTGTCATATCACTTAACATTTCTGAACATTTTTCCTATATTAGGGGAAATTCCCACATTTTTAAGTCTCTCCTCTTCAAGTAAGCTAGAAGTCGATTTCCCAGCCATTTCTAAGAACGTTGCCTAGATGCAGGCCATCAGAGGCATCCATGCAAGGCCTTGATTTGGAAGAAGGAAACATAAAAACACAGACCCCACATGCAATCCTTTCTTGATGAGGATGGTGAAGGATGAGGCAGAGGCAGCATCCAGATCTCAGTTCTGGCAGAGCCCAAGGATGCAGCAGCTGTGTCCTGTGCTTGGCGTCTGCAGGGCCTGTAGCCAGAGGCCATGAGATCCAAGTGAGCTACAAGCAGTGCAAACAGGCGATTTGGAAATCGTTCCTGGGCATGTGGTCTCCAGGCCCCAGTCTCTGGCCCTCTTGGAGATTCTGCAAGCTCTTAACAATCTTTAATAAATTCCTCTTCCATTTAAACCAGATAGAGTAGATCCTGTTGTCTGCAACTTAAAATTTGAATGGGCACAAATATCATCCTCATTCTCATCATCGTCACCATCTCTATGATTTGTATCTTAGATATAAAATGGCTTGAGCCAAGTGTAGTGGTTTACACCTGTAATCCCAGCACGTTGGGAGGCAGAAGCAAGAGGATCTCTTGAGCCTAGGAGTTCAAGACCAGCCCTGACAACAGAGTGAGGCCCCCATCTCTACAAAAAATTTTAAAAATTAGCTGGGTATGGTGGTGCATGCCTGTAGTCTCAGCTATCTGGGAAGCTGAGGTGGGAAGGATCGCTTGAGCCCAGGAGGTTGAGGCTGCAGTAAGCCATGGTTGTGCCACTGCACTGCAGCCTGGGTGACAGAGCAAGACCCTGTCTCAAAACAAATAAATAAATAAATAAAATGGCAGGTGGGTGTTGCTGTCCCTATTTTCTTGAAGTTCATTTTTCTTTTGAGAGGAAAGGTGTCCTGGTATTTTTCTTTATCTTACTTTATATTACATTGTAGACATGCAAGCTATGCATGTATAATAGGTGTTCATGGTGTTCATTAAAGATTTGCTGGCCACTGGCTAGCTGGGTAGAGAGGTGACATTTCCATGATAAAATATGCCCTAAGTCTGATATTTCATTCTTGATTGGTGTTCTTATTAGGATGATTTCAACTGCATGTAATAGATGGCTCCATTAAAAGTGGCTTAAACAAAAAAGGAACCATTTTGCATAACCAGAAATTGGAGTGGATCCAAAAGCAGGGTAGAGTCAGTGTTGTTTAACTCAGACACTCAGGTGTCATCAGAGCCCCTGGTCTTTTCCATCTTTATGTTCTGTCATTTTTTTATGGTAGCTTTTATTCCCAAGCTTATCTCCTCATAGTCACGAGATGGCTGCAGCACTTCCAGACATCACAGATAGACACCAAACTTCAGTAATACAAAACATCAAACCACATTTACATCCTTCCTCTTGAGGTATCCCTTTGGAAAGTGATGACACCCTTTCCAGAAGCTCCCCAACAGATTTTCCTTCATGTCTCACTGGCCAATAAATTATGCCCTATATCCGTTCTCAAACCAGTCCTGGCAGAGAAATAGGTTTATCATACTGACATGTATCATTCAGAATTCATGCCTTGGGGCTGCGGATAAAAGGTGAGAAGAAGGGAGGAGTGGATTTTGGGTAGCAGCAAAGTTCGCCAATTGCCTTCAGTGCACTGGCTCTCAAGTTAGCTACGTCCACATGCTTTACCATCTCACAGGAGCTAAGCAGGTCGGTGTTGCTGTCCCCATTTTCTTGAACTTGAATTCAGGCAGTTGAAAAGTGATTTGCCTGAGGTTGCCCAGAGAAATCATAGGACAGTTGGGCTCGGAATCTAATTGATTCCAAGTTCAGAACCCCCATGGTCCCCTGAGGGGAAAGCACTCTTCCTACAGTTTATGCAGAGGTTTTGCTAAAGCAAGAAAAACTTCAGCATGGAAATAACTTGTTAATTGGAGGAGGCTGCAGAAAAATGTATTCCCTTGCTGGGTTTAACCTTGTATTTTAATAAACTGTTTAAAGGAAAGAGAAACGGTTTCCTATCGGCTGTTGAGAAGTCTGACTCTGTACTGCTGAAATATTTACTCTCCTGTAATTGCTGGCCATCTCTCAGGCTCAGGCAAACTGCTGCACAGGAGAAAAGAATTCAGCAGTGACTCAATGGGACTTCCACAGGAAGAAACTCCTGCCAGTGTCTAACCGTGGTTTGCTAAGGGTCTCCTTGGGAAGCTCATTGGGGATTTATTTCTCGGCAGGATTAATTTCTTTAGTGAGAAAGTCTCAGCTGCCTCTTCCAGAGGGGGTTGGTGGTGGGGGGAGAAGGGGGGTAGAATTTTGGTTACTTTCTATGTGGCATTTTCCTCCTAAGTGCATGGGCTATGCTGGCAAGTAGCTTTGGATTTGAAGGCATTTTCTTTCTAATTCAGATAAATTCAGTTTATTTTAACTCCCATGTACTGGAAGCATTCACTGTATGGAAGGCCCTGTGCCAGGAGCTGAGGAAACCAGGGTGCCTGGAAGTATGACAGTGCCTGGCATGTAGTACATGCAATCTGTGTTGATAATTGGTCACTGCATGTTGTTGAGGTGCTAAGAAATAATGTGCATACAATGCTTCCCTCAGCGCTGCTTACCAATTGTGCTAAAAGTTCTTACTACCGTGCTAACAGCTAATGCTTATTGAGTGTTTCCTTTATGCCAGACACAACTCTAAGTACCTTTCATACATTAATTGACTTAATGTCAATTAATCCTACATTAATTGACTTAAGGTATGAAAGGTAGTTAGAGTTGTGTCTGGCATAAAGGAATTATAATCATGACACTATGTAACTTAATCATTACAATGACACTATGAGGCAGGAACTATTTTGTCTCTGCTTGTGGATGAGGAAGCTCAGAGAATTTGAGTAACTCATTGAAGGTCTACATAGCTGGGATTTGGAGTTAAGAGTCCTGCCTTTGGAAACTGCATTCTTAACCACCATAGCATTTTGCCTCTTGCTGTTTAATATTACTCCTACTATTGTGATGTTATTCTTATTTTTCTTTTCTATTATTATTCTCACTGTGATGCTTCCCATCATAGTGATGTTTTCAAGAATAGTCTTTGTATAACTGGTACTTTCTTTTGGTTTACTTCTTGCAATTTGGGCATGGTACTTCCATGTGAGCAGTGAGTATGGGAGAAATCCTTGGTGGAGTATCTTTTCGGGAACACATATGTGTTCTATCTTGCTGTGGATGCCACTTTTCTTCTTGACAAAGGTTTTTCTTCTTAACACAGGGCAGGCTCCCAGCTGCTGCAAAATAGATCAGCACCATGGAGAGCTCCTTCCAGTCACCAAAATGGAATAAGGGTTTGTGGTCAATGGAAGTGAAATTAAAACTGTTTTTATAATGGTAAAAACTACAATTTGTGGAGTGACTTCTATGTGCCATACACTTTTCATACCTGATCCTATTTAATTCTCACAACTACACAGCAAGGGGTGTGTGATTATTCCCGTTTTTCACATAAAAGAGGACTAAATGTCAGAGGTGAAGCAACCCATTTTCAGTCGCACAGTTAGCAAGTGGGGAAGTCAGAGTTAAATCAGATCTTTTGACCTCAGATTCCTTGCTTTTTTACACTAGATAATGATGCTTTATATTGCCCTGGCAATTCAGTTGTAGGTTTCACCCTGGCTCCCTGACCAAAGGCCACTCCCACAGGAACCTACCCTTAGCTGTCAGAGCCAAAGACAACAGTCTGCAAGAGTCTGCACTGGTTGTCTCCTTCTGACCCTACCTGGCCATTCTACCTAATCACCTGGGCTTATACTCACAGACATAGCTTGCCATGATAATGGGTTATGTATCTATACTGTTTATTGGTGTGGCACTGGCCAGCTACCAGCACATACAGCAGGCACTCAACTAGTATCTGTTGAATGAGTGAATAAATAAATCAACAAGTAAGTAAGTGGATGAATGAGTGAATTGCCTTCAAAGGATCTTCCTCAAAGGCCTGGCCTCCAGCAGTTTGCTCTCCTTTTAATCTTGCCTCCTGAGCTCCAGAGATCCTCCAGAGATTTGCATCTTTGTTTCTGAATTCTGATAAAGGAAAGATGAGTGATTGGGTGGGCAGGAAATGGGCTACACAACATGTACAGGGAGTTGTTCTTCTGTGAGGTAAGCAATAAGGTCCAATAAACATGTGGGGAGACAAATCACTCCACTTGGAGAATATTGTCTTCCTTGTGTGAATGTATTAGAGATGTGTCTGTAATTTCTGTTTCTTCATTAATCATTGAGCACCTATTGTGTACCAGGGACTGACTTAGGCAACAAGGAACTGAGCCAGCCACACTCAACTTCTTTTACTCCTCTATATATTCCACATTCTCTCATTTCTTAGCTTTCTGGAATGCTGTTCCCTCTCTTGGGAATACTATTCTATCGTCTGGACCCTGTGCCTGGATAATTCCTACTTCTCCTTCAAGTCAGAGAGGAAACATTTCCTTCTGTGAGAAGCCATCTTGTAACTCTCCAAATCTGTGGTCAGTGCTCCCTGTGTCATCTTTGACTTTTCTCATCATTGCACTTCACAGGACTCTGTAATGTCATTTTCAGCCTCTTTGTCTGTGTCTTTTCAGGAGATGAGGATATGTAGATGAGGGTCCCTGATGGGCTCTCTGTTATATTTCTATAGCGACCAGCAGCAATATAGTAGGCATCTAATAGATTTTTAATTAAGTGGTTAAAATAGAACATAGGCATAAATTTTCTGAGCAGTAGAATAATGTACATAAATGTAAATTATTTATATTCTTCTCCTTTGGGTGTTGCAGAGGATGTCACCTTCTTTCTGCCCAGTCTGTTATTAAGCCATACACCCATTCCTCTGATTTTTCTATCTCGAATATCTCTTCCCACAACACCTACTGAGCACGTTTTTGTTGCCAGACATTGTTTTACACACCCTTCTTGTGTACATTAGCTTACTTGATCCTTAGAACAACTTTCTAAAGCAGGTTCTACTATTATTCCCTCCATCTTATAGATGAGGAAACTGAGGCAAACTGAGGAAACTGAGGCAAAGTCGATTAACTAGTCACATACCTTTTGTATTAGTTAAGGTTGTTGTAGAAAATAGGTAACACATACAAATTAAAGCAAGTTTAATAAAAGAGCAATATATGAGGTTGAAACATGAGACTGCCAATATTTGTTGATTTTTGACTTTCAAAAATAGCAATTTTATAAGTTTGAACTTAACGCAAATGTATGACCAGAGTTTAGGGCAAGCAACAAGTGATGGTGCAGTACCCTGGGGCTAGTAACCCAGGAAGCTGAGGCACTGCTAGGTCTGAAGGAGTGAGAGGAGGTAGTAGTTACTAGAGCCTAGAGAGGGAGCCATGTAGACAGTCCACCTGAGAGGAGATGTGGCCTTTGGTTGAGCCCATAGTGATCCAGCAGGGAGACAGGGAGCTGGGAAAACACATTTCTCAGCCTGTTTCTTCTCAGTTTCTGCAGTGGTTGCCAGGGCTTTCCATTGGTTGAACAACTGGAAGGCACAGGTCCACGGTATTTGTTGCTGCAGTCCATAGAGTTCAGCCTGTTGGAGCACAGGGCAGAGTGTGAAGGGTAGAGGGTGATTTATAGGGACAAATAGAAGACATTTGGCACAGCAAGTAAGTGAGAGTTGGGTGAAAACCCATGTAGCCTAGTTAAAGAGCCCATGCTCTGAGCCAGCATCTCTCATTTTGAACTTGGTGGAAAGAGCTGAGTCTATATATAGTCACTGCTGCACCAAAATCTCCTCTTGGGGATTTCGATGGAACTTCTCGGGAACTCAGACTTACCAATGAATTATTCACCCTTTATATTAATATTTGATTTCTAACAAAATAGCTGGTTTTAAGAGTGCTTTGGTGCAAAACGGAGCCAGTTTGAACCCAGGGCTGCAGCCTACTCTTTGCAGATCTTGTTCATCTTTGGTAGTTAAATATTTTAGTGTGTAAATAAGGGCCCATCTCAGGCTTCATAAATATTTTAGAAGTTGAGGCTGGCTGTCAAGATGATGGCACATTAATGAACATTGATGGTGTCCAACCAATGGAAGGCAACTCACTTAGATCACAAAATGTCAACTCTGGGACAAATCATGTGAACCTGGATTTTTTTCAAAACCCATACTTTGAGGAAATTTTGAGATAAAAAGCCCCAAAACACCAGGTCTGAAAGAGAAAGAAATGAGATATGTGTCCTGGCATCTGTGGCAACAGTTTTCCCTGGGGCTGAGGACAGCCTTGTTCTCCTTCCCACTTTGGTACCTTGATAGTTGATGTTTCCTCTGGCTCAAACATCTTCTACCTTTAGTACCATGACAAAATCCTACTCGTTCTTCAAGTCTAACTCTCCTAGGAAGGATCTCATGATTTTCCATCTTGTCCTAGGCAGAATAAGCCATCTTGGGTAATAGGATAGTTATATATCTGTCTCCTTGACTAGACTATGAATTACCTTCTTCTCATGGCTAGAGACCATGCCACAGGCATCTCTGGAGCCTCCAAGCCTAGCATGGTGCCTGGCACACAGTTGGTATTCCATACATGTTGGATGAATAAATAAAGGAGCCAATAAACCCTGTTATCTCAGAGGAAGCTGTCTTCAGTATTGGGGGAGGGCTCACTGAGGGTCTCTATGAGATTCCGTGGGAAGCCACTGTGTGTGTTTTCTGGGTACAGTAGGGAGCATCAGCTGGAATTCTAAAATTACAAGTGATGAAAGAGATACATGCACTTGTGCCTTAGTTTAGGCTGCTATAACAAAAAACAATACCACAGACTAGGTGAGTTAAACAATTAACACTTCTCACAGTTCTGAGGTCTTTTTTATAAGCGCAGTAATCTCTCATGAGGACCCCATCCTCATGACCTTATCTAAACCTAATTAACTCCCTAAAGGTCCTACCTTTTCAGATTGGTGATTAGCAAATTAGGGCTTCAACATTTAAATTTGCTGTGGGGGTTGAAGGGGACACAAACATTCAGTCCATAGACACTGAGATACTGGGTTCTTTCCCAGAATGCATGTGTGCCCATAGTCCTGTGAGGTCAGTCTAAGCCCACCTTTCACCCCAGGGAGGAACTGCTGGAATTCTTTAGCAACATGAGTCCAAAGTTCAAAGCCTTTGGACCAGACAATGCTGATTCAAGTCCCAGCTCTGCCATTCACCAGCTGTGGAATTTGGATGACTTACACTCTATTTGCCTCAGTTTGCTTGTCTTTAACTTGAAGCTGGTCACACCTAGCCCTCTGGGCTGCTGCAAGAGACCCAGAACACTATGGTGACCTCTTCCAGCAGCTGTGACTGATTATGTCTCTGTCTTCCTCTGCAAAAGTAAGAGGCAGAGGAGGAGACGTGAGCACTGGCCTGGGAGCACAGGAAGGATATGGTTAACTTCTGACCATGACTGATGCATGGTGTCCTGTCCCATCCACTCCACAAAGATTCTTCTGAGGACCACCTGGAACAAAGGGGTTAAGGTATCTGTCTACACAGAGTGCTCTGAAATTGCAACACACACACCTTTGCCTTATGAATAAATATATCTCTGCTTGTTCTCTTTGTGGATAGAAGATAGAGTTTAAATCACAAATCACTGATGAAGAGATCATTGTGCTCACATTTCAGTATGTAGCTACTTCCAAGTTCCTAATATTTAGTTTTCCAATCACATAGACCTCTGCTACCAACCCAGGTGAAACTACACTTAATTTTGACAATAAAAGGATTTTGAAACATTATTGCATCTGAATCTTGTATCTTTATGATTCTTCAGTGAAAAAATTTAAATACACATATCTATCTAAATATATCTATCTCTATATATTCTTTAATCTCTGCTATGTATTTACTTTTTATTTATCTATGTATCATCTCTATATAATTTGTAATTTCTGTGATTAACTGCTAGCAGAAGAACATACTTCTCAGTTCCCCAAATGATATATAAAGATGTAATCCACACAACACTGAGAGATCAGAATTATTAAACTCAAAACAAGAAAATGAAGGCTCAGCAACACTGAGGGTGTGATCCAAGATCAATAGCCAATATGTGGCCGTGTTGGGACTTGAACACAGGTTTTCTGCTTCTGAATCCCAGTTCCATTTCTGGATAACTTCCTGGCCCTCAGAAAAAAAGGGGGGTGGTCCTTGAAGAGTGAGGATCGGCTTTCTGCACACACTTATTGCTTTAGTACTCACAGGCAATGGAATTATCCTCCAACTTTTCTGGAGGAAAATGGGATAGGTGAGAACTATCAACAGCTTGGGTGGCCAAGCCAATATCAAACCAGAACAGCCTCTTGAAGCTGAGTTCACACGACTCTTCAACACTGAGGCAGTCTCAGAACTTCAGAACCCAAAGTTCTATAGTATAGTCTTTAGAACTAAAAACACTAAAGCGAGCTCTTTAGAAATGAAAACAAAGTTACCAAAGAAAGAACATGGCCACAGCTGGGCGCAGTGGCTCATGCCTGTAATCCCAGCACTTTGGGAGGCTGAGGCAGGCAGATCACGACGTCAGGAGTTTGAGACCAGCCTGGCCAACATAGTGAAACCCTGTCTCTACTAAAAATACAAAAAAATTAGCCGGGCGTGGTGGTGGGCACCTGTAATCCCAGCTACTCGGGAGGCTGAGTCAGGAGAATCACTTGAACCCAGGAGGCGGAGGTTGTATTGAGCCGAGATCACACCATTGCACTCCAGTCTGGATGGCAGTGTGAGACTCTGTCTGAAAAAAAAAAAGAAAGAAAGAAAGAAAGAAAACGGAAAAAAAGAAAGAACATGGCCAACCTTGGTCAGGACGACAGAGGCTCGGGTGGCAAGAAGGGGAGAGAGTTATGGTAACCGTTGGCAGGACACCGCACTGTGGCGGCTGCCCAGTTTCTGAGAATTATGAATCTCTTTGGAAACTGACTGAGGGGCTAGGCAAGCTAACCACATATCCACTCCAACAGAAGCTACACTGTTCATTCTGGCATGCGCAAGCTCGTGAGGAAGCGCCTGAAGTCAACCTTCCCTGGCTCGAGGTCTCAGAGATGAAACAGCCTGTCTGCATCTCGGCAGCTTTGATTTGTGGCTGGACCACATGGGTGGGTCAGTCAATCTGTGCCTTTGGCCTTTCGTGCTAGAAAAAACTCCTTCCCGGTTAAGAGAAAGATGAGATAAGGGAGACATAAAGTGTAGGCTTTGGATCTTGCCAGAATTAAGGCTGATTCACCTCTCTGTGTTTGTTCTAACTTTGATTCTTTTAGTCCCAATGAGACAGATACGAGTTAAAAGCGCTGTCCTCTTATTTTTGATTAACTACAATGCTTAGGGCTATTCAGCTATGACCCCCCTGCTTCCTGCTCTTGGCTGGGAGGTGGGATGTTTCTGCTGCCCCAACAGGATGCTGAGTTGTGCTGTCCTCTTGGTAGTCACAGGTGGATGACAGTGTTGGATGTCTCGGCTTTGAAGCTGAGCATCTGTCTATGTACCTGGCGGCTGCTGTGTCAGGGAGGGAGGTGCGAGGACCTTTCATTACTTTCCCATGGAGACATGCAACTATGACTCTTACCCCATTCTGGAAAAGTTTCCCCATTACTCCCTAATGGAATTGGAGAAAGTAAACAAATACGGCTCTTAACAAAGAGTCTTTTAAGAGAAAATTTACAGCCATGTAATCTTGCTTCTCCTGGCAACATGTAGCCCATCTTCTGGGAAAAGTATCCACAGTTTTATGTAACATGTTTATGAACAACACAAAATATTGACAGTCTGTTCATCCCATCTGCTTCCCATGACAGGGAGGAATCATTGCATAGTGGTGCCAGAGGGTCTCCGGGTCCACAAGGGGATCTTTCTGGAGGTGTCCTGTTATAGGGGTCCTGCCTTCAGGGAGATGGAGGCCACAGAAGTCTCCTAGGTGAGCTCTTTTGGAAGAGGAATCAGGAATTTGGCCTCTGGAACTTTCTCTTCTTAATGCGTGGCATGCTCCTAGCCAGTCTGGGCTCATGAAGTCACTGGTAGGAAAGTGCCTAAATGGCCAATGGGGTTGTTGGTGTGGAGAACAGTGAGACAGGGAAGGGGGTGGGCTTTCTCATGCTCTGCAGGCAGCTGGTGGGAAGGGGCCCTGAGTTAAGCATGGGGGTGGCAACATGTAAAGGAGAGGAAAGTGAGCGAGGCCCTGGTGTTTAGAGGAGGAGGAAGGGGAAAGAGAAAGAAGGAATAATAAAGAAAGGGACAGAGGGAGAGGCAGAGGCAGAGAGGGAGGGAGGAAGAAGGGGAGGCAGACAGGAACAGAAGGAGAAGGAGATAGGGAGGGAGGGAGAGGGAGAGGGAGGGACAGAGAGAGGCAGAGAGAGGGAGGCAGAGAGAGGGAGAAGCAGGGAGAGAGGGAGGGAGAGGGAGAAGCAGGGAGGGGGGTGGCAGAGAGGGGCAGAGGGAGAGGGAGAGAGGGATGGAGGGAGAGGGAGAGAGGGATGGAGGGAAAGGGAGAGAGAGAGGGAGAGGCAGAGAGGGAGGGAGAAGGAGAGAGGGATGGAGGGAGAGGGAGAGAGGAATGGAGGGAGAGGGAGAGAGAGAGGGAGAGGCAGAGAGGGAGGGAGAAGGAGAGAGGGATGGAGGGAGAGGGAGAGAGGGAGGGAGAGGGAGAGAGGGATGGAGGGAGAGGGAGAGGGAGAGAGGGATGGAGGGAGAGGGAGAGGGATGGAGGGAGAGGGATGGAGGGAGAGGGAGAGAGGGATGGAGGGAGAAGGAGAGGGATGGAGGGAGAGGGAGAGGGATGGAGGGAGAGGGATGGAGGGAGAGGGAGAGAGGGACGGAGGGAGAGGGAGAGGGAGAGAGGGACAGAGGGAGAGGGAGAGGGAGAGAGGGACGGAGGGAGAGGGAGAGGGAGAGAGGGATGGAGGGAGAGGGAGAGAGGGATGGAGGGAGAGGGAGAGGGAGAGAGGGACGGAGGGAAAGGGGGAGGGAGAGAGGGACGGAGGGAGAGGGATGGAGGGAGAGGGAGAGGCAGAGAGGGAGGGAAAGAGGGATATGTCCTTGAAGCTTGCTGTAAAGCACACTACCTGAGACCACTCTAGGGGATCATGGGGGAGAGATGGACAATGCTTGGGATGCTTTAAAGAGCAAGGCTGCATGGTTCGTAGCAAAACACTGACAATGACCTTAAGGGTCAGCAGTAAGAGAACAGGGTAATTTGTGATGGTACATCTAAACCACAGAACACTGAACAACCATCACGAGGGCTTGCCCATATAGATCCATTGATGTGGAAGCGTATTCATAATTGCCAATGACAAAATTATTTGGAGGCACTGCTCATAGCATGAGGCCATTTTTTATAAATTACAATATCCAATCTATTGTTTATAGGTCAATGTCTGGATGGGCATTCAAGGATATCGTCTAGAACATCTTACGACCCAAGTTACAGAAATGTGGAGAACTGTCCACTGAAAGACTGCAGGGGCCACGGGGGCAGTGGCTGAAGAGTGTGCCCTGCCAAAAGACAAAGAGATTTCAAAATTCAAGAAAAAATGGACTCACCAAACAGAGTCCTGCTGCTCTATAAATTACACACTAGCTCTATAGTGCTAGTGTACTATACAATATAATATATATAGTACAAGCCACCTGCTCTATAAATTACACACTAAATATTAATAGTGGTTGCTTCTGGGTGGTGAGATTTGGGAGTTACCTTAATTTTAAAAAGTGCTTGTATATAGTTTTTAGAATTGTAATTATTTTTTGACTGTGACTATGAGTGTGTGATTTATGAAAAGACAACAAGAGTAGGACCGAGTTGCCATGTGAACTTCCCTTTCTGTTGCTGGCATAAGGCCCCTCTCTGGTCCTCCCTGCAGGCAAGGGAAGCATGCAGACTAGAGGGAGCGAGGCCAGAAGGGGCCCCCAAAATGTATGCCCAACGGCTCCCTGGCTGCCTTCATGTAGCAGCAGGAGCTTAGCATGACCTGAGCATGAGCTATGGGCCAGGCCTGGTGGTGCCGGCAGCTTCAGCTGGTCAGGCTCCTTTAATCCTCACAAAGCTCCGCCAGGTGGGACTGTTGTTATCCCCTCTTACAGGTGAGGAAAGCTGAAACTCAGAGTGAGTTCCTGTGAGCTGCCCGTCATCACTTACACTGAAAGAGGCAGAGATGGGGCTCAGGACCAGGAGGTTTCTGGCCATAGGGCAAGTGCCCTGTGGCTCCAAACCACCAGGCTACACTTCCAGCAGCATGGCTGGCCCTCCGGGGCTAGGACCCGGCCTTTCAAAGTTGCCTTCCCAGAGGAGAGGTGAAAGGCCAGTTGTATTGTGATCAGTTGTATTGTGATCAATACAGGGCCAGCTGTATTGTGATCAAGAAGTGCCAGGGCTGATGGGAATCTGTATATTGTGACTGAGCTAGCCAGATGGTTCATCACACCACCTGGGGCAGGCAAGGTGCTGACGGCTGGTGGACGTGGGGCAAAGACCTGATTCTGCTAGTTTCTGGCTGTGCAATTTCAGAAAAGTCGATTTGCTTTTTTCCTTCATCTTGTAAAGTGGGGATAAACACACATCTCATGGGATTGTTCTGTGCCCAGCAGGATGAGTAGAAAGTGCTTGGTAGAGTAGATGGCCCTGGCATTGTTTTGGGTATTGCTATTGCTGGCCAAGGCTGGGCTTGGGGCTCACTCAGATGTTGAGGATGGAGGGGCACTGCCAGCCTCTCCCTTCCACGTCCCTTCGCGATGGCTTTAGATCTGGGGGAAGCTATGAGTTTGCCCAGTGTGTATTCATGGTCTCTACTAAATTAGAAGGGAAACAAGACAGGGCATGCTGGAGCTGTGGGAAAGGGCATCACTGCTCTGTTCAACATTGAACAGGCAGCTTTATTTCCAGGCTGTGGATTAGGACAACTTAGAAGAACCATCCCGGGAGCAGAGGATTGGAAAGGCACTTTTCCCCCTCAATACATTTCAAATTCGTATACTTGAAAAACCACTGAGGCTTCTATAGTCCACACAAAATAGTCTCCGTTTAACAGCATCACATTCAGTTTTTTTTTTTAATAAATAAACACTATGTATAGGCAAAGGACTGACATTGAAATGTTTTATATCCCACAATGTTGAAAGAAAAGACATCGAGTATTTTTTTCCATTGCACCTTTATTGTTTATTCTGTTCACTGTTCAGAATTTTCATACAGTCTTTCTAGAATCACACAGAGCCTACTGAGTAGCTCCTTCCCCCTGACACTGCTTTATTTCTAACCAGCCTCCTCTCATCCCTTATCCTTAGTGTATGATATTCTGCTAGTGTCCAGGGAGTTCCCAGGGTTGTTTTTACAGGGGAGGGAGAAGGGTGTGCGGTGGTATGCCTGCAGCTTTCTCTCCTCTCCACCTCCTTTCTTGTTCAGCAGCCTCCGGACCCCCAAGGGCTAAGGAATCAGACACATTGGGTTTGGATCTTGACTCCACTAGAAGCCATGTGATCTCAGGGACATTTCTTGACCTCTCTGAGCCCTTTTTCCTTCTTCTACAATGTGGAGAAAAGACTCCCTCTCTCACAGGGTTACTACAAGAATTCAATGACTCCAAGTATCCAAAGCATCTGGCACAGTGCCTGGGCACACAGTACGCCCTACATGCACCTTAGCTTCCTTCCTTCTGGCAGGGAAGAGAAGATATCATAAATCAATGCCAGAGCCAGCTGCTCAGGGGCATTTTCTTTATAAAAGAGCCTGGTCCATTTAACAGAGCCCAAGAAATGACTCTCTAATGGTGGAATTTCAGACACTATAGCATGGGTGAGGGAGAGATCTGCAGGCATAGACTATAGAAGCCTCAGAATCATTTGAATCCAGCCAGGCAGACTGCTGCTGCTTCTGCCCAGGGGCAAGGCTGGTGATAGAGTTTGGCTGTAACCCCACCCAAATCTCATCTTGAATACCCATGTGTTGTGGGAGGGACCCGGTGGGAGGTAACTGAATCACGGGGGCAGGTTTCCCATGCTGTTTGCATGATAGTGAAAAAGTCTCACGAGATCTGTTTTAAAAATGGGAGTCTCCTTGCACATGTTCACTTCTCTTGTCTGCCACCATGTGAGACGTGCCTTTCACCTTCCACCGTAATTGTGAGGCCTCCTCAGCCACGTGGAACTGTAAGTCCAATAAACCTCTTTCTTTGTAAATTGCCCAGTCTTGGGGATGTCTTTTTCAGCAGTGTGAAAACAGACTAATACAGCTGGCAATGGCAGAAGGAATACTAACCCTCTCTTTAAGGCCATGCCACTGTAGCCAGGCAAGGGCCCATTTCAGGGAGCCAGAAGGGAGCTAATTTGTTTTTATGCAACCATCCCTGCCAGAGAGGAAATAGCTTCATGTGGGTGTAAACCAGGGGCTTTAAAAATACAGAAGTCCTTTAGGGCAATCATTAAATCCCCTCCTCATGTCCCTGAAAAGTCACCTGTCACAGGGCTGTCCTCACAGCCTGAATCACCATGAGATCTCCTGGGGGAGTTCTTGTGTCATTTATACCCCACCCGCTTTTGAGGAGGATCCCAGGTATCTTGCAAAGGAAGGAGTAATGCACCTAATCCCGAGCTTTCCCCCTTGTTCTTCCCAACTCTCGCGGTACATGACCGCTAAAATCAAAATCTGATAAACGAATGGTCACAAGAATGAAACAATAACGCTGCCGGTAAGAAGCTGAATATTCTGTTCAAAAGTTCATCTGCAAATATAGCCACGCTCTTCTTCCTCAAAGGTAGTCCTTTTAATTTTAAGCTGATCTATCACTCAGCCCTTATTCATGCATAATTCTCAGTAAAGATAGGGTGCATCTAAGGTCTGCATGCCCACAATCATTTTATATCTCCGAGATAACAACAAAAAGCCACTCAATGGACAATCTTAAAACATGCACCCAAAACCATGGCTGACAGTATGGGAAAATGTCCTTCAGACCAAAGAGGCAGAGAGAGAGGAGAGAGAGAGAACAAAAGCGCAAGGTAAAAGACTCAAGATGAGACAAAAGGACTAGAATGGCTCCACAACAGAACATCTGTAGTTGGGGGAGGAGGGGACAAAGCAGATAAAACTAAGGAAAGCTCTATGGATCTGGGAGTGCCTCTCCAAGTATTTGGTTCATGCTAAAAAATAGAGCACATTTATTAAAAATATATATTTATAAACCTTGACATGAACAGATACACATGTCAAGCCAATGAAAAAAGAAAAATAAGTTATCTCCCCAGTATCAAATAGTTAGACACTTTTGATGAATGGGATGCCTGTCAAAGGGCTGCGCCTGTGGTTTTTCCACTAAATAGCTCGTCAAGTGAAGATGAAACACTTGTCCTGGGAGACACACATCTGAGCCATGTCCGCCCTATTCATCTTTTCAAATATGTGATATCTGTCAGCGATCTGGAATAATGAATTTCTGCACCCATCCGCTCACTGATGGTGTCAGAGGCTGGTCTTCCAAGCATTCTTCTGGGCCCCCTGCCAAAGACGTTGAGTTCCTAGTGCTGTGAATGAGTTTTGTTGGAATCATTGTGCTTTAGTGTCTGCTCCCTGCAGCAGGATCGGTCTATTTGTGTGACCTTTTGTAAAGTTTGAAGGTGCATTTGATTGGGTGGTATGTGCGGGTCAAGCCTGCTTGTTCTCGCAGGGTCTGGTCAGTGATGCGCCGACACGCAGGACTTCCGTCTTTGGCCATTCTGAGGCCTCTGAGGACGCTCTGGGCCATTCACAGGGTGGTGTATATGTAGACAAATATGATCACAATCAGGTTCAGAATGGTCCCGATAATCCCCAGCATTGCCAAGACACTCTCCTCTTTACTTTCTTTTTCTTGACCTCCTCTGTCTTCATCATTTTCACTAGTGATTACCATCTTGGTTGCAAATGTCTTTATCTTCCTTGCCAGGCTAACCTGTAATTGGAAAGAGGCAGCACAAAAGATGATCATTTATAAGCATGCCCTCCATAGCCAGGCAGATCTGTAGTGGGTAGTGATCTGCTTGCAGGTCAGAACATGGTGGGAGAATGACAAATCCCACAAGGATCCTACCTTGGGACACCTTGCTCTTGGCCATGGGAAAAAGGCAGAACACGGCTAATTGGTTTAGAAGATGAGTGTCCTGACATTGGTACAGAGAGAGGAGCCTAGAAGTCTACCCGGGCATCACCCACTTTGTTGAGCTGGTTTTCCCCCCTTCCCTTGAAGGAGAAACTGGGTCAGCTGCACTGCAGTGAAACTAAAGTCTGTGCCCTCCATCCTGGTGGTGGGAATTTCACATACTCTCACATATTGGGTTACACGCAAGAAACATGCTGTCCTGAGTATCCACAAAGTGTGTATGGGGCATCACAGTCCTACCATGCTAAAGCTCTGACTGCGGTATGGGTAGGGGTGGCTGGAAGCCAGGGAAGGTGATTCATTGAGACCAGGCAGGATGGTAAAGGGTCTATGCACGGTGTGGATGAGTAACGCCATGAGAAATTCTCATAATCCCTGGTAGAAACAGATATTGCTACAATCATTCCAGAAAGTTTCCAGGCATTAGCTAGAAAAGTGAACAGACATATTCTACCACTGGGCACCTGCTCTGCCAGGTTATACCCTAGAGAAGGCCTCACTTCTGTGCACCTGGAGGCATGGACACAGGACTGCTCCCATGGGCTTCATCTGCCATAGCAGAGAACTGGAAGTTACCCAGATATGCACCGAGAGGAGAGCAGATGAACATGTGGTGGTCAGTCTCTACAATGGAATATTATATGATGGTGAAATGAATGAATTAGAACTACAGGCAACAGGAAGAACAAAGCCCAGACACTTAGCGGAGGGAAAGAGCACATGGCAGACAAATTTGTGCAGTACAATTTGATTTATAAAGGCTCGAAACAGGCAAAACCAAGTCATCTATTGTTTTAGACATGTGCTATTTGATTTTCATAAAAAGTAATGGAATGATTAGCACCAAAGTGACTAGCGCAAAACTCAGGAGAGTGGCTTTCTCCAGGCAAGAGTGGAGCAGGCTGCCATGAGGGAGGGGCACCAGTGGCCTTCAGATACTAGTCATCTGCCATCTGTTAAGCTTTAAACTGTTCCTTTAAACTGCAGGCATATCTTCCAGCTACTCTTTTTGTATGCATGGTATGTATTGCAATAATCAAAATAACTTTTTATTTTCGAAGACAGAAAACATGGCCATCCAGGAGGCAGACTGGGCAGCCAAAGCCTTCTTTTCTACCAATTGCTGGTCCAAACCACAGGTAAAATAGGATCAGTGTGTGTGGTGGTGGCAGCCCGTCCACTTGTGATGTGATGTGCACCAGGCCAGCCCCATAGCTACATTTCTTCCACTGGAGGGCTGTGCCTTTAGAGCCAGGAGGCTTTTCACGCTTCAGGGTTTGATGATGGTTAAATTTATGTGTCAGCTTGACTGGGTCATGCACGCCCAGATAGCTGGTCATGCGTTATTCTGGGTGTGTGTGTCAGGATGAGATTAACATTTGAATTGGGAGACTGAAGAAATCAGACTGTCCTAAATGTGGGTGGTGACTGACCAATCAGCTGAAGGCCCGAATGAAACAAAAAGGCTGACATTCCCCCAAATTCCTCCTGCCTGCCTGCCTTCAAGCTGGGACAATGGCTTTTTCCTGCCTTTGGACTCGAACTGTTGATTTTCAGGTAGCTCTTCCTGGGCCTTGAGCCTGCAGGGCTTCAGATGGAACCACACCACTGGCCATCCTGGGTCTCCCGCTTGCTGACTCATCCTGCGGATCTCAGGACTTGCTGGTCTCCAAAATCACGAGTCAACTCTGTATAATAAATCTCTTTATATACACCTATATATATCTTACCAGTTCTGTTTCTCTCATTCGAATGCTATCTTAGGGCACATATCCAGGAAGGATCACAAACGGGAATCCAGGAATGTGGGAATGTGAAATGAGATGGGAAATGAAACGTCTGCATGCCCTCCCCCTGTGCACATGAGCCCCTGAAAGGGCTGGGTCGCTCGCACCTTACAGAGCGGCTCTGGATCCGGAGGACAGGACATGTGAATGAACATCCGTATGAACGAGAGGCAAGCACATCAGTGAAGAATGGAGGAACTGATGCAACATGAAACTGTGCATAAGTGAACAAATGAACACCCTAAAGGCAAGTTTCATATTCTTCACAACTTCGGTTTACTAGATAGGCCTACAGTGGGTTCCTACTCCCACAGCTCAGCTAGGGAAAGCTTCTAGTTGGATTCGTTCGGTTTTCCTGCTTTTTCTCCCCTCGTATACTTTTAATGATGTATAGTAAACATACAGGAAAGTGCACAAAGTTTAAATGTACAGCTTGATACATTTTCATATCTGTTTAGCACCGAGATCAAGAAACAGAGCCTTCCAGCACCCAGGGGCCTCCCACAGTGCCCCATCCAATCACTATCCCTACCTCCTGAAAACCATTATTGTGGCTTCTAGCACCATTGGTGAGCTTTGCCTGGTTTTGAATTCTGCGTAAATGGAATCATACAGTATGTCCTCTTTTGAGTCTGATTTCTTACTCACAACACTGTGTGTGAGATTTGCTCACGTCGTTGTGTATAGCTGTGGCTCGTTCACTCTTATATGTGAACAGTATTCCACTGGATCACTACACCCAAAATTTATGTCTCTATTCTATGGCTGATGGGCATTTTCACTGCTTCAAGTTTGGGGCTATTATGAATAATGCTGCTATGAACATTCTTGTATATATATTCGGGCAAGCATATACATACATCTTTCCCAATATTTCATATTAAGTTTTTTAACATACAGCAAATTTGAAGGAATTTTACAGTGAGCACCCATAAACTCACCATCTCAAATCCATTACTAACATGTTCCCATACTTGCTTTGTCACATATCTGCCCATTCCTTATTCATCTATCTTCTTTTTTGGGTGCATTTTAAACTACATATATCATTATTACTATTATTATTATTATTTTGAGACAGGCTCTTGTTCTTTTGCCCAGGCTGGAGTACAGTGGGGTGATCACGGCTCACTGCAGCCTTGACCTCCTGGGCTCAAGCGATCCTCCTGCCTCAGCCTCCCAAGCAGTTGGTACCACCAGCGTGCACCACCACGCCCAGCTAAAATTTTTACATTTCTTTTTGTAGAGACTGGGTCCCACTATGTTGCTAGGCTGGTCTTGAACTCCTGGGCTCAAGCAATCCTCCTGCCTCAGCTTCCCTAAGTGCTGGGATCATAAGTGTGAGCCACCATGCTTGGCCTAAACTGCAGATACTATTTCATTTCCCCGTAAACACTGCAGCATGCTGCATGTTTTAACTACAGTTTTTATTTACAGTTTTCTCTTTTAATGTAAAATTCACACGTGCATTTCCTATTACTACATACATACCTAGAAGAGGAGCTGCCGGGCACAGGGTACGCATACGTTTGACATTAGTGGATACTGCTAAACAGCTTTTCAAAGTGGTTGTGTCTGTTTGCTAGTTTGTAGGTATTAGTGGATCCCCCCTTTTTATTTTGGTGACTCCACAGCTCAAACTTTGCACAAAGTCATGAGAAGTCTGTTGTAAGAATCTTAGAAATCCACTCCCTTTACTGCCCTGGACAGATGTCTATCCAAGCACTAGTCATGTCTCTAATGGAGTCTCTGGTTTATCATCCGTCGTCTTAGAAAGACTGCAAGCCCTTGGAGGAAGGACTTTTGAATCCCCACCTCCAAGCGTGATGCCGGGCATGGAGCAGGCACTTAAGAAAATTGTGCTGAATGAATGAGTGGGTGCTCTGGGGCAACCTGGCATCTCCCAGTCTCTACAGGCCAGGGAATAGATGGCCAGGATTGGTATAAGAAGATACAATTAGTGCTGCCTTTATAACCAAAGACCCATCATCACAGTCACTCAAGCAAAACAAAGCGCCTGTCATGGAGGCTGCTTGGTTTCAAGGCTTAATTTAGCCTCTTCCCTGAATTAACTCGAGATAACTCTGACTCAGGAGGAAGTGGAGGGGAATAATCAGGTCAGCTGTGTTTACTTTCCGAGGACTCTGAAGCAAACAAAGACCTAGAAGAGACCTTCTCCGACTCACAGAAGAGTTGCACCTCGGGTGTTTGTTTCCAAGTTGCTTAAGTCATCAACTTGGAAACTTCAATTCCCCTGTAGACAACACGTTGGGAGTGTGGCTTGATTCCCAGGGGAGTTACTGAGGGCTTCCTTAAATGGAGAAGTTAGAATATTGTTTTCTTTGGAAAAAGTTGTCTGGCCAGGGTCTGGAGGATGAACAGTGATGGAGGAGACTCATAGAATCCAGGAGATTAGCCTAGAAACCAGAACAATAACAGAGATGGGAAAGGAAAACAGAAACAATAAGCAACAAGTATAATAATAACAGCACATTTTAAAATGGATTAGAGAGTGTAACGGGAATGTTTGCAACTCAGTGGATAGATGCTTGAGGGGATGGATACCCCATTCTTCATGATGTGTTATTTCACACTGTGTGCCTGTATCAAAACATCTCAAGTACCCCATAAATATATACACCCACTATGTAGCCACAAAAATTAAAACTTAAAAAATAAAATTTAAAAAATTAAAAATAAACAACAAGCAAAGGCTGGGGCCAGTCAATGTCTGACATAAAGCTTGCTAAAGGTTATACATTCATTTATCCACTCAATCATTTACTCATTTCTTCCTGCCAGGGGCTGGGTGGAGGGGGAAGTGGGGATTGGCTGATAACAGTAAAGGCATTTCTTTTTGGAGTAACAACAATATTCTAAACTTAGATTTTTAGTGACAGTTGCACAACCCTAAATACACTAAATATACTAAAGCCATGAAACTGTACACTTCAAATAGATGAATTCTGTGGTTTGTGAATTATATCTCAATCAAGATGTTAATTTTTAAAAAACAGTATTTGTGATAGTATCTGAAATATAAAGTGCCCAGAAATAAATCTAATAAAGATGTGTGAAATTTTGATGAAGAATACTGTAAAACTTTACTGAAAGACATAAAAGCAGACCAACATGAAAAAGAAGACATACCATCTTCACGGAATGCTAGATTCAATAAGCAAGATTCAATATCCTAAAAACATCAGTTTTTCCTAAAGTGTTCTATAGGTTTTTTGCAGTTCCAGTCAAAATGTCTATGGGGTTTTTGGTGATATTTGACAAGTAGGTTCTAAAATGTATATCAAAGAGCAAATGGATAATAACAGCCAAGATGTTTACTAAAGAATAAGGTAGGGAGATCTGCCTCATAGGGCATCAATATGTCTTAGGTCTAAGGCTTATACAAGCCTTAGACAAATAGGCCAAAGAAACAAAAACAAAGTTACACACACATGGACACTGCTGATCCACAGGGGTAAACGGGTCTTTGATGAGCAGTGTTGGAATACCTGAGTATCTGTATGAAAAAATAAATGAAATCAAATCAGTAGTTCATCAGTTCCAGATGAATTATAGATAAGAATAGAAAAAGAACACTTCGAAACTTTTATAAGGCAATATAAAGGAATATCTGTATGACCTTGGGGTAGAGAAGGATATCTTAACAAGACATAAAAGCTCAAACTATAAGGAAAATTATGAAATTCGATGACCTTAAATTCAATATCTGTTTATCAAAAAAATAAAATATCATCAAAAGTGAAAAGTTAAGCCACAAACTGGGATATACACTATACATCATTCTAGTCTCAAATGAGTAGGAAAATGATAAATATCCAGTAGAAAACTGGGCAAAACCATGTCCAGGCATGGTTTACAAAAGAGTAAACAGCCGTAAAGAAGCTAAACCTCAGTACCAGAGAAATGCCCATTGAAACACAGTGAGCTACCATCAAACAGCCATCAGATTGGCAAGAACTAAAACATCTGACAAGACCACTGAACACTGACAGAGTCTGTACGGTAGCAGGGACTCTCAGATACCTATGGCAGGAGTATCAGTGGATACTGTCACTTTGGAAAACAGGATGGCATTATCTTATAAAGCCAAACATACTCACACCTCAGTGACCCAGCCATGCCACCTTGAGATACACACCGAGTACACCTGCAAATGAGCAGCAGGGTACATGGATAAGAGCATTTAAAGACAGCAATGTCAGCATAAGCAAAATGCTGGACCCAGCATCAATGGCCATCAGCGGTGGCCTGGATCTACCGTTGTGAGTTCTCATGCTGGAAAAACACACAGCGTCGAGGAAAAAATGAAATGCTGGAACGTGCCATCGCATGGATGAATTGCAAATACAATATCGAGTGCAAAAGCGCGTTGCAAAAGACCACAGAAAGGATGTTCCCACTTATGTGGGAAGTTCAGAAACAGGGAGATTCTAACAATATTTTATATGGAGATACAAGTGTGATAAAAACACAAAGAAAAACAAGAGAACAATAAATCCCAAAGCCGACGTAGTGGTTCCCACTAAGTGGACAGGATGGAGAGGATGCTCAGGACTCTCTAAGCCACTGGTAATATTTCTCAAGCTGGTGGTGGGTACATGAGCGCTTGCTCTTTATACTTACATTCTAAATATGCTTCTCATATCTATTCCATACTTAATAAGTTAATTGGTGATTTAATACTTACTAGTTAACTGCATAATTAACAATAAAACAATACTGATATTAAAACAAATTAATTAGCAAAAACAATTTTTTTTAAAAAACACAGGGTTTTAAAGACTGGGTATATTAAGTGCTGTGCTGAATGCCAAAAGAAGCCCCGCATGGTAACCAGGAAGGGAGCCACTTTTCTGGAAAGACAGAGTGCTCCTCATCAGCACCCCTACTGTGCTAAGGCGATGGGCAACTCACTTTCAAGCACAGTTCCCAGCAAGCCAGTCCTCTGTTGGGCTGCTTCCGATGAGCACACTTGAGAGTTTTTAATCATTTGCTTAATTAGGATGCGTGTCTTGGAAAATAAACCACGAGTATACAGTGACACAGCGCCGTGTGTGGCCTGGGCCTAGAGGCTGCAGAGCAGCTAGGGAGAGCCCTGCAGGGGGACTCAGGGTTCAGTGTGGAATCCCAGCCGGGCAGGGCTAGAAGGCACGGAGGTCATGGCTCACTGGGCCTAACCAGCATTCATGGTCTTTCTTTGGTCTCGATTTTCCTCTGGAAAATTACCCTTCCTAATGGAGGCTGTCAATCAAGCTGCCATGGGGATGGGTCTGGATCCTGGCTAAGCCTATAAGATGCTCTGTCTCTGGAGCTTAGTCTTAGGTAGGGTGATAGCAGGTGGGTCAACTGTAAACACTGACTCATCCTAGCCACGGTGCTGAAATGAGGTTCCATTAGCTGCTGCCGCCTGGATGCCTGCAGCCAGGCTGACTTTTGCCCTTTTTAAAGCTCAGCTCACCATTTCCTTCTATCCCATGAACTACCCCATATCCCTGCAAAAAACAGTGTTTTTGCTTAAGGCAGTTGGAACCCATTTCTTACCAGTATCTGTTGCATGCAACCAGAGCTTTTACTTGTACAGAAGGGGTATTCAAGGTTATTTTGTTGGCTTCTTTGAGCTCCCTCTAGAACACACAGTGCTAACCAAGCCTCCTCTTGAAGACTTCCTATCATTCTGGAATTTACCACCTCTCAGGAAGTATATTCTACCTGCCGACAGCTCAGTCAGGAAAGCCCTTTGCTTTAAAACAAAATATTCTCGCTTAGCTTGCACCCACTGGAACTACTTTTATAACCAGGAACTAAACAAAAGCAAGTCCTTGTTATCCTCTGCAAGGGAGCACCACGGTTTTTGAAAAATTGATACGGAAGGAATGACAACTCTGGCTTCAGATATAGCTGGGATCCAATTTTGTCTCAGTGGTTTATCAGCTATGTGACTGGGGCAAGCTGCTTCATCTCTCTGAGCTTCAGTTTCCTCACCTATAAAGTAGGGATAACAGTAGCTTGTAGGATTAAAGACATTAGTTCTAAGTCTCCTAGCTTGATGAATGGCAGCCACTATGATTAAGTGGTGATGATGATGATTGATGATGATGACAATGATGACAGAGGCTCATTCTCATGACTTCACAAGCCCTTTTGTCCAGCTAAGCACCTTCTGTTCCCTACTTGTCCACATAGCCACTCCTAATCATGATCCCTTCTCCTGGGAAGGCCCACCCTAAAATCACAGCATGCATAAGGAAAACATAAGGGAAAGATTTTCAGCCCAAACTGGGCAGGTTTGTCCTCTCCCTCCTGGATGTGGCACATCCATGGATGCTAATAAGAACCACTTCACTTTGGGGTCACCACAGTATGCCATGACTTACGATGCTACAAAATCACATTGCTCCCTGTTTGTGGAAGGTGAGCATTTTTAACCCAAGAATAGGACTTAGTATTTACATTACAGTCCAGGGGGCTGACCTCTGCCCACTGTGCCAATCTGTTGAGTTTGCCTTGGCTTCTAGATGATTGTCTTCCTACACAGTCACTCTCCTCCCAGCTTCAGATCATCCACACACTGGATGTGCACCCTCTCCATACAGTTACTCACCTTCCAGTTTTTGACTAGGTTTCCAGCTTAATACCAACTAGTTCATTAGCACTCTTCCAAGGCTGTCAATTGGTTACTGTTTGCCTTCTCCTCTGGCCCATATTTATCCAAGGTTGCTATAAAGTCCACCTAGGGGCTGGGCACGGTGGCTCACGCCAGTAATCCCAGCACTTTGGGAGGCCAAGGCGGGCAGATCACAAGGTCAAGTGATCGAGATCATCCTGACCAACATGGTGAAACCCCGTCTCTACTATAAATACAAAAATTAGCTGGGTGTGGTGGCTGGCACCTGTAGTCCCAGCTACTCGGGAGGCTGAGGCAGGAGAATCGCTTGAACCTGGGAGGCGGAGGTTGCAGGGAGCTGAGATCGTGCCACTGCACTCCAGCCTAGTGACAGAGTGAGACTCTGTCTCAAAAAAAAAAAGTCCAGTCCATCTAGGACTTAGAGGTCTCTAGGTTAGTGACCCTGCTGGACAGACCATGGCTGAGCGATATCCAAGATGCTGGGTCCTGGCACTTTCTGCAGCCTCTATTTGCTGGTGAGGTTTCCTCTTTATGACTTCTCTAGACCAATTTCTCAGAGCCAATTCTAAGAAATGGAGTTTGTCCCTTGCCAAGCCACTCAGTGATCAATAGTAAATTGCGGAATGAAAAATTCGTGTGATTACAACTCACTGATGCATTACCTGGCAGCTGAAAATGATGGTGACCATTCTCAGCAAACTAACACAGGAACAGAAAACCAAACGCCGCATGTTCTCACTCATAAGTGGGAGTTGAACAATGAGAACACATGGACACAGGGAGGGGAACATCACACACCGGAGCCTGTCGGGGAGTGGGGGACAAGGGGAGGGAGAGCATTAAGACAAATACCCAATGCATGCGGGGCTTAAAACCTAGATGATGATGGGTTGATGGGTGCAGCAAACCACCATGGTACATGTATACCTATTTAACAAACCTGCAGGTTCTGCACGTGTATCCCAGAACTTAGAGTAGAATTTAAAAAAAAAAAAAAAGGAAAGAAAATGATGGTGACAAAGACCATGAGGTAAAAAAAAAAAGATGCCCGGCTAGGCGCGGTGGCTCATGCCTGTAATCCCAGCACTTTGGGAGGCCGAGGCGGGCGGATCACGAGGTCAGGAGATGGAGACCGTCCTGGCTAACAGGGTGAAACCCCATCTCTACTAAAAATACAAGAGAATTAGCCAGGTGTGGCGGCAGGCGCCTGTAGTCCCAGCTACTCGGGAGGCTGAGGCAGGAGAATGGCGTCAACCTGGGAGATGGAGCCTGCAGTGAGCTGAGATCGCACCACTGCACTCCAGCCTGGGCGACAGAGCGAGACTCCCTCTCAAAAAAAGAAAAAAAAAGAAAAAAAGGAAGATGCCCACGATGTGATAAGGGGAAAAGCACAGGATATTAAAATTCAGTTCTACTTATGACTGCAAATAATTTTTTTCTATTAAATAGTTTATTTTTGTTAATGATGGGAATATTTTCTCAGTAAGTTCAAACAATTTTGTAAGAGGGAAGGATAAGCTAGTGTTAGATCTAGAAAAGTTAATACAGCATTATCTTGAAATTTCAGGGGGAAAAAGTGGTTGACTGGAACTTCATCTATCTTTTTTAACCAAACAATGTTAAAATAAACACATTTGAATAGAAAACTGTTATCTAGTTCTTTTATATTTCAAATGTAAAATACTTTAATAGAGAAAATTCCATTTTTCTGCATCTATTTAGACAATATTACAATAAAAGGCAGTGTCGAATGCAGAACGTAGCCAGTGAGAATATTAGGTAATGTAAATTTAAGAAGAAATTTGCTTTTCCATATTAAATAAAATCAATGATCACATAAATTCAACATGATTATGGGGACTAAAGTAAAAATACAAAGTACAATATAGTGCAAGTAAGATTTTTAAAACCTTACTTGTTTAGGAAAAACATGCTGGGGGAAAAATTCAGAAATGTTCTATAACATAGTTGATTATGTTAATTTACTTTTATCATGTTCAAAGCAATCAATATATAAATAAATAAAACTACGAAGACTACGAGTGCTTCTGTTTTCCAACAATCCTCAAAGAACCTCACCAGCCAAGTGACAAGAACAACGCCGGTATGCAAGGAGAAATCTTCATGTCAGTATCTCTCTGCCTGAGAGGCTGGAATTTGAAAACCAAAAGGGGCCATTGCTGTATGTGAAAAATGACAAATGAAGGAGGTTCTGACAGCCTTTCTATAGTACAGCAGAGATGTTTAGGCTGAATGGGAGTTGGGTTTTGGGTCATTTAATTCTAGTACCAACTTGTTTGTCAAAATAATGCCAGTCTCAGAACTAAATCTTTGCTCCCTGATGTGCTAAAAGGTACCAGACATTCCGGAAAAGGAAGACAGGGATTATTCTATCCAAATTCTTTCCATTACTTGCTGGCTGCTTTCAATGGAGTGGCTCAGGCTCAACTGTAATTCTGAGTGTTTCTCCGTCTTGAGAACATTTCCATATTTTGGAGCGGGGAAGGTTCACGCTGATCCTATCTACGATGGCAAGCTCCTGCCTGGAAATTTAGCATCGTTGTCTGACAAATCTAGCAGATGAGGCCAGAACACAGAGGAAGCATCAACTTCTCCCTTCCAAGAAGAGACCTCAGTGGTCACCTAAAACACAGCTGCCCATAACAACGGGCATGTACAAATGGAAGACAAGGGCCCTGGCCCTCAACGAGCTCATGGCCCAGTGAACGGAAAACACAAATTGATCACTATGGTGATGAGGGCCCAGGGCACTGCAGAGAGGGCACGCAGTGAACTGTCTCCACAAGATAGGAGGTCTGAGCTGAGACATCAAAGGCCAGTAGGACCATCTCAGCTGATGGTGGGAGAAGGGCAACGAGGCAGGGGACTGGCAGATGTGAAGAAAATGTGGAAGTGCGGAATGCTACATCGAGTAGGGCTGGCGCAGCAGCATGGTGAGGGGGCTGTCCTAAGAGCTGAGGCTGGAGGGGGAAGCGGGGACTAGAACAGAGGCCCTTGTAAGTCATGCAAGGCACCTGTGGAATTTATTCATTAGATGCAATAGGTACATGGATGTTCAATTCCTGTTTATTTTTTCAATCACACATATACACTATGTATACTCTTGTATGCATTAGATACTTTATATTAAATTTTTGAAACTCACTTGGCTCCTAAAATCAAACCACAGTAAGTAAAATGGGTAACCGGCTCTCCAGGACTAAATGTCTAGACAGGGTGGCCGCCAGCTCTGCCAACATTCCACAGCTGCCTTCCAGGCTTTCAGGAAATGAGCTGGGAGCCTCTGAGTGACAAAGTCTGAACCCAGGCAAGGTCTTCGTCAGGGGCTGGGCAAGAGTTTTCCAAAGGACAAGCTCCTCCACACATGCCCATGCCCAGCACAGGCAGCCACAGAATGGCCTGGCTGTCATCAGACAAGCCACTCAAGGGAGACGGCAGCCAGGCCATCCCTGGTGATAGGAATTACTCCCAGGAGTTCCAAAGAACCAGTGAAGAGATAAAATATCTGTAAAGCATTTAGTCTGATCAACGAAGGTTCACAATGATTAGTATTAATTACAGTGCTTCCCCTCCCTAATTGCCAAGATGTTGCTGGATCTGGCTTTGTACTTGATATCTGTCATGATGGGGCCAGTAGCTACTATCCAGCCACACATGATGATAAACGTCATAGCTACTAATTAATAAATACACAGTTCCTCCATCCATTCACCCACTCAACAAATATTTATTTAGTATTTAATCTACGCTGGCCCCATTCTATTTTGTTTTTTACAGACGAGGTCTCACTCTGCTGCCCAGGCTGGTCTCAAACTCTTGGGCTCAAGTGATCTGCCCACCTCCACCAAATGTTGGGATTACAGGCGTGAGCCACCGTGCCCAGCCAAGACCCTATTCTAGAGACACAGCGACAGCACAGACAAAAATAAGCATTATCTGCATTTTAGAGATAAGGAATTGAGACTTAAATAATTAGTGAAGCTCTGCAACACTCCAGGAAGTTTGTAGGTACTAGGGATACGGCAGTGAAAAAAGTAAAGAAATGATCATACACCGAGTTGCGATTTAAATCACGCAGCCAACATGACTCCCAGGTGCTGCCCATCTCCTGCCTGCCCTCAAATGCCCCCCACATTCCAGTCCCACCACCGCCTGCTGGGGCTCTAACCCCTGTGCATTTGTTCACATGCTCTTCCTGGCTTGAAGAACTACTGCTGGCCCTTTGAAGCTCGATTCCATTGGTAGCATTTCCCAGGACCCCGTCTTCGGATGTCTGGGCAACTCCTGCCCTATCCTGTCACCATCTCTTGATTTGGGTCTTTCCCCACTAAACTGAGCTCCTTTGGAAGGACAGGCCTGGGTGGGTCAGATTCACCTCCATGTCCTCTGGCCCCTGAGCCTGGCCTGGGGCAGCCGCAGTGTTCAGTACTGAGAGTGAGTGCATGCATTGGCTCACTCTGAGAGGCAGCTGAGATGGGGGGTAGGGACAGCCTAGCCCAGCCCACCTAGCTGGATTTCCCTATAAAGAGATGGCAGCGGCCGGGCACGGTGGCTCACGCCTGTAATCCCAGCACTTTGCGGGGCTGAGGCGGGTGGATCACGAGGTCAGGAGATCGAGACCATCCTGGTTAACACGGTGAAACCCCGTCTCTACTAAAAATACAAAAAATTAGCCAGGCATGGTGGTGGGTGCCCGAAGTCCCAGCTACTCGGGAGGCTGAGGCAGGAAAATCGCTTGAACCCGGGAGGAGGAGGTTGTAGTGAGCCGAGATCGTGCCACTGCAGCCCAGCCTGGGTGACAAAGTGAGACTCCACCTCAAAAAAAAAAAAAAAAAAAGAGATGGCAGCAAGGATAACCTTGTTTATTTTCTTTCTCCCCCTGAAGTCTGATGGAAAGGAGGATTAGTTTACTGTGTGTTGAGTGAGAAAAGTTTAAACACTGATCTAAAGAGAAAAAACAGCTCCCTGTACTGACACTTAAGGGTAAATTAATCAAAATTTCCTTTGCTCAACGAGAACACGTTTTTCACTTGTGGGAAAAGTTAATTCTGTTAGTCCAGACTTCCCTGAGGAACCCAAGTCATCAGGTATCTCTGAGGAAAGGATGCTTCAACAGCAGAGATGAGACGCAGGCCTGTGGTGCAGACCTCCAGCCCAGCAACGTCACCCCCCGCCTACCTGCCACTTCCACTGGGCCATGGACCCCACTTGCCAGGGCTACTCTACCTCCAATTCCCAGGACTAACAGGGAGTAGGGGAAGGACCCAGGGATTTGGGTTCCAGGTATGGCCCTCACTGAGCTGTGTCACCTAAACTACATCAACTTCCCTCTCTGGTCCTCATCTGTAATGGATTCATGATGGGCTCAAACTGGGTGATAGCCAAGGCCTCTTATGGTTCCAATAGTGTACATGGAGAGGGGAAGAAGGCCATAATCTGAGAAAACTGATTTTGAGACTCTTGTGATCCCAACTAACTCTGTGACCAAGGGAAAATCTCTTAACTTCTCTTAGCCTCAGTTTCCTTGCCTTTAAAATGGAGCCAACAGTAGAGTAAGCTCAGATCCTTCATGATGTTGTTAGAGGACAAAACGAGGCAGCGTATATGAGAGTCCTCAGTAAGTTGTCATGAGAGACCAGCATCTGCCTTTCCTTGATGCTAAGAGGACAGATGGGAGGACGCACTTTGCCTGACAGATCGTTGCCTGGTGAGAAAGAGCCTCCATCAGAGTGATGGCAGTGGCAGGTCGTCTGGAGCGGCTGAGTAGGCAGGAGCCCCACCCCACTGGGTGCAGCTGCAGCTGCCCAAACCATGGCTGCAGACTCAGGCCTCCCTGCACTCTTGGGGACCTGGGAAGTCATCCCTGCCCTCATAGCTTCGGAAGTGCCTCTTCCCACTATCTGACTTCTCCCTGCTGTTGGCATCTGCTCTGATCTCAGAGCAAAACTGGGGCCAAGCCCAGGTGCCATGAACAGCATCAGGAGGCAGACAGATTCCTGAGCAGAAGCAGGCAGGTCCCTAGGAATGCTCCACCTTAAGGCCAGGGAGGGCCTGAAGGCTGGGGGCCAGACTGCCAGTCCTGCAGATCAAACTGGGGACTTGTGGTGCCTTTTCCAGGCCCACCCATGGCTGCCCATGGACCAACTGACACACACTTCCTCTCCTCTGAGGTCCATAAAAGCCCCAGGTTCAGCCAGAGCAGGGCAGAGGTCAGAGAGGACAGAGAGACCACAGGAGGACCAGCTGCAGAGAGGATCTATCCTCTCTGCTGAGGGCTTCAGAGATCTGCACAGATGTTGAGACTCAGCTGCAAAGAGGAGTCACCCTCTTCAGGGCCTCCTCTCTGCTGAGAGCTGCAGAAATGGTGGGATGACCTGCTGGCATAAAGAAGCCACTCACTCCAGGGTCTCTTCTCTGCTGAGAGCTGTACGCTCAATGGGATGACCTGCCTACAGAGAGGAGCTACCCATTGCAGATCTCCTCTGAGCTGTTGTAACACTCAGTAAAGCACCTCTTCATCTTGCTCACCCTCCACTTGTCTGCATACCTCATTCTTCCTGGATGCCGGACAAGAACTTGGGCAAAGGCACCACTGGCCACAGAGATTTCTGGCCAGAAAAGCAACATTCTAAAGATCCCATAAGAAGAGTAGCAATACCCCCACCTTGCCCCTTATGCTTACCGTTGACTTCCAACAAGAAATAACTATTTTCCAACCCTTGAAGGCAAAGCTTTCTGGAAACAAAATTGGCAACACTTAACAAAACCACATATACATTTCCCTTGCAACTGTGCAACTCCATTTCTTGGACTCTACCCTGAAGATAAGCTCCAATGCTATGAAAACACACACGCAAGTTCATCCACTGCAGCCTCATTTGTAAATGCAAAAATACGAAAAGCAACCTAAATGCTCAGATATAGGAGAAGGGCTGAATAAACCATGGCATGTCCACACAGAGTACGATGTGGTGGCAAAAAGGAAGGAGGAAGGACCCTATGAATGGACTTGGAGAGATTTCAAGGACCCAATGTTAACTTAGAAAAGCAAAGTGTGAAAGTGCATGCAACAGACATGTAACATACAACAGTATGCTACACCTCATGGAAGAAAGGGGCTACAAAAATGCATGCATGCATCTGCTCACTTATGCAAAAGAAATACAGGAAGGGTAAACTAGAAATTAAAGAGACTGGTTCCCTAGAGGTGGTGGAAGAGAAAGGGATGCAGAGAAGAGTGGGGTAGGATCACGATGGCGAGGATGGGGAGGAAGTGATGCTTCTCTGAGTGTATCTTTTGCTATAGATCTGACTCAGGAGCATTGCGATGTTTAGCATGTCTTTCATATGTCCACACAAAGCAATTCAAACCTACCAAGACCGGAAGGAAACCCAAAATGGAATGTAAACATTAATAAGTGGACCAAACTATTACAAATAAATAGTATTACCACACTGAAGGGGGTGGGAAAGAAAAGAACTCACCTAAGTAATTTTGGAAAACAGTATTTTGATTGGATAGCATAAGGCTGAGGACAAAAAGACTGTACACAAACGCTATCACCTACTCAGTAATTGGGTAAATGTGCTTCTCATGGGGACATGGGTTAATAAATCTGAAACTACTTTAGTGTATACTAGAATTAAATAAATATATTTTAGCTAACAAAAGCTGAGTTTCTTGCTGTTGGGGAAAAAAATTGCAGGAAAGGGAAAAAGTTAAAATGAGCCTTGTGATGTTGGACTAGAATTAGAGATACCAGTATAAACACGTGGTTTTTAATATACATCCAGGTAGGTGGACACAGAAATACAGATGAGTGTGCACGCATGGATTAGTGCCTGTCCATATCATTCCCAGCTATGTCCCCTAAAAGGCCTAAAAGCAATGACAGCTCAGTGGCAATAAACATACCTGGCACCCAAACCTTGGTTTCTCTATGCCATTCTCCAATAAAATGAACCAGGGCTCCTTGGAGAAGTGGTTGATTCCAGAGTTGAGGAAGGGAACATACAAGATAAGCCTTGAACATCTTGTGATACCAGAAAGTTAAGGAAGTCTTCCAAAAACAGGTGGGGGTGGAGGGGCTGGTTGAAAACACAAGAGCAAACCTGAAGGAACTTCTAATGGCCAAAGCTGGGATAATTTGAGCAAGAAAATAAATAACCACAGGATTAGATTATAAATCACAGGATAAAAGAAATGTCTATGAGTTTTCATTGACATAAGTAAATAATCACATACATAAATGGGGGAGAAAGACCAATTCTTTCTTACAGTAGAGTTCCAATAAATAAATGTAGGACTACAAAGACAGAGAGAAACAGAAAAATCACCAGTAGGCAATCACCACAGTAATAATTATTGTGGACAAGATCTACCGATGGATGCTAAAAGTAATGAGCTCATGTTTGAGGAGAAAGAGATTCACATGGTCTCAAAGTATTTCCTCCAAGGTATTTATCAATTACGAAGAAAAGACAGTGACTTTACAGTGAAGCCTGGCAGACATCCCTTTAACCCAGTGATCGAGGTCAATGTCACCAGTGATGTCCACACCATGAATCCCGATAGGGGGCACCAAGAAGGTCACAACATGAGCTCTGTGGGATTCTTGCCAAAAGTGCACAACCTCAGTCCAAAAAAGAACTTCAGACAAACTTAAACTGAGGGACATTTAAGAAAATAGCTGACAAGTGCTCTTCTGAAGTGTTAGGGTCATGGAAGACAAAGAAAGACTGAAGAACTGCCCCAGATTGGAGGGGAATAAGGAGACATGGCAACTGAGCAGTGTGGGATCTGGAACGGGATCCTGGATGGAAGGACATTTGTGGGAAAACTGGTGCAATCTGAATCGGTGTGCAATTGAGTTAATAGTATTACACGTTGGTAACTTCCTGGGTTTGCTGATTACACTCAGGTTATATAAGATGTTCACGGGAGGGGCCACTGGGTGCGGAAATGACTTCTACATTAGTTCAAAATTTTAAAAAGAGGTAATGTTTAAGTCCCTTATTGAATGATTTCACAAACACTTAGACCAAACCACCAGGGCCTTTGCTAAGTCCCACTTAAGGATTGCTCTAGTATCAATGCCTCTAGAGGATGCAGGGAACAGAGGCTAAGGAGTGCTGGATGTGAACCAGAGCTTCCAGGGCCCTTGTGGAATGAGCTGGTTTTTGGTGACAGGCTCTGGGACAGTCTTTGGTTACAGAAAGCCCCAGAACTGAAGGGATCTCTGGAACATCCTGCGCAGGTCCTCAGCCAGGGCTAGCGTCCTGAGGGGAAGAGGATATAAACTCAGGCACTGCGGGGTACCCAGCCCGGGCAGCCCCTCCACCTCCTGGACTTTTCTCTGCAGACCTTACCTGCCTTGGTTCTCAGAAGCAATCAGGGCCCGAGGCCTGGAAGGGGCTCCCCACCTCTATGGGGCTGAGCCTCAAGGGCCCTGGGTTCTGGGAACCACAGCTTCTGTGTTTCAGGGATGACACCTGGGCTTTACCAGTACACAGTGTGGCCCACCTCTTAGGACTCGGCCTCTGGCTGAGCTCTTGTCCCAGGAAGCTGCTTGGTGACCCTGGCCTGGGCTGTTGACTTTCATACCTATCCCTCACCCAGAGAGAGTGGTCTGCCCTGCACCTGCCTGGTTGCCTTGGCTGTGCTCCTGAGGCCTGAAGGTCAGCCTGCCTGCCTTCCTGAATCATTCCAGGGCCCACCTTTCCTCTCCCACTCCCTCCCACTGTGCTCTGCCTATCACCAGCACATCCTCCACAGGCCTTGCATGTTGACTGCTTGCCTGGGTTCAGTCTGTCTGCCAGAGTGACCTTCTCCCAGATCCCCAGTGAGGCAGGTTCTAGTCTAAGCCAACCACCCAGGCCCCCCCACAGGAGCCAGTGATGGCCTATGTCTCCAGCAGGATCAAGCAAGGCTCCAGGTTTATGCTGAGGGACCTAGCAGAACCCATGTTACAGGGGAGTGAACTATTACATACTTGGCCCTCCAGGATCTGCAAAATCCACCTTGCCCAGCAATGGGGGATTATAGATGGCCACTCACTCCCTTCCAATCATGAGGCAGGGGTCCATGTTCCCTCCCCTTGGGTGAGAGCTCATGCAAGTTCCTGGGCCAGCCTTACAGCCCAGCAGCTTCCATTTCCTGTGTCTTGGAACACTCCCTCTTGGGAAGCTGGCTGCCATGCCAGTATCCAACTCCCCTGAGGCCACCTGCTGTGAGGAAGCCCCAGCGAGCCAGGTGGAGAGAAATGGGCAGAGAAGCCCTACAGCCCTGGCTGTGCCGGCCAGCCCAGCCCAGCTGCCAGCCCAGTGGCTCCAGCCCCAGCCACCATCTGCCCCCAGTACCCAGGAGACCTAAAGTGAGAACCACCAGCTGAGTCCAGTCAACCCACAGAACCCCATGAGATAATAACGACCTTCTGTTTCAAGCCACTAAGTTTTAGACTGGCTTGTAACACAGCAATAGGTAACGGGAACACTGGCTGAAAGAGGCTTTTGTTTGCAATCCTTAAGGAAAAGAGGGCTTTTTATGAATGTCAATTTTTTTCATCTGTAAAGTGGGGAGAATAATTCCACAGGTAACTGAGCAAGAACTCTGCGAGCAGAACAATGCTCATTTGTGATCTGTGTGGAATGTTTGTCGCTGGTGATCTCAAGGGGTCTCTGGGCTTTGAGCTTGGTCTTTCTGCACAGGGACAATCGTGCTGATGTCATCATCTCTTTCTGCTTGCTGAGTGACTGTGGTCACATTTAAAGCAGTCAGCAGAGCCCCTAGCATTGCTGACTGCTTCCCAGGGGCCAAGTAATGTTCTAAGCACTTTATGTCCATCAATAATTGTAATGCTTGCAACAACAGAAGAGAGGAAGACACTATCATCACATTTTATAAATGGGCAAAGTGGAATCAGCGAGCGGGAGAAACATCTCCCCTTTCCTCAGGGTGTGAGAGAGCTGGGATTCTCTCATGTTCGCCAAGGCCATGCTCTAAATGGCCCCACTCTATTGTTTCTGAGCCTCAGCTTTCCTGTCTACAAAATGGAGTAACAATGCCCACCTGATTACTGTTGTATGGATTCAATGGGAAACAATCATGATGTCTGGTACACATTTTTTTCTCTCTCTCCACTCCTACATTTTATGGCTCAAAGTTGCAAATACCAGATATTTACTGAGAAAATCTATGTTCTCAATGCTTTTTCAAAGACCCACCCATGAAAGGAGAATGCTTTTTAAGGAAATCCAGCTTAGAGTCCCTGATAGGCTCAGAAATACAAGTTGAAACGATGCAGGGAAATGCAGACCCCTTCCTCTTGGGAAGGTGGAGGTGACACCGTCTCTAGTCTTTGTCCCCAAGGTCCATGCTGAGAGGTTCAAATAGACGATGAAAGCAATGTGGCCAGAGTGTCCTTTTACCAAGCAGGCTCCCCCACCCCATCCCCATGATTACCCAGCACTTGAGCGTCCCCATTTCCAAATGCCCCTGGGGAGATCAGCGTTTGCTAAGGGCACAGAACAGCTCCCGTAAGTGCGATTTCCTAGCACTCAGGTCTTGCTGAGCAAATGGCTTGGCCATGCTAGCTGTGGATCAACAGCCTGTATTTCATGAATATTTTTCTTTGGCGGGCTGCACCCATCAACATTTCACTTACTCAGGAGCATTTGCATTTTAATGTGATTTTTTTCCAACATGACTAGACAGCTGGGTGGGTTTTACCATCTTCTGAGATACAAAAATTCTCATCTCTGCATATGGATCCCTCCAACTGTGTTTGCGTCCAGCCTGGAAATAGCATCCTTCTGAATGATAACTTTTTGAAGAAACTGCGGCTGACATGCAGGGAGAAGTCAAGCTTACAATTTTGATCCAATACTTGTCCAGACTAACAGGGGTTAAAAAAAAACTTGAAAAAAAATGACTTTGCTATAAGGTGCTACACTGGAAAAATACACTTGATACTACTGCTGCCTAGCTATCTAAATTCCCGCTACTCTCCCCTCTCTGTCAATCCCATCACAACTAAAGGATTGTGATCTTTACACAATCTCTGTCAATCCCATCACAACTAAAGGATGTGAACATCCTTGATCTTTTTTGAAATTACTACCCCAGGGCCTTTACACTGGCTGTCTCCTCTACTGGAACACACTTTGCCCAAACGTTTGCACTGGCTGGCTCCATCACAGCATTCAGATTGCTCAGATACCGTGTCCCTGCAGCAAAAGTCTTCCAGGATACCCTGTCTATAAAGGTCCCCTATTCCCATCACTCTCCAGCTATGTACCCTACACTTCATTTTCATCAAAGTACTGAAGAAAGTAGGATTCCCTACTCCAAAGTATGTTATTTTTTCATTTCTCCTCCCTACTTTGAAGAGAAGCCACTTGACAGCAATCGTGTCCTTCATTGCAGCCCCTGTGCCAAGAACAATGCCATATGGCAGAGGCTCAATGAATGAGTATCTGCCCATTTTCCAGAAAAGGAAGTTGTGGTTCCTGGGGTTAAGTAATTTGTCCACGATGGCCCTGCTAGGCGCCAGGGCTGTCAACCCTTGGGGCTGTCCTGAGCCCAAATCCACAAGATTAACTCCTGTGCCCCACATTAGCAAAATTTACATCTCCTGCCTCTGTCCCTTAACTTCCTTATTCCTGGCATCTATATGGGGCCTGGCACCCAGGAGAGGCTCACAAAATGCTTACAGAAGGAGGGTCTGAATACATGAACAGAATCCCTGGCCCCCAACTCTCTGGGGAGGAAGAGAATGTTCGGGCTTTTCCAGTCTGACCACTCATTGAATCCTCATTCCCTTCTCTACTAGTTTCACCAGATGGTTGCCCAGATTTCTGCTCGAGCATTTCCGGGGCTGCATGAATCACCTCCCAAAGCAGTCCATAAGCAATGGCTCCTGTCAGCTCTGCCGGTCAGAAAGCTCTTACACCGAGCCAGACAACAGCACTTGCTTGCTTGTCCGTTAAACACACACCTTCTGAAGCTGTTGCCTGGACTGTCTCTTACCCATCTCAAACATGATGCTAGAAAAGAAAAGAGAGAAACCTATATATGAGTACTGAAACTAAAAAGCAGGGAAAAATACGCTCCTAAAAATAGGTAAAGGGCACAAAAATAACTAGCCAACTAAACAAAAAAAGAAGCAAAAGGCACCTATAAACCACATGGCTTCAGTCCTGTCTCACCGCACATAAATGAGCTACATCTGTCCTTTACGAGCCTGTTTGCCTGTCCACAAAATGGCGATGTGGAGAAGGTGGCTGCATCCCTTCTAAGGGCATCTGCTTCTCCCCTTTTGTCATGAACTGTTTTTAATGCCCACAGTTCTTTGAAACCCGGCACCACTTGCTCTCCAAACTAGTATGCGCTCCAAGGCTATGTAGAACTGTTGGCCACCTTGTCATAAGCAATGACAGCTAACCTGGATTAAGGCTTACTATGCAACCAGCATGGAGCCCACCTCCTGCCCTGGCTGGCTCATTTACTCCCCAGCACAGACCTAAGAAGGAGGCACTGTGCCCTCACCAGACAAGAAACCCAAACCTTCGCATGGCCAAGTCCTTTGCTACCCTGGACTCCCACCAACTGGGGCCAGCAGCCCTGGGATGGGCCTGGCACTTGTGAGCCTCTGACTCCTGGCTCTTGCTCAAGCCATGCCTTGCTTTACTGGTTCCATCTAATAACACTCAACTTCCTGTCCAGCCCAGCCCTGGTGCCGTCTCTGCTCCAGTCTGCCTCAGTTCCCCCGAGCACAATTCATCGCTCCTTTCCCCGCAATCATGCAGCCCACTAACTGTACCTCCCAGCAGCGCAGCCTTCCCTTCGCCTCACAGTGCACCTGTTTACATGTTTGTCTCTCCCTCTGAGTTGCAGGGCCCTTGAGGGCAGACGCCACATCTTAATTGCCTCTGCACCCTTCTCACCTCTTGTATTTAAGCATCGTTTTATGTTTACAGGAAGATTTCATATACATCTGCTGAATAAATGGGGGAAAAAAAGGAATAAAGAAAAGCTCCCAATAAATGGCTCAGTCTCAGATTCCATGTGATTTAAGGAGCATCCCAAAGCTGGAGGACCGAGAAATTCCTTTGAATGATTTCACTGTTTCTCTCTGCAAGTCAGAATATTCTATAGGAGAAAGTTCCAGGAGCAGAAGATGAGGGTGACATGAGTTAAAATATCTATGGTTTAATGGTTTCTTCCACATTTTCCTAATTTTGCACTGCTATGATCTAAATATGTCCCCCCAAAATTCATATGTTGAAATCTTCACCCTCAAGTTGCTAGTATTAGGAAGCAGGGCCTTTGGAAGGAGATTAGGTAATGAGGGTGGAGCCCTCATGAATAGAATTAGTGTCCTTATAAAAGGGACCCCAGAAGACAGCTCTCCACCCCTCCCTCCACTAGGTGAGGAGGCAGCATGAAGACGGTCATCTGCAAACCACCGAGTGGGCCCTCTCCAGGCACTCAATCTACTGGCAACTTGATCTTGGAATCCCCAGCTTCCAGAACTGTGAGAAATAAATGTGTGTAGTTTAGAAGCCACTCAATTTATGCTATTTTGTTATAGCAGCCCAAATGGATGAAGACAGGCAGCCTGCCTGCAGTCAAACACCCCCTTGAATTATTCTGCATGCAGGTGAAGATTTACTTCTAACCAAGCCTCGGGGACCCAGGAATCCTTCTAGTGGGTGCTGCTCCACTGTGGTCCCCATCTCAGAGCTGAGGGTCTCCTGTTCTGAGAGGGAGAAGTCTGAGCTTTTTGTGGGGGGCTGTGGGATACCTGGGAGTGGATTCTGGGGCCTCACCTTCGACAAAGGACATCAGGCCAATGAGAAGCCACCAACCATCCCAGATGTGGCTGCATGGTCTCCTGACAACCACAGAACTCCTGGGTCCTCCAGCATACCACAGAGGAGGCACAGACCAGTGGTGGGAAATGGGAAAGTCAGCTTCTCCCACAGCCCCAGTTACCAAGAGATGCCAGCCTCCATGCAATCAGCAAAGTGGGACAAGTCTTGGCCTAAAATCTACTTGAAATCAATCAAGTTTTGGGGGGAAGGGAAGCTGAGTAGAAATCAGAAGGCTGGGGTTTGGTTACCAGCTAGTCATTTCTACCTGGGTGATCCTGGTCAGTTACCCAGTCTTTCTCAGCCTGTTTACTCATTGGCCAAAGAACAATCTCACAACAGCTGCTAGACTTTTTTCAACTCGAAACGAAAAGGCACAGGAGAAAGTGAGCAGCAGGAAGAGCAGAGTCAAAACAATCAAAAACTGACCTTAGAGGAGACAGAAATAATTCATGGACTAAAGCAAACAAACAAACAAAATGCTCTAATTACTATTCCAGCACTCAGTATACTAGTAGCTATAAAACGAAAATAGATTCCAGGAAAAGAAATGATCAGAGACAAGAAAAAGCTCTCAGAGGTTAAAAATGTTAGTGCCAACATGTTTTTTAAAAGTTAAAAAAAAGCAAAATGACAAACCAGAAAATGAAGTCAACAAAATCTCGAATAAAGAGCAAAAAGGCAAAGAAATGAGAAAAATGTAGAAGAATATAATCCCTTTCTGGAAGATTTTAGAGCTGACAAGTAAGAGGCTCAGATATGGAGAATGGAAAACAAATGAAGGTTTTAAAACAATCAGTTCCATTAGAATCTCCCAGAGCTGAAGGACGTGGGCTTTCAGATGAAAGGGGGCCACTGGGCATCCAGAACAATGAATAAATGAAGACCCACCCTGGAGACTATCCTCATGTAATACATGAACCCCATGAATGAAGAAGAATTCTTATAATCTTCTGGACAAGACAAATAGAGAATAAATAATCTACAAAGAACCAGGCATCGGACTTCTCATCAGCAACAAGGAAAACTCTAAAGTCTTCAAAATTCTGAAGGCAAATGATCTAGAACCTGGAAATCGACCTTCAGTGTGAGCATAAAATACAGACATTTTCAGACACTTTACTTTCCATGTACCTTTTCTTAGGAGGTAACTTAAGCAAACAGAGCCTCCAACCCAGGAAAGCAATGACGGTGAGCCCAAGATGACCTGGGGGCAGCAGCCCTGGAGAGGATGCAGTACCCTGGGTAGAGGAGGGGAGAGCATCCTGAGAGGGGTTAGCTCTCCAGAAGAAACAAAACAAAACAGAAAAACAATGGGGAAAGGCTCAATGGAACAGGCGGTATGAAAAAAGGGAGAGTATGAAAAAGGCATAGAAAGCAAGAAGAAAAAAAGAAAGGCAACCAGAAATCCCAGAAAAAATATCCTGTGCAATAAAGTGATGATCCAAAGATGAAGCAAACTACAATATGGCATGCTTCCAAGCAAATGACATTGTGTAGGCGGGAGAACCCACTCAAGTCTGTTCCAGGCCATTCTGCTTTGAGTGGTCTAGGGGTTCTGGCATTGATCTCCAGAGAAGAAAAGGTCATCCCAGTGCATGAGTTAACCCAGCATTAGCCACTTCTGATGCAGCAATAATTATAGCAATGTCACCTACTGTTCTCAACATTCAGAGTCAAACTATGGACAATGCATACGCTAGAGCATTCAGGATGGGATGCAAGCTTCAGCAACCTTGAAGGAATGTCAGCCTGAAAGTAGCAGGTGGGTGGCACCGAAGCTTGAGAGGAAAGACAAAAGGAACAATATGGATTAACAACCTCACCTTATGAAATAAGGAGACAGACACACTGTGCAAGGGTGCTGGAGAAAAATGTATCTAAAGATTGAAAAGTAACAGAGAGAAGCACTTTAACAAGCACAGATGAAACTGAGAGGAGGAGAAAGAGCCACTAGTACGGCAGTGGATTCCTCTTCCACATCAGGAAGTCCATGACTGGGGCTCAAAGACGATCAATGCACTGTCTGGATGCAAATCCTGGATCACACAAAGTGGGGACAAAGTTCTGACGAGGATTAAATGAGTTTATAGGAAAAACATCCCCAGAACAGTGCCTGGCACAAAGCAAGCATTCAGGATGTATCAGGGCTTTTATGATATACTTGCCTATACAATTTGATTTGTGACAATGTGCATGTGTTAACTTTTAAAAACGGTTTTACTGTGAAATAAAAACATATGCCAGAGCTATTTGAAGGAACAAATTCCAACGCAAGCCCGAATCATGGCATAAACTGTAAAGTACGATTTTAGAGCCTGCTAAGCAGGCAAGGCAGCACGCTCTGGGAGCTGGAGAGTGTCATGGAAAATATGGAGGGCTGTGGTGAGGAGGCTTCCCAGAGCCAGGCCTGCAAGGAGACCCTGCCCTTTGCATTCCCAAGCTGCAAACTGCAGAGTACTCTGCTGCCGCATGATATCAACATAACAAAGTGTTATTTTTTACAAATGGAAAATAAATGTTTCCACCTTTTGGGGCACCTGGGCACTTCTTACAAACTGCTTGCAAGTGGGATTCAAACTACTACTCTCCTGATTCCATTTTTATTTGCAGAGTAAGGCAAACAGAGCAGAGGCTTTCTGCTTCCACTTTTGCGAAAAGAAAAACAAGTGAGGCTTGGAATGGCCTCTAGAGTTCCAGAGGGTGTGGTGCAGCTTCTGGCTTGCCCCTCACCCAGCCCAGTCCCTTCATGGAAGTCCCAGCTTTATTCCACACAAAACAGGGCAGGAGGTGCTTTGTCCCAGGAGGTGGGGCTGCAGTGAGCCTTGATGCCACAAATGAAGTCTCCAGTGGGTACAGGGTCATGCCTGTGCACTGCCGCTACTTAGCTGGAACAGCCCAATCTCTATTTCTGGGGTTCTACCTCAGTTTCCCCATTGAGCTTGAACACTGACACCCTGACACCCTGCCTGGCTCACTCCAGTGCCCACCTTCTAGAAGACCGGACTCTGAGCCCCATTTCTTCCACAGCTCACTGCATAATCGTTGAGATCGGTAGGAAAGGCAGCAGGTGGGTAGGTGCAGTGAGAGGTGCACAGGAGTGGGGCCAGCGAGAAGGCCGGTTTGAATATCCACTCTATTACTCACTGGCAGAAACGTTTTTTTAACCTTGCTGAGCTTGGGCTTTCTCAAGGATTCAATAATTTAACAAATATGCGACCAAGTGCCCACCTGGGGCCAGGTACCACGCTAGGTGTTGAAGATTTGAGAGGTGCACAAAGCATGTTGCTTTGTAAGGAACTTACCAAGAAAAAGGCCACCTGGTGGTGGATGCCATGATGGGCAGGCACCACGTGGTGGAGCAGCCCAGAGACACCGGAGCAACAGCCTGCAGTGGAAGGGACCAGGGTCAGAGAGAAGGCGACAGCGGGCTGAGATCTGAAGGAGGAAGAGAAGCGGGAGAGTGTTCCAGTGGGGGCAACAGCACGTGCTGTGGTTCAAAGCAAGAAAAAAATGGGCCGGAAACACCTTCCCAAGGTCTGGTGCATAGGGTGCTGGGGGTGAGGAAGATGCCAGAGAGCTATGCCAGGAAGATCAGAGACCCTGGAAGCCCTTGGAAGGGCTTTAAATCATTGGTAAAATTCCCACTTTGTAGCAATGTGAGGCTGAGCGAACCATGATCCTGGAGGATGCGTCGGGAACTCCCTTGTAAAACAGATGCTAACATGACCATCCCACTGCCTGGGTTTTGGCTTGCCTCATTTGACAACTCTCCGCTCCCTTTCCTCCTATGCATGCACACCCACACATACACACACGCACCACACACACTCTAACAACATGCACACATGTGTGATTTGCTGGAACTCAGGTCTTTGGCTACGGAGCTAAAACAGGGCCCCACACTTCCCTCACTCTATCAAACCAGCAGGCAGATCTTTCTATCTTGCCCAGTCCTAGCTTCCTGCCCTTCCCGCTGGCCCATGCTCTCCTCCTGGGTTAGACACATCTGTTCTTCCTGCCTGGACTGCCCTTCTGCACATAGCTAACTGCTACTCTTCCTTTAAGATGCAGCTCAGATGTCCCCTCTCTGGGACACCTTGTATGACCCTCGTCCAGCTTCAAGGCAGGTTCTGCACTTCCTGCACTTACCTGGCAGACAACATCTGTCACTATTCTCTGGAGATGCTGGCTGTCTGGCTTGACTCCCTGCCTTGGCCATTTCTGTGCCCTCAGCTCCAACCTATCGTCAGGAGAGAGGTGGTGCCCAGCAGGAACGTGTGGCTGGGATGAACACTCCATCCCGCAGTGCCCTGCACCAATATGCACATGCTGTGGACTCCAAGAGGAAGCCACCTGTGGCTGAGGACAGGAGGTCTCTGGGTCCTCACTCTCTCCTTCACTGCAACCGCATCTACACCTTCCCTGTGCGTCATCCCAATCCCATCTGACCCTTGCTTAAAAGAGTCCTTTCTTTTAAGATCTCTTGAAGCTGTGCAATATGCAGAGAAGGAGGCTGACCTGTGGGAGAGCTTGCTCTTCCAGGCATGGCCTTAGGGGCTTTTTGTTTTATGTAACATTCCAACAATCTATAGACCTACAGCTCAGCACCTGCAGAAGGTCATGGGCCTGGTTCCAAATCTTCTTTCTCAATCGATTGGGAACAGTTTACACCAAGAAAAAAGTGTTTCGACAAGCAGGACTGTTGCCAGGGGCCCCGCAAACCACACTCTTCCGCAAGTTCGCAAATCCTGATCCTCACGTGTGAATCTCTCCCTCCCCGCCCTCCTCCTGCTAGTGTGGCTGTCCTGGGTTAAGGTGCCTGGGGAACGGGGACCCAAAAGCCACTGGGCTCCAACAGGGCATGACTGTCTAATTTGTCTAATTCATTTAGGGGGTCCCCAAGCCCTTGCACAAATGCAGCACATAGCGTGTGTTCAATGAGAGCTCGTTAACATCAAATGCACTGCCTGATCCCAAAAGAGGGGAATTTCTGACAAAATGGCATTTTTCATTGAAAGGAGATCTAGACCAAGGAGATGTGTTCTTTCTCCTCAAACACTCTCAACATCCCACGGGACCTTAATGCTCACCTTAAACCAGTGCTCGAAGCCAGACGCTAACCCAGCTTGGATGATCCAATCAGCAATGGCTGCTCCTCTTCCCTCTTCTGGAAATCTGCCAGTTTCCCTGAGCAGTCATCTCCACAGGGGAGCTATCCACCAAAACAGGGCAAAATCGTCTTGCGACTTTGAATCAGCATTAGCCAGAGTGGCTCTGGGTGCCAGGCACACACTGGACCCACCATGTACATTTCTGCAAGGCTATTTGCAAATGACTGAACAGGCCCAGAAAGACCGGGCATGTGCCCACATAGTGCAGCCACAATTCGGAGCTGGTGGTGAACCTTAACAATGCAGTGTCCATGAGCAGCTTTGAAAATGCCTGGTGCCAGGCTCCAGCTCAGACCAACTGCATCATTAATACAAAGTGAGGAGCCTGGGCATGAGCATTTTTCAAATGCTCCTGGGAAGGTTATTCTCATAGACAGCTGGGTTGAGAACTCCAGCACTTGAGCAAAAGCTGTCTCTGGCAACGGGTCTTGTCTATTTTTGTTAAATGAGCACCTGCTATGCCCCTGGCACTCTGCTGGCTGCTTGATGGGGAGTGGGGTGGGGGGGATCCATGGTCTTTCAGAAGCAGCTCCTGCTCTCAGGGAGCATCCAGGTAGCTTCAGGAATCAGGGACACACGCAGAACCTGAGAACAGACCCAACCCCTTAGAGCCATAAGGAGTGAGGGCGGCCCCTTCCCTGTTGGCCCCTGGTCACTTTCGATTCCACTTTGCAGCAAACTTTTCCTTCACAGGCCAGTCAGTATTCTTGGGTCTGCTGACAGCACTGCCCAGTCAGGTTGCTCCAGGTTCCTGCCTCCTGAAACCCTGGATTCCCATCCTGCAACCCTAACTTTCCCAGGCTGCCTCCCATGCTGCAAAAAGGAAGCTTCCTCTTTTCCAAGATCCCAGGTGGCCTCCCACCTCTCCCACTATCCCTGTCCCCAACTGCTTGGGTTTCCACTAGTCCTTGGCAGGGACCCTCACGAAACTCTCTGGAGAGTCCGTGTTCCCTCTCTCTGGTCTCCTCTAGTGAGAAAATTTTCCCATCCCATTGGCCATGGTCACTGCAGACTCAGTAGATCTAAAACTTGACGCGTCTTCAGAAATTCACTTGAAACTGCAACAGGTTTTCAGAGGGGCCACCTCCTTGCCCAAATCTACCACCTTTTCCTATAAGTGGCTCCCACTGGGGTTACATGGCCACCTATCCCTGCACCGCCAGACATATCGAGGTGCTGTCTTCAACCCTATTCTTCAATCAGGTCCTGCCACTTTGTCCTGAGGCATCTCCCAGATAATGAGAGCTGCGGGCATTTCAAGTCGTGCATGGTTTTAAAATGCATCATCTCATGGAACCCCACAGCAGCCCTGCATGGTGCTCAGAGAGTGAAGACTTGCCCAGGGGAGCCTCACAGGGTCACAGCAATGTGGGACTAAAGCTGCAGAAACATGGCAGCTCCCATGAGCCTGAAACTGCTGGAGGGGAAATGGAGATGGCCAGGCATCCCTGCCCTAGAGACGCTTGTCATCTGGTGGGGAAAAAGAATCAGGCCAGCTCGAATGTCTAAGCTCCATGCCACTTCCCCAAACATAGCTTCCTCAGCCACCCTGAGGTCAAAATGATACCCTGACCCAGTAATGCACCAGGTGCTGCCAGGAGCCCTGAGGAAGGCGACACATCCAGCCGGAGGTGGCCCGGCTCCCCGGAACACACAATGTGCTCGCACTGCCACCCACTCACTGAGGCCACGCACTTGCAGCATCTCAGACAGATGCGAAAGCGGCACAATCCGTCCACAGGCTGGCAGCAGCTGACTTCATGTCCCTCCTGGCAGAGGGACTCATGAGCACAGCCCCTACTGGAAGCATCTCATGGGCCTGAGCAGGGGATTGAGGAGAACCCACGGATGGGAGAACACTGACCAGGCACAGAACCTTCTGGGTATGAGTGTGGTCCACCAGGGGCCCCCTGGCAGCGTCTCAGTGTCATAGGGGACCTGTGTCCCCCCAAAAGATATGCTCAAGTCCTAACTGTTAGTACCTGTGACTTTGTTTGGAAATGGCATCTCTGCTGATGCAATTAAGTTAAAATCTGGTCACATGAGTCAGGGTGAGTAAACCCAATGACTAATGTCTTCATAAGAGGAAAATAGAGGATTTGGACACAGACAAATAGATGCACAGGGAGAAGGTCATGGGAAGACGGGGCAGAGGCTGGAGTGGTGCAGCTACAGGCAAGAATGCCAAGGATTGCAGGCAACCACCAGCAACCGGGAGGAGACAGGGATCCTGCCCTGGAGCCTTCCGATGGAGCACAGCCCTGCTGACACTTGGATTTCAGGCTTCCCATCTCCAGAACTACAAGGCCATACATTTCTGTTGTCTTAATCCACCCAGCTTTTGGTATTGTTATGGCAACCCTAGAAGACTAAGCACCCAGCTAGGACACGTAACAGACAACAGAGCCAAGATCAGGAACAGCTTCCCAACTGCATGTGTAGCGAGTGTATAGTAATAGGGAGATGAACTTGGCAGCAGAGACTCTGGTCCAATTCCTGCACCATCTCTCAGGAGCCGTGTGGCCCTGGGCAGGCTCCTGAGGGTGTCTGAGCCTTTTTCCTCATCTGCCATTTTGGGCCAGTAAGCCTTGCCCTATCCCAGACTTGCTAAATTTGACCTGTGCCCCCGAAGGGGTTTTATAAACAGAACTTATATGAATCGCAGGGCTCTTGTGGAGAGAGGGCGAAAATTATTCCAAAAGCCAGTGGTTTTCTCCAAAAAAGGAATCAACCGTCAAAGTTGACGTCATGAACACAACCGCTGGCAGCCTGTGTCTTCAGACTCGGAGGTGGGTGAGTGAAAGGTTCCTCTCAAGCTCCAGGGAAAACCCCCGAGCAGGTGGGACCTTGGCTCTAGCTTCCGAATGGGGATGCACTTTCAGAAATCAGTCACTTTGAGTGTGTCTGCATATGCCAAACATTTGCTCTAATTAAAAGTGTTTGCCAACACAGATTTCTAATTTGCGAATGTTAGTTCGACCTCCACGTGGCCGAAGGGCTATCTTTCTAAATCACAGACTAGATCATGTCGCTTCCCTGCCCCCCAACTTCAGCAGGCTCCAGACACGGGTCGATTCTTTCTGCTGCTGTCTGGGTTGTATTATTGTTGTTAACAATGATTTCTGAGGACTCCGAGTGCTGTGGGTCCCGGTGTAAGCCCACAGACCCGTTCAGCTCTGTGACCAAAGTCTCAGCTGTCAGGGGTGAAATGGGAAAACCAAGAATACTCTGATTAATTTAATTACATTTGATTAATTTGATTAATGAACAAATTTAAAATACTTTCACGATTCTAATATTAAGGTCTTCCTGTTTTCTAAATTATTTATCACATGCTGATGAGAGAGGGCAGATTAAAATTGGGCAATCTTATACCAATTTCTCAACTAAACAAATATCCTCTTCTGTGGACATCAAAAGGCTGGCAACCACCACCCTAAACCAGAATTGGTTTTGAGGCAAAGGTGTAGTGAACGTGCTATTTCTCTCTCCCCTCTTGCACACCCTACCTGGGGAGCCTGTCTCAGTGACAGCCTCGAGGGACAGCTTTCCCTACCATGTGACACCACCTCCCAGCCACAGCTGTTTAGAGCAGAGGGCTCCTCACCAAGCCAGGCCACTCTACTTCTCTCCTGGGAAATTAGGCCCCGGGGAGATGGAGTGAGCTTTGAGGCCACACAAATGTAGGGTTGGGGCTGCCATACTGGGGTGACCATTGTTTGGCCATATGCTCAGAGGACGAGAAGAAAAACCTGAAGTTGGAGAGGAAGGTTAGAGACAAAGGGTACAAGATGGTGAGACCTGGGGCTCCAGACAGAGAGGAAGGAAAACATCCTGGTCGCTGATGGCTTCATTTCTCCTTCACGAAGCCAGACTACACTTCTTGCTTCGATTTCCATGAAATGCCAATTTCTTATAAAAAAAAATCTCCCATTGCTGGGAAGCTAAAAAAGGAGAAGTGCTTGAGCCTAGGAATTCAAGGGTGTAGTGTGCAGTGACTGCGCCTGTGAATAGCCACTGCCTTCCAGCCTGGGCAACACAGTGAGACCCCACCCCTTGGGGAAAAAAATCTCCCATTGCTTAGAATCATTTGTCAGTTTTTTTTTTTTTTTTTTGTCTTTGTGTCCCTCTAAATTCCATGAGGAAGGAGACTAGGTAGGCCTCGTGAAATGCTCACCAGTAAAAAGCTGTTTCCTAAATGGTTGAGTGGAGGATTCACGGATGGATGGGCTGGCTGGGGTGTCAGACGCAGGAGCCAGGAGAGCAGCCATCTCTGCACTGCCACCACCCCTGCAGGTGCACAGGAAGGGAGGCCCTTCCGGTACTCTGCTATGAGAGACCAGCCAGAAGCCAGACAGGGGTGACGGCTCCGTGGGCTTACAGGGAAGATGAGTCTCTGCTTAAGTTCCTCCTCACGAGGGAGGTCTACCCTTGGTGAAGGACCAGGAGACAGGAAAGCCAGAGTTACGGGGAGCAGTCAGCTCCCAGTCACGGGGCTTGCCCAGGGTGCAGAGAACCTGAAAGTTCACAGCCTAGGAGAGGACAGCAGCCTGCTAAGTGGTGGCCAGGGCAGAAGAGTGAATAGTGGAGGCGGAGGAGGAGGAGGGGGAGGGAGAGGAGGGGGTGAGGGGTGGAGGTGGAAGGGCAAGCCAACTTCTCCTTCACATGCAGCAGGCACGGTGCCCAGGGCCCACAGAAATGTTCCAATTTAAAATCAGAAGGAAAACAATGAACTTCTGGGTAGAAGAAAATCTTTTAATATGTAACATTAATATGTTCATCTTTATATCAGCTCAGTCCTAAGAAATAATTTTTAATTTTTCTTTTTATGGTGGAAGAGGCCCATGAAAACAGAATTGCCCAGGACCCAAGAAAGTGAGAATGTGGCTCCAGGTGAAGGGAAGGGAGGCCAGGGACAGCAGGGGAGGGGAGGGGAGGTGGTCTGCCCCAAGGGTTGGTATAAAGGCCTCTTTGAAGCTGAGAAGCAGCAGCTGGACTCGCACACAGCTCTGCTTCCTTCTTCAGAAAGGACATCTGAAGGGGAAACAGCTCACATGCTTACAGAGGTCCCGTTTCACGGGGCCCGTAGTGCTTCACACTTTACACTGCAGAGGGGTGACGGCCATGCTCGGGATCCGACACCCCACTCTGCTGCCTTGCAACGGTCTACCTTGTGTAAGTCACCTAAGCACTCCGTGGTGGCTTCAAACGTACTGGCATCCTTCGGCACTCCTCCCATCAAAGGATGGAGTCTAACTGCCCCCCCCATCCCCTCGAATATGGGCTGGCCTTAGAGACTTGCTTCTAAGGACATGCCGGAAGTGATACTATGTGACTTCTGAGGCTCGATCACCAAAGAGGATAGAGACAGACACCCCCACGCACTACAACCTCTTGCTCTCTCTTGGGTCAATGGAGCCCTAGACTACAGGTAGGCAGTATGGCTACCCAGCCACACGGAGCGTCCACAGAGCGATGGAGAGTCTCAGCTGTGCCAGCCTCCCCACTCCCACCCTCAGGCTGTGCACCCCTTCTCACTCAGGGGCCAGACATGCGAGTGAGGAAGCCTCCCAGATGATTCCAGCCCCAGTCACAGTCTGACTGCAACCTCACATGAGGCCCGCAGCAAGGCCACCTAGCTGAGCAAAATAAATGATTATTCATGTTCAAAACCATTATCTGAGGTGTTTTTGTATGCACCAATACATACTCGAAGGCTTAGTATTTTCATCTGTAAAATGGGAATAATAAAATTAACTCCTTTATCAAGCTATTGTACACATTCAGTGAAAGAGTCCACGGAAAGGACTTATTGCACAGGGTCCCTACCCCAGTAAGCACCCAGCAAATATTAATCAAAGCTGGGATTACCATTAATTGTTGTTATTATGCCCATTTCTCAGAAGAGAAAACAGGACTCATAAAGGCTGAAGCAAATTGTCCAAGAATCACACAGGGAATTAGAGGATAAGCTCAGATTTCAATCCAGGTCTGTCCAGTGCCTCACAATCTGACTCGAAGAACAGCTTCAAATAAAAGGTGCATGTCCCCCAAAGTGACTGTGACAGCCATCAAAATCCTGTTGAAGAACTGCCATTCCAATGGTGAGATTGTAGGCACAGAGTGCCGCCAGCCAAGTGCAGCAGAATCTGGGAGGTAGTAGGTCCTTGCCCAGGAAAACAAAAGGAACTGAGGTCAGATGCTCAAAATGTCTTAATAATAATTACCCTGAATAACCACACAGAACTCATACATTTTCTACACTGCTTTGTCATCCATCATCTGGTCGGGTCCCCAACCCATGAGGATAGTTTTTATAGCTTTGCTCTCCTCTTTCATTAAAATGTGAGTCAATAAGGTGGTGAAACCTATGAAATGTGCCAGCAGGTAGATTAGTACTGTCCGAAACTGCAATAATTTATGGACCTCCCAAGATTATTTATCCAATACATATATTTACTAAGTTTGGGGGTAATAACCTGGGAAAGTTTGCAAACAATTCCTTTATGTTGCACGGGGCTGTGACGGATGCATTTTATGAGCAGGAACTGTACTTACAGATCTGCCTGATAAAGCACTGAAGGTTTGACTGTTTTGAAGTCAGCCAGCAGAGCTGTCATCAGCTTCTTATGCATTTAGGAGAACCTACTTGATAAGGTGAGAAACAGTCAGGAGCACCAGGCTGCCCCAAAAGCTCAGCCAGACTGACCGCTGCACAAGTCCCTTTGCACACTGCATCCCCCATCCAGTCACTAACAGGCCAGGAGTGACTTCCAGGTGCCAAGCAAGGTTCACCCCAGGTACTGAGGATCCAGGGAAGAGACAGTTGAAAGAAAGAGATGGAGCCAGCGATGATGATCTCATGAGATGGTTTGGCTTAAACTTATGTATGTACGTAAGTGTGCACTAGGTGCTCTGAGAACCAGGATGAAAGGCTTTCCCAGGACCTGATGGTGCGTTTCAGGAGCCCTAGAGCTCCAAAGAGAGAACTCAGCCCCATCGATTTCCATGCCCAGATCCTGACAACCATTCTAATCTGCTCTGATAACTTGCTACTAAATTCCTTTCTCTGCTTGCATTCAACTTCCACACAAGCTTCAGAAACCAAGAAGCAAACAAAAGGCCAGACATCTAGGGGTCATGCCCAGCCCCCTGGCTCTGGGCCTGGGTTCCAAGAGGGAAGACAGATGAACAAGGAGAAAGCCACATCCTCCATGCCTGGTGGGTAGCAAGGCAGTGTGAGGACAAACTGTCCATTTCCAGGTGGACTGCTGCCAGCAATGGGCACTGGGCATTGGCCGGCCTCAGGGATCATGACCGACTCCAGAGTGATTTCATGTGCTACTCGGCCACAATTCCACTTCTCTTCTCTTGGCCTCAATTTGTTGACCTGTAAATGGGACCCATGGAGGGTGGAATTGCATTCCCTTCCCAGGCCCATGTCCTGGGGCAGGGAACCCTCCAGAGGATGGCAATCTTCACTAGGAGGCTGACTGCCCGGGATGCCGTGCCCTTGGCACCATCTGGCAGTCAGCCAGTCGTGAAGAGGGCTCTCTGCCAGGCCCAGACTCCACAGAAAACAGCTAAGAATTTGCCCACTGGCTTGTGGAACATGCTTTTCTGTCTCTCTCTCTTCCTTAGCAATAGGAAGGTGAAGTTCAAGGGTAGTATAACCACCCGTGACCCTGAGACACTCTTCCCTTCTTCATGTTCCCTTTGTCCAGCCAGCTCTGCAAAAGTCACTGGCCCTGCTGAGCACATTGATTTCAAAGCAAATGGTCACTGAGTGGCACACGCCTTGATTCCAGACCATGTCCCCCTCTCCTACCCACTGAGCCCACTGCTGGGGGAAGCTCAGGGAAGCTGGCGGGCAAATGTGTGCCCTGGATTCTCTCAGCTGTGGATGTAGGTCTGGGAGCATTGTTTTTAGGCCAGGAGCAGCCTGAATGCATTTGCAGAGGCACAGGGAGACCCATGGCTCGGTGAATCAGGCTGGGACACTGCCCGCTCCATTTCCTGTTGGCTAGAGTCCACGATGGCTGGGCAGCAATTGCTGAAGCCAGCGGCTACCTTGCTTTCCTTCCGAGCCCCAGCAGGGCTGGTGGAGTTGGGGTCTGGGCAGCAGGGCCCAGAGGATCAGACAACAGATACAGACAAGCAGAGACACTGCAATCAGAGAAATGGTGCCTGAGGTTACACCCGGGACAACCATGCTCATTCCCACACAGTATTTCTTCTTGAACGTTTTACACATCTTCACTATCCTATAATATAGAGGGTACAGGGGGTCATGAACAGGGCTACCAGCTATCTTTTTAATGCAAATCCTGAGTCAAACCCCTCCCACAGTTCCCTGTCACCTGTAAGACATGGAACCCTCCTTAATCTAGCATTCAAGACCCACTCCCATCTAAGCAGGAGTGACCCAGCCTTGTCCCTGCCTTGCAGCCTCAGCCTGACTCTACAGACCTATAACACAGTACCCTCTCCCCAATAAACAGGCCTCTGTGCTTCTGCTCACACTTGCCCTCCTACCTAGAAGGCCTTTCCCGCTCAACTCTGCTCAGGAAATTCCTTCTCGTCTCTCAGGGCTCAAGTCAAACGCCTCCACCCTCCCCCGGCCAAACCCATCTTTCCTATCTCTGCCTTCTCAGAGCACGTCAGTCACTCTAATTAGCTACAGGTAGTTACGTAACACGTTTTCCCCAACTGTCTCTGAAACCATAAAAGGCAGGGAACATCTCTACTTTCATCCTCCACCCCACTTTGCTAATGGCCTCTCAGTGAAGGCTTGGTCAATATGTCCAGAGAAAGCATCCCAAAGAAGATTGATGCTGAGCGTGAAAATGCTTCCCTCCTTACGATTCAAGGTAAGGCATCTGCAATGTCAGACCCAAAAGCATCTGAAGTTTTCCTGGCCTTTTTCACTCATTTGCACTGCTGGGCAGGCTGGCTTTCAGAAAACCAAGCCCTGGCCCCATGCGCTGAGCACGCATCCCATCTGAGAGACCCCACAGATCTTCCAGTTACGCACTCAGCTCGCCTTGGAGGTTAATCTCACAACATGGTCCATCTTTCCCTCCTACTTGCCAAGGGATTGATCCTTTCGAGTGCAGTTTGCTTAACCTAGGCCCCAAGAGGGCTGCTGTTGATACACAGGCCAGAGCAACTATTTCTCAGTAGGAGGGAAAAAAAAAAAGGCCAGAGAAATACTTTCCAGACCACATTGTTTCATCTGTAAGCAAGAGCGGCAGTCGGAGATACAACCACGCAGACACAGATTGTGGGGACCGCAGTGTTTGGACGTAGCAGGTGTCTTGTGAATACTTGTGGAAAGAAGACAAGGAGGGATGACAGGGCCCTGGGATCAAAAGTGGCTGAGTTAATAGTCCAGCCCAAGAGGGTTGCAGTCTATATCCAGAAACTTCCTCGAAAAAAAGTTCTAGAGCCACTTTGACAATGCAGTCCCATGATGAGTCACCCTGTAACACGGTGCCTAGACTTAAAGAGCTGCTTCTAAATTTACTTTTACTATGGTGGTGGGCAGGCCCAGAAACAGATTTGCCCAAGTGGGTTTAAGAGTGTCAGTCTGCAGGGGTTTTCAGCATAGTGGCAAGACAGAAAACAGAGCTTCACAGGGTTGTGCCCCACCTACCAGGGCTGGCACCCTGCCTTGCCAGTCCCCAGGTCCTGTGGCTCCTTGGAGTGAATGCCTGGCAGCTGGGTGGGTTCTAGGGCTGTGACATGAAGAGGGAAGCAAGGGGGCAGGTGGTGGGAGAGGAGGTGAGATGGAGGGCCAGATCGTGCAGGGCCCTGAGGGTCACCTTAAGGTCCCTGACTATTGGGCACAGGGGGCACTGAAGCTCTCCCAGCCAAGGAGAAATGAGATCCTTTAAAAGGCTCACTCTGGCTACCATACGGGAAACAAACTGTAGTGCACAGAGGAGGAGGAGCGGGAAGCGTGGTGAAGAGAGAGTCGATTGGCTTGGACAGCACGGCGGTGGGTGAAGGTGGGAAGAGTGGCCAGCATGGGGGTGAGTGCCACATTCTGAGTCCTTTAGAGCAGGGAGGGGCATTACTGATTCGACACCCAGGAGAACCAGTGCTTCTTGAACACCACTGTGCTCAAGGTGAGAGCGACCTGGAAGCATGTTAAAAATATAGATTCTGGGCACCCCCATCCCCAGGAGTTCTAATTTGGCAAGTCTGCAGCAAGGTCCACCCATATGCATTTTAATAAGCTCACCTGGTGTTTCCATGGAAGTGGTCCCTGGATCACACTTGGAAAAAACCTGCAGTGACCCAATCTTTGCACTTGAAACCAGTGAAGGGTCAGAGTGGCGGCGGGGGGGTGGCTTGGCCCTAGGCACCCAGGTGAGAGGAGAGAGAAGGCCCCCTGCCTCCCAGCCTGGGCTCTCCCCACCAGCCCCAGCGTGCCTCCAAGTATGCAACAGCTAAATCCTCCAGATTCTGAACAGACCCCTTAAAAAGGGCAGAGGGTGACGCCCCAGGCCTACTGAAACAGTAGCAGCCTATGACACACTACAGCTGTCTGTGTCCACCACTGCAGCCTCAATGCCTAGCAGTGCCTGGACCAGAGCTAGTGCTCCATAACTGTTTGTTAAACTGTTGTCCCTGACATCTGTCTGAGGAAAGGATGATGGTGTGTGTTGGGGGGGTGGATCCTAGTAACCAGACGGGACCAGAGAGAGGCATGCTCTGTGGAGGAGACAGCTCCATGCCTGCACAGATGGACAGAGCCACTCTCAACCGCCACAGGGATGTCCTCGAGCAGACTGGAGGACAACCAGCCCTGCTGTAGAAGATGCATCTACAGAGAATTTTCAGACCGAAGCAATGTTATCTTGTCAGTAAAACAGAGAGGAACAGTCTCAACATTCCCTTTTAGAAGTCGGGTGTATTTTTCCACTCCTCCTTTTCAGATGAAGAACACAGGATGTGGTTTTCACGTCTACCTTTAGACTTGAACACTGCAAAACTGGACGTACTGTTTTAGAAGTATTCAATAAAGCCCTCTGAACAAATTAAAGGATAATAGACGTACTGTTTTAGAAGTATTCAATAAAGCCCTCTGAACAAGTTAAAGGATACTGTATCCATTCATAAATCATTTTAAACTTGCACGTGATGCTCTCAGGGGCATTCACTTTATTTAAAAATATAAGACTTATCAATATTGATCATTTAAAAAATGACTGTCATTATCATCCATTTTCTGAATTAAAAGAATCAAGAAGTGGATCAGGATCCCCAGACCATATTAGCAGATAGAGGCGGAGAAATGTGGCAGGTTGGGAAAAATGCCCTGGGCATTCTCTGTTTGCTCTTTTGCTTGGTGATGCTAAATGAGGTACATACAGCAGCTCATCATAGATTATTAAGAAACAGAAGCACCTGGAAATACACTGACCCTCACCAAGACCACCACCTGACCTTGGGAGTCAGGTTTCAAAAATGCAGGTCTGCCAAGGCATTTAGCCTAGCCTCTCTTAGCCACCACGAAGGACTTAGGAAGGCGAAGGTTTTTAACTACATGAAGTGCCATCTGCACTTGTCATAAGCCACATACAAAAACAACAAGAAACACAGCTAAATTTCTTAGTGAATTTATTTTGTGCTTCTCGTTGCTGGAAACGGGTGTGAAATCATTTCTACTACCATGCCCTGAATAAGTGTTCGCAGTAATCACGTATCAGAGGCCATGAACTTCTCTGTCTTCTTATCTTATCCTCTCTGGTGACTCTGCAAAGCTACTCTTGCATTTTCTACTTTTTAGTAACTACACATGTTAGAAATCTAGCCCAGAGCTGAAGCCCTGGGGCACCTGTTCTCTCAAAGTCTGGGGGCAGAAGATGCAGATTCCATGGGCCGCACCGAGGACACGCAATGTTATTCCTCATTTACCAAATCAAAAACTTGTGCTGACTGCTGAGATGTGGTATTTTAAAGATTGTAGATGAAGCATAGTCAAGCTTTCTAACTCATTCTGTCTAATTTTTCTCATCACCTATCAACAAACTTGAAGCTTTTGGCATATAAGCAGCTCAGTGATCCAAGGGAGACGGAAGGAGGGGTCTGTTGGTGAAGACGTCACTCACATGACACAGGCAAGGCCAGCGTCAGAGACAGAAGCATTTTCAACTGCTGGTGAAGAAACCCAGCCTGAGTATCGTTAGCAGAATGTAAAGCCACGCAATGGGGTGACAGAGTATTTCAGGGATTTTCCTTTGCTCTTTGTAAATTGAGTGTTACCAACAGGACTCTGGAATCTCTGGTCCTGGGAATGGTGGATGCTTGGCCAGCTCTGCACACTTACAGCGAAGAACAGCAGCAGCTATACTCACATGGGTGACCTTCCGAAGGCCGTCCCCAACATCAGCTACGACGGCATCTCTACTCGATAACGTGAAAAGTTCCTTGAGACCTACATTTCCTCCCGAGTCCCAGAAACTCCTAAGAGCTGTAGGTGAACCGTGAAGGTCTTACATGTGTTCCTCTGAATACCTTCTCTAGTCTGTTGTTTGGGGGAGGATTAACTCATGGGCATCCTGGAGGAGGAGAAACAGTTCTTTTGAAAGCTGTTACATAACTTTTATTGTGTCCCTTTTTCAGGAGGAGCAGCCTAGCGACAACTCCTCAGACTGACGTCGCATACATCAGTTTGTGTTCACCTCCCACAGAACCCCAGGGGGATGAATGTGGGACCCAGGAGAATTCTTTTAGCTTTTCCCAAAGAATCACCAGCACTAACCCTGTTAGGGTTACACTTGGCTTATTTAGGAATCTTTTTGGAAATCGACATGTTTGACCTCGTGTAGTTAAAAGAAATCTAATGCATTAACAAAAATCCTGGTGAATTTAGAGGTTTATTGACAGCAAAATCACCTCCGTATGCTACTTACGTCAAATCATCTGCATGCTTTTTTTAGTGCCATGGTTATCTAGAAATTGGGGAGGAAGGACACAATTTGGTTGCCAGACAGACACACTGCAGTAGCAGTGGAAATGAGGTCCAGCACGGGTTGATTTAAACCCCAGCAGAGTCCATTTAAAACATTGCATGGTTCTGCCATTCGATAATTATTAGAGACTAAGAAAGACACTTCAGCTCTCTGAGCCTGGGTTCCTCATCTAGAACACAGGGTTCACAATGTCTACTTTGCAGAGTTGCAAGGACAAAGTGTTTAAGGGCTGGTGGTTCCTTTCTCATGCCCTCTCTATCTGAAAATGACTGCAGCTTCACCAGGGAGCCTGACCTCAGACAACACACTTCCTTAGATGTTACAAGGGAAGCCTACACACAAAACCTGGCAAAAAATACCACTGCCAAACTGACAAGCTTCTTCCTCACCATTTCCCAGCTTCAGCTGAGTTCAAGGCTCTAACTAAAGTACTCTCCATTTTCAAATTACATACTTCCCCTTCCTTACCTTCCAGGAACAGCCTGAGATTGAGGCGGAATCTCCAAGTCCCCTGAACCCTAAAGCTACACAGATAGAATGTCATAGTCTTCTTACCCCATTGACCCAAATTACATAATAGTTCTTGCATCTTCTGCCACATGGATCCTAGAGAGGGTCATGGCTCATTCTAGTGCTCTCAGATTTGTGCTGAGCCTCTACCGTGCAAGGGGACTCTGATAGGGAAGCCGGCATAATCAGGATGGATCAAAGCTCCATCCTCCTTCACACACTCAGGGTACGGAGTCTCCACTTAGGGTAATAAACAGCATATTTTCTATAATCACCAATTTCTTATTGTTTATAGGAATGTCTAATTGGAACGTTATGTAACCTTAAAGTACAGAGCATTCTGGAGGTATTAATAACCAGCTATACCCAAATTTTGAGGATTCTTCAAACTTAGAGTTTGGAGGGCAATATCTGGTACCAATACACACACATATACATGCAAACGTACACACCCATTGCATATATGTAAACCCAGACCCAGCAAATGGAAATAATTTGCCCAAGGCCACAAAGCCAATGAACAACTGAGTCGGGAATAAACCCCAGGTTTCCTGGCCTACGGAAGCTGTTGTTTTCCTCACACTCCGATCAGTCCAGGTGTGCATCCTCACTGATGCAGAAATGCCACAGCACTCAGGCTGTGTCCCCATGATGCTAAGTGTGGCAGCTGCAATCATGAGGGCATGGTCTCAAGCCCTGACTTAGAAGAGTAAGCAAACAAGGGAAATGTCTCATCACTGTTATTTACTTACGATACATAACCCTCTTGTTCTCCCAAAAGAAATCCAAGGCACTTAAAACATATTTTAACATGAGGCCATTATATGTATGGTGTGGAAGAGTTCAGCTTAGAGATCTTACAGAAAAAAAAAAACTGGATTTAAGACAAAGAAAAACTGAAAAGGAAGAATTTATTCTCGATGGCTTATTTTCACACGGGGAGAAAAAAGGCAAAAAATATGAGAAAACTAATGAATTAAAAAATAAATATCAGTAACAAGAGTAATGTTTTGTGATGTAATCCAGCTTTGGCTATGAGTAGTATGATCTATGACACAAAAATCGTTATTTCATAATTACCTCAGCATTTTCAAAAGCAACTTAATGAAGATTGTTTCTCTGCATTCATTTTTATTCAAAACCTTACCAGTTAATCATGAGAAGCTAAAACACACAATGCTGGGAGATTAATATCCCTACATAAGATGCATTATTTTTCCTTTGCAGATCCCTATGAGCCTGTCAAAAATGAAAGCTTTGCTCTGGTTTTGTGAATTTCAAACAGTCACAAAACCCGCTGAGAGCCGAGTTTCTGGGAAAAAGGTGGGACATGCCCGTTTCATTTGGGATTCGGCAACACTTTAAGAGGTTCATTAATCCACATCTTAAAAAGACCAATGACAACCCCATTAACGACCCATAGGTCAAAGTGATGGATTTAGCTCTAATCCACAGCCAAAAACTAACTCAGGGTCTGAACATCCTTCAGCCCACCTTCCCTGTCCCAGCCCCTCTGCAGCCAAGCTAAGGCCGGCTCCACGCATCGCTAATATACTCAGCAAACAATGCAGTTGGAAGAGTCTAAAAAAAAAATCACTTTATTTATTTGCAGTAATTGTTTGTGCTGGGAATGTTTTACCTATGCAAATATGATTGATTATTTTTGGAGGGGCAGGAAAAGCTCACCAGCTTGCTGCTTTCTAGCCTGCTGGGCATCTTCTTAATGCATTGTATGTCATCAGTTCTTAGGAGCTAATGTCATCTCTCCTACTGAAAGGCCTAACCTATCCCACAACCCCAATCTGGTAGCTTGGAACATTTTATAGCCACTATGTGTTAGCCCAGTAAATAATCTATTAAGCACAGCTCGAGCTTCACCTCTTTTGGGCTGAACCTGAATCTCACAGCTCCCTGGAAACCAAGTCCTCTTCTTGGAAATCAACAACCCATTCAGTGTAGAATGTTCGTCCAAATGACTGGACTAAGACATCCTAGCTCAAGCCTGTAACTTACTAGTTTTGTCACTCAGAATCATTTAGCTGAAGGGGGTCTGAAGGGCTGGTCAGTCCACCCTTGCTCTTTACTAACAGAGACACAGAGGCCCCTACTGCTAAGGGACTTTCTCTGCACCAACACAAATGTACGTGTAGACAACTGAGCTCAACACTGTGACTTCACCAATGGAACAAGCCCCTCAGACCAGGATCAATTGATTCCAGGTGGCTTGCCCCTTCAGGAACTAAATGCACTTAAGCAAACAGTTAACTAAATGCACTTAAGCAAACAGTTAACTAAATGCACTTAAGCAAACAGCTAACAGCGGCAAGCCAGAGAACTGGGGGCATGCATCAGGCATCGTATCTGCATTAAAACTCCTTTTCTTTGGGGCTCAGAAGTGTTTGGGGCTCAGAAGTTCTGCTGACACTGAGGGCTGGCAAATATGAGCCAACACTGGGCCAGCCCCTGCACAGTGGCCATCTGGGATCAGCCCCCGCTCCGGTTAAGTAATCATCTCCAAGATTTACAAAACCAGGGGCAGGTAACCTTGATGAGCCCTGCCCCCAGGGAAAGGTTAAGGATGCAGTTCTGAGGCCTAGCATGTGCTGGGCACACAGGAGGAACCACTGTCCTTTCCATCCTTCAGGAGGACTGGGAAAACAGAACCCCAGGAAAGAGAACACCTAGGAAAACATATTATCCTCTCACCTGAACTAAAAAGTAGAGTACACATTAGGGGTTGGCAGCAGCGTGATGGCAGGATGGACAAAAAGTGCTTGCTACAGGCAATTTATTTCATCAGAACAGATACTCATTGGAGCAAGTATTTTCACACACACGCAATGACTCTCGAGACGGAAGCAGTTAGTAGAAGAAATGAGACAGGTGTGTTTGTTACAAAGGGAACAGTCTGGCAGGGAAGTAGGGTACCCTGGTTTCCAATCCTGGTCTCCCACTTCCTAACCTTGTGACCTTGATTAAGTCATTCAACCTCTCTAAGCCTCAGTTTCCTCATCTGGGCCAAGGAGAAACGGGGACCTATTTCCCAGAGCGGCTTTGAGGCACACTGCCCGGCACGGCCTGGACACCCACTAAATAAGAGTTGTTGCCCCCAAATGCTAAGTCTGAACCTAGCTGCATACACATGCCGTTATCTAGACCAGACAGGTCTCCCGCCTGCATGTCAAACCCACATCTTTCTCCAGAAGGCAGAAGAAAGCACCAGGTCTGCCCGGGCAGTTCAGCCTCCAGGCGGGGCTTCGGGGCAGGGGAAATTGAACGATTCAATCGGAAGCCCCGAATGTTTCCAGGCTGTAAGTGGGGAAGGAGGGTAGGACAGGGGCCCTGAGGCGGCCTCCGGGCCCTGCGAAGGGAGCTTTGTTCGCGAGGCGGAGGGCCTGGCTTACCGAGAAGCGCATCCGGAGGCGGTTGAGGGGCGCGCGGGGCACGCAGCAGAGCCGCAGCCCGGCCCGGACCCGGAGCGCCGGAGCCGCAGGAAGGCGAGGAGAAGGAAAAAAAGGAGGCTGCCGCCGGCTCCTGCCTCATTCTCCCGGGCAGCGTTGACCCGCTGGCCGCCGCCGGATAGGGCTGGCCGCCGGGCGCGGGACCCCGTGCGCGCTGCTCATGTCCCCGTCTGCCGCTGGCTAGGTGTGCGCGCAGCCTGCTGGTCTCTGGGCGGCACCCGGGGGCTCCTCATGCCCCGCGCCGGGGCTCGGCGGGAGGACCTCGGAGAGGCAGCGCGGAGGGAAAGAGAGAGAGACAGCATGAGAACGCGCAGAGCTGCACCCCGCGGGGGCCGGGCGCCAGCAGCACCGCGCTGCCCCACCCACGGCGCGTCTGCTCCCCGCGCTGCGCGCCCAGCGGGGCGCCGAGCCCCAGAAACTTTAGCACATGGCCGGTCCGGCGGCCACGGTGGCCGTAGCTGCCCTGCTCTTCGAGCGCCCCCCACTGCTTCCTGCCCCAAGCCCCAGAGCGCAGCTTACCAGCGGCGACCGCGACCGCAGCGGCGGGGCGCCCACCCGGCCGCAAGCACAGCAGTGCGCACCTGCGGGAAAGGAGGAAGGGGCTGGCGGCGTCGGGGTCCCTACAGGGGAGGGGCACCTCGGCGGCAGCAATCGGCGCAGGTTAAGGCATTCTGGGCCGGGGCTGCGCGCGAGCCAGGTGGTGGCAGGCCGGGATTGGGGAGGGTCTCTGCGCCCCCCGCCCCGCGGCGCCGCTGCTGATGACGCGCGCGGGCTTCCCCGGCCCCGCGTCTGCGGAGCCAGCCCCGTTACCTAGCGACTCGCTCCGGGGAGCCCCCGCTGACGCGCGCTGCGAGCCGGGCTGCGGCAGCCGAGGGGCGGGGAGGGAGGGGAGGGGGAGCTCCAGTGCGGGGAGGGCCGGCGGCTGCGGGCCAAGCTCCTCCCTCCGCTTCCCTCTCCGCGTTGGGGAGGGGGCCCGGGAAAGACGTGGCCTCCGCCTGGCCCTGGAGGATGGGAGGCCTTCGCGGGGCGGGGGGGACGGAGGGAGGCACTGAGTGCCCCTGTCCCCGCAGTGGGGATGCAGCAGCAGGTGGCGGCTATGTGGCCTGTGGAGGCTCGGCACCCAGAGGCGCGCGGTGAGCCCGCCCCGGCGGGAGCGTGGCGAATGTGGCTTTGGGCGCGCGGGTGTGTGGGACACGCTCCCACCCACGTGGCGTACATGGGGACCTGGGGACGCGGGTGAAAGAGGCGCCTCCTCCTTCCTCTGGTCTCTCTCCCTCCTTCCTGGACATTTTGCTCCTGCGCTGTCTCTTTCTTCATCATGGAAGCCCAGGTTGCTCCGTTCCCCACTCCCAGCTCCTTATATCTTCCAGGGAACAGGCGGATGGCCTGGCAGCTGAAGGTAGTTAAGTCGTGGTCAAACCACTATACCCCCAATCCCTGCCGCCCTTTGGCGCCTCCCCAGCCCATCCCCATGTCCAGTTGCCCGCCTTGTAGGCCCTCTAACCTGCCTCGGGGCGCCTTCCACTTTCTTGGAAGACTTGGGACCTCTGACACAGACTGGGGTTCAAATCCAGGCCCCTCCAATTGCTTTCAGTACACAGGACATTTTAACGTCTTCAGGAAGATGGAGTCCTTGTCTCCAAAGGTCATAGCTAAGTACTAGTACCTAAGGCCTTCCATGAATGTGAACATGATTTTCTAGAAGATAAGCAGCCTGTCTCCTGGTTCTCTGGGACCTCACCAAAATCCACCCCAACGTCCAGGGAAGTAAGGCAAGTGCCGGGAAACATGGTCAGAGCAAGCAGCGACCATGGTCTCTATCGACGAGGAGGCAAATTGCCCAGGTCTGCTGGGTGCCTCAGAAGCAGAGCTGGGGGAAGAACCCAGACATCCTGGTTAGCAGGTTCCCAGGGCCCACCGCTGTGCCCCTTCCCCAGTTGGATGGTGCAAGGAACCTTCTGCCCCTACTTCTCAGAAGATCCTCCTGCCTACCAAAAGGCTGCTTCCCTCCCATCCCTGCTACAGAATAGGAATCACCTACCACCTCGTCCACAACACCAACCCATACCCTCCCTAGCTGGCCTTTCTGTCTTCCTCATGGTATGGATGTGGGGAGAAAGATGCAGAGGAGAGACTCAGCAGAGATTTAGGGGAATCAGGCCTGCCCAGGAACACCCACACCCCAGCCCTGCAGCTCTACAGGACAGAGTCCCTCCATGAGGGGCTTTGGGAAACAGCAGAGTCTGAGTGGTTTTTGTTGGCTTAGTGACAAGACATTTCCTCCAATTATTATTATTATTGAGATGCCAGTAACTCCTATTGAAAAACCCTGCAAGTCCATGGAAACAGAAACCTGTGTCTTAAGAAACCAGGGTCCAAAGGCCACACTTTTCTGAGAAAAGCACTTTGCATCCCAGCCTGTGTATAACAGTTGCATTCCAACATTTTCCGGCGAAATTGGGAGCAATATCTCTGAATTTCCCAACCAGTTATTATGGGTAGTTGCAGACAGGGAGGTGGTCCCCAGAAACTCCAGAAGAACTATTTCTGTGTGCCAAATTGGCTGCCGGCTCTTTCTTCAGCCCCAATTTCCCAATCTGCAGGTAGAGTTTGACACCTAATTTGGTCAGGGAGCCCAGTGCTTACAATAAATGAAACCTCAGAGCTTGGATTCCATGCGTCCCACTATTCCAGGAAACAAAGCAGCCTGTAAGGAAGTGCGATTTGACGGCACAAGTGTCTCATTCATGGTTTGCAGAGATTTGAAAAATGTTGTTTAAGCATAGCAAAAGCTGGCACATACATCTTTTATTGGTGTGTGTATGCATGGGGAAAAAGGCAGCAGGGAAGACTCCTACATTGCATATTCATTCTTCATGTTTTTCTCAAATAATAGGAAGTGGGGAGTGCACAGGAAAGCCAGGATTGAGGAAGCCCATGATCCCTGTGGCCACACAGGGATTGTTCCTCAGCAATGCAGTGGAAGAACATCACCCTAAATTTGTAAGGAGTATCTACTGAAGTCAGGCACAGTGTTAGGCACCAGGGATGCAAAAATGACTTACATAAGTCCTCTGTCTTCTGGGTCCTCATAGGGGCTTTTACTGAGGGCTTAACCCATGCCAGGAACTCCAGGTACCAAGAGTTTTATCTAGGAAAGCTCATTTTAACCTCACCAAACCCTGTAAAGTGGGTCCATTATCTTTGCTTGGGAAGGGAAGCTCAAAAAGGTTATGTAAGTTCCCTAAAGTCATGAAGCTGGCAAATGATGGACTTGGGGATTTGTAACCCAGTCTTCCTAACCCCAAGCCCAAGTTCCTAACTTCCTATACTGTCTGCCAGGCTAAAGGAAAAAAAGAACAATAGTAACATAGGTAGTGGCTGCTTGAGACTTAGGACTGCCAATGAGATGTGTGCGTGGAGTCTCCAGCATAGTTCCTGGAACAGAGTGAGCTATTGATAAAAAGATAGTTATTATCATCGCTAGACCCTCATAGTTGTTGTGTGAATTTTTATGCCCTATCTTATAGAGGTTACCAAATACTATTCTTGGAGGCATAGAGGAAAGTGACTATACCTATCTGCAGGGACTGCAGCTGGCTGCCCAGAGGAGGTGGCATCTGAATTGGGTCCCCAAGGATCCGTAAATATTGGCCAGGTGATAAGGCAGAAGCAAGAACAAGCTAATCAGGAGGAATACGCAGGGGAAATCCCAGAGCTGGTAACAAGCAGCTCTTGTGTGCAGGAGCTGAGAGAGACCCAAGGCAGGTAGACAAGAAGTTGAAGACATGGAGCAAGTCCTAGGGATGCTGAAAGACACAGGTGGAAGAAAAGTCTCAAAAGTGCAGGGACTGCCCTTCTTTTGAGCTCTCAGGGAGGCAAGTAGAGAGGGAGCTAGGGGAGCCCATGCCTCCTGTTAGTGCTGGTTTCCTCCCTGAAGAAGCAGGCAAGGCCATCTGCTGAGTCTGGCCTATGGGGTGGTGAGTGTGAGACAGTGGAGCAGGTAGCTGTAAGAGGATCCAGCCTCCAGACAGCTACCCAAGCCAAGACTTAGTGGCTGTGCTTGACTGAGTCTCCTCCCATCATTCATAAGGACGGTGGGGTCCTGATCCCTACCAGCCTCCACACTTTGCAGGGACGTGGCAAGGCACACAGTATACTTCACCAGTCCCTCTGTGTGAGAGGGCTTGGCAATCGGTAGTGAGTGTAATGTTTGCATGAGACACATAAATAGTACATCTGTTTCCAGCTTTTTGCAGATATTGGCCTATTGCATCCACAATCTATTCATTCATTTGTGCAGTCATTCATTTAATAAGTGTTAATTGAGCACTTATTAGGTCATGTGGTTGCACAAAAGAGAGGCCCTTCCTTGGATCTAGGAGATTGAGGAAGCCTTCCTGGGGTGAGGGGGACTTCTAAAATGAGTCTGAAAGATAAGTGGGAGTCAATCAAATGAAAGGGAAATGGTTTGGGGGTTGGGGAGCAGAAATATTTCAAGTCCAGGAGCAGCACTTGCAAAGACTTTCGAATACTGAAAAATTAGAGCCCACTGAGAAAGGTCAAACCTAATTGTTCCTTTTAGAGAAGAAACACTGTGTGAAGTGCAGTCAGACAGGTGTATGATATTGGGTTGGGGGTAGTAGGACCCAAGAGAGAGAAAGGACTTCCTTAGAAATGGCTCAGGAAAGATTGGAAGCATCCTTCCTTTCTAAAAATTAGTATCTCTACTGTTAATGACTTTTTATTTTTTTACAGTGCTCTGAGGTTTTCAAAACGTCTCATTTCCCACATTTCATTGGCTCTTATCATGTACATGGGGGTTTGATCTGGAGGATTCCTCAGTCTCCAAGCTGATACCTGACGGACCCTGTGACTTGAACCTGGGACTTCCTCCTGGGTGGTCTGGTCCTGCTAATTTTTTTTTTTTTTTTTTTTTTGAGATGGAGTCTCGCTCTGTCACCTAGGCTGGAGTGCAGTGGCATGATCTCGGCTCACTGCAAGCTCCGCCTCCCAGGTTCACGCCATTCTCCTGCCTCAGCTCCCGAGTAGCTGGGACTACAGGCGCCCGCCACCACGCCCGGCTAATTTTTTGTATTTTTAGTAGAGACGGGGTTTCACCGCGTTAGCCAGGACGGTCTCAATCTCCCGACCTCGTGATCTGCCCACCTCGGCCTCCCAAAGTGTTGGGATTACAGGCATGAGCCACCGCCCCCAGCCTGGTCCTGTTAATTTTTAATACTTGCATATGGCTCTTTACAGTTCACAATGCATGTCCATCTCCCTGAGCTCACTTGACTCTGTCAGCATCTCCAGCTTCAAAGGAAGAAAATGGTAGCCCAGGGAGGGGCAGCGTCTATCCAGCAGAGCTCCCTGGTTAGCAGGAAGCCAGAAGGGTGACTGGCTGGGCTTATCCAGACAGACTGCAGCCTCTGGGCTGAGCAGCAGTTTGACTCATATGCATTCACTCAAATAGGACAGCCTGCGTCAGTGGCAGGGCCTGACTGAAGAGTGACATAAAGCACAGGTGAAATGAAGTCAAGAGCACTCAAACATTTGTTTAGGATCAGCTTTCAGGTCGGAAATCTTGCTGTGCAACACCCATATCAAGAGGTTATCAAAATGAGATCCCCAACTGACCACACCAAGGAGGTGGTGAAAGATTGAAATTGGGGCAGCTGGGAAGAGCGGAGAGAAGTGGCAAACACAAAAGAGATAATTTGGAAAGAGGATACCATCAATTTCAAATAGCTGCAGGGTTTTCTTATAGGCGAGAGCTTGATTAGCTCTTACAGGTGGCCCCAAGAGGTTGAACTAGGCCACCAGGAAGACAATTGCTTTTTTTCAAGATGAGAAAGAGCACCTTCACCCTTAGAGCAGTGGGCAGCAAACCACAGCTCATGGGTCAAATCTAAGTCACTGACCACTTCGGTAAACAAGATTCTAGTGCCCACCCATTCGTTTTTGTCTTGTCTGTGCTGCAAGAACAGAGATGAGTACTTGCTACAGAGACCGAATGGCCCACTAAGCCTAAAGCATTTAGTGTCCAGCCCTTTACAGAAACAATTTTCCAACTCGTGACTCACAGCAACCCAAATAACAAATGGGCTCTCTTGGTAAGTAGTGAGTTCCCCGTCACTCGCGGCATTCAAGCAAAAGCTGAAGGCTTGTTAAGCAGTGATGTTGAAAAGGGTCTGAGTAACCTGTAAGGTCCCTTTGAGATTGTAAGAGTCCAACAGTTAATGACAATTATTCAAATTTCTTTGCTGTCTACCTGTTACAATAGTGACAACTATAAATGAATAATCGGTGGAGCAGCCTCAGCAGGCTTTCAGGACTATAGCTTTTCATGCCAGTATCCAATGCCCATCAAAGTGAGCAGTGGCTTTCTCTGCCTGTTTAATATGACAAGATAGATGAGGTACAAATTCAGGCAATCTCAAGGGTGAACATGTTGGAAATCTTTTTACACCCTAGCCTCTCCCACTGGGAAAGTGGCACTCATTGATGAATAAGCTCATTAATGAATAACTGCGTGGATCATTTCTGGGCCACCATTATACCCATGTGGCTCACACAGTACTATGTGTTTGAAAGGGATTAGCTATGGTATCAGCGAAATTAGTTTTGTTGGGCTTCTGTTGGTGTATCTGGGGACATCATTCAGCAAACTCGCTGCCAGACCTTGAGCTGGACAAATCACCTGCCCTTGAGGAGCTGGTCACCTCGGCCCCACCTAGCTTGGCCAGAATGTGATGAGGACCTGGTAGATTCCAAAGGCAAGGAGGGATATACTCAGCCGGTGGTGTAACTATCTAGCAAAGCAACAATACTGCTCAATGTTATTAACTGAAATTTGCTTTCTTTCCAAGTAGGATCACACACACAAAAATAAATAAATAAAAATCATCTCTTAGAAAAAAAAAAGCCTGTGGCCGTTTCATTATCTTTTTCTCAACCAGATTGAATACGAACAGGTTCCATTTTCCCATCTCAGACTGTCTTGCAAACACCGTGATGTGTTGGAAACAAAAGAAAATGTTCTTTTGCATAATCTACAGCCTGCGTGCTGAAGCAAAGATTTCCCAACCAGAAACGAATAATGTCCCCTTATGAATAGCATCAGCAAAGGCCAAATTGATTAATTCCTGTTTCTACTGTCTTTGTGCAAAGACTGCTTCCCTCATTCTAAATGGCTCGATCCAGTCCACACCACGGTGAATTCCAGGCACTGATTTTTCTAAAGCCCTCATTGCTTTGAGTTTTCATTCCTTTCTCCCATCAAAGTAAGACAGCAGCAACAAACTCATTTTACATTTTTCCATTTTACATTTTTCTTGCTGCTGTTTTTGTTTGCAGGTGATAGTAGATAATCAAGGTGGTTGGTTGCCATTGGCAGGATTCCCCAGCTGTGCTACAGATACCTCTAAGAGGTTTTCACCTGAGAAGCATTCAGATATTATTCAGGCCTTAACACATCCACTCTCAGTCACTTAATCATGCTCAAAACCTATTTGAACCAAACTCATGCTTGCTCTCCAGCTAGGAGAAGTCTTGGTGTCCTGGCTGTGTTTATTTAGAATTTTAAAAGACCACAGAAAGTGTCGGGGGTGTCCACCTGGTGAGACATGAAAGAAGCATCACATAAAAATGCCACAGATGTTTCATGCCTTCACAGGGATACCCTCAGCCCAATGCCCCTTCATCTTCTATTCCCATTTTTGCCTGTGACGTAGATTGTCTAATCTCAGTGCTGAGGTCTCCTCTCTAGCCCAACCTTCCCCTTTCACCTCCACACCAGGCCACAGGACACACAAACCTTAGCCTTGTTTTATTTATCTCCCCCAGCCATACTTTGGACAGTGTTGAATCCCTAAATGAGAGGTGGTTCTTGTTTTTTTTTCTTTATGATAACTTACAATGCAGGGGCAAGGTAGTAATAGCCTTGTCCCCAGTTAATTACAAACAAAAGGATTCCTATATATTTTATTTATAATTAGTCAATGTCAGCATGCTTGGTTTCAGCTCCCAAGGTAAGATTGGAGAGCATTGTTAAATTAATTGCTCCGTGTACACTCGAGCACACATTACCTTATTCCAAGGATAAATATTAATGTAGTAATTCAGTTCTGCTGGGGAGATTGTCCATAAAATAAACATATCCATAAAATTACTAAAAATGTAAAGGTTGTTGAAGTCCCTTGTTCTTCCTCTTAGTCTCAACTCTCCATAATATTAATTGTTCTAAAAGCTGACAAATATTCTCCAGTGACAGGGAAGCCACGGTAATTAAGAGATGACATGCCACAGAGCTGAACTAGGATCAGAGACCATTTCTCGAACCACGCACCCCGCTCCCCACCCACCCAGTTAACCACATCATCTGCTAAGTTTGGAGCAAACCGTCATATGATTGCCTCCGTCACGCTGAAGGAGAGCCTCTTAATGGACAATGAGGAAGGCAAAGAGCTCCTCATCTTGTCTTTCCAATCTAGATCCTTCCTAAGAGTTCTATTTATTCTCACAAACCAGCCGTAGGCCAACTTGGCCTGTCTGAAGCTCTGCATGAAGCCAAATCCAGCTGGAGTTCCTTGCACTAGATTCCTCTAAATGAATAAGGAAGGAGGGGCTTTGGATGACTTACAAATACCTCATGAAACACAGGAATGTTGAATTGCTAGGGTGACCATATTAATAATCCATCTAGGAAAATGTCTAAAGCCATTTCATTGATTAAAGAAAGCTTATGCTTTCCATAGGAATAATCAGTGTATTATACATCTCTGCTTAGTTTCATCATCATCATCATCCTCGCCAGCATTAATTGAGCCTCTATTCTGTGCCAGGCCCTTTCATGTATATTATTTCTACTTAAAATTCATACTACCACCACAAGCTCACATCATGATTCCCATTTTTCAGATGAAAAAGCAGTGACTGAAAAAGGCTATTTTTTCATCTTCAAAGATCCAAACTTAGCTAATGAATATTTCCAATTGTTAGAAGCCATTAATTAAAAGCTAACAGTAAGATATATGTATATATGACTAGGCAAAGGCTATTGCTAATAAAATGCAACACCTTCTGTCACATCAATGAACAAAAATGCAGAACTTTCAAGAAATAGTTTCTCACTTTTCAGACTAACAAAACAAGCAGTGGCTGACAGACTTACCTCTTTGCCTTCTTAATGGCTGGTGTGTCAAATTACTGTTATTTTCGGAGTTCACCCTCTCAAAACACAGTCACCGTACCTACTTTGGACAAAGAAAAATATGTTCTTTCATCTCTTACCTGTTTTTTTCTAAACAGTTAAGATTTAAGTATCAGCAACCTTGTCAAAACATCATTGGAATCCATCACATTTTTAGAGATCACTGAAAATACAAGTCCAGAGGGTACCTCTCTGTTAGCTTCCAACCCACTTCAGTCTTCTTAATTCCTTTCTAAGTTCGGTCGCTAACTGCATTTCATCGCAGCCATTACATTTAAAGAGCAAAGTCCTGCTGTTGGCTTGAGTAGACCAGGAAAGGTAGATGAAAGTGAAATGGGTGGATATGAAGATGCTTTTATACACTCTCCATTTTCCAATCAAATTGTTGCCTTTTTAGAAGTGGATGGCATCCTCTGGGTGTGTGTGTGTGCATGTGTGTGTGTGCTTAATCAAATGGCTGGAGAAATTATAAAAGAGAAAGATGCAAGTGATAATATAAAAAGCAGGAAGCAGCGATGGGTCTCTCGTGATGACTTTGAGTTAATACTTCTCTAGGGAAGACAGAACAAAAAAAGGAAAGCACAAATACAGCAAAATGTGTCCTACGGAGTTAAAATCTGTTGGATCAGCCAAGTTTTTCTGGCAAAGCAGTACTGAATATCTGTTTACCCTGTTAACCTTAACTCTTACAACTGGAGAGTGACTAATATCTGAAGGTTGTAATCTTTGTTGGAGGTTGAACATGATGGAGGAATGATAAAGAAAATGCAGACTTTTTTTCATTAACTTGGGAATGCTGCCTTAAAAAACTAGCACAATGTTGCCCTTCTCTCCCCTGACATAAGATCAGCTCATGAATGTATATTACAGATCCAGACATGGTACTGAACCTGGGATTTCCTTGGTGCAGTGTGATCAAGAAGCATGCATGGTTAGGGCCAACCCTCAAAACTGAGGGGTTTAAAGCTTCTAGAGATATTTTGTATGTCTTTCACTCTTATTCCAGAGCTAGATTTCTGGGAGAGGTTCACGGGGCCGTATTGGTTTTTCCAGTAAGTGACAGACATGCACAGATTGTGAAAATCTTCTGAGGGTTATTTCTCCTTTATGCATGGTTGATGTTAGTGGTAGTGGTGGCTGTAGCTACTGCTTATTGAACATCTACAGCTAGCCCTACAGAATGCTGGCATTCCTTGTCTTGTTTTATATAATCCCTCCACCAAACCTGAAAGGTGGTCCACATATTCCCCACACTTACAGAGTAGAAAGCTGAGGGTTAGGAATATGAAGAGCATGCCCAAAGTCACTACATCAGCTCTCTTTTGCTGTGTAACACATTCACAACACTTAGTGACTTAAAACAACACACACTTATGACCTCACAGTTAGATGGGCACAGCTCAGTTGAGCTTTCTGCTCAGGGTCTCTCTCAAGGCTGAAATCAGTGTGTCAACCAGGGCTGGGAGCTCATCTGAAGGCTCAACAGGGGATGTATCCACTGCAGGCCTCTTCTCAGGATATTGTTGACACAATTTAGCTCCTTGAGGGTGCTGGACTGAGGGCCTCACTTCCTAGATGACTGTTGGCCAGTGGCCACCAGCAATTCTTTGCCACATGAGCCTCTCCAGTATTGCAGCTTGCTTCATCAAAGTGTGCAAGACAAGAAGACAAAAAAGAGAGCTGCAAGAAAGACGGAAACCAAGATCTCATGTAACCTAATGACAGAGGTGACCTCCCATTACCATTGCTGTATTCTATTAAAAGCAGGTCTTGCTCACATTCAAGAAGAAGGGATTATACAAGGGTGTGAATCCCAGGAGACAAGGACCAGTGGGGACATCTTACAGCCTGCCCACCATACCACTCATCTAATTTCAGTAAGTGCCCTTGCCATCATCAGCTCTTCATAGAGCACTCCTATTGCTACTCCCTCCTTGGCACATCTTTCTTATCCTTGGAGGCTCAGCACTAGCCACCTTCCTCCAAGAAACTTTCTATGGTAGCTCCTGCCTTCCTTTTCCTCTCTCTCCCCAGTGAATCCACCTAGTACTTACAGCAGCACATAAGAGCAACTGAGAGTCAGTTCTGCTTTTTGTGTAAGCTCAAGACACACTTTCAAGGGGCACATATTCTCAAACCATGCAACATGATACCCCAGGGTTCTGCAGATCTTCCTCCAGGCTGATATTTTGGAAAGAAAGAGAGGGCAGAGTTCTGAACTGAAAAACACCACGCTTACCCAACATCTGCCCTCATTGACTTTATATTAGATTTCATTTGAAGAAAGATTCCATGCTCAATATATATTTAAAAGACACTTGTCAGAGAAGCTATATTACAAATGATAGGTTTCCCACATGGCCCACCACTGTATTATTTCTTTGGGAAAATGCATTTAAAAATCCAAATTTAACCCTAGGTAGAGAGGAATATCCCCAAGTGTTGCTAAGATGCGGGTGGGGGGGGGGGTGGGGGGCGGGTGTGCAGAAAAGAATGGTAATTTATTAAGTATTTTTGTCTACTTAAGAGAAAGTACTTATTTATGTGCCTCCTAGGATCCACCCAGCGGTTTCCTTCTCTCCATTCCCATTGCCTCAACTTTATTCCCAGCATTTGGGTTTCCTCACCTGAATGCCTCAACAGGTTTCCACCTGGCCTCCTTGCCTCCAATTCATCCTCCACCCTCTATGCCAAGTGAGCTTCCTAAACTATAAGAGGAAGCATGCCATTCCCTTACCCAAACCCCTTTGATGACATCCTCCGAGACAAAGGCAAAATTCTTGGTTGGCTCATGAAGCGTTTCATGAGCAGCTGTCATTTATGGATGTCTTTATCTTTTGAGCAACCTCTCTACACTTTGACAGTTCCCATATATGATTCCCACATTCCCATGATGGAATAAAATCAGCATCTGCAATAACACGTTCCAGCCTTCCTCGCAGCTCGGACGCAGGCAAGCGACCTGGCTTCTTCCAATCAGACCCCCACTGTGAGAGCTGGATGCCAAAGTGTTACCTGAGGCAGCAGACCCAGTGGTGAGCTGGGAGATAGTCTCCTACCAGGCAGAAGGGTGGGACATCTAACTTCTCTGGGAGAGCTTTTGTTATCCAGTGTGGGATGACTGGTGCCAATGGTGGGGATGGGCAACCACGATGTTCTGGTGTACTGGGTCTCACCATGGCTGCAGAGTTTCTGACTGCATGGTGTCTTAACCCTGCGAGCCAACTAAGAATGGAGTCTATGATATGTCACCAGGAATTCTGACTAATACCAGGTCTTTCATGTCCCAGCCCTGGAAAATTTCTTCAGCCTCTTTCTTGGCACTTCCCTAGCATACTCTCCACACTGTGATCTGAGTATATTAAAGATGTTTGGAATCAACCAGATACTTCATTTTTCTTCTCTAGTGCCTGGGCGTTTTTCACAAGATGTCTTCCAGGTCTGAGGCATTCTTAGTTGTCCTTTTTTTACCTGGATTACTCCTACTCAGTTTTCAGTTGCTATCTTAAGTGTCACTTTCCCTGGATATTTTTTCCTGACTCTCAGGTTTGTGTAAAAGTCCTTCTTCAAGATCTGTACTTCCCTTACTGCAGCAGAGAAACAACTGATTTTAATAGGCAATTAACTCACTTACACCTGCCTCTAGATCATGGGCAAAGAAAATGTACATTGTTCACCATTTGCGGTGGGCAACTACTGTTTGGCCTGACCATAATTGCACTTTTTCTCTTGTCATGGGAAATGTTCTATCCAATTCAATCAGCCTGAATAAAGGCTGCTGCCTCCTGCCAATTTCCACCTCCCTGGCCTCAGTGGTTAGTAGTGTGGATACCTGACACAAGCTGGGATGATCAAAGCTCTTCATTAGGAATTTTCAACAGGAAAGGAGAAAAACTTGTTTTCAGCTCTGCCCAGGTTCCAAAGCTTGAGATTCAGGTGCAGGGATTTTAGTGGCCATGCCCTTCATGTTATTTATCTATTATATAACAAATTACCACAAACTCAGTGGCTTAAAAAACATACATTTGCTATCTCACAGTTTCTGTGGGTCACAAATCTGAGTACAGCTTTGCTGGATCCTCTGCAGCAGGGCCTCTTATGAAAGCTGTAATCAAGGTGGGAACTGATGCCCCTGTCTCATCTCAAGGCTCAGCTGGGGAAGGATCCCTTTCCAAGTTCACACGGCTGTTGACAGAACCGGATGCTGTTGCCCATGGGCCCGAAGGTCTGAGTTTGTTGTTGGCTGGTGTTGGCCAGAGGCTACCTTCAGTTCCTACATGACTGTTGGCTAGAGGCTGCTGCCCCTAGTTCCTTGTCACTGGGGCCTCCCCAACAGGCCCACTGGCTTCATCCAAGCCAGCAAGAAAAAACACGTTAGCAAGAAACATGTTACAGTCTTAGGTAACGTAATCACAGAAGTGACGTCATTTTACCTTTGCCATATTTATTGGTGAGAGGTAACTCTCAAGTCATGCCCATACTTAAGGATAGGGAATTGTATAAGGTTGTGAGTGCTAAGAGGCTGGGATAATTGGGGGGCACCTGAAACTCTGTCTGCCACACACCTTCTGGGTAAAAGTCATTTTGGAATAAAGGAATAAAGTAGAAAAAATAAAGATTTGAGGGTGTTGCAGGTTCTCTTTCCAATTGAACCTGACTCCCAGCTGGAATCCTACAAGTTTGGTTCTTGACCTAGTAAATTACCCGACGTTATTACCTTTTTTTTTCCATATAAGCCAGTATGTTTTGTGTCCATTTCAACCAAAAAGTTTCTAACTAATATGTAATCGTACTTTTAGTACCTAGCATAGTATATGAAATATGAGAGATGACCCTAATTATACTTCGTTAAATCAAATTGAGAACCCTGCCAGCTGTTCAAATATTTTAGCAATATCTTTTTTTGTTGTTGTTGTTGGAGACAGGGTTTCACTGTGTCACCCAGGCTGGAGTGCAGTGGCACAATCATGGCTCACCGCAGCCTCAACCTACCTGGGCCTCAGGTGATCCTCCCTCCACAGCCTTCTCAGTAGCTGAGACCACAGGAGCACACCACCATACCTAGCTAATTTTTGCATTTTTTTTTTTGGAAACTGGGTTTTGCCATATTGCCCAGGCTGGTCTCAAACTCCTGGCTTAAGCAATCCGCCTGCCACGGCCTCCCAAAGTGCTAGGATTACAGGCATGAGCCACCATGCCCACCCTACTTTGGCAATTTTAAGTCACCAAATCATAGGGTGTTGGAGCATAGAGTCCTCTTTTTAATGTGCTAATTTTACATTCTGAAGAAATTGAGGATGAGAGAAAACAAGTGAATAATGTGACCTTGGCTACACAATTAGTTATGTAGTGATGGAGCTGGAACAGAGTTCTAAATCCTGACTCTGCATCTGGTCCTCTCAGCAGGAAAGAGACACAACTAGACCCTAACGCGAGAGGATGGGCAACTCAGTACCATGGAGAGAGACTTGCATGTGCCGGCTCCTCTATGCCCTTAGCCTTGAATGGCCAATGGCTTGAGTCCATGAATTAAGTATTGCAATAAGAATATCTGCTCTACCAAGTACAAACTTAGCTGAGTGAAATTATTTGTTTTGATATGATTAACAGTCTCAACAGTATAAGAACTCTATAGCACATTCCTCTTGTGGCTGTGAGTACTACATAATTTTCCTTAATGCTTGTCAAAACAGGAAATTTAGATAAGTTGCTATTCTTTTACAGAAGTTCAGTGATTCTTGATAATCAATTTGTTTTAGAAAGAAATCAGAATTCTTGCAGTACAATGATCTAAAAATATGCTCTAGGAAAAAATTATTTTATAGCCTTATGCAGAATGCATGTCTTTTTTGCTGAATAATGTTCTTTGCTTCTGCAGAGTCATGTGCATTCCCCACTGGCTTGGTTCACATAGTCCAAATAGTTGAAATGTTTTGCTTGCTCTTTTTAATATTTGAAGGATGTCAGCATGCATTTTGGCATAGTTGGAAATGGCCTGCAAGGGGTTCTCTTTACAATATTTGTAAAACGTTAATAATGTCTCTAATTTGCTAGTTGTAGAAAATTGAACATAAATATTTTCAGTGGAAAAATATTACCTGACTCAAACTTCTCTAATTCTGCAGTTTTAAGGCACATTGAGTGTGACTGTGGTTTGTAAGCATTAAAGCATGATACAAATGTTAATCGTCCT